>NC_000023.11:30887488-32137488 GCF_000001405.40 Homo sapiens
GCACAAAAACTTACGCAGAGTATGGTGAAAGAACACACACTCTAGAATCAGACCTACATGAGTTTGAGTTCTAGCTCTGCAATTTACCAGCTATATAATCTCCTCAGCGAAGTCGCCAAAGAATATTGGAGGTTAGTATTGTTCTGTGCAATCGGCATAACATTATCTTTAGCATAGGGTAGCTGTGAGGATCTCCAGTGCCTGAATATAATCGACGTTAGCTCTGTTTGCTCCAACAAACTGTACACAATGTGGTATCTATAACTGAGGGGAAGACTCCATCAAATAAACATATGGATGAAAATTCAGGGTGACTGAATGCAGATTATGTTCTTTCAGATGTGAAGATGAAAATCACATATTTAATATTTACCTTCACTGAAGTCTTTCCCTTGATTAAGCCAGTTGTAAGCAAGTGGGGGCGGGGGCTGTCCCTACGGTTGTAAAGATTCATATCACACACTGACTAAAAAGCATGTATATGTATGTGCCTGTATTCTTCCGGTGTTCATAAAACACACCATCACAAAACTTACCATGGGTGATGAGGCCCTTTATAATTTAACACTGTGCAAAATTAAACTCTCATCTCAAAAAACCCTTTCTTCTTCCACGTGTTCTTGTATACTACTGCAAATCATTACTAAAGCAAAGAAAAAAGTAAATTCTCTTATCCTTTCAAAATGAAAAAGTGCGCAAAGAAAGCTCAGTTTGCCAAACTGTTCCCTTTTCTCATTCATTCTTGTTCTTTTAGAAACCAGAAGTAAATATACTGTATGCCAAAATGACTGCCTGATTGACAAACGTCACTGAAGAAACACATCGAACTGACAAGCCCGGTCTGGACCAAAGGTGGCAAGTTTTCTTAAATAATTTAAATAAGTTACATTTCAGTAGAAACAGAAGGATTTACACTTTAACACATTAACAAACTTTGGATCTTTTTATGCAGCTTACTTTATGCCTCACCTGTCCCTCACCCTTCAAATCCTGCTTTTACGCACTTTATGAGCTGGCACACGGTAGTAAACTACAGAACTCCAACTGGGAATAACTCTAATCTGTTGTTGGACCTCAGAGGACTGCTTGTGCGATCTTTAAAGGAAAGCAGTGTTTTCTCCTTACTCAACACCTACCAACAGTCATCTGGAAACCTCCTCTCCAACAATTCTTACTATACTGCTACTAACCTTCACATCTCTCAACACCCTCAACGGCCCCCACGCTGGTGCTGCTAGTCCTCATCCTCAAACACCTTCCTGGGGGCTTAAAGCCGGTCCACAGAGGCTCACTCTCCGCAATGCCTAGGGTCCGGCGAGGAAGGGCATCGTCCCCTCCGTTTGGGGGACCAAGGCCAATCAAGTCGACACCCCACCCCAGCCACTCCCTCTCCCCTCGGCCTCTCGGGGCGTCTGGGGCGGGCGCGGACGCGCCAGGCCCTGCGCAAACCTCCGGCAGCCCCGCAGTTCCCGCTGTCAGCCGCAGTCCCGGGCCGGGGTGAGTCCCCGGGACGCCGCAGTTGCGCACACGCCCACCGTCTCAGGCACAGGGTCACTGGGACGATCCCGGGGGCGCCCCCGACGTCCCTGCTCGGGCAGGTGCCGGGCCTCCCCGCGGACACTCACCAGGCGGCTGCTGCTCTCTGGCCGCCGCCGCCGCCGCCTCGCCCTCACGCCCGTCGCCTACTCCCGCGGGGGGTCCGGGCCGGCGCCGCTTCCCCGCCCGAACCCCCAGGGTACGCGCCGTGCAGGGCCGGGATCCGGTGTGAGCCGCCGCCGCCGCCGCCGCCCCCTTTCCTCCCTCCTCCCTCAGTGCGTCCCTCCCACCGAGGCCCGCCTCGTATTTCCTAGATCCGGTCTGAGCGAGAGCTTGGCAAGCAAGCTCTGGCTTCAGGGCTTCCGTCGGGCGCCGTCGCTCGCCAGGCACAAAGATGGCGCCGCCGGGTACTGCCCAGGGCGATCTCGCGAGGCTTCCCCCACAGGAACAGGAGGGCGGGGGCCCAAAGGAAAGGTGATAAGTTAGGGAAGCCTGAGCAAACGCTTCCCATATCGGAAATGGGCAGTACCAGTTACCGAAGAAGTTACTGCGCCTGCGTGCGCGGGTAATGACGCATGCCCGGAACGGCCCCTAAAGTAGGACCTAGTTCTCCAGGTTTTACCTGTTTCCACTAGTGGCGCGGGGCGGGGTAATGAAACCCAGTCAAGAAACCCAGTAAAGGGCTTGGCAGGACCAGGCACCAAGTGAGAGGCGTCCCTTAAGGCTTGGTCATCCCTCAGGAGCCCGAATGGCCAACACACTTTTTGCGTCCCCGGGAGTCTTCTAACCCTTTGCTTGTCCTTATGGGTTTTGTCACCGAGTATTCTGTGCAAAGCCTCAGCTGCACCTTCTTCATCCTGTTATGGGTTCACATTATTAATCAAGAGCTTCTTGCTGTGTGCTTGCAGATGGCCTCACAGTTGGCAGCCACAGTCCTCCTGTTTCCCACATCACCATCTAACTTTCTCTTTCATTTTTAGTGCTACATGAGCCATCTGATACTAATAATTCTTTTTCCTATTTTATTTTTTCTTGCTCATTCATTCAAACGTGTGTTGTTCAGTTTCCTATGTGCCAGCTACTGAGGAAATGCTGTGATCTCAGGGAGCTATTGGTCTGGGATGGAGATGAATGAGAAAAAACAATGACGACACTTTAGCACAGTAAGTTCTATGATAGAAATGAGTACAGAGAGGAGTGACAGATATGGGGGGAGGATATAAAATACATCAAAGAGGAAATTCCTTTTTTTTTTTTTGAGACCGAGTCTCACTCTGTTGCCTAGGCTGGAGTGCAGTGGTGTGATCTCGGCTCACTCCAACCTCAGCCTCCCAGGTTCAAGTGATTCTCGTGCCTCAGCCTCCCGAGTAGCTGCGACTACAGGTGTGTGCCACCATGCCCGGCTGATTAGTTTTGGTAGAGACAGGGTTTCTCCTGTTGACCAGGCTGGTCTTGAACTCCTGACCTCAGGTGATCTGCCCGCCTCGGCCTCCCAAAGTGCTGGGATTACAGGTGGTGAGCCACCGCGCCCAGCCAAAGAGAAAATTCTTGAGCGGTGTCTGACAGGCATAGGATTTAGTCCAGTGAATCACTCAGGGCGATAGCAGGAAACAAACCACCCCAATTATTTCAACCAAGAGAATTTAATATCAAGAATTGATTATTAGGCAACTGATAAGGTCAGAGAGAACTCTTAATGTATCGCAGAGGTAGCAACTGCAGGAAGCAGCTACTATGCCTAGAGCTAGGAGGAGGAAGGGAAGAGGTTGGGATTATTACAATTTAGACGTTTAGAGGAATTGCCTTGTGGAGGTAAAACTCAGACCTCTGAGAAAGGAGCAGCATCTGCTGGTGCTCGTGTCTTTGAGTGGGGCTCAAGACGTTGTCTCTGCAAGTGTGGGGAAACTGCAAAGGATCCAACTGCTGCTATGGGAAGGAAGTTCTCCTGTCCCTCTGGGAGCTTCCAATCTCCCTCTAGCCTGGGGATGAGAATGTGACACCTGGACTGGAGCTGAACTTGACCCACATCCTGAAGTAGAGCAGCTCCAGTGTCAAGAGCCACTCATTTTGGAAGCTGGATGTGGTCAGAAAGGGGGTCATTCACTCCTATCACACACCCCACATACTGGGGCCCATCGTGCTGAAACATTTGTAGAAAACCTGCTTCAAGTTCAGGTTTCGGACCAAGCAGAGCAGCCCCAGCCAACTCACAAACCCATGAGTGAGAAATAAATGCTTATTGTAGCATGGCACTGAGACTTTTCCTTATTACGTGGCAAAAGTGGACTAATACGGCAGCTCTGTTCCACAAAGTGAGCCACGGTTTAGTCTCCCTATGTCTTCTTGCTCCACCATTCCTAGACTGTCGTCCTAGTCTACATGGTCCAGAATGGCTCAGCACGACATCACATTTCAGTCATCAAGGGTGTGAAAGCCTACCCATTTCCTTTAAGGGCATGACCCAGAAGTTGTTACCATCAACTTATGTTCACAACCCACTGGCCAGAACTTAATCACGTTATTGCATCTACCTGCAAGGGAGACTGTGAAATGTGGTCTTATTCTAAGCAGTCCTGTAACTAGCTAAACATTCCATGACTTTGGAAAAAACATTGAGGGGACAACCAGAAGCCCCATAAAATTATCAAAACCCAGACCTTATTTGAAGTTATATCTTGTCCTCTCTCCCAGTTGGATCCTACCACCAATGAGGAGCTTGGAGTCAAGGAAGCAGGTGTAACCCTTCTCTTTCCGTCCCTTAGGCTTCTACTTCTCCTACCCTATCTTGCTAACCATAGCTGTATCTCCTCCAGGGATGAAGAGGATAGAAATGGAGGTGGCAAGGTGTTGCTTTACTGATCCTTTCATAAGATGGCTTTGTCCTCTCTGGACATGGCAAATGCCGAAAATTGGCTCTTTGTTGATTTCTTCTGTGAGTTCTTCTTAGGGTCCCACTGGGGAGATTCAGGAGTACCTCTCAGGACACAAATGAAGCTCTTTCTTCCATCTAGCCTCTCTCTCCTCAGCCCTTTGTCTCTCTTACTTTTCAATGCTGCTGTAAGTCCTCTATTGGTTGTCAATGCCTTCTATGTGACTGGCATCCGAATGCTGGCTCTCATAGGGTGAGTATGATTGTTCAGGACCCCCTTCACTGCACATTTCTTAAATATGGACTCAATCCTTTTAAACTTCTCCTCAGCCCCTGTCTCTTGTGGAATACCTATAGTTTCTTACTGCCAGTATCGCTTCACCAACTGGCAAGCCCTTTGGCAGGCACAAGCAAATGGCTCAAGTTATTTTGCCTTCTGAGACACTCACCTGATCCATGAGAAGTTCACAAGTCCTTGCCATGCTGAACAACAGACATGCTGCCTTGTCATTGCTGCTCCAGCAAGTTTTCTGCCTTCAGAATTCTGACAAGAGGCAGTCTCAGTGTCTATACTGACATGGGCCTCCAAACTCCAGGGATACATAGCAGGCTCTCTCTAAAACTTTCTCTCCAGGTTGGACCTACAGATAGCTTCAGTTCAGTAACCAAGCATCTGGAGGGTGATATATCTTGAAGACATTCTTAATCAGCTCTCATAGGCCACCTCACTCTCATTTTTCTCATTGGCTTCCCCTTTTTCAATGGGAGAGAAAATGTACAACACCCCCTTTAAGGTAATAACTAATAAACCTCTCCCTTGTAGTCTTCTCTTATTTAGGCTGGAGGAAGTGTTTGAGTGAGGCCATAGAACCGGTTTTGTCACCTCTTGGTGAGTCCTGTAGAGAAGTGCCTAGGAGCTCTCTTTGGAATGTGATAGTACTTAGTATGCATTCTTTTCACCTGTATCATCAGACACATCTTATGTACCATTTCAGATATTTTTAGCCTCACCTGTTGTATCAATATTCCATTGTCCTGTAACAAACCACTTCAAAACATAGTCTAAAATAATAATCATGTTATTTTCTCATTATGCTGTGGGTCAGCAAATTGGGGTGGGCTCAGCCAGGCAGTTTTTCTTCTGGTCTCACATGGGGTCACTCATGGTAGAAAGAATAGAGGCTATTCATGGGACCAACGACATTCTGTGTCACCCCCAACTCCACAAGGTATGGTCTAAAAGCTAAAAAGTGAGCTGGGCCTTTCATGGACCATTTCATGAGGCTGTCTGCTTCTACAGGATAAGGTATATGATACCAGCAGTTCTTACTGTCATGTGCAACTCCTTTGCAGTAAAATGGGTCCATTGGTTTAAGGCAATACTTTGTGGGATACCATGTTACTAGATGACCATTTGCAAACTCCTGAATGGTGGTGCTCGTGCAGAAACTGCGGATAGGTAAGCCAAACTCATATTTGGAGTATGAATCAGTTCTGGCAAGAATGAACTGCATGCCCCACACCCCGTGTGGAAGGGATCCAAAGTAATCAATCTGCTAAAGTGTCTGGTCTCCTTGAGAAATGGTGCTGTACTGTGGGCTCAGTGTTGATCTCTGCTGCTGGTAGGTCGGGCCAGTAATAGCTAATTGAGCCTTGGTAAGAGGGAGCCCTTGCTGGGCCTGAAGGGTAACACTGGGTTCTGTTGAGAGGATCCCTTGCCCCTTTGCTTTCCCTTCTTATAGTGCAAGTCTAAGAGAAGCCTTGTCAGTGATGGACTACTCAGGCTGCTTGATGCCAGGCAATCTGAAGTTGTGGTGCCAACTGTTTATAGGCATTGTCTGGGACCTTGGGGTTAATTAGATATTACAATTCTTCTATGAGGGGGAGAAGTCCTGTGGGAAGCTGAAATCGGATGCAGCTTTTCCCTTTGGTAAAAGGGCAGATCCCTGGTTCCAGTTAGCTTTTTGCCTGTAACCCAACATGAGTTCTCAGGATCACATTTAGACAAATCTGCTCTTTGTACTAAAATGCCCTATTTAAATTATGTTAATGTTCTGTGTAGACCCCTTGATTTTTACTTTGTGATTTAGTGATTCTCAATGAAAAAGGGGTTTCTCATAATCTAATTTTTTTCTGTATATTCTACCCCCTACTCTGCTTCCCACCTAATCTTCATTTAGTACTTGTGCCTGTACTGGCCAGTACCTTAAATAACAAGTGTCAGAATGCCTTCTGAGCTTGCTAGAAGAATTAAGAGCAACCTACTCTAATTTTCCCTATCATAAGCACAAGAAACAACTGAATTGAGCCCTCTTATACCAAGACACTGAAAGAGGGAATATAAAATTATTAATTAGTTCTATATCATAACTATAGTGGGGACTCTGTCTAAAGAACAGCACCAACCCAAAGGTAGTGAACTGAGGGTTAAAGGGAGAGACAGAAGAACTAGGTTTGGAGGATATCATTTGTACTCCTGCATCATGCAGTACTTAAAACCAGCCCTATCTTCTAGACTATTTAGTTACATGATCTCTTTTCCTTTTGCATAAGCCTGTTTGAGATACGTTTTCTGTCACTTGCAAAGAAAAGATTCTAAATGAATATATCATGAATGAATGAGCATAAGAAATGAATGGTTTGAATACTCAAGATCATGACTGAGTATAGGGAAGGTGATATGGTTTGGCTCTGTGTCCCCACCCAAATCTCATCTTGAATTGTACTCCTATAATTCCCACGTGTTGTGGGAGGGACCCCGTAGGAGATCACTGAATCACGGGGGTGGTTTCCCCCATACTGTATTCCTGATAGTGAGTAAGTCTTACGAGATCTGATGGTGTGATAAGGGGAAACCGTTTTGCTTGGCTCTCATTCTCTCTCTTGCTGCCACCATGTGAGACGTGCCTTTTACCTTCCACCATGATTGTGAGGCCTCCCCAGCCATGTGGACCAGTAAGTCCAATAAACCTCTTTCTTTTGTAAATTGCTCAGTCTTGGGTATCTCTTTATTAGCAGCATAGAAATTGACTAATACAGAAGGCAAAGTGACCAAAAATATTTATATTGTTTCACTAAAATGAATCCAATTTTTGCCTAGTGCTTAGGGCTCAACATGTAATAAATACTCAAGACATAAGTGCTCAATAAGCATGTGTTAAATTAATTGTAATTCTACAAAAGGAAACACACCTGGAGAACCTAAGGTGACACAGTGAGTGGACAGGGGCAGGATTTAAACCCCTCTCCACCAAAAGTAAGTGATTTATGAATCAATACTGCTTACAAAATATTGTAGCTGAGAGTGTTCTTTGCTTTTGGGAAGGCTATAGGCTACCCTTCAATAAACATAAAAAATGGCTTGTTTTAGTAGCTTTTTTTCCTGATGGTCTTGAGGTTTTCCTGAACCACAGAGTTTCCTTTCCATAGTAAACATGTAATAGTACAAAGAGACATTTGACAGATGAAAATTGAGGTTAAGAGAATTGCCCAAGGTAATAGGTAACCGGTTCAGCCAAGATGGGAATTCAGCCCTTCCCTTCCCAAATGCAATGAGCTCTCTGCCAGGAACACCAGAAACAGTAAGTGTCATTTATTCATAGCCTTAGGGATTAATTCATCATTCAACATACATTTATTGAGCCACATTCTGAGGACACCGAGATGAATAAGACAAAGTCCATGGCTTCAAGGTATTTGCAGCCTATTAGAAAGAATGTCACATAAACAAATAAGCATAATGGAATGTAGCAAATGAAGCCATAGCTCATGCCTTTGGTGTTCTAGAAGCTATGGGTCTGGAGGAAGTGTTTGGGAGAGTGGGGATTGCTAAAAGTTATGGGTGGGAGAGAGTTAGTTGTCTTCAGTTGTCCTGAAAGAGGTCATGTGTAAACTCATAATAAAAATGAGTAAGTATATGTCCAGTTATTATAAATAAAATAATTAAATTCAAAATTAAGGTTTATTATTATTTCCATCTTGCCTAGGATAAATTATATAAAGAATTTTTTAACGTCTTTTTTTTTTTTTGAGACGGAGTCTTGCTGTGTCTCCCAGGCTGGAGTGTAATGGCTCGATCTTAGCTCATTGCAACCTCTGCCTCCCGGGTTCAAGCGATTCTCCTGCTTCTGCCTCCTGAGTAGCTGGGATTACAGGCGTTAGCCACCACACCTGGCTAATTTTTGTGTTTTTAGTTGAGATGGGGTTTCACCACGTTGGTCAGGCTGGTCTCGAACACCTGACCTCAGGTGATCCACCCTCCTCGGCCTCCCAAAGTGCTGAGATTACAGGCGTGAGCCACCACGCCCAGCTAATGTCTCCTTTTGCTACTTAAAAAGATGATTTGCTTACTCCCACATCTCATGCTCTCAATCAGAGAGTGATGACACCATAAGAACTCTTTCTAACTTCTTTTTCTACAATCTTCTGACTCACTGTTGTGAGCTCAGAGATGTGAAAGAGAACAGTTGGGAGATGCTAAATCATGGCGCATGAGAGTGAGTCCTCTTGATATTCCTTAGACAAGGAATAGTCTTGGAGTAGCCGATAAAGTGCATGCATAGATCTTTCAAACCCAGATGGGTTAAAAACCAGTTTCAGGCTGGGCATGGTGGCTCACACCTATAATTCCAACCCTTTGGGAGGCTGAGATGGGAGGATCACTTGGGTCCAGGAGTTCAAGACCAGCCTGGGCAACACAGCAAGACCTTGTCTCTACAAAAAATTAAAAACTTAGCCAGGCATGGTAGCACTTACCTGTGGTCCCAGCTATTTGGGTGGCTGAGATGGAAGGATTGCTTGAGGTTGGGAGGTTGAGGCCATAGTGAGTCATGGTCATGCCGCTATACTCCAGCCTGGGTGACAGAGCAAGACCCTGTCTCAAAATGAAATTCCAAAAAATGAAAAAAACCCGCTAGTTTCAAACCCATATTATGGTTCATGTGTGTAATGTCCAAAAGACGTGCTGAAGAATAATAGTTGACAATACTTAATTTGGCATATTTGGTTAGAAAATTGTAAATAAAGCATATTGACATAGTCAAAAGTCAGTGGATAATTATTTAAAATATTACACTTGCCTGTAATTCTATTATTATAAAACAGTGACTTTCCTTTTTACTCATTCATTCATTCAACAAATATATAAGGAGGCTCTGTGATGTTATGTCTTATGCGAGAAGCCAGGGTCATAGCAGTGAACAAAGATCTGTGGTTATAGTTTTCCATTTAAAGGGATGGATACACAAACAAGTACAATAAAGTGTAGTAAGGGTAGGTATGAGGAGCACCTAGTAGAGATACCTAATTTGGACTGAGGGACTCATGAAAGGCTTCATGGAGAAAATGACATCTAAATTGAAGGAAGTGACAGTATCATTTACTTTTACAAATGCAGTAATACTTGTATCAGTTAGTAGGCTAATAGAACCCCAAAGAAATCCTCAAAATTTAGTGACTTAAAGAACACAATTATTTCTCCCTAACATAACAGTCTAGGTCAGGTGTTCTCCACATGGTGATCTAGGGACCCAGGGTCCTCTTGCTTTGTGCCTCTATAACTTCTATAGCCTTGTTACCTACGAGATTGAGGTTGGATTGCCACAAACGGACATCAGCTAGTAGATGACCAAAAATGTGTAAAGGAGGCACCTGGCCGGGGAGTATCACACATCCCTTCTACTCATATCTCATTGACTAGAATTTAATCATATGACTACATCTAACTTTATATACCTAGGAAGCAGGTTAGAATGGATTTTGGTGAACAGTTACCAGAATTCACCATGATGGTATATGTAAAATCTTTTTGTAGATTCTTACTTTACTTTTCTTCATATCAAACATTTTCCATGTTTCTTCATAGTCTTCATTAATGTAGTAGGTTTTATTATTCTTCAATAAATTTGCCCCCTTCTCCTCTGGGTCCATCTCTATAGAACCTCTTCGGGGAGAGGGGCCTCCCTGAAGGAATAGTATCTGTCCCATTGATAGCAGGCTTGGTCATATGACTTTCTTTGGTCAGTGGAATTTGTCCAGAAATGAAATATTCCACTTCTGAACATAAGCTTGAAGAGCTGTTATTCTGTTCTACTTTTTGTCCACTGCCATGAGACCAACATGGGGACTGGTCTTTCCAACTGGGTCCTAGGATGAAGCAGAGCTATAGCTAACCTGCAAAGGGTAGGTATTGTGAGTGAGAAATAAATCTGTGATAAATCACTGAGATTTGGGAATCATCTGTTACTGCAGCATAATCTAGCAAAAGCTTACTGAATTAATAATTATAATGTCTACATTGTTCCATTGCGGTATGCACACCAATTTTTTAAGCCATTTAAAAATACTGGATATTTAAGTAGTTTCCAATTTTCTGCTATTATATGTCATGCTAAAATTGACATCTTTATGCAAATATTATATTTCTTTTATATTATCTTCCAAGGACACATTTTTCAGATTAAAAAATTGAGTCAACATATATGACTATCATTATTGCTCTTGTTTCTAAGAGGGTTATATTGTCTGTGTATTAAGAGAGGGTACAGCAATAAACACAGAAACTACTCTAATATTTATTTGGAGGAGGTGGTTTTACCAGATCCCAGAATCCAGGGCAATTTAAAGGGAACCTGAATCATGGCTATGTCTGCCTGGTCAGAATTGTCCAGTAGTAGTTGGACCATCAAGGGAGGTTTGGTTTGGCAAAAGCTAAATCCATGGAAGAGATGATTTAAGAATCAGAAAAAGAGGGAGAAAAATACCGCAAACTCTTCCCTCTTGCTCTCCAATCTCTCCAATCTTGTGCCTGTACCACTGCTATAGTTTGAATATTTGTGTCCCCTTCAAAATTCATGTTGGGACTTAAACCCCAATATGGTAGTATTAAGAAGTGGGGTTTTTAGGAGGTGATTAAGTCATGAAGACAGACCCCTCATGAATGGGATTATCAACTTTATGAAAGGGCTGTAGTGAACTACCTAGCTTTTGCTTATCTATCTCTTCTGCCATGTGAGTGGGGAACGTTTGTCCTTTTTGCCCTTCTGCTCTTCTGCCATGTGAGGACGTAGCAAAAAGGCCCTCACCAGGCACCAAATAGCAGCTCTTTGATCTTGCACTTTCCAGCCACACATAGAACAAACTCATCCGTCACCAACGAAGAAAACTCCAAAATACACGCCTGTTACTACATACATCTCAAAGTCCAGGATCTCTGAATGATGTGCTGATGTGCAATCCTCTATATCAGGCTCAGATGTGTCTCCTTGTGATCCTGTGATTTATAAAAAGTAAGACAAGTTATGTGCCCCATCCACAACATAATGGTGGACTAGGAACAAGGTAATAAGAACAGAAACACTGATGTTGGAAAGGGAAAAGGGGAACCACTCAGCAGTCATTATTAGTTCATGGTAATTATTAAGTCCTACTGGCTTGGAAATGCAAAAGCTCCTTGTCCTAACATTGGATTGAATTTCTTAGTTAGCCCATCTGACAGCTCTTAGCTCTGCTCTCTTAAGAAAACTCCTTGTCCATTGTCCTTTATGGACCTTGTCTCTGCTCTATGGAAGGTTCATTTTCATTGATTATTATGGCCACATTTGCAGTGGGCGGTTCTTGGGGATTGCTCAGCTTTCACAGCCTGTTTCCTACTGAGAAGTGTGGGGGGTCCTAACACTACATGAGGGCTCTAATCATGATAGGCATTTGCAAACCAGCCTTTTGGTTTCTGTGGCTTTTGGATTCCCTCTACTACTTAATAGGATTCTGGTCTATTTGCTACTTGCCAATTACATATAGAAGTAACCATAGTCTAAGATCTCTTCCAAGTAAATTCTTTTGCTGTCACTGTTCTCTGTGCTGATTCATCTTCCTCTCATTGAACTTAATAGTTGCTTCCTTAGGTTCTTCTTAATAGGTTTGTAAGAGAAGTTGACATACTTAACATGATCTCTACCTCTGCTCTGGTTCTCATTTACTGGTCAAAAGGAAGATGTGTGAGGAGCCACAATATTATTTCCTGCCAAGTCTTCCTTTTCTGCAGCCTCTTTAAGCTGCTTTACTGTGAAGTTGCAGAAAGCAGATGGCTTTTTCAATTGCGTAGGACTCTGAAATTGCAGGCCACGGGCAAAGAACATACTCTTGACAGAGCTATGTTCCCTCCATTTTTTGTTGCTTTCTGTCTGACTCTCACCAGGGTCCATCACTCTATAGGATGTTGTTAAAAGTACTAAGATGCAGCATACATTCCCCCAACATTTGGAATCTTTCTTATCATTTACCCCAATGCCATTGCTTGCTATGCTCATGAGTTGTCTTCCAAGATCTTGCTGACCTTTGTTAATACTGTGCCTAGCTAAAATTTCTGTTTCCATGGAAGAAAGAGAAAATGGATATTGGGGAAGAACTAGCATGCTCACACAAATGCCTATTGATTTGGACAGGTTCTTAATTCCATTCCATAAAGTGAGTCAGCAACTTGACTTGCAGAAGGCATGGGGCCAATGAAATAGAAAGCTGGCACCCTCAGATTGCCATACAGTACAGTATGAAAGGACTCACTGTAAAAAGGAAACCCAGACAGCCTCCTCCTCACCAAAACAAAAAATTGTGGCTAAATTTTTGCTAGTTTTGATATGACTGGTATAGATGCCTAAAGATTATCTCATAACTAGCAAAAACCTGACTTTCTGGTTCATGTCAAAAACTAAATAAAAAAGAAATTAATTTTGAAAGTCTAACAAAACAGCTACCTGCTGATTTTAAAAGCTATAAAGGTGAGAAAAGCCATGCACTATTATAATATTTTTCAATATGGTTGTCGGATTGCTGAAGTTACTTCTGAAATTCTTTTGTTTCCTTTTAGAAATATTCAATGTTGATTTGGAGCTTGTAACATATTCTAAATACCTCATGATATTTCTTTCTTTCTTACATTATAAAATAAGCCTTTAAAGAGAATAAAAAATTATCGATTGTCACAGAGATTTTTCCGTCTCTTCTCAGCATGTTCATATTATTTATTATGTCATTTTCTTGACGTTCATTTCATCTGATAAATGCACTCCAGATTCCTTCATTTCTAGCACTAAAAATACCTTCATTAGTTTGCACTGTCAAAATACAAATTAAATATCAATTTTATTTAAAAATGGGAGTAATGGCTATTCTAAGAAGTTCTGGGACAAAGCCAATAGACTTCGAGAAATGCATATTGCTATAGTTTTTTATACCAATAGAAATATAAGAAATTTTGCCTATTTGTTCACTGCTACATACCTGGTGCCCAGAATAGTACTTGGTGCACACTCAATAAATGTTTATTGAATTAATAAATTGAAATCAATGAATTTCCTTTTAATAATTCTAAAATACACTGGAAATATTTAACTAAAGTAGTCAAAAGAGAATTAGGTCTTTTGAAGTCTAAAGAGGAGACAGCATGATGTGATTATATCGTGATGGCCCTCCAAAACTCCAAGTGGACATCTCGGCCCAGGTAACATAGACTGGATCGCTAATGGCATTGAGCACTGTTTCTGCCTAGACTGGAAACTAGCCTAAGGGGCCTTTCCTGTGTGTCCTTTCTCCTGAGCCCAAACTTAATTTCTGCTCAAGTGTCTAAGGGGTACAAGTAGGAGTAGAGGTCTTTTTCTTAGCTGAATAAGGAGTGAGG
This sequence comes from Homo sapiens, assembly GCF_000001405.40. Lineage (NCBI taxonomy): Eukaryota > Metazoa > Chordata > Mammalia > Primates > Hominidae > Homo > Homo sapiens. The sequence continues at coordinate 30,901,567 of NC_000023.11, forward strand.
AAAAGAAGAAATATGGCCCATTTGTCATCGCCAGTCACAGAAAGAGGTCATGAGTAAGATTCTGAGCAGGCTGGGCATGGTGGCTCACACCTCTAATCCCAGCACTTTGGGAGGCCAAGGCAGACGGATTACTTGAGGTCAGGAGTTCGAGACCAGCCTGGCCAACATGGTAAAACCCCGTCTCTACTAAACACAAAAATTAGCGGGGTGAGGCTGAGGCACGAGGATTGCTTGAACCTGGGAGGCAGAGGTATCAGTGAGCCGAGATCACGCCACTGCACTCCAGCCTGGTTGACAGAGCAAGACCCTGTCTCTAAATAAATAAGTAAATAAATAAAGATTCTGAGCAAAAAAACCTCCACAAAGGGAATTCAGAGGGAGAGGAATCCCAATGGCTTATATACAGAAACATTTAACTTCCTAGATTATCATGCAAGCTGAGATAATTGATTTGAGATCTTTGCTTTTTTCTCAAAGAGGTGTTTAGTGCCATAACTTTTCTTCCAGGCACTGCTTTAGGTACATCGCACAAATTTTGATTTGTCATATTTTTGTTTTTATATAATTAAAAATTCTAATTTCTCCTTTGATCCATAAGTTATTTAAAGTTGTGTTATTTGAGGATTTTCCAGAGATCTTTCTGTTACTGTTTTCTAATTTAATTTCACTGTGGTTGTAGAACACATCGCAAAATTTGGATCCTTTTAAATTCATTGAGACTTGCTTTGTGGCCCAGAATATGGTCTATCTTGCTAAATATTCCATGTGTATTTGAAAAGAATGTGTATTCTGCTCTTGGTACACAGAATGTTTTATAAATGTTAATTAGGTCACTTTAGTTCATAGTATTATTCAAGTTTCCTACATACTTGCTGATTTTGTTTACTTGTTTTTTCTGTTTACTCTGGATTGATTATTGAGAGGGTTGTTTCAATCTCCAACTGTAAATGTGGAATTATGTATTCCACCTTTCAGTTCTATCAGTTTTTGTTTCATGTATTTTGAAGCTCTGTTATTAAGTTTATAAATACTTAGTATTACTATGTACTCCTCATGAATTGACCCCTTTATCATTATGGAATGACCATCTTTATCCCTTATATTCTTTGCTCTGAAATCTACTTTCATGTTAATATAGCCACTCCAGCTTTATTTTTACTAGTGTTAGTGTGGTATATATTTTCCCATGCTTTTATTTTTAACCTTATTTACATCTTTAAATTCAAAGTGGATTTCTTGTAAGCAGCATATTTGGGTCTTGCTTTTTCATCCAATCTGATGATCTCAAAAATTATTAGAAGTTCTTTTCATATTTAGTTTGTATTACAAACTTTTAAAAGTTTTTTAATATGTATGTATGTATACATTGTATCTGTGTATGTATATGCAGATGTATATATTTTATAAATAAAGGTATGCATATATGTTGGAAAGTGTCATCAAAAATCTTTTTATTCACAGGGTAAACAGTAAACAAAGCATGGAGACCACAGCTTTAGGGGGAATGTGAACAAGTGACCAGTACTTATTTCAGGTGAAGAAAAATAAGGACTGAGGGGTGAGACAGAGTCTGGACATCACACACCTCTAGTTGAGTAGCATCCCTCTATCATATATGTGAATGGTATTCACTGGAATTGTGTTAAGCTATGGCTTTTGCTAGAGGATCCATTTCGAGGAAAGAATAACAGAGCCATGTGTGAAAGAGGCTTTGAAGGGTCTGTTCCCAAGTGGACTCAAGGCCAAGCAAGCTGTCCCAACATACATCATTGGTCATGAGTCCAGAAGGATTGCCCAGTGGAGGGAGATATGTATATTGGGGAAAGGACTGGAGGGAAGAGAGCAAGACAGAAAAGTTCCAGAAGCTGCATAGGGGGTCCTTCTAGTCTATAGCTAAATCTAAGTTATGCATGTTCATTGTTTAAATACATAGTGTGACCAAAAGCTGGAAAGGCAAAAGGTTAAATTACCATCTCTGAAAAGGAGATATTTTATAAAAGCTAATGCTTACAAAACATACTGTTAAAATAGTTCCTTGGATAACAAGTATATTCTGCTGAAGAATATTGGTAATAATAGTTCTAAGGACTAAATGTGTATGTGAACTGTCTAAAGATTACCTCACTCAACATCAGATTTCTTGAATTTATTTTTTGAACTTCCAAAAGCAATCTAAAGCCTGCTATTTTCCAAGTGGTGGACTGAAGGTGTGAATTTCCCTCAGCCCTTGTAGGGAAGCACTTTGGAATTCATTTCCCTGACATGAGATTGCTTTCCCCAAAGCAATTTTGGAGGGAACATTAAGTGCTATAGAACTAGAATTGGAGAAATGGGCCCCACAAAATGTTTTTAATCAGAGTAGGAGCACATTTAATCACTGTGTAATAGAAGACTTTAAAGTAACAACACTTTGTTTAAGAGACTTATTGACTGGGGAGTTAATTTAAACTGGTCGTCTTCTTCTCCTCTTTGGCTTTCCATTTTGGAACTGTTTGGCCAAGATTGAGCTCAATATTTTATTTCTATTTGGTAGTTATTCTACAGCCCACCATTGCCACTCCCTTTAGCATCTTCATCCTTTGAACTATAAATGGAAATTCTCATGTTTTGGTATTTGTTTTTGCAAGTTATACTTGTCTCTGACGATTCCCTTTTCGTTTGAGAAAAGCCAGAGTGGCACTGTGTATTTTCAGTCATATTCCCCCTGGTATCAAATGTCACAGCTGGGTTGCAAGACGGTTTATTTGTATTATCATAGCATTTCCTTTAGATCTCTAGAGGCCTCTATCTCTAAAATCACTTGTCTACAGGAACTTCAGGGAGAATTATTTGACCTTTTAGAAAGTAAACTTTCCAACTGAGTATCTCCCTCTGGATCTAGGTTCAGATGGTTGTGCATGCGCATGTGTGCGTGTGTGGCTTGAGCTTTTAGGTTAATATAGATTCTGACTTTTCAAAGTGATATAGTGTGTCTTTGATTTCCCAAACAGAAAGAGCTTTTGTTGATTGTGATAATGAGTACACTATAAATATTGTGGCAGGATAATATATTGAGATCATAATGTATGTTCTTTCTTCTTGTTTTTTCCTCCTTCATTCCAGAAAGTTAGTAATTCTTTTTGTGCACCTTCCCAGAGGAGGGTTTGTATTTTATTTGTAGGCAGAAATAGGGTAACTAGCTATCCCAGTTTGCTCAGGACTTGTAGGGGGGGTTTGAGAGGGGAACAGTTCCTAGCACATGAGACTTTCAGTACTGAAGCCAGGAAAATCCCAGGCAAGCCAGGACAAGTTGGTTGCCCTAAGCAGAAGTCATGTACGAGATCCTTCCCATCTGGATTTTTTTCTAAACCCTGAGCTCGTTGAAGAGAGGTGCCCTTAAAGGTAAGTGGGGAGAGGAATACCACGTTTATGTAAATTTCTTATTGAAATATAACATACAAATTAAAAATGCACACATCATAAGTGTGCAGTTCTACAAATTTTCACCAAGTAAACACACATGTAAATAATATCCAGATCAAGAAAGAGAATATTTTCAGGATCCCTGAAGCCCCCTTGTGTATTCTTTTAGTCACCACCCCCTTGAATAACCATTATCCTTACTTAAAACATTTTAGATTAGTTTTGCCTGGTTTTAAAATTTATTTCAATGGAAACATACAGTTTATAATCTCATTTCCAGTTTCTTTCATTCAACATTATGTTTGTGAGATTCATCCATGTTGTTGTATGTTATCTAGTTTGGTCAATTCTTATTGTTATATATATCCCATTATATGACCATATCACTCTCTTAATCCTTTTCTGCTACTATAATAGATTACCACAGACTGGATAATTTATAAAGAAAACAAGTCTATTTGGCTCACAGTTCTGGAGGCTGGAAGTCCAAGATTAAGGGGCTGTTTCTGGTGAGGGCCTTCTTGCTGTGTCATATCATGGCAGAAGGGCAAACAAGCACGTGAGACAGAGAAAGGAAATCAGACCAAACTTGCTTTTGTAACAAATGCAGTCTCATGATAACTAGCACACTCCCATGATAACAGCAGTAATCCATTCATGAAAGTATAAACCCAAAATAAAATTCTAAGCTCTACAATTGACCACCTCCCACCTCCTTGGCCAAGAGCATTCCAAAGTAAACCTGAAAATCTAATTCAGGCCATGATGGGAAGTGAGGGTCAGGCATATTATACCCTCCTCCCTTTGGAATTGAGGCACAACTGACCAGCACTAACATTAAAACAGAGATCTTAAGACTGACCAAACAGACTGTAGCAATAAGATACATCACATGACAGATAGCAGGATCTGAAAGAAATCAAAGTATTTTACCCTGAAATATATTTCTTTGACATATTTAAAAATGGTTCTGCAAAGCTGTCTGTTGTGGGGGAAATCTACATTCTGTAGAGAGTCCCCTTCCCTTTCCAGGTCTTTCCTGACCCAGGAGAGATTAAGTGAGAGTCTGGCACCTCTTTAAGTCCGATAAGAAACATTTACCATCTACTCTCTCTGAAGCCTGCTACCTGGAGGTTTCATCTACATAATAAGAACCTTGGTCTCCACAACCCCTTACCACAACCCTGACATTCCTTTTTATTGATTCCAGGCCTTTAGGTGAACTCAACCAATTGCCAATCAGAAAATCTTGGAATCTGCTTATGACCTAGAACCCCCTCACCCCCCCCCACCCCACCTCCCCTTCAAGTTATCTCACCTTTCTAGACAAAACCAATGTACGCTATACATGCATTGATTAACTCCTATCTCCCTAAAATGTATAAAATCAAGCTGTAACCCCACCATCTTGGGCACATGTTCTCAGACCTCCTGAGGCTGTGTCATGGGTGTGCCCTTAACCTTCTAAATTGATTGAAACTTGTCTCAGATACTTTATGGTTTACAAAGGCAGAGCCCTCATGGCCTAATCACCTCTTAAAAGTCCCACCTGTGTTATAATAGCAATTACATTTCAATCTGTGTTTTGGAGGGGACATTCAAACCATAGCAACCACAATTTACTTATCTATTCTATTTTTGATGAACATTGTTTCCACTTTGGGACCATTATAAATAGTACTACTGTGGATATATTAAAATCAGGAAAAGATGCACAGGGCAGAGTGTGGAAGGATTCCCAAGGATTCCAAACATGAAGCTCCCATTGTTCTCAGGATGCATTACTCTCATGACAGCAATGTGTAACGATACCCACAAAGGATTGCCAACAATATTCTGTGCAAACTGTCAACCCAGGAAGCTCACTTCAGCTTTTATATCCAGAGTTTTTACTGGGGCTTCATTGTGTAGGCTGACTGAGTTGTGGTTGAATTCAATCTCCAGCTCCCACCCCCATCACATAATTAACCTTTCTGGTATGTCTAGCCTCCACCAAAAGACTATCCAGTGTGGCTTGCCCCACCTTGAGTCATCTCCTTAGCATGAGCTATTGGGTGTGGTCCAAGTGGCTGACCATGGATAACAACAGTCCCATTACTCCAAAAATTCCAAGGCTTTAGAGGTTACCTTCAAGAGCCAGGACAAAGGCCAGACCACTCTTTGAGCAAGGCCAAATTCCTTACTACACAGGACCCTTTCCCCTTTTTCTATAAGACTCTTGGATTCTGATATAACAATGAGAGAGGAGCTAGTCTGATAATGATTGGGATCATCTGCCCAGTGGGAACGGAGACCCAAAACAGAATTTAAGGTGATTTATAGAAAATAAAGCAATACCATATTTCCTATACATGTGATATAGCAGAATAGTATTTTGCAGTATAAACCAATGTGTTTTTCATTATTGGTAATTACTTTTTACCCCCAAAGCCCTCCCCTTATTAAAATGAACAGAAAGAAAAGAGAATCATTTACTTTTACGCTACAAAATAGGCTTTTGAAGCTCTTTGTGGAACTTAGATTTATGAAAGAAAAGATTTTGGGGCTGCAGGAGCCTGAGTAGTTTGAGTATCAAAACCTAAGGTCCTGAAGGCTTCAGGGTAGACACAGAAAGATCTGGAAAAAGACCAGATCAATAATAGCTGCTTAAAGCTATATAAAGTATTCCCAGGACTAGCAGAGAGGAGACTCAGAGGGAAAAAAGAACCCTATACATGTGTTCCTAAGAAGGGGATCAATTACCTGCATGCACTCTCTCTACCCCCACCTAGGTTCTCTAAATAAATGTGGGCACTAGGAAGGGGTTTTTCTATCCTTTGTCAAAGAGTAGAAGTAGAATACACACAAGTAGTGTACCCACCCTGGGCCATTGGCAAAAATAGAGCTACCTGCAAGAAATTGGACCCCTGAATATGATCTCTGCCTGGGAGTGGGTACAAATTTGTAATACCTTGGACATGTATATATACGTGTGTGTATATATATACATGTATATATATACACACACGTATATATACATACATATATACATACATATACACATATGTATATGTGTGTGTGTGTGTGTGTGTATATATATATATATATATATATATATATATATATATATATATATATATATATAGTGTGTGTGTGTGTGTAGAGAGAGAGAGACGGAGTTTTATCATGTTACCCAGGCTGTTCTCAAATTCCTGGGCTCAAGCAGTCCTCCCACCTCAGCCTTATCTAGCCTTTCAATGAGGTAGGAGTAAAAGGGACTTTAACATCTTGCCAGGCAACAATAATTACTGTGAGTTAAAGCAGTGTAAACTCTCAGCATGTCACCCTGCCCACAATGAAAACAATTTTTCACATTATGCAGAGTCCATTCAGGCCTCCCAAAGCAAAAGAGCCCTCAAAGAAGAATTTTAGCCTCTGTTTCAAGCACTTAGGCTTTGTTTCAAGGTTTCAACAATCTCTGGAATAATTTTTTAGGCAGATTTCATGGTCAATCTACCTGAGCTGTTCCTTTCACCAGAAGTCTTTGCAAGAGGAAAACTCTTCCCCAAAACATGGTCCAAGATGGAGGCATAGCCTTAACATAAGGAGAGATACAGCATAAGATTTCTCTCCCAATTCCAGAGAAAATTAATCTCAGGGAGCACGGCTCTTTTCCTATTCCCATATATATTGGCATGCTCATCTTGAAAGGTAATCTACTATAGGAAAAGACCAAGGACTTTGAAGTCAAACATTATAGCGCCAAAGAGTGATTTTCAAAAGTTAAAAACATGACTCTCATACAAATTTAAAATGGAAATATGTCAGAGATTTTATTCATGAATGAGGGAATCAATAAGATGGTAAGTTAACCAGAATGCTCTTCTGTGGAAATTAACTTCCATGAGAGTCCTCTGTGTGTCCTGGGTTGAGGAGGTGTTATAATTGGATGGCTTAACATTTGTCTTTGCTCTGGCCTTGCAAATTTCATAAATTCAAGATCAGTTTTAAGTAAATTTCTCAGCAAAGGATACTCACAGTCCAAGGTATTAGAAATTTGTACCCACTCCCAGGGGTGGTTCAAAGAGCATTTGGACTACTGGCATATTTATAGTCACAGGGAAAGCCACTTTGAAATAAATGTACTAAGTTAGAGACAAAACTTGTTAATATCCAAACAGCAATGAAACCGTTCCTTTGGGGTTATATTTTCTACTGGACATAAAAATTAACATATAACTACAGAGTCTGAGCCCTTAATTAATAGCAAATGGCAAAGTTGCCCACAGATACATCTCCCTTGATAATTAAATAATGCTTGGGTAATCCTGTCAGTACCCCAGGGTGACATTAAAACATCATATAATCCAATTTCCTCCCTTATTTCACAAGTTTTAAATATGTATCTTAAATATCTAACTACGCAATATACTAGCTTTTGAACAATTACCTAATTTCTCTGAGACTCAATTTCTTCATCTATAAAATTGAGATAATAATATCTGCCTTGCCTGATTATCTTTTCTTACTCTCCAACTAATGGGAGACTAAGTAGAGATAACCCCTGGGTAGACATAAGATGGAGTTGGGTAACTTTTACACTCATGACTAGGAGTAGAAACCTTTGGGTCCTAGGGTCAGGCACCAGAGCCTAGGTCACCATATCTGGGGGTGGGAAACCTTGAAAGAAAACAAAGTAAAAAGGAGCAGCAAATCTAAACAGGAGTCAAAAGGAGAAGAAATCCAGAGATAAAGCCAAGAACATGTGTCAGCCAAAGTCACACACAAGTTTGGAGTTCAAAAAATAAAATGCTAAGAGAAAGGAGACAAAAATGAAATGTGAACCTGAGTCACAGAATGTGGCAGCTTTTGTACTATTCAGTGTTGCCTATGGTGTGGGCTGGCCTATCCTTGAAGATTAAGGTTATCCTTGGACAATGAATAGTGTAAAGGTTAAAGATAATTTATGCCAGCCTCCTTGTTTCATCTCTAAAAATAGCAGATGTTTAATAAATGGTAGTGATTATACTTTTTATCTGCTTTTCTCTCAGTGGAGCTTGTAAGTGAAGCAGTTATCTTTAAAAAGAAACTATGAGAATAAAAGTCTCTGTGACTTGTTTAGTATAGAAGAGATTCATATTACTGATGAAAATGAGGTGGACATCTGTTGTTTTTGCCTGCTGTGGCAAACAAGGTGTGCCATTTGCATCTTCTTTAAAGAAAAAAACTTGTTAATCGGCTGCAGAGTGCAGTTAGCTGATAGCCCCCAACTGCAGTGTCTTCAGGATCTGCCTCAGCACATAATTGTGAGGCCCTGCTCTTCCTGGGCAAGCATAATGTGGCCACAATGACGTGGCCATTTCTGCCGAACATAGTTCTTCATCAACAGGCAATCTTTTTTCAGAGCTCCCCACTGGGTTGGCTGAGCCTTTGTCAGATCTGCATTGCCGTCTGAGGCTTTCTCTGCCTATTTCTACTTCCTCTCTCATTTTTTTTTTTTGATAGATGTCAGATTTGCATCACCATCTTAAGGCTTTGTATGTTTATCCTGCTTTCTACTTCTTTTTTTCTGCTAAACCCCTCAATAAACTTTTTGCACTCCTCATTCCATCTTACCATTTACTTCCCAGAGGACCTGAACGGATGCAGTCGGTACTGGAAGTGGTCTGAGAAATCAGGAGAAACAATGGGGAATGGTGACTGAGTCACTCGCCACCTGATTGGCAATGAGGAACCCATGCTGGGAGGTATGATGGACCCTGGCCTAATCTTGCAGTCTGATTGCTATAACTTCCACTGGTAGTGATTTGAGAAAAAAATTCTGATGGAGGGAAATGCTCTGGCTGGTGCAAGGATTTGAAAATTCCATGGTAGGGGGAGGTAGGGGTGGAGGTGTGTAGTCATAATACATATAAGAATAGTGGAATTGCCTGGTTGCTATTAAGATTCAATGACACCCTACAGAGAGATAATGAAATACTGAGGGAACTTAGTAAACAATTGAAAAACAGGTGTGAAGGCCAGAAGTTCTCTTTGGTAGTTTACAAATAGGCCCTTACCTCCAGAAGTGGGATAGCAGAAAAACCTGAGGACAAAACTCAATAATTAATAGTTATATTCATTGACCTTCAGAAATGATTGAGTGTTCAGCTGAGGGAGTTTATTATACAAAAAGTTGGAGCCCTGTTTGGGGCAAACTTGGACTCTGGTACATGGGATGAGGACATGTGGGTGGATGCTCTTGATGATTTTGACTCCCCAGTCTCTTTAAACCCTGAGAACCTTCACAGGGGCCCACCTCTCCCTATTACAAGCTAGCATGCTCCCTCTTACCCTCCAGCGTAGAAAGATACACCAGCACTATCTTCTTCCTGGCAAGGCTATAGAGGCTGCTCTCAGGATCTGTCTCCACTGTATCTCCTGATTGCCATGGCAATAACTAGGATTATGTTATGTCTCCGTTGGAAAAGTGCTGGGTCTGATAAGGGAGGAAAGAGAATTTACCCCAAAGGAGCTGCAAGACCTGTCAAGCATGCACTGACAAGAGCTGTGGAAATACTTACCAATCAGCTGGATTTTGAGGGTAATTGATCAATGGGGCTGAAAACTATGACTGGATAAGGGAGGGTTTATTGACCTGATGGTACTTTCTTGGGACACGCAGGCAAGGACCTTGGGCATGGGGTAAAGTCACTGCTGGGTGGCTCCAGAGAAAGTGGCAGCCTAAACTGAGCAAAATTGAAGTGTCTAAATTGCTATAACAAACTGTAGAGCAAGGAATAAAGAGTCTGAGATAAGTGGGCAGACAGGAATGCATATATTATGCAAGGCCAAAAGGTCCACCAGTGGATTATGCCCAGAGGACACAGTACTTGCCAAGGCCATCAGAAATGTGCTGGTGAGATGGTCATCCATCAGCACCATTAAGACATTTAGTGGTGGCTTCTGCTGCATGCAGGCCTGGGTTAAATCAGCGAGTCTGTCACAAAACTTGGTTTGTTGATAGCAATAGGGATGATGGGACTCAAAAGCAATAGAGGCCAGGTGGTGGTGGCGTTGATCACCAGAAGCCATGGGGGTGCAATTATCATTATGACCAGAAAGATTGAAATGACTGCCAAAGGGCCTTAACTAGCAGAGAATTGTGAAGAGGGTTAAAAACTACAGCTCCCTAAGGGCAAAACCAATGGGCATACAACCAGGATGCTGGTTAATCAAAAGGATGCAAAAATGCACGCATAGAAGGCTTAGAGTGTCCATTCAATAGAAAGTCCTGACACATTGCCCATTTCCTGGGTCTGAGCCAGATTTTAGGACCAAAACCCATTGACCAAAGAGATGATCAGGGAACCAGGTCTCCAGGTCCCCAGGAGGAAGGACGCTGAAACACTATGACAGTGTAGAGTGTGACAATTCCACCAGTCCTTTCCCAAAGGGACTGTTATTAACTTAGATGACTGCTACATTGGGGAAAGGGAAATATGCAGACAATTTGAGGACTATTGGACAGAGGATCTTAGTTGACATTGAGGTCTAGACACACTAAGCATCATCATGGCCCCCTGTTAGAGTGGAGGCATATGGGAGCCAAAGTCTAGCTTACTGATTTTGTGGACTCACCTGGTGGTTATTTTCCTAGTCTCTGTATAATTGGGATGGATATACGTGGCAATTGATTTAACCCCCACATTGGGTACTTGGCCTGTGTAGGGCCAACAGCTATCATAGTAGAGAAGGCCAAGTGGATGAAACATACCTCTTTCTCTATCACTTACCCCAACCCCCAAGCAGCCAAGGTAGTAACTCAAAAACAATATCACATCCTTGGGGGTTGCAAGAATTAGTGCTGCCCTTAAGAATCTAAAAAGATCTCATGAATTATTTTATTTGCTAGTGTGGCCTCTGCAGAAACTGAATGGATCCTGGGGCATGATCACAGATTGTTCCAAGCAATAAGCCCATCCACAGCTGCCAGACTGAACATGGTATCCGTGTTAGAACAGATTAATGTGGCTTCAGGTAAATGATAGGCAGCCATTGATTTGGCATGTGTTTTCTTTTCTATCCCAGTCAGGAAAGAGGATCAGAAACAGTTCTCATTTATCTGGAATGGACAAACTATGCAGTCACAGTTTTGCCACAAGGCTTTCTTAACTTGTCTGTCCTTTGTCATAACATAGACCAAAGAGATCTGGGCAGTCCCACAGAATATCACATTGACCCATTATATTGATGACATTATGCTGGTTGAGAAAAGTGAGGAAGAGGTGGCCAGCTGGAATCTTATACTTCAGTAAAATTTTTAAGGGTCCAGTGCTTGGGCACACTGAGACATCCTCTGTAAAGTAAACTAATTGTTGCATCTTATATCCCTCCCACAAAGAAGGAATCATAACACCTGGTAATCTCTTTGGGTTCTGGAGACAATACCTTCCATCCCTAGGAATAGCATTTTAGGCATGTACTGGGTGACACAAAACACTACCAACTCTGAGTGAATCTAGAGCCTCAAAGGGCTATGTAGCAAGTCCAGGCTATAGTGCAATCAGCCCTACAGATCCAGTAGACCCGATGGCATTGGAGGTGTTGGTGGTGGAAAAAGATATAGTATGGAATTTATACCAAGACAGATATGATCCCCAAGACTATGAGGTGGATGCAATAACCAGATAGGACTTTGGATTTATCTTTCTTAGAGAGGGTGTGTGTGTGTGTGTGTGTGTGTGTGTGTGTGTATTTGAAGATTATACAGTCATGTGTCACTTAACAATGTGGACATATTCTGATAAATGTGTTGTAAGGTAATTAGTGTACTTACACAAACCCAGATGGTACAGCCTACTACACACCTAGGTTATATGGTATAGCCTATTGCTCACAGGCTACACACCTCCATGGCATGTGACTGTACTGAATACCGTAGTCAGTTATAACACAATGGTAAGTGTTTGTGTATCTAAACATATCTAAACACAGAAAAGGTATAGTAGAAATACAGTATAAAAGATAAAAAATAGTACACCTGTATAGGACACTTACCATGAATGGAGCTAGCAGGACTGGAGTTGCTCTGAGTGAGACAGTGAGTGAGTGGTGAGGAAATGTGAAGTTTTAGGACATCACTGTACACGACTACAGACTTTATAAACACTGCACACTTACGCTACACTAAATTTATAAAACATTTTTTACTTTATAAACTTAATTTTTAAAAACTTTTTGACTCTTTTGTAAAACACTTAGCTTAAAATACAAACACACTGTATAGTTCTGCAAAAATATTTTCTTCCTTTATACCCTTATTCTACAAGCTATTTCTATTTTAAATTTTTTTATTTTTTACTTCTTAAACTTTTTTGTTAAAGACCAAGACAGAGCACATACGTTAGCCTAGGCCTACACAGGGTCAGGATAATTAATATCACTCTCTTCCACCTTCACATCTTGTCCCACCGGAAGTTCTTCAGAGGCAATTAACATGCAGGGAGCTGTCATCCCCTATATTTACAATGCCTTCTTCTGTACTACCTCCTGAAGGACTTGCCTGAGGCTGTTTTACAGTTAACTATTTTTTTCACAAGTAGAAAGAGTACACTGCAAAATAACAATAAAAAGTATAGTATAGTAAACACATAACCCAGTTACATAGTCATTTATTATCATTATCAAGTGTTACGTATTGTACGCCATTGTATGTGCTATGCTTTTATAAGACTGGTACGCAGTAGGTTTGCTTACAGCAGCGTCACCACAAACACGTGAGCAATGTGTTATGAAAGCTAAGAAGTCACCAGGTGATAGGAATTTCTCAGCTCCATTATAATCTGATGGGACTACTGTAGTATATATGGCTCATCATTGATGAAAATGTCACATGACTGCACATTGATATCTACTCTCTACTTCCTGTTTACTAATAGAACCTACAACAAATTTTAGGGAGGCACATGGATGTCTGAAATAAAGACTAAATTTCTCAGCCTCATTTGCAGTTAGGTGAACTTTTGACTAAGTTCTGGTCAACAGACTACAAGTTTAAGTGCCATTGTAAAGGGGAGAGTAAATGCCTTCAATTCTTCTGCTGCCTGGAAAGTGGATGTGAAGACTGAAGCCGAAGCAACTGTCTTGAACCATAAATGTGGTAGCGTGTTTTAAGAATGGTCAAACAGCAAATTACACAGAGCACAGGTCCCTGATAATGGTCTCCCTGCCAGCTCAAGATTGCTTAGGACTCCACTTACGTGAAAGAGAAATAAACTTCAATTGGTTTTAAGCTAATGTTACTTTGGGGTTTTGTCACTCACAGCCAATCCTAATCATGATATAGGATTATTTGCCCAAAATAATTGTGGTGTTTTAGAGTAATTGATCTTAAGAAGTATTTACTGTATTTCTGATAATTAGATAACAGAACTGCCTATTGATATTGCTGCCAGTTCATGTCAATAAAAAAACATACTGATCTTTCTATTCTACAATGGGAGTTAAAGTGAGACGGTATGATTCTAAGTTATCTAAAAGGTTTGCAAATAGTCAAGACACAAAGCAAGGGAAGGGAGGTAGAATGCAGTCTTATATTACATCACTTTAAACCATTGATTGTCTGACCTCCAGACCTTTAAGAGAATATATTTGTGTTGTTTTAAGCCAAAAAAAAAAAAATCCCATCATTGATTGGCCGGGGGCAGTGGCTCATGCCTGTAGTCTCACCTACTTGGGAGGCTGAGATAGGAGGATCCTTTGAACTCAGGAGTTCAGGACCAGGCTGGACAACAAAGCCGGAGCCTGTATCTAAAATTTAAAAATTTTTTTTGATTTATCTGTTAGGGGGCCATTAGGACAGACCCCAAGTCTCACAATAGTGCTGAGGCTATGGGTCTAGTAAGTATGAATAATCAGTAGTCCATATTGAGATCACAGAATTGTTATTCTTACCTGTCAGTGAATGGTTAAGGAGCAGTCAATTCAATTAGACCTGCAATTGACTCATATTTCTTAATAGATTATTGGCAAAAATTATAAATGAGTATATCAGTGGCCGCTCATGCCCATGTGAAATATTGTCTGCACAATCTGACACATACAGTTTTTCAAGTAGGAGCAAACACCAAATTTAAATTCAGTGATCAGCAGACCAATAGGTCTGTAATTTGGGCTACAGACCAATAGGACTGCAGTTTGGGAATTAGAGAAATGTCCATAAAAATAATGATACTACGTGAAAGCCTGATCAGGAATGCAATTTAAGAGGCTTAATAAAATTATAAGCCGTTGCTTTGGATTATGAAAGGTGAGTAAAGGAAACTTTCTGGGTGTCAGCTGAAATCTGGGCACGTTGCTTCAATCTCATTCGCCAGATTCAAAATATGGATTCACAGTGTCCTCTAAACTATGTTCATTAGTGCCTACAGAGGCCTAACTTGGGTCAATTGTGCAATGTAACAAGGACAGGTTTTTTACATATGCATTTTTTTTAACTTAAAGTATTTTAAAACTTATTACTTTAGTTAAGCATTTCTTATGCAATAAGTTTGTAATAAGAGTTACCTTTAATAACCTCCTCCAAGGTGACCTCTTCTGTATGTCTTTTCACATGACACCACATTATCCTAGTTAAGGTTATGTTTTGTTTTGTTTTGTTGCATCCCAACGATGCTTGTCAAACCAGAAACTGGAAGGGCAAGGCCCACATTTACCAACACCTGAAACACGATTTTAATGGTCTGTTGTTAGAAATGAAAGGGGAAGCTCCTCTCTTTGGGTATTCAGGGCAATTTCAGGAAAGAGCAGGAAATTGCCAATGAAATTTCATAAAGAAAACCCTTGCTCTCGATTATTTTTCCCAGCCTTTTAATATCCCCATCCAATTAGGGTAAATAGACTTTACGACAAGTTAACAGTTGAAGTGAAGTAAAACTGTACACTTTCTACAGAGTACAAAATATCTATAATATAACGTATAGCACTGACCTCAAGGGTATAAATAGTATTCTCCCAACATTTGTCACATTTCCTAACACTCATCAATATACAAATTATAATTGTATATTGTTTGTTGAGAAAATTTACATTTAAGCAAATACAGCTCTCTTAGTACAACTGCTTATGGAGAACCAGCCTTGGCTGCCCTCTGTCAATTGTGATGTTTAGGTTTTCAAAGATCCACAAATAAAGATGATTAAAACTGGTAAAGACTAAAATATGAAAAAAAACCCCACAATCTTGGACACACTTAAAACTAAAATTGAATACATTTTTTAAAAGGCCAACTTGTCAATATGTATCAAAACTTTAAAAAGCGTATGGTTTTTATCCAAGCATCTTCACTTTCAGGAATTTTTTTGGAAGAATATAATCATATAATTGAAAGGCATCCGTAAAATAATATTTATTGTAGTTTTGATTATGACAATATACTACTTGAAACAATGAAATATATGACAATACATAAGTGGTTAAAAATTATAGCATGAATGTATAATGAAATATTATGTCATTAAAATATTTTAAATATATAGTTATTAATGAAGAAGATATACTATTGAGTGAAAATATCATGTAACAAAGTACTATGAATTCTATGAGCTCAATATTGTTTAAAGCATGAACTTATACATTTGCATATATATGCATAGAACATGTCTGGAAATTTATAGTAGGAAATATTAACTGATTGCTAGGTGCTAGAAATAGTTTATAAAATATTGCAAACACACAAAGATATGAAAAATAAAATGAGAAATACTTGTGTACCTAATACTTGTCTTTATCAAATGTTAACATTTTGCCATATTTGCTAGTTATGTTTTAAGTAATAAAACATTTCAGAGATAGACAAAGCCCTCTGTATTGACCCCTCTCCAACTGATTCCTCTCTCTCCCTCCTAAAGTTCACCGCTTTCCTGAACTTGCCAAAATGTTAGATTTGCCATAATCATATATTCAATATGTATATAATAATACCACTCCCCACATGTATGTACATAAATGTATTATGCATATTATATGTATATAATATTTGATAGTTTTTGCATTTTAAAAGCTTTATCGAAATATCATTATAAAATACATGTCCTGCAACTTCCTTTTTTCTATTGTGTTTTTAAGATTTATATGTGCACACATATATATGAATAGCTTTGGGTAATTTAAGTATTTAAACCATATTCTACTTTTTTGATGTACCATAAATCATTTATTTATTCAACTATTGATGCCAGTGTAACATAAATGGCAGTAATGTGTTACTTCTGATATAAAGCAGTTGAGAGCTGTTGTGTTTTTGTTTTCCCATTTTATTTGTACAAATTTATGGGGTACATATGCAATTTTGTTACATGCATAGATTGTGTAGTGGTCAAGTCAGGGTTTTTAGCATATCCATCATCCAGATAATGTACATTGTACCCATTTACCGATCTCTCATCATCCTACTGCCTCCCACTCTTCTGAGTCTCTTTTCGTCTATCTATCTTTCCACTCTCTACATCTACGTGAACACATTTTTTGCATCCACTAAACAATCTTATGAGTGAGAACATATAATATTTGTGTTTCCATGCCTGGCTTGTTTTACTTATGATAGTGACTTCTAGTTCTATCTATGTTGCTGCAAAAGACATAATTTCATTCCTTTTATAGCTGACTAGTATTCCATTGTGTGCATATTCCTGGTGTGTGTGTCTTACCCACACACTGTCTTCCTTTGTTTTCTGGCTAGATGTAGTGATTCCAGTGGAAGACCGCAAGGATCACAAGGACTGAAAAATAGAAAGAGGCTGGGTCTTTGAAAGGTCATATGGAAGTCTTTTCTTAAGTACTCAACAGCTCTGTGAAATGAACAAGAAATATACCTTTTATTTTGTGAAGCCATTGAGATGTGAGTGTTGTCTGCTACAGCATCTAGCTTTACTTGAGTAGGAGAGTAAGAACCAAGATTTTCTTTTAGTTTTTGATGTTTTGCAGTTTTAAGCACAATATATCTGTGGATTTATATTTATTGAGCTTGGTGCTTAAGATGTACTTTAAAAAATGAAGAGAATTCTTTAATACAGGACAATTATTAATTATTAATTCTTTAATACAGGAAAAACATTATTTCTTTGAGTATTACTTTTTGTTATTTCCCCTTTTTCTTCTTCTGTAACCCTATCGGATGTATTGTATAATTTCTCAATGTATTTTCCATGTCTCTCATTTTCTCTCTGATACTTTTTTTTTATTGTGGCAAAATATACATAACATAAAATTTACCCATTTAACTACTTTTAAGTCTACGATTCAGTGGCATTGAGTACATTCACAATGTTGTGCAACCATCACCACTATCCATTTCCAGAACTTTTTTATTGTCTCAATCAAAAACTCTGTACCCATCACACAATAACTTCCCATTCTTCTAGCTTTTTAAGGGTGTGTTTAGATTAGCCTTTATTCTAGGGCTAGTTTAGCTTCTCTCCTAAAGAGTGATCCTCTGAGCTCTTCACTGAAGGCCTGGATGTTCAGCATGAAATTTCTTCTCTGATTAGTCAGAACTCAACCAATGCACAGTCCTGTGTGGTCTCTGGGAATTGTTCAGATTACAGCTCCAATTTATCTTTTGCCCAACATCAAGCATGTTCACTCTATGCACGTGCAGCTTAGTATTCAGCAACAGACTCAAGGGAATCTCTATGTTTATTTTTGGATTGATTTCTCTGCATATCTCCCTCCTCCCTGGTACTTTACCCTGTAAATTCCAGCCATCTAAGTCTTCCTGAGCACTGATAGCCATCTCTTCAATTCATCAACATCTCCTTGCTCTGCTTGGGATTCAAGGTTTGGAAATTGCCTCTAAGCAGAAAACTGGGGTGATTGTATAACTCACCTCATTTGTTTGTTTTCCTTACGTCCTTATGGTCCTGTACTGCCTGTTGTCCAATGTCTAAAAATTGTCTCATATACTTTGAGCAGTTTTGTAATTATTTATGGTGGGAGAATATGTTAAGCCCCACTTACTCCAACATGGCTGGAAATAGAAATTTAAGTTTTCAAGGCATAAACTCAAATTTCCTCCAGAAGACCTTAAATGTAAAGAAATATACTTTTCTACTAATTCAGATGTGGTGTCTACCTGGAGAAAATCATGGGGGTGGGGGTTAACGGTGGCCTTCCTGAGTTATTGAGAAAGATAAGTAAATGTGGAAAATTAAATTTGGAAGTGATGAAAGAGCTTTCCTTGGTGACACTGAAACAGTTCCAGGAGCCATTAGGGAAGAGAGGGTATCTAAAATAATAGATACCATTCATATTCTGTTCCAGATCTTTTTGGCTTGCCTGGGTCACTTGAAGCTATGGACACTCCCAGCAAGCTAGCAACTTCCCACTGCAAAGTATCTGGGTATCTCTACTCTTATGCCAAGGGCTTTCTCTGGCACTGCAAAAGCTTGCTCAGCTTCCTGTAGGCGCAACTTCTGCAGAGTAGTTTATGGCCCTGGCGACAACTCTCAAGCAAGGGATGAGAAGAGTTGCTGGATAAATTCCTCAGCATCCTCAACCTCCACTGGGGCAATTTTGAGGGGCATTCCATACATATCTCAGATAATTCTCAGCAGGACTGAGCCCTAATTGCCTACAGTGACAACCTTATTATGAACACATATTTTGTAGGCTTTTTTCTCTTTCTTTTCGCACTTTTCCCAATTCCTCACATGTGCTTCCTGGGACCACCTTCCACATAAACAACTAATATCAAAATCCTTGTCATAGGGTCTGCTTTTAGGAAAACCCAAGCTCAGACATCTATTTTGCCCAGTTTTGGTTTATGCAAATAGGTTTTTACAATGATGTATCCTCTACAAAGACTAAGTTTCTTGCCTATAATTACCAAGTTAATACCAAAAGTAAACTTAGGGGTTTAAAGATATATTTGTTTCTTACCCATTTAATGAGCTTCTTCTATTTCAATCCTAAACGAGTGACCCATTTTTTTTCCTTTTTCTGAGATGGAGTCTCACTCTGTTGCCCAGACTGGAGTACAGTGGCACAATTTCGGCTTACTGCAACCTCCGCCTCCCGGGCTCAAGTGATTCCCCTGCCTCAGCTTCCTGAGTAGCTAGGATTACAGGCGTGTGTCACCACACCCAGCTAGTTTTTGTATTTTTAGTAGAGACAGGGTTTCACCATGTTGGCCAGGCTGGTCTCAAACTCCTGACCTCAAGTGATCTGCCCGCCTCGGCCTCCCAAAGTGCTGGGATTACAGGCATGAGCCATGGCGTCGGGCCTGAGCGAGCCATTTCTATGGTCTTTGGAATTGAGCTTACACTCAGGTAGGAAAGCAGGAAGGGGAAGGCACAGTTTGGATTTGGTTGCGAACTTCAGACACCTACTCAAAGTATAGCTCAATCAGAAAGGAGCATTTATTGGCTCACATAGTTCCAGGATGTACCTGGGTCTCAGGAATATTTGGAACCAGAGGTGTGATTGCCAATATTTCTTCTTCTCTCCCTGAATTTTATCTTCACGTTTCTCTGTGCATTGACTGGACTTTCTCTCATTGCAGATTAGCTCTCTTCTCTTTTTCTTTCTCATCCTGATGGCTAATATTTATTAAGCTTCTACAATATTCTAATATTTTATTTCATGGTCCACCAACCTTATGAGTTATGTGCTTTCATTATCCCAATATTCCATCTGTGTGATGATCATGAGCAAGTCACTTAAATCCTCTGGGTCTTAGTTTTCTCATTTATAAAATGGAGCTCACGAGAGTGTCTACCTCATGGAGTTTTGGTGATGATTAAATCAGATAGTGTAAGTGCAAGGTCTAGCACAGTGCCTAGCCTACAATAAGTGATCAATAATATTACTATTATTACAGGGTACCATCGTCAAAGTAAAATAGGTAGATGCAACAAGCCCCTCTCCCTTCCATATACTCTCTTCAAGGTAACATATTTTTTTCCTTTAAGGCTGCATCTAATTTTTAAAAATCAGATTATATCAGGCTAAAATTGTTTAAAGTACAAGAAGGAAGCACAAAATATCAAGCATTGTGGTTCAACTGCCCTAAGAATGGCCTGACGCATGATCAAGAATGAGAAAAGATTATGAAAATGTCCCTTGATGTGTAGAATTCTCTGATACTTCTTGGACACCATATTTCTGATTTCAAGTTAAATGTCACACATTTTCTTCACCATTTTAATTCTATACCGTTGACTGGGCTAACCTGAATATATGAATAGTGTGGTCAATGTATTTTGAGGGAGTCATCTTAAAATTAATTGCATATGACACAATGAGCAAGAAAAATAAAGCCTAAAACTAGTTTTGATGCCTAGAAGAAAAATCAACTGCTATCATGGCTAATGCAAATTTCTGCAAAAGGGAATCATGCTCTAGAGAGATAGCGTATTTTGTTAAAGAATAGCATGTCCAAACAACTTTGTAAATTCAGATTTTAAGATAATCAACTGTGGACTGCTTTATTTTTCCCTACCCCCTCTCCCAAGTTTAAAGAAATATTAAGTTCAAACTAAGCAGGCATTATCCATTATGAGGACATTAGTTGAAATGCCACCTTATATTTTTAAAGAAGTTTAGAATTTTCAAAGAGCATTTTTTTTACGTTTCACACCCTTTACAAATTCTTAAGTGAAGTAGAACATGAGATTTAGCCATAAACAACAAAGTGAGTATGAATGCGCAGTGATGTAAAAGTAATTCCTGCCCCATACCAGGTGATGACTCCATTAAGGAGAGGAAGAGTTCAGATTTGGAGAGGAAAATGAGAACATCTGAGATCAGTGAGTGTCCCTCAGAGTACGGGGACTCAGCCCCCATTCTCTGGAATGGGTCTGGAGTGAGAGGCGGTGATGCGAGACTCAGATGGGTTTTAGGGGATCTGAGAGTGGAAGGAATTGCACCATACATCTCCACTGTAGCCAGGAGACTGAAAGCCTCTAAGAGAAGCCTCTCATTTAGCAAGGCACCAGAACAGAGGACACTGAGACCGAGAGGTCGCCAAGCAGATCTACCTGATGTCAGCCTCACAGGGCCTCATGCACATTAGCCTGGTGTGGGGAAAGTAGCCGAGTGATCCTAAACCTCTGAGAGTCTAAGATAGCACCAGTGGACCTGACGGTGCCTGGTGTCAGGATGAAGAAGAATCAGAGTTGTGTCCTGGTGGCCACAGGCCACAATGGGATTATGGACTTCAGAAACAAAGTGGACTTTGTTTCTATCAAAACATCACACTCTACCCCATGAAAATCTACAATTAGTATTAAAAATAAAATAAAACAACAACAAAAGAACCACCATATGATCCAGCAATCCCACTACTGAGTATATAACCAAAGGAAATAAATGCCAGAACTCAATGACAAAGACCAGATAAGCGAGTTAAATTTCAATAAACTCTGGTAAAAGACGAGGCTTGCATGTATGCTTTTCCATACTGAAGTCTGATCTGTAGTAAGCCACCCAGAAGGAAACTAGCTCATTCCTGGGGAGAAGAAGAGGTTAGGAATATTAAGTTACTCAAAAGACTCTAAGTTTCAAGCTAGAAATGGCTGAGTTACCTTGAATTGGCAAAATTAAGTTTTATACTGCTGACTACCTTGTGAGCTTAATAGCTAAATTAAGTACAGTTAAAGAGAAAGGAGGAAAGTTATACTTTTTAAGGTTCTTTGAAAGTTTAATGATTTTAAGTAACATATATAAAGCACGTTATTTTAAGGATTTCTATGGTGATTAAATGATAAAAGTTGTCTCATAATTAATTTATGAGTTTTCTAACTTCCAATGAAATATTTAAACATCAGATTTGAAAGTTAAATGTTTATGCATTCAGGTTTTTGGGTTGTGAATTTAATACCTACTATCTTTGCGCAGATAAGTCACACATTTCCCTATCTCACAAACAAAGGTCTTTTGCTATTGGAGGGATTGCAGGTAAAAGATAAACTATGAGGCCGGGCGTGGTGGCTCACACCTGTAATCCCAGCACTTTGGGAGGCTGAGGCAGGTGCATCACTTTGAGGCCAGGAGTTTGAGACCAGCCTGGCCAACATGGCAAAACCTCATCTCTACTAAAAATACAAAAATTAGCCAGGTGTGGTGGCACATGCCTGTAATCCCAGCTACTTGGGTGGCTGAGGCAGGAGAATCGCTTGAACCCGGGAGGCAGAGGTTGCAGTGAGCTGAGATAGTGCCACTGCACTCCAGCCTGGAGGACAGAGTAAGACTCTGTCTCAAAAAATAAAATAAAATAAAATAAAATAAAATAAAATAAAATAAAATAAAATAAAATAAAATAAAAATAAACTATGAGATCATAAGTAAGGGCAGGGTGGGGAGGTGGGAGAGAGAGAGAAAGAGAAAGAGAGAGAGAGAGAAGAAAGGATTTTTTTGGGGTTTCTAAATTAGCTGCATCTCTAGTATTCTCAATATCTGAGCCAATATATCTTATTTTTTTCTTCTAGCTCATTTGTTATGGTTTGTGTCACCTGCAATTGAGATTCTTGACTAATAATAGAAACCTAACAAAAACATCCAAGTCTTCTATGGAAAAAAACCACAACACTTTACATCACGTTCAGGAAGAAGACCTGAATAAATGGAGAGATATAACAAGTGAACATCCAATAAAACATTCTATTTGGGAGGGATCTATTTTGAGTAACATTGGTGCAACCACTATGAAAAAGAAAGGAGGGTGACTATAGCTAACAATATTACATTGTATATTTCAACATAGCTAGAAAAGAGGATTTTGAATGTCCTCACCACAGAGAAAATTATAAGCGTCTGAGGTGATGGATATGCTAAATACTCTGATTTGATCTTTACACAATGTATACATGCATCAAAACATCACGCTAAACCCCATGAAAATCTACAATCAGTATTAAAAATAAAATAAAACAACAAGAAAAGAACTACCATATGATCCAGCAATCCCACTCCTGGGTATATAACCAAAGGAAATGAAATCAGTATGTCCTAGAGATGTCTGCACACCCATGTCCGTTGCAGCACTAGTCACACTAGCCAAGATATGGAATCAACCTAAGTGTCCATTAACAGATGAATGGATAAAGAAAATGCGGTACATATACACAACTATTTAGTCTTAAAAAGGAATGAAACGTTGTCATTTGTGGCAACATGGATGAACCTGGAAGACATTATGTTAAGTGAAATAAGCCTGGCACAGAAAGACAAATACCACATGATCTCACTCTTATGTGGATTCTGAAAAGTTGTTCTCCTGGAAGTAGAGAGTTGAACAGTTGTTATCAGAGGATGGGGAGTGTAGGGGGAAGAGGAAAATGGTGAGAGGTTTGTCAATGGGTACAAAGCTACAGTTGTTGCAATAAGTTCCGATGGTCTCTTGCATAGGAGGATAACAAGAGTAAACAATATTGTATTGTATATGTCAAAAATAGCTAGAAGACAGGTTTTTGAATGTTCTCATCACAAAGAAATAATAAATGTTTAAGGTGATAAATATGCTAATTACCCTGATTTGATCATTACACAATGCATACATGTATCAAAGCATCATGTTGTGCTCTATAAATATGTACAACAATTGTATATCAATTATAAATAAAAAATAAATTTATAAAAAAGAAAATAAAAGAGGGAAATTCTCCCTTTCTTTGCTATCTAGGAAGGGAATGAGCGAGCACATGACAAGAGTTCAGCCAATGAATGCTACACTCCTTGAATCTTGAAGGAGTGAGGGGTCAAGATACAGGGAAATTTAGAAATTATTCATACCTATGGCAGTCATAAGAGTCCAGAACCAGTGTTGTGTGGTGCTGATATCAGCATCTATCTGCTAACTATGGTAGACACACCCTTAAGGAATCCCTTTCTTTTGAGTGTGGGTGGAAGCTGTGACTTGCTCCTAGCCGATAGAATATGGTGAATGTGATGGGATAGTCATTCCCTTGATTATGTGACATTATATAAAACTCTGTCTCAGTGGACTGGAGAAAGAGATCCTCCTGCTGCCTTGAAGAAGTGAGCTGCTATATCTTGAGAGGGCCACATGGCAAGAAACTGTGGGCAACTTCTAGGAGGTAATAATAGCCCCTGGCCAACAGCCAGAAGGAAAGTATGGCTCTCAGTCCTACAATCACAAGGCACTTAATTCTGTCAGCAAGCATGTGAGTTTGGTCAAGGATCTGGAGACCCAATGAGACAGCAGCCCTGGCTGGCATCTTGATCAGAGTCCTGATCAAGACTTTGAGCAGAAAACCCAGTTGTGCTCTACCTCTACCCTGAGCAGAGGACCGAGTTAGGCCATGCCCAGTCTCCTGAGTCACGGAAACTATGAGATAATAAATGTAGGTTGTTGTAAGCTGCTACATTTGTGATAATTTGTTACATAGCAGTGGAAAACTAACATGCCAAACATACTCTTTCTGTGCCAAATGATGCCTGGTGTCTCTCACCTCTGTACTCAAATCTTGGTCTCACTTATGAATTGCTGGTGGTAAAACCCTGCAAACTACGTCCCCCAAACTCCCTTAGTAGCTGGCTTTCTGCTAGATTCTGCCAATAGAAAGTAATGAAGGAAGACTTTAAGGCAAAGGATAAATCTTTCCCCCCACTTTTGGAGGAAGTCTCTGGCAACAGCACCATCAGAGAAATTAATTGAAGGTAACTAGAATGCTCTGGGCTCTAGCATCATTTGTGAGATATGGGATCCTGGTTTCCTGCTCAGCAGAAATGGTTCAGTTTCAACAGTAGTGGTAGCAATAGTGGTGTCTTCAGAAGCTCAATGGTGAGTGCAGTCTCATGGTCTCCAGCTCAGGAGCGGTAGTATCATACTCATCCCTGAGTAACTCCTATCCATAGTTGTTCCTTCTGCTCACTTTTTCTTTGGCCCCGCCTTTGCATTTTGCTCTTTCAGCACTTCCAACATCCATTTAATCAATTCCTTATGTTAAATTCCCTTTGCTTGAATATCTAAAGTGGTTTCTGATTTTTCAATTGAACACTGACTGATGTCAAAACTCTGGTTATGCATCTTGCCGTCTGGCCTCCCTTGGTTCTTGCTTCACTTCCAGATCCTAATTTCCAAAGATTTTGATATTTATACAATCTCTAATATTATCACAATAAATTTCTCTTGTATTTAAGCTAGCCGTGGTCTATTTCTGCTGCTTGCAACTAAATATCCCAACTGTTACAGAAATTTCAATATTGTAGAGTGTATTAGTTTTCTATTGCTGCTGTAAAAAATGTAAATTATTTCAACCACTGTGGAAGACAGCGTGGTGATTCCTCAAAGACCTAGAACCAGAAATGCCATTTGACCCAGCAATCCCATTACTGGGTATATACTCAAAGGAATAGAAATCATTATATTATAAAGATACATGCCCATGTATGTTCATTGCAGCACTATTCACAATAGCAAAGACATAAAATTAACCCAAATGCCCCTCAATGATAGACTGGATAAAGAAAATGTGATACGTATAAACCAGGGAATACTATACAGCCATAAAGAGGAGTGAGATCATGTCCTTTGCAGAAACATGGATGGAGCTGGAAGTCATTACCTTCAGCAAACTAATGCAGGAACAGAAAACTAAATACCACATGTTCTCACTTAGAAGTGGAAGCTGAACAATGAGAACGCATGGACACAGTGAGGGGAACAACACACATTGGGGCCTGTCAGGGTGTGGGGGAGGGAGAGCATCAGGATGAATAGCTAATGCATGCTGGGCTGAATACCTAGGTGATGGGTTGATAGGTGCAGCAAACCACCATGGCACATGTTTACCTATGTAACAAACCTGCACATGTACCCCAGCACTTAAGTAAAATAAAATAATAAAATAAAATCACAAATTTATTATCTTACATCTCTGCCAGCTAGTAGTTCTCTGGGCTGAAATCAAAGTGTCAGCAGGGCTGCATTCCCTCCTGGAGGCTCTAGGAGAGAATTGATTTCCTTGCTTTCTCCAGCTTTTATAAGCCACTGCATTCCTTGGTTCACGGTCTTCTTCCTCCAACTTCAAGGTCAGCAACATTGCATCTCTCGACCCTTTTCCCATAGTCGTTATCTCCCTCTGACTCTATTCTTCCACTTCCCTCTTCCATTTTTAAGGACCCTTATGATTACATTGGGCCCACCCAGACAATTTAGAATAATCTATTTTAAAGTCAGCTGATTAGCAACCTTAATTTCATATGCAACTTTAATTTCCCTTTGCCATGCAACATAAAATATTCACAGGTTTCAGGACATGGATTCTTTAGGGAGGGGAACATTAATCTGCCTGTCACATAAAGCTATCATTTCCCCCCAGAGTTAATCTCTAAATTTAATGCAATGCCAATTAGAATCTTGATAAAGTGACTCCAAATTTAATAAAATTTAGATATAGATAATATACAAGAATAATAAAGACATTTTTGAAAAATAGAAATAGTGATGGGGACTTGCTCTACCAGACAAAAAACATGCTATAAAGCTGATATGGTTTGACTGTGTCCCCACCCAAATCTCATCTTGAACTGTAACCCCCATAATCCTCACATGTGGTGGGAGGGACCCGGGAGGAGGTAATTTAATCATGGGGGTAGTTTCCACCATGCTGTTGTCGTGATAGTGAATGAGTTCTCAAGAGATCTGATGGTTTTATAAGCATCTGGCATTTCCCCTGCTGGCATTCATTATCTCTTCTGCCACCCTGTGAACAGGTGCCTTCCTCCATGATTGTAAGTTTCCTGAGGCCTCCCCAGCCATGTGGAACTGTGAGTCAATTAAATCTCTTTTCTTTATAAATTACCCAGCCTTGGTATTTCCTTATAGCAATGTGAGAATGGACTAAAGCTAAAATAATAAAAATACTTTGGCATTCAGGTAGGGTGTGTGGTTGAGGGGGAGGATGAAGAGAGGTTGGTCAATAGGTTCAAACATACAGTTAGATAGAAGATATAAGTTCTAGTGTTCTGTAGTAGAGTAGGGTGCCTATAGTCAGCAACAATGTGTTGTATATTTCAAGGTGGCTAGAAAAGAGGACTCAAAATGTTCCCAACACATAGATATAATAAATACTCAAGGGGATGAATACCTCAGATATCCTGACTTGGTCATTACACATTCTATGCATGTAACAAGTACTTACATGTACCCTCTCCCTAAATATGTAAAATATTATGTATCAATTAAAAAATACATTGGCATAGAACATGGTGGGTGATAGAAGATGGTGTTGTGGAAACTGGCGATCCATTGGGTTAAAAGTCAGCCCCATTCTGTACATCAAATACAAAAATATATTCCAGTTGAATTAAATACCTAAATGTTAAAAAAACCTTAGGAAGTACTAGAAGTACACACACACACACACACACACACACACACACACACAATCACAGAGTGGGGGAAGTCGTTTTTAAAAGCATAGAAGCCATAAAAAATAGACATCTGAATACATGCAAATTTAACATTTTTGCACATACCATAAAGATAAGTGACAAACTGGGAGAATATTTTATATGTATATCAAAGTATCAATATCTATATTATATATAATTATATGTCCATTTTATATATATATATAAAATATCTGGTTTCCAAAGCAAAAGAAAAACAATTAAAATTGAACACAGGAAATACATTAATAATTTATTGAAGAAGAAACTCAAATGTCCAATAAACATACAAACTAATGCTTGTTTGAAAATCAGGAAAATGTAAATTATGGAATAACGGTCTGTTTTTCTCTAATCAAGTTAGGACTAATTTTTTAAATATATAATATCTGGTATTCACTAGTGTGGTAGAAATGGGCATTTATATCCTGTTTGGAATTGGTCTCCTAGAGGGTAAATGTGGCAGTATTTTTGCAAATTAAATCTGTGTTTTCATCTATAAATAGAAATTCTTTCATGTTTACAATGCTATATGTATAATTACATTTGTTGCAGTATTTTTAAAAGAAAGGATGTTCAAAATTACGTTGTTGTAGCAACATATTGGAAACAACCTAAATGCACATGGATAAGAGAAGGGTTAAATAAAATATGGTACATGCACCTTTTGCATATTTTAAAAAATGTGGCAGATCTACATGTCCTAATGTAGAAAGATCTCCAAGGCATATTGCTAAGTGAAAGAAATTTGCAACAAATATAGCTAGACTTACCCCATTTACGTAAAACAAAAAAGTCTGCATGTAAGTAAGATACAATACAGTACAATCTTTTTTGTAATATGTTTGCAAGGGTACACACCAAACTGATACTTTAAAAAAAAGTCTTACAAATTTTTTTGGTTGCTTAAATTTTTTTTTTTTTTTTTTTTTGTCTGAGATAGGATCTCGCTCTGTCACCCAGGCTGGAGTGCAACCTTGAACTCTTCAGCTCAAACTATCCTCCTGCCTCAGCCTTCCCAGTTGCTGGGACTACAGGTGCCTGCCACCATACCCTGCTAATTTATTTTTACTTTTTGTAGAGACAGGATCTCTGTATGTTAACTGGGCTGGTCTTGAACTAGATTGCTTAATTTTTTATAATAAACACTTGTTCATATATTATTGACATGATTTTAAAAATAATAATTAAAATGCTTTTTTACTTAAGAAAACCCAGTATAGAGAAAGTAAATGGGAAAATATGTCCCAATATTTAACAGTAGTAGTTTTGAGACAATAGGATCTTGCATGCATGGATAATACTTTAATGCCAGTGTTTCCCATAGGCATATCTTTCTGTCGTAAGACGAAAATATGAGAAATAAAAAGAAAAATGTTTAATGATAACTAATTTCAGTTGACTCTGCTGGGTGGCATGTCAACAACTAAGGTAGTGATAGGAAAGAAATATCTTAGGCTTTAAAGTCCAAAGGCCTGTGTGCATACCCTGGTTATTATATCTTATTTTGTTTGAACTTAGGCAAATTATTTACCATCTGCAAGCCTTATTTACCTTCCTTGTAAGAGGGATTGATAATAACTACTTTTCAGGATCGTTTTGAGGGTGAAATGAGCTAATGCATAGTACATAAATAACTGGGAACGTTGCCTGTGCTCAGTAACTATTAGTTCTTTCTTCGCCATTTCTCAGCCTGCCTAGGAGATGGAGCATCCCTCCGCAGTCTTGCCCTGGTCTTCATTTATTTTCCTTAGACTAACTTTGTATTCCCAATTTGTGTGTAATTACAATTACAGCTTAACTTTGTATAATGCTTTAATGTTTACAAGCATTTTTATGTATTACACTATACACCTTGAATCCTTGCATATAATCATGTGGATCCCATTTTAGCTTCCTACAACTTGAGTGCTCAGGAGTAAACAGGGTGGTACACTGTATTAGTCTATTTTCACACTGCTATAAAGAACTGCCTGAGACTAGGTAATTTATAAGGAAAGAAGTTTAATTGACTCACAGTTTTACATGCCTGGGGAGGCCTCAGGAAACTTACAGTCATGGCAGAAGGCAAAGGGGAAGCAAGCACCTTCTTCACAAAGTGGCAGGAGAGAGAAGAGCAGAGGAGGAATGTCCAAACACTTATAAAAGCCATCAGATCTCACAAGAACTCACTATCATGAGAACAGAATGGGGAAGACCATCTCCATTATCCAATCACCTCCCTCCCTTGACATGTAGGGATTACAGGCCCCTTCCTCAACATGTGGGGATTACAATTCAAAATGAGATTTGGGTGGAGACACAAAGCCAAACCATATCACACATATATTATTGAGAATGTTTTTACAATGAGAGAATTGTAGTGCTACTTCAATCCCCTCATTTTACAGAACCCAGAGAGCTTATGTGCTACCATGTCAGTTACCTTTTGCTGCATAACACCCCAAAACTTAGTGTCTTAAAATAGCAACTATTGATTTAGCTCATAATTCTGATGGCCGTCCTTATAGTCTGAACCAGGTTCAGCTGATCCTGACTGGGTTCACTTCTATGTTTGGGGCCTTGGCTGGGATGATTGGGACAGCTAGATCATCTTGGCACATGGCTTCATAAACTCCAGCAGGCAAGCTCAGGTCTATTCACATAGTGGTGTTGGGTCCCAAGAGCAACGAGTGTGGAAGCTGCAAGGCCTAGACTTAGAACTCACACAACATCACAGCAGCATTATAGTGGCCAAAGCAAATCACAAGAATGGCTACTATTCTAAGAATGAGGAAATAAACTCCATCTTTTGATGAAGGAAGCTACAACAGAGAAAGGGGAAGGGCTGGGGACATTTTTTGCAATCTATCCCAGAGGCATAGCTAATTAGTGGGTATGCTGTGATTAGAAGTCTGCCCTGGTGACTTATGAGTCCAGGTCAACTGTAATATAGTTTCATAATAAAACAAAATACACTGAAATCTGAATACATTCTTAATTTGCTCTTGTTCTCTTAATGTCCTTAGAAATGTATCATATTCAGTCAAAAGACTGAACTGGAGAATTTTTCATAAGATCTACCCAGCATGGAGTTAGCTATCTCAGAAAAGTAGAGTGACTTCTTAGTGACATTCTTAAAGAGTGACAGTAAAACCTGTCTTCCATAGGTTGAATCTAGGACAAAATTGTTGAAAAAGATGAGGAGGTGATGACAATATACATAAGGACTTTAATGTGCCTGAATCAGTCACGAATGGAAAGTTAAAAAAAATACCCACAACACTTTAAAAAGTCTGCCTCAGGCAATCTCAAAGCGTTTGACATTTCATTTATTGGAAAAATGTAGCTTTTTGTAATTAAAAAAGTTCTGACAAGTGAAAGTGACTTTAGCACCTGTTAAAATCAGGTCAGCGAAGCTGCTTATCATCTCAAAGTTTTTAATCTTAACACGGTGAGATTGGAGGCTGTGCCTTTTTAGCTGTACATGTAATAGGTAACTGCAGAGGGAAAATTTATCTCAATGTAACATTTTTAAATTGCAACAATGCATAGGCTTGCAGAAGCTTAGGAAATCCAAAATAAGTTTTATTCATGTCTTACTTTTATATGTACGTGTAAGGTAAATAAGCCCTATTAAGGTCATATTCTGTTGGAAGTAATCTTTGATTTGTCAATTCTGTCAACAGCATCTTGGCTACGATGGTCAATAACAGTATCCAATGGATTGAGATAGCTACCTACAGCAGTGCATGAAGACAATAAAAGCATTCATTATGCCAGCAAAATGCTCACTTCACTGCTTGCATTATCTAGGTTCAATGCATCCCTTACTGTTTGTTGTCATACTAGTGGATGCTGGGATGGTTGAATCATTGCTCGTAGTTTACTCTAGATACATAGTCTATGCAACAGTAATTACTAAGGAAAAATCGTCTACTTTCCAAACTGCTCCTGACTGATCATTGAACTGCAGCTTCATTTTATTTGCATGGCCCTGCAGTCTTCAGCCTCCTTCACTATGAGCTCTGTCTATTATCTAATCAGTTTCCTGCGTTCTGCCTCTTCTAGGCCTATAAAATGAATGCTCCAGCCTCTTTTCATGTGGTGGGAAAGGCAACATCCAGTTTGGGTTCTCAGCAAATAAGACTCTTGAATGCCAACTTTATGTTTTGTGTGTGTGTGTGAAGAAAGTAACATACTTGTATACATTTATATGAAAAAGGGCTTTATTGGAAGGATATGAAATTGCCCATGAAGTCAGAGAAAAAGCTGAACAAGTAGGCATTAGAAAATACAGGAACCGGGGACCCTCCAGGGATCGGGTAGCAGGAATTAAGGAGAATCCAAGATTCAATTTCTAGATGTGGCGGGTGGGAATTGCCTTGGTCTGGTTTGTATTGCATTGGCCAGGTGAAGGGTGGGACATCTTGATTGACAGTCCCATGGAGACTGTATGCAATGTGGAAAAGGGTTGACCAAGGGAAACTTAAGGTGCTACTGTCAATGTGAGGTGGCAAGCATGTTGTGTGGCAAAAACAGCAGATATCCTTGCACTTGGAAACACAGATGCCACAGTACTTATGGTCAAGTATCTTCTTTGGGTGTAGAAGTCCAGGGCTTTGCTTTTTAAACATTCCACACGTGAACTTCATAGATCTCCTCTGGGTAGCATGTATTTGGATTGTGGAGCCAGATTGCCTGGATTTGAAGCATAGTGCTGCCGTTTCTTAGCCATGTGTGAGCTTGAAATTATTCCCTCGTCAGCAACGGGAGGATAATGAAGGCATTTTAATCATATTGTTGTGATAATTAAATGAATTATCACATTTAAAACCCTTAGTTTAGTGTCTGACACCTAAAAGCTATATACATTTAAGCTATTATTAGGGCGAAATGGTGCATCATTGTATTGTATGAGGTCTCTATGGTTTAAAATACCAATTATGGTTATAAAAATTAAGAAATGGCTTCCCTTTCCTGGCTTCACAAAACACAATAATCCTGTTGGATTTTCCCCATGATGGTGCTGTGCTCGTAGACAGCCATTGTACTAGTTTTCTATTGCTGCTATAACAAAGTACCATGTATTTAATGGCTTAAATATACAAATTTAGTATCTTACAGGTCTGGTGGTCAGAGTCTCATTGGGCTAAACTTAAGGTTTCATCAGGGCTGAATTCTATTCCTGGAGGCTCCAGGAGAGACTGTTCCTTGTCTTTTCCAGTTTCTCAAGGCCACCTGCATTCCTTGGCTCATGGCCCCTTCCTCCAGCTTCAAAGCCAGCAATCGCATCAGTCTAGCTTCTGTGTCTGTCATCACATCTTCTCTGACTGTCCTGCCTCCCTCTTTCCCTTATGAGGGCTCTTGTGCTTACATTGAGCCCACCTAGATAATCCAGGCTAATCTCACCATCTATTTAATTTAATTACATCTGTAAAGTCCTTTTTGCCTTACAGGTTCTGGAGATTAGGATACAAACATCTTAGCCGGTGGGGAGGGGCAGTATTCTGCCTACCACAGACATTTTATAATGAATTACTGCATTCAAAATTTCTAATGATTTCTTTTCAAGAATGGCTAAGCTTGTTCACTGAGGTCAACATATCTCTTTTGTCATCTTGGGTCATATTTGTTAGAAGCCAAAATCGAAGGGTCGGTTTTTTTTTTTTTTTTTTTTTTTGGTGAAAGACTATATTAATTATTGAAAGATAGACTTCCTCTGTTAGGTGTCTCTCGGCTAGATTTTGAACTGTTATTATATAATAAGAAGGATTTGCTCCCAAATACAGTTTTTAACAAATTCGACACTTTCAAATTAGAAAGTCAAATCCTTGGGGTTTACATTAGGGGAAAGGTTTGTGCATTCCGTCTCACGTTCTAATTTACAGACTCCATCTTATCTGTGAATGGCTTTGTGTCTCATTCTAGTGCAGTGGTTCTCAACTCCCTCATCCAGGGGATATTTACATTGTTGATGACTGGAGGTGGGTGAGCGCTGCCGGCATCTAGTGGGTAGAGGTCAGAGATCCTGCTAAACATCCCACAATGCATGGAAAAGCCCTCTCTCCCTACCTCTACAAGATAGAATAATCCTACCCAAAATATCAATAGTGTTGAAGCTAGGAAATCCTGTTCTAGTGATTATCCCATTCTTTTCTCCTGATTATTATTTGACTCATTTTGAAAGAGTACTTTACAGGTTATAGGAAAGGTTTTTCTAGCCAATTGAATTTAGATTTTACCAAACTGTGGTTTTCTATTAAGCAAGAATAACTTGCTGTGTTAAAAAAATAACCAAAACTTTATGATGATTCTTTTAGAAACATAATGATATAAAACTGAAGAAAATTCAGGAAATAGGCAAATTCATTTTAGATTGTTTCAGGTGTCTTTTTATTCTAAGATTGCTCTAAATGAAACATTTATTTTCCTTTCTGTGGGAGGGAAACATAACTATAATTGCAAATGTTTTCTTAAGGGAAGGTTTGTGAATCTTTTAAGACATGGACTTTCCAATTCTCTACATTAATCTCTCAAAAAAACTCCCTGGTTCTGCAATGGCAATTTGTATTTTAGGAGTTTTCTTATGAGGCTATACTTTCAGAAATTATTTGCTGTACATGAGTACACAGTAGAAAATGGTCTTCTGGTCTCTACCTGACAGGAAAACGTGGGGTTTGCAATACCTCTCTCAGAGACCTGGAAGAGAAGGGGTTAGAATGAGTTATCATTCATGAAGGTGGTTTTATTTCAGAGCTGTGACTTTCTCCCAGCAGCTGGAGGCCAGCAGCTGGGTGAAAATCAACCAGTCCCCTGGAGATGGCAGTAGAAGGCAGAGATGAAGATCATTTGCTGACCAGCCACAGCCAGAATTGCAGGCTCTGGGCTCCGGATCATGATCTGTCCAGAGAGGCAGCCATGATGGATCCCTGTGGCTGCAGGGGACTGCTTTTGCTGCTGGCTTGTTACAGTGAAATTCCACCTTCCCCTTCTCTGAAGTTTAGTTATCAAGTGCTGCCTTAAGTCCTTTCAGTACAAGGTCTTGTGTAAGTGATTTAAATAATATTCCTAGTGCTGGTTAAGCCCTACTACATCCGCTTTAAGGTTAAGCCCTACCACATTCAAGAACCTATTGAGTTGCAGATGCAATATTGACAGGTACTAAGCTATTAAACGTGGTAAGAGCAGGTTCTTGGGCTGGAGAGGCTTAAAAACACACAGACCAATGATTCTAGTATTAATAAAATGTCATATGACTAAATAGCCCAGTGCTATGAAAGCCAACGGGTAAACTTAACCCAGCCAGAGAGGTCAGAGACACTGTCCTGATGTGATAGCACCTGAGCTGAATTGAAAAGAATCAAGAGGAGTTAGTCAGGTGAAGAAAGATCAAAAGAGTGGCACAGCATGAATAAAGATCTAGGGGTGGGAAACATCATAATATTTACTGGATTACTGGGTTCCAAAGTGTAAAGGGGACCTTATCCTTGGTTCCACTCCCATTCCACTTCCCCTCTGGTACCCTATTTATGTATCTTTATTATAATAGTGTTTGAAAATATGAATTTTCAATTTGGATAAATGGTATATTGCTCTAAATCACGTTTCTTGCCATTTTTGTCCAACTCTTTAAGATCTTGTTGCATAGCTCTATGATACATCTAGCTTTGTACTTCTAACTGCCATATGCCTCCACACCTTTTGCTTATCCAATGCATCATAGCTGATATTTGTTTTCCTTTATATATCCTTGTTGTGACAAACAGCTCTTTGACTGGCATTCTTATTCACATCCCCTAACCAGATGAAAATTTTTCTACTTCCAAATGCTCTGATTCAATAGGTCTCAATTGGAGCCCAGATGATATAGATACAACCAGGCTGCTATAGCAGTGAGGTGATTTACTGAGAAGAAAGGTGACAAGAGTTCTCAAATTCTAGCAGGCATCCGAATCCCCAGGAGGGACTGTCAAACAGATTTCTGTCTCAGGGCTGACACACTCTCACACACTGCACTTGCACTACTCTGAGTGGGTACCTCCTTACATTTTGCGCCCTAGGCAACTTCCTTTCCTAACATTAGTTCCGGCTCTGGCTGGACACACCCAGGGTTTGATTCAGTAAGTAAGTAGGTCTGCGGTGGGGTCTGAGAATTTATATCTCTAACAAGTTCCCAGGTGATGCTGTTGCTTCTGGTCTGGGGACCACACTTTGAGAATCATTGCAACCACTGCTTTAGGACCTTGCTACTTAAAAAGTTTGGCCTGCAGACCAGCAACAGCCACATCACCTAGGAGCTTGTTAGAGATGCAGAATGTGGGGCACCACTCCAGATCTAATGAACCAGAATCTGCATTTGAGCAAGATCTCCAGGTGATTGGCAAGCATGCTAAAGTTTGAGAAGCACTGCTTTGGGATGGATATAGGGAGGGTACATCTTTCTTTTTTCTTCTTTGTTTTTTTTTTTGAGACTGAGTCTCACTCTATTACCCAGGCTGGAGTGCAGTAGCGCAATCTTGGCTCACTGCAACCTCCGCCTCCTGGGTTCAAGTGATTCTCCTGCCTCAGCTTCCCAAGTAGCTGGTATTACAGGCTCCCGCCACCATGCCCAGTTAATATTTGTATTCTTAGTAAAGACAGGTTTTCACCACATTGGCAAAGCTGTTCTCGAACTCCTGACCTCAAGTGGTCCACCCTCCTTGGCCTCCCCACGTGCTGGGATTGCAGGGGAGAGCCACCGCGCCGGGCCTGGGAGGGTACATCTTTCTACCAAGGGAACTAACTACAAGTAGGCCCCACATTTTCCGAAAGCAATCAGTGGATGTTTTTAAGGTTAAGTTTGTCACTTTAGAGCAATGCAGTGAGGTTACATCCTATCCAGGTATCTCATCTGGAGGCACAGCGTATCTGCTTGCCCTTTATTGCCGGTGTTAGTTTTGATCACTTAGCTAGACAATGGTTGGATTTTTTTCTACTATAAAAAGATGTGTTCAGAACTTATGTTCACTTCCTGTTTGATGCAGTCACTACAGAGAGACTAGCACTTGATCAGCCATGAAGGTCAGTTTGGCTGTCCCTCTAGCTCTTCATTTTTGCCCCAGGACAAGTCATAAAATGATCAGAACATCTCTCTCCTTCAAAGAATGTACCAGGCGGACCTACAGGGCTTGGCCATGGAATGTGGTCAATCCATTCTTGAGACCAGATGAGCTAAAGCAGCTCCTGACCCAGAACAGCTCAGAGGTGAGAAGGTTAAGTTAATTTTCAGCAGAAGGGCGGAAACTGCAGCTAAAGAGATAATACGCTATCGATGTCACTTACAATTATCTTGGACAGCGAAGAAAAAGTTAATATCAAAATCACACTCACAGATAAACACACCTGATTCCTGATGTTCAGAAACTTGTTTTGATTTTTTTTTTTTTTTTTTTTTTGAGACAGGGTTTTGCTCTGCTGCCCAGGCTGGAGTGCAGTGGCATGGTCATAGCTCACTGCAGCCTCAACCTCCTGGGCTCAAGCAATCCTCCATCTCAGCTTCCCGAGTATCTGGGACTCAGGCATGCACCACCATGGCTGGCAAATTTTTTATTTTTAGTAGAGACGGGGTCTCACTATGTTGTTCAGGCTGGTCTCAAACTCCTGGGCTCAATGGATCCTCCCACCTTGGCCTCCCAAAGTGCTGGGATTGCAGGCATGAGCCACTGTACCCGGCCATGTCTTGCTGATTTTTAAAGGATCAAAATGATAGGAGTGTAAATTAGTTCAACCATTGTGGAAGACAGTGTGGCAATTCTTCAAGGATCTAGAACTAGAAAAACCATTTGACTCAGCAATCCCATTACTGGGTATATACCCAAAGCGTTATAAATCAATCTACTATAAAGACACATGCACACATATGTTTATGTTTACTGCAGCACTGTTCACAATAGCAAAGACTTGGAACCAACCCAAATGCTCATCAATGATAGAATAAAGAAAATGTGGCACATATACACCATGGAATACTATGCAGTCATAAAAAAGGACGAGTTCCTGTCCTTTGCAGGGACATGGATGAAGCTGGAAACCATCATTCTCAGCAAACTAACACATGAACAGAAAATCAAACACCGCATGTTCTCACTCATAAGTGGGAGCTGAACAATGAGAATACGTGGACACAGGGAGGGGAACATCACACACTGGGGCTTGTCGGGGGTGGGGGACTAGCGAAGGGATAGCATTAGGAGAAATACCCAACGTAGATAGCGAGTTGATGGGTGTAGCAAACCACCATGGCATGTGGATACCTATGTAACAAACCTGCACGTTCTGCACATGTACCCCAGAACTTAAAGTATAATAAAAAATTATTTAAAAAAACGATGCCTAGTCTAGGGAAAAGGAGTCATGTCTAGCTTTTGTAGCAATCTAAAACACCACCCTGTCTCATTCCTCCTTTGAGGCAGCATGTACGAACTCACCTATCTGTTAGAACAAGGAGAAACAAAGGAGCCAGCAATAGGGAGAAAAAAATACTGATTAACACTTCAGAAGTATTATCTGTCCATGCATCTAACAATATATAAAAAGATTTGGTGGATGAAATTCTCCAGAACACAATGATGCTCCCTTGAAAAAGGTAATAGATGTATGTTGCATAGTTACATAAACTCCTCTTGTGTGAACAAAGTAGAAACCCTCATGTGCAGTGACTGAGGGTCACTGTTGCTCCTGTTAAGCCAGGCAGGAGTATTCTGTGCCCCAGGTGCTGGGAAGTGTTGAGCAACTAGCAATCACCCAACGTAGTTCCAAAGGAATACCATCAGTAACCCTAGCGACGGAAAGCAGGAGATGTGTTGAGTAAACTAGGCTAATCACCATTTCTTAGATATGCCACATACTTTTATGACTCTGCCTTTGTTCACACTTCCGCATCCTGAAATACACCTTTCCTCTGTCCTCTTCCTCTCCAAATCCAGCTTGAAATTCTCCAATGCCCAGCTGAAGTAATTCTGTCTTCTATGAAGCCTTACTAGATTCCTCCCATCCCCATACACCAACTGAAATCTTTGTCTGGCTCTTAACAGATTATTTGTTTCTCTATTAGAGAGTCCATGTCCCTCATTTTTTCTGAAAATTTTTTTATTGTGGCAAAATATACACAACATAAAAAGTTATAATTTTAACCATTTTTAAGTGTACAGTGTCATTAAGTACATTCACAATGTTATCTAATCCTCACCACTACTTCTAGAACTTTCTCACCATCCCAAACAGAAACTCTGTACCCATTAAACAATAATTCCTAATTACTGTTTCCACACAGCTCTTGGTAATCTCTATTCTACTTTCCGCCTCTATGAATTTGTCTGTCGTGGATACCTCACATAACTGAAATCACACAATATTTGTCCTTTTGTGTCTGACTTATTTCACCTAGCGATGTTTTTAAGGTTCATCTATGTTGAAGCATTATCATAATTTTATAACATTTTAAGGTCAAATACTATTTCATTGTATGTATATGCTACATTTTGTTTATCCATTAATTTGTTGATGGACATTTGGGCTATTTCCATTTTCAGCTATCATGAATAATGCTAAGAACGTTGGTGCGCAAGTGTCTATTTGAGTCTCTGCTTTCTTTTTTTTTGAG
The DNA here is from genome assembly GCF_000001405.40 of Homo sapiens. Taxonomy (NCBI): domain Eukaryota; kingdom Metazoa; phylum Chordata; class Mammalia; order Primates; family Hominidae; genus Homo; species Homo sapiens. The sequence goes on from NC_000023.11 coordinate 30,940,964, forward strand.
ACAGGATCTCATTCTGTCACACAGCCTGGAGTGCAGTGGTGCAATCATGGCTCACTGTAGCCTAGACTTCCTGGGCTCAGGTGATCTTCCTGTCTCAGCCTCCTAAGTAGCTGGGATTACAGGTGCACCCCACCACACCTGGCTGATTTTTAAATTTTTGTAGAGATGAGGCCTTATTATGCTGCTCAGGCTGGTCTCAACCTCCTGAGCTGATGTAATCTTCCTCCCTTGGCCTCCCAAAATGCTGGGGTTACAGGTACGAGCCACCACATCTAGCTCATACACCAACTCCAGGCTTCGGGTCATCAAAGTATAGCAGCCATTTTATCAGGTTTGTGACAGAGTTATTCTGATCTCAGACCTCTGCTGTTTTTTTTTTTTTTTCCTTCTTCTTTGGCTTTTGGATAACCAAACATTTGCCACACAGGGTTGTTCTTTTGGTCTCAACTGTTGAAGATTTGCTTGCCTACTCCCAATAAGGAACACAGCATTAAAAAAAATTTTTTTTTGTAAAGACAGAGTCTCACTATGTTGCCCAGGCTGGTCTGGAACTCCAGAACACTGACCTTAAGCGATCCTCCCACCTCAGCCTCCCAAAGTGCTAGGATTACAGGCATGAATCACCACCATGCCCTGCCTGCACAGCAGCTTCTGCTCAAAAAGTAGAATGCTACTCCCCATCCCCTGCTTTATGGAATCTCTTTCAGCTACTTTTGAGTAATTGAACACTGCATATTTATAGTTCTCAAATTGCTGTGGTCAAGAATGTTGGCATTCACCAGTCTGGTTCTCCTCTTTGCTGGGCACGCAGCTAAACTAAATTTCTCAGCCACCTTTGTATCTAAGTGGGATCGTGTAACTGACTTCTGGTCTTTGGAATGTGGACTGAACTGATGTATGTCACTTCCAGGTGTAACCCATAAAAAATTCCACCTAATCTCCTATGTGTGTGTTTCTCCATCTCCGTTTGGTGCTAGATGGCACCAAAGCTACTCTGAAGTCACAAAATGGAGGAATCTGGATCCCAGTCACCACTTGGAGGCCCAGGAGAGCTGCTCAAACAAGACTGTCTACACAGCACTTTGAGGGAGGAAGAAATAAACTTTCATTGTGTAAAACTGTTGAGATGACTTACTCTAATATACCTACCCTTCCAGTTTTGCAACTTTCTTTAATGTAGACCTAGCCAAAGACCATGTGAAGCTGTTCTAGATAGCCCTGGTCTTGACAATTCTAATAACTATCTTCTGTCATTCCCATCCCTGTGTCTCAAAGTAGGTGCTCACCCCTTGACTCAATGTCATCTTAAGCTTGTCCCCTATATTCCTTGGCCATCCTTTCCAGGGGAAGGAAGACAACCCTGTCCTAAGTTTCTGGTGGAAGAGTATTAATTCCAGTGCTTACTAATGCATTCTTGGGCTGCAAAGTCCCCCTCGAAATTCTTTCCAGAAGGCCTAGAAACCATGTATAAATAAGATATCCAACAGCTTGTTGTGATGTTCCTGAGTATTAAGTATGCATTAAGCATGACCCTATGCTCCCCGCTTATTCTTTATTTTACAATTATTAGTTGAGTGCATGACCATTGTTTTTTAAATCGCCATTAGGCCAAAAATAATTAGCAACTGGAGAGTGGGAATTCTGAATTATTCATCTTTATATTTCCAATAAAGCCTAACATATTATGCTACAGATTGAAGCACTCAGTGACTATCTCTTGAATTTAATGAGGCAGATAGCAGGAGTTTTACCAACAGACTCGTGACCTTACTGATTCAACCCACCTCCTCCAGCCTACCGAATATGTGAATTTACAGAGAGGCTGATGCAAGATTTATCCTTGTAATCTGGGAAATAAATATTTTCTAAACTCTTTCTTGGACATCAGTATGAATCTTTCCATCAACTTTATTGAGGCATAATTTACACATAATAAAATGCATAGTTATTAAATGTATAGTCTAATGAGTTTTGACAATTACAGACAGGCTTGGAACCACGATATAAATCATTTCTACCGTACCCAGAAAGTTCCCTCATTCTCCTTTTATATCCCTTCACCATTACCATTCCTGTTGCCCCAGGGAACCACTGATTTTATTTCTATCACCATAAAATTGTTTTATTTGTTCCAAAACTTTATATAAATAAAAAACATACAGTATGTGCTGTATGTGTTGTGCCTACCTTCTTTCATTCAACTTGATGAGATTCATCCAGGTTAGTGCACGTACCTGGAGTTTCTTTCTTTTTATTGCTGAGTAATAATCCATTGTATGAACATACCACCATTTGTGTATCAATTCACTTATTAACAAACATCTGGGTTGTTTCTAGTTTTGAGATATTCTGACTAAAACTGCTATGACATCTTGTACAAGTCTTTTGTGGACATATGTTTACATATGCTTTGAATAAATACCTAAGAGCAGAACTGCTGGGTCATAGGGTAGATACATGTTTTAACTCTGTTAGAAACTGTCAAACCTTTACCCAAAGTGGTTGTTCCATTTTACACTTCCACCAGCAATGTATGTCTAGTTCTTCCACATCCTTGCCAACACTTGGTATTGTCAACCCTAGTATGAGTGTATTTATAGCGAATATTTATTTATTTATTTATTTATTTATTTATTTTTATTTTTTTGAGATGGAGTCTTGCTCTGTCACCAGGCTGGAGTGCAGTGGCGTGATCTCGGCTCACTGCAACCTCTGCCTCCCGGGTTCAAGTGATTCTCCTGCCTCAGCCTCCTGAGTAGCTGGGACTACAGGCATGCACCACGACGCCCAGCTAATTTTTCAGTATTTTTAGTAGAGACAAGGTTTCACCACGTAGGCCAGCATAGTTTCAATCTCCTGACCCTGTGGTCCAACCGCCTCAGCCTCCCCAAGTGCTGGGATTACAGGTATGAGCCACCGCACCTGGCCGCGAATAGTTAATTTTAGAAGGAGAGAGAGGGGGAGCGAAGACAAGAAAATGAGGAGAGGAGAGGATAGAAGGGAATGGCAGGAAAGGGGAGGGTAGGAGAGAAGAGAGCAGTTGGGGAGAAGAAAGGAAAAAAAGGAGTGGGAGGAAGGGAAGAGGAGAGGAGGAGAGAAGAAAAAAACACAGTCTCTAAGAAGTAGAGTCATAAATACAGCCAGGTTTTATGGTATCTGTTCTGATCTCTTATCAGCTAGAGTGCATTGCCTTTCAAGGGAGAAATATGAAGCAGTATTCTTCCTGTTATTGTGGGGGTGGTATGAGCTGGACATTGCATAGAGTTTATTCTAGGGAGCTGGTAGTTTTTCAAGTATAATTTGGACTGGAAAAAACTGCAATTCTGGAAGAATTATCTGCATGCCAGGAACTGGCAATAATTTTGAAGTTCCTGTTCATGTTGTGAAACCTGGCTGTTTTGTACTTGCAGAGGGAGATATCTTTTTTTTCTTTTGTTAAAACATAAAAATGAAGGCTTTATTCATAGTAGGCACATTCAAACTAATGATCAGCAAAGAGGCAAAAGCCAGTGGCTATGACAGATAACATGAGGAGAGGAAAAGAAGGGCAGGACATACATTTTTTTTTTTTTTTCCCCGAGACAGAGTCTTGCTCTGTCGCCCAGGCTGGAATGCAGTGGAGCTCAAAACTGATCTTGTTCATCAGGAAAATAGAATGAACATAATTATGGGGTATGATTCAAAGAACTAGTCTTTCAAGAGTAAAAGTATGGTCCTTCTGGGAATGATGAATTTGAATATAGAAAGCAAAAGAAGGGTTCTAAGTAGTGAGGCCAAACTGTGGATTAAGAAAAAAAAACATTAGAAATGAATATCATTGTGAATATTTCCTTAGTTTCCCAATTATCCTCCTTGTTGAGACATAATTTAATGCTACTGTTTTGTCACATACTCCTCCAATTCCTGATTCAGAGTTCTGGATTGTTGGAGAAGGGCCCATGAGCTTTAAACCTAGAAGAGAGTAAAGGAGAAGAGTGTTCCTAGGTCTCTCATTTTGGGTCCCTCATTGTGGATCCAGTGGGCAGTGTCTCTGGGGACAATTCATGGGAGCGATAGAGGCAGCTCCTCAAGTTTGCATTAAAAGGGACATATGGCTCACTTATCACTAATCAACTCTTACCCAGCACCCTCACAGCCACTAGCAAGGCAAAGAGAGTGAGCTCCCACTATCCCCTTTAGCTATGCCTCTTGTGTTGCCCATTTGTGATCCCTTTTCCCTAAAATCCATCCTTAACTAATTGAATTAAAGTTCCTGATGCATGGGATACATATAGCTTTTATTCAGTCCTTCATTTGATTAATACTGATTGAAGTTCTGCTGTGTGCCAGGTACTGCTCTAGGGCTGGAGATACAGTGGTGAATAAAACAGACAAAAATCTCTGCCTTAGTACCAGGGGGAGGAGGAGGACAATAAAAATAATAAATATCTCAATTATAGAAAGTATTAGAAGATGATGTATATGCAGAAGGAAAAAAGTAGGATAAGGGAGAAGTGTTGGGGACAGGGAAGGAGGTGCCACTAGGATAATAATAAGCTATTATTAGTATCAGTGTTATTGAAGCCAGATTTCACTGGGCCCACAAAGTGGGATTTATCTTACTCCTTCCTACGCCACCACTAACATGACAACCTAGAACTGTCAAATGATTCTAGATGATCCACTCCTCATTCTGGAGAAGGAGGCTACATTGGGATCTAATTACGTTCTGTGTAGGTAGTGACATCACTATCATGCATCTCAGTACCTACTGGATATCTGGTGATTGACCAAGACCAGGAAATAAGGCACGAGTGCCACTGTATACAGTTTAAATGATGGTGTGAATTCACCACCACCTTGGGATATACAGCATACATGTTGGTTGATAGCCTTTTATTCTTTTCATGTAAATAGCATACCTTCCCCCAAGCCTAGAACTATTTTTATAACATGGTCTTATAGCTGGTGTAGTATTTTTCTTTATGGATGTCATGATTTCTGAACAATTCAATTATTTAACAACATTTAGTTTCCAACTTTTCACTGTGATGAAATACTTATAAATGTTCCTTTGGGCATATTTGTGGTTTTATCCTTAAGATAACTAAGAAAAGGTAGAATTGTGGATTCAGAAGATACGAGTAGTTTTAAGATTTTCTAACACAAATTAGCAATTGCCCCATCTCTCTAGCCAGCTATAAGAATGTTTATTTCTCTATACTCTCACCAATGCCTGTTTTGTCATTCTTTTTGTTAGCTTGAAAGACAACACTTAGTATCTCACTAATGTTTTCAACTGCATTAGCCTTGATTGTGAGGTTTTTATGTCTCCTTTTGGAAATTGCCCATTTTTAATTGGAGTGTTTATCTCTTTCTGATAAATTGATTGATAAGAGTTTCTTACATATTAAGGATCCCAACTTTTTAAACTGTCATATAGTTTGCAAGTATTTTCCCCAGTTTTAAAATTGTGCTTTGATTTTCTTTACAGAGTTTTAAAAAGAAATGTATTGATGTTTTTGCACTTAAACTTTTTTGTAAGTTTATCATGACTTTTCTCCTACGCTTTTTTGGTAAGAAATGTTTACTGTACCCCCTAAGTTATGTAAATATTCATCCAAATTTTCTTAATTTTCTATATTTTAACATTTAATTACAAATTAATATCTGGAATTTATTTTTGTGTATGGGTTGATACAAGGCTCTTTAATCTGTCCCAAATACTTGTCTAATAGTTCCAGGAACAGGACCATCTATTAAGTAATCTCCACACATATAAAACACCAAATGTATCATATACTAATTATTTATAGGTACTGTTTGAGGTTGAACAATTTGGGATTGCAGTTTTAGGGTCAAAAATAGTAGAATATTGGCAATTCCATATGATTCATCCTAATACTAACTTGTGGCAAGAGTTAAATTCCCTTTTATTAAAGAATAATGTAGAATACTTTCATAATTGAAAAAATAAGCTCAGTTTAAAAAGAATTCAGATGTGGCCGGGCGTGGTGGCTCAAGCCTGTAATCCCAGCACTTTGGGAGGCCAAGGCGGGTGGATCACGAGGTCAGGAGATTGAGACCATCCTGGCTAACACGGTGAAACCCCGTCTCTACTAAAAAAATACAAAAAAATTAGCCGGGTGTGGTGGCGGGCGCCTGTCGTCCCAGCTACTTGGGAGGCTGAGGCAGGAGAATGGCGTGAACCTGGGAGGCGGAGCTTGCAGTGAGCCCAGATTGTGCCACTGCACTCCAGCCTGGGCGACAGAGCGTGACTCCGTCACAAATAAATAAATAAATAAATAAATAAATAAATAAATAAATGAATAATTCAGATGTGTATAACCAAGAAATTTTAGCTAGCAAGAATAAATGAGTTGTAGATATGAGATCAAGTCAGTGCGTGGAGTTGACTCAAGCATTTTTCTGCTTAAAAGTAAATGCTGCACACTGCATTTTTAAAATATAATATTCTTTTCTCCCCTGTGGACTTTTGGGTCCACTTCACAACAGCTGAACTGGCTCACTGAGCAAAGCTCTTGCTATAAGGTCTTTCCAGATCTGTCTTTTCCCTGCTGGTCTCATTATTAAAAATGTGCTACTGTCGGATATAAATGATGTTTCTCACTAAGTACGCTCAATAGCATTTTCCTTTCACTCTGTTTTTCCTCTGAATCTAACAATAAGCCATTTTCCCTTCGTGAAAAAAGATCCCAAGCCTCTCTGACTGTTTCCTGGCTTGCGACTTGGCATGACTGGCAGTCTGAGTGATTGATCCATAACCTTTGGGCACTCAGGCAATTATTAAGTTGCCCATAAGCTTTGCTGTGCCAGCAGAGCAAATAAAAATACTCGAGGATCTAACTCTGGGTCAGCAAATCTCTCTTTTCATGTTTTTATATGAAATAAGGATTTTTCCTATAAGATAGAATTCTTTAGAGAACAATAAATATATTTATATTTTTCTTTCTTATCACCATAGAAACATTAATGATTATTTCTTTTTTTTTCTTTATGCCTATTTTTTTTTTTTGACGTCCAAGCTTCAACATTTCCTTCTAATGTTGGATGGGGGTTCCTCCCACTAACCTAGGAATAGGGGTTAAGAACTCCAAGTTTCTGGGATTCAAAGAAAAATTAAAAATCAGAAATAGCCCTCGTAAAAGAAAGTTTCAGTATTTCCATTCCCATAATTCTGGGAGTTGTCTATGATTTTTACTTTTGCTAATGAGGTGAAAATAACTCAAGGGCTGGTCCTCTTCTATCAGGAGACAAATATTATGAAACAGGACTGTCATTTGTTTCAGAGTTCTGCCTTATGGAGAGGCATATGTGTATGTGCTTGTAAGGAAAAAGGACATTTTCTCAGCCAAGACAGAATGAGCTGTAACAGACTGATTACTAAATGGTTTATAACAAAATCTCAGTAGTGGAAAAGAACATTAAAGGTCATATGGTTCAATCTCCTGTCTACGAATATGCTCATTCAAAACAGAAGGGCCAAGTTAACAAGTTTTGGAAGCTTCTAAACACTATCATTATCTCATTGTATGACCACTCTCTTCCCAAAATGTTCAATGACACATGTATTTTTCAAATTGATTGTCTTTAGAATTTCATAACATTGAGAAAAATTGCAGGCATCCTAGCCTAGGTTATAACACTCTAAGGAAAATGATGTTTTTCCAGGAGAGTAACTGGCTCACTTTCCTGTTTTGTTTTAGCTGTTGTTTACTGGCTGTAGGAAGAGAGAACTGCCCCTAATCTCCGTGTGGTTGTTAAATTAATGGCCCTCCACACATTGCAACTCTCTCTCCAAGCCCTGGTGTATTTCCCCCACCCCCACCCCACAGACACTCAGCTTGGACATGTGACTTCCTTTGGCCAATGGGACATTAGCAAATGTGACACAAGCAGACGCTAGTCAAGTGCCTGTGCATTGGGGCTTGCCTTCTTTTATGCTGCTTTTTGAATCCAATTTTGATATGAACAAATCTAGGCTGATCAGCTAGAGACATGTGGCCCAGCCCATACCATCTGACAGACATATGAATGAGACCGTCTTAGACCATTCAGTCCCAGCTGAGGTACTAGGTGACTGAGACTGCAGAAGGCAAGACCAGCAGAAGACACACAGAGCTGCACCCCTTGTACCTCTCCCTTAATCATGCTCCCCAGCAAGTTTCTAATCCTGGCCACAGCCAACTATCTTATTCTGCATCGGTACTGGAGAAGCTGAGCTTTGCTGTAGAAAATGACCACAACCCATCCGAGCACTCTCAATTTAAACGTGTTACCACAAATCTCTAATAGGCCTTCAGCACTCCTGGCTATTCCTATTATGTCTCTCTTGGAAATTCACTTTCCATATCTGAGACAATCACTTCACACTTTCTTCTTTCTCCAACACCCCCTCCTGTAGTGACACTAATTTTAAGTATAAAGTTCAATGAGTTTTGACAGATGTATACACATGTGTAAACACCACTGTGATGGAGATATAGTACATTTCCAGCATCCCAGAAAGTTCTTTCATGCCTTTTTGTAGACATATGTTTTCATTTCTCTTGAGTAAATACCTGGAATGGAATTACTGGACCAAAGGGTAGTATATTTCTCAGATTTAACCACCAAATCTAAGAACTAGTGAGTTCTGCCAGCATCACAGAGGCAGCTTCCCAGCGAGTTTCACCAGTACCTTAGCAGGCAGCTTTCTAGTCAGTTTCTCTGGCCCCCAGACACTGGTTTCACCCCTCCGTGAGCTTCTCTGCCCTCCACGGGGCTACAGCCACACCATCTCCAACAAGATCTAAACCTCCGCCCTGGTGGTAAGAATGTGCCCTCTTTCAAGTTTGTTCCTTCTTAGACTGCTCTCCCTCAGCCCTAGAGATAGTGGCTGCTTCCTTCATCTGCTATTCCTGTAGAGTTAGTTTCCATCTCCTAGTAGTTAATCCTGTTACTAGTTAATAGGTATTTATATTAAATCTTCCCTGTTCAAATTACTGGTGTGTTTTCAATCTTCTGACTGAATCCTGACAAATATAGTCCAATCATCAATTCTTTTCCACTGTGCCTCGGGAACTTGTTCTGAAATACCCACCCATTCTCATTTCTATTGTTAGCAGCCAAGTCAAGCTGCCAACATGTTTTATTTGAATAAATGCAATAGCGTCCTATCTAGTTTTACTACTGTCCCATTTGCCCTCTTCCTAGACCTCTACAGTCCATTCTCCATACAATAGTCATAGTGAGCTTTTAATATAAATCTAATCACATTACTACACTGCTTGAAACCCTCCAATAAGGACTTACGGTTTCAGCTTAGAGAGGCAGAGAGCTGGAAAGAGAGTCTCTCCCACCTATTCATACAAGGGAAATTTGGACAAACTGCAAATTAATGACTTTTCTTGAACCAGAGAACCGAGGTTATAAGGCCACTACAGTGTAACCCAAAATCTAAGAAAAGCCAGGTTCCTTCAAGGAGATACAGGACCTGAACATTTGCTAATCTGGAGCAGCTGCTTCTGGATTCCATATAAGCTGCTAAGAGGATTCAGCTAAATGCTTTTAATAAATTGCTAAAGGCCAAGTGTGGGCTAGTTTGAAGACTTTATCCTCTTGCAGGATTTTCCTCTGCAAACCCCACCAGGCATTCGTAGGAAGGATTGGGTAGAATCCTGATAAAGCTTCCAGCATGGTGCTGGCTGGGGAAGGGAACAGCAGCCACTGCTAAAACTGCGCTCAACCCATCTCTCCTACCTCCTCTGTGGAACAAAAGCTTAAATTTGTAGGGGTAAGAATAACAAAAACAGACATCTTAGGGCACTGGTGAAAACCCACTGCAGCTGGGGAAGACAGTTGAATAAAAAAGGCTCTATTTCTGAAGGAAAGGCAGAAATATGTGCTAGACCAAAACTGCAGCTGGAGGCAGGGCAGGAGCATTTGTGAAGGCCATGCCCCTGAGACTCAGTGACACAGCCTCTGCCTAAAACTGAGGGTTAGTCAGACCGTCATAGAATCTTCCCATCTCCTGGCCCTCACCACAGGTCAACAAGCATCAGGTAAAAATAAGAGTAGAACAGAACTGAAGAGCTGCAAGAGACATATTATACTCTCACTGTGGTGCAGCACAAATGGAAAACTCAAGGTGAAAAAAAGGAAACATTGAGAAAGTAACCTCTAGCAAACCTGGCCCACACCCTAAACACTAGATATCACAGAGGAATTTGAAGCCTTTGTTTTACCAAGGGTATCCATAGCAACAATAAATCTCACACCCTGACTAGGTTAACACAAACCTTCATGCTGAAGGCTTAGTAGAAGAAAAGGCATGCTCAGCTCCAAGTGTAAAAATATTTACCTCACTATTTACTGTCCTGTGTGAAATATAGGCTTTGAGCAAAAATATGAAGCATGCCCCCAGAAGGCAAGAACACCTTCCCAAGAGACAAAGCAATCATCAGAACCAGACTCAGATGTGACACACATGTTTAAAAAAATCAGATGGAGAATTAAAAATAATTATGACTAATATGTTAAAGGTTGTAATGGAAAAAGGCAATATTTTAGGAGAGAGATAAAAATTATAAAAAAGAATCAAATGGAAATGCTAAAGATAAAAACCACAGTAACAGAGGTGAACAATGCCTTTGTTATCAGTAGACTTGATACAGCCAAGTAAAAAATCAGTGAACTTGAAGATAGGTCAATAGAAATCATCCAAACCAAAATGCAAAGAAAAAAGGAAGGAAAAACACAAAACAGCACATCCAGGAGCAGTGGGCCAATATCTAGTGGTTCAACATATCTTTCACTGGAATTTCAGGACAAAAGAGAGATAACAAGGAACATGAAATATTTGAAGAAACAATGGCCTAGAAATTCTTAAGATTAATGACAGACTCCAAACCACAGATCCAAGAAACTCAGAGAACAAACAGAATGAATAACACACACATATATAATACTCTATACATTTTGAAATAATGTAATTCCATCTTCAAATAATGCCACTTCACTTGAAGTATATATATGCATAGGTATATATGCATAGACTCAAAGTATCTTTCCAAAAATATTTATTGATTATTGTGTTGCTTCTGACAGATGTCCACAGTGTCTTTGATATTCTAGGAAGTGGAAGTTAATTATCCTCTCCTCTCCTGGAATGTGGCTTGGTCTTAGTGACACACTTCTAATGAGTGGAATGTGGAAAGGGAAAAAAAAGTAACTTTACAGTGAAGAAATCAGACACCACCCTAACCAAGTGATTGTGGTTAACATCACCAGTGATAAGACATATTGATATGATGTGTCCCTTGATATAATGCAGTGGGGAAGGTATTTCACCTTTGTGTTATTCTTCTCAAAAATTTGTAACCTCAATCTAATCATGAGAAAACTTCAGACAAACCCAACTTGAGGGACACACTACAAAATACCTGACCAGTACTCTTCAAAATTGTCAAGGTCATATAAGACAAAGAAAGATTGAGAATCAGTCGCAGATTGGAGGAGAGTAAGAAGACATAACTAAATGTAGTGTTATATTTTGGATTGGATATTGGACTAGAAAAATGACATTAGCTCAAAAATGGGTGAAATCTGAATATGTATAGTTAACAGTATTGTACCAATGTTCATTTCTTAGTTTTGATTCTTGTACCATGGTTATGTAGGATGTTAAAATTAGGGTAATCTGGGTGAAAAGTACACAGGAACTCTCAGTACTATCTTTGCAACTTTTGTAAATCTAAAATTTATTTCAAAATAAAAGTTAAAAATAAAACACATCTCCAGTGATTTTCTATACTGCTTAGAATAAAATCTAAACTCATACCACAGCCTCCATGATCAGGACTCAGCAGAACACTTCACCCCCATTTTGAACTACTGTCTCCTTTAGTCTCTGTACTCCAACCATACATATCCTCCCTTAAGGCCTTTAGTCTGTTGGTTCCTTTCACTAGAAGTGCTCATTGCACATATTTTTTCCACATGGCTATATTCTCATCATTCATATTTTAGCCTGAGAGGCCTTTCCTACAAAGCTTCTGAAGAAATCTCTACTATTCCCATCAGCTATTCTTGGTCTCATTACTTTATTTTCTTCATGTCACTCACCTCTATGAGACATTATTTTATTTTTTGAGATGGAGTCTCGCTTTGTAGCCAGGCTGGAGTGCAGTGGCGCCATCGCGGCTCGCTACAACCTCCGCCTCCAGGGTTCAAGCGATTCTCCTTCCTCAGCCTACCCAGTAGCTGGGATTATAGGCGCCCACCACCATGCCCAGCAAATTTTTAAAGTTTCTTTAGTAGAGACAGGGTTTCACCATGTTGACCAGGATGGCCTCAGTCTCCTGACCTCGTGATCTGCCCACCTCAGCCTCCCAAAGTGCTGGGATTACAGGTGTGAGCCACAGCACCCGGTCAGACGTTATTATTACTATTTGTTCATTGTGGCTTCTCTGCAGTATAACATAAGCTTCATGAGAGTATAAAGCTCTCTAGTAGTATCCAAATGATCTTCTCTTACTTATTGTATCACTGGACCCTAGAGTAGTACTGGCACATAGTAATTACTCAGTGAACATTCGTTGAAAGAATGAATGAATCACCTTCTGTTAGATGCTACACTCAGAACAACTGAGAGAAAATCAGATTCATCTTATATTATGCTCTCTCAGTGAAATGCTGCTCAGAATCACCTGATAATTAAATGTTTAAGTAAATAATACTTAATTTAATATTTCTCTATTTATAATGGACTGAATGTTTGTGCTCCCCCCACCCCACAACCGCTGCCTCCTCTGCCAAATTCATATGTTGAAATTTTAATCCCCAAGGTAATGGTATCAGGAGGTGAGGCCTTCGGGAGGTGATTAGGTCATGAGGCTGGAGCCCTCATGAAATAAATTAGTGCCCTTATAAGAGGGACCCAGAGCACTCTTTCACTCTCTTTCTGCCATGTGGAAGATCAGTGAGAAACTGGCAACCCAGAAGAGGGCCTTCACCAAAACCTGATCACCAAAACCTGATCATGCTGGCACCCTGATCTTGCACTTTCAGCCTCTAGAATCATGCGAAATAGATTTCTGTTGTGTATAAACTACCTGGCCAATGGCACTTTGTTACAGCAGGTGAAGCTGACTAAGACAAATGAATTATAGGACAAAGTCAATCCTAGTTCAGGTCCAGGAAGCTTTAGAGCAATGGAGAATACAGGGCAATGAAATTGAGGGAAGAAGAAAACAGTCCAGGATTAAACAGGATAGATGCTGTTCTAAAAATGGAGGGAAGAAACAAAACTCATTCTCACCTAGAGAAGGAAGGCACCCTTACACACAGAGGAAGCATAATTCTTGGATAAATATATTATATATGGAGGGTAGAAAATGAACTATAGTTTAAAATAAAATACGGATCTTCCTAGGACAGAATCAGGTACCTTCTAAATTCAAGAGATAATTGGGCTAAATGCAATAAACAGAAAAATTAGGTAAATATAGCAAGTGCTTAAAAGCTTGTGCTTTGGAATCAGATTGACTTTGTTTGAAACTTGTCTTCCTCATTTATTAGCTGTGTGACTCTGCACAAGTATCACTTCTCTCTGAGCCTTGATCTCTTCTATAAAATGGGATAATACTACTTTCCACATAGGATTGCTGTGTGGATGGATACAGTGCATACCCAGCCCTTAGCACAGTGTCTGGCAAATATTTACCACTGATCAATATCGGGTACATTTCTATTACTAGATTGTGTGCTCCATTATACTTACCTTGGAAATGAGCCTCATGGGGAAAATGTGAAAATTCACCCTCTTGTTCTTTTTATTTTTTTCTCTCTCTTGTTCTTTTTTTTAATGCATCAGTGTCTCACAAATGTTAAGGTATTTGTGAGGTGCATTGGACCCAAAAGACTTTGGAACTTGTTGAAAGACAGTTTAGCTTCCATGAGAAACAAAGCACAAAAATTAGTATCCAGTTCCAAGTTGTAAGTCTAGATGTGATTATTTTCACAACCTTGTCATTCATAACTAAGTTTTGCAGGCAGTTAAATGCATTATGAATCTGTGGCTTTTCTTGGAAGGATTTCAATTCTTAAAGCAATTGAGCTCACACAAGAAGAAATAGCTTGCTTACTATCCACCATTACCCATGTCTGCTATTTTTACTAAAAGGCCCATAACTGCAGATGACATTTACACCTATACAACTGGAGGGTCAAAGTACAGCAATAGGTTTTATTAAAACACACTGAACTACTGGCAGATGAACAAAACAACAACAACAACACATATTACATGTGTAGTTTAAAAAAGTTTTCTAGTTTAAAACACTTATACCTTAAAAATGATATATTTTCTCATTACATACATAACCCACATCATGATAAAAATTTTGAAAAGAAAACCATGAAGAAAAAAATCCTCTATAGACGTGGTAATGGGGAAATGCTGGAGAAACTAAAGCTTTGTATGGAGAGTAGAACAGCTTTGGGACGGCTGAGCATTTGGACTGCCTCAAATGAGGAATTTGGAATTTAAGGAAAGAAGGTGTTTGATAAATATTTGTGGAATGAAAAAAAGAATCCTCTATAATCTCACCATCCAAAGTTAACCACAATTAATAATTTTAAGTATTTTCAGCCAGTCTTTTTCCTAATCAGAACCAAGCAGAGATGGAAGGAACCTCAGAGATTATCTAGTCCAACCCACTCATTTTATGAATGAAGGGAATCTGTTAAAAGGTAGACTATTTCTGGTTTTATTTAAAGTTGTTTCAACAAGAGTAGTAGACTCTAATGATAAGACAGCTCATTACCGAGTATAGATGTGTTTAGATAAACCCCGAGTTGCATCATGGGTCCCTCAAAGAGCTGGCGTAGATGGAGAGCCTGACCAAACCCAGTTAGCTTCTAAGGCCTTCCTGCTTTGATCATTGTCCTGTGATGATGTAATACTTGGAGCTGCACCAGCCATTTTGTGACCATGAGGTGACAAGTCCAAGGCCACAAAGCTGAAATGGAATGATAGAAAGAACATGGGTCCCTAATGACATAATTGAGCTTTCAAACCAACTCTAAAATTACCTACCCTCAGATCTCTTGGTGAGAAAATTAAACACTTTTATTGTTTAAGCTCCTTTAAGTTGGATATTCTGTTACTTGTAGACCCTAAAATCCATATTCATAAACCCTCTGCCCTTGAGCACATATAGGTATTTTACTATTCTCTGCCTCAATGCCTTTATTGGTAAAATAAAGATAATCTATACACATACTGTACATTTTACAAAATTGTACAAATTCTTTCATATTCTACTTCTATTTTTCATTTTGAGACAGGGTCTCACTCTGTTCCCCAGGCTGGAGTGCAGTGGCACGATCTTGGCTCACAGCAGCCGTCACCTCCCAGGTTCAAGTGATTCTCATGCCTCAGCCTCCCAAGTAGCCGGGATTACAGGTGTCACCACCGCTCTTGGCTAATTTTTGTATTTTTAGTAGAGATGGGGTTTCACCATGTTGGCTAGGCTGGTCTTGAACTTCTGGCCTCAAGTGATCTGCCTGTCTCGGCCTCCCAAAGTGCTGGGATTATAGTCATGAGCCACCGTGCCCAGCCCTTGTATTCTACTTCTGTCACCTAACATTAAATTATGAGATTCTCCTGCACTCTTCAACATGTTTTTGCAAAGCATAATCTTTGATAGCTCAGAGATTTCTGTCATATGTTTTCTTATAAACACCTGTATTATTGAGCATTTATATTGTCAGCAAGTTTTCTCTTGTATAAGTTGCAATGAATCCTTTTTGTACATGCCTTTTTTGTATATTCACTTATTTTCTAAGCATAAGTTCCTGGAAGTGGAAATACTGTGTTGCATTTTTGAAGCTTATAATATCAATTGCCACATTGTCTCCCCTCTGTCACTACTCCCTTCCACACTTAACCTGGCTATTAAGTGTGCACATGAGTGTGGAATATTTTTTAATAATACATTTACAGATTCAAAATTCAAAAGTATACACTGAAAAGTTTCCCTTCAATCCGTGTTCCCTAGCCACACAATTTCCATCTCCAAAATTTGAGAAAAATTTCCAAATCTATCCTAAACATAGGATCTTGACATGAAACTGATGGTACAAATTAAGTAATTTGAGGATAGTTTAATTGAGACACTATTTACAAAAGTGAAGCAGCATACTGGAAAGCCCAGAGGGATGGTATAACACCCTGGAGCTAGTAAAAGGGGGCCTTGAGTCTAAAGGGTGAAAGAGGGAACCTGATCCTGGAGGCAGGAAGGCCGTGTGGAGAAGGCAGCCTTAGAGAAACTTTGACATTCAATTGAAGTAAACAGCCAGCCCATGGCAACCCCACCAGGAGGGTCCGAGTGAATCAATTTCCTAAGTTCACTGCTGTCTTGCTGGTGCTTTATTCTGACTAAAACCAGTGGAAACCAGAGGGCAAGGGAACCTGCACCCACCCTCTTTGATACTAGGAGGCCTCATTTCGTGGTGGCATCTTCTATTTTCAGTGTCAGCATACAGAGGACAGCCATATCTATTTTCATTGTTGGTATACTAAGGATAGCCACATCGAGTTTTTCAACAATAGCATTGCCCTCTTGACCAACGCATTTCTTATTTCTTTAATAAAGGAAGTGTCCTGAGGGCCTTCCCAGAGAAACAAATCCGATGTAATTTCGCTAAAAATTAATTAAAAGGCCTGCTCTGAACCTGTGTGTTTATGGAGTTACATGAACTCATCTAGGCATTTTCAATGCCTTGTGCAGGCCCCGAGCCACACTTAGTCCATTCTTACGTTCTCCCTCCCTGACCTCGTGACCTCTACTCAGTCCTCTACCAGGCAGTTCCAGCATGCCTGCCATAGATCATCATCCTGTCTGCTCAAGCTTCAAGGAACTATCCCAGTAATGTATTAACACCAGCCCCGGGTGTCCTTGCCAGGAGTCAAACTCTGAGTCATCAAAGTCATCCCGTGACAATACATTCCTCCCAATCCAGCCTTATAATCCACTCCCGTGGTTTACTCCCACTGGTGTCACCACAGTTCTTGTTTGTACATATAGACCAGGTCTTGCAATTGTTTAGATGGGCATGCCATTTCCTTCTAGAACACGGATTGTATTTCCATTCTTGGCAGGTGCTGTTACCTGACTCATATTACTGGTCTGGCAGCAGTGAGGGAAAATAAGGCAAATGTTGAGGAGGATAAGCATCCTTGAGAGGTATCTGTCTCTGATGGTGCTACGGTCTGAATGTGTCCCCCAAAATTCAAATGTTAAGACTTCACTGCCAACGTGATAGTATTAAGAAGTGGGTCCTTTAGGAGCCACTTATAAAAGAGGTTGAAGGAGTGCCCTAAGTCCCTTTTCCCTTCCATCTCTTCTGCCATGTGAGGACACCACGTTCATTCCTTTTTTCTTTTCACCCTTCTGTCCCTTCTCCCATGTGAAGACACCTAGATGGTGCCATCTATGAGGAATGCACCCCCACAAGACACCAAACCTGCTGGTGCCTTGATCTCACCAGCCTCCAGAACTGTGATAAGTAAATTTCTATTCTTTAGAAATCACCTAGTCTCTGGCATTGTGTTGTAGCAGTAAGAATGGACTAGGACAGGTGGGGTCTTTCCAGAGTCTCCAGGTGTGGAGAGGCTGCCACCTCCTAGCATGGGGAAGGGAGCTGCTTCTGCAAGTCCAAGTGACTGTGGAGGGAATTAAGATTCTCAGGCTTGCCTACCCAAATGTCCCCATCCTAGTTCTCAGGGTCCCATTCTTTTGTTATGAGGGGCCTGACTTTGGCATAGAACTGTTGAGACTGTGCATTCAGTCTCCTTTGCCATTCTGCTACAATCACATCCCGAGCCAGATTTTCAGCAAAGCCTGCCTGGTGGCTGATGAGACGAGGATCTCTCCAAATGCTGCCATGAAGGCCTTGTGACCTTCACATAGTGTCTTAGACAACTAGGTGAGCTGAGCCTAACACTTCTTTGTTGCGAGGCATCCAATGCTGTCAAAAGCAACCACCCTACTTGACCACCTTTATAATTTCTAGTACCCCCATATTGATCAAAAGGAGCAGCCCTTGATCTCCTAATCTTTTGCCCTCAATTTATACTTCATCATAATAAATCCACATACCTATGCAGTAACTCGAGTAACCCTGATGCTAGTGGATATCATAGGTTATTAGTGTCCCAAATGACCACCAGCAAGAGAAATCGTTTTGCTTTCAAATTATCATTCATTCTAGCTCCAAAATCCCATCCTGACTTGGCTTTCTATAGTCATTCCTGCTACCAATTGTCACACCTTGGATTATTTAGAAAACAGGGCCTAACTCAATGTTTACTCAAAACATGCTAATACTTTATGAGAATGGAGTTTTCCTGTGACTTTCCTGGTTTTATCACTGAATATCCTACATCCTGGGAATGTCCTCAGTCATAAGCAAGCTGGGACAATTGGTCACCCTAATTGAGTGGTGCAATTTCAGGGCAGCAAGAATGAGGGAAAAGGGGAAACAAGACAGGGAAGTAGGAAAAGCAAATGCAAGGTGATGTATTAAGCTGACCAGAACTTCAAGAGAAGAATAGAGCTGATTTCTCACTTATGTGACTTATTTCCTGACAGGCTGCACCAAGCCACTGCTCTTGAGAACATCCATTGGAAGGAGGAAGAAAGAGAAGAAAGAGGAATCTGTGTGCTAATTTCTTCCTGTCTCATCTTTTGCTGGTCACTACTCAACATATAGAGTGTTAAACCCCCTGCAACTCAAGGCTCTGTCACCTAGTGTATTAGTCCATTCTCCCACTGCTATAAAGAACTACCTAAGACTGAGTAATTTAAAAGAGGTTTAATTGTACTCAAGGTTCTGTGGGCTGTACAGGCTTCTGCTTCTGGGGAGGCCTCAGGAAACTTACAATCATGGTAGAAGGTGAAGGGGAAGGGGAAGAAGGCACATCTTCACGTGGCTGGCGGGGAGAGGGGAGAGAACTTTCAAATAATCAGATCTTGTAAGAGACAGCACTAGGGGGATGGTGTTAAACCATGAGAAACCACCCCCATGATCCAATCACCTCCCACCAGGCCCCTCCTCCAACACGGGGGATTACAATACAACATGAAATTTGGGTGGGGACACAGAGCCAAACCATAAAACCTAGCCTTTCTGAATAGCTGCTGGGGAAGCCAGATCACATATCTCCTGCCACAGTACTTCAGAGTCTGAGAGGGGAGAAAGGAGCCATAGCATCTGTGTGTCTGGTTAGTTCAGTTCTCTGGGCATTGGAGCCCTGTGGCTCCCACTGAAATGGGCAAAATAGAGATTGGACTACAACCTGGCCCTTGCCCTAGGGCTGATTAAAGGGCTGGAAGTAGGAGGAGGTGAGGCAGATGAGGATCTGGGAGGCAGGTGTTGGCAGACTAAATCTGGGGAGGTGTATAAATAGGGTACAATACAGTAGATATGTCAACAGGTGGATTTGTCAATGTGTGTTATTATTTTGAACTGGCGTGAAGGCAGCAGAACATAGCGGTGAACGCTTATATCCTGGAGTCAGACAGACTTGGATTTGAATCCAAGCTTTGCTACTTATAAGCAGTCTCATTTTGGGCAAGTTACTTAACCTCATGTGTAAAATGGAAATCACAATAGTGCTTTCCTCATATTTGTCAGGAAGAGTAAATGAAATAAGGCCTATAAGGTTAAAAGAGTGCTTGACATGCATAAAGTATTTAGCAAATGTTGGCGATTACTACTAATTGATGGTAGTATTTCTTAAAGATACATCACATGTCGACTTAACCTGGCAAATTTCATTCAAATTTGCTTTTAGTTTAGTAAGACTAATATTCTTAACCACTACCTTTTTCTGAGTGTTAGCTATGTATCAGGAACTATGCATTCAACATACAACTCTGCATAAGATGTCTTCATTTTCCAGAGAGTAATCCAGGGTACAGAGAGCTTTTAAGTAGCTGAAAGGATTTTTTTGAAGTTTACTTGCATTTTATATCAGTCAAAATCCCTTTAAAAGACAGATGGCACATTTAAACTGGATAATTGAGGAATGTTAAAAAGTTGCAGGCAGGATAACCAATATCCTACCAATTTTTTAGTTAGATCAGGGCTAATGGAAACCAACAAAGATGGTCCATGATATGGTTCGGCTCTGTGTCCCCACCCAACCCAAATCTCATCACCGATTGTAATCCCTACTTCTTGAGGGTGGGACCTGATGAGAGGTGATTAAATCATGGGGGTGGTTCCCCCATGCTGTTCTCGTGATAGTGAGGGGGTTCTCAGGAGATCTGATGGTTTAAAAGTGGCATTTTCCCTGTGCACTCTTTCCTGCCACCAAGTGATGAAGGTGCCTGCCTCCCCTTTGCCTCCCACCATGATTCTAAGTTTTCTGAGGCCTCCCTAGCCATGCAGAACTGTGAGTCAATTAAACCTCTTTCCTTTATAAATTACCCCAGTCTCAGGTAGTATCTTTTTAGCAGTGTGAAAACAGACTCATGCAGTGCAGAACCCTAGGGTTAGCAACAGTTGAAAGTTATTCTTTAACAAGAAGGTAGATGGAGAAAGAGGCTGACAAATATACACAGGACACATTATCTTGTGTACCAAATTACTGGGCCCACTTCTGAAGTGGATGACCTCTGGTGTGCATTTATGGGGAAGTAAATATCTCCAAACTTTCCATTCTGAGAACCCCATTCATATCCTTCTCCCTTGTTCTCTTTGACATAAATTTTTCAGTTTTATTCTGAGTCTCTGAACAGTCAGCCAACTTCTTAGTCAATCAGAATTACTGTAGATTCTGACTTATCTTAGGCTGTCTCTCCTGCTAAAGTAGTGGACAACCAGATTTATAACCTGAAGTTGTGCCCTCTGGGAGAATTACCCTTCACCAACACCTTTCAAGGTCACCTATGTGTAGGGCTATATATTAATAACTATTGACTTCTAGCTAGTGCTAGCATGCTATGCAGATCCATCCATAAACCACGTCTGAACTTTTACCTCCTCCATTATCTGGTCAAAGGAAACGCCCTATAAGGCCATAAATGTAGATAAAAGGCAATATGGCAAAGCAATAGGACCAGGTACCATGGGAGTATAAACCAGCAACTTGAGCATTTTATTTATGCCTTTTCTGGATTTGCTTGGGTCCAGTCTTGTATACACCATTTCTATTTTACATAGAATGCTGCTGTGCAATACAGATTTATGATAATATAGGTAAGAAAATACCTAGTTCATGAAAACCTTGGACAGGCTTTCAGTTTTCTACCAGGGCCTAGTAGCAAGCCAAGTATTACTTTTCAAATGAAGAATTGTTGGTAGAAGTTTTTCTCATTGGGGTCTGCTTGGGGGCCCCATCAGTTCTACTGTCTGCTCTTAGACACTTTTGATACTGGTCTGTTGAGAGGTAAGGCCCAGCAGCAGGACAACTAGCACCACAGCCTGCACCTGCCATAGTATCTTATCTTGCTCCAGGGCCTACTTAATGAGTTCAACAAGCACAACCAAATGTAATCTGTGTTGACTCCAGAATCACTGTGTGTCTTTCATTGTTATGGTCTGTGTAAGGAGAAGCAGCTTATTTCATTTAGAGGTGATAGTCCAACATGCTCCAGACCACTGGACCACTAGAAACTTAAATGTCCTTGAATCTTCTTGGTGTTTCTCTCCCACCCTCTGGCATGCATGTATCTGGCTTACTTACTGTACTTCCTGTTCACAGGGTACAGTTACCATAATGTCATAATTTTATTGTGTCAGAATAATATTCTATGGGAAATCAAGATGATCAAGGACTCTCCAGACTCTTATGGCAGAGACCAAGAGAGCTGACATAGCCCAGAGTATATGCAGATATACTGCTGTCCCTGCATGTGAAGGCAAATGGCTTCTGATGATCTTTGCTGATAGGAATAGGTTAAACAATTTTGTTAGATCACTAGCTACAAACCAGGTGCCAGAGGTTCTATTTATTTGCTCCTATAAAATTAGCATGTCCAGAACAACAGCTGTGATTGAAACCATTATCTCGTTAAGTCTATGATTATCTATAGTCATTTTCCAAGATTTATCTAGCCCTTGCACTGGCCAAACTGTCAAGTCAAATGGGGATGTGATAGAAATCACCACCCTTAAATCTTTCAAGTCTTTTATGGTGACACTTGGTCTGTAATTTCCCTAGTGATGCAGCATTGCTTCTGGTTTACTATCTTGTTGAGGTCTTGACGGCATTTCCAGGACTTCTATTTGGCCCTTCCTTCTATATTAGCCCTAACGTCCTGGGTCAGGAAGCCAGAGTGAAAATTTCTCCAATTACCGAGTGTGTCTATTCCCACTGTATATTCTAAGACGGGAGTAATAACTACACAATGCGTCCATGGTCCCACTGGATTCTTTGTGAGCTGGATTTGGGCAAAAATGCTATCTGTCATCTGAGCTACAAAAGCCTTCCCACTTAAAATTCACTTTCATACACACTCCCTAGACTACTGATGATACCATTTGGTGAGATCCTAAAACTCTTTCTAATTAAGTTTCTCCTCTTGAACTAGGCTACTTTTTCATCTGGGATATGTTAAATCTTATTCTGTGAGGTTACCATCTCAGGTGCGATCATTGAAAAGC
Source organism: Homo sapiens (assembly GCF_000001405.40). Taxonomy (NCBI): domain Eukaryota; kingdom Metazoa; phylum Chordata; class Mammalia; order Primates; family Hominidae; genus Homo; species Homo sapiens. The sequence continues at coordinate 30,963,623 of NC_000023.11, forward strand.
TTTTACGCAGATGAAGGTTAGCTACAATCTATGTGCCAGAAAAAGGTTTTATTTGGTCCTATAAAGATACAAGGCGGAGCACGGTGGCTCATGCCTGTAATCCCAGCACTGTGGGAGGCCGAGGTGGGCGGTTCACCTAAAGTCTGGAGCTCAAGACCAGCCTGACCAGCATGGAGGAACCCCATCTCTACTAAGAGTACAAAATTAGCCGGGCGTGGTGGTGCATGCCTGTAATCCCAGCTACTCGGGAGGCTGAGGCAGGAGAATCACTTGAACCCGGGAGGCGGAGGTTGCGGTGAGCCGAGATTGCGCCACTGCACTCCTGCCTGGGCAACAAGAGCAAAACTCCGTCTCAAAAAAAAAAAAGATACCAGAACCACAGATGTGATTAGAATCATCATCTGATTAGAGGAGAGTCTGGAGGGTCTGCTTCTCCAATGAGGTATGTTCAAGGGAGTTGGGGCTTCAAAGTTCTCAGTTTTGTCTGTGTCTGTTCAAATGTACCTGCTCTCTCGGGATCTCATTCAGTAGTTTGTAAGCTTGGTCCTCAACTATATGTGCTCTGTAACTTCAGGAGATGCCAACTATTTAAGCTGCTTTCAAGGCTTTCTTATTTTCCACCTGTGCCCTGAGTCGAAAATCACACTTTCAAGGTATTACCTCCTCCATCATACTCTTTATAGGGCAAGTATAAATATAAGCTGATCCCACCACTTTTATAATAACTGTCACTGCATGCTGACCAAACTCCACAGCCAGCCAAACTTTGCCCTCCACCTGCACCATATGATAATTTGAGTTATTGTGATGCCACTCAATCCACATGGATTACCAGTGTCCCATTTTCTCTTGGAAAGGAAGTTATCTATGCACTCCTTAAATATGTGATCCATCATATCCTAGCATTTCATTTTAGGGTTTTGTGTCTTGGGGCTCATTCTGGTATCAATTACTGTATTATTCAGGGTACCAGCATGAACATTCAACTAGGTAATTGAGGCAAGTTAATAAAGAGGCGATTTACAAAGGTGTGGGCAGGATTCAGTGGAGAGATGGTGCAATACATCAAAGCTAGCAATAGTATGAAGGAACAAATGAAGGGAAGAGTTGCCAGAACCAGGTGAGAGTAGCTGTATGGAAAAGACCACCAGCCAGAACCTATGGCCTTTGATAGAGGGATATATGGGCAACACAGCCCAGCATGGGAGGAGTAAATACACTGTTATCCATCTCCTACATTTCAATTTCCTGTTAATGCTCACATTGACCTTAAGCCAGAAGATGAGAGAGAGGGTTCAGCATCTGAGGTCACAGAACAGAGGACAGATGGCGAGTAGATCAGAGGGTCACATGAACATATCCAAAACAAGTCTAAATCCAGTGCTTCTCATCACTATATACTAAGATGCCAGCCTGACTCTATTGTTTTTAATATGTATACAGAAATAGAAAATGTAGAATTGTACTATTTTATCACTCCAGGATTTCATTATTAATTCAAGATTAGGGAACCCAATTCTATGGTGGCATCCACTGACCAATCTACAGATGCAAGTCACTACAGGGGGCCGGGCACGGTGGCTCATGCCTGTAATCCCAGCACTTTGGAAGCCCGAAATGGGTGGATCACAAGGTCAGGAGTTTGAGACCAGCGGGGCCAACGTGGTGAAACCCCGTCTCTACTAAAAACACGAAAAGTAGCCAGGTGTTGTGGTGTGCTCCTGTAGTCCCAGCTACTCAGGGAGGCTGGGGCAGGAGAATTGCTTGAACCTGGGAGGTGGAGGTTGCAGTGAGCCAAGATCACACCACTGCACTCCAGCCTGGGCAACAGAGCAAGAGTCCGTCTCAAAAAAAAAAAAAAAAAAAAGTCACCACAGGGAGTTTCAAGGATGGGGGTACTTACAATACTAATTTTTAAGGTATATGTATCTTGTATACTTTTGATGCACTAAAAATATTTAAGAAAATTATGTTAAAACAAGTGCAACACAGCCATCTATTAATTTTATGATTGTTCATCATTTAGTCAATAAATGCTTAGTGAATTGACTATTGCCAACTGTATTAGTCCATTTCCATACTGCTATAAAGAACTGCCTGAGATTGTGTAATTCATAAAGCAGAGAAGCTTAATTGATTTACAATTAAGCATGCCTGGGGAGGCCTCAGAAAAACTTACAATCATGGTGAAAGGCGAAGGGGAAGCAAGGAACCTTCTTCTCAAAGCAGCAGGAAGAAGTGCCAAGCAAAGGGGGAAGAGCCCCTTATAAAACCATCAGATCTCGTGACAACTCACTCACTGTAATGAGAACAGCATGGGGGAAACCGCACCCATGATTCAATTACTTCCACCTGGTCTCTCCCTTGACGAATGGGCATTATGGGGATTATGGGTATTACTATTCTTGATGAGATTTGGGTGGGGACGCAAAGCCTCAGCCTAACCATATCACCACCAAACAAACAAATCATCAAGTGAAACCAACAAAATTCATGAATTTTACATTCTACCAGGAAAATCAGACAAGGTCAAAAAGGAAGACAGAAACTAGATTATACAGTAAGGAAGTTGTACTTTACTTGTGGTGTGGTATAAAGCCATTGGAGAATTTAAGCAGGGTGATAATATGATCTGGTATATGTTGAGTGTTTTTAAATGATTATTTTGGCTGCTGCTTGGAGAATAGACTATGGCAAAGAAATGGTGGAAATAGGGGATCCATTTAGGAGCTTATTTGTAGTAGCTTAGAAAACAAATGATGGTGTTTTCACCTAATATGTTAGAAGAGAATGCACTGGTGACACATTTTGGAACAAGAACTAGTATAATTTGCTGATGGATTGTATCTAAAGGGAGAGAGAAAGAACTGAGGATGACTTCTAGCATTTGTTTGCTCAACTGGATGATCAGAGATGCCAGTAACTGTTACTGTTGGAGGGGAAGGTTGGGGGCCCAGGTTGGGGCATCAAGAGGCGGAGGCTGCAGTGAGCCGTGATCACGCCACTGCACTCCAGCCTGGGTGACAGGGCAAGACTCCGTCTCAAAAAAAAGTGTTCTGGACATGTTAAGTTTGAGCAGCCTAGCAGATGTCCACGTGGAGATATCTAGTGAGTAGTTGGCTATAGGAACCCGGCATTCAGAAGAGAAGTCCGGGCTGGAGATATATATATATATATATATATATATATATACACACACACACACACACACACACACACACACACACACACACACACATATATATATACACACATATATGTATGTATATATGGCAATTATGAGTACACAGACAACATCTAAAGCTATGGGACATAATGAATTATGTAAATAGTGTAAAATACAGGGAAGTAGGGAAAAAACAGTGTAAAATAGGGAAACAGTGTAAAATACAGAAGAAGACCCGGAAGCTCAAACTTGAGAGACTGGGAAGAAGAGGCAGAGGCAGAAAGAGATTGGAAGAGGCAAAGGTGGTAGGCCAGGAAAGTTTAATGTCCTAGAAGCAGGTTCAGGAGAATGGAGCAGACAGAAATTCAACTGGAGATGATTAAAGATATTTAGGAAAAAGGACGTGGAGACAATGAATTTGCACAACTCTTTCAGTAAGTTTTACCATGAATGGAACAGACAAATGGAGCAATGAATTGTTTAACTGTCTCTTTTCCTCTCTCTCTAAATGCAATGTTGAAAGGTGATACCTTTTATAACATTTAACTTTTGCTACATGACAAACCACCCCAAAACTTAATGGCTTAAAAGATACACATATTTTTGAAAGATAAATATTTGTAATGTCTTATGATGTGTCTGGCTGTTCCGGACTGGGCAGGTGTGGCTGAGGTTTAGCTCAACCCAGATGGCCTCATGTATAGGTCTGGTGGTCAGCTCCGTGTCAGGTGAATCAGAGGATGACTTGGCCAGTGTCCATCATCATCCAGCAGGCTAGCCTGGGCTCATGCAATGGTGGGCATTATAGAGTTCCCAAGTGCAGCAAAAGAGGACATGTTCCAACTCACACTTTTCAAGTCTCTGTTTATGTCGCATTTGCTATTGTCCCATTAATGAAAGCAAGTCACACGGGCAACCAGAGAGTCAACTGTGGGATAGAAATCCTCAAGGGTATGCAGGGAGGGAGAGAATTACTGCAGCGCTATTTGCAGATAATCTGCCACAACTATGATGGCATTTCTAACTATGTGAAACTCATCCGCTGAGTTGCTCATGTTAGAAACCTCAAAGTTATTTTCTACTTCTCTTTTCTCTCTGAGTGTAAAATGAAACATTATTTAACTAGCTAAATAAAAACGTTTTTTGTGAGAAATAATTTTCTCTCAGTACTTCAATAATCTGTTTATATAAACTTTGACCACAGATCCATTACTGTTTTAATTAATTCAAAACTGGAGAGAAATAACATAATTGGCAGATTAAAATATGAAATTAATTTTAAATCCCTTATAACGAAATATGACTTAGTATCCTAATAATGCATTTCATTTTATTTTGTTTTCTTCCAAACATGCAAAGAGCTAATCACCAATAAGTGGCACTATTTAAACACTTAGAAAAATATTAAGTGTTATTCCTGTCTTGGGTGATTGTGTATATGCTTCTTATCTGACAATCGGCAGCAGGTGAATTACATGGCTTTCCAAATGACTGCATTGCCAATCCATCCTCTCCCACCTAAATGACTGATTCCTATCATTGCTGCCTCCCAAGGGGCTCTCTTGCACTGATGTGGGTGTTGATGGTCCTAAAATGGCATTTAAAGCTTCCAACAACCATCGTTGGTGCAACCGTATAAACAACCTTTTAGAAAACACTGAATAGGGATCCTTTCCTGCTGGCAGAGATGGGATGGGATACAGGCATGGCATTGCAGAAAAGCAAATTGTTGGTTCTCACTCAAATTAACTTCATAACAAATCTGGGCCTCAGTTTATTCATCTGGAAAACAGGCGATTGCCTATAAGGTTTTCGCTCAACCTGTGGTTCTCAGAATCCATATGAGCTCTCCCTGTGCTATAGAATCAGCACTCTATTAACCATAGAAATGGAGGAGGGAGCCCTGAACACCCCCAATCCTCATTAAAACAGGATGCAGGAGCAATCACAACCAATATCTAGTAACATATTAAGCACCCTGCAGACATAAACCCAAACTTAAAGAAATATGAGAGCAGGGCAGGTATCCACAATTTCATGTACAGCAAAAAGGCTACAACCACCTATGCCCATAGATACATCTCACACATGCAATGGACTCAGAAGGCTTTATGAGTTTTGGGTGCCATGGGAAACCTGCTTGTTCTGGCCAACGGCTCCTCTTCACTGCTGACCTGAGTCATGACGTTGTTCCTCATGGCCTCAACCCTGGTTGGCACCCGCATCCATCGAGCCACTCAAGAAAGTAAACTCCCTGGCCAGGAGCTGTGGCTCACGCCTGTAATACCAGCACTTTGGGAGGCCAAGGCAGGTGGATCACCTGAGGTCAGGAGTTCGAGACCAGCTTGGCCAATATGATGAAACCCCCATCTCTACTAAAAATATAAAAATTAACCGGGTGTGGTGGCATGTGCCTGTAATCCCAGCTACTCAGGAGGCTGAGATAGGAGAATTGCTTGAACCTGGGAGGCAGAGGTTGCAGTGAGCTGAGATCACCACACTGCACTCCAACCTGGCTGACAGAGCAAGACTCTGTCTTAAAAAAAAAAAAAAAAAAGAAAGTAAACTCCCCATCTTCAGGTAAATCCACATCTTCTTATGTTTACCTCCCTCAGATCTCTTTTTTTCCATACTCCTCAGGGTTTCTCTTCTGTTGAGTAAGTGCTTTGTGAATCCAGGGTCGTGTTGAAAGATCTTAGAATAGATTTGGGAGATTCGAGTCTCACAGTCTTTAGAGCTAAGTCCCAAACTTTGCTCTGAAATATCCCCGTCCCTTTATTCCTCCCTCTTTGCCTCCCAATCTTAAAAGTACATAGAGCAAAGAGCCCCCTAGATCCCCAATTGTCATGTGAAACATTTTTTCCTGACCACACAGAACCACTAACATACAGAATCCCAGTGTCCTCATTGGTACAATAGGATAACACAAGATCTGTCTCAAGGATTAAATAAGATGACGCATAAAAATCACTTTGCATAGCATCTGCTGTTCAGGAAGTGCTCAACAAACATGAGCTATTCTTATATTGTATTTTTTTCATTTAATTTCAAACTATATATGTCTTATATATCAAACTATTGCTGATTTATAATGATGGTGTCTTCTTAGAAATTTATAATCTGTTATTATTTACTGCAGTTAATTCACCAACTTGTTATTGTACCCTTCCATAAAGAAGAATTAACTATATTTGGATTCTATGTTCTGATAATATGCACATATGTTTCTTCCTATGCATACGAATCACAGAGTTCTACTAACTCTATTCCTATCAGATAGAATTGACAAATTATGTGATATTATTTGCATTATTTTCTACCAAAATACAAAGAATTTGCATTATTTATATCTTGCAGAATATCAGATTGACATATAAATCATCCTTGCCAGTTTTTATGATCAATTCTTAATTCTTTTTTGTTGTTTTGTTTTGTTTTGAGACAGGGTCTGTCTCTGTCCCCCAGGCAGGAGTGCAGTGGCATAATCAAAACTCACTGCAGTCTCAACCTTCTGGGCTCAAGCTATCCTCCTGCCTCAGGCTCCCAAGTAGTTGGGATTACAGAGTAGCTGAGATTACAGGCATCAGAAAGCACACTTGTCTAATTTTTAAATATTTTGTAGAGATGGGGTCTTGCTATGCTACCCAGGCTGGCCTCAAACTCCTGGGCTCAAGAGATCCTCCCACCTCAGCCTCCCAAAATGCTGGGATTACAGGTGTTAGCCACTGTGCCTGGCCCACTATCAATTCTTTACTTAGGTCCATTTTAGATTTTCCGTCAGTCGTACAAAGTCTTAGTGCTTTGATTTACTTCAGCTTGATGCCAATCTTTTCTTTACTTAGAAGGCATTTTCAACACACATGCCTCCTTCTCTAACATAACTGTAGGAGTGAGGATGGCACCAGGAGGGAGGCTGCAGTCATGAGCAGCCTCCATGCCATCCGAAGAGCATCCCTGTGTGAATAGGAGAGACTAGAGTGCCTCTTTCCGAGGAGAAAAGGATGGAGATCCTTCCAGTGTGGGGCATAAGGTTAACCCTGACTTCGTGCTGTGATGTGTCGCTGGAGTCTGCTGCAGTTTACCTCTTTTCATGAATTTGCAGGCAATAAAAAAAGGTCATAGAGTCACATGACACAGAATTCCAAGCCTGCAAGGGTTTTAAAGTCCATCTTGTCAACCTCCCCAAACGCCACTTAGATCCTGTCCACAGTGTCTTCATATCAAGTGGCTATTTGAATGCATTTTTCTCCTTAGAAGGGCTATTGCTCTACCTACCTGAGGAGCACTTTATGAAGAATTTCAGGTGATTCCTTAATTAAATGGGGTCGACATGTACTTAAAAGCCTCTTAGGAACTGTGAAATAGAATCCTAATTTAGGCAAAGTTTCTCCTGGTCTGTCATAAAACCGAACATGGGACTGAATGTCCAAAATAATAACAACAATAATAATAGCTAAATTTATTAAATCTTTAATAAGTGTTAGTCCTGCACAATAAAAGGTAAACACTGTTGACCCATGCAATTTCAACAATCCATGCACATGGGATGTACCATTATTTCTATATAAAGAGGAGCAACCTGTATATAAGAACCTTATAAAAGATGCAAACCTGTATATAAGAACTTAGAGAAGTTTCAAATGTTGTCCAAGAACCTATTATAGAGGCCACGTGATCACTGATTTTTTTTTCCTAAAAATAATGTATGCAGTATGTGTGTATTTTAGAGTTTACAAACTTTTTTGGCACACATTATTTCTATTTGATTTTCATTCTCAGATGCTCGTGAGATTCTTCTCCAAATATATCATGCCTGTCATCTATTTTTGTACTTTTCATTAGAGAGCTGAAAAGTATTATCTTTAGAACATCATCCACATCTTAGAAACAAAGGGAGTTGAGTTGGGGCTTAAATGCTGCCTCTGTAATTTGTTCTGGACCCAAGAAAATTTCTTATCCAGGTTTTGGTACAGAGGCAGAGAGTCACCAGTATTCTCAAGCAGACTTTAAAATGGTTAGCTAAAATGGTTAACTAAGACACTTAGCATAAACTCTTCTCCCTCACCCAAGCCTCTGCATTCTCACTGAAGCCACATTAAAGCCAGATGGAGCCAGTAGCTGTGAGGTTCCTTCCTGGCCACTAGAGGCCAGCAAGCCTCAGTTAAGAACCTTGGAGTGGCGCATGCTTTTCTTACTTTGTGCGTCTAGTTGGTTCAGTACGAGGAAAATGATCCTGGAATGTTTCTAGAAGAGACATATGGTTCCAATGTGTACCACTGAGATGCCTCTGGTTTTTCAGACGTCCCAACATTTCCCTGAAAATCAGTCTTGAACAAATTAAGCAAGTAAAGAATGAGTGTTTTTGGCGTGTCTCTGCCACATCTTCCAAAAGCCCCATGCGTCCCTTTTCATTCTAATGCTTTTTTTCTTCCTTTCCCTGTTTGAAAGAAACGAACAAAAGAATCCAATTTTATGTGATCTCTTTCCCACCCCCACATTGTTTAATTTCCTGGAAGCAGTAATATCTCACTCCTTCCTCATTTCTCTTGAGGCTAAAAGTCCTGTCTCTCCCTGACTTTCTATTGCTTGCTTCTCTCTTCCCTCTACCCACTAGGTTGCGCTCGTAGAAGGAGATAGAGGGAGGCTACTGTGGCCGGAGAGAATAAGGCAGAGCATATGGGAGAGGGCTTTGCTCAGCTGAGCACTGTGCTGTACAGTTCTGGAGTTCCTATGCCTCAGCAGAGGGGCTCCTCTTTAATGTGTGTTCTCTGAATTTAAAGGTACTCTCTTTGAAAAAATCCTTACACTTTTTTTTCTTTCTTTCTTTTTTTTTTTTTTTTTGAGATGGAGTCTCGCCTTGTCGCCCAGGCTGGAGTGCAGTGGCGCCGTCTCGGCTCACTGCAACCTCCACCTCCCGGGTTCAAGCAATTCTCCTGCCTCAGCCTCCCGAGCAGCTGGGATTACAGGCATACACCACCAAGCCCACCAACTTTTTTTATTTTTGTATTTTTAGTAGAGATGGGGTTTTGACATGTTGGCCAAGCTGCTCTCGAACTCTGGACCTCAAGTGATCTGCCAGCCTCGGCCTCCCAAAGTGTTGGGATTACAGGCGTGAGCCACGGTACCGCACTGAGAATATCCTTATACTTAGAAAACATATGCTTAAGTATTTCAGGTACAGAGCCTTCATATATGCAATTTCCTCTCAAATGGCTCAGTTATATATATATATATACACACACAATATATAATATATATTATATAATTTTATAATATATATACACAATATATAATATATATATTATATAGTTATATAATATATATTATATATACACACATATGTGTATATACGCATATATGTATATATTATATATACATATATGCGTATATACACATATATGTATATATTATATACACACACATGTATATATATATGTATGTGTGTCTATATATGTATGTATATAAGAGAGAGAGAGAACAAATGACAAAGCAAATGGGGTAAAATGTGAACGATAGGTGACTCTGGATAAAGGCTCTGCTGATCCCAGCCTGCTCAACATGGCGAAACCCCATCTCTACTAAAAATACAAAAAATTAGCCTGGCGTGCTGGTGGGCGCCTGTAATCCCAGCTACTCGGGAGGCTGAGGCAGGAGAATCGCTTGAACCCAGAAGGCGGAGGTTGCAGTGAGCCGAGATGGCACCACTGCACTTCAGCCTGGGAAACAAGAGCAAAACACCATCTCAAAAACAAACAAACAAAAAAGGGCCTGCTGATCCTATGCATATCCTCGCAATTCTTCTATATGCTTGGAATTACCTCCAAATATTAAAGCTACTCTTTTAAAATGAAGTTTTTTGTATATAATCATCTAATTTTTAAAATACACTGCTCACTTTTCCAGAAAGTGGGACTTCAAAGTCACCTTGACACACCTGAGCTGATGAATGGAGGAAGGATGGAGCGGAGGTCAGAGGAGAACCCCTCCCTAGGTCTGCCCTCTCTAGTCCACTCCTCAGGAAATGAGCCTCCTGTCCGCCCCCCATTCTCTCTCCAGACAAGTATGATTCAGGTGGATCTTTCCCCTCTCAGCATGTTCTTTATCTCTTCTTTTCAGGTGCTTTGCTTTGGACTGCCTCCCAAAGTGGCACACAGCTAATTCAACCCAAGCAGAGGCTCAAAAGCCCATGTACTAGATGTATAGAGCACCCTTGACATAACTAACTCCATCTTAGAAAAAGACTCCATTTTACATTTCATAGGGCACCTTGCCAACAAAGATGTTTTGCCTAACAAACAAATAAAAAAATTAAGACTGTATCCAACCAGATAAGAACACAAACAAACATGCTCTTCCACTATCACTTCTCACCAGAGGACTCTGTGGCCATGAAAGAGCAGGTTCTCAGCAGCTCAAAATGGCCGTCTTAAGTGACACTGCCTTGCAGTCACTCGTAATAAAAGCTTGACATCTGCCACTGAAGGCACTGCCACATTAAAGGCTCTACCTTGCAAGACCGAAGGAACACCCAGCCCAGATCAAGTTTCCTTTTGTCTTCTTTGCTCCCCCTGGAGTGGTTCATTAGCCCTTTCTCCTATCTCTTTTTCTCTCGGTGTTAAATGTTTCTTTGTTTGTTGTGGAATGTTTAATCTGTAACACTTTGATATTGAAAGTATGCTTTGCAATATTGACTGACTTGTGGAGTGGCTTGAGCCTGTGTATTCGCAGCTCCGACTACTGAGTGAATGGCAAGTACTAAGGAAAATTGTCTCCCGGGAAACTCCATGTAGCATGTGGCTTTTGTGGTTGAGATAGCATCAACGAAAGTCTGACATTGTGGAAAGACACAAAGATGCACAGAGCTGGTTATCTCTAACCTTGCACCGCTCATGACACTAGGCCTCGCTGTCTTGTTGCGCTTAAAACCCTAGGACCACCATGTGAATGAGCCTGAACTAGCCTGTTGGAGGACAAGAGACACACGTGTGGCAAAGTCATCCACATTGCCCCAGCTGACACCGAGCTATTTGCGAGACATATGAGTGAGACCATCCTATCCCATCTATGCCTGGCTGAGCCAACAGCTGGCCACAGACACAGAGCAAGCTTAGCAGACATCAGGGAAACAGTCCAGACAAGAAAAATGCCCCATACCTAACCAGTAGGAATGTTGTACTTGGACTCTGAGGTTCTGACCGTAGCATCAGATCACACAGAGAACTACCTTGCTCGCCCGAATGTGTGGCTTTCTCTGGCTTCCTTCTTGGTCAACTGGGCTCCAGCCAATGGTCATGTGCTGAAATAAAGAACAGGAAAGTACTGTGACATGGAACATTATGACTTATTTCTTTTTGGAATTTCTACCTAGAATGCAGCTTCTCTAAGGCTGTAAAATCATTGCCCTGAGAAGAGCAGTCAATTTTTCATGATAAGTTGCTATTCTCTTTAAGAAGTGAAACAGTTAAATATATATGTGGCCTGCTTGTCTTGATGACAGGTTCTATCTAGAGGGTGATATCTTTATCAAGAAGTAGTCAAGATGTAGATGAGTACTAGAGGGATTACTAGAAAAACACTCCTCTGCTGTATATTTCATAATAGTAACGACCCCATCTATCTCCAGAGAGGGAAGGAGGCAGCAGCCAGAAAGGGTTTTGTAGTTCTGTGAATAAAGGTTTATTACTTTCCTCTACCTTCCATCAATCAGCTCAATGTTAGGAGAACTAAAAAGGAAAAAGCAAACCTAATCTTTGTGTCTGCTCATAAAATAACATGGGCAGAATATTCCCTGTTTCCTGACCTTGAAAGTAACTTTTTCAAAGTTGGATAAAACCAGGGAACATGGTTTGATTAGAACTGGAAACTGGAAGAGAGGATCTGGAGCTTTGAACCTCAGTGTCAACATTTGTCCAGCTATCACAGTTCAAGTCTGCAAACATTTGTGGGTACTACTCTGTGCAGGAAGCAAGGTAGATGATGCAGAGAATACAGAGATGCACAGGACAAGGTTTCTGCCCACTCTAGGCTCACAAAATATCAGGCAGTGAGCAACCCTATCCAACAGAAGGTAATAGGTGATAGAAGCAGAGGACAAACAAATGAAGAAACAGGGAAGGGATGAATTAATTCCAACTTTGGGGCCAGAACAATTTAATAGAGGAGGTGAGCTTTGAGAAGAAACTTCACTTCCATAGGCAGAAGTGGTAGGGATGATGGCTGCCTGAGAGACTGTGATAACTGGGGCAGCTGCCCTGGATTGAGACATGGAAGCCGTATCTTGAGAATTTCCTATCCTTGGACTATTATGTGAGAGAGAATACACTTACATCTTGTTTAAGCCACTGTTTTTTAAAAAGTGGGCGAGAAGGGAAATTCTAGACAAACAGGCAGGCATGAGCAAAGGCAGAAAACTGGAAAATGTGCTAAGCAGAGCAGAAATTGCAAGGATCCCATGAAAATTGAATGGGCAGTAGGGCTAGAGTGTGGAAAGAAGAAGGTTGTAGAGAGATTGTTGGAAAGGTAGACTGGGGTAAAGGTAACAGAGGACCTGAATGTATGCTGCATATTGAATTTGAAAACATCATTTCCCCCATAAAGAATTTTCTTTGCTACTGTGAGGTCTGGGGTCACTAGTAATTCAGGATCACTCAATCAAATTTTAGGGCATGAAGTTTTTTGGGTCTCTTGGATGACTTGAGGTCGTGCTGCAAGTTCATGGTAGGTTTGTTTCTAGCTCTTCCTGACTCCTAGGGTGATTTACCAGGGGCCCCACCCTTGAAAGGCCTTAGATTCTGACTTTTGTCCTCCTAATCTTGAGAAACTGTCAAAGCACAACTGGGTCTCTCAGCTTCCCAGTCAGGATTAACAATGGCTCCCAGGGCAAAAGCCGCCTAGATACTGTGCCACTTTTCTGAATTTCCTGTGACAGTAGTTGTTCCTCACTATTTTGTTACCTTCTTGATACTTTTAAGAAGATTTGGAAAAATTGTCCAGCTCCTTTGCTAGTGCATTGTTCTGAATTATCTAGTGCTCCTTACGGGGTGTGGCAAGTTCTACTGAATTGCTACTTTCGATTTATGATCAGAAATCTGAAACAGACTCTCAATCCATTTAGAAAACCATATTTTTTGCAAACATCATGGTGATAACTGATTAAGGTAAGAACCATCAATGAATAATAAAACTAGTGGATTCAAGATCTGTATTGCAAGAGGTGTGAGAGAGAGAGAGAGAGAGAGAGAGAGAGAGAGAGAGAGAAAATGAGAATGATATAGCCAATGTCGCAAACAGCATTGTTAGCAATTGATAAACTGAATGAAGGATTTATGGGAGCTTTTAGTTCTACCCTTTCAACTTTTCTGTAGGTTTAGAATTATTTTAAAAGAAAATGTTAAAGGAAAGAGAGACTAACTGTGTTAAAAGCTGTTTGAGAACCAACCTTTGGATTGAACAAGATGGAGATCTCAATGTATTTCAGATTTCTGATCCTAAATCGAAAGTAGCAATTCTGATCATAAATCTAAAGTGTCGAGTAATTCTAATACATCAAATAATCCATTTTCTTTTTCTCTGAGATAACTGATGTTCTTATTTCTCCTCAAAATTTCAGCACCCCTTTCTGCCTCCTCACTCTCAGCTGGTGCTCCCAGTTCTTACTACAGTGGAGTTTAGAAACAAAATGAAGAGAATGACTTTCTCTTTCCAATGCTTGTCATCATAACTGCATCTCTACCCATGTATTTCTCCTATACATGGATGAAGTGTCTGAACTCCTGCTAGGGCCAAGTGGTTCACTTATCACTGGATGCCATCCCTTTGTGTATCCTCAGTGACTTTTCTTCTGTCATTTGTCCCTTTCTCATGTATCCTGTCTTTTTCTTTTCTTGCTGCATCATTGTAAAAACACTCCCACCATATATGTAAGAAGTTTCATATTGAAAACCACAACTCTCTCCTAACCACACATTCCCATTCAGTTAAGCAAAACTCCCCAAAGGAGTTGTCTCTCACTTGCTGCTCCTTTCTGAATCTCCCATTCTCTGGTCAGCAGATTCCAATTCTGCTTTCATTCTCAGCACTCGGCTGAAACCTCTCCTGACATGGTTGTTCATGACCTCCATCTTGTTCGATCCAAAGGTCAAATCTCAAACAGCTTTTAACATAGTTGGTCTCCCTTTCCTTAAACTTTTTCTTTTAAAATAATTCTAATCTTACAGAAATGTTGAAAGAGTGGAAGAAAAAACTCCCATAAATCCTTCATTCAGTTTATCAATTGCTAACATTACTAACTGTTTGCCACATTGGCTATATCATTCTCATTTTCTCTGTCTCTGTCTCTGTCTCTCTCCTTGCAATATAGATCTTGAATCCATTAGTTTTAGTATCCATTGATGATTCTTACCTGAATCAGTTATCACCATGATGCTTGCAACAATATGGTTTTCTAAATCATCATTCCATCTAGATGTATTAGCTGTTATTAGTTAGCATGTAAGAAAGAGCTTTTTCTTTATCTACCAGTCTGTTAATCTAACCATCCATCCATTCATTCATCCATCAGTATGGACTTACATCCATCAGTATGGACTTACTTTTTATTTTATTCAGTGGGTTATAGTTCATTGCTGCCATTATATATTTTAATGTTAAATTGTCCCATATTTGGCCAGTGGAATCCCCTTCAGGCTACTTCTGTGTACTTTTGACATACCCCATTATTTTCTGAATACTTTCTTACTTTCTGATACACACAGAAAATAATGCTTCAGGCTCATCCTGTACTTTCTATGTGCTAGCCCTGGAATCGGCTGTTTGTTCAAGGATCCTTGGTTCCTTTTAGTGGGAAATGGTACTTAGAAACAAAGATCTAATATGAAGTGTTTTTGTTGCTACTGTGATGTTTTGCTTTCCTTACAGTGAAAAGAGATTAGAAATAATTGGAGTTCATCACAATACACCATCAAATTACTCTTCCCAGTCTTCACTCAATCCATATTTATATCTTCTTTTTTCAACAGTGAGAAACCTGGCTCCCAATATTATCAATATATTTACTCATTTTCTCAATCCTACAACACAGAGTAAAGATTTCAAAATTGCAAACCCACACCACTGAGAAAAATGAAATAAAACCCATCAACTAGAGTTCAAGATTTGCAAGCAGTTCTTTTTGTCTTTAGATTGAGGATATATCATCAACATGCTGTGTTCAAAAGTTAGCATCTCTTACCAATTCTGTGTTTAGTAAAGCCACATTAATAACTTGAAATCAGACACAAGGGAATTATTCCCTTATTTCTGACAACACTTTTTCTTATACTTCATATGTAGTCTATCAAATTATGTCCATAATCTGGCCACTTTTTACAGTGCAGATCATGTTCTAGCAGCTATATCTCTCACAAAACTATTGCAATGCCTTCTGATCTAGTCTCTCTACTTCCACTACTACTCACCCAACAGTCAATGTGAGCAAATCATGTCACTCTCCTCCTCAAAATTCCCGAACAGATTTCCCCATGCCTAAAATAAAAAGTAATCTCCTTATCATGGTCTACAAGACCTTTTATTATCTAGGCCCACCCACCTTATGATGTCATCTCCTACAGGTTTCCCCTCTCCTCACCAAGCCTGCTGCTGCAGTCACATTAGCAGCCATTTTGATGTTTTTTAAACACACCAAACTCATTTCTCCCTCAAGGACTTTGTACTTGCTGCTACATCTGCCTGAAACTGTCTTTTTTTCTGGGGGGTGAAATGGACTTTATACAGCTTTCTCCCTCACTACAGCCAGGGCTCTGTTCAAATGTCACCTCCTTTGAGAGGCATTCCCTGAAAATCCCATCTAAATTTGCATCACTTATTTGCATCACTCTCAAACTCCTTAGCCTGCTATTTTTTTCAAAGCATTTATTATCATCTTATCGCCATCTCCAGAATGCCTGCATTAATTATTTTCATGCTCACCACATATTCCCAGTGATTTGAACAGTATACCTGGCACATGGCATTTAATAAATATTTATTGAATAATTGAATAAGTGAACAAATTAATTATAAATTTTGGAGCTCAAATCTTCTTTGGGATCCTCACATTGCTGAGAAATCATTTTAGTTAATTCCCATTTGTCTTCCTAATGGCTACTTCAGGCATTTACTGTTTTGGATTTGTTTTATGTTTTTTTTTTTTTTTTCCAAATCTCTCTCCTGTTTAGTTCAGTAGATAGTCATGGAGAATATTTGCTTTCCTTTCTTAGTTTCCTGGAAGGTTTAGGAGGCTTTTTTAATGTTCCCATATCCGTAAAGTACAAGTTATAAATGTGCTTTCCAGCTACATTTTTTTTTTTTGAAGCAAGGATGATGGCGGTGGCACTAGTGCTGGCTCTATAACATCTTTATGCAAATTAGAAAAAGTGTCCCCTCTGGATAGATGCTGTCCCAGGAACTCACAGTGAAGTGGGAACAGAGTGCTCTTATGTGAATTAGGAAAAAAGCCCTAACAGACATGGTTACCTTGTTTACTGAGAAAATAATACCCTTCAAGTAATTCTCATACACTCTCAACCTTATCCTTCCCTCCTTCCTGCCTGCCTTGGGAGAAGTACTAATGTTTCTAAGGACTTTGATCAAGGCTGGCATCTCTACATAGGTGCTTTGTTCCTATCATGCACCACAACATATACTGTATCCATTATCCTCATTCTCTCTGGAATTCTGATCTTCTCCAACTTGCTTCCTCCTTTCCGAACAGGAATGGGTTCAAATTGCCACAACTCTAAGGAAATCTTCTTTATTGTCACCATCACTTCCAACCCTGGTAAACAGATGCCTTATCTATTCCTTGACTTCCTTTTTTTTTTTTTTTTTTTTTTTTTTTGAGACAGAGTCTTACTCTGTCGCCTGGGCTGGAGTGCAGTGGCGCGATATCCACTCACTGCAAGCTCTGCCTCCCGGGTTCCTGCCATTCTCCTGCCTCAGCCTCCCGAGTAACTGGGACCACAGGCGCCCGCCACCACGCCCAGCTAATTTTTTGTATTTTTAGTAGAGACGGGGTTTCACCGTGTTAGCCAGGATGGTCTCGATCTCCTGACCTTGTGATCCGCCCTCCTCGGCCTCCCAAAGTGCTGGGATTACAGGCGTGAGCCACGGCGCCCGGCCAACTATTCCTTGGCTTCTTATCAAGCACTTGAGAGTAGACTCTACCTCACAGCCATTTCCACCTATGGTTACCCTTCAATTCTAGAAATTGGTGGCTTTTTATTTTCTTCTCATTCTGTATGACCTTTATGCAGCACTGGGACATGTGGTGGATACCCTATTCTTCTCAAACATTTCATCAATTCGCTTTCAGGGCATTCCTTGCTCCTGATTTTCTCCTTATCTCTTTGATTGTCACTTGCCTTTTCCTGATTCTTCTCCCTTTTCCAGATCCTCAAAGATTGGAATTTCCTATGGTTTCATCTTCGGGTAGTCTCCCTTTTTACTTTAAACAGTCTAATGAAATACAACTATTCATGTATCATCAACTCCCACTTCCTAGCCAATACGATCAAACCTACATTTCTACTCATTTTACTAAATATAGACCATTTTTCTTATCTCTACATAGATTTACTACAGGCACCTCAGACTCAACCTGTCTGTATCCTTCACGGTTTTATCAGAGATGCAGAACCATTAGGAAATCACATTTATAAGATTTCTTATAAAGACTTGATCTTTTGCACTTATAGAAGCTGGTTAGTGGTGTCAGTAAGGCTGTGGTCTTTACATTGGATTCTAGGGTTTGAAGTTAGCAAGGCAGGCAGCTAGGAAGGGGAGATGGCTGTAAAATGGAGTGGATCCAAGACAAATATGAACTCATGAGAAAGAACTGGAGTCTGTGTCTGTCTTTTACGGCCTGTGTCTACAGCATTGATGATGTCAGTGTCCTACAGTGGAAGCTGGCATCTTTTGTTTTAGAGATAATCATGTATCTGGTCTAGGATTCAGAGAAGGGGAAGGAGGATCGGGAGGAAACTGGGGCAGCTCCAGGTCCAGCTGCTACCGCACACCAACAAAGTGAGCCAATAGGTAAGTGACGATGTGCAGGAACGGCAACATCACCTGGTGCCCCTGAACTGACCTTCGGAGAATAACAAATGTTAATACCAATCCTGCTTGAAGTACATCTTCTGAATCTTACCCAAAATGTTTTCTGTGACCAACCCTAACCAGAAAAACTCAGGGAAGGTAATTCTGGGAAATAGAAATGAGCCTAGGCAAGTTGACACATTACAAAGCCACCACACTGTTTAAAATCAGATTCACTATCTTCCAGGGCCCTCTTACTCAGAAAAGTGATCTTCCTACAACCCTTTCTATTTTAGAATATACCATCACCAATGACCTACTTATCTAACCTAGGAACTTCTGAGTCACCCAAACCATTTATCCTTCTCCAACCCTGCCCACTCCTACTCCTGCCACATCCAGTCATTCACCATGTCATTTTAATCCTAACCCATCATTTTTGTTCACATTTATCTTCTTCATGCAATCCCGTGCCCTACCTAAGTTTTGTCTGGTCCATACGCTAGAAGCACTAGTCCCAGTGTTTCCAGTTCTTCCCCATCCCATTCAACTTCCACATAGCTACCAGGAAGACCTTTCCAAAATTTAGATCTAATCATGACATTTCCTTGATATACTATTTTTTTGTAGATCTTTTTATCTACCGAATGTATGAAAATTCCCAAACACGTAGATTAGATTGTTGTTCCCAATTCTTCACTGTGTGCTGTGATAGAATTGTACGTCCATGCTTTTTGTCTTGTGACTTTGCAATTCTTGCCTTAATGTGAATATGACATACTTCCTCATTCTTCATGACTCTGCAACTGGCTGATGTGATGTGAGTGGACTTTAAATGTACTTATATAGTTTAGTTCCCCCTCTCTAGCTTCAGCTATTGTCATGAGAAATGCATGCTCAGAAATATATGCTGTGCACTGGTAGCTACAGGTCCCAGAAGGGGATATGTGGAACAGAGCTGGCTTGCAGCCTGGAGCCAAGCCTAGCAGAACCCAAGCAGGTCCAGCAAAAATCAGCCAAAATAAGCCGAACTTCAGCTGCCCCACCTATTAAGTTAGAAAATAAATGTTTATTGTCGTAAGCTACTAAGACTTTGGTGGTTGTTATATAGCATTATCGCAACAATAGTTGAGTAATAACACGTAATATAAAGGCCCTCCACAATTGAAAGCCAGCCAGACTTCTAGTGCCAGTCTCAAGCCATTTTCTCACATGCACCCACAGTAATACTTACTCTCATGTAATGAGTACCTGTATCTTTCATGCCAAATTGACTTGCTCAGGCACCCAGCTAGTGAGTAGCAGAGCCAGGATGCATGTATGTCATAGCCCACAGCAGTGAGTGTTATCCTCACATTTCTACTTTGTTAAACTGTTCTCTAGCCAGAGAGTTGGTTGGGATTCCCTTGAGATTCCCCCAAACCTGCCTATAACATGAATGCTATACTTTTCCATCTACTTTTGTAGGTTAAGCCTCAGGCTCCCTTTTATGTATGATCTGATAATATTAATAATGACTAATATTTATTGAGTGCTACGTTCCAGGCAGTGTTCTATGTTTTTCATTCACTCTTCACAATGACCCTATGAGATAGGGAATATCATTATCACTATTTTATAGAGGACGAAGCTGAGGCACAGAGAGGCAAAGTAGCTTACAAGCTCATGCAGTAAATTATATATCTGGGATTCAAATCCAGGCAGTTTGACTCCAAAGCCTCTACTGTTAACCACTCTGCTGAATCCCCATCCATTGATATTGACCCTCTATGCCCCTGCGTTACTCTGTACATGCCTTTATTATAACTCTGTACATTTCATGATGATTATTTATTTATCCTACTATTTCCCCTACTTCACCGTGAGCTTTCAAAAGTCAAGGGCTCAATCTTAGGTGTCCTTATATGTCCGCTATCTAGTAAGGTGGCTGGCCTGTAGCTAGTTCCCACTAAATGTTTATGATTGCTATTTGCTGTTGAACTGCTTTGTCATCAGTTAAATTTTCATTGTAAATTGCTGGAGAACTGCTCCAAATTGCCTTTCTCTGAAACATGAAATTGACACAATGTATTTTGAGAGTGATTTATAGAAAGTCATATATTTCATACAGTGGGAAAGGATGTAATGGTAAGGAATTTTTCAAATTTTCCCTCAGGCACTTGCCTTTTAAACATCAATCAAACAATCAACAAATCATGACTGTGCACCTCCTATGCATCAAAAACAGGCCAACCACTCATACTAGAGGTGGCTAACTAATTACTTTGTGCTCCGGTGGCTATATTTCATTTGTTTTTTTCCAGATCCAGTCTTGTTTTCATCTTTGAGCTGGTGAGATCAATGCATATGGAAAGAAGTTAAGATAAAATAAAAATTTTACCTGACAGCCTTTTTCTGGAAGCTTCAATGGCTTTGGAAGAGTTTATTGATTCCAAAAGAAAAATTACCATTCTCTTTTATGGAAGGGTAAAATAAAGGAGGATTTAGTGAATAAAAGGAATTGGAGCAATTAGCATAGCCTTTAAAAATCTGGGATTATCTTTATTGATTAGATTGCTTTAGAATTGTTGAAGGAGCAATGGAAATTCTAATGGAAATTACATATGTGAACGAGACAGGAGTTAGGTCTGTGAACCAAGACCCAGCTTTTTGAAGAACAAAGCACAGGCTGGAGAGAATTCAGTCACCAAAGCATAATAAGAATTTCTGAAAGTTCCAAAAAACAGGAGGCAAAAAGAATGATTTTTTTCCTTATTAAGTTTATATACTACTTATAGGCATGCACTGAGATTTTGGAGACCAAGTACAAGGTACCTGGTGAAAACACAATAATCAAAACAAAAGGGGAAACTAGAGGCAATATTTATTTATCCAATTGGACCTATGAAAATGAACAGAGAGAGTGGCAATCTGTATCTCACTCTTTTCAAAGTTTGTTAACAGGTAATTTTCTCTCAGTGAATGTATGCATATTTTTATTTGGTAGTGGGGCATTTTAGGCAGATTTATTATCCTAACCAAAGTGGAAAAAAAAAAAAAGACACACAATAGGACTCAAATATTTCAGCACAGCTTAGTAAGAAAAAAAAAATAGGTGAGCAACATTTTCTTCCCGAGTGTTGACTTCTTACCAGTTCAGTATGAATATACTCAATGAAATAAGTAGATTTTTGAATGGCCCAGTGATTTGTTTGGTCAAATCTTGCCTGGGTTTTAGAGAATTAAAACAGATGCGCATTTCCCTTATCATATGCATTTGCTGTTTCAACAGAATGGTTTGTATCCCAGATGTGGGAAATGCAATTTAAGAAAAGTAAATCTCAAGGTTGAAGAAGGAATATAATGATGAAAAACATAATTGAGGCAAGAAAACGTAGAGTTCAGTATTTTGTTAGTTCAAGTAATTTAAAAAATCATTTATATATAAAGAGGAAGCCGGAAGATGGTGCTTTGGTGGTTCTTTGTGTAGTGTGATAGCATAGGATGAACGGCACACAATTAGGGCATACTGTAAAATCACATTTTAATGAATAAGGAGTGAGAGAGAGTTGGCTTTGAACATAGGCCTGAATTCTCAATGTAAGTCGGGTGTCATTTCATCAAAACATATGCTTTCATCTATTTCATTGCACAACCACTTGTTTGCTGTGTGTGTTATTAATTTATTCACAAATATGTATTGAATCTGTATGTTTGGCTGAGGGCACAATAACTTTTCTCTTCTCCCTAAACTTGTCACTCCCACCATCTTTCCTTTTAACGTAGAAGTCACCATCTGTCAGGCCTTCAAACCGGGGCACAAGTGGCCTCTGCCTTGGGACTTGGCCTTCAGAGGATCCCACTTTGGTCCTCTTTTCATCACAGCTCTCTCTAGGGGACGAGGAGTCCATGGGATCAAGGAGATATGCCCACTGAGAAGCTTGGTCCACTGAAAGCTTGTTTCCACTGAGACTGTTCTCCCATCCCTTTAGATGAAATTCTAGCTCAGGGTTAGCTTCATGAGTGTGCCACCTGTGCACTCACACAGGGCCCTGTGCTCAGAAAGGCCCATCCTTTGAGTCTCACTAAACTCACACACATGTAGGTCCACCAGAACTCTGTTCATGGGGCATTGCAGATGCTGTGGGCTAGAAAAGTGACAATAAGCAGCAGAGATATAGTGTATAGGAAATACAGTGTATCTCTTCTGCTCATGTGAATGTACACTGTCCTGTTGAACTTCACTTACAAAACACAAGTTCAAAGATAAAATTATTTAACATGTCAACAGCACAGCTCCTCAGGTGATTCTAAGATGAACCTGTGGTTCTCGGCTGGGTCAGGAAAACTTAGTAGAAGCTTATATAAATGGTGGGAGTTGGGAGGAGTAGGGAAAGCCAGGGTGGGGAGATGGTGTAATAAGAGAAAAGAAGGTGGATTGGAGGGAAAAAACTTCCTTAAATTTTGGGAGCCTCATTTATCTAATCTTTAAAGGATGCAAAGAATGTTTAGCCTGGAGGGTTATTATAAGGATTAAAAAGATGATTCCAATACCATGCGTGGTTCATAAGAGATGTTCTACAATATAGAATGTAGAGCTTTCATGTGTGCAGTTACTGATAATTTGCTTTTTTGTGTATATTGTTTGGGATATAGAGAATCCATTACCAGATCTCTGAGGGTTTCTCCTAGGAGTCAAGGGCATGCTGAAGGGCCCCCTCAAAGTGGTAGATGTGAAGCAGAAGCAAAACCATTCTCCCAAGGTCCAATAAATCTCTGGCCGCTTGTTTCCCGGTGACAAGTGTCTTTGTTATGAATAATCACACTCCACTCTACTCTTATCTTTTTTCTCCTTGTCAATTTCATTTCAAGCTACCTTCCTGCCTCAGCCCAATGCATTCCTCTAGGTTCTTAAAGGAAAACGAGGAAAGATATTATTTTCATCAGCATTTTTCGGTAGCCTGAAGGACTCTGTCATGCTTTCTTTTGGTTTGCAGTCATTGAATAGGACTTAAAGGTTTCAGAGGCCTCAGGAAATTGAGTTCATATGAACAAGTCTGGGTACATGGAGGCCATGGAAAAATTTTTGCTAAATCCTTTGATCCAAGTCCACTAGGATTCAGGGAATGAGTTGGACCAGCCAAAAGCTAAAGGATAGGGATGGTGCAAATTCTTTGGCAGGTCAACATGACTCCTAAGTGGAGGAAGGAGAGCATAATGCTTATGCAGTGCTTTGTATGCTGTGGTAAAGAATTAGATACTTTAAAAAACTTCCGGCCAGGCACAGTAGCTCAGGCCTGTAATCCCAGCACTTTAGGAGGCCGAGGCAGGCGGATCACCTGAGGTAGGCGGATCACCTGAGGTTGGGAGTTCAAGACCAGCCTGACCAACATGGAGAAACCCCATCTCTACTAAAAAAAAATACAAAATTAGCCAGGGGTGGTGGCACATGCCTGTAATCCCAACTACTCAGGAGGCTGAGGCAGGAGAATCGAGGCTGAGGCAGGAGAATTGCTTGAACCTGGGAGGTGGAGGTTGCGGTGAGCAGAGATTGCACTATTGCACTCCAGCCTGGGCAACAAGAGCGAAACTCCATCTCAAACAAACAAACAAACAAAAAAACTTCCAGTCCATTACAAACTGATATTTTTATAAAAATATAATGAAACTAAAATACTAAAAGAATAAGATAAAAAGAAAGACATAAAATTCAAACTTGTTTTATTAGATTCAACAGATATCAAATGACATTTCAATAAATATAATCAGAACAAATGTAACAAAGAATTACTGAAGCCATACATGTTCTTTATGAAAATGTGCAGTTGATTAATATTAATATAATCACTATTATACTCATAACTTTTTGCTATTTCACAATCATAAACAAAAGTTGAGTCAAGTAGCAATTCCCCATATTAAATTCCTATATACCTTTTTGAACAAACATTGTATACAACAATATTTGAAGGTTTTTTTTGTTTTTTGTTTTTTTAGAGACAGTGTCTCTCTCTATTGCCTAGGTTGGAGCACAATGGTGCGATCATAGCTCATTGCAGCCTTGATCTCTTATGCTTAACGGATCCTCCTGCCTCAGCCTCCTGAGTAGCTGGGACTACAGGCACGCCACTGTGACCTGCTAATTTTTAAATATTTTGTGAGATGATGTCTCACTATATTGCCCAGGCTGGTCTCGAACTCCAGGACTTATGTAATCCTCCCACCTTGGCCTCCCAAATTGCTGGGATTACAGGCATGAACCACCACTCCTGGCCAATATTTGAAGTTTTAATGTGGTAAATGACTTTGCTTCTTGTTTGTTAACTAATCTAGACACCACTACTCATGAGACATAATGCATATCTAAAATGTTTCAATGTTTTGTTTTACTAACACTCATAGTGGAGAGATCAATCTTACATAAGTGTGCTGACAGAAATGAAAGAAGAGATTTTAAGGCAATTTCAGCAAGGTCAGGATATTTGTTTTTAACTTTTATTCAACAAAGACTAAGCAATACTGTATTTTCAAAACTTATATTCAACCTTTCATCAGTAGCCAGTTCTAACGGTTAATCTTGTAAAGTTATAATTGAACTTACATTATCTTTTGATGAAAAAGATGGATTAAAAAGTTCTATGAATTTCCTGTGTATGAATTTTCTTTTGAAGGAAAATAAAATCCAAAATGTTCTGTCAAATTTGTAAGGTATTCAGAGAAAACTTTTTGCTGATATGATATTAAGATAATTACCTACGTCAATGATAATTGTTAAATTGTGGAACATGTCATAATAGTCTATAAAACTCTGTTCTTTCAAGATTCTAACTTTGTTGTTGTTCTTAGATATTATCTGCCATTGAAAAATATGTTGTATTACTTCCTTACATGGGCTAAGTACAAAGCTTAGATCATAAATACGCTGAAAATATAGGACAAAAAAATCCAGCTGGCAGTCTAACTCATATCTTTAAAAGTTAGGTTAAACTAGTTACTTATCTTGCAGAAACACTGAGAATATATTCTGTAGTTCAAACATTCTCAACAGAACTTTCCTCTTGATAATCATCATACCCAGCATGCAATATCATTGTTTATATTCAGTTTCTATATTATCACAAAATATAGAGAACAATCTGAAATATAATGCATTCGCTTCTATGTAATTCTCAGATTTTACCACGTCAGTGTGCACATTGGCTAGTTCAGCTAATATGATTTTTGTGGCTAGATTTTCTTGATGAAGGAAAGAGCATTGATTGACGTTCTGGGGACACCTTAATCTGAGTAACTACTCAGAATGTTTTCCTGTAATTGCAGCTGAGCCATCAGAACATTACTTCCACATGAAATTTAAACATCAAACCATATTCGTTGACAGATAATTGTCTTCATAGTTTTATACAGTTAAATGCTAGTTGTGTTTGTCAGCAATAGGGTTGGAAAAAGGAATTCTATCTTAATATTACCATTATATTGGAATTGTCCACATACTAAAAAATTACTGTATTAATTCTCTGTTAATACTATCGAGTTGCAGTGGAAAATGCTTTGCAAGCTTTATGTGCTTTTTTGTTTTTGTTTGTTTGAGACGGAGTCTCGCTCTGTCGCCCAGGCTGGAGTGCAGTGGTGCTATCTGAGCTCACTGCAACCTCCGCCTCCTGGGTTCAAGAAATTCTCCTGCCTCAGCCTCCCCAGCAGCTGGGACTAAAGGCACGTACCACCACACCCAATTAATTTTTGTATTTTTGGTAGAGACGGGGTTTCACCATATTGGCCAGGCTGGTCTGGAACTCCTGACCTCGTGATCCACCTGCGTCAGCCTCTCAAAGTGCCGGGATTACAGGCATGAGCCACCGCGCCTGGCTGCAAGCTTTATGTTTTCTCTGAGTTGATCATCCATAAACTAGCCCGTTTCTGTCATTGGAAAGTGGTATTTGAGCTACCTTCTTTGCAACCAAATTTACCCAGCATTTTCAAGCGAACCTCTTTCTTGCTTCTTTCATTAATGTCTTGGCAATTGTATACGGATTTTTAGTCTTAGCAAACTGAAGGGCTGTTTTATAAGAAGCCTGCACAGCACTAATGCTTCTATGAAACAAATTGAACATTGAACATCTACTTCTGTCGGCTTTTATGTCAATACTCTTTCTTTCAAGGATTATTTTTGTTTGTTTGGTGAACTTTTCTTTTAGTATGTAATTGCTGCCTACATTTTGATATATCTTACTGGTTCTTTTAGCTAGAAAATCTCCACAAGCACTACACCCCGTTTTAAGTACTTTACCATCAGTTATGGCTACAAAGTTGATCTCACTATTTGAAGAAAAATACTTCTGAATAAAACTAGTATAAATTATTTTGGCCTTCATTGTTCAGGATGCACGTTGGTCACGGTCATTTAGTTTACTACTGCTGCTGTGGGCATACTTGACGAAAAAAGTCCAGTGAAGTTTATTTTGCCGAGTGTCATTCATTCAGGGTTAAAACAAATATTCTATAAAATTTGTTTCTTTAATTTAGTTGATAATGTTAATCTCTAAAAATTAAAACAATTATAAAAACAAAAATTATTAAAAGAAATAAATGCCTACATTTTCTTTGATTTTTATACACTTTGAGTTACAGTTGACAAAGTAACCCTAAAACATGATGTATTGTAATGTGGTCCTTCTGCAGTGCATGACTTGTGGGCAACTTACACCACATGTAACTCACCAGGCAAGTTTGACAACATCCAAACTGGTCCATGCCCTATTCAATGAGACAGGTACACTGACTTAATCTTCCTTGGATATTGCAGCAATATCAAATTGTTAAAAAAGTTTCCAAACACTTTCTCTCGATTTCACTTATCTGAACCAGCTGGTAACAAACAATTCACGAAACAGCAATGGGCTGGGGACCACTCTTTAAAGGACAAGATTTGGAGTCTAGAGGTATTTGATTTGAAAACTAAATTTTATTACTTACCAGCTATGTGACCATGGACAAAACTTACAATCTCCTTTTCTCAAAAATGAAGATAATATTTTCCATCACAAAGAGTTGTTGTAAAGATGAAATAATGCATTCACACATTTGTTCATTGAGCAAATATTTATCAAACCTCTACGATGTGCCAGAAAACTGTTCTAGGATCTTGAGTTATATCAATGAACAAAACAGACAATGGCAAGAGACAGACAGCTAATAATAATTAGAAAGACAACAGCAAAAGAAATAAGTGAATTATAAAGTATGTTAAAAGGCGATAAGTGTTAGAGAAAAAGTGCATAGTAATGTATGCCAAGGGGTATCAAGAGTACTGGGGTAGGGGGAGAGGTGTAGATTGCAGTTGTAACAGAGTAATCCTGAAAAAAAAATTGATTTGATAATGCAAGCAGAGCCACAGTACAGAGCTTAGTGACTTAGTAAATGGTAGTCTTTATCATAATTAGTTCATGATGACTTAGTATTGCCAACAGGAAGCTAAAATGGCTTTATTTGGAGGTGCTTATGCAATTGAGTGTGTGCGCACAGGTATGCATGCACACACACACATGCACAAATACACACTCACATACACCTAGACATATAGTCACACGCCATAGAAATCTTATTTGGATTTAGCTGGTTCCCTCTAGTGCATACTTTCTGTTTGCATTTATGATCATTTGGGGACCCAAATTAGTGAGGGTTAGATTTGTTTTAGGATGAAATGAGAAGCTCGCAATTTTTTTTTTCCTGGTTATCATAGAGGAACTGTCAAAAGGCTAAGACAAGCATTTGATTCTACTTCGATTCTCTGTGCATCTAACTCAACTATTTTTTCCTCTTACTTTGTTAAAGTGTCACTGTCTCTTTTGATCCTGCAAGATGTATTATATTTGGCAGAAGCCATGGAAGAAAGTATATCAGAGAAGTGAAAACTGTTGTCATCAACTAACCCTCACAGTTTATGTTTGTTGAAGGTTCAACTGATCTTCACTACCTTTTCTTTTCTTTTTTTTTTTGAGACAGAGTCTTGCTGTCACCCAGGCTGGAGTGCAGTTGCACGATCTCTGCTCACTGCAACCTCCGCTTCCCAGGTTCAAGCGATTCTTCTGCCTCAGCTTCTCGAGGAGCTGGGACTACAGGCACGCACCACCCCGCCCGGCTAATTTTTGTGTTTTTGGTAGAGACAGGGGTTTCACCATATTGGCCAGGCTGGTCTCGAACTCCTGACCTCGTGATCCGCCCACCTTGGCCTCACAAAGTGCTGGGATTACAGGTGTGAGCCACCGCACCCAGCCCACTACCTTTTCAAATATAACTTACTCCTACAAAATTGTACACACAGCATGGTAAGGCTTTCATTAAAAAAATACAGATGTCTACAGAAAATAATGTTCATTTTAGAGTGGAGAGATTATGGATATTCTCTGATTTTTAAATAACCAATATGTCCTGTCTTAATAATCAGAAACAGTCAATAAATGTCTTTTTAAAAGAAAGAAAATAACCTACTCTTACTAACACAAGGACTCTTGCTCTTTTATGCTTTAGTTTTCATTGTGGGAGAGGTGGAGGAGTGGAATTTATTGGTTTGGAAATTGTTTTGAGCATTTCTCTTTTGGATTTTATCTCTATATTCTCTGAAAAGCTCTATGTGAATGTAGTACTCAAACTGCTTTGCTGTTTTATTATTAGACCACACTCCTCTAAACTTGGCCGGAACTCAAAGACCAATCCAGATAAGAATCTCCACAATGTGCATTTTCAAAGCAAGTCAGAAGCGGCTTTGTTTTAACACTCAAAGAAAGCTTTTGTGTTTTCAATTTCAAGTGCTCTGCAGTAAACCAACAGTCTCTATAGATTATACAGAAGGGTCATGTGTTGATTTGAGCCAGTTTCTGGGGGAAAAATCACTACCGAGGAACAGCAAGTGTTTAAACAATGAACTGACAGCTGCCGGTCCATTAGACCCCTCCACAAGGCCAACTCCTGCTCTTTTCAATTTCACTGTGATCTGTAGATACAGCTCTTGATGGCTGAGCTGGTGGTGATGGGCTAAGTTCCAATAGCACCTGCACTTATCAGAGCAATACCTTTTATCAGAGGACTCTTACATGAAGTCCTTTATAAAGAAGAGAAACAGCGCCAGCTAGGAAAGCGAGAAAAATAAAATATATACCTACTTCAAGTTCCGTATTGCCCATTTAAGTGCTTGTAGAGTTAGAAGTAAAATTTTGAAACTCTTGATTTATACTATGTTCTCGTGGCCATTCTCAGGGATATCAGGATTCATCTTTAACTGAAGTTTAATCTAAATAATTAAACCTCATAGTTTGCTAAATTAAATACTAATGTAATGATCCATGTGTTTCTTTTAAAAAATATCTTTCTGGCAATAGGCTTAAAAAAGCGAGAGGAAAGAATATTTTCTTCAGCTTCTGTTTCAGGCAACTACAATCCTTTTAATCTTCTCTGTACTGGAGTCAAATGTTCAAAATCATCAGCCCTTGCAAATGGGAATTTGGTTTAGGATTTCGCAGGAGAAGAGTAAAAAGTCCTAGATGAAGACACGCCTTTGATTCGTTTAATTAAGGTCTTTCCTCACCTTTGATTTGATTCTCTGCTGAATCACTTCTTCCCTTGAGGCCTTTAGGATGCCTGTATTGGGGATCTCTGGTTTAAATTTTCAGTTGATGTTTACATCTTGGGGTAGACATCCATCTGAGCCTCTCCACCTGAGTGTGGGCCCAATGCTTGCCTTGAGTACATCTCAAATTTGCCAAATCTTGATTGTTTACTCCATTCTTAACCCCATTATTCTCCCGCATCTCTGATCCTTAATAACTGTACCTCTGCTTTTCTAGACATAGCTTTAACCTGCAGCTGTCTGTACCTAGGCTGAACCTAGCTAGGTTATAGCTCTCCCAGTCTGACTGAACTGAGCAGTTAGTTCCACTGAACAATCATTTCAATTTACTTTTCAAAGATCAGTTGTGCTAGTTCTTCCATTCGATGGATTGACTTGTCTTGGTAATAACTGAGCAAATTTTTTAAAAACTTTAATTTTAGGTTTGGGTGTACATGTGAAGGTTTGTTACATAGGTGAACTCATATCACAGGGATTTGTTATACAGGTTATTTCATCACCCGGGTATTAAGCCCAGTATCCAATAGTTATCTTTTCTGCTCATCTCTCTCCTCCCACCCTCCACCCTCAAGTAGCCTCTGTTGTGCCCTTCTTTGTGTTCATGAGTTCTCATAATTTAGCTCCCACTTATAAGCGAGAACATGAAGTATTTGGTTTTCTGTTTCTGTGTTAGTTTGCTAAGGATAATACCCTCCAGCTCCAGCCATGTTCCCACCAAAGATATGGTCTTGTTCTTTTTCATGGCTGCATAGTATTCCATGGTGTGTATGTACCACATTTTCTTTATCCAGTCTGTCATTGATGGGCACTTAAGTTGATTCCATGTCTTTGCTATTGTGAATAGTGCTGTAATGAACATTCACATGCATGTGTCTTTATGGTAGAATGATGTATATTCCTCTAGGTATATATCCAGTAATGGGATTGCTTGGTCAAATGGTAGTTCTGCTTTTTTTTTTTTTTTTTTTTTGAGATGGAGTCTCTCTGTCGCCCAGGCTGGAATGCAGTGGCGCCATCTCGGCTCACTCCAAGTTCCGCCTCCCGGGTTCACGCCATTCTCCTGCCTCAGCCTCCTGAGTAGCTGGGACTACAGGCATTCGCCACCATGCCCGGCTAATTTTTTTTGTACTCTTAGTAGAGATGGGGTTTCACCGTGTTAGCCAGGATGGTCTTGATCTCCTGACCTCATGATCCACCCGCCTCGGCCTCCCAAAGTGCTGGGATTACAGGCATGAGCCACCGCACCCGGCCAGTTCTGCTTTTAGCTCTTTGAATCGCCATACTGCTTTCCACAATGCTTGAACTAATTTACATTGCTAGCAGCAGTGTATAAGTGTTCCCTTCTCTCTGCAACCTCACCAGCATCTGTTGTGAGATGATATCTCATTGTGGTTTTGATTTTACTGAGCAAATTTTTGACTGATAAAGTCAAAACAGAAAATTGGTCATGTCTCAAATAGCATCCTCTTTTTAAAGCCTTTTTCCCCCTGCAAGAATACTGAGTAAATTTGGTAGGTGTAGGGAATAGGTGTTTTTGTAATTTCGTGGCTCAAAGTTTGAAACCAAAGCCAAAAGGGGCTGCCTCATTTGATCAGACCAAAGTGGACAATAGTGTACAGTACTTTAATATGAACACCAAAGAAGGCTTAAAGTTGATGCCATGAGGCCTGCAGTAAGTCATTTCTCCACTATCTAAAACTCTCCATCTAAAATCCAGCCCACATAGTTTAGTCCTGTTAGTAGCTATCAGTGTTTGGACTTTTCTTCCTCAGCACAAGTGTAAACACTTTGAGATCAGCCATGTCCCACTGCTTTTTGGACCTTTCACAATACCTGGCACCAAAGTCAGTGTCCAGTAAGTTTCCAACAATCACTGAATTGAGTTGAATTCATAGTTAACTTGAAGAAGGGAAAGGCTTGGATTGAAAAATATAGATTCATGCATTTTTAAGGTGGTAAATATTTATATAACACAGGGATGAAGGAGGATGTAAATAATACCTCAGAGGAAGTGCCTCAAAAGAACCTCAGGGGAGCCTTTCACCACTCAGAACAGATTGATGTCACATCACCTTGACTATGGGGAAAGGAAATCAAAATAGGTTTACTATTCAAATAACTACTTCAAAAGTTAAAGCAGCTACTAAATCAATCGAGCATAACATTTTTACCAAAATGTCATAAAGCATTGGATGGTGAAATAACAGTAAAAGATTCATTAGAATTGCTTACACCATCCAGAATGAGATGAACAGTGGAGCAATTTTATCTGGACATGGAGGCATCCTGACTCCTCTGTATCAGACAGAAACAGTCAAGCCAATGAGATAAATGCAAACACTGTGAAATAGTCTCTCTATGTATCATCAGAATAAGGAGCAACCCAAGTTATAAAAAAAATGCTGAACAAAGTCTGAAGTACTACCGCTGTCAAAATGCTGACATTGATTTTATTCACTTCTTGAGATCTAAATTGGAAAATCAAAAAAGATCAGATTGAACACAGGTCTTTATGATATACTATAATCAAAGACAATGTAGGGCTAGAACTACAATGCATAGCGGAAGTCCTGAAGGATGGAATTTGCTGATTCTTGGACAGAGGGATGAGCTACCATTATCAAAATGCGCTTTGTTCCACAACTTAGTGATTTATTACTCATGTTGCCATTCACAGATCATTGTCTCATCACTCAGACGAAGAAATCTGAAGCTTTGTAAAGAATAATAAGGAAAGGGAAAAACCTAAACTCACACAATTATGTGAAAATAAAGAAAAGGAAAACTAATTTGCTAACAAACGGCATTCATCTTCGCTTAAAAAAAAACGCAGAGGCTCAAAGCAGCAGCTCTTCCCTGTGGTTATATATAAAAGCAGAGTTGCTTAAAAATTTTCAGAGATTAGGTTTCATAGAGAAATATATTTATAGAGAAAACAGAGATGCCAAAATGGAGCCAGAGAGCTCTAGTCTGGAATCTCTGCTTCTTTTGTCAGGTAACTGCTCCATCAATTAACACACGATGTCAGGAGTCGGCAAACCGGCTCATGGGCAAAATCCGACCCCACCACCTGTTTTTGTACCACCACTCAAGGGCTAAGAATGGTTTTGACATTCGTAGATGGTTGCAAAATGTTTTTTAAAAGAATGGTATTTAGTGGCATGTGAAAATTACATAAAATTCCAAATTCAGTGTCCATAAATAAGGTTTTATTGGAACATAGCCACGCCCATGAAAACCAGATTGTCTGTGGCTGGCTTCCCCTGCTACAATGGCAGAGTTGAGTAGTTGTGAGAGACCATGTGGTCTGCAAAGCCTAAAATGTTTATTATCTGGCCTTTTATGGAAAAAGTTTAGGAACCCCTATATTATATGATTAATGACATATTTATACCCAGAAAGAAGACATGATGAAATATGTTTAGAAACAGGCTGGGACTTCATGCAACTTCATATCTGAAGAAAAAAAAAATTATCCTATGCAAATATGCAGACATGTTTACCTCCAAACACATACATATGAGGCACCTACAGATGACCTGTAATGGCAGTTAATACATTTTATGAATGCTTTTGACGGAAGGGTGAGTTCACATATCACCTGGAGGGCTACTCATGAGAGGAGATTAGCATTTGAAACAGATCCCTGGTGGCTTTTCTCTGTCCTCTTTATGACTGTGGAATAGATGGGCTGTATTTGACTGAGCTTATTTCATAACATTCTAGAACCATGCAGTAGGAAGGAAGACCAAGGTTAGGTCTTTTCAAATTTAAATATATTGAAAGTCACCAATACCAGTGAAAACCAAATTATTCTTAGAAACTTGGAGCATTAAAAAACAATTGCAGCTTCCTTGGCATCACCTCACTCCTATACCCTAGAATGCATGTTAGTTATAATAGGTTGTATGTTTTCTGAATGCTTGAGAACTTGACCAGAGAGAAAATAGGGCACGCACAACAAAATATATTCTTAAATTTCCTGGTTATGGCTTTCTTATTTTAGACAGCTCAAGTATAAATGCAATCCTGACCTTTAAACATCCACACAATGATGTGTGAAAGATATGCAATACGAAGGCTTGGAACTAGGCGGGGACAAGGACAGCTCCTGGAACTTCCCCATCAGTTGAGAGTTCTTTGTGCTCCACAGCCTCTAGGGTCCTCTGGCATTTACATTACACATATCCCGCCAAGCATTATATTCCTAATTTAGTCTGCTACTGTCTTATAGCATGCTGATTTGCTAAACATAATTTGTAGCGTGCTATTGGGCTGAAAGTCACGGCCCACAATCAGGCTGAGTAAAACTTTCTTCTAAAATGTTTTTAATAGAGGAACAAATACATTTTTAAAAATTCTACTTGTTGTATGCATGAATGATCCTGAGAATAAAAACAACTAGGGCATGGATGCAACATATAAATCAGTGGATACTGTGGAAAACTAGCTATTTTGATTGGAATGTATCCTGTTGGAATATTGCAGCAGCTCTGTGGGAGCCAATAACTTAAGAGGCAGAGCAAGTGAATGTGGGAAACAAGGAAGAGAAGCCTTACATCTTGTTCACGGACTGAGGAAGGAAGTTGATGCCTGCAGGGCTCTGGACAAAGTGCTCCTAGAGAGCATTTCTTCTGTCACAGACAGTGTAGTTAATTGCAAAAAACGCCTCAAATTCCTTCCGTCTCTGTATGTGTGCCCTCTGCAATGGAACTCTGCTGCTCCGCCATCAAGAGGTAGAAATGTCTCTCTCCCAACTGACCTCCTTGCAACAGCAGGCGAGGACTTCAACCCATGGGTTTACTTAACTTGTTTTCCTCTGTGAATTCTATTATCTTAACAAAAGTTTGGTTTCTATACTGCATTAATACACGAATTACTCTCAGTTAATATGTATGGGTTATGTATGGGTTTGATTTTTTTTTTTTTGGATGGGGTAAAGCAATAAAGGAGTAAAGAAAACAACTATTTAAAATGTCACAATTGCCAGCCGCGGTGGTTCATGCTAGCACTTTGGGAGGCCAATCCCAGCACATTGGAAGTGCCAATCCCAGCACTTTGGGAGGCTGAGGCAGGCAGATCACTTGAGATCAGGAGTTCGAGACCAGCCTGGCCAACATGGTGAAACCCCGTCTCTACTAAAAATACAAAAATTAATCAGGCATGGTGTTGCATGCCTGTAATCCCAGCTACTTGGTAGGCTGAGGTGGGAGGATTGCTTGAACCTGGGAGGTGGAAGTTGCAGTGAGCCCAGATCACACCACTACACTCCAGCCTGGATGACTGAGTGACTCCATCTTAAAGAAAAAATAAAGTCACAATTTAGCTCATGGCTGAAGGATTGTTTTAAACTGAATGCTTCCAAACTAATCCCTGTTCAAAACCCACTGATGACTTCCCATCAAATAAAATCCTCCCTCATTTCAATGACCTGAAAGTTGTGCTAGAACTGCCTTTCTCATTGGCCTCAACTCCTACCACTCTCTCCATTATTCACTCTGTTGCAGACACACTAGCTTTTCTTGCTGTTCCTGGAATATACCAAGATTGTTCTCACTTCCTGGTCTTTGCCCTGACAATTCCCTATGCTTGGAATGCTCCAGCTCTAAGTCTTCCTTTCCTTCCCCTTCCCCTTCCCTTCCCTTCCCTTCCCCCTTCCTTCCTTCCCTCCCTCCTTCCCTCTCTCCCTTTCTTTCTTTTTGATTGACAAGTCATAACTATGATGTTTTGACCTATGTATACATTACAGAAAGATTTAATCCAGCTAATTAACATATTCATCACCTGGCCAACTTAACATTTTTTTGTGTGGTGAGGACATTAAAAATATATTCTTTTAGCAAATTTGATATATATAATACATTATTATTAACTATCATCACCACGCAGTGCAATCAAAAACTAAAACTTATTCCTGCAGTGTAACTTTAACTTTTTTTTTTTTTTTTTTTTTTTTTTTTTTTTTTTTGAGACGGAGTTTCACTCTTGTTGCCCAGGCTGAGTGCAGTGGCACGATCTTGGCTCACTGCAACCTCTGCCTCCCAGGTTCAAGCAATTCTCCTGCCTCAGCCTCCCTAGTAGCTGGAATTATAGGCATGTGCCATCAAGCCCGGCTAATTTTGTATTTTTAGTAGAGACGGGGTTTCTCCATGTTGGTCAGGCTGGTCTCGAACTCCTGACCTCAGGTGATCCGCCCGCCTCGGCCTCCCAAATGCTGGGATTATAGGCGTGAGCCACCGCGCCTGGTCTAACTTTAACTTTGTATCAGGTCTTCTTGTGATTTACTCCTTCACTGGGAATTAGGATTTTTTCCAAATTCTCCAGGATGTTCTAACATGTGGCCAGGGTTGAAAATAACTGAACTAGAATGTCATTTAAGCTCAGATTTCTTCGAATTTTAACATGCAGATAAACTACCTGGGAATCTTATTCCAGCACAAATTTTGACTCAGGAGTGGAGTGCAGTGGCGCAACTGTAGTTCACTGCAACCTCAAACTCTTGGACTCAAGTGATCCTCCTGAGTCGCTGGGACTACAGGATCATGCCACTGTGCCTGGCTAATATTTTTTATTTTTTTGTAGAGACAGGGTCTCACTCTGTTGCCCAGGCTGCCCTCAAACTCCTGGCCTCAAGTGATCCTCCCGCCTTGGCCTCCCAGAATGCTGAGATTACAGGCGTGAGCCACCGTACCCAGCCAGATTCTTTATTATAACAAACTCCCAGATGATACTCATCTCCCATCCCAATTGTGAGTTTCTTAAGGCCAGAAAATAGACCTCAATTGGTGGTGCCAACTTCAAAAAAAGTTCCCTGTGAATGTTTGCTGACTGAAAGCTTTGCAGTTGCCACGGCTTACTTTTATGGCCTCATGCCACCACTGGTAGCTTCTGATGACCTAAAATAAAATGGTATATGTTACTTAATCAATAAGTCAGGTTCCATAACATACATATGGATGTTACAAAAGGATTTTACGTTGGGTAAATGTTTAGTATTAACTCCTTACATTTTAGAGCCATAACAATTTTATGCTGGACCAAGAATGAAGCTTTCATCTCTACTATGATAAACTGTGCTCTGGTTCTTCAAATCCCTCCCCATGGCTATTATTATCACCTGAGTCTTTCTGGGTTTGACATGGAGTGAGGTAGACTTCAGCCAAGAGATTTTCTAAGGGAAAAAATGGGAAAGTAAAGATGCTGCTCTCTTTTTGGTAACCAATCTCTTCTGTATGGTCATAAATAGCACTGATTCCTGGCATCCATACCACATAACTAGATTTCCAGGTTTCAGTTCTGTCAATAACATCATCAATTGCCTTTATAGCATTTTCTTCTGAAGTCTTCTTTGTGCCACTTTATATATCTTCTCTGCCTAGAACGTCCTCACCCAAAAGATATCCCTCAGGCACCCCATTTAGTCCCTGGATAAATCCAAAATGAAGTCGCCTCTGCTCTTGCCCCACCTTACACTGGCAGAGAAGATAATCTAATTTCAAGGGATGCGTCTTCTCTCTTCCCCAGAGTACAAGAGAATAGGATTTCTTCTTAACGAGGTTAACAGGGATATTGTTGTTTTAGGGTTTGCTGACAGGCTGAAGATTTATCCTCCCCACTCTTTTTCCTGACTGAGAAGAGAATTGCAGACCTGGAATCTGCAGTACCTCGGGGTCGCTTGGTAACTTAAAATTGATGACTTGGAAAGAAAATGGTGATAAAGATGCTATCCGGGGATGTGTCCTTTTATAGAGAGGTATTGTAATTTTGGGGGGCAATGTTTTCATGCACCTCTTTTGAAAAGAAATCACAATGGTTTAGGGTTGTGCTTTGATCAATCACTTAATCAGCAAAGGTCTCATGGTCACTCTTTTCTGAGCATAGAGATAAAGTTGTACAATTTACTGATTAAAAAAGGGGAGCACAAGGATGCTAATTAAACACATGCAGATACAATAGTGTCTAGTTCCATTCTGTAATGCTCAAAGTCAGAAAAAAACTAATCTATGCTGTTGGCAGTCAAAGTAGAGGTTACTTTGGGGTGGGGGTTAGTGACTGGAAGGGATCATAAGGGATACTTCAAGGGTGCTGAAAATTTCCTATTTCTGGATTCTTTTACTTGGATGTGTTCACTTTGTGAAATTTCATCGACTATACGTTTATGATGTGTGCACTTTTGTTTGTATTCCACACTTCATTAAAAGTTTGCCAATAAATATCCAACAAATATAAACACTCTTTTAAATCAAGTTTTCTACTTATAAATAAATCACCAGATCAAGAAATCAGTGTCTGAAAGTGTATTTGAAAATTGGCTGTGCAATTGAAGACTGGATTCCTCCCTTCTCTGAAATTAACATTTTCTAATCGGACTTTAGTGCCATGTATGTTTTAACCCTCTTCCTGATCCTAATAGCTTTGCCTTGATTGTGTTTAATGCTGGAAAAGTCATCACTTGGAAGAAGCTGCAACTTTAATAGGCTTCTTTATCTTGTTGACAAATTATATCTTGGATACGTGCTTGCATTGAAATATGCAGGCTTCCATTGGTTATTAGTCACTGTAACCACCACAGATCTCAGTGGCAGTGCTCACTATCAACACCTGCAGGATAAGATGGGAGACCTATGTGATCAAGCCTAGTGTTCCCTGGATACTAATTAGGTCTCCGCACAATGAGACTGGCTTTGCTTACCAAGTGAAGGAATGAATTAAAATGTTGAGGCAGATTGTACCAGTGCCTGTTTTATTCCCTAGGAACAAAACAGATATAATAAATGAATTCTTGGGGTCTTTAAAATCTCTGTTTTAAATTTACTTTTTAATTTCTGGAATGGCTTCACATGGCTCATGAATCAAGAAGTATGAATAGAATATAGGAAATCATCTTTTTCCCACCTCTGTCTTCCATCAGCCACCCCACCAGCACTGCTGGTAGTGTCTTTGTATCTTTCCAGAGACTATTAATGTATATTCAAATAAAATGTGAAAATAACAATAATAAAGTTCTATCAGCCTCCTGTGATCACTAACAAATCCCTATTTAAGAGCCTTGGCACTCACAGTGTGGTCCAAAGACCAGCAGCATTAGCATTACTTGGAAGTTTCTTAGAGATGCACAATCCCAGGCCTTGCCCTACATCCATGAGTCAGAATCTATGTCTTTGTTCATTTTGTGCTGCTGTAACAGAATAATAGTCTGTTTATAATGAACAGAAATTTATTGCTTCACAGTTCTGGAGGCTGAGAACTTCAATATCAAGGTGCTGGCATCTTGCAAGGGACTTCTTGCTGCATCATCACATGGCAGAAGATGAGAGGACAAGAGAGAGAGAAGGGGGCCAAACTTGCTCTTTTATAATAGTATTAATGCCACCTATGAGGGCAGAGTCCTCATGGCTTAATCACCTTATAAAGGTCCCATCTCTTAATACTGTTAAAATGGCAATAAAATTTCAACATGAGTTTTGGAGAGGATGAGCATCCAAACCATAGCATTCTTCCCCTGACCCCCCACAAACTCATGTCCTTCTCACATCCAAAATATATTTATTCCATCCCAGTAGCTCCAAAAGTCTTAACTCATTACAGCACCAACTCAAACATCTAAAGTCTAAACTCAAAAGTCTGAAGTCTAGAGTCTCATCTAAATCTGATATGGGTGAGACTCAGAACATAATTCATCCTGAGACAAATTTCCTTCCAGCTGTGAATCTGTGAAATCAAAACACATTACAGGCATAGGATAGGCAATGTCATTCCAAAAAGGAGCAACAGGAAAGAAGAAAGTGGAAACAAGTCCCAAATAAGTCCAAAACACAACAGGGAAAACAACACTAAATCTTAAAGCTGGGGAATAATCTTCTTGACTTCATGTCCCATCATCTGCATATACTAGGCAGGGGTTGGGCCTCCAAAACCTCCAAAACCCTGGGGTGGGGGCACTCCCATGGCTTTGCTGGTTGCAGCCCATGCAGCTTCTCTCATGGGTTGAAGTTGGATGCCTGCAGCCTTCCTACACTGGCATTGCATGCTGGCGGCTCTATAGTTATGGGATCTCTAGGGTGGCCTTGCTCCCACAGCTCCACTAGGTATTGCCCTAGTGGAGACTTTCTGTGGTGGCTTTGCCCCTCTGGCAAATCTCTGCTTGGATTCCAAGGCTGTCTGTGACAACCTTTGAAATATAGGTAGAGAAAACTGTGCCTCCACAGCCCTTGCATTCTGCAAGCCTGCAGAATTAGCACCACTTGGATGTCACCAACGTTTACCGCTTGCATCCTTCGGCAGTGCGTCGAGCTTCGTTCTATCCATACTAATCTCATTAAACTGTTGGTTGGTCACACCACTGCTTTTACTGGTTTTCTTTTCCAAATATGCTTTTTTATTCTTTATGTATGAATATGCTTTTTTATTCTTTATGTGATTAGGTTGGGGATTTAAAAAAATCTTTAGCCAGGTGCGGTGGCTCACGCCTGTAATCCCAGCACTTTGGGAGGCTGAGGCAGGTGCATCACGAGGTCAGAAGATCAAGACCAGCCTGGCCAACATGGTGAAACCCCGTCTCTACTAAAAATACAAAAATTAGCTGGATATGATGGTGCACGCCTGTAGTCCCAGATACTCAGGAGTCTGAGGCAGGAGAATTGCTTGAACCCAGGAGGTGGAGGTTGCAGTGAGCCAAGATAGCACCACTGCACTCCAGCCTGGCGACAGAGTGAGACTGTCTCAAAAAAAAACCAAAAAACAAAAACAAAAAACAAAACAAAACAAAAAAAACTTAACATTCTGCTTCCCTTTTAATTATAAATTTCATGTTTAAATTCTTTCTCTCTTCTCGCATTTTACTACATGAAGTTAAAAGAAGCCATACAGCACGCTGAATGCTTTTCTGCATAGAATTTACTCTGCCAGATATCTTAACTTATTGCTCTTAAGTTTTGCCTTCCATAAAGTCCTGGGACATGGACACAATGCCACCAAATTCTTTGTAACCTTATAATGAAGATAGTCTTTTCTCCAGTTTTCAATACCTTGATCCTCATTTTCATTGAAAACATCATCAGAATGGCCTCTACTGTCCATATTTCTAACCACTAACCTCTAAGAAAATTTAGACTTTCCTTACAGCTATTCTTATCTCCTGAGCCCTATCAGAATCATCCTTAATGTTCCATTCATAGCAATGTGAGCTTTTTTCAGCATTCACTTCAAAACTATTCCTGCCTCTACTCATTACCCAGTTCCAAAGCTACTTCCACATTTTCAGGTATTTGTTATGGCAACATTCCACTTCTCTGGTACCAATTTCTTAGTCTGTTTTGTGCTGCTATGAGAGAATGCCACAGACTGAGTAATTTATAAAGAACAGAAATGCAACGGCTTACAGTTCTGGAGGGTAGGAAGTCCAATATCAAGGTGCTGACATCTGTCAAGGGCTTTCTTTCTACATTATCGCATGGCAAAAGAGAGAGAAGGGGGCTGAACTTGCCCTTTTATAAAGTATTAATCCCACCTATGAGGGCAGAGTCCTCATGGCCTAGTCACCTCTTAAAAGTTCCACATCTTAATACTGTTACAATGGCATTAAAATTTCTTTCTTTCTTTTTTTTTTTTTTTGAGGCGGAGTCTTGCTCTGTCACCCAGGCTGGAGTGCAGTGGCATGATCTCGGCTCACTGCAACCTCTGCCTCCCAGGTTCAAGCAATTCTGCCTCAGCCTTCCAAGTAGCTGGGATTACAGGCGCACACCACCGTGCCCGGCTAATTTTTGTAATTTTTTTTTTTGAGACGGAGTCTCGCTCTTTTGCCCAGGCCAGACTGCAGTGGCGCTATCCCGGCTCACTGCAAGCTCCGCCTCCCGGGTTCACGCCATTCTCCTGCCTCAGCCTCCCGAGTAGCTGGGACTACAGGCGCCCGCCACTGCGCCCGGCTAATTTTTTTTTTTTTTGTATTTTTTTTTAGTAGAGACGGGGTTTCACCGTGTTAGCCAGGATGGTCTTGATCTCCTGACCTCATGATCCACCCGCCTCGGCCTCCCAAAGTGCTGGGATTACAGGCGTGAGCCACCGCGCCCGGCCAATTTTTGTAATTTTTTAGTAGAGACGGGGTTTCACCATGTTGGCCAGGTAAAATTTCAACATGAGTTTTTGAGGAGACAAACATTCAAACCATAGCAATCTGCACTTTAACAAGATCCCCAAGGGATTTGTAATGCCTTAAAGTGTGAGAAACAATTGTTTAGGGGAAAGGGACCATAGGGGTGTCAAGATCTATAGGCTATAGGGTACCCAAAGTATCCTCAAAGAGTTCTTTATTCTTTTCGGGAAAAATTAAAACTCAGTATATTTGCATTATCCTTGTCACAACGTTTCCAGATAATCTTCTGTTGTGCTTGTATGCAATGATGTGCAAGTGTCCTAGACAGACATTTATGGCCCTCTGAATGCTTATCCCTGTCTCCTTTATCACTAGTATTTGAGGACTTGTTCCTGTGTATGTGTAGACCAGAATGTTGGGTGTCTTGGTGTTGGCTCTATTGCCTACCTAACAAACAGGAGAATAGGATACATTCCTGGCTTTTGCATCATCTTTCCCCAAATATCTTCCATCTTGCTGTCCTACCCTTCCTCCTTTGCTGATCTCTACTTGCCTTCCTTTATGTCTTGGCCCAGTGCCCTCAGTTGGAGGCAGCAGCAGATTTCTTCACCATCACCAGCCACCATCCTCGTCAACTTTTGTTGATGCTCTGGGTGGTTCCTCTTAGGTTCAGTGATCCTACCCACAGCCTTCAAACACATCATCTTGTTTCAGTCTGAGGATTTGTAGTCGGAGTAATCAGCATGAGAAACAAGAGAGAGAAAAGTCATTTTAAAATTCTCAGTGGTTCTTAGAATGAAACATAATATTGTTTATGGCTTTTAGTGGAGGGAAGAAATGCCATGAGTTGGTTGTCTCTTGTGTTGCCATATGATCTTTTTGCTAGTTATGTCTATTGGAGTGAGACCTTTTTTTTTTTTTTTGCATTTTTGTATCCTGGTTCCTCTAAGAAAGGACACACTGAAACTTCACATATTTTCTCACTCCCTTTCCTCTATTTTTCCAAGTTCTTTCCTCAACGGATATTAGCCAGAGAACACACCTTTACACCACTTAACCATTCACCTAGATTTACTCTATTCTAGATTTCTTTCACTGCAATTTACAATTTACAAGCATTAGGCATCTATTGAAGTCTGATGCTAAGGGTTTTAAAAAAATTACTTTTATTGAATTATACATACTAAAATGTGCACATGTCATAAATGTATAATTGAGTGAGGTTTCAGTAACTGATTACATCCATGAAATCAGCGTCCAGATTAAAAAACAGACCACGTTTAACAACTCAGAAGCCTCTACCTCCTGTATAGTCACCACATGCCTCCATCAGTAGTCACTATCTTGACTCCTAATAGCATATTAAACTTCTGTTTTTATGCTTTATGTAAATGGCATCAAACAATATGTACTCTCTTGCATCTGGCTTCTTTCACTCAATATTATGCTCGGCAGATCCAACCATATTGTGTATAAAGTCGAAGGTCATTAATTCTCATTGCTGTATTATTTATTCATTCTACCATTGATGATTGTTTGTGTGGTTTCCAATTTGGGGCTATTATGAATAGCATTGCTATGAAAATTCTTGCACATGTCTCTTTATGAAAGTACATAAGTATTTCTACTGGGTATATACCAAAGATAAAACTTGCTGGGCGATGCTGAGTTTTAATGTATCAAGGCTGATTAGTTTGTGCACATCAGTGCCAAGGAAGTAACGTATGTGATTAGGCAAGTACACATGCATTCAGACACCCAAGCATGAGACTAGGAGTCAAAATCTTTTTTCCTCTATGTGAAAAAGGAACTCTTTGCCTCCCAGCAATTTCTGAGCTCCTAGCTTATTCCAGCTTTCCAAGGATGCAGTGTTGATTGCTTTAGTTTATTTTATGATTTTAATGAGATCACCCCGCTGCTGCAATAGCTTTTCCAAGCATGACACGTCCTGGCTCCATAGTGAGAACCAAGTCAATTCTCAGCTGTGTGCCAGCAGCAGCTGAAAAATTGCTACTCATGATTTTCTGCTTTGGAATCTCCATCCTTAAGGGTAAATAGCAGAGGCAGGACAAGCCATAAGCCAAGCAGGTGGTCGTCTGCATGCTGTCATTGGAAGCTCCGACTGGCCCTTAAATAGCTCTGTCATAAATACCCCCTTTCTGGAGGGCCTAGAACCCCCACCTTTTTAGGTATCATTTTAGAGTAGAACACTAAGGCAGGAGAGATGCCTCTGGAAGGCTACTGCTGAAA
Organism: Homo sapiens; assembly: GCF_000001405.40. Taxonomy (NCBI): domain Eukaryota; kingdom Metazoa; phylum Chordata; class Mammalia; order Primates; family Hominidae; genus Homo; species Homo sapiens. Next base: position 31,007,804 of record NC_000023.11, read on the forward strand.
TTTGCTGGTTTCTTGCAGGAAGAAGGAGAGCCTTTAATTGTCTCCTAGGGGGCTAATAAGTCATAAACTCGGAAGTCAAAGAGAAGTCAGTGCTCAGGGCACAGGAACTATAAGTTTCAATGGAGGCGGCAAGGCTAGGAGACTGCAACAGCAGAGGCTAAAGGGGTAAGAAAAGAACCTTAGGGCCAGTGATAAGAAGATCCTAGGCCTGGAGAAGACTCATTTTGAGGTCCCTTGACCACCTAGAAGGCAAGTCTGGGGTTAGGAGAACACCCAAGAGCAAAATCTTTGCTGGGAAGCCACTCGAATCTTAATGATCTGCATCTCAGATTCTCTGATTTCATCTGATGAATAAAAAAATTCTGATCTTTATATTTTAAAAAAATCTCTGCTGTTTGTACTTTTCTTATTATGCTAATCTTATTTGGGTGTATTTTAACCGTTTTTTGTTGGGGAGAGTAATGAGGCCATAATTTGATGCTTTATTCTCAACTCCAGGCTAAGACTTTTTTTGTTAAATTTATGATATTTTTCTCTGTATTCATACATATGTATATATATATATAGTGTTTGATATCATTACTTTCTTTCATGATAGTGATTTTGAGGGAGGAAGACACATTCACCAACATTAAACAGGCTTAAAAATCTTTGTTTCTACAAAATAATGTTTCAGAAGCTCCAGTTTTATGGAAATGAAGAAAGTAGAAACTGTATAGTACTCTGTATCTGACTGTATGTTAAAGATATTGTAGGAGTTAGGGATGTCTGTTGCTTATAGTTTTTGATAATAAAGGGCAGGTTTTTGGAAACAGTATTCTGATTATTTCTTATCAAATAACATTTAACACATGTATTAAATACATTCCTGGCCAGGTGAGGTGGCTCATGCCTGTAATCCCAACACTTTGGGAGGCCAAGGCAGGAGGATCGCTTGAGCAAAGGAGTTCAAGACCAGCCTGGGCAACATAGTGAGACTTTATTTAGTCTCTACAAATAATAAAAAAATAACTGGGTGTGGTGGTGTGAGCCTGTAGTCCTAGCTACTCAGGAGGCTGAGGTGGGAGGATTGCTTGAGCCCAGGAGGGTGAGGCTGCAGTGAGCTGTGATCATACCACTGCACTCCAGCCTGGGTGACAGGGCAAGACGTCATCTCAAAAAAAAAAAAAAAAAAAATCCCTATAACAAAATGTAGTGCTTGGCCATGGGATGCGGCTGGCCTTTGGAGAAATGGATCAGAACCTGATTTTCTCCCTGGCTCCTCTCTCTACCTTCAACCAAGACTTCTGAAGCAAAGAAAGAGACTGTATAATGAGACAACACTACATATGCAAAGAAACTTTAAGAAAATTATAATAATATTCATAAAAATACTTATATAAGAATGTTCATAAGCTTTTCTCATAGTAGCCAATAACTGGCAATGACTCAAATTTCCATCAATAGGAGAATGGATAAACAAATTTTGGTGCATTCATACAATGGAAAATCTCTCACCAATGAAAAGTGATAGACAGGAGATAGCAACGGTACCCCATCGAAACCCACCTTCAAGCCTAAAACAGCCTGGAGGCTGAAAGACTGGACTGCTGGTTCTGGATGAAACCCGCGATCCAGAGGGAAAAATGCCCTTGTTTGCCCACTCTTTCCCAACTGATTCTTTCTGAATAATGCCCACATGTGCACTGGGGCAATGGGGTAGAGTGAGCAGTAATTCACACCTTATGCAGTGAGAGGAGCCTGGCCTCTTCAGCTCTTGTGTGATGAACTGGTATTCAATCTATGAGGTGGGAGCCCGTTGGCAGGACTCCCTCTTGCTTTGCTGAGAGTTTGTTTTTCTTTTTCCCTTTTTGCCCAATAAGTTCCACTGTCGTCACCCTTCAATGTGTCCGCGTGCCTAATTTTTCTTGGTCATGACACAGGAACCCGAATTTAGCTGAACTAGGAAGCCAAAATCAAAAGGAACAAGCTACTGATCATGCAACTTTATGGGTAAATCTCAAGGATGTTTTGTCAAAAGAAGCCAAAATCAAGAGTACATACTGTGTGATTCCATTTATATGAAGTTCTAAAACAGTCTAACTTAATCTGTGGTGATAGCAATTAGAACAGTGGTTGACTAGGGTGGGGATGGGGGTGGAGTTTCAGCGGAGATTGGCTACAAGGAGAACAAGAAACTTTCTGAGATAATGGAACTGTTTCAGATCTCAAACGAGGTGCTGTTTTCATTTGTCAAAACTTGTCAATGTCCTCTTATGATCTGTGCCTTTTACTGCATAGAAATCATATTTCAGGAACAATAATTTTAAAAGAATACCATAGTATGTGAGAGGTGGCATGCAGTGGAGGCCTCTGTTGTCCAGGTTATGCTTTTCTATTACAGCTGCAGCTGTGGGAGACAGTACTGACTAAAGTCAGTAGTCAGGACCTTCTCCAATTCCAGGAACACAAAAAACCCATGCTAAAGCACAGCCCACAGTTCAGTGTTCCTGGGGGCCACTCTCAAGCCTTGGGGAAAAAGAGACAATGGATAAATACTCCAGCCTGTCCAACAGACAATTCTGAAAAGTCTTTTGTGGACTTTCAGTGGTCTTTGTGGAATTGAGTCCCTGTAAGTAGAATAAAGCACCCTCACACTAGCTAGTTCTCATTACCCATCTCACTTTTTCTTCTCCTTCACTCCTACATCCTGGTGTCACCAGTGGAGGGTGTCCAGATTCTTGGCATCTTGAACAAAGAATTGGACAAAACACACAAACAAAGCAAGGAAATAATGAAGCAACAAAAGCAGAGATTTTTTTAAATATACTTTAAGTTCTGGGGTACATGTGCAGAACGTGCAGGTTTGTTACATAGGTATACACGTGCCATGGTGGTTTGCTGCGCCCATCAACCCGTCATCTACATTAGGTATTTCTCCTGATGCTATCCCTCCCCCAGACCCCCACCCCGCAAAAGCAGAGATTTATTGAAAATGAAAGTACACTCCACAGAGTGGGAGCGGGCCCGGGCATAGGGGCTCAAGAGCCCAGTTACAGAATTTTCTGGGGTTTAAATACCTTCTAGAGGTTTCCATGGTTACTTGGTGTATGCCCTATGTAAATGAAGAGGATGAAGTAAAGTTACAAAGTCATTTACTCGGTGTATGCCCTGTGTAAATGGAGAGGATATTTCCTGTATAGCTGAAGTGTTTCCATTTGATTTAGTTCTAGGAAGTCCTCAGGTTCCCTGCCTCACTGGGATTCCTTCCCAAATAAACAACCCGCACCACTATCTCAAGCTTTGCTTTTGGAAGAACCCAAACTACGAAAGGCACCACAGTGGGCAGGAGAGGAAGTTGGTCCCTGCGCCAGCATTTTCCTGCTTCCTTATTCGTCTCTGTCTCCCCTCTCCTTTCATTTAGACATTTTCTATGACTACATTTTAGGAAAAATAGAGGGGAAGGAAGGTGCATAAGTGGAAAGTTAGTAAGAGAAATCTAGGACAGGAGAAGAAGTAAAGGAGAGATTATTATATTTATATATGTATGTGTATCCACACACACACACACACACACGCGTATATTCCCCATAAAAGTTGAGGGAAATGTTGAGGGAAGAATAGATTAAGAAAAGGCAATATATGAATTGGGATGTTTATCTATTACTGATGAGAATGTAAGATGATGTAATCCCTATGGAAAACAGTTTGGCAGTTTCTCAAAAAGCTAAACACAAAATTGCCATACAACCCAGCAATTTCACACCTATGTAAATACCTAAAAGAACTAAAAACAGGTGTTATGTTCATACAGTATTATTCACAATAGCCAAAAAGTGGAAATGACCGCCATGTCCATCAACAGATTAATGGATAAATAATATGTGGTATATTCATACAATGGAATATTATTCAGCCATAAAGGAATGAAGTTCTGATACATGCTACAACATAAATGAACCTTGAAAATAATATGCTTAGTGAAAGAAGCCCGTCATAAAATATTATATAGTGTATAATTCCATTTATATAAAATGTCCAGGATAAGCAAATCCATAGAGACAGTGAGTGGGTCAGTGGTTGCCAGAGGTTGGGCAGGAGAAGGAGGCAGGGACAAGTTGTGGGGAGGGGCAGTGGCTACTAATGGGTACAAAGTTTCCTTTTGCAGTGATTACAATGTTCTAAAATTAGATTATGGTGATTGTTGCACCATTGAATTCGTATTCTTTAAATGGGTGAACTTTATATTATGTAAATTATCAATCAGTAAAGCTGTTAAGAAAAATTAGTCCTGGCCCAGGAAAGGAAGTCAGCACTAATTTTAGGAAACAGTTCTCCCCCATTTTAAATTTGGTTGGTAAAATTCCAAGAATCTTAAACAGTAGGGAGAGAATTATATGCCTATACTCACATGATATTTTCCCTACATGTCCTATTTGCAGGATTAATGCATTAGTTCAATTATTTAACAAATATTTATGCATTAATTAGCCCTGTGTGCATTTAGAGATGCAAGGGTGAATAAGACAATCATTGTTCCTGCTTCACGGATATTCTAGTGGAAGAAACCAAAAAAGGGGTAAGAAATTACAAAAATATGTTGAAAAATGCCATAATAGTGTAAGTCTAGTTCCTAGTTAAGAAAAATAAAGCAGATTTCTTTAAAAAAAAATGTGTAACAGGGCACTTTGACTTGAGAGCTGTTTTTGGTGGGCAGAATTGGAGTGCCCCCACTATTCCACTATTGAGGTTCAGGAATGTAGAAACTTGTCTAATGCGTGAGGGTGGTCCTTAATCAAGGCTTGTGTACCAACTATACTGTCTTTCATTCTCTGTGCTTGATTCTCTGGCACCTGGGGCCTCATCACTGATCAGAGGGACTGCCCCTTCCAGGGTTAGCTAATTCCTATCTCAGCAAACAACCAGCCCGGGAGTGTGCCTTTTGTATGCAAACTGACCAGTCCATACTCCCCACCCCCACCCTCCACCACTTCTATCTGGCTCTTACATCCAAGCCAATATTCCCCTGCCCTAAATACCCCAGGGCCAGGTACCAGCCAACTCAGGGCAGCCCCTTCATGCCAGAGCCTCAATTATTTAAACTAGCCAATCCCAAACTTGATTATCCTGTCTTGCTCATTCCTTCCTGTGGAACCACAATAAACAATAAGGACTCCTGGCCGGCCCGGTGGCTCACGCCTGTAATCCCAGCATTTTGGGAGGCCGAGGTAGGAAGATCACAAGGTCAGGAGTTCGAGACCAGCCTGGCCAACATGGTGAAACCCCGTCTCTACTAAAAATACAAAAAAAATTAGCTGGGCGTGGTGGCAGGCGCCTGCAGTTCCAGCTACTGGGGAGGCTGAGGCAGGAGAATGGCGTGAACCCGGGAGGCGGAGCTTGCAGTGAGCCGAGATCGTGCCACTGCACTCCAGCTTGGGCGACAGAGCGAGACTCTGTCTAAAAAAAAAAAAAAAAATTACAAAAATTTGCCAGGCATGGTGGTGTGCACTTGTAATCCCAGCTACTCGGGAGGCTGAGGCAGGAGAATTGCTTGAATCTGGGTGGCAGAGGTTGCAGTGAGCCGAGATCACGCCACTGCACTCTAGCCTGGGTGACAGAGCAAGACTCCATCTCAATTAAAAAAAATAAATAAATAAAAATAAAAAGAATAAGGACTGCTGCATCCCTCCCACCCCATCCTTACTCTACCCTCCTCTCGGTGACCCTGGTGCTTCCTGCTGGTGTGGCATGCTCCCTCCTTTTGGGAACTATGAGTAACAGTCTTTTCAATGGCAACTGTCTCCTGATCTGTTGGCTTCACCACACCTAAATAATAATAAAAATTAAATTTTAAAACAGGTCATTGTAGTTAGGACAATTCTTCACAGAGAGAATACAGAGGAAGGGAACCAGGAGTCTACATAGGTGGATGCATTCTGTCCAGGGCCTAAAGCATCAGATGAGATTTGCTCTGTGTATAAAATGCAGGGACAATCAAAATGAATTCAATCATGCTGATGAGCATCCCTACAGATTCTCAGAAATATTTAGTAAAAAAAACAAAAAAACCAAAAAACAAAAAACAACTTGGACTTCTTTCTAGTTAGGTAGGTGGGGACTCCAACATCAGCTTAACATGTGATGAATTACAAGGAACTTGATAAAGAACCTTACATTTGCAAAGTTAAATAAGCTTGCATGTTTAAATACTGAGACACCACTGAGGAGATCTTTTTAAAAAGCCCTCACATTTTTCTCATTTGATTTATTGTTTTCTAGTTATAAATATAGATTTCTAGAGTAAAAAAATCCAAAAATCTACACAAAACATTCGGAGAAAGAGAGAGGGTAACACTTGAAATTTCCCTATCAAATGATTACAGTTATCATTTTAGATCCTGGCAAAAGTTGTCTCCTCCAATATTCAGTGTAACACACAGTTGCTTCTGATGAGGAGATGGGTAAATATCCACTGGGACCAAAGAATCTCCTGGCCAAAAAAGAGACTGTGATCTCTATCTCACTTCTTTTATGGTTTGAAATGGTCCAAATGATACGGCTGTGATGAGTGGAGGAACACCAGGGCTCTTGTCTTACGTCGAATTAGAAAAAATGACACGGACACACGTGGAGCAGTTTTGAGGAGCAGAGGGTTTCATAGGCAAGAAGGAAGGGAGAAGACAAAAAGAAGAAGTTCCCCCATACAGCCGGAGACGGAACCCCAAGTGCGGTGGACACCAGCCAGGTATATATGCAGAGGCTGGAGGAGGTGGTGTCTGATTTGCATAGGGCTCAGGGGATTGGTTTGACTAGGCATGTCATTTACGTAGCCCACGGAGAAAGCTGGCCCTCCCACTCTAGCCTTTTAATATGCAAATGTTGGGCTCCAGGATCTTCTACACACATGGGGATATGTGGGGGCGGCCATGTTGCCAGGAACCTGTCGGGCAAGGGCAAGAAGGCTGCAGGAATCCCGTGTTGGGTGGACCCAGTTTCTAATGGTCTGCATTTGCATATCAAAGGTTGCCGGCCTGGCTTAAGAGCCGGGGCTTTACTGGAAACTTTTCTGGAGAGGCTTTAAAAAACGAAAACTTCCAAGGACCCGTTTTCCTCTCTGTTTGCTAAAATAATTTCTTAATAACTCCTACAACACTAATAGAGGTTTGTTGGAGAGAAGGACATCAAAGACCCCCGAAGGGACTCACCACAAGAGAAGGGGAAGTCTTGACGGGTGATTAGAGTCTAATACCAAGCCCTACGTTGTGGATGGATGAAATTTCTGAAACAGTGCATGTGGTCCAGGCTGGAGATCTTTTCTAATTGAAGGTACTTTGGGGATGATAACTGAGTATAACTGAGTGTGTGAATGTAAACCTGGTTAGAGTTAAGTAATTGGCTAGAATGGTTTTGTCCTTCCATGAGGGATAGCTGTGGCCTGCAGAGATCTGGACTAAGGTAAGGGTCACAGCTTCCAAATAACATCTTTTGGGTGCCGTAAGGCAATACCAGCAAGAAATAGAGACCTATTAGGGATAAGACAAAAATCCTATCCCTAAAATAGGACAGAAATATCTAATAATTTCTTTCAAGTCTGAGTACATCACACGCATTTGTTTATTAACTCTTTTTACTTATTTAAGCCTCACAAAATCTAATGAAATGGTTACAATAAAGAAAAAAAATCCTCCCACTTCCAGATGAGCTGATGAGGCACAGAGTGTTAAAGTAATTCACGGAGTCACTGAAAGATTGTGCTAAATTGTACTGTTCAAAAATATTCACTTTTCTCTCCACACATCTCCATAAGATAAGTGTGTTTTGCTCCGTTGATTTGGGGCTTGACCAATGGATTTCACTTATCTATTGTTACAAAACTAGCTACCCCAAAAGTTAGTGGCTTAAAACAACAATGAACCATTTATTATGATTCTGTAGGTTTTCTGGGGCACAGGCAGAGGTTCTTCTATTCGTCTTAATTGGGTTCTCTTCATCTGCATTCAACTAGGGCCTAGCTGAGGCTAAAATGTCCAGGATGTTTCATCCTTCAGGAGTTCTCTTTACATGGCTTCGAATCATTCTGTAGTCCAATCTGGAATTCCTACCAGCGTGCCAGCTGTGTCCTAAGACAGAGGAAGTGGAAGCTATCAGCTTTTAAGACTTGGGCTTGAAAGTTGCAAGATGCCACTTCTTGCCACATTCTGTTGGTCAAGGCAAATTCACATGGCCGGCTCAGATTCACTGGGATGGGAAATAGCTCCATTTTTTGATGATCGGAGAAGCACATACATACAGGGAAAGGAGGAATTGATGGTAGTCATATATGGAGATAGAAACCATACCATGTAACTTGCTTAGTCAAAGGAATGTCAAGTCAATGGACTTGACATCCAAGGACAGGCTATAAGTGTAACCACCCAATGGGTTCACCTGGTTTGCTGCCTAGACAGAGCCAATTTATCATGACAGGGGAATTACAATAGAGAAAGAGTAACTCACGCAGAGCCAGCTTTGCAGGAGACTGGAGTTTTATTATTACTCAGATCAGTCTCCATGAAGGGGGAGCAGAGTTTTTAAGGACATTTATTGGGTGGGGGGAAGCCAGTGAGCCAGGAGTGCTGATTGGTCAGGGATGAAATCATAGGGAATTGAAGCTGTCCTCTTGTGTTGAGTCAGTTCTGGGTGGGGGCCACAAGATCAGATGAGTCAGTTTATCCATCTGGGTGGCACCAGCCGATCCATCAAGTGCAGGGTCTGCAAAATATCTCAAGTACTGATCTTAGGAGCAGTTTAGGGTGGGTCAGAGTCCTGTAGTCTCCAGCTGCATGACTTCTAAACCTTGATTTCTAATCTTGTGGCTAATTCGTTAGTCCTACAAAGGCAATCCAGTCCCCAGGCAGGAACTATGTTTGTTTTGGGAAAGGACTGTTCTCTTTTAAACTATAAACCGTAAACTAAGTTCATCCTAAAGCTAGTTCAGCCTACACCCAGGAAAGAACCAGGACAGCTTAAAGGTTAGAAGCAACATGGAGTTGGTTAGGTCAGATCTCTTTCACTGTCTCAGTCATAATTTTGCAAAGGCGGTTTCATAAGTGTGTTTGCATAGTATGGCTGAATCTCTCTTGTCTTCCACTGAAACAAACATTTCCCAGATTGAGATTGCCCCTTCAGTCAAGGAGCTATGGCACAGGCTCTACCATAACCCAGAGCCAGAAGCATAGTCAAAGCAGCTTAGTTGTAGCCACTCACATATCAAATGAAGAATAAATGAATTATTTGTTGTTGTAATTTAACATTTGTTTATTAGGCAGTATAACCTAGTGCTAGCTGATGAATACAGAGGTAGAGCTAGGATTTGAACTTAGGAAATGCAGTTTGAGAATCCAGGCTCTTAGCCACTACACTATATATTTCACCTGGAAGCAGTATTTCATCTTTGGATTCAGAAGGCCTTGAGGGTTCTGAGACAAATTGGGAGTATCAGGGAGAATCAAGGAGAGACATTCTGCAAATTTGAAGAGGTAGGGCTACAGCAAAAAGTTTACCTGTTACAAGATGTGATCCAATTTATATCAGAAGCTAGACAAGTGGGCTATTCTGCTTATCCAACTAATCTATGCAACACATTCCTCACCGCTACTACATCTTAACCTCCACCCCGATTAAAGAAGGCTTTAATTCCTACTTTCATTATTTACCACTTTTAAAAGTTTGAAAAAAGTATTAAAAGTAGATTATTCTGTAAGGGAGAAATATTCCTCATTTCAAGTCAACATTAATTTTGTTTTTTTTACTAATATTAAAGATTGAGAGAGAGATCTGCTAAACATTTAATTTTAAATATCGAGAGTTTTTTGTACAACAATCCAATGGGTAAGGCTCAGTTCTTGTGTTACCCAGTCTGTCAGCATTATGAGACAGAGTTGAGTACTCTTTATCCATTAATTACACTTCTTTCCTGTGGCTCCTGAGACGCAGTACTCTTGGGTTTCCTCCTACCTCCCTGGTTGTCTCTTCTCAGTCTCTTCACCAGTATCTCTTTTTAATCCTGCTCTCCATAATGGAGTGCCCTGGAGCCCTATTGTCATTCATCTTCTCTCTGTCTACACTCACTCAATTGGTGAACTCATTTGGTTTTTAAATACTTAAATAATGTCTATATATTGATGACTCCAAATTTATCTGCATTCCAGATCTCTGTCCTTAACTTCAACTGTTTATTTGACATCCATTTAGATGTTACATAGACATCTCAAAATCACCGTTCCAAACCGAACTCCTGTTTCCCTCCCATTCCCGTCTCCAAAATTTGCTTTACTCATGGCTTTTTTTCATCTCAGTTGATGGCAACCCTATTCTTTTTTTTTTTTTTTTTTTTTTTTGAGATGGAGTTTCGCTGTTGTTGCCCAGGCTGGAGTGCAATGCCGCAATCGTGGCTGGCTGCAACCTCCGCCTCCCGGGTTCAAGCGATTCTCCTGCTTCAGCCTCCCGAGTAGCTGGGATTACAGGCATGCGCCACCATGCCCAGCTAATTTTGTATTTTTAGTAGAGATGGGGTTTTACCATGTTGGACAGGCTGGTCTTGAACTCCTGACCTCAGGTGATCCAATGGCAACCCTATTCTTTGGTGAGTTGCTTAGGCCCAACACCTTGGAGTCATCCATATTTCTCTCTTCGATATTCCATATTAAATCCATCAGGAAATTCTGTTGACACTACCTTCCAGATAGAGTCATGCACCACATAATGATGTTTCAGTGACGATTCACGTGTACAACAGTGGTCCCATATGATTATTAATGCCGTATTTTTACCGTACTTTTTCTACGTTTAGATACACAAATACTGACCATTGTGTCACAGTTGCCTATAGTATTCAGTACAGTCACATGCTATACAGGTTTGTAACCTAGGAGGAACAGGCTATAGCATAGAGTCTGGGTATGTAGCAGGCTATACCATCTAGGTTTGTGTAAGTATACTCTATGATGTTTGCATAGTGACAAAAGTGCCGAATGATGAATTTTTCAGAATGTATTCCTGCCATTAAGTAATGCATGACTGTATATCCATATTCTTCTCACTTTCCATCACCTCCCTATGACCCCTGGTCTGAGTCCTTGCCATCTCTCACCTGCTTATTGCAATTGCCTCCCATGGGTGTTTTTGATTCTATCTTTGCACCCTTTTAGTCTACATAGTAAACAGACTGATCCTTTAAAATGTAAGATCACAGCACTTCTCTGCTCCAGTGATTTTCCATCTTACAGTAAAAGCCAAAGTCCTTACTTTGATTTATAAGACTGCTAGAGACTGAATGTGTGCCTTCAAAATGCATATGTTGAAATCTAAACCCTAAATGTGATAGTATTAGGAGGTGGAACCTTTGGGAGATAATTAGGTCATGAGGGTGGAACCCTCATGGATGGGATTAGTGATGCTATAAAAGAGACCCCAGAGAGCTCCCTCACCTTCTGCAGTATTAGGACAGAATGAGAAGATGGTCGTCCATGGATAGGGAAGCAGACAACAAATCTGCCAGCATCTTGATCTTGAACTACCTAGCCTCTAGAACTTCAAGAAATAAACTTCAATTGTTATCCAGTCTATGGTAGTTTACTATAGCAGTTTGAACTAAGACAGAAAACTGGTACTGAGAAATGAGGATGCCGCTGTAACAAATACTTTAGAATGTAGAAGTGGCTTAGAAACTAGGTAAGGAGAAGGGGCTGAGAGAGTTTTGAGGTGTATGCTAGAAAAAAACAGATTTTCATGAACAGACTTTTAAAGGTGATTCTAGTAAGCGATCAAGGAAAAAAAGAGAGCTGTAGAGAATGCCCCAAATTTCTTCGAGAATACATAAATGATCATGAACAAAAAGTTGGTAAAAATATGAATGGTTAAGATTGTTCTGATGAGGTCTCAGATGGAAATAAGGAGCCCATTATTGGAAACTGGAGGAAAGGACGTTTTTGCTATAAAGTGGCAAAGAGTGCAGGGGAATTGTGTTCATGTTCTACTGCTTTGTTGAAGGTAGAACTCACGAGTAATGAAATTAGGTATTTAGCTGAAGCTATTTCTAAGCAAAGTGTTGAAGGTGTGGACTGGCTTTTCTTGACTGCTTATAGTAAAATGCAAGAAGAGAGAAATGAGTTGAAGATAGAATTGTTAAGCAAAAATGAGGCAGAGTGTAAAGATTTGGAAATTTCTTGACCTATCCATATTGTAAAAAATGAAAATACTAAGGGTCTAGCCAAGTGACCATTTGATAATAGATGTGAATCACAAACGTAATCAGCAACCCCAGAAAGAAAACTGCCACGTTGAACTGAAGAGGAGGAATAAGGAGGGAAGGAAAGAAGAAAGGCTGTTGGACTTCTTGGATTTGACAGGGCAGGACCACAGAGCCATTCGGCTTTCAATGTGCTCTATTCTTCAAGACAAGGAAGAATGAGTCCAAAAGCGATTTAGAGATCATCAGGGATGCCTCTCCATTTCAAAGGTGAGTAACATGACCTTGCTTTCAGCAGGCCAGACAATCTCCTCACAGAGGTGTTGCGGGTGGGCCTGTAGCCCCAGTGAATCCAGAAGGCAGAACCTTCACCCCAGTGTGATTGGATGGCAGAGCATCAAGCCAAAGAGGATTATTCTTGAGGTTTAAGATCTCATGGAGGTTTCCTTGTTAGGTTTTGGACTTGCTTGGGATCCATCACCCCTTCCTTTTTTCCTCTTTCTCCCTTTTGGAATGAAAATGTCTATCCTATACTTGCCCCAACAATTGTATTTTGGGGAAACACGTAGCTTGTTTGGCTTCACGGTTCACAGCTGGAGATAAATTTTATCGCAGGATGAATCATACCTCGAGTCTCACCCATATCGGATTTAGATGATATTTAGATGAAATCTTAAGCTTTAGACTTTAGAGGTGATGCTGGAATGATTTAAGACTCTTGGGGCTGTTGGGAAGGAATGAATGTATGTTACATGTGAGAAGGACATACATTTTGGGGGGCTGTGGCAGAATGCTGTATACTGAATGTTTGTGTGCCTCTACAATTCATATGTTGAAACTCTACCCCCCATGTAATGGTATTAGGAGGTGAAGTCTTTGGGAGATAATTAGAATTAGATACGGTAATGAGGGTGGAGCCCTTATGAATGGAATCAGTGCCCTTATAAGAGTCACAAGCAAGCTTGCTTCCCCTCCCTGTTCTCTGCCATGTGAGGATAGAATAAGGAATCAGCACTCTGCAATCTGGAAGAGGGACCTCACCAGAACCCAGTCATGCTGGCATCCTGATCTTGGACATTTATCTCCCAAAACTGTGAGCAATACATTTCTGCTGCTTATAAGCCACCCGGTATATGGTATTTTGTTGTATCAGCCCTAGCTAACTAAAATAAAGACTCTATATGTGATCTGGTTCTCGTCACTGAGGACCCCATCTTGTATTCTAAGTGCAGACATAGATCCAGACACATTGTAGGTATTAGGTTGGTGCAAAAGTAATTGCGGTTTTTCCCATTACTTCAATGGCAGGAACTGCAATTACTTTTGCACCAACCTAATACATAGCTATTTGATGAACAGATAAATGAATGAAGCTATAGGGAAGTTCTTTAAACCCCAAGTCCTATATAGGTTAAGAAATATTTCAAAATGGTACTGTTTCTTTTTGTTTTTAGTTGGAAGTCCAGCAAGATGTGTTCATATTTTTTTACAAAAGCTGGTAGGAAGTAAAGATGAAGAGGAATTTGGCCTACCTCACCAAATTCTTTATATTCTTCTGTTCCCAGGAATGGGTTGAATGAATTCAGCAGCCCTCAGCTACACTTTAATGGCACATGGCCACATCTGGCTTCTCTGAGCTCACACAGCTGTTCTGTCAACTCCCCGTGGGTTTATGTCCCCTCCTCTTCTAGGAAATTGCACTGCCAATAGCCCTAATGAAGCAGCAGGAGTTTCCTGAGGGGAATGCATTGCTGACAAGTATAATTACTATTAGCAGCTGTGGGGCCTCTGGCTCCATGAAAGTAACCCATCCACCTGTCAGAGTGTGCAGCAGGACTGCTAAAGCTGCACCTAGCAGCCGGTCCAGCACTCTAAGCTAGGCCACCATGTGATGAAAACAAGAGACTGGCATTTGGAAGCCAATTGAGAATATTTACTTCAAATGTTCAAATTTCTGCAACCCAGCTGCATGGGTTGTGGAGCCACAGCAAATCAGCAATTAACATTTTTCAGTTGAGTGCGATCATTGTCTTTTTCAAGCATCCATAATGCCTGCCTATACTTAGAAAGGAGTGGGTGTCCTCACAAGGATGCAGGAGATTCTAATTATATTTATTTTTTGCTAAAAAAGAAAGAAAATTAGTTTCGTTAATATTTAATAACTGCTTGACATTTGTTTCTTTACTGGGTCAGTGTATGAGACCTTCACATCCCACTTCTGAGAGGATTTAAAATTCTGTAGTGAGAAGGGGCTTATAGTGACTCCCATTTGTTGACATATTTCTATGGTAGATTACATATGGCTGCAAATTCTTTTCTACTTTTGAGAGGTAGATTCTAATCGCCCTGCCACTTAAAGCTTGGCTGGTTTTAGTGACTTACTTGCCCAATAGAGAATGGTAGAAGTGATACTATGCCAGTTATGGGTTTAGCCTATACAAAGACTAACAGCTTTGGCATTGCCCTTTTAGAACTTTGGGGCAACCATGTTGTGAGGAAGCCCAAGCTAGCCAAATGGATGGGCTGTGTGGAGAGAGAGAGGGATGTCTAGCTAACCCCATTGCTTCATCCCCTAGATAATCAAATCATGCCAGCTGAGGCCCCAAACATTGTGGAGCAGAGATGAATTGTTTCTACTGTGCCCTGTGCAAATTCCTGACCCACAAAATTTTAATATTTAATTAGTGATAAATTATTGCCTTAAGTTCCTACGCTTTGGGATAGTTATATAACAGTAGGTAATAGATGCAATTGCATTTTTTATGAGCCTAATTGAGAAGATTTACAGATTAAGTTTAAATGAACTCTTGAAACACTGATAAAGGCCTCAAGAGATTTCTACAAAGAAACCTTAGATGGATCAAAATACCAAGACTAATACAAATAAATGGAAGAGCTGACACTTCTCCTACACTTAGAACTAAGTCTTCGTCAGTCAGTCATATTCTGAGGGAAAAGTAGTGACAATCTTATCAAATGTAACTAGAGGTTATAAAAAATTGAAATTATTAAAGAAGACCATCTGAGATATTAATATACACCCACAATCATTAACAATGTACATCACCCTGAGTATATATTAGCCT
This sequence comes from Homo sapiens, assembly GCF_000001405.40. Taxonomy (NCBI): domain Eukaryota; kingdom Metazoa; phylum Chordata; class Mammalia; order Primates; family Hominidae; genus Homo; species Homo sapiens. The sequence continues at coordinate 31,023,098 of NC_000023.11, forward strand.
TGAGATATTAGCCAATGATAACATGAAGCTATCATGATTAGCAAGGCATTGAATGCTAAGTATTCAGGATATGCAGCCAAACTTCTACAATTCAATGGCAGAAGTGGTTTTTTTTTCCTTAATCATGAACAAAAATCAAAAGAATGTCTAGTTTATTTTATATCATCCTCTAAAAATGTCAGCTTTTATGTGTTTTACAATTCCTATACATTAGTACAATAGTTATGTATAAAATTTACATATATATAATCATATACACAAGGGTGTGAAATGTACACATGCAAATGAAAGAATGATAAAACACACATTCATGGACCTACCAACCAGCTTCAGAAATAAAGCATTACCACTAACTTAGAAGCTCTCTGGAGACCTTTTCCCTGAACCCTAGGTGACCACTATCCTGGATATTGTGTTGATAATTAGCTTCTTTGCTTCATAGGTTGGTTTTTTTTTTTTTTAAATCACATGTGAATGTATCTCTAAGCATTGTTTAGTTTTCCCTGATTTGAATGGTAGCAAACTGAATTTATACTGTATGTATTCTTCAGTGACTTGGCCCTCTCAGCTAAACTTTTTGTCTTTGACACTTGTTCATGTTAACGCATGTGGCTATAGTTCATTCATGTTCACTGTTGTATAGGATTCCAGTATATGTATATGCCTCAGTCTTATTGTCTTTTTACTGGTAATGATGAGTTGTTTTCAGCATTTTGTTCTCAGGAACAAGGCTGCTGTGAGCATTTTTTCTGTATCTCTTGGTATGTATTCAAGAAGCTCTCTAGGGTATATACCTGGAGATGAAATTAATAGGTCATAGATATGTGTATGTTCAACTTAACTTTAAAATCTGATGGGCTTTTGCCAACAGTAGGCGAAAGTACATGTTGTTTTTCCATTTTTGACAATCCTTGATATTATCTGACTTTTAAATTTTGCCAATTCGGTGTGTGGAAAATGGTATCTTATGGTTTTAATTTGCATTTTCCTGAATATCAATAAGGTTCAGCATCTTTTCAAATGTTTATGGTAATTTTTATTTCCTCTTTGGTGAAATGTATGTATCCCTTTGTCAATAGCATAGTCTTAAATATTGTAGCCATTAAATAAGCCTTGATATTTCATAGGGCAAGTCTCCCTACCTTATCTTTCTTCTTCAGGAGTGTTTTTGCTGTTCCTGATCCAATTCTCTTCTATATAAATTGGGAGTCAGCTTCTCAAATTCCACACTTAACCCTATTGAGTCTTTGATTGAAAGAACATTGATTGTATGGATCTAACTGGGAAGAACTGACATCTTTACAAAGCTGAGTTTTCTAAACCAAGAATTTGCCATATTCCGCATTTACTTAAGAAGACTTAAATAAATAAATAAATAAATAAATAAATAAATAAATAACGGAGTGTCTTTCTATACAGGATAATTTTTCCATAATAGGTTTACTCATCTTTTGCTAGATTTATTCCTCAAAACATTTATCTCTGTTGTAAATTTAAATGGCACTTTAGAGAATTATATTTTCTAACCAATTTTTTTCTGGAGTATAAAAGGGTATTGATTTTTGTATTTTGACTTTGTGTTCAGCAATCTTGCCAACTGTCTTATTAGTCCTAATAATTTACCTTTATATTCTCTTGATTTTTCTGCATAGGAAATATCACCTACAAATAAAGAGAAATATTTGTTTTTCTTTATCAATCCAAAGACTTTTTTTGTGGTCTTACTGTACTGGCCAGAACCTCCAAAACAATGCTGACTTGAAGCTGTGTCAGCTAAGTTATGATATAGTAACAAGGAACCTGAAATTCTTAGAGGCTTATTTTTAAACTTATTTCTTGTTTGTGCTACTTTTCCATATTGAGTTGGCTAGAGCCTCCAGATCATTTTAATTCCAGAACAAAGGCTGAAGGGGAATCCCCTAGCTGGGACATTGCCAGAAAGTTAAATATGGTAGAATCTCATTATGGCTCTTAAACCTTTCCTCAGAAGTGGGGCATGTCACTGCCAATCAATTTCATTAGCCAAAGCAAGTCTATTGGCTAAGGCTAACATCAACAGAGTGGATACATGTAATCCTAAACAGGGAGTAGCAGCGAATATGTTAAACAGTAATACAGTCTATTACAGAGGGTTGCCCCTAATATTTTACTCATAGAAATATATCTTCAAGAATGTTTGAAGACCATCAGCTTAGAAAGGCAAGCTCAGCTTTCTCTGTTGTATATTCCATCCTTCTCCTTCTATCAGCTCTGCCTTCTCTTAGCTGACTGTATCTCTTCTTGCAGCCAAACATGGACCACTTTTTCCCCATCGGCGATCCTCATATTTCCCCAGATTTTCTCATCTTGCTCCTCTGGTAATGTCCAAACCCCTACTCTCTTTCAAATAGGATCCCTCACTTCCTTCAAAGCGTGGTAGAGAACGACTTCTCCATGAGTCCTTCACTGCATAAGCCCAGCTCTCCTTACTGTAATCTCTAGAACATGGCAGTCCACCCCACCAAACCATTGATTGAGTATATATTGCTTTGTACTATTCTCAAATTGTTGAGTGCATATAACATATCTTTTTGCTTCATCAAAATAAAATATAAGAATTAAATGAAAAGATATGTGAACATATAGTACCTGAAATGTGGTTTTTTTTTTACTTAAGAATATTCAATTCTACTGTATTGAGAACAAGAAAAATAAAGACAATAGGTGAACGTAGAGAACCAATCAATTTTTTTTTTTTTTTTTTTTTTTTTTTTTTTTGAAGACAGAGTCTCACTCTGTCGCCCAGGCTGGAGTGCAGTTGCGCGATCTCGGCTCACTGCAAGCTCCGCCTCCCGGGTTCACGCCATTCTCCTGCCTCAGCCTCCCGAGTAGCTGGGACTACAGGCGCCTGCCACCACACCCGGCTAATTTTTGTATTTTTAGTAGAGACGGGGTTTCACCGTGTTAGCCAGGAAGGTCTCGATCTCCTGACCTTGTGATCCACCCGCCTCGGCCTCCCAAAGTGCTGGGATTACAGGTGTCAGCCACCGCGCCAGGCCGAGAACCAATAGATTTTAAGATATCTTATACATGGCAAGGTAAGTGAAGCATATATGCTGAACATAGACAGGAAAGACTAAGTCAGACCAAACATTCATAAGAATTATAGATTTCATAAATCGGCCACCCATTAGGGCCACCTGTTCTGGCCCCACATGTCTTCTGTTCTAGACACATAGACAAAAGCTGTAGATGATCTGCAAATTATAGCTGTGGCCAGGCACACTTATCCCTGTGTCTCTCTGATAGAGCAAGTGTGTATTGTATTCAGGTACCTGCCATTTGTTGAGTCTCATTGTTCACCTTAAACTCTGGTCTTGGTAACCACATCATCAGCAGGTGATGTGACAGGGAAAGACAGGATGTATAAACTTGGTATAACCCATGATTCAGACAGTGTGATTCCACCATCCCGTTTGCACCTTATCCCAGACATGTTAACCCAAATCATCCCTTTCACTTTGCTTCTCATCATGTATTTTAAATAAACTAAAATTATGTGATTCGAGCATCATAATTTGGTCCTTTCTTTGACCTTTTCTTTTTTATCCCCTGGGATAGCTTGTCTGATAGTGTACTTGGAGTCTGCCTTTTGATCAAGATAATTTCCCACCACAATAGTAAGTGTTTGATCAATATTAATTTTGTCTATTTTCTCCCACTAAGCTCTTTGAAGGCAGCAACAATTTTTTTCTACTTTTTAAATGTCCTCACTAGCAACCAGAATTGAGTATGTGATAAATACTTACATATTTATTGATGAACATTTCCCCCAGTATCAAGTAGGCAAGATGTGAGAATAATGACATTACTGGTTGTGTTGAGATATATCAAGTTTTATAGGTATGCTTCCAGCTCTAAATGGATGTGATTTTGAAACAAAAGTGTTTTATCTCATGTACACTATTCCAAACAATTGTTGACTGGTGTGTATGTGTGTGTGTATGTGTGTGCGCGCACACATGCACGCATGCTTGTACAGGTGTGTGTGTGGGGTAAAGCGTGTGTGGGAAGTTTGGGGGAGTGAGGAGTGGCAGAGGAAGAAACAAATACTTATTTTACAGTCACTCTGTAATATGGCTACCTGGCACTGTGCCTGGGTATTTACCTACATTGTATCATTTAATTCATTATAAGAGTGGTTCTCGAACTTTAGCATGTATAAAATCACCGGAAACGCTTGTTAAAGATTTTTAGGCTCTACCCTCAGAGCTTTCTCATTCTGCAGGTCTTGGGGTAGACCTGAGAATTTGCATCTTAAACAGGTAGTGCTGCTGCTAATGTATGACTATACTTTGAAAACTGCTTTATTATAAGAACTCTGGGAAGTAGTTATTATTTTACAGATAAGAAAATAAACTTAGGTAAATGTCTCAAGATCACACAATCAGTTGTGAAACTGGAATTTGAACACTGGCCCTTCTGGTTTCAAATGCTAATTGGAATAGAAAGAAAGTGAGCCACATGATTGACTTCCTTGAGTTTCAGTGAAAAAAATCTTTGGAGTCTTGTGGAGATTGATGTGTAGTCTGCAAGTTCACTGCAAAGCTCTTAACAAATTATTGTCTATAAAACCTTTATTGAATCTAGTTCAAGTATTATTGACTCACTACTGTCATCCTCCCTATTCCATACATAGCCTTGATGATCATATGCTCAAATCCAAAATTTTCATCTTTAGCTTTGCCTTGATGTTTAACAATTCCATAGTGTCAAATAGTTTTGCTATGCTTTCCCCCTACCCTCATATGCTCACACCCTGTTTTCCATGAGGGTTGGTTCAGTGGGATACAGCATAACTTTAGTTCAACATAAAAATCATGTACATCAGTCTATTTTTTAAAAAAGTAGTCTTTGTCATCCATATTAAAGGTTTTTGATCACTTGCTTCTCAAGTTCAAGATGACTAATAAGAATTTCACTGAATGGCCGTGACACACAATATCACTATCAAGAACATAAGCATCAACTTGCATTTATAGACTTTCCTAGTTTTGAAACTGCCTAAATATCTCTATTCTTCTTATCTAATCTTCTCAACAACTGTTTGAAAATATTATCAATAACCCCAATTTACAGATAAAATCATAAGCTTGGAGCCAAAAGAAGAAACGTGACTAAGATTTCTAGACACAGTGTAGGTTCTCAGTAAATATTTGCTAAATAAATAAAAAAGACACAAGTCATACATGATTAAAATAGGCCTCAGATCTATAACGTTATCTTCATTTCCAATGGTTCCCTTTTATACACTTTTTAAAACTTGAAATCCTTCCATAGAGAAGCATCTTGCAAAGTCCACTTTTTTTCTTTTTCCTTGTTACCCTAATATCCGTTTTTATTGAGCTCTTGTCACATGCTAGGCGTATCACAGATGCTATCTTATTTATTCTTTCAATTAAGATTAGGATTTAATCTTATTTAATCCTATGAGGTGAATGTTATTATTCCCATTCTAAAAATAAGAAAGGGACATTCTATAAAATAATTGGCATGTTCTCAATGTCACAAAGACCAAAAAAAAAAAAAAAAGCAGAGACTAAAGACAGATGAAAACCAAATGCAGTATGTGATCTTGGACTAGATCCTAGAATGAAAGTTTTCTTGTTCTTCCTCCTCTCCTCCTCCTCCTCCTCCTCTTCCTCCTCCTCCTCCTCCTCCTTCTTCTCTACGAAATGCATTATTGGAACAATTCATTTATTTGAAATATGGATTGTTGATTAAATAAAAATATTGCATCAATGTTAAGTTTCCTAAATTTGATTACTATCTTGTAGTCATATAAGAGAATATCCATTTTCTTAGGATATACACACTGGATGCTATAGTTTGAATGTGTCCCCGAAGTTCATGTGTTGGAAACTTAATCCCCAATACAACAGTTTTAAGAGGTGATTATGCCATGAGGGCTTTGCCTTCACGCATGGATTAATGCCATTATCACAGGAGTGGGTTTCTGATAAAAGGAGGAGTTTATCCCCCTCTCTCTTGCCCTTTTGTGCCCTTCTGCCTTCCACCATGGGATGACACAGCAAAAAGGCCCTCTCCACATGCCAGCCCTTGATCTTGGACTTCACATCTCTTAAATTATGGCAGTAGCAGTGACGATGGAGAGAAGGAGAAGTGGAGATTGGAAGAAGAGTTGGCAGAGCTTAGTAATGGGTTGGATATAAAGAGTGAAAGCAAAAAAGAATCAACAATAATTCATAGAGTTTTGACTTGAGTGGCTCTTTGGAAGGTAATGCCGTTTACTGAGTTGGGGAAGGTGGGCACGGCATTACTGTTTACTGAGTTGGGGAAGGTAGGCAGGGATAGGGAAGCAGACTGAGAGGCAGAGAATCAAGAGCAATGCTTTGGTCACGTCAAATGTGAGATGTCTGTCAGATAGCCATGTGGCTATCTAGTCAAGTAGACCATAGGCAATATGAGTGTGGCGTTCTAGAGGGAGGTCAGGGCTGGATATTTAGAGCTGGAAGTCATGAGTATGTGGAGAACCTCAGCATATGCTTGGAACTGAAATAGGTGACCTATGCTTGCTGCCTGGATTTAGAGTCTGGGCACAGGAGTAAGAGACAGCAACAGAGATCTAGAGAAGTAAGAGAACCAGAAGCCAAGTGAAGAAGCTCTTTTATTAAGGAGGTGCACTCCACTCCACTTTGTCTATGGGAAGAGGAACACGCACATTGTCTTATATTTACATTAACACATACTAATCCTTTAAATTTAAGTAGCGCTTGGTTGATCAAAGGTTTTTGCACAAGTTTTCTCATTTCACCTGTACAACAATCCCATGAGATGTGTATGATTGTCCTCATTTTGCATGGGAGGGAACTGCTGACATATTAAGTGAGTGTCCAGGGTCACAGTGCTTCAGGCTCCCCTAGAAGCAGAGCCTGAAGTGGAGATCCTTAAGTGGCTTATTCAGCAAGTGCCCTCAGGAGAAGGGGAAGGAGGAAAGCAGGATAGGACCAGGGAAGAGAGTTAAGCAAGGATGTGGTCTAGGTTTGAGGCTGACTTTAAGTTGATGGAGGGTGGGGCCAAGGCGGCATGGAGCATAAATAGGAGCACAGAATGAGCCCCTCCTTGAGATGGTTGGCCTTTTGTACCCCTATGTCAATCAGTCATTGGCCAGTGGCTGCCCCTGGGAGGCTAGGGGGGTTTAATCTCTTTGAAGAATTGGCTTTTGTCTGAGGGCAATTTCCTGGAAAAGGGGTCAGCTGCGAGTGAGTGGTTAGCTGCCTACACCTACAGTAGCTAGGAGATGAGTTCACCCTCCAGGGAAAGGGTGTTTGGGCAGGGCACCAACAGTATCTTCTACATAGTACTAATGGGCATTGGGATTTGAACCTAAGTCTTCTGGTGCAATATTCCATGGAGTTTCCCCATCTTCACACTGTGCTTTCCATTGCCCTGAGATCAATATAGAGTCCTTAATGCAGTGCATATTGTTACCATGGCTGGTGGAGGGATCAGACCTGAAGGGGAGGAAGGGAGGAGAGTAGTAACTGAGAGGTTCTAGTGAAGTGGGGGGAAGGAAAGACACTGGAAATAGAAGAGAAATATGATCTATCTATTACCATTACTTATATTGGTTAAAATGAAAAGGTCCTATATTCCAAATCTGCAAGTAGATATTTTCATCCTTATATTAAGCTCTATTACCCATGTCTTCCAGATTAGAAATTTCATTTGCAAAACTGGTAACATGAAAAAATAATTGTTCAAATTTGGGACAATCATCTTACTGGAAGTGAGAGACAGCATTGGTTGGTAAGATTGTTCCTGTAAATATTTAAAACATCTTCCTTTCTCTGTATAAAACGCCTAACTTGATTTCAAATGTTTTCATTGTCTTCCTTTCACGAGCCACTTTTGAGAAAATGCTGAAATTAGTTATACTTTGCTATAAAACTCCCGACAACTTTTCATGTCCATTTTTCCCTTCTTTTGTGACCTCAGGATAATTAAGTGTCTTTTTCTCCTGAGAAGAAATGTGAAGCATGTGGTGAGCCTGCTGGCCTATTTGCTGATTTATGGGTCAAGTCTCCAGTTATTACAGACAAAATTTGAAAGTCTCTGATTAAGAAGCCCTGCTGATTTAAGGATCTCACTAGAAATATGTGCATAATGAATTATCTACAGATAATAATTCAAATTGTCCCTGGGTGATTCATATCACCCGCTTTTATTAAATTATCCATTTTCTAGGGGATATTCAGGTCCGCACAAACTAAGATGTAGGGATGGACGTAATATTGTTAAGAAGTTTAACAGAAAACAGTTTTACTTTGGAAAGCATTTACTCCAAATTTGAAGCTAATTTTCACAAGGCAGTGAGTAGAGATGTGTGACTTAGATTTTTTTTTAAACCTGCTGTCTTGTATATGCTTGAACACTTGGCTTATTTAAACATTGTTTTTGCGAGAAGACAACCATTTTCTTGTGAGTGGTGATAGAGAGAAGCAGGATAAAAATAATCAAATTATTTCTTAGAAAAAAATGGAAACAGCAGCCATCAAGGTCCATTTTTAGCAAGGCACATGGGCATGACAAGGCATTAGTTAAGAGAATGTGTCACCCTTAAATATGTAGGTTTATTTAACAATGGAACAAGTAGATATATAAAGAACAGAGCTCCAGGACTGGGAATTCAGAAAGGCCTATTTTTTTTTCTTTCTTTTTTTTTTTTCCAGGAATGAAGATTATTTTTTAAAAATCTCTCTCTCTCTCTTTCTCTCTTTCTCTCTAGAACAAAAGGAGAGAGAGAAAACCTGCACAAAACAGATGCATCAGTATTCCAGAAGGCAGGTGCCAGATTCAGGGAAGAGGAAGAGGTTTCTCCCAGAGTCTGTGCTCTCTTCTGATGAACCCAGGGGCAGGCATGGACTAGGGGTGGCAGTTTTAACCAGGGGCCAGATCTATTTTCATCTGAAAACCTGACTGAGGTTTACCCTTAAGAAACCTGGCTGGAAAAGTTGAGGGGGAGGAATTTAAGGCAAGCACACAAACCTTCTGGAAGCTAGTCAATGCCTCCTGCTTCTCTTCCACGTTTTGATTTTTCAGGTTATTTTAAGGTTTTCATACCTCAGGCAAGGTGATTTATTATTATTGGGACTTTATATAACTCTTTATTTTTGCAAAGTTCTTCACAGTTATTTTTCTCTCCTCATTGTGTACCATGCCTTTCCTCTCCTGCCACTGAAATTGGTTTTGGGGGAGGCGGCACTTCCTTTCCTAGGGAAAAGATGTTGTTTCTGATATGAGGTACTTTCTGAGCTTTTACCTTTGTTTCTTCTTTGCTTTCCTTCTTTTGATCTCATTCCCTGTGGCCTCCTGTCACCTTCTGTTTCTTTCCTCCTATTCAGACCCGCAGTCTTTTTTTTTTTTTTTTTTTTAACCTCTGTCCTCAAATCCCACATTCCCAGCTGCATTATTCTCTTACCTCTGGGCTCCAGTCATCAAGGAACAGTTTGATATCCATCCCTGGGAAGCAGGCATCTCCTCTCATGCACTCCTGCTGCTAACCACCCTGGATACCAGAACATACGACGTTGGAGATGAGTGCTCCCTGCTTTGGTAACTTAAGAGACCAGAGTTACTGCCTCCACTGTTAGCTCCATATAGCAAAGTCTTAAATTAGCAGAAAGCAGCAGCCCATCAATCCCAGACCACTGATAAAAAATAAACATTCTCTTTAGTATGCAGATACTCTTAGGTTGAACCATATAACACTGTAATTTTTGTCAGTCAAAAATAGTAAACAGTAGTATTTCATGTGCTTCAAACAAAATGCTATTCACAAATGTATTAGTCTGTTTTCACGCTGCTGATAAAGACATACACAAGATTGGGTAATTTATAAAGAAAAGGGGGTTTAATGGACTCACAGTTCCACGTGGCTGGGGAGGCCTCACAATAATGGCAGAAGGTGAAAGGCACATCTTACATGGCAGCAGACAAGAGAGAATGAGAATGAAGTGAAAGGGATTTCCCCTTATAAAACCATCAGATCTACTGAGACTTATTCAATACCAGGAGAACAGTACGGGGGGAACTGCCTCCATGTTTCAATTATCTCCCACCGGGTCCCTCCCACCACACGTGGGAATTATGGGAGCTACAATTCAAGATGAGATTTGGGTGGGGACACACCCAAACCATATCAACAAGTAAACTTAAAGCTTACCTGCAGGGTACCTAGACACCTGAAGAGCCAGCCCTAACACTTCTCTCCAGCTACCAGAAGAAAGATGGAGTAAGTTATGTTGAAAACTTTTTAGCCAGCCAAACCATCCATGCCACACATCACAGTTTTCTTTGGTCCTGATTTGCTGTGATCTGTGAATCCTTCCAGGTATTTTTCCACTCCTCTCCACTCACACTGTACCACTTTTACCAGACCATTTGCAACTCCTCTCCCACAGTAAAGCTTCCTACATCCGTGCTCACTCTCCTCCCAGACCTAGCTATAACCCCGTTGCTGTGGTCTCTCAAGTGGAGGTGTTCCGTCTCCCACTAGCAGGGTGTGAGGTTGGGAGGTGAGGCATGCAGGCCCTCACCTGCCTCTTCATTCTTCTTCCAGACTGTCCCCCACCCTCTGGGTTTTTGAGACTCCCACAGTGCAACTATGCCACTCTCTGCATCTCCTCATCTTTGTCATCTTCCAGCTTCCTTGCCACTTCCTCTCAGTCAGTGATGACCCGTTGTTTTCTGTCCACCCCAATCCTGCCATCATCCCATGAAGGTTGCCCCCCATGTAGAGAACAAACCACCCTTATCATTTCAAGCTGTGGATCTTCTCTTCTTCCATGACCTGTGCCTACACTCCCCTTCAGTCATTCACCCCATGGCCCTGTTCTGGATCTCGTCACTCTTAGAACTGTATCACCTCTGGCATCTTATGTTTACATAGCCCATTCTGACAACAATCTCAGTGTCTCCCCTCCCCCAGTTACTCCCACCACACCTGTTGGTTAACTTCAAGTGACCTCTCCTCACTTGACCTACTAATTTCCCCTATATAATATCAGCTCCCTCCTATCTTCCCTTCTCCATCTAGCTTAAATTCTGTGGTCCATCAATGTAACCTCTCTTTCACCAGGATTCTGAACAACGTTGTTCCATTGCCTGTCTAACAAATCAGTGTTTCTCTCTTGGATGAATTCTACTCTTGGATAAATCCACCTTCCTGCTTTTTGCTTATATGTAGACAGCTGAGCACTGCTGGAGAAAATCACACCACTGGTGTCGCCATAAATCCATGACATCTAACTTCACCTGAGGCCACCTTCCATGCATCCAGGAATCCCTTCATGTTTCCTAGTCAACTAGCTCCTTCTTAGTCTCCACTTTTTCTACCCTCATCATACCTCTGGTCTCGCTTCTCCCCCTTAATCTCTGCAGAAGTATCTTGGTTCCTACTTCACTGAGAAAAAAGTCATCAGGTGGGAGTGCACAAAATTTTTGGCTGCCAGACGTATAAATATCTCTGCAACTATACCCTTCTCTCTTTTTCCCTCCTGTAAGGATGGAAGAGGTGTCCCTCCTCCTATCTGAGAGTAATTCTACCTCTGTGTTCTGGCCCCTCTTCTACCATCTCCAGATTATCATCCATTTTCTCTTCTGTCTCTATCTCGAACACCTGTCTCCAGCCTCTCTGACTACTGGTGCCTTCCTGTCAACATTTAGAAACACTTAAGCCTTTCCCACTCTTAGCATGGCTTCCCAATCCTATGTTCTCTTCTTGTTACTTCTTCCGTTTCTTCCATTTTCTCCCACATGTTTTATGGCTAAACTTCTTAAAACAATTGTCTACTCTTGCTTTCTTCATTTTCTACCTACTATGGACTCCTCGACCCACTACAGTCTCATCTCTGAGCTTACCATACCACAAAAACAGCTCTGGTCAAAGTCACTAATAATTTTTCTTGTTAAATTCAATAGACTTCCTTCCTCTAATTCCTTACTTGCTCTCTTGGCATCTTCTTTGTGTTGAAACATTCTCTGCCTTTGGTTTGGTGATACAGGGCACCCAGGTTTTCCTCCTACCTATCTGGCCACTTGTCTCTCATACTGAGTATATTCCTCCTATACTTTTAGTAGAGATGCTCCTTGGAGTGCTGTCCTTAGCAATATTCTATTGTCACTCTATAAATGTTCGGGGGAGAGCTCACCATGCTCATGGCTTCAAATATCATCTGCTTGCCTCTCTCTCCTCTGGTTGTGCCCACATGATGGTTTTCTCTATTTCTTCATTCTCTACTGGTTATTCATTTCCTTCTGGTGGGGATTCATTATTTGTTGCCTGGACCACTTCCAACCACAGGACTGTATCCAGCACCTAAATATTTCTACCACAACTTCAGTTGGTTTTTATTATCTACTTTTCAAATAAAAGCTTATTGTTAACTAACCATGGTTCAGTGGCAGTTGATCTGATATGAGCAAATTTTCAGTAAGATCCTGGTTCTAGAACTCACATTAATTGACTTAATGGTGATTTTTTATTTAGACTAATTTTGATTTTTTTTGAATGAAGCTTAAAATTCCAAATTATATCCAGAAAATCTGTTAGGCTTTCAAAAGGGCATTTGAGATTCTACAGTGTAAGTGAACATATTCAATCCTGTGCATAATAAGCAGAAGGAGCCTGAGACTTATTTTGGATTACCCAGTGGCATTCTAAGATATCAACCTGATTCAACACAGCTTACAGATAGATTTAAGAAAATGGGTTATGTGGTTATTCTCAAACAACAATAGCCACCAAACCATCTAATAAAGTGTGTGGGGTGCAGAATGAGTATGTGATTGGAATATGGTGCATCAGCCTTGCAAATAGCCACTTACTTCCAGAGTGGGTTGCAATTTGCTCTACGTCAAATGAATGGTGAAACGGCTGTATTGATTCATTGCACGATTTCTAAATCTATTGAGAGAATGAAAGAAAGGTTTAAAAATTCTTGATTTTATGCTTACTTTTCAGGTTGTAGAAAATGGATTTGACAGAAAACACTTGCACCTTGTTTCACTGAATGAGATCCCTCAGATACTGTTTCCAGATGATGGTGTTCTCTCGCCAAACATACTTAGCAAGAGGAACAACACACTTTGAAAATGCCTATCAAAGGCATTTAATCATAGTATAAAGACTCCCGGGGCGAACGGCGTAGGACAATCCTGCCCTGTTCACCATTACAGGTTTATTTAATGTATTCTGCACAGTGATGCTTCACATGGCAGTGAGGATGTTTGATATAGGCATCAGGATGTTTCTGATCCCCTAGGAAGCTTTTCTGCCTCAACAGGTTGCAAGGCTCCATGGCTGCCTTTGATGAAGCCATTTATCTTGGTGCCAGCAGGAGGGTGTTGAAAGTGTGTGCACGGGAAGGTATGCAGCAGATTATGCATGCTTTTGTGGAGTTAGATTATTATTGACAGTCAGCTTGGAGAAAAGTTAGGTTATTTGTCCTTCTGTATAAGGCTGCTGAACTTCTTTTATGAAAACAATGAGTTAGGATAATAGGGAGAGGTTCTTTCATTCCACCTCCCTGCTACTTATAGGATGCTTCGCTCAGGAGATATTGTAAAACAATTTCCGGTAGGCGTTGTGCCCATAGAATGAAATAACTTGACTGAAAATTTGTGCATTCATGTCTGCTCATCTGTAGTCTGCACTTCTGGGCAATGTCTGTGAAAACCGCAGAACCCATGCTCAAAATACTAGATAACTTAAATAGTAGCATGTGCCTGAACCTACGTCTGTTAGCTTTTGCTGTGTAACGAGCTTTCCCAAAACATGGTGGCTTTAAGCAACAATCATTTAGCTCATAATTTGGCAGGCTTCCTGGGAAGTTCTTCTGGTCTAGTCTGGCTCTACTGATTTCTGCTGGTTTCCTTCATCAGTCTGCAGTTAGCTGGAAGTTCCAGCAGGTGGCCAGATGAGCCAGAATAGCCTCACTTAATGTGTCCGGCAGTTGGCTGGATATTGGCTGTTAGCTGGCTGACTGTGGTTCTTTTTGAAGTGGCCTTTTATCCTCCAGAAAGCTAACTGAGACTCAGTCACATGATGGCCTCAGGATCTCAAGCACAGGAAGAGGGCAAACCCCAAAATGCAAGAGTCTTCAAGCCTCTGCTTGAGTCATGTTGCTTGGCTGTTGTTCCACTGGTCAAAGCAAATCACTTAGTCCAGATTCAGAAAATAGAGGCAAGTGCCCCGCGTCTTGATGGGAAGAGCTGTGACATCAATCTTGCAAGGGTATGGATGTAGGGGGCAGGAGAATTTTTTATCATATTTTACAATTTACCACAGAGCTATTTAGAATTTATAGTGTTTTCACATGCATTAAACCTCACTATAGCTATGTGAGACAAAAGCTATGATTCCCTTTCCACAGATGAGTAAACTGGCTCAGAGAATCTGAGTAGTTTAACCAGGTAACAAGCAATAATGTTTGTGCCCCATGGCACAGCAGCCTGAACTGTAAAAATAGAGAAAGCCTCTGCCATGCCATTAATTCTAAAACCACATCTTTGGTATCCCAGCATGGATTTTCTGTTTGTTCATTTATCTCATATCAGATGGTTCCCAAATCTAATGAGAATCTCTGACACTTGTTTAATGTGTCATCTCCTGGCACTTGTTAAAATGCAGATTCCAGGGCTCCACCAGAGATTCAGATTCAGCCAGTTTGCTGAGGATTAGGGGTCTGCATTTTTGACAAGGAACTCCGGGAATCCTGATGCACATGGCCTGAGCTCTACAAGTTGAGAAATACTGGCTTCTATTATGATACTGAGTGTTCCCAGCATGGCGTATTTTCATGCTAGAAAGTCCACACATGATATTTCCTTTGGTCAGCTTTCCAGATCTATGAGTTAATAGCATTTGGGCAATTCTTTAATTTCTCTGAGGCTTTGTCTTGACAGCTTCAAAATAAGGACAATTGGAAAGACTCCCATAAGACTGGTGTGAAGATTAAATGACTAGCCTATGAAGCACTGAGCCCGGTGCCTAGTAGATCCTAAGTGTTCCTTTTTCTGCTTTCTTTATCCTGAGAAGCTACAAGACCAATTGATAAGGCAAGTCTATGAGATGTGAAAAAAGTTGTTTGTAGAATACACTGCAGACTTGCACTGTCAATGCCTGTAAGTGAGAAGTGATGGTCAAATATTCATCAGCATGTCAAAAAGCACATAGCTCTGTTTGAGAAAAAAAAGTATCAGATTCTTTAGACGCCTAAGAATCATGATTGGAAAGAGTGACGGGCTTGGTAGGCAACAGCTGTTGTCATTAGAGACCCAACTATATGCACAAGAGGCACAGAAGGGCTGGTCATGCCTCAACCCCTCCAGTCTTTTCCAAATTGCTGCGAACTTTCAGTGTCAGCACTATTGTCTGTACATCCCCAGACAATGACAAAATGTATAATGATTCTATATTAAGACTTGGCCTTACTCAAGTGAATCGTGTCAATGTGGATAGAATCCCTACAAAATATTTTCTTATAATAATATAAATGAAGCATCTACAACATGGCACGTGGCATATTATTTCCAGATCCTGTGGGGGTTTTTAAAAAAGCTTCTGTGTTAAAGTGATGAGCAAATAGCTTGTTTCCTGCAGTTTTGCTATTTCAGCACTTTCTTGCCTATTTTTTATGCTTCTTCTCCCACTGTATCTCTGTCCAGTCTGTTTCCCCTTTTCCTTCATAGCTTCTGTCTTTGTAAATGTCATGATTTTAATTCTTTGTTTCTTCTTTCTTGTGTGTGTGTGTGTGTGTGTGTGTGTGTGTGTTTTAAAGAAAAGGTGCCCTTTTTATCTAAACAATCAGAATCCAGTTTAAAATGAGTGTCTTTATTCTGTTTTATGGTATTTGCCTCTCTGCCTGTGGTCATCGTCTCTACCAGCAGATGGAGCACATCTCCTATGTTAAACACCACCGTAGGTTGTAGGGTGGGGTGTTTTTCCCTCATCTGTCATTTTTGCTGCAGTGAAATAGTAGTTGGAAGCTGGTGTAATACAAAGCAAACCCCCTAATCTCGGCTAGACTACAGCATATACTTTTCTGACTCATGTCAGCAATGCAGGGCTTAACAGCAGCTGATCTAGATAGGCGGTAGCTGAAAAATAATGAGGGTTTTGTGCATGTGTGCATGCTTTTGTGGTCTACCCTTTTTTTCCAAGAGTTGGCAGCTTTGCGTCAAAGGTACCCTTTCTTCTCCTCTCTCCTTTCCTCTTCTTCCTTTTGAATATCTTGACTTTACCTCTCTGCTCTTTCTCCTTAGTGTCAAGGCTCCCGGTTCACAGTGATATGCACTTGTCTTTAAACCTCAAAGTAAAATTATAGGTTGTTAGAGCGTGAAGGAAACTTAAACATCATCTAATATTGAAAGCAATAGGGCCCAGGTTAACAAAAGATTCATAATGAGATTTGGCACAGCCCATGTCATTGGATCAGACTGTTATTATGGTCATCATTATCATTGTTATTGAGCTGTCATTCCTTAATGTTGGAATGATGGCATACAGAATTTTCTTTTTCTTTTCCTTTCTTTTTTTTTTTTTTTGAGACAGGGTTTCACTTCTGTCACCCAGGCTGGAGTGCAGTGGTGCAATCTCGGCTCACTGCAACCTCCGCCTCCAAGCAATTCTTGTGCCTCAGCCTCCCAAATACCTGGGACTACAGGCATGCGCCACCATGCCCGGCTAATTTTTGTATTTTTTGTAGAGACAGGATTTTACTATTTTGCCCAGGGCTGGTCTCGAACTCCTGGCCTCACGCGATCCATCCACCTCGGCCTCCCAAAGTGCTCATATTACAGGCATGAGCCACTGCGCCCGGCCATATAGAGAATTTTCTGACTTGCCTGTTTTAACTAAAGTTACCGAACAATACTGTCAAAAGCTGATTTGATCATTTTAATCAAATCAACCAGCTGTTTTAACTTTGCTGTATGTTGGGGAAGACACAAGCCTGAGCTTTCGAATCAGTTTGTTCCATATGTTGCTGCTGCAGTATCATGTGCATTTGGAAACTTAGATACTTAGAATTTCTCAAAGGTCTGTCAGAATCAACTGGGATACTTGGAAAAACACAAATTCCTGGGCCCCATTCCTGTTCTGCAGCACTAGAATCTTTAAGCTAAGAGCTTGGGAATTTGCATTTTTAACCATTTCCCACAAGTGAGTCTCATAGACCTGAAGTTTGAGAACCTAAAACTTAAGATATGATGATCACTGATTCTTGCTGCATCTCATCTGTTTTGGCTGGGCCTCCCTCACTAACCACTTCCATTTTTGGGAAAGCAAAGCAAAGGGGCAGAACTTAGGATTGGGAATCTTTTTTCCTAATTCATCATTGGATACAGCGTACTTTGGAGTTAGATATACCTGAGTTTGAAACCAGACTTGACTAAATGCTTACTATGTGAGCTTCAGCAAGTGACTGACCTTGCTAAGATTCAGCCACCACATTTGTAAAAATGCGGGTCATCATGTGGACTTCATAGAGCTGAGGTAAAGATGAAATTAGATGATGCTTATAAAGGGCTTAGCACAATTCCCAGATGCTGGTAAGTGTGTAATACATGGAATCTATTATCATTAATGGCAGCATTTCCATCCACTGAAGAAAAATTCAGCCCATATGACACCAAAAGCATGATTCACAAAAGAAAAACTGGACACACTGGACTTCATCAAATTAAAAACTTTCGCTTAGAAAAAGACCCTGTTAAAAGGATAAAAGACAAGTCACCAACTGGGAGAAAATATTTGCAAATCACATGTCCAACAAAGACTCCTATCCAGAATATACAAAGAACTCTCTAAATTTAACAGTAAGAAAATAAACAGTCCAATTAAAAAGTGGACAAAAGACTTGTACAGAAACTTCAGCTAAGAGGATATATCGATGGAAAATAAACACATGAAAAATTTTTCACCATCGCTAACCATTAGGGAAATGTAAATTAAAACCACAATGAGATACCACTGCATTACAATGGCTAAAATAACAACAATTGCTGGCAACACCTGACATTAACATTTGCTGAAGAATGCAGAGATACTGAATCTTTCACACATTGTTGGTAAGAATGTAAAATGGTACAGCCACTTTAGAAAGCAGCATTGCAGTTCCTTAAAAATTAATCATATGCTTACTACATGACTAGCAAGCATTACACATCTGGACATTTATCTTAGAGAAATGAAAACTTATGTTCACACCAAAACCTGTGTGTGAGTAGTTATAGCAGCTTTACAGGTAGTAGTCCAAAACTAGAAATGACACAAACGTCTTTCATCAAGTGAATGGTTGAACAAATTGTGGTACATCCATACCATGGAATACTATTCAGCAATAAAAAGGAATGAACTATTGATACACACAACTAGGATGAATTTTAAGGTCATTATATTGGATGAAAAAACCAATCTGAAAAGTTGACATAGCAAATGATTCCATGTATATAACATTCTTGAAATGACAAAATTATAGAGATGTAGAACAGGTAAGGGGTTGCCAGGGGTTAGGGAAGGGGAGGAAGGGAAGGAAGTATAACTAAAATTAAGGCCGCATGAAGGAGTTCCTTTGTAGTGATGGAACAGTTCTGTGTTTTGATTGTGGTGGTGGTTTCACAAATCCATATATGTGATACAATACTGCAGAATTATATACACATACAAAAAAAATGAGTGCATGCAAAAACTGGTGAAATCAGAGTAAGATCTGCAGTATAGTAAATTGTATAGTATTGTGCCAATTAATTTCTTGGTTTTGATAATGCATGATAGTTATGTAAGAGGTCACCATCGGTGGGAGATGAGTGATGGGTACATTGGCTTGCATTACTTTTATAGCTTCTTGTGAATCTGTAATTATTTTACAATTAAAAGTTTAAAAATTTAACAACCAAATTGCAGCCCCAGTCTCAGAATATCAACAGCTAATTGAATCAGTAAATGAGTGGGAAAAAAAACCCTTGGTAATACTGGTTTTCATATGAATTTGCAGGCCAAAAACTAGATTTCGAAAAGGCATATGATGCAAAAAAGTTTTGAGGAGACCTATGTCAATGAAAAGAGTCAACCTCTAAAATATTTAAGAGATTTATTCTGAGCCAAATATGAGGACCATGATCCATGACACAGCTCCAGGAGATCCTAAAAATATGTGCCCAAGGTGGTCAGGCTACAGCTTGGTTTTATACATTTTAGGGAGACATAAGTCATCAATCAATACATGTAAGATGTATATTGGTTCAATCCAGAAAGGCGAGACAACTTGAAGCAGAGGGGCTTGCAAGTCATAGGTGGATTCAAATACTTTTCTGATTGGCAAATGGTTGAAAGAGTTATTAGCTAAAGACCTGGAATCCATAGAAAGGAACGTTTTGGTTAAAGTAAGGGGTTGGCCAGGCATGGTGGCTCACGCCTGTAATCCCAGCACTTTAGGAGGCCAAGGTGGGCAAATCACGAGGTCAGGAGTTCGAGACCAGCCTGGCCAACATGGTGAAACCCCGTCTCTACTAAAAATACAAAATATTAGGTGGGCGTGGTGGTGGGCGCCTGTAATCCCAGCTGCTTGGGAGGCTGAGGCAGAAGAATCGCTTGAACCCGGGAGATGGAGGTTGCAGCAAGCCAAGATTGCACCACTGCACTCCAGCCTGGGCGACAGTGCAAGACTCTGTCTCAAAAAAGTAAATAATAAATAATAAATAATAAATAAATTATGGGGTTGTGGAGACCAAGGTTTTACCATGCAGATGAAGTCTCCAAGTAGTAGGCTTCAGAGCTCTTATCAGACCTTGAAAGGTGCATGACTCTTAGTTAATTCTCTCCTATATCACGGAAAAGACCTGGAAAGGGAAAGGGACTCTCTACAGAATGTAGATTTTCCCGAGGGACAGCCTTGCAGGGCCATTTCAAAATATGTCAAAGAAATATATTTCAGGGTAAAATACTTTGATTTATTCCAGATCCTGCTATCTGTCATGTGATGTATCTTATTGCTACAAAAAGTCTGTTTGGTCAGTCTTAAGATCTCTGCTTTAATGTTAGTGCTGGTCAGTTGTCCCTGAATTCCAAAGGGAGTAGGGTATAATAGAGCATGTCTGACCCCCTCTTCCCATCGTGTCCTGAACTAGATTTTCAGGTTTACTTTGGAATGCCCTTGACTGTGAGGGGGGCTCATCAGTTGGTTGGGGAGCTTAGAATCTTATTTTTGGTTTACACATATGATTGATACTGAAATTTTCTTAAGACGATTACTAGGCTGTGTTTTTTTCTTTCTTGGGCTGGCTATATGCCACGCTATCACCAGAGCTCTAACATCTTCCAGAATATTGGGAGGGAAAATTTTTTTAAAAATAGGCCAGGCATGGTGGCTCACACCTGTTATCCTAGCACTTTGAAGGCTGGGGCAGGAAGATTGCTTCAGCCCAGGAGTTCAAGACCAGCCTGGGCAACATAGTGAGACCCTGTTTCTATATTATAATTTTTTGAAAAGAAAAAGAAATGTAGTGTTGAAATTATTCTTTGATCGCAATTTACTCTTTTCTCCATTATACAAATGCCTAGTTTTCTGGCCATTTAAAAATTCTAAAGAGCAATGATAAGGTGACTTTTGTAGCACCTTTTCTAAGCACAAAAAGTTAAAAGTGGTTGGTGGCGTCAAAAAGCGTTAAAAAGTCACCCAGAGTTGTATTCAGAGAAAGGACAGCTTAAAAGAGCAACAGAGCAATTCAGCCCTTAAGCAGAGACCTTATTTATATGCCACATTTCAGCTGGGAAGAGATTTTATGACCAAATCTTAGAGCTTTAAAGATGAAGTCTATAATATAAACATCCTGGCAGCATTAACTCTAACAGCACAAGGAGAACTTGATGCACACCCCAATTTATTATTTTGGTTCTCTTCTGCATGAAAGATATTTCAATAGTCAGTGTAACACTTTCATTTATATTATTCTCATCTCTGGACTTTCGGATGTGATACAAAGCTATGTGTAAAATTGAGTTATAAACTTTAATGCATATTTGAAACCACAGAATAGATTTAGATTTGGGGTTCTAGGATGAACTTCATCACTTCATTCCCCTTGACAAGATAGAGTTATGGATTTAGGATGAAGAAACAAGGATTCCATTATGATTTGCTATGGCTTTTCATTCAGGAAGGGGTAAATGGGAGCTATTTATTCCTTCTTGGGTTACCAGTTAGGTCAATATAGTGAAATTAAAATAAGGCAACAGGGCCGGATGCAGTGGCTCACACCTGTAATCCCAACACTTTGGGAGGCCGAGGCAGGCAGATCACTTGAGGTTGGGAGTTCGAGACCATCCTGGCTGATATGGTGAAACTCCGTCTCTACTAAAAATATGAGCGGGAGTGGTGGCGAGTGCCTGTAATCCCAGCTACTTGGGAGGATGAGGCAGGAGAATTGCTTGAACCTGGGAGGCAGAGGTTGCAGTGGGCAGAGATTGTGCCACTGCACTCCAGCCTGGGTAACAGAGTGAGACACCATCTCAAAAAAAAAAAAAAAAAAAAAAGCAATAGGTAGAGAAAGTAACAAACGTCCTATCAATTCTATGCTTTCTGTAAACCCAGCCTCCGAGCCTTCTTATATACTGTTCCCTCTATTAGGAGTGCTCTTCTGTCTTCCTCTCTCACCTCAAACTACCCCTGCCCCATCCTTTCTAGTGAATTTCTACTCATCCTTAAAAACTTAGAGCAAAAGCTACTTCCTAAAGGAAGTCCTAGATTGGATCAGGTCCCCCACTGTACCCTCTCCTATTATCCTGGACTTCTCATTCATAGCCTTTATCAGGGGTACAAATTAAAAAATTATTAGTTAAATTTTCATATTATGTCTTTTCTACTGCACCATAAAGTCTACCAGGGCAGAGAGATGCCTAACCTACACAGATCCATATCCCCAGCACAGTCTCTGGTATATAGCAGATATTCAACAAACATTTGTTGAATAAAGTAAAGAATGAATGAAGGTAAAAGTAGAATCAGAGAAATTGTAATAGTTGTGATATCCAACATTTATTGATCACTTACTATACATCATGCTAGGCACTGCATTGAATGCTTTTCATATGCTATGCCATTCAATTCTTACCACAATCCTAAGAGAGAAGTGCTATTGTTATCCCCATATAACAGATAAGACAACTGAGGCTTTAGAGGGTTTGAGGAAGTTTCTCAAGTTTACATAGCTGGTAACATTTTTTAGTCATGTAACAACTTTTTTTTTTTTTTTTTTTTTGAGACCGAGTCTCACTCTGTCACGCAGGCTGGAGTGCAGAGGCACGATCTCAGCTCACTGCAAGCTCTGCCTCCCGGGTTCACGCCATTCTCCTGCCTCAGTCTCCCGAGTAGCTGGGACTACAGGCGCCCGCCATCATGCCTAGCTAATTTTTTGTATTTTTAGTGGAGACGGGATTTCACCGTGTTAGCCAGGATGGTCTCGATCTCCTGACCTCGTGATCTGCCTGCCTTGGCCTCCCAAAGTACTGGGATTACAGGCGTGAGCCACCGCGCCCCACCAACAGCTTTTTTTCCTATTCCTTTTCACTGTCTACTCCCTTCTCTATCCGTTCTATATCTACATCCACCCTTTCTCTGTGGATAAAATTCCTGATGTAAATGTCAGAGAGCAGTCACTTTGTTCTAAGCATGCTTTGAGGACGTTGCTCCCTAGGGAGAAGCTGCTTCTAGAGCAAGTATTTGATGCAGCGAACAAGGGAAGATCAAGTTGCCTGATTCGGGGCTTCAGTATAGCTCGGTAGCAGTCTGTGTATGTTTGGATGATACACTGGGGCAGGTTCAAAACAACTGTTCTGCTTACTCTAATATATATGATAATATCGTACTTTAGTTATGGGGGTAATTTTTAATCTAAGGGTCTGAAAGTTCTTTTTCAATGTATCAATTTCAGAAAAATACAATATAACTTTAAATATGGACTCATAATACTATTGAAAATCAAATATGTGAGCAGCAAACTGCCAATATTTAATTTTTTTCAAATCTGACTTCATGGTTGCTCCACCGATGCTAGCTAGTGCTATCATCATGACTATCATGGTTTACTAGTTTTAAAATATATGTTACATACCAAGTAGGCTGTGGTAGCTTTCTCTGTGGCATTTGGGAACACATTAAAAATAAGCAGCTTGACTTTTCATCCCCTTCACACCCTCTGCATTTCCCTTTTGGAGAGCTCAGAGGGAGGTGAAGTGGGAAGAAAATCAACACAAAGAAAGGAGAATAGAATTTTACCCCTGTAGAAAACAATGTGTAAAATCAAATCTATTGTTCTTAATTCAGGTTCGGCTTCCATGCTTGCCTTTTTGTGTCTATCATTTTATTTTGGTTTAATAGTGATTTTCCATTCAGAAGTGTTCTTGTACTTATCTCTCTTTCTGCCTATCTTTATAGTCCTGCTGTGCCATTTGATGTTGCAGCTTCAGTTTATTTTGGTATTGTTCTTGATGATTCTCACTTCCTTCGCTATGGTCATTCATTTTTATCTACATCCTTTTGTAATTCTCCATTCCCTCTTCATTTCTCAGATCCTTAACATATCTATTTTTTCAACTCCCATATATTGTTTCTCAACCTTGACCCTTTTGGTTAACAAGTTTTATTCTCGTAATTTATCCCTACGTGTTTTATTTTGTAAAATTTCTCTGTAATTTCTCTAATTGAATTTCCAGCCACATATTTCTTTTTGAGATTTACTTTTGGCAGTGTTCACTTGGTTACTTTCTTCTTTCATTCTGCCTTTTCATCCCCACTTTTTTGGTCTTCAGTTGTATGTGGACCAAGCAGTATGAAGCTGTGAGTGAGGGCAAGTAGAAGAAACACTGGAGTTAGAGTGAGAAGGGCTGAGCTCAAGTCTAAACTCTGCCACTTAATCCTCAGAACCTCATCTGTAAAACAAAAATAATGATATTACCAGCTCTGCTAAGGGATCAAATGAGATAAAATACTTATAAACAGACTACAAATGTCTCCTACTTGAGGAACCTTTGGTCTTCATGGAACTTTTATTCCATAAAATGGTACCTCTTTTCCAGTTAATACAAAGCCAAAATAAAATGATGATAAGTGTTAATCATCAAATGCTTAAAACTGTCTCGAATTCTCCAAGAGGGTCAAATTAACCTCTTGGTAAAGGTATTTCAGTAATGGCACAGAGAATGCAGATTGTATCTACATCTCTCAGGTATAGAACATACCCCAAGAAGCTATGCATTTGTGTCAGAGGAGGTTGTAGAGGAAGGAATGGCATATGAAAACTTACTTGAAATACTAAAATTAAATTAGAATTAAAGGAGATCTTAGGCTCTAGGATTCAGAAATTTTTACTCAAATTTCCCATACAAAGGACTCCCATCTTAATCATTCACTTAAGTAGGTTGTACAAATTTTGCATAAATACTTTCAGTAACGAGTGTTTGCTATTTCAAGAAGCAACCCATTTCATTGTCAGTTGTCCTGTTTCGAGCAAAATCACATATAACATTCACCTACCAATTCCAGCAACTTCCTGAACAAGTCCAATTCTTCTTACCTGGGGCAGCTCTTTGATATTTCTGAACAGCTTCTGGGTTATCTTTTCTAAAGCTCAAATTCTTGCCCCTTTGACTGTTTCTTGTATAATGTGGTTTTCCAATACTCTTCAATGTTCCAGACTACTCCACTGGTCAGTGGCCTCTACAAACCTGATCATCCTGAGCTGGACATAGTACTCTGGACCTGTTCCTACCATAGAGATCTGGACAAAGTGATGTCACATAGGAAGTTTACTTGCCTTGGAAACATGGGAGCTATCACTGATTTTACAGAATTGCATTATAGTCCATCAACTTTCCAGCAGGAGTCAACAAGTTTTCCTATGTATGTGTGTCAAGAACTTCCATAAACTAATTTATTTTCAGTAAGATGGTGAGAGTTTTGAGTTAAACTATAGATAATTTCTTATTGCTACGTAGAAACCAGAGGTGTGTGTTCAATATAATTGGAACTGTGGAATTCTTTAAGGTGGCAATGTTCAATATGTCATGTTTATGCAAAAGATAAAATACTTGATGTCAAGCTCTTATCATTATTTTTAAACTGTTACTGAGTTTTTACTCTGTGCTCTGCATGTAAAGTGTTTTATATATGGAACAGCCCTGTGAGGTAGGATAATTATCATTCCCATTTTACAGATCAGGATAATGAGGCACAGAGAAGTTTATTAATGTGTCCAAGGTTGTCTAGCTAGCCAGAATCTGAACCCAGGAAGTCTGAATCCTGACCCTATACTGCCTCACCTCCCTAGGCAGTGCATAATTGGAAAATATTATGTCAGTTAATTGGTTACGTTTCCCTAAAAGAAAAATATGAACAAGACATTATCCCAAAGATTCTTTTTCCCAAGTTTCCAAGGTCCATTTTATGTACTATTGGTATCTCAAGGTGATCTGAAGGGAGAAAAATAGTTCCTGTGTTTAAGGTTACATTGTTAGTAGCCATTTTTTCTCAACTTTGCCACTTTGCCCATGAAATGGAAATGACAGATTTTCATGACATATTGTACATGAGACCACTTTGTAGGCAGTGAATACATTGTACATGCTTATAGCTTCTCAGATTATTCATAAATCTCACATGCCTAAAAATGCAATTTAAAACAGTTTCTTCTCCAATTGTTTGCATTTTTCAAAGGGTTTTAAAACTTGTTTCATTGACAGTTCTAAGCAGTTAAAACACGCATAATAATAATGAATTAAGAAGTTTAAGAATGTTTTTACAAGTGGACTAAATGTGTAGGGAATGGTAGAGGACAAGAAATGGAAACAATCTTGTAATAGTACATCATAATTGTCCAAAGCACAAATTCAGTTAGCTTCAACTATCTATGATGCTCAAAGAAGCATGGGGGAGAAATTTACATTCGTTATGTTGGGTCTGTCCTGTATATCCTTGTAATAACAACCATAACAGCAACAATAAAGCCCCAATGACACAAAGAAATTCTCAAAATTAATATTGTGTTTTAATGGGACAATATGAATGTCTTACATCCATCTCTATTTTAACATCTGAGTCCTATTTATTAGCGAACTTCCTTTTATCCATCTTTGTTCCTCACACACTATGAGTAATTCTTTCAGTTGTTCATACTATCTCCCTTCATGTGATATATTTACCGAATTATCATGGCCCACTTATAAGCATCGCTTTGGAAGACGAAACAAAGTAAGTCCATTCAATCTCTGTGCAAATGACATTTTCAAAAACAAATTGAAAAAAAATCCATTCAATATAAGATGCAATAAAAATGCCGTAAAAACTGGATACAAAGTCAAACCAAGCAAGTTTGTACTTTTTAATTATTGTCTTTCTCAAATGGGAAGGAAAATAAAAAATACAAGAACTTTAATTTTTGAGACCAGACTGGGAAACTGTAATTACATTAGCAACATCCAACAGTGTTATCAACACTGAGCAATTCCTCTCATCTCAACACAGCAGCCGACTCAGAAAATCACACCTTCTAGCTCATGGGATTTGTGACACTTGGTAATGCATGTGTAATTGGGTAAAAATAGTCATTACTGCAAACTTTATTTTTTTTATTTGCTTCTGTATTTCTCTAAAGGAAAAAATACTCATGGATCTCCTGCTGCTGCTTCAAGAAGGCTATGGGCAGATTCTGTTTGAAGGAGTATATAGCATGACTTTTTTCAGTCCCAGTCATGTAAGTGCTGCCATATTCCTGACAGGAAAGAAGAGGTGCCAGCAGAATCACTGGGAGTTCTCCTTCTTACAAAGCAGCAGGAGCTGCCTGGAAGGTTCCCAATCACTTTCTCTTGACCAGATCTCCTTGTCTCCATTTATGCTAATTTCTCACATTCTTGGATGCTGCTTCCAGACCATATTCCTAAAATATGAATCAATAATATTCCTCCTCTGCTCAAAAACCTACCATGGCCTCTTATTGCTGATTGCTTAAAGTCTATCCTTCCAGCATGCAACCAGAGAATAAATTCATTAGGAAATGTAGCCCCATTCTCTTGGTAATACTTATTTTCCTCTTTTCTATACCTTGAACCCTCTGCTTTTGTCTTGTTTGGTACCAGTGTTCTACTTTTGTTGGTGGCGTGTTCTCTCCTTGAACTGCCTTTTCTTCTCCCTTTTGCCTACTCAAATCTCTGCCTTTCCTCCAGCCCTCATCCATCCCTGAGGCCTTCTCTATCTTCCTATCATTCAGATAAAAAGGCCTTTTCTGCAAGAAAGGAACAAAGCCATACAAAGGCAGAAGGGGATTTAGGGGTGGGAAAGTTTACCCCTCACCTTTAATTCCATGTCGTCTAAATATATAATTGCCACATTTCATTCCATTTTAACTCCACCTAGTAGATGTTCCGTGGCATCTTATTTTTAATTCTTTCATTTATTTTTTGAAACAGAAAGTTACCACTTTCTTCCAAAGTTGTCAGTCCTCCTCTGTGTTCTGTCTCTTTGATGCTACCTTATACTCAGGATGCACAAACCTGAAATTCCAAACATCGTCCTTCAGAATTCTTTTCTCTCCTTTGCTGCACATCTGGTCTTCAAGAACTATAGTTTCTAATGTTAACATCTTCTCCTCCTCTTCACTGTTGCTCCCTTAGTTGAACCTTCACCGTTTCCCTGAAGATTTTCTGTAGCAGTCTCCCAATAGATCCCATATGCTTAATTCATTTTCCACGTTTGTCTTTGTTCTGAAGGGAAAATATGATCATTTAAGGAAAAAATTCCGGAGTGGCACTCCATTGCTTTTAGTGTACAATTGAAATTTTGTAGTTGAACTGCCACGTTTTCTCTGATCTGTCTTGCTTCTTTCCTCGCATCCTTTCTTCCTCTTACTGTCAGTCTTATCCTTCCCCACCACTTGACCCTGAACATGACAAGGTCCTTTATGACCCACATCACTCTCTCTACCTGCAATGTGTTACCCCATCTTTTCTCCTCATCCCCTATTCAATCACCAAAATTCCTTAAAAGAATCATCACAACTGAGGAAGTTTCCAGAACATCCAGATCTAGGTAACATTCTATTTCTCTGTGTGTACTTAATCCTATCACAGCACTTAATCGTCACTTTTAATGTTGGTCTGCCCAAATAAAGTCTGAACATTGTGAAGGCAGAGCACCTAGCATCTAGCACAAGACCTGGCGAAAATGAAGTCCTCGTAAATAATTATGAATGCATGAATAAATAGCATGTAATCCAAAGTTTCTCCATATGGCTTTTTATTTTTAGAACTGTTCATTGGTCTACATACATATGTTTTTCTAAGATTACAAAGACTTTGACAATCAAGGACTCGGTGTCTCTAAAACTGCACTGGAATAGCCTTACACAGGAGGGAGTTTGAGAAATACACTAGGGATCATGACTATTAGAGTAAGAGGCCTAATATGTGGACTGATCAAGAGGCTACATTTACACCTTTATTCCTCCTTTCTGCTCAGCCTTTAATAGATACATCTTTGGGTTATCGAGCAGAAGAGTAATCATTTCTCAGGACATCATTTTCAGGTCTAGCCAAGGGCACCCATCAACAGAGCCCATCATCAGCTGCGGTTGACCAGAGCTCTAATTTGGCCGTTATCACTGAACTCTTTTGTAAGAAAGGTTGACTAAGCAGTGAACTTGTCTGTTTCACAAGATATAGAGAGCTCTCCCTCTAAACTCCCTTAAGTTTCAAGACCTTTCTTTCTTGTTAATGTCTGGGAACCATAGATGAAGTATAAATAACCACTGAGGGAGTGGTGCGATAGAGACATAATGGCAGATCAACAATCGAGCAGGCTAGAATCCTGCTCTCGATGAAACTATTAATATCACAACCAGAAAATCTATTGGCACAGTGGTTTCAATATCTTAAACTTATACAGAATTTAGAATGAAAAAGACAGTGTATGTATTCAGTAAATGGAGTAAATACAGGAACCAAAATGCATACCAAATGCTCATCATATTGTCAAACTTGTCCAGTTCCATGTATTTTCTTTTTTTGACATTTGGTTGACCTGGGGCTCGATCATGTTTTTGGAATAATTTGAAACATGGTCTTCCCATGTATTTTTCCATAGCCTGCTATATTGTACTGTATCATATAGCTCTTCCATACCAGCCAAATTGCTCCACAACTTGTTCCTAAAATAGTCTTGGCTGGCGCAGTGGCTCACGCCTGTAATCCCAGCACTTTGGGAGGCCAAAGCAGGCGGATCACCTGAGGTCAAGAGTTCGAGACCAGCCTGGCCAACATTGTGAAACCCCCGTCTCTACTAAAAATATAAAAATTAGCCAGATGTGGTGGCAGGCACCTGTAATCCCAGCTACTAGGGAGGGTGAAGCAGGAGAATTGCTTGAACCCGGGAGGTGGAGGTTGCAGTGAGCCGAGATCATGCCACTGCACTCCAGCCTGAGCAACAAGAGCAAGACTTCGTCTCAAAAAAAAAAAAATTACATAAACCTCACGTTCTGACTTTTGCCTAGAATCCCTTCCACCCCTCATATCACCTTTTTCGGAGTTATGTCCTTTCTTAAAGACCTAGCTAACTTGATAAAAAGTGTATGGTACTAGAAAGGCAAAATGAGTACTAACTTTGAAGGAGTTTATCTTGCAGGCAGAAAAGATCCCAAGAGGGTTGAATCGGGGTATGTGCAACGTGATCAGAGCTTTGTTTAGGAATAGAACTCTCCTCCAAGATATTACCATCCCAAAATAGGTACTAGTAGTGCCTTGGTTCATTTAGGAGAGTTAATATGATAATTTGTGACTGTTACTTTTTGAGTAAGTTATAGACTCACTTAAGTCATGAAACTTATGTAAGGTATAAAAATCTAAGCAATAGTAACTTCATTCTTAAATTTTTTATTTTCAAAGTGCTTCATGAACATTATTCCAAAATAATACTGTCAGTGTTATACCAAGAAGGATAACTGATGGACTCTAGATCTAAATGTCAGTAGTACTATCATGGCAAGCAGGAACTGCTCCTGCTTCAAATTCTAAATAGCATTAGGTCGTTAATTAACTTATTCATTCAAAACATTTTTTGGTTTCCTATTCCAAGTAGTGTTAGAGGCACTTAAGACAAAACAGCAGAAAGAACAGACAAAAATCCCTGCCCTCATGGAGTTTATATTCCAGAAGGAGAAGACAATGAAAAAATAAATAGTAAAAAATATGATAGGATAGAAAGTGATGGATGTTACCAAGGGAAATGAAGCAGGAAAGGGGGATAGGATGCAGAGAGAGGAGATCTCATTAAGGAAGGCTCACTGATAAAGTGATAGTTGGGCATAGAATTGAAGGAGGTGAGGCAACACGTCAGAAAATAAGAATATTTATGGTAGATTGTTTGCAAAAATGAACACAAAAATTGCCATTCCTATATCCATGTCCTTGGGTAGCCCCTTTCACACTGAGTCTAGATTTAGTCATGTGACCTACTTTGACAACAGTAATTATGACCCAAGCAGAGACTTGAAATGTATTATGCGCTGTGGTGCTTTCTCTCTCTCTCTCCCTCCCTCCCCCTCCCTCCCTCCCTCTCTCTCCTCAGAAACTTGTGACCACTATTATGTGAACAAGCCTGGGTTATACTGTTAGATGACGAGAAGCATATGGCCAATTCATTCCCATTGCCCTATCAACATCAAACCACTGCTATCCTAATATAAAAGCATTCGTAGATAATAAATAAACAAATGGACATAGATGTGTTCTAAAAAAACTTTACTTGTAAAAAGAGTTAGCAGACCAGATTTGGCTAGTAGCCTGTAGTTTGCTGACTGCAGCCCTGGACCTTCCACCCTCAGCCGAACTGGTTGATGAGAACTGTCCAGTCAACCCAGAGAATCCTGAGAAGTAATAATTGATTGTTGTTTTACTCCATTATGTTTTAGATTGCTTTGCTATATAACAAAACTTAACTGCTACCATGTTCCAGACAGAAGAAACTAGATACAAAAATCCTAAGAAGTTAGTAGTCTTGAGGTACTTTACTAATTATAAATAGAGAAATGTTGCTGGAGTCAAGTGAACAAGGAGAGCAGTAGAAGGAAATAAGGGCAGAAGAAACAGGATGGGGTAGGGAAGGGGATAGGCCTAATGTATGAGCTGTGAGGACCATTGTAACAGAGGAGTGACATGATTTGGCTTCTATTTTTAAAGCTCAGTCTGGCTGCTGTATTGAAAATAGTCTGTATAGTACCAGGGAAAAAGCAGGGAGATCAGAGTCCGTTGTGACAGCCTGGGTGGGAAGTGGTGGTAGATAGAATATGGGTGGTAGCAATGGAGGTTGTGACAGGGGGTCAGAATCTGTGTATATTTTGCCTAAGATTCACTGATAATTTGGATGTCAGGTACATGAGAAAGAGAGGAATTAAAGATGACTTTATGGCTTTTGTTCTGAAAAATTGGAAATTTCCATAAATTTGAGATGGAGAAGGTATGGGGAAAAATATGAGGAGTTCTATGTGGTACACTTACCTCCCATGATTTGATATAACGTCTTTGGGAAAATATAGTCAATTACATAAATTTTTAATCAAAAAACCATGTAGTTTATTTAAAAGCCATAATACCCTAGAGGCATAGTATGTGTGTGTATATATATGTATATACTTTATATGTATGTATGTATATATTTACGTATTATTAAAAACGACAAACTTTGCCCCCACTTGTACTTCTCTTCTAATCATGATTCCCAAAGAAAACCTCTTTAAGATGTTTCTTCTGGAAGTTATCTTCATAACTCTATATAATGTGCTCGTTCTGTTATACACTGCTTTGTCTGTTTTAGACATTATCTTTTTCCTTCCTGGCTTTTTTCATTCTTTTTGTTTTGTTTTTTTTTATTTTAAAATAAGTACTTGATAAATAAGGATTGTATATATTCAAGGCGTATGATGTTACGAATTGATATACATAATGATGACCAAAATCAAATTAATTTACACATCCATCACTACCCATGCTACACATTAGATTCCCAGAATTTGTTCATCATAAAACTGAAAGTGTGTACCCTTTGATCAATATCTATGTGGCAGATTAAGATGTCTAGTAGTAGATATTCAAGTAGGTATTATATACATGGGTCTGGAGTTCAGGGGAGAGAATTAGACCAGAGGTGTAAATTTGGAATAATCAACACATAGAGTGCATTTTCAATCCATGAGTTTGATAAGATCACCAAAGGAGTGCATTATACAGTTGATAGAAAAGTCTAAATACCCATCAATGGATCAATAGATAAAGAAAATGTGGTACATATACACAATGGAATACTATTCAGCCATAAAAAAGAATGAAATCCTGCCATTTTTGACAACATGGATGAGTTTGGAGGATGTTATGGTAAGTGAAATAAGCCACACACAGAAAGATAAATATCCATGATGTCACTCATATGTGGAATCTTAAAAAAAAACTTGGTCTTACAGAAATAGAGAGTGTAATGATGGTTACCAGAGGCTGAAGTTGTTAGGGAGTAAAGGAGTCAGGGAGATGTTGGTCCATAATTACATTTAGATAGAAAAAATAAATTTCAAGAGATCTATTGTATAGCAAAATGACTGTAGTTAATGCTGATATATTGTACTCTTGAAAAATGTAGAGTGGATGTTATGTGCTATCACCACAAAAATGATAACTAGTCCAACAACGATAGACTGGATCAAGAAAATGTGGCACATATACACCATGGAATACTATGCAGCCATAAAAAATGAAGAGTTCATGTCCTTTGTAGGGACATGGATGAAATTGGAAACCATCATTCTCAGCAAACTATCACAAGGACAAAAAACCAAACACCACATGTTCTCACTCATAGGTGGGAATTGAACAATGAGACCACATGGACACAGGAAGGGGAACATCACACACTGGGGCCTGTTGTGGGGTGGGGGGAGTGGGGAGGGATAGCATTAGGAGATATACCTAATGTTAAATGATGAGTTAATGGGTGCAGCACACCAACATGGCACATGTATACATATGTAACAAACCTGCACATTGTGCACATGTACCCTAAAACTTAAAGTATATTAAAAAAAAAGAAAAAAAATGATAACTATGTGAAGTAATATATTTGTTAATTAGCTAGATTTAACCATTCTGCAATGTATATATACTTCAAAACATCATGTTGTACATGATAAAAGCATATAATATCATCTGTTAATTAAAAACTATATGTATATAAGGCCAGGCGTGGTGGCTTACACCTGTAATCCCAGCACTTTGGGATGATGAGGTGGGCAGGTCACTTGAGGTCAGGAGTTTGAGACCAGCCTGCACAATATGGTGAAACCCCGTCTCTACTAAAAATACAAAAAATTAGCCGGGCATGGTGGTGCATGCCTATAGTCCCAGCTACTCTGGAGGCTGAGCCAGGAGGATTGCTTGAATCCAAGAGGCGGAGGTTGCAGTGCACCAAGATTGCACCACTGCACTCCAGGCTGGGCAACAGGTGAGACCCTGTCTCAAAAAAAAAAAAAAAAAAAAAAGGACATAAATAACTGAGCCTTGGGACATTCCAATACTAAGATGTCAGGAAGATGAAGAGGCATTGAGGAACATTAGGCAGAACTGAGAAAGAGAGGTCAGAGGGATAGAAAGAAAACTGGGAGAGTGAAATATCCTGAAGATCACCTCAGTAAAGTGTTCAAGTAAGGCTGGGAACAGTGGCTCACACTTGTAGTCACAGCACGTTGGGAGGCTGAGGTGGGAGGATCGCTTGAGCCTGGGAGGTTGAGGCTGCAGTGAGCTGAGATTGCACCACTGCACTCCAGCCTGGGCAACAGAGTGAGACCCTGTCTCAAAAACAAAACAAAAACAAACGAACAAAAAAAGGTGTTCAAGCAAGATGAGAACTAAGAATTAACCCTTGTATTTATCAGTGTGGAGGAAATTGGAGTCTATGACAAAACGAACTTTTATGGAGTTATGGACATGAATGCCTGATAGGCACGGGTTTAAGAGGAGTTGGAAGGAGAGAAAATGGGCACTACGAATACGGAGAGCATTTTAAGGAGTTTAGCATGAAGGAGATTAGTCAGAGGGTTATTAGAGTGATATTTTAGGGTAGGGTAAAAAAAATCCTGTGGGTTTTTTTTTTTTTCCTGAAGAGAATGATCCAATGAGGAGAGAGAAAATGATGATGCAGAAAAGCGAGTAAGGCCATCTTAGAGCAAGCAAACCATTCAAGCCACCAGATGGCTGCATCAGCAAGAGTGACTTCAGATGAGAAATACAAGCAACGTCCTTGGGTAGACAAGAGGAGCTGTAGGGCAAAAATTGAGAGGTTAGACTTAGATAGGGGCCTGGAGGTTTCATCCAGTAACAGGAGAGGAGGTAGAGTAAATGCATCCAGATGCTGGTGGGTGGGAAGGTGTCGTGGTAGGCAGAAGTCTGTGGAAATTTGTATATTTCCAACTTCTTTTCAATGAAATAGAATGCAAGGTTACCAGTTGAGAGTGAGGAGGGTTTGGGAGAAGGTGCGAGTGGTTAGAGGTTGGGAGAAGTAGTAGATTGTTCCAGTAATAACTCATAGTACATCAAGCCCTTGTTATACCTCTCCCACACTAATTCTCGGCTTGACTATGTGATTTGCTTTAGCTAAGAGGATGTTAGCAAGTATGATGTAAGCAGAGGAATACAAAACGCTCATTTCTAGGAACTCTCCCACCAGCATTTGAGGAAACCCAAGTTAGCAAGCTGGAGACATGTGGCCTAGCCAACAGCAATCACCCACTGCCATCTTAGACCAGCCAGCCCCACTTGAGTCATCAGATAACCACGGCCACATGGTTGATACTAGGTAGATACAAGTCTAGTAGAACAACAACCCAACATTCAAACCCAAATTATTGACCCACAAAATCATGAGCAAATAAAATGATTATTGCTTTGAACTACACGACAAATATCTCTTATCCAAAATGCTTGGGACAAGCAATGTTTCACATTTCAGATTCTGGAATATTTGTATTACACTTACCAGTTGAGTACCCTAAATCCAAAAATCTGAAATCTGAAATGCTCCAATAAGCATTTCCTTTAAGTGTCATGTCAGCACTCAACAAGTTTCAAATTTTGGAGTGTTTCAGATTTTGAATTTTCAGATTTTGGATGCTCAGTCTGTGCTATGTATTGGGATGGCTTACTGTGTAGCAAAGGCTAACCAATACGGAAGAGAATGGGAGAGTAGGAGAGTAAATGGAATAGGAAAATATGTTTGTCGGCGGCACTAAGGGCCCACTTATGAGTCATACTCATTAAGTTTAAGTGTGTTCAGTCGGAATGGCTGGG
This sequence comes from Homo sapiens, assembly GCF_000001405.40. Taxonomy (NCBI): domain Eukaryota; kingdom Metazoa; phylum Chordata; class Mammalia; order Primates; family Hominidae; genus Homo; species Homo sapiens. The sequence continues at coordinate 31,058,529 of NC_000023.11, forward strand.
TGTTTCTCCAGCCACGTTCAGCTGCGTGGGTGCAGGTGTGCTGTAGGGACAAAATATATTTAATCAGGTTAGGGATTTTGCCAAACAAGTACAACAAAGCAGGTCAGGTAAGGTGGAAATGTATGCAAACGAATGATTATCATCATTTACTATGGGATTTAACTTGAGCAAATAGAGGAGATCAAGCACTTGAGGTACAGTAAAAATGTTGTGGACCAATTGATTGATTTCCCAAGGGGATTATAGAATTTTTGAGCATCAGGACTCTAGAGAGAATGAACTAGGACTCCAGAGATAACGAACCAGAAAAAGAGGAGGTGGTGTTCAGAGAGTCTGATGCGTAAGATAGAGATTATGGAAACAGTGCAGTTATCCCAGGTGACAAGGTCTATGATATGACCATAACAATGAGTGGCTGAGTGGACCGGAGGATGAGATCATGAGAAGAGAACGGATCAAGGGACTAAAAGGCCAGGTTGTGAATGGATCATCTATGTGGATATTAAAATGACCAGGAATTAGAACACAGCAGATACTGAAGATTACCATTAGCCAGGAGCTAAGATCATCAACAAATATGGATTTGAAGTTTCTAGAAAACTATAACAAGAAAGGATGGAGGGGAGCATAATATCATAGCATTAGATTCTAAACTAAGATCTAAGATAATCAACAAATACGGGGTTGGAGTCTCTAGAAAACTATAACAAGAAAGGATGGAGGGGAGAATAATATCAGGGCATTAGATTCTAAACTAAGATCTAAGATCATCAAAAAATATGGGGTTGGAATCTCTAGAAAACTATAACAAGAAGGGATGGAGGGGAGCATAATATCATGGCATTAGATTCTAAACTGGGGGTTTTAAGGGAGGAGGAACAGGAGCAAGAATGGCTTGGAAACATCCACAAGGAGAAAGGAGGATTCCAACCTTAACCTTCGGGCCCAGTTGTACTGTGGAGAGGATGATCATCACTGGAGAGGGTGCAAGGGAAGCAGTGTCCTTAGGGGAATTCTAGAGTGAGTTTAAAACAAGAAGGTAAAGGGTTTGTTCAGAAGAGAAGTTGATAAACTCGTAATGGTTCATGAGTTCCAAACAGCACAAGGGAACTTTCAAAAGTTGGGGAGGGATAAGAGAAGGGACAGAAAAGGAGAGGTGCATATTCTTATGGGGATTACAGCATGGAGGGTGAGGTATGTCCTGGGAAGCTTTGGGCAACGGGGAGTGGCTCTCGTGCTGATGGATATAAGCAAAGATAAAAGGCAATTTGAGATTAGGATTTTGGCTGCAAGGGAGACAGTGATAAAAGGCTGAAAATTTGAAGGATTTCTGGGGACCCCCTCCTCACATCTACCTATGATTATTTGGAGATTTGGGGAGGGGTTGTCCTATTTTGTTAGTTGAATAGTAAAATGTGTCAATACCATGCTGTATAACTTTGCCATTGTTTCCTAATTCTGTCCTGATACACATGCATCCCCTGGGAAGGATTCACTGGTTAAGGAACATGGGCATTTTTTAAACTTCAGGGGTTGCCAATAAACTTCCTTCTTCCAAACGTCTGACAAAAACAGTGAACGGTTTTTCAAGGGAGGTAAAAGCTGCCAGAGCTGAGCCTGATGTTCTTTCTCTGAAAGGAAGGGTACAAGCCCTGGATTTCTTTGATGTTGCTCTGAGACACTTGCGCTGGCAACACCAGGGGCTTTGATGATGTTCTTCTAGCACTCTGACATCCTGACATCTGGGCTTGTATTCTTCTGAAGCAGCAAATTGAAACAATAGTCAAAAACTCCAGTTTAAAAGAAAAAGGACAGTGAGGCCTCATTCAGAACTTTTTGATGCCACTTGCCTGATTAGAGAGAATGCTTTTCCTGCGTCTTCAAGCAGCCATCAGTTTCACATTTTCATATTCATCCCAAGTGTCTGTCACTAGGCACCCTCATTATCCCAGGAGATCCCCAAAAAGGAATTTGACAACCCCCTTCTGAAGCCCTAGTCTAAATGTGCTGCTTTCTCTGAATGGCCTTTTAGTCAAACATAAAAACTATACCCTTAACTTTAATATGAGCCCATCTTCCATACCTCCCTTTTATCATCTCCCCTTGAGTTACACTTCTTCTCTTCATGCTAGATGAACCCTCTCTCTTGCCTTCATCCTCAGTTCTCACAAGCCCTGATGTGGAAGTCTATCTCCTATTGTTTTCACCTCCACATCTGTCCGGCCAGCTCTTCCTCTCACAAGTTTTAGCTATGCTAAGCATCTTTTATAGAATGACCCACACCACTGCTTTTTGATCCACACGCCTTCACTTCTTTACCCTCTGTTTTCCATACACATTCACAGACTGGAAGAGTGAGTGGAGGAAAAAAAGCAAATCATTTTCTCGATATTAAAGTTGCTTTATTCAATGTGGGTTTCTCACATTTTTAATATGGGAAATCCTCCCAGACAGAGCCTACATTTCTGCCAACCTCAATAACATTATGGGTTGGACCATAATGATTATAATTATGTTTGGGCTCTCCATCTTCCTGCCACCTTCAAGTCTCCACTTCTCTCCCTAACATCTTAGATAAGTTTGGCATCAAACTTCTTTTCCCGGAGCTACCACTTACAATGAGATCATTCTCCCTCTGGGGCCAGGAAGAGATCAGATTAGGTAAAGTGGGTTTTCCTGATTTATTCAGGGGAAAAATCCCCTTCCTCTACTTCAGCAAACTCCTTCCTTATAACACCTTCATTTTCAGTGAGATGTAGGTTGACAGATAATAGTGAAACTCGTGTGTGGGGGTTACTGCAAGTATCAGAGGGCCCTGAAATCCGGTTAGTTTGATGCCTTGGGAGCCCTCACCCAAGGTTCTTGGGCCTGCTGTTAATTGTCTTATCAGGAATCCTGTCCAGTTTTGGCATCATTGAGTTCTATGCAAGCAACTCTTCTGCATCAAAGGACTGCTGCATTTTGGATTGCCTCTAACCAAGGAAGTTTGTCAAGACTCTCCAGAGTGAGAACAGACCCCAAACACCTGAGTCTTCCAGTTTTCTTTTTTACCTTTTCTAGTAGATTTTTCTTCCAGTAGGTCTCTGTTGGGAACCTTTTAATGGAGAAGTGGAGGTTGTCTGTGATCAGAGGAAATTCCGTTTAGGACACTTCCAGAACAAATTGTGAGAGAAAGTAGTTCAGTTGTTCGGTTGTGAAGTCTACAGATTGTCTTCACCAGGGAACACATGTTTGTTCTCCTTTCTGAGAGCAGGAACGAGCTTTTTACTCCTCACTGGTCCCTGGAGTTAGCCCCAAATATGGTCTTGCCCATTAGGAAAGCAGATCAAGGGCCAGTAACTTTTTGTTCTCATAATAGATACGCAACGAATTTCCACAAAGTTTCTTGACACTTCTTGCATCCACGTCTACACCTGCTGTATACGTGCCTTCACTTTCCATGTATTCTCAACCTACTGAATTTACCCCATACCCCTACCTCTCTTCCTTCAAGGGCCTCTTGGACTTAATAATCCACTGCACGTATCAGACTCAAAACAAAGGTGAGGCAACTAGTCAGATATGCTCCTTTTTAGGAAGACTGCATTCCTGTCTTTTCCAGATCACAGAGGCAAATGATTTCCTAGGGGAACTAGGAGCTAAAGAATCAAGGTTCTTAAAGAAAATGGGGTCAGGACAATTTTTATTGTGAGCTGGATATGTCCCTGAGAGGGCTTCCAGGTGATTTTCAAGATAGCTTACAAAAGTTCTAGACAAGAGAACCATGACAGGAACCACACCAACAATGCCCTGCAAAAGATCCATGGCACCCTCCCAGGCCAGTTTATGTCTGAAGAACAGATTAGAAGATGTTTGCATAGGAAAATGTTTATTTACAATTTATTTAAGAATACTCAATTCTGCAATAGATATGCAAAACAAATAAGGATAGGTGAAACTAAGTGTAGATAATTATTGTGAAACATATTAGACATGGATAAAGCAGGCAGAATATATGTGTGCTGAATAAGAAGGGATGGAAGGCCGGGCATGGTGGCTCATGCCTGTAATCCCAGCACTTTGGGAGGCCAAGGCGGGTGGATCACCTGAGGTCAGGAGTTCGAGACCAGCCTGACCAACATGATGAAACCCCATCTCTACTAAAAATACAAAAATTAGCTGGGCGTGGTGGCAGGTGCCTGTAATCCCAGCTACTCGGGAGGCTGAGGCAGGAGAATCACTTGAACCCAGGAGGCGGAGGTTGCAGTGAGCTGAGATCGAGCCATTGCACTCAAGCCTGGGCGACAAGAGTGAAACTCCATCTCAAAAATTAAAAAAAAAAAAAGAAGGTATGGAAAGAACAAGTAGAAACCAAATATTCATGACAGTTGGAACATCCTTAGATCAGCTGCTCATTGGTAATAGTTATCTGGTCCCATATGTCTTCTCTCTCATACACTAGATTAAAACACCTGCTTAGCAGGTGACCTGTGAGTTATAGTTGTGCCCAGGGGTACTTGCCCCTGGATCTGTCTGTTAGAGCAGGTGTGTGTTGACTTTAGCTATCTTCATTGCTGGTCCTCATAAGCATACAGTCAGTGGGCAAAGCTAAAACAGAAAAGAGAGAGTGAACATTTTCTGACATGCGATTTAGGCTGCATGGTCCTTTCCTCCTGCTAGCATCCTCTCTTCTCTTCACTGCCCTCTTTCCTTGTTTCTCACTTATGCTCCATATCATTCAGTAAACACTGTGAAATGAGTGTCTTTATTTGATCTATGAGCCTCTTGGTTTGTGACTCCCTGTACATCCTGTCTGGCAATGTATTTGAAGGCTACAGAAACATCAAGGTAATTTCCAGTCATGACAAGGAGTGACAAAAAGTTAAAGAAACTGACACTTTGGCCAACAAGGGGATGAGAAACTGACAGAGACACTTGCAGACTGAACTATAACCTGAGCTCTTCTAATTTCTAAGCAGCAAAGGCAAAGAGTCCAAGGACCCAACTATAACCTCCCAAATACCATGAGAGGCCCAGAGACAGAAGGGCACATCAACCCAAGGGGTCATCCTTTTTCTGGGGCTGAGGTTGTATAACAAGTTACTGATTCCTTCACTCACCATGGCACCTGGGACAGAAAGTCTAAGTACAACAAGACAAAAGTGAGTGACTGCAGGGCCCAGTAGGTAATTTAAATCAATAAAGAGATACTTTATTGTCATAGTATACTTTGAGGTACCTAAGTTACATTGCTTTAATGGCATGTACTGTGGTGAATTGGAGAATATGTATGCTTTAAGATGGCAGCTGAAACTCCGTTCCATATGAAGGTTCCCATGGGAACAGGGCCCAATGTAGCCAGATAGTCAGTATTTTCAAAAGGAGCCAGGAATGTATAATTTTATGAGAACTTTCCCAATTAAAAGTTCATTATCCACAAAACAAGTTATACCGAACATAAGAAGATAGAAATTATATCAAGTATCTTTTCTGACAGCAATGATATAAAACTAGAATTAAACAACAAGAAGAACTTTGGAAACTTTACAAGTACACAGAAAGTAAAGTTTCAGTATACAAAAATCAACATACAAAAATCGGTAGTGTTTCCATATGCTAGTAGTGAACTATCTGAAAGAGAAATCAAGAAAACAACTCCATTTACAATAGCTAAAAAAAGATAGCTAGGAATAAATTTAATCATGAAATTGAAAGATTACTGCAAACTAAAACATTGATATAAGTAATTGAAGAGGAAACAAATAGAAAGATATTTCATGTTCGTGGATTGGAAGAACTATTATTGCTAAAAATGTTTATATACCCAAAGTGATCTACAGATTCAATGCAATCTCTATCAAAAAATCAATAACATTCTTCACAGAAGTAGAAAAAAAAACCCTAAAATTTGTATGGAACCACAAAAGACCCCTGAATCAGCCAAAGCAATTGTGAGCAAAAAATAATAAAAATAAAAATAAAACCCCCCACAACAACAACAAAAATAAAAACAAACAAAAGAGCCAGTCACTAATCATCAGGAAAATACAAGTCAAAACCACAATGAGATATTAACTCACGCCAGTTACAATGGCTATTGTCCAAAAGATAAAAGATAACAAGTGTTGGTGAGGATGTGGAGAAAAGGGAACTTTTGTGTATTGTTGGTAGTTATGTAAATTAGTACAGCCATGATGGAAAACAGTATGAAGGTTCTTCAAAAAATTAAAAATAGAACTACCATATAATCCAGCAATACTACTACTGGGTATATATCGAAAGGAAATGAAACCAGTATGTCAGAGAGGCAGCCGCACTCACATGTTCATTGCAGCATATTCAGAATAGCCAGGATATGGAATTAACCTAAGTATCCTACAACAGATGAATGGATAAAGAAAATGTGGTATATCTACACAATAGGATACTACTCAGCTACAGGAAGAATGAAATCCTGTCATTTGCAACAGCATAGGTGAACCTGGAGGACACAGAAAGGCAAACACTCTACGTTCTCACTAACAGAAAGACAAACACTGTACGTTCTCACTCATATGTGGAATCCTGAAAAGTTGATCTCATAGAAATAGTAAGTAGATAGTAGTTGCCAGAGACTAGAGACTGGGAGAAAAAGGAGGATGGGAAGTTACAGTTAGAAAGGAAGAATTAGTTCTGGTGTCCTGTTGCACAGTAGGGAGACTATAGTCAACAATAAGGTATTGCATATCTCAAAATAGCTACAAGACAGAATTGTGAGTGTTCTCATCACAAAGAATTCATAAATGTTTGAGATGATGGATATGTAATTATCCTGATTTGATCATCACACAAAGTACATGCATATCTAAATATCACATTGTACCCCATATACATGCACGATTATTATGTGTCAATTAAAATAAAAAAGTTATAATTCATTGGCTTCTCCAGATGTTCATTTTTAAATACGATTTATCTAATAAAAGGGACAAGGACTCTGGAAAATGGCTAATTCTATAGCTGGGGCAGGGAAAATGCATCATGAGTCTGGAGCATATCGTAGTGCTAAAAAGTAAGGAAATGCTACATACATACACACAGAGGATGAGACTATGTCAAAGGAAAACAGGAGCCAACTGAAGGATCTCCAACTGGCCAAATGTGGAACAATTTGAGGAACAAAATAAATAATGTAGTTCTGAATTATAACCCAAAGTACTAAATAAATATCCATGAATCCATAGTGAGATAAATAAATGATTGAATAAATAAATGGGAAGGAAGGTACAAATTTTTCTTATAGAAGAATTCCAAATATTGTAGGTAGATACTCTGTCCATCCAGGCGGTGCTCCTCCTCCTAGCCTCTTGAAGGTGAACTGGACTTGATGACTCACTTTAAAGAACAGAGTTCGGAAAGGGGATAGCAACTTTAGGTGGAGAAACCTGGCCAACACCACTCTAACCGAGCAATAAATGTTAAGATCGCCAATGATAAGTCATGTTCATGTCACGTAGCCTCAATGATAGGATGTGATGGGATACACACTCCAGAGGTAAAGTGGCCTTTTTCCCCAAAACCCAGAATCTCAGTCTAATCATGAGAGCAGCACCTGACAAATCCAAATTGAGAAACATTCCACAAAATACATGATCAGTAGTCTTAAAAGCTGTGAAGGTTATGAAAAATAAGGAAAGACTGAGACAGAGGAGACCAAGAAGACATGACAATTAAATGCAATGTAGAAAGCTGGATTGGAACTTGGAACAGGAAAAGAACGTCAGTGGAAAAACTTGTGAAATCTGAATACAGTGTGGGGGTTAGTTAATAGTAATGTGCCAATTTTAATTTCTTATTTTTGACAAATGTACCATGGTTCTGTAAGATATTAACATTACAGCAAACTGGGGAAAGGATATGCAGAAACTGTACCATCTTTGCAATTTAAATATAAAATTTAAAATTATTCCAAAATAAAAAGGTTATTAAAAAATCATTAGTCCAAGTAAAACACGTCTGTGGATGAATCTGGCCTGAGGCCTTCTGTTGGATCCTCCGGTTTAGAAGGAAAATAAATGTTCCCATGACATTGTTCCCCTGAATCATCAGAGATCACAGTAAGCAACCAGCCCTTAACTTGAAGATCAGTCCTCCGTTACACTTAGATGTATAATCTTTTCTTTCCTCCTAATAAATGTCCTGATCTTCCCTCACTTCTATATATATACACACACATATACACACATATATGTGTATACACACACACACACATATGTGTATACACACACATACACACGCATGTGTATACACACACACATATGTGTATACACACGCATACACACACATATGTGTATATACACACACGTGTATATACACACACATATGTGTATATACACACATACACACATGTGTATATACACACATACACATGTGTATATACACACATGTGTATATACAGACATACACACATGTGTATATACAGACATACACACACATATGTGTATATACACACATACACACACATGTGTATATACACACACACATATGTGTATATACACACACATACACACATATGTGTATATACACACACATACACACATATGTGTATATACACACATATACACACATATACACACATATGTGTATATACACACATATACACACATATGTGGATATACACACATATACACACATATGTGGATATACACACATATACACACATATGTGGATATACACACATATACACACGTATATACACACATGTGTATATACACACATATACACACGTGTATATACACACACATATACACACACATGTGTATATACACACACATACAACACGTGTATATATACACATACACACATACACGTGTGTATATACACATACACACACGTGTGTATATACACATATGCACACACACGTGTGTATATACACATGCACACACACGTGTGTATATACACATGCACACACACGTGTGTATATACACATATGCACACACACGTGTGTATATATACATGTATATACATATATATGTATGTGTATATATACACATACGTATATATACGTATGTGTATATATACACATATATACGTATATATATGTGTGTACATATATACACATATATACATATATACACATATATGTATATGTGTGTGTGTGTGTGTGTATGTTCTTTCTCCTTCCTGACATGCTAATGTAATGGTTGGAGCTGTAATAGCCATGTGGATCATGAGATGACCTTTGTACTGGAAGCCCTGTTCAGTGGAACAACAAGATAATGTATTTTATCAAATCAAACATACTAATTTAAGGCACATCATTATTCTATGTACCACACAAAAAGAAAGTGCTACCAACTAAATTAGAACACAGTGTTTTCTTGTCCCTTAGATTTTTAAATTTCAGTTACTGGAAAATCTCTTTTACACTTATTTAAGCACAGACTTTTGTTATTGAATCACTCTTGTGTGTACACATAAAAAGGAAACTATGTGCTAAATAAATTGTTTCAAGTACTGCTAGAACTTCTTCAGATTCAAATTTCAACTCTTCTAAATCACTTCTGTACTCAGAATCATTGATATCTCTTAATATCGTCCTCTGTGCCATCAAGCGTGCTGGTGACGCAGTATTTTTTAAGAGTACACTTCTAATATCTCCAGGATTTTTTCTTAGCCAATGATATCATTTTGTCGAGTTTTGCAGTGCATCCTCAGGCAATGACAGGTATGGCTGACAGTGATTGTAAGATACATCCCAATTTAATGTTAAAATGTAAAGAAAAAAAATGTGCCTCTTGGAATCCATGAAATGTGATTGAAAGCTCTTCCACAGTAGCCCTGAACTGTTTTCTTCCATAGTTCTTTCATACATGAAAAAGAAAACCTATCTTTTTTAAGACTCTACTTTTCTGGTCTTTGTTACTACTCATAACCTAACCCAAACCAAACGGTCACATGATTCCTAAAAATATGATAGCCATTAGTACTTTCCTTTCTTACTATACCTCATCCCACTCCTATAGCTCCCTTGACTAGTGAATCAAGGTGTAAATTTCTTTCCTTTTACCTTTCAGGTGTCCTCACACTTTGCTAATATGATTACTCTCATTTCACCTTTCCTTTCAGCTTTCCTGAGGCAAATTCTCCATCAATATTTCTCTGAACCTGAACTCAGGACTGCAATAACAACAGCAACAACAGCAACATCAAATTATTTGTAAAACAAAAATTGTTATTTTAAAATCTGAAACATAGTATCACTTTCAAGGTTACAGACAATGCTTTTCTCTACTAAATACTTGATTAGATATGTCTCTCAGGCTTGTGAAAAGAAACTGTAATTGCTTGTAAATGAAAAGCAAAATTAAAGGAGAATTTAAAAATCAGAAATGTAGAGCAAATTTCCAGGTTAGAGAAGATTCAGGAGAAATTAATGGGTGCTTTGTACTGCTTGTCACACACATTTCTAAGAAAAAAAAAACTTTTCCTTTTTCTGGAAAATGAAGTACAAGTTGTCAGCGACAACCATCTATTAAGAAACTTCCTTTTGTGATAGAGTGAGGGTTTTTTCCCCAGAGGTAAATTATTCAACACAGTTAATTTGAATCCGTGTTTGAGTCTGAGATGAAGTTATCAATTTTACCATTTTCCCTCAGTCCCGATACTATCATTGCCTGAGACTTTGGTACCCACAGCAACAGCCACTGTTTCGGACATCATTCCCCCAAGCAATAGAGCACAACGAATGACTGACAAGCATCCAGTTGTATGTCTCAGGATGGTATTTTTCAGGGCTGGAAGACTGAGGCACAACTCACTCTCAAGTATTGAAAGTCAGGCTCTCAAAGAATTGGGAAGGCTGTGTGTATGTGGGAATGTGGCCCACCTGTAAGAAGTTTGCTCACTCCTTTTGAGAGGAATGTGGCAAGGGAGGGTGGGAAAATGAGGAGACTTGCAGCGATGGATAAGGTCAAGACATTGAAAAGTGCCAGTGGGGCCAGCTTGGTCTAAATGTTTCTCATGTTTTTCCCACAGTTGCCCCACATATTCAAAAGGCTGTTTGTGGACCCTAAAACTGAACCAAAAGGAGGGGATTTAGGACATTCATGTTTTTGTTGCAGTGGAACAAGAATAGAAACAATTGAGCTGCCGCTTTACCTAGACTTCCCAGCCAGGGATTCTGAAAGAAAAGCTGTGAAATGTGACACTACAAGTAGTGGCATGTGATAGGCGCTGGAGTGTAATCACAATCCTCTTTGAGTCTTGCAGGTGAGGAAATCCTGCTTTTCCGGGTAAAATAAAAGGATGTAGTTCTAAGTAGACTTCTCTGCATTATCCTGGGGTGTCTCTGAATCACAGGAAAGGGAAAAATGGAATAAAGAGGGGGCCTTGTGGCCAAGATGGAACAAGTCTGACGTCAGCTGTAGATCTCAGTAAAGAGACCACAACAGGGAATGTATAGATTACAGTACACTGTGCATGGTAAACGTACAGGGCTTCTCTGTCCAGGCTTTGAGATGAGCTAGATTTGCAGATAGAGCATGTGTGTTTTGTAGCCACCCCATTTACCTGCTGTGCTTGAAGAGAAGCCACTGACAGTGAAGACATGTGGTGGATGGATGGTGCACTCTGGGGATTTCCAGCCCTAAGGCCTTCTTAGGTATTCAGTGCCAACTCAGGCAACAGTGTGACTGTCTGCTTCAGGGAGAGTACCTGAACAGAGGGGTTCAAGTGTACAGGTGTTGGCTGCCTTCCTGTGAGGTGCCCTACTACCTCATATAGTCTGTTACTTATTCTGAAGGCTTCTTTCATAAGAGAAGGATTTTGGCTGAGGTTTAGAAGCTGTCCCCACCCTAGGCTGGAAGGCACACCTGTAATTAGGAGAGAGACTCCAGTGATCAGGGCTGTCTTTAAGAGTGTTGGGGGATTTCCCTCCCTTCCAGGGCTGGTTATTTGGCTAGATTCCCAGTCTACCCACACAATCTTCTTTAACCCGTTGATATACTTGCAGGGTAACAGAAAGAAAAAGGAACATGGCATCAGAAGATCGAGGTTCATGTCCAGATTCCACAACTTCTTGCCTGTATGGCCTCCCTTTTTGTCACTAATAAAGTCATGATACTTGTCCTTCCTTCTTCCTGAGATTCTTGTAAAAACAAAGTACAACAATGTAAATAAAAGGACTTGGACTTGCAAAGTGCCATTTTAGTTTGTCAGCCCCTTGGCTATGGGGAAGCCAGCTTAAGGCTCCCACTACAACTGTCACCCAAAGTGAGCTTGCCAAAGAAGTACCCTGCTGTGCTGTCACCCAGAGCCCCCACTTGCTACTCAGAATCCACAAACATTAACATTGGCATATTTTAATAAACTACAAGTTTTCATGTAAAGTTGAAGACCCTTTGTTTATTTTAATCCTTGCCCAATCCCATTTCCTTCACTTCTTCCCCAGAGGCAACCACTATGATGAATTCCAGACCACGTTTTACACTTTACCGTGCCCATGCACCCACAGCCACCAGGGCCCAAGAGTGACCACCCCACCCCATCCCACCCCACATACCCTGGTAGTTTACAAAGGGAAGACTAATGTGTTTTCCAGGGGCCCATAAAATACCATTCCACTCCACCCCTGCAAATCCTGAGCTGCATGCAGATGGGGCAGGGGTGGGTGGAGAGACTGCTGGATACCTACTTTAAACCTGCATGGGGATTTGCCCTGATTCCTAAAAGGTGAGAGTTGCAGGTGTATCAAATGGACACCTTTATTGCTTTGAGAACCAGATAACTTTTTTGCTAACAATGGTAAAACTGAAAGATAAAACTGAAGAGAACGTTCTGAAAGGGCAACATGCACGCCCCGCCTAGTGGCCTGACCCAGGGAAGGGACCCCGTGGCTGTGGGGCCCATCTGGGCTCAAGTCTCTTTGACGCGGCCGCCCAGGGTGAGCTTGTCGAACAGGTACTCAGCCAGGCCGGCTTCCGGGGAACAAATCTTGCGCAGGTTGCTCACGTAGCCACCCAGCTCTTTGATGGTCTTGACTTGCTCGTGCAGGTAGTGGCTCTCCAGGAAGTGGCACAGCTGGGGGTCGCCCTTCTCCACGGCCAGCTGGTACAGATCCAGCAGGCTCTGGTTGACGTTCTTCTCCAGGTGGAAGGCGGACTCCATGGCCACGAGCCCGCTCTCCCAGCCTTGGCACTCTGGCTTCCTGATATCGTGAAGGCAGATGTGGCCACCGCGCAGGTTCTGCAGCCTCATCAGCTTCTGGGCATGCTCCATTTTGTCGTCCGACAGGCGCAGGAAGTAGCGGAAGAAGTTCTCCAGGGCCACGTCGTCCCGGTTGAAGTAGAAGGCCATAGACAGGTACAGGTAGGAGGTGTAGAGCTCCAGCGTGATGTGGCTGTTGATGGCGGCGTCGCAGTTGGTGTCGTACTTCTGGCGCACCTGCGACGGCTGGGCGGTGGCCATGGCGGGCAGCGCAAGTGCAGGCGAGCACACGGGCGAAGTCGGTGCGGTAGCGAGGGCAGCAGCTGAGGTGACAAGAATGGCGGATAGTGAAAGGCGGGTGTGCGATGAAACCGGAAGTGGGCAGTGGAAGTGGGCAGTGGCGACCGTTAGGGAGGAGCGCGCTCTGTCGGTGGGGGGAGGGGCGGCGGGGGACAGAGTTGCGGGGCAAGGGGGTGGGGGCACAAGCGCTGACTTCCGTCGGAAATCCCGGCCACTTGGCGCTGAATGTTTCAAGACCATCTTTTAAAAATAACTGCTCTAGGCCGGGCACGGTAGCTCACGCGTGTAATCCCAGCACTTTGGGAGGCCGGGGCGGGCGGATCACGAGGTCAGGACATGGAGACCAACCTGACCAACATGGTGAAACCCCGTCTCTACTAAAAATACAAAAAAAATTAGCCAGGCATGCTGGCGCGCGCACCTGTAGTCCCAGCTACTCGGGAGGCTGAGGCAGGAGAATTGCTTGAACCCAAGAGGCGGAGGTTGCAGTGAGCTGGGATTGTGCCGTTACACGCCAGCCTGGGCAACAGAGCAAGACTTGTGTCAAACAACAACAACAAACTGCACTATTGAGATACAATTCCTCTGCCATAAAATTCACCCTCTGAAACATTTCCATGGTTTTTAGTATATTCATGAAGTTGTGTAACTATCACCCCATCACCAAAAATCTAATTTCAGAACGTTTTCCTTATTCCAAAATGAAATCCCCTACCCATGAGTAGTTACTGCCCATCTCGCCTTCCTCACTGGCCCGACAACCACAAATGAAATCTCTGTTTCTAGAGATTTGCTTACTCTGGACATTTCAAATAAATCATACTATATGCGGCCTTTATATGGCCTCTTTCATTTAGCATAATGTCTTTAACTTTTGTCTTTTTTATGGCTGAATTATATTTCATTGTATGGATATACCACATTTTATTTACTCATTCATCAGTCGATGGGCATTTGAGTTGTTTCCATTTTGTGACTATTATGACTAATGCAGCTATGAGGATTTTTATAATAGACATATGTTTTCAACTCCCTTGGGTATATACCTGGGACTAGAATTGCTGGGTCATATGTTAAGACTCTGTTTAACATTTTGAGGAACTGCTAGACTGTTTTCCAAAGTCCCCTCATCATTTTACATGCCCACTAACAATGTATGAAGGTTCCAACACTGTCATTGTCTTTGTTGTTTTTCTAGTGGATGTAAAGTGGTATCTCACTGTGGTTTTGATTTGCATTTCCATAATGGCTATTGATGTTGAGCATCTTTTCATAGTCATTTGTATCTTCTTTGGAGAAAACTCTATTCAAGTCTTTTGTCCATTTTAAAATTGGGTTATTTGTACTTTTATTGCTGAGTTTTAAGAGTTCTATATATATTATGTGTGCCAGTCCTTTTTCAGATATATGATTTGCAAATATTTTCTCTCATTCTGTTTTTTTTTTCACTTTCTTAATGGTGTCCTTTGAAGCACAAAGTTCTTAATTATGTTCAATTTTTCTGTTTTTCTCTTGTCACTTGTGCTTTTAGTGTCCTATCTAAGAAACCATTGCCTAATTCAAGGTCATAAACATTTATGTCCAGGTTTTCTTTGAATAATTTTACAGTTTTAGCTTTTACATTTAAGTTTCTAACTCATTTTGAGTTAATTTTTGTATATGATATGAGGTCATTGTCCAATTTCATTCCTTTGTGTGTGGATATCCAGTTGTCCTAGCACCATTTGTTGAGAAGACCATTCTTTCTCCACTAGATGGTCTTGGCACACTTGTCAAAAATCAATTGACCATAGATGTATGGGTTTATTTCGGGACTCCCAATTCTGTTCTGTCAATCTATGTGTCTAAACTGATGCTGGCACAACACTGGCTTGATTACTATAGCTTTGTAGTAAGTTTTGAAATTGGGAAGTATAGTCATCCAACTCTGCTCTTCTGCAGAGATTGCTTTGGCTATTCTGGGTCCCTTGAATTTCCTATGAATTTTAGGATATGCTTGTCAATTTCGTTTTTTTTTTTTTTTTTTTTTTTAAAAACCAGCCTACTGGGATTTTGTTAGGGATTGCATTAAACCTGTAAGTCATTTGTGGGAATATTGGTATCTTAATATTAACTCTTCTAGTCCATAAACATGGGATGTCTTTTAATTTATTTGGGTCCAGGACGTTTAAAAATAAAGATTTTGATTTAGGCTGGGGCTCCAAATCAGAATTTCTAAGCATCTCAGGTGATGCCAGACCACATTCTGAGTAGCAATGCTCTAAGAGGGAGGAGGCCTCTATCCCTTATCAAGGTTTAGAGATAAAGAGGACACATATATTGGACTCCACAAGCAAAAATTCCTGTTCTCACATCACAGACAATGCTTGTGCTATTTATTATACTAGATGTAGTTTTTTGTGGGAAAGGGAAGAGACCTTTCTCCTATCACAAAAAATTGTGAAAGACTTTAAAATCAGCAAAAACAATTTCCTGGATGTGGTTTTTAGAGTACCTTTCTGGGTTATCTCCATCTTTCATTGACTTAGAGTTATTTTCTAACTCTTCAGATTGTAGAAAACTAATAATAATGCAAACAATTCTTGTCCACAGAAATGCAAATAAATGTCTGGTGAAATGCAATTGATTTTTGACTTATTTTGCATCTATTTGTACATTCCTTATTTCAATATTCCTTATTCCTACATATGTATGGCTCTTTGAATTCTCCTTTGAGCCATTTGTAACATCTTACTAGTTTCCTCATTAATTAATAAGTTAAATAAAATGTTTCATGCACATATTTTATATTTATATGAGAGTCATGATTTTACTTTTTTCCTCGTAATTATTCTTTAGCACTCCCCAGGTCCACCCCCACCCGACCAGGAACACAACTGAAGCCCAGGGAAGTTGACTTGGTAAAGTGAGCACTTTTATGGGTTGCTCACCTGAGATATGATTCCAGAAAATTACTTAGGACCTAAAGGCATAGAATTCCTGACTGTGGAATTCTATATGGACTATGGAAAGATAGCCTCTCTGAGGAGAAGGAGGCAGGGAGTAGTCCAGGGCTGTAGGAGACCAACGAAAACTAGCAGAGGAAGTGGATATCCAGGGAGCAGGCCACAGAGGTACCTCACCAGCAGAACACTGTAGCCACAGTGGGGCTGAGGCTGGCCTGATGCAAACTGGGGAGGATAGAGAAGTAGGGGTGACCAGTAAAGGTCTGTAGAAAACTGGAACCAGCTGAGAACCAGGGAAGTGATGAGAGTTTCCAGGCAGAGAATGTAGTTAACAGAGATTTGAGGGGTGGAAGGTTGACTGACTCAGATGGGAGTTTGACAGGCTGAGGTTCATGGTCTGAGTAAAGTTAACCCTGGGAAAGAGGTAGGAACCTGAGCTTTTGGAGCCAGGATGAAGGATCCTCTCATCAGCACTTTTGTGCTCCCTGAATCATACCCCTGGAAGGGGTGTTCGGATCCACAGATACTAAGAGTGTGGAGTATCCAGGACTGGGCCATGGGCTTCATCTTCCAGAGAAGTTTCCTTCCAGCTGGTGATCAGATGTAGGGACGCTCTAATGCATTCTTCTTGGCCCTACTATGGGACAACTTTTTAGCACAAAGGCCGTAGGACAATGGTTGCTCCTATTTGGTTGGACACTACTGAGACGTCCAACACTCACACCCATACCATATTCTAAAGAAGAAAATGCTCTTTCCAGTCTCTAATTCCTTGCTGTTCTGATTTTGGGGGAAAAAAGAAGAATCACTGTCTTGAGGAGCAAAGGAAAACCCTCAGAACTTAGACATGCCCATTGTATGTAAGTTGATGGCTGATATTCGTCAGTTAAATAGGAATTGTTTCTAAGGTTATAACTTTTCATTTCTATTCAGTGTGCTGAATAATCTCCATCTACCTCTCTAAGACTACTCTCTGCTTTTCTCCATCTTACTTGGCACACTGGGAGGGGGAGGTTGACCTGTATGTACTGCACCCCTAGGTCCCTTGTGCTGTCTGGCTTCTAGTTGCATTCAGTCAACGGGAGGCACTGGCAGGATATGGGAGGGCAGGGGAGGAGTGAAGTTGAGGTATTTTTTCTCTTGGCTCCATCTCTTCAGGGCAGATAATTAAGAGGCGCCTTTATTTCCCTTTTATACATTTTGCTCCCTGGATGCAGTAGGACCATTCTCAGGATAGGCCTTCTGCAAACATTACTACAAAGAGCAGGTATTCTTTGGCTCAAGTTTAATGCACAGCCTAAGAAATTCATGGGGTCCCAGAAACCAGTGTGTAGCTGGACGTTCCGTCAGGCCAGAGGATCAATGGAACTGATGGGAGAAATAAAGTACCTGACTTAGGATAGTTGCGGGCCAAAATAATAACAGCATAGGTGGGACTGCCACCCAAGATTCAGGCTCCAGCTTTCTAGCTTATGGATTTCTTTTCTTTTCTTTTTTTGAGATGGAGTCTTGCTCTGTCACCCAGGCTGGAGTGCAGTGGCATGATCTCAGCTCACTGCAATCTCTGCCTCCCGGGTTCAAACGATTCTCCTGCCTCAGCCTCCCGAGTAGCTGGGACTACAGGCGCGTGCCACAACGCCTGGCTAATTTTTTGTATTTTTAGTAGAGACGGGGTTTCATCATGTTAGCCAGGATGTCTTGATCTATGCCCACCTCATGATCCGCCGGACCTCGTGATCCGCCCGCCTCGGACCCCCGAAGTGCTGTAGCTTGTGGATTTCTCTGGCCTTTGGATTCCGTCTCTCCTTAGGTGACTAGCGTTTTGATTACCTCTCATCTCATTAGTAGATTCATTAGAATGAGGATGAGGTAAGATGAAGCAGGGGTTCTACTTGTTAGTAACCATGTTTAAAAGTCTGGTTGTGGAAGATGTTGACTTAATAAGATTTGAGGAATATCTCAAGTAAACCTTTATTTATTTCAAGTAAAGCTTTGTCCTTCTCTGCCTACCTTCTGTTGCCCATGATTAAAGCTATCACAGAGTGCTCTGCACAGCACTGTGTCAGTGGGCCCAATCAATGTACACAAGAGATTATACATGCTGATTACTTAATTTGACACCTCTTAATTATTTGTTTGTAGGAAGGAAAATATAACCCTCAATTTCAATTTCAGATAGCCAAAAAGGTATTTTAAAAGTTTCCTTTGTTTATTATCTTTTCTAAATAGAGGCTGAATAATCTGTATTATATGACATTCAATTCCTTCACAGAGAATACTAGCCTGACTATAATAGTCAGGCTAGGCTAAGCTATGCTTCAGTAACAAAAAAAAAAAAAAAAACTAAAATCTCAATGGCTGAAGAAAACGTTTCTTTCTTTTTATTTTTTATTATACTTTAAGTTTTAGGGTACATGTGCACACTGCACAGGTTTGTTATATACGTATACATGTGCCATGTTGGTGTGCCGCACCCATTAACTCATCATTTAGCATTAGGTATATCTCCTAATGCTATCCCTCCCCCCTCCCCCCACCCCACAACAGGCCCCAGTGTGTGATGTTCCCTACCCTGTGTCCAAGTGTTCTCATTGTTAAATTCCCACCTGTGAGTGAGAACATGCGGTGTTTGGTTTTCTATCCTTGCGATAGTTTGCTCAGAATGATGGTTTCCAGCTTCATCCATATTCCTACAAAGGACATGAACTCATCATTTTTTACGGCTACATAGTATTCCATGGTGTATATATGCCACATTTTCTTAATCCAATCTGTCATTGTTGGACATTTGGGTAGGTTCCAAGTCTTTGCTATTGTGAATAGTGCCACAGTAAACATACGTGTGTGTGTGTCTTTATAGCAGCATGATTTATAATCCTTTGGGTATATACCCAGTAATGGGATGGCTGGGTCAAATGGTATTTCTAGTTCTAGATCCCTGAGGAATCGCCACACTGACTTCCACAATGGTTGAACTAGTTTACAGTCCCACCAACAGTGTAAAAGTGTTCCTATTTCTCCACATCCTCTCCAGCACCTGTTGTTTCCTGACTTTTTAATGATTGCCATTCTAACTGGTGTGAGACGGTATCTCATTGTGGTTTTGATTTGCATTTCTCTGATGGCCAGTGATGATGAACATTTTTTCATGTGTCTTTTGGCTGCATAAATGTCTTCTTTTGAGAAGTGTCTGTTCATACCCTTTGCCCACTTTTTGATGGGGTTGTTTGTTTTTTTCTTGTAAATTTGTTTGAGTTCATTGTAGATTCTGGATATTAGCCCTTTGTCAGATGAGTAGGTTGCAAAAATTTTCTCCCATTCTATAGGTTGCCTGTTCGCTCTGATGGTAGTTTATTTTGCTGTGCAGAAGCTCTTTAGTTTCATTAGATCCCATTTGTCAATTTTGGCTTTTGTTGCCATTGCTTTCGGTGTTTTAGACATGAAGTCCTTGCCCATGCCTATGTCCTGAATGGTATTGCCTAGGTTTTCTTCTAGGGTTTTTATGGTTTTAGGTCTAACATTTAAGTCTTTAATCCATCTTGAATTAATTTTTGTATAAGGTGTAAGGAAGGGATCCAGTTTCAGATTTCTACATATGGCTAGCCAGTTTTCCCAGCACCATTTATTAAATAGGGAATCCTTTCCCCATTTCTTGTTTTTGTCAGGTTTGTCAAGGATCAGATAGTTGTAGATATGCGGCATTATTTCTGAGGGCTCTGTTCTGTTCCATTGGTCTATATCTCTGTTTTGGTACCATTACCATGCTGTTTTGGTTACTGTAGCCTTGTAGTATAGTTTGAAGTCAGGTAGTGTGATACCTCCAGCTTTGTTCTTTTGGCTTAGGATTGACTTGGCAATGTGGGCTCTTTTTTGGTTCCATATGAACTTTAAAGTAGTTTTTTCCAATTCTGTGAAGAAAGTCATTGGTAGCTTGATGGGGATGGCATTGAATCTGTAAATTTCCTTGGGCAGTATGGCCATTTTCACAATATTGATTCTTCCTACCCATGAGCATGGAATGTTCTTCCATTTGTTTGTATCCTCTTTTATTTCATAGAGCAGTGGTTTGTTGTTCTCCTTGAAGAGGTCCTTCACGTCCCTTGTAAGTTGGATTCCTAGGTATTTTATTTTCTTTGAAGCAATTGTGAATGGGAGTTCACTCATCATTTAGCTCTCTGTTTGTCTGTTATTAGTGTATAAGAATGCTTGTGACTTTTGCACATTGATTTTGTATCCTGAGACTTTGCTGAAGTTGCTTATCAGCTTAAGGAGATTTTGGGCTGAGACAATGGGGTTTTCTAGATATACAATCATGTCATCTGCAAACAGGGACAATTTGACTTCCTCTTTTCCTAATTGAATACCCTTTATTTTCTTCTCCTGCCTGATTGCCCTGGCCAGAACTTCCAACACTATGTTGAATAGGAGTGGTGAGAGAGGGCATCCCTGTCTTGTGCCAGTTTTCAAAGGGAATGCTTCCAGTTTTTGCCCATTCAGTATGATATTGGCTGTGGGTGTGTCATAGATAGCTCTTATTATTTTGAGATACGTCCCATCAATACCTAATTTATTGAGAGTTTTTAGCATGAAGGGCTGTTGAATTTTTTCAAAGGCCTTTTCTGCATCTATTGAGATAATCATGTGGTTTTTGTCTTTGGTTCTGTTTATATGCTGGATTATGTTTTTTGATTTGCATATGTTGAACCAGCCTTGCATCCCAGGGATGAAGCCCACTTGGTCATGGTGGATAAGCTTTTTGATGTGCTGCTGGATTCGGTTTGCCAGCATTTTATTGAGGAGTTTTACATCAATGTTCATCACGGATATTGGTCTAAAATTCTCTTTTTTTGTTGTGTCTCTGCCAGGCTTTGGTATCAGGATGATGCTGGCCTCATAAAATGAGTTAGGGAGGATTCCCTCTTTTCTGTTGATTGGAATAGTTTCAGAAGGAATGGTACCAGCTCCTCCTTGTACCTCTGGTAGAATTCGGCTGTGAATCCATCTGGTCCTGGACTTTTTTTGGTTGGTAAGCTATTAATTATTGCCTCGATTTCAGAGCCTGTTATTGGTCTATTCAGAGATTCAACTTCTTCCTGGTTTAGTCTTGGGAGGGTGTATGTGTCCAGGAATTTATCCATTTCTTCTAGATTTTCTAGTTTATTTGCGTAGAGGTGTTTATAGTATTCTCTGATGGTAGTTTGTATTTCTGTGGGATTGGTGGTGATATCCCCTTTATCATTTTTTATTGCATCTATTTGATTCTTCTCTCTTTTCTTCTTTATTAGTCTTGCTAGCAGTCTATCAATTTTGTTGATCTTTTCAAAAAACCAGCCCCTGGATTCATTGATTTTTTGAAGGTTTTTTTGTGTCTCTATTTCCTTCAGTTCTGCTCTGATCTTAGTTATTTCTTGCCTTCTGCTAGCTTTTGAATGTGTTTGCTCTTGCTTTTCTAGTTCTTTTAATTGTGATGTTAGGGTGTCAATTTTAGATCTTCCCTGCTTTCTCTTGTGGGCATTTAGTGCTATAAATTTCCCTCTACACACTGCTTTGAATGTGTCCCAGAGATTCTGGTATGTTGTGTCTTTGTTCTCATTGGTTTCAAAGAACATCTTTATTTCTGCCTTCATTTTGTTATGTACCCAGTAGTCATTCAGGAGCAGGTTGTTCAGTTTCCATGTAGTTGAGCGGTTTTGAGTGAGTTTCTTAATCCTGAGTTCTAGTTTGATTGCACTGTGGTCTGAGAGACAGTTTGTTATAATTTCTGTTCTTTTACATTTGCTGAGGAGGGCTTTACTTCCAACTATGTGGTCAGTTTTGGAATAGGTGTGGTGTGGTGCTGAAAAGAATGTATATTCTGTTGATTTGGGGTGGAGAGTTCTGTAGATGTCTATTAGGTCCGCTTGGTGCAGAGCTGAGTTGAATTCCTGGATATCCTTGTTAACTTTCTGTCTCGTTGATCTGTCTAATGTTGACAGTGGGGTGTTAAAGTCTCCCATTATTATTGTGTGGGAGTCTAAGTCTCTTTGTAGGTCTCTAAGGACTTGCTTTATGAATCTGGGTGCTCCTGTATTGGGTGCATATATATTTAGGATAGTTAGCTCTTCTTGTTGAATTGATCCCTTTACCATTATGTAGTGGCCTTCTTTGTCTCTTTTGATCTTTGTTGGTTTAAAGTCTGTTTTATCAGAGACTAGGATTGCAACCCCTGCCTTTTTTTGTTTTCCATTTGCTTGGTAGATCTTCCTCCATCCATTTATTTTGAGCCTATGTGTGTCCCTGAACGTGAAATGGGTTTCCTGAATACAGCACATTGACGGGTCTTGACTCTTTATCCAATTTACCCGTCTGCATCTTTTAATTGGAGCATTTAGCCCATTTACATTTAAGGTTAATATTGTTATGTGTGAATTTGATCCTGTCATTATGATGTTAGCTGATGATTTGGCTCGTTAGTTGATGCAGTTTCTTCCTAGCCTTGATGGTCGTTACCATTTGGCATGTTTTTGCAGTGGCTGGTACCAGTTGTTCCTTTCCATGTTTAGTGCTTCCTTCAGGAGCTCTTTTAGGGCAGGCCTAGTGGTGACAAAATCTCTCAGCATTTGCTTGTCTGCAAAGTATTGTATTTCTCCTTCACTTATGAAGCTTAGTTTGGCTGGATATGCAATTCTGGGTTGAAAATTCTTTTCTTTAAGAATGTTGAATATTGGCCCCCACTCTCTTCTGGCTTGTAGAGTTTCTGCCAAGAGATCAGCTGTTAGTCTGATGGGCTTCCCTTTGTGGGTAACCCGACCTTTCTCTCTGGCTGCCCTTAACATTTTTTCCTTCATTTCAACTTTGGTGAATCTGACAATTATGTATCTTGGAGTTGCTCTTCTCGAGGAGTATCTTTGTGGCATTCTCTGTATTTCCTGAATTTGAATGTTGTCCTGCCTTGCTAGATTGGGGAAGTTCTCCTGGATAATATCCTGCAGAGTGTTTTCCAACTTGGTTCCACTCTCCCCATCACTTTCAGGTACACCAATCAGACGTAGATTTGGTCTTTTCAGATAGTCCCATATTTCTTGGAGGCTTTGTTCATTTCTTTTTATTCTTTTTTCTCTAAACTTCTCTTCTCGCTTCGTTTCATTCATTTGATCTTCCATCACTGATACCCTTTCTTCCCGTTGATCGAATCGGCTACTGAGGCTTGTGCATTCGTCACGTAGTTCTCGTGCTGTGGTTTTCAGCTCCATCAGGTCCTTTAAGGACTTCTCTGCATTGATTATTCTAGTTAGCCATTCGTCTAATCTTTTTTCAAGGTTTTTAACTTCTTTGCCATGGGTTCGAACTTCCTCCTTTAGCTCGGAGTAGTTTGATCTTCTGAAGCCTTCTTCTCTCAACTCGTCAAAGTCATTCTCCGTCCAGCTTTGTTCCATTGCTGGTGAGGAGCTGCGTTCCTTTGGAGGAGGAGAGGTGCTCTGATTTTTGGAGTTTCCAGTTTTTCTGCTCTGTTTTTTCCCCATCTTTCTGGTTTTATGTACCTTTGGTCTTTGATGATGGTGATGTACAGATGGGGTTTTGGTGTGGATGTCCTTTCTGTTTGTTAGGTTTCCTTCTAACGGTCAGGACCCTCAGCTGCAGGTCTGTTGGAGTTTGCTGGAGGTCCACTCCAGACCCTGTTTGCCTGGGTATCAGCAGCAGAGGTTGCAGAACAGTGGATATTGGTGAACAGCAAATGTTGCTGCCTGATAGTTCCTCTGGAAGTTTTGTCTCAGAGGGGTACCCAGCTGTGTGAGGTGTCAGTCTGCCCCTACTGGGGGTGCCTCCCTGTTAGGCTATTCGGGGGTCAGGGACTCACTTGAGGCAGTCTGTCCGTTCTCAGATCTCAAGCTGCGTGCTGGGAGAACCACTACTCTCTTCAAAGTTGTCAGACAGGGACATTTAAGTCTGCAGAGGTTTCTGCTGCCTTTTATTTGGCTATGCCCTGCCCCCAGAGGTGGAGTCTACAGAGGCAGGCAGGCCTCCTGGAGCTGTAGTGGGCTTCACCCAGTTTGAGCTTCCCTGCTGCTTTGTTTACCTACTCAAGCCTCGGCAATGGCAGGCGCCCTTCCCCCAGCCTCGCTGCCGCCTTGTAGTTTGATCTCAGACTGCTGTGCTAACAATGAGTGAGGCTCCGTGGGCATAGGACCCTCTGAGCCAGGCACGAGATGTAATCTCCTGGTGTGCTGTTTGCTAAGACCATTGGAAAAGCGCAGTATTAGGGTGGGAGTGACCTGATTTTCCAGGTGCCGTCTGTCACCCCTTTCTTTGACTAGGAAAGGGAATTCCCTGACCCCTTGCGCTTCCTGGGTGAGGCGATGCCTCACCCTGCTTCGGCTCACACTTGGTGCGCTGCACGCACTGTCCTGCACCCACTGTCCGACACTCCCCATTGAGATGAACCCAGTACCTCAGTTGGAAATGCGGAAATCACTCGTCTTCTGTGTCGCTCACGCTGGGAGCTGTAGACTGGAGCTGTTCCTATTCGGCCATCTTGGCTCCACCCCCCAAGAAAATATTTCTTGCTTACATCACAGTCTGAGGCAACTAAAATGACTCTCTTTTATGGTTGTCCACCAGTGGCTAACTTATAGATGCAGGCTAAAATTCCATCTGGCAGTTCTGCCATCTCAGAATTCTTTACTTCCAACTGCACAGAAGGGAAAGAGGAAACATGGAAACTTTTCTCTTGCTCTTTACTGCCTTGGACCAGAAGTCATATGCACTTCAGCTCAAACCACCTGCAAGGGAGGCTGGGAAGTGCAGGAGAAAACGTGATATTTGGTGAATAATAAAATCTCTGCCATGCATGTTTTACCCATTTATCCTAGTTTTTTTTTAAGTTGTTTAGAATCCACATTTGGCGGGGGGTATTATTAAAAAGTGTTCCCCCTTTCTCTGTGTGGTTGCAGAGAAAGGGGGAACACTTATACACTGTTAGTGGAAATGTGAATTAGTTCACTCACTGTGGAAAGCAGCTTGGAGATTTCTCAAATAACTTAAAACAGAACTACCATTCAACCCAGTAATCCCATTACTGGGTATATAGCCAAAGGAAAAGAAGTCATTCTACCAAAAAGACGTGTGCACTTGTATATTCATCACTGTGCTGTTCACAACAGCAGAGGTATGGATTCAACCTAGATGCCCATCATCAATGGATTGGATAAAGAAAATGTGATACATATACACGTTGTATCACAGGCATAAAAAAGAAGGAAATCATGTCCTTTGAATTACATGGATGCAGCTGCAGGCCATCGTTCTAAGTGAGTTAACACAGGAACAGAAAACCAAATGCTGCATGTTCTCACTTATAAGTGGGAGCTAAAGATTGAGCACACAAGGACACAAAGATGAGAACAATAGACACTGGGGCCTACTGGAGGGGAGGGTGGGAGGTGGGCAAGGTTTGAAAAACTATCTAGTACTGTGCTCACTACCTGGGTAATGGATCATTCATACACCAAACCCCAGTGGCATGCAGTTTACCCATATAGGTTTGTACCTGCAGGTGCACTCCCCGAACCTAAAAGTCAAAAAGAAAAAAATAAAAGAAATTTTTTGGAAATTTGAACAGCAACAACAAAAAGAACTCACATTTTTGACTACTGTTGTTTAGTTACTAGAGCGTGCATATAGCAAGGCTTCTTTTGAAAACAGAATTTCACAATTTATATTTTGTGTGTGGCAACGTACTATGTAATGCAGCTTGTGTGGTCCCATCTCCACATAATTGCTTCTGGTATTCCGCCTTGGCCATATTTATCTCCCATTCTAGATCCCAGCTTGCCATTTAGACTCAGATCCAACCCTGTCTTCTACCTGAAACCTCTCTGTCTAAAGTGAACTCAGCCTCCTCTAAAGATCTAAAGGGATTAGTGCCCACACAACTAGCACGGCAATCAGTCATGGACTGCCCAGTGACGCCTTGACTGTAATTGCCTTGAACTATTAATCTTCTCGTTTCCTTTGTGTCCCTTTAGTGCAATGTTGTCCCCGACCCATAAGCTCATGGGTGGGAAACTCCCTATCTTCAACTCCACAACAATCAACTAGACAGATTAGCACAGAATAAGTGCTCAAAACCTATGGGCTGATTTGATCTGATTTAATTAGGTTCATAGAGTCAGCAAACATCTGAAGAAACATCAGTACTAAGTACATCAGCAAACATCAGTACTAAGCATCTAAGTACTATGTTCCAGGATTTGTGCTAAGAATTGTGGATAAAGAGATAATTAAAGCATAGTGCCAATCCTCAAGACTCTTCCAGAATTTTAGGGGTAAACTGAATAAAAACCAACATGGTGTGGTAGCTAGCTTTCAAAGATCACCCAGCAGTTCCTCCCCTCCCTGTTTGAGCGTGCTATTCCTCATCTAGAGTTGGCACTTATATTGTCCACCAGTGACTGCCTTGCCAATAGAATGTGGAGGAAGTGGCATTCTGCGACTTTCAAGAGAATGGGCAGCTTTTTCTTCCTTCCTCTTAGAGGTTTTACTCTTGGGATGCCCCCCTACCCCGAATCTAGTCACCATGTTGTGAGATGTTCTAACCAGATGAAGTGGCAACAAGAAGGAGAAACAAGGCTGAGTTCCCAGACAGCAGCCAATACCAACTGCTGGCCATGAGAGTAAGCTGTTTTGGCTATTCCAGATGACTGCAGCCCTGCTGACATAACAAAGAGAATAACCACTGATATGAAGCCAGTTCATGTACAGAATTATGACCAATAATAAAATGGTTTTTGTTTTAAACTGAGGGGGTTGCTATGCTGCAAAAGATAACTGAAGTACAGGGTTAGATAGTTTTATCAGTACAATGGGTCCACAAAGGAAGCAAAAGGATGAAGAAAGCTCAGGAGTGCCCTCATAGGGGTGACATTTGAGCTTATGAGTGGAAATTTCCCAGGCAGAACTTGAAAGAAAGGAGTTTCCAGTTCGTGATTCCATGCAAGGAAAGGCATAGAGGTATAAAACTATTATGCATGTACAGAGTATGACAAGCAGTTTGTGATGGATGACATGTGAATAAAGGGGGAGCTACAGGTATCTTGAGAGAAATCAGAAAACCTAGAAGCCTGGTCTTGGGATTTATTCTTTATCCAGTGGGGTGCTTGGGTCTTTTTAAAGCAGAGGAGTGTCAAAATCAGATGTTTTCTCTCAGACAGATTACTTTGGAATGAATGACTGGGTAGACTGGAGGGGTGTGAGACTGCAGAGAAAAAGAACAGCCAGGAGACTTTTGTAATGATCGAGTCTAGGAAGATGAGGTATGTGGAGTAGGCAGTGAGTGACATGGGAAATGGAGAGGAGAGATGGGATGCAAATGGCATTGAGGTGGACAGCTAAAAGAATTTGAATATGGGTGTGGGTAATGAAAGAAAGAGGAATCTAGGACTCCCAGATTTCAGGCTTTGGTTCACCATCCTTGGAGACTGGCAATGCAGGAGGCCAAGCAGTCCAGAGGAAGAAGATAATGACTTGGGATTCAATCAAGCCCTTGAGTTCTGAGTCATCCAAGAGAAGATGTTCTGTAAAAAAGTGACTTGTGATTCAGAGTTCAGGAGAAAGGGCTCAATTAAAATAATAACTTTAAGAAGGGTGTCCAGAACCTGTGGAAAAATGAAGCCCCTTTGTAGGCATTTATTCTGTTAAAGAGTAGTATTTTAGAGAAAAACATATCTGAAAGATATCGTGTTTGTAGGCAGGACCCTGGAGAGATGATGTAACCAGTAAGAGGTGGTGTTAGGACTTATTTTTCCATTAGTAGTAATAGGTTATAGAGAGCTAGAGACATGCTTGTCCATGCTTCTTTATGGCTAATATGACAGAATTTGTCTTGTGATCACAATTTGGGTGTAGTTGGTGGCTAAAAAAGATTTTCTCTGCATGAAGCTAACTGACCCACCTGGGCTTAAGCTCAGTCTTAGCTTTATTAGGTCCACTCTCCAAGCACCTGAGCAATCTCCTGGCCTAAGGCTGCATAATATGCCAGTCATTTTCAATGAGATGAGGTATCTGAAGATTAGGAGCAATGGGAAATTACTTTGATTTTTCTGAAAGCTCATCATGATTAGGTGATTCCTAAGAATCCAACTTTGTACCACATGTTACTTAATTACGTGATTATTTTGAAGACAAATGGAATACTTTGAGGCAGGTTTCGGAAGCGCTGTAATAAAGACTATTACAGGCTTTCTGTGTTATGTTGACAGAGAGTTGTTTATATTCGTCACTATGTACATGAAGAGCTTGATTTGACCTTATCAGGTAATTTGTTGGAGATCTGCGTGCATGCTGTAAACGGAATTTTACTACTTTTAATGGACCCTGAGCAGAGCTGAGTGGGCATTTGATTGGAATCTCGACCAGCCTGTTTATTATCTTGCTTTCTATTTATGTACAGTCACTTTCTTCTGGAACAATACCCAATCATGTCATTAACTTGCTCATTTTTTAGTCTTCTGGCTCTGCCTGTCACATACAGGAATATTTGCGCTTAATTTGATTATTTAATAGGGTTCTATTTCCCCAAATGTCCTGGCTTACTTACAAATAAAAACAAATTATTTCTGAAAGCCATAGTCTCCAGGTCATGGAGTGCTCAGGCACATTTTAGAACCACCAGTGGTGGAGTCTGTCTATTCTCCTCATTCCAGTCCAGTGGAGAGGAATTTTATCTATCAGAATGGGCTACAGCGTGCTTCAGTTACAAATACATAAGTCCCCTGCACCCCCGCCACCCCGCACTGCACCAATCTCAGTGTCTGAACCCAATAAGGGGTTAATTCTTGCTCAAGGCCAGGAATAGGGCAAGGCAAATGAAGTGCCTAGGATTCAAAATTTCAGGAGGCACCCACTTCCAGGGTCATGGAGTGCAGGTCTTGCTTATACTGGGTGGCCAATGTGCATCAATAAGAAGCTCTGCTAATTGCCACACAGGGATCCAAACTGATAGGGCTTCATCTCAACACACACTTTGTGATCACTGAAGCAGTGGGAAATGTAGCAAATTGCTCACTGGCTCTTTAAGCTTCCACTGGAAAGTGATGTGTATCATTTCTGATCATTTCATTGGCCAAAGAAAATCCACTGGTCTGACTTCAAGGGCGACAGGGAAATACCACCTTACCACTTGCCTGGAAAGTGGCAAGCAGAAAGTATTTGGTGAACACTCTGAATGATTTGTATAGTTATGTTTCCTATATTCTCTAGCACAGAGTTCTGTGGAGCACTGAGCCCAGAGTATTGTGCCCATAGCTCTGACAACTTGCAACTTCAGGTCTTCGAATAACATCTTTCTTTGACATCGCTTGATTATAACCTCAATGAGAAAAAAAAAAAATCACTTCCCGGCGGGGTCCAATGCCTGTGTGGAGTTTGCATGTTCTCTCTAGTCTGCATGGGTTTTCTCTGAGTACTGTGGTTTCCTCCCACATCTCAAAGTTGTGCACGTCAGGTTCATTGGCAAGTCTACATGGTCCCAATGTGAGTGAGTGTGAGTGTGCCCTGCAATGGAATGGCATCCTGGCCAGGTTCTTGCCTCGCTCCCTGAGCTGCCTGGATAGACTCTGGCCACCCATGACCCTAAACTGGAATCACTGGGTAGATAGTCTTACCTGTTTTATTGAATCTTTCTTAAACATTGTATAGTTCACATGTATTCCAAGGTTTAATATTAGAAGTGTCTTGGTCTTTATTTAGAAGTTTGGTGATGTTTTGTGATCAGAAATATGCCATAGGAACTTAACTCTTTTTTTTTTTTTTTTCTGAGACTGAGTCTCACTCTGTCGCCCAGGCTGGAGTGCAGTGGTGCTATCTTGGGTCACTGCAACTTCTGCCTCCTGGGTTCAAGCAGTTCTTGTGCTTGAGCAGCTGGGACTACAGGCATGTGCCATGACACTCGGTTAATTTTTGTATTTTTAGTAGAGTCCGGGTTTCACCATGTTGGCCGGGCTGGTCTTGAACTCTTGACCTCAAGTGATCCACCTGCCTCGGCCTCCCAAAGTGCTGGGATTACAGGCATGAGCCACCGTACCCTGCCTTAACTTTTTTTTTTTTTTTGAGATGGAGTCTCGCTCTGTCGCCCAGGCTGGAGTGCAGTGGCGCGATCTCAGCTCACTGCAAGCTCCGCCTCCTGGGTTCATGCCATTCTCCTACCTCAGCCTCCTGAGTAGCTGGGACTACAGGTGCCTGCCACCACGCCTGGCTAATTTTTTGTATTTTTAATACAGACGGGCTTTCACCATGTTAGCCAGGATGGTCTCGATCTCCTGACCTCATGATCCGCCCGCCTCAGCCTCCCAAAGTGCTGGGATTACAGGCGTGAGCCACCGCGCCCGGCCGCCTTAACTCTTGTTTATAACAATTAGCTTATGGAAAAATTGGTTTCCTTAGGCATTGTTTTGCATAAACTTGCAGTTTCCAAGAAATTGTTGACGATGTTAGTGAGGTCATACTGTAAAATGAATTCTGGCAATAGGTCGCTGGTAGATTACAACTACTTACAGGTGCACAAGGAGGCTTGTTAGGTGGATGGACTGTGCCCCTTAACATCATCTGCTCAGCTGAGAAAGAGCTTTCACAATGTACTAAGACAACAACATCCCTAAGGTGAAGCTCTCCTCCCAGGGTGCTGAAAGCTTTGCCATATGCAGCGGCTGTGATTACCAAGGCTTGTCAAATCTCAGCTGAAGAAAGAGCACCACTCCTCTTTCTTTACTTCTTAATTTCTCTAATGCTCTTTTCCACTATTTTTTAACTCCAGGAAGCTTTGGAATATATTCTGCAAAGAAGATGCTATCCTAAATAGAGTTGATCTGTGTCATCACTGAAATTGTCAATGAGCATTCTTTATTGTTAGTTGTGTACTCCAGAAATAGCTAGATAAAAAGGACAAAATATAAAATAAAAAGAAAAGGCAAAAGCAGTGCATTTTTGCCTTTGATTATTATTATTATTTGCTTCTTCTTTAAATGTAAAGCAAAGCATATTTGTGAAATGATTTAAAAATAAGAACAGTCTTGTATTTTTTAGGAAACTGTTTTTAAGGATTTCTTCACACTTAACCAGTTCTCCTCAAGTATCTCTGTCTCTCCGATTTGGCACACCTGTTTTACAGATGAGGCCTCTAGAACACTGGCTGGTTAAGAGATTTGATTACAGTCATGAGGTGACTGTATTTTGGGTTTGACTGGTATTTTGAGGGTCAAGTAATACCATAGTATTGTGGTTTCTACCTTGGCCTTTAGCTTCTCCTGTGGTGATAAACCTGTGGATTTTATTTCAGCAGGGATTTTCAAGTTGTTTTTTGGTATTATAAATAATACTCTGAAATGGAGATTTCTCAGTCAAGTTCTATCTGGTTATTAGTTACATATCATATATTTGGTTGAATATTTGCATTGAGATTTAGAGAAGAGGGAGTTTAAGATGGAAGGTATCTCAGTCCTGCTGAATATGGAATCATATCAGTTTTCCATAAAGCCCTTTGTTTATGGATTGTTAAGACCATGCTGATCCAGAGTGAGCAGCAGTTGAGTATGTCTTCAGATCTGGACCCATATCCAGGTTGAATGGGAAGACTCTGGGCTGACATTTTCTTTTACTTCCAATGTCCTGGCTCCATGGATTTTGAAGGTAAAGATTGAATGTATCATCAACAAGACAACATTTTAGCTTTGTAATGACTAAAACACGGTGCCAAGTATTGGTGAGGATATTGAGAGGATATAAAATAGTATAACCACTTTGAAAAGTTAAGAATAGGTTCAACATGGACCTATCCTATGACCCAAAAATTCTACTCTGAAGTATGTGGAGTGTGAAATAGAACACATGTACACATAAAGAACTGATAAGAATGTTTGGCCTGGTGAGGTGGCTCACACCTGTAATCCTAGCACTCTGGGAGTCTGAGGCGGGTAGATTGCCTGAGCTCAGGAGTTTCAGACCACCCTGGGCAACATGGCAAAACCCCATCTCTACTAAAATACAACAACATAGCCCAATGTGGTGGCAGGCGCTTGTAGTCCCAGCTACTCGGGAGGCTGAGGCATGAGAATTGCTTGAACCCGGGAGATGGAGGTTGCAGTGAGCTGAGATCACACCACTGCACTCCAGCCTGGGCGGCAGAGTGAGATTCTAACACAAAAACAAAACAAAAATGTTCATGGCACCTTCATTCGTAACAGCCCCAATCTAGAAATAACCCAAATGTTCATCAACAGTTGAATGGATAAACAAATTTTGAAATAGTCATACAATTAAATACTACTCAGCAATAAAAAGGAATGAGCCACTGATACACTCGACAACAGGTATAAATCTTTAAAATATTGTATTGAGTTAAAGAAGCCTAAGACACACACACAAAGTACTGTATGATTCCATTTATATGAAGTTCAAGAACTGGTAAACCCAAGCCATGGTGATAGAAGTCAGAAAGTGATTACCTCTGACAGGGGTATTGACTAGAAAGAGCTACAAGGAAACTTCCTAGGATAATGGAAATACTCTATAACCTGATTGGAATGGTGGCATGGGAAGCTGTATACTTACATCTGTGCTTTTATGGTATGTAAATTACACTTAAATTTTAAAAAATACAAAATGAATTTCAGACCTCAGACTTTACAGGACCCTGATCTAACTCACATTTTCCCCAAGTGTTCTTACTTATTTTTTTTGAGAGAATATTGAATGAATATGTCCTCTCCCTTGATCAGTTGATTCAGAGGAAATCAATCCTAATTGTCCCAACTTTACTTTCTTCAAGGAAGAATACAAGAGCTACAATGGAGTCTGAATCTCTGACCACATGGGGTTGGCCATCCTTTCCTTAGCTTATCTCCTGTTAACAGCTCAGGGTCACAATAGTGACAGGACACAATTACACAAAAGCTCCCTCTTTGTCTACATAGAATCAATAGCAATACATGATGCCTTGAAAGATTAAAGCCAAATGCCTGGTCATCCAGGTGATGAAAATGGAATACACTAGCTGCTATTCATCTTCAGTGAGTCAGCATGGTTCTTTCAGGTGAAAGGAACTGCATCAGATATGGGCAAAGCTGTGGTGACTGCAGAGGTAGATGTTCAGAAAGGACAGAGGGGAAGGAAGAGTGACAAATATACTCCCTGTTTATGCCATAAAGGTTGACATTACAAGCTTGAAGTGGCACTGTGTTTGCATCTACTCTACACCTACTGGGATATGAAAACGACAATATGATGAAGAAGGAAAAATCCCACCATTGTCTGATTTACTGCCTTGGAACTTGGAATGCTGTGAAGGTTTATGTCTTTTTCTTTTTTCTTTTGGTCCCTAATGCTTTCTAATATTTTGAAAATGAACAATCACTGTTATAATGTGTTCTTCATTTATATAATGTTAAGTATTTACATTTTTATATAGTTATAACTATGAATGGAATACATTTTAAAAAGGTGGATGTTATAGGTGCTAAAAAGAAGCTTATGCAGTTATTGAAAACTAAGTGAAAAAAGGAACCTATTATGAGTACATAGACCATCTTTCCCTTGACTGTTAGAGCAAGTCTTTTCTTAAAAGCAGTGGATTTTAATGTGGCATGCATATTGGGGCTTGTCCTCTTGGAATGATCACTTATCCACCAAGCTGAGAAATTCCAAGCAACCACGTAAAGATCTCTACATGGAAGACAACAAAAGTCCCTGGCCAACAGCCAGCCTCAACTTGCCAATTATATTAATGAGGTCATCTTGGAAGGGGATCCTCCAATCCTAAGTTGAGCCTCCCCAGCTGATTCCACATGGAACAGAGATGAGCTGTCCACATCAAGACTGGCCGAAATTGCAGATTTGTGAGCAAATGTATGATTTTTTTTTTTTTGCTAATGTATGATTGTTAACTCATTACGTTTTGGGATGATTTGTTACATATGACTGAAACAGTTCCTCAAACTATTTTCTACGTGTATTTTATCTAGGTGTCTATCACTACCTAAATTTAAGTTGGCATATATATTTTAACTCTGTTTAGTAGTTCAGGAACTCTGTTGAGGAAGATTCTGAGACTGCAGCCTAGTTTAGTAGAAAAGCATGCATGTCCTTCATTTAATTTATTCACCACACAGCAGGCAGGGTGATCTTTTAAAAAATCAATCTGATTGTGTGACTACACTGCTGAAATTCTCCAGGGGCTTTCCAATGCAGTTAGAATGAAAACCAACATCCTTATTGTCATTTGCAAAGCCCTCTATTCGCTGGCCTTTACTTGATTCCCCTTCAGTCTCATTCCATGCCACTCTCCCACTCAGCCACTCACACAGTCCAGCTTCACAAGTTGTGTTTCAATTTCCCGAACATGCCAAGGCAACTCCCACCTTTGCATCTTTTTATCTGTATTAGATATTCTCCCTTCCTGGAATGATCTTTATAGGACTGACTTCTTATCATTCAGATCCCAGTTTATCTTCTCAGATAGACTCCCCTGACTAGGCAAATCAGTCAGCTATTACTATAATATGGTTTCATAGCAAACGACCTCACAATTCAGTGGCTTAAAACAGCAAGTATTTATTCTGATCTTCATAGGCCTGTGGGGTGATTGGGGCAGCCTTGCTCTATGTCTCAGTTTTGGGTCTGCATTGCCTCCTAAATGGGCAAATGAAAACCCTCAATCCTATTAAGGCCTAAACTAAGAATTCACACACTGTCTGTCTCCCACTCCCATTGAGATGGGAGAGTTCCCTTGACCCCTTCCTGGGGCTTACGACAGGGCTGTGGCTCCTTTACTCCTCTGCTGCACTCAAACCGCTTGTGGGAGGAGGAGCACGCAGGTGAACTGGTGCAGGAGCTGGGGCAAGTGCCTTTGGGTGCTGGCATGAACCCTGTACTGGCCTGTGGCAGCATTTAGGGGTTGCCCGTGACCTCTGGAGCCCCAGAGGGCATGTGTTACAAACAATGTTCTTTTAGCTTTGCCATCTGTGGATGGATTAAGTGCTAAACAGCTCAGTGAAGTCATCATGACAGTCTTTTTGGGTTCCTGCACCCAGTGTGTCGCAAATTCTTGTCTGGCATCCAAGAAGAATCAGGTCACATGAAGTGATTGAAGGGTAGTGTATGTGGAGGATTTTATTGAGCAATGGAAGTGGCTCTCAGCGGGATGGGGAGCTGGAAAGGAGATGGAGTGGGAAGATAATCTTTCCCTGGAGTTCAGTTGTCTCCAGCCAAACTCCTCTCTGACAGTAATCTCTGATGTCCAGCTGCCTCGTCTCCTCTCAATGTTCAGACGCTTCTGCTCTTCTCTCCTTCTTGGTGTGCTACCCTGCTCCTCTGCCAGTGGAGCTTGCGGTTTTTATGGGCACAGGATAGGGAGTGTGGCAGGCAGGGTGGTTTTGGAAAAGGCAACATTCTGGTGGGAAAACAGGAATGCATGTTCTCATTTAGGACCATGGGTCCAGGCTTGAGGGTGGTTCCCTCGCCGGGGACCTCCTCCCTTTTCTACCCAGTATTTCCCTGCCACCATTATCCAAGTCAATTTACACAGTCAACATGAATGTAGAGGAAAAACACTCTTCCTATGGAGGGGAAGATTGTTGAACAATAATCTACTACACCACTCAATCGAAAACCGCCATACCATCAGTCCTTTATCTTTATCTCACCCAACTTTAATTCTTTGAAAATAATCACTCTCTGATATTTTGTGTCTATTATGTTTATTGTCTGTTTCCCCGTGTTATAATATGTGTTGTATATGTGCAGAGGTGTTATTTGTCTTCTTCTGTTCCATATTTCCAGCACATGGAATAGTTTCTGGCTGAGATGAGATGCTCGACAAGAACAAATATTTGTTGCAGAAATTAGTACAGGGAGAAGCAACAGGAAAGCTGCTTATTTTCTCACTCCAAACTACACAAATATTTTGATCTTTTTAACCAATGTTTTTTCTTCCTGTAACTTGTCCATCTTTTCCAGTATTGTCTTCCAGTAATGTAAGAGACATCAAAGCTTTGACTCTGTTTGAATTGGGTCCCCCCAGAAGTCAACCTTGGGTCAAGGATTAAGGTACATTCAGTTTATTTGGGTGCAAGGATGTGGGCAGGGGAGTGGAGAAGTGATACAAGGAGGGAAAGACAGCCCATCAATGGGTTCATTATTAGGCCAGCTACTTTACTAGGCCAGCTACCATTAGCTAGAACTAGAACTTAATCCTACCAGTATTAACAATTCACTGTACAATTATCATGGTAAAAGGGCAAGGGAGCTGGGCATTTATTCCCTCATGCTTTTTGATCATTAAAGGCTGCCCAGGGGAGGGAGGGTAAAGAAGAGGGGTGGAAGCTGTTAGCTCCTAGGCACTTCCACTCAGCTTGTATGGCGATGTGGGGTTTGGCAGCCCCAAGTTAGGCTTCTGATGAAAATGCAGGTGTTAGCCATTGGAAGTCAGGCTGGGTGCAATAAAATGTTAAGGAAATCATAGGGGATATGAGTAGAGCAAACTCTGACTAGCTTTTTCTAAAAATAAGTTTTATTGAGCTATAACTGACATATAGCAAACTGTACATATCATACATATGATAAGTTTTAACATGTATGTAACCATTAAAACCATCACCATGGCTGGGCACAGTGGTTCACGCCTGTAATCCCGGAACTTTGGGAGGCCGAGGTGGGCGGATCACCTGAGGTCAGGAGTTTGAGAGCATCCTGGCCAACATGGTGAAACACTGTCTCTACTAAAAATACAAAAATTAGCCAGGTGTGGTGGCACATGCCTGTAGTCCCAGCTACTCGGGAGGCTGAGGCAGGAGAATTGCTTGAAGCCAGGAGTGGAGGTTGCAGTGAGTCGAGATCGCACCACTGCACTCCAGCCTGGGCGACAGAGTGAGACTCCTCAAAAAAAGAAAAATAAAACCATCACTAGAATCAAGATAATGAACATAGCCATTCCCTCTGACAGTTTTCTCCTGCCTCATTATAATCCCTCCCTTTGGCATCTTCCCATTCCTAAACAACTGCTGCTCAAGCCTTCTGTCACTATAATTTTCATTTTCTAGAATTGTATGTCATTAGAATCATGCAGTATACCTCCTTTTATTTTCTTCTTTCATTCAACATGATTATTTTGAAATTCATCTATGTTGTTTTGTGTATCAGTAGTTCATTCCTTTTTATTGCTGAGTAGTATTCCATTGTATGGATAGATCACAATTTGTTTATCCATTCACTAGTTGATGGACATTTGGATAGTTTCTACTTTTTGGTTATTGTGAATAATGCTGCTACAAATATTTGTATATGAGGGTTTTTGTGGACATATATTTTCATGTCTCTTGTGATTCTATTGGTAACTTGGAATTGGCCACGATGGGAATATTTACAGCATGGAAACTGACAAACCCTACAGATTCAAGGCTTTTTGTTCCCCTGAGAGATCTGGTTGTTAAATATTTACCATCATACCCCTAGATACACCCTAGAATAGGAATTGCTGAATCAAAGACTACACAGTTTTTAAAAGTCATTGAGATATATTGTCAAAATGGCCTTCTAAGAAGGTTGTAACTTTCTTGTTTATCAAAATGTGTGTATCTCCAGTCATAATGGCTATAACTAAAAAGTTAAAAAAAACAACAGATGCTGGTGAGGCTATAGAGGAAAGAGAATGTTTTTCATTGTTGTTAGGAATGTAAATTAGTTTGACCATGGTGGCCAGTTTAGAGATTTCTCAAAGAACATAAAACAGAATTACCATTTGATCCAGCACCCCACTGCTGGGTATATATCCAAAAGAAAATGAATTGTTCTACCAAAAAGATACCCCTGCACTTGTGTGTTCATTACAGCACTATTCACAATAGCAAAAACATGGAATCAACTTAGAAGATGCCCATCATTGGTGGATTGGATAAGAAAATGTGGCATGTATACAACATGAAATACTATGCAGCCATAAAAAGAAGGAACTCATGTCCTTTGCAGCTACATGGATGCAGCTGGAGGCCATTATCCTAAGCAAATTAATGCAGGAAGAGAAAACCGAATACCACATTCTGACTTATAAGTGGGAGCTAAACATTGGGTACTCATGGACATAAAGATGGCAACAATAGACACTGAGGGCTACTAGACGGGGGAGAGGGAAGGGGGTAAGGACTGAATGTTCAGTTCCCTCTAAGTTAAAAGTCCAAAGTCCAAGATGCTTATTCTTCCCCAGGGTGATGTTGGTGCAGGAATTTTCTCAACCTGTTTGTCGGACTTGGGACGGAGGGTGGCTTGTTTACTTGGCCCACCATGCTTAACCTTTTGAGGGAGAGAGCACTTGAGTGAGTGTGGAATCCAGCTGGCCGCATTGTGCACCTGCAGGAGCAGGCTCTGTGCAGACCCCGTGGCCAGACCAGGCATGGGCGAACAAGTGCAGAATCTGGCCAGCTGCTTTGGCTGCTGGCAGGAGCAGGCTCCATGAGGGCCCTGCGGTGGTGCCCACGTAGGGGTGCCTGCAATCCCCGAAACCTCAAAGGACATGTTACACTGCTCTCTTAGCTCCACCGTCCGTGGACAGTGGAGTGTTATCCGTTCAGTGGGCCCCTTGCCTCGTCGTGTGCGGTGGCTGCCTTCTGCCAGTGAGGGTAAAGGGCCAGTGTGACAGCCTTTTTTGGGTACCAGCACTTGGTGGGTTCAGAGCACTTGACCAGTGTCGAAGAAGAATGAGGTTGCATGGACACTTGAAGGATGGTGGAGGTGGAGAATTTTATTTAGGGATGGAAATGTCTCACAGTGGAGAGGGGAGCTGAAGAGGAGGCAGGACGGGCAGGTAATCTTCCCTGACATCTGGCAGTCTCCAGCCAGCTCTTCTCCGAAGTTAAGCCATCACTCCTCCAAAGTCCAGCTGTCCCTCTGAAGTCAAGTTGCCTCTCTCCAGTCAAGCTGCGTCTCCCTTTCTACCTACTGAGTCTGGGGTCTTTATAGGGATATGATGGGGGGCAGGGAGGGTCATAAGTAATTTTGGGAAAAGGCAACATTCAATAGGTAGAAAGACATTATTCAGAAAGAGTCAACTGGGAGAGAGCGAGCAAACAGGGATAGAAGTTCTCACTTTGGGCTGTGGGTTTCAGCTTGAAGGTGGGGTTTTGCTAGGTCCCACCCTTGTCTGCCTAGAATTTCTCTGCCTCTAGCCTCTATCGATGTTGCCACTTTTTTCCCTCATTGTAGCGAAGAGCAGGAACTTCTGTGTATATCTGAAAGATTAAAAAAAAAAACACTTTTAGACCAGTGTATGGATATGTAAGGCTTTCATAACAAAGAAAAGAAAACTTTAAAAATAAATCAGGCCAGAAAGATGACGTAATCAGGGAATAAGGGGGAGGAAGGAAACATTAAACATTAAATTTTTGTTCCTTTGGTACATAGTCTCTAAGCCATTGTTTATAAAGACTCATATTTTTATATAGTTATAATCCAGTGAACATGCACTATTTCTGCTTTTCTCATTTAATATTATTTCACACTGCATTTCCAGAAATGGATGTAATCTTTATTATTTTCATTTTAATGACTTTGTAATGTTCTATTATTATAATTCCCCTATTGTTGGGCATTTGAGTTGCTTCCAATTTTCCAACATTATAAATAGAACATCTTCCTGCAAATTCCTTCTTTTGCCTTGCAGATTATTACTTCCTTGGATTAACTTCCCTAAAGTCCTCTTTTTCCCAGTCCATTACTTGTTTATTTAGTTCCATATACACATTTTTTTCTTCTCTGTCCTGCCCCAACCCTGTACTTGACAGAGTTATATGCTCCTGCTAGGTACCGTCATGCCATTCTGCATTTCCCCCATTACAATTTACCATGCTTGCTTTTAATAACATATTTGTTTTCCTAGCTAGACTGCAGGCTCCATGTGGGAAGGGCCGATATATCTTTTCGTATTGGTTCCCCATTACTTATATCACATGTGCTCAATATCTATTTATTGATATCTATCTACCTATCTATGACTTTCTTTCCCTTCTTCCTTCTTCAAGTCTCATTTGACATTAATTACCTCAACAGTTAATACATGAGCAACTCTTTGTGTCCTATTATAATAAACCTACTGGCTTTGCTGTAGTTATTAATAGATAATTGCTATCCCTAAACGAAACCATTTTTTGGCATTGGGCCCTGTCTGCTATAATCTTAAGTCAAAGGGCAAGGCTAGTCAGTACTCCCCTCAGAAGTGACTTAATTATAGGTAACACAATTTTTAAAGAATTAAGTAAGGCTGTACAGTTATTCTGACATCGAGATGCAGCCTTGTACTTAAAATGGCTGTGTTTTAGTTCAGGTTCCCTAGAAACAGACTGTGTGAGATGGAGATTAGTGCGAAAGAAGTTCATCAAAGCATACTCCAGGGAGGCATACCCTGGGAGGTACTAAAGGAAGCAGGGCTGGGTAGAGGGAGAAGTTGAACTGTGACGCAGCCCCCTCATCCAATTCCACAGGGAGCTCTAGGGTTGGGATGGTCCTTCAGAGTCGTCTTATATTGGAGTGAGGGGGCCAAGCCTTGTATCTACCCTTCATTGGCCAACCATTGAATGCAGGAAAGGGGCATGGCTTTGGAAGAGAAAACTACCTTCAACTGAGGGTAGTTTCCAGAAAGGGTCTGAGCCATAAGCCAGCACCAGACAACATTGTTAGCACCTGGGAAGATGAGTGCCTCAGTTCTGAAAGGGGCATGTGGCCAGGCACCATGGCACCCACCACAGGGGAGATGAGTCATCTCAAAGTGGGGTGCCATGAGAATAGATTAGCAGCTGTTTCAAGAGGACGGAGCCAAGTGACTACTTCCACTCAACTTAATTCCTAGTACTACCCTGAAGTTCAAAGGAGGTAATGGCTGAAATCCCCCAAATTTGTGTGGTCTCAGGGTGTTTTTAAAAGAAACATAACAGTTACCAGCCTCCTTTCCCTCAAGGTGTTTTCCCCCACATGCCTTCCCCGACAGCTGTTTCCTCATTTTGAAACCCCAGGAGATGAGTCAGGGAGATCTTGTGATATAACCAGGAGGTCTGGCCTCAAAAGATGAGGACCTCCCAGGGGCCTCCAAAGATGCCCTGAGCCTGGGGATGGGCCTGCTGTTATCCACACCTTTTCCTCAACAAACCACCACCCATGAGACAGTTTCAAAGGGAACAGTGGACATGAATCCAACTACACAAACTTATTTATAAGGCTGAATTAGCTCATGTCTGCAAAGCACTTTGAGCAATTTGGATAGACTTCTTAAATTGTTTACCTAACGTATTACCTCACCTTTAAGTCAATTTCATAGAATGGGCTAAATACAGCTTCCATTAGAAAATAATCTTATCATGAGTTTTTTCAACATCTAATATGTATTATCATTGGTGGTTAAGTAAAGTCAGCTTGTTGAGGCAAGACCATTATTTTTCACATATTTTTCATAAATTTTCATTTACAAACTTTTAAGAATGGATTCTGATTTTTGTGCTAAAAAATTATGCCTGGTACAGACCATATTGTAATGAATACTTTTAGGCTGAAGGAATCAGTCATATTTTCAACATAAGGTAACCAGATGTCTTAATTATGTATGTGTGTGCATGTTTTAGCAAGTTTTATATTAGAATCTTAGCTCCCTGGATACAGATAGCCCCAATGTCCTCTAGGATCTCTGGCAAAAGAGTGCTTTAGGGGCACAAACTCTATGCCAGCTTCAGGTATGCATAGAATATTATAATGTGTGAAGTCACCACAGTGGTCAATTAAAAAAAAATCTGGTTACAAGGAAATCTGTTTCCTGCTACTCTGGCTGCTGCTTCAGCTTCAGTAAGGACAAAGTATGGTCTTCTCTCGTCCACTAATATGTAACCTAAGAGTTTCACAGTATTTGATCATTTATGAATGAGTTAGTTTGGGGGTTGGGAAGTATGGCTTGATAGATATAGTGTAGCTCTTTTTGTAATCAATGCACGATACAAACCAGTATTTAAGAACCCCTGGCTGGGCGCGGTGGCTCATGCCTGTAATCCCAGCACTTTGGGAGGCTGAGGTGGGTGGATCACTTGAGCTCAGGAGTTTGAGACCAGCCTGAGCAACATGGCAAAACCCTGTCTCTACAACAAATACAAAAATTAGCTGGACATGGTGGCACACACCCCTGGTCTCAGCTACTTGGGAGGCTGAAGTGGGAGGATAACTGAGCCCGGGGAGGTTGAGGGTGCAGTTAGCCATGATTTTCCCACTGTACTCCAGCTTTGGTGACAGAGTGAGACCTTGTCTCCAAAATAAACAAAAAAACCAAAAAGGATGGGCCCAGTGGCTCACACCTCTAATCCCAGCACTTTCACAAGCCAAGGCGGGTGGATCACTTGCTTGAACTCAAGAGTTCAAGACCAGCCTGGGCAACATGAAGAAACTCAGTCTCCACAAAAAAATACAAAAATTAGCCAGGAGTGGTGGCACACACTTGTGGTCACAGCTACTCAGGAGGCTGAGGTGAGAGGATCACTTGAGCCCAGGAGGCAGCCGTGAGCTGAGATTGTGCTACTGCCTCCAGCTTGGGAGACAGAGCAAGACCTTGTCTCAAAACAAAGAAAGAAAGAAAGAACTCCTAATGGGGGTTATGCTGGGATGGATGTTCACTGCCTTCAGGCCCACCAGGTCAGCAATTGAGGTTATATATACTTTTTGTAGTAGCCACTCTTTGCCCTGTTTCTGTATCAGTCAGATTTCTTAGTTGCAAACAACAGAACCCCTCTTGCTAGTTTAAGCTAGAAAAGAGATTTATTCAAGGGTACAGTCATCCCCCTATCCATGGTTTTGCTTTCTTGGTTTCAGTTGCCTGCAGTCAAATGTGGTCTGAAAATATTAAGTGAAAAATTCCTGAAATAAACAAATCATAAGTTAAATTGCACACTGTTCTGAGTAGCATGATGAAATCTCATGCAGTTCCACCTGGGATGTAAATCATCAGTATCCACACTGTGGACACTACCCACCCAACTAGTTACTTAGAAGTGTCTCAGTTCTCAGATTAACTGTTATAGTTGCTTGTGTTCAAGTCACCCTTATTTTACTTCATAATAGCCCCAAAGTGTGCAAGAGTAGTGATGCTGGCAATTTGGATATGCCAACGAGAAGCCACGAAGTGCTTTCTTTTAGTGAAAAGGTGAAACTTCTAGACTTAATAAGGAAAGAAAAAAATCCTATATACTGAGATTGCTAAAATCTATGATAAGAACAAATCTCCTATCTGTGAAATTGGGAGGAAGGAAAAGGAAATTCATGCTGGTTTCATTGTCGCACCTCAGACTGTAAGAGTTATCGCCACCGTGTGTGATAAGTGCTTAGTTAAGATGGAAGAGGCATTAAATTTGTGGATAGAAGACACGAACAGAAATGTGTTTCATGCTAATTGTGGTTTCAGGCATCTATTGGGGGGTCTTGGGATGTATTCCCCTGTGATAAGCAGATACTACTGTATTATAAAGTTCACATGCTCTCCACAGGGGCTGGAGTCCTTCAATAGAACTGCTTCAGTGGGAACAATGCTGCCACCATTTCTTAGGACAGGCAACTCTGATCACATCATTAGGCATTGGATGCAACTGCTAGGAACTCTGCCACTTGATGCTTCTAGAGACTGGGTGTATCGGTTGCTGCCCACATCATAATGGAGTCCAGGCAGTGCCTGCTTCTTTGGGTCACAAACTTCTGATTCAAACTCTGGCATAGGTGTGTCTCATTGGTAAAGGTTAGCATTCTATGTCTATATCCTTGTACCCTCTGCCTCCCTTAGCCTACAAACTCATCTCCTCTTCTATTTTGAATTGGTTATTCGCACGGATGAGAGAGAGAGAAAGAGAGAGAGAGACCATAAAACAAGGAGATCAAATTTTAGAAATTACAACAAAACCATTTTTACTTCTTTATCATCCCATCAGAAAGGCAATTTTAGACCTTCAAGTGCTTTTACTAACCGTTATACTTTCAGCTATTACTTTTGTTCCCAAGGAATGTATAAAACAGACATTCTTACCCTTAGAAAAAAACTGAGGTAGAGAAATTTCCAAGAATGATGCCAAAGCCAGAAATCAAAGAAAAATATTGAAAACCTTTACACTTCAAGAAAAAAACCATGTCCTTAATATAGCAGGATCTTTTACAAATCAATAAGAAAAATTTTAATACCACAGTAGACAAATGATCAGTGGATATGGACAAGTAATCTACAAAAGAAGAAAGGCAAATGTTCAGCAGCCTTATGAAAAGATAATCTAGCTACTAATTAAAAATGCAAACGAAAATAGCAAGTCATAATTTCCTCCCTTTTGGATTAGCAAACAGACCTAAGCCAATTTGGCAGTCCAGCCAATGTCAAGGTCCTTTAGTGAACA
Source organism: Homo sapiens (assembly GCF_000001405.40). Taxonomy (NCBI): domain Eukaryota; kingdom Metazoa; phylum Chordata; class Mammalia; order Primates; family Hominidae; genus Homo; species Homo sapiens. The sequence continues at coordinate 31,103,350 of NC_000023.11, forward strand.
TATTAAAGATGGGTGGTAGCTATACATACTTGCCCGCACAACCTTGTTAGCAGATGGTTTATTGCTATTAGGCTATGTTCTTCAAATTCTTTCAAACATACAAAAATTTATTAGCAAGCAAGTACAAAAGAGCGTAAAAGGCTTATTCTGTGGCAGATACTCCTCTATTCCTGATCACATGACTGGCTGGTTTTGTAGGTGTGTCAGAGTAGCAGAGTCTTGTTGATGTGGCAGGACCAACAGGGCTCCAGAGCTGGAATACTGCTTTAGTGGAATTATATCCACTGGGCTGGAATTTTATCTTGTTCATGTAAGGGCGGTAAAGCCTGTACAACATTCCTAGTGGGTCCCCTCCCTGGAACACCTCTCATCTCACGAATAAAAATATTTCTTCCCATTACTAAGTGCTAGGTCACCATCTCTGAAGGTGTTGGTTCTCAATTAGGGCCAATTAAATGATGTTTAAGTATTTCTAGATACTTCAAATGTAAACTCACACTCAAACTCCTAACTCCACACAGTATTACCTTGGGCACATACAGACATGCTGTCAACATAATCTGAAATAAGTGGAAACAGTCATTGCACATTGGCACTTTTCTGAAATGCAATTTGTCAATATGTATAACAATATCAAGTGCACATACTCTACAAATTAGTGATCCTACCTGTGGCATCTTATCCTAAGGAAGTAATTGAACACATGCAAAGATCTGTCCATGGATGTGTATGACTGTGTGGTTTTTCATAGTGCAAGATTGTAAACAATCAAAAGTTTGTTTGTAGGATAATGACACAAAGCAGCTCAGTGGTTCTTTGGTGACAGGAGTAGGGCCTGGGAATAGAAGGGATGAGATGGCAGGACTACAAAGGGCCAGAAGGAAACTTTTGGGGTGATAGATATATTCACTATTTTTGACTGTGGTGATCACTTTATGGGTGTATAGATATGTTAAAACCTTTCAAATTGTACACGTTAAATATATGCAGTTTATTGTATGTCAGTTATACCTTAAAGTTGTTTAAAATAGTTCTGTCGGTAGATATTGGATAAATAGTAGTAATGAGAAGAGTTATTGAGCACTTAATATGTGCCTGATATTGTGCCGGGTGTTCTGCAAATATTGTCTTTCTCTTTTCTTTTTCCTGCTCTGTTACCCAGGCTGGAGTGCAGTAGTGCGATTGCGGCTCACTGCAGTCTCGACCTCCTAGCTCAAGCGATCCCCACATCTCAGCCCCCTCAGTAGCGGGGACTACCAGCGCCTGCTACCACGCCTGGCTAATTATTTTATTTTCTGTAGAGACGAGGTCTTCCTGTGTCGCCCAGGCTGGTCTCAAACTCCTGGGCTCAAGAAATCTACCCACCTCAGGCTCCCAAAGTGCTGGGATTATAGGCGTGAGCCACCACGCCTGGCAATATTGTCTCTCTTGATTCTCACCCCAGCCCTTTGATTTTGTTATCCCTGTTTCTCACAGATGAGAAAACTGAGGTTTGAAGAACTTATATGACCTGCCCAAAGTCTCAGTCACAAAGTGGCTAAAGAGTAGGAGTTAACAAACAACAGCCCACTTGTCAAATCCAACCTGCCACTTAATTTTGTAAATAAAGTTGGACAGACATGACGCCTGTAATCCCAGCACTTTGGGAGGCTGATTTGGGAGGATCACTTGAGACCAGGAGTTTGAGACCAGCCTGGGCAACATGGACAAACCCTGTCTCTGCAAAAAACACAAGACTTAGGCAGGCATGGTGACGCACACCTTTAGTCCCAGCTACTTGGGAGGTTGAAGTGGGAGGATTGCTTGAGCCAGGGAGGTCAAGGCTGCAGTGAGCTGTGATTGTGCCACTGCACTCCAGCCTGCGCAACAGAGCAAGCCTCTGTCTCTAAAAATAAACAAATAAATATGTTTTATCGGAACACAGCCATGCACGTTTCTTTACCTAATGTATATGTCTGCTATGACATACATCAACAGAGTTGAGTAGTTTGTAATGTAAACTATGTAGCCCATGCGATGGTTAATTTTATGTGTCAACTTGGCCAGGCCTCAGTACCCATTCAGTTAAATATTATTCTAAATGTTTCTATGAAGATTTTTTTTAGATGGGACTAACATTTAAATCAGTAGACTTTAAGTAAAGCAGATTTTCCTCCATAGAGTGGGTGGGCCTCCTCCAATCAGTTTAGCATCTTAAGGGAAAAAGACTGCCCTCCCAGAGAAAGAAGGAATTCTTCCAGCAAGATACCCTTTAGACTTGAACTGCAACTCTTCCCTGGGTCTCCAGTGTGCTGGAATACCCTGCGAATTCTGAGCTTGCCAGCCTCCACAGTCACGTCAGCCAATTACTTAAACTAAATCAATCAATCTCCACATCTATATCTATATCTGTATCTATATATCTTGTTGGTTCTATTCATCTGAAGAACCCTGGTTAATATAACCCACAAAACTTAAAATATTTATTATTTGGCCTTTTACAGATAAAGTTTTCTGATCTCTGGCTAAGAGCTGGAATCTGAATCCAGACAATTTGAATTTACAGCTTAAGTTCTCAGCCACTACCCTACACTGCCTCATGGAACATCCAACTAGTGGAATACTCTGTGGCCATTAAAAGTTATGATACTAAACTAATGTGGTTTGAATATATCTGCCAAATTTCATGTGTTGGCAACTTAATTCCCAATGTGGTAGTATTGAAAAGTGGGGCCTCTAAGAGTTAATTGGATCATGAGGTCTCTGCCTCATAAATAGATCAATTTATTCTTGGACTAATGGGTTATTATGGGAGTGGAACTGGTCATTTTATAAGAGGAAGAGAGACCTGAACTAGCACATTAGCGTGCTCAGCCTCCTTGCCGTGTGATGCTCTGCACCACCTTAGGTCTCTGTAGAGAGTCCCCACCAGCAAGAAGTCTCTCACCAGACATAGTCTTTTGACCTGGGACTTCTCAGCTTCTATAACTGTAAGAAATAGCTTTTTCTTTATAAATTACCTAGTTTCAGATATCTGTTACAAGCAAAATAAAATGGATTAAGACAGGAAATTGGTACAGAGAGTAGGGTGTGGCTATAAAGATACCTGAAAATGTGGAAGTGGCCTTGGAACTGGGCAATGGGCAGAGATTGGAAGAGTTTGGAGGAGCAGGCCATAAAAATATTGTATCGTCATGAATGGCACATTGGGGGTTTATATTAGTCCGTTTTCACATTGCTGTAATTTATAAAGGAAAGAGGTTTAATTGACTCACGATTCCGCGTGGCTGGGGAGACCTCAGGAAACTTAACAATCATGGCAGAGTGTGAGAAGCAAGCACCTTCTTCGCAGGGTGGTAGAAGAGACAGAGAGCAAGAGGGGAACTGCCAAACACTTTTGAACCATCAGATCTTGGGAGAACTCACTCACTATCATGAGAATAGCATGGGGGAAACTGCCCCCATAATCCCATCACTTCCCACCAGGTCCTTCCCTGGACACATGGGGATTACAATTTGAGATGAGATTTGCATGGGGACACAGCCAAATCATATCAAGGTGATTCTGGTGAGGGCTCAGAAAAAGATAAAAACACGAGGGAAAGTTTACTACTTTTTAGAGATTGGCTAAGTGGTTGTGACCAAAATGCTGATAAAAATATGGACAGTAAAGGCCATTCTGATGATGAGGTCTCAGATGGAAATAAGGAGGAACTCACTGGAACCTGGAGCAAAGTGCGCACACATTGTACCATAGCAAAGAACTAGGATGTGTTGGCTAGGGCTCTTTGGAAGGTTGAACTTAAAAATGATGACCTAGGGTATCTGGTGGAAGAAATTTCTAAGCAGCAAAGGACTCAAAAAGTGGTGTGGTTACTTTTAACAGCTTACACTCAGTCGTGGCAACAGAAGAATGACCTAAAGGTGGAATTTATAATTAAAAGGGAAGCAAAGTGTATAAATTTGGAAATTTCAGAGCCTGGCCATGTGGTAGAGAATGAAAGAGCATTTTTAGGAGAGGAATCCAAAGGTGCAGCCCAGTGACTGCTTGCTAAAGAGATTAGCACATATAAAAGGAAACCAGGTGCTAATACTCAGAACAATGGAAAAAAGGGCCCTGAAGGCATTTCAGTGGTCTTTAAGATTGCCTATCCCATTATGAGGCCTATGAGGACAGAGTGATTTTGTGGACAGGCCTGGGGTGCTGCCTCGGGATGCTGCTACTCGTATCCTGGCCTTTGCAGAGAGTGCAAGTGGTAAGCCTTGATGGCTTTCCCACAGGGTTAAGTCTGCAGGGATCTAGAATGCAAGGGCCATGGGGGCTTGGCAACTTCCACCTAGATTTCAAAGGATGTATCTGAAAGCCTAGATGTCCAAGCAAAAGCTTGCAACAGGGACAGAACCACCATCGAGAGTACCCATGGGGGCACCACCTGGTAGAGCTGAGAGAGTAGAGCTGATGTGGGGACCCCAGAATTATAGAGCCACTAGCAGTGTGCCACCTCAGCCTAGAAAAACTCTTGCATTCGACTTCAACCTGAGAGAGCAGCCACATGGGCTGCATCCAGCAAAGCCATGGGGACAGCAGCGACATGGGCTGCATCCAGCAAAGCCATGGGGGCAGGGCTGCCCAAGGCCTTGGGATCCCAACTTTTGCTCCAGTGTGCCCAGGAAGCAGAACATTGACTAAAAGATTATTTTGGAGCTTTTATGATTTAATGTCTGCCCTGATGGGTTTCAGACTTAGGTGGGGCCTGTGCCTGTTACCCTTTCTTTTGACTAATTTCTCCCGTTTGGAATGGGAATGTTTACCCAGTGCTGGTACCACCAAAAAAACCAAGTTATTTACTTATATGATAAATACCACTTCTATTTATCATATAAGTAAATAACTTTATTTTATAGGCTTATAGCTAGAAGGAACTTGAGTTTCAGATGAAATTTGGACTTTGGATTTTTAAATTGGTGCTGGAACAAATTAAGACTTTGGGACTATTTGGATGGAATGATTATATGTTGCATGTGAGAAGGACATGAGTTTTGGGGTACCAAGGGTGAAATGCTATGGTCTCAATATGGTTTGTTTGTCCCCACCAAAACTCAAGTTGAAATTTGATCCCCAATGTGACAGTGTTGGGAGGCGTGGCCTAGTGGGAGGTGTTTGGGTTATGGAGGTGGATCCCTCATGAACACCTTGCTGCTGTTGTCATGGTAATGAGTTATCACTCTCATGAGGCTGAATTAGTTTTTGCAGGAACAGATCAGTTCCCTCAAGAGTGGGTCGTTATAAAGCCAGGACACTTTTAAGGGTATCCTCTTTGTACATGTCCACTTCCTTTTTGACCTCAGCCATTTTGTGATGCAGCACAAAAGCCCTTGCTAGAAACCAGGGCCATTGCCTTTGAACTTCTAAGCCTGCAGAGCCATGAGCTAAATAAATCTCTTTTCTTATAAATTACCCAGTCTCAAGTATTTTTATAGCAACACAGAATAGACTAGGACACAAACGATATGTATTACTTTAGAAAAATGTTCAGAATGCATTGTTAAAGAAAGCAGGTTACACCTTCATTTCTGTTTTTATCACATTTCTCTTAGAAAAAGTATGCGTGGGGAAAGTTGTGGAAACATATACACTGAATATGTTAACAGCAGTTTTCTCCAGGCAGTGGATAATGGGTGATTTTTACTTTTCCTTTGTAAGTCCATGTATTTTCTGTATATTTCACAATGAGCATATAAATGGAAGGAGGAAAACAACAAAGAAATTTTTATTTTGAAAATAGAGAATGATTTGCTTTTTTTATACTGCCTGCATGTCAAAATGTCCAGGTCAATGCAGCTCCATCAAAATGTCCTTGATGACAAAACAGTGGCAGCCATGTAGTAGTCACAGCCTTCTCCTTGTGTCCTGCTAGTTCACTTTTCATGCAGCAGGCAATCTGAGTGGTCTTTCAAAAGCACCCATCTGGTCTTGTTACTCATGTGCTTAAATTTTTAGTACGTTCCCATTTAAGGCCCAAATTGTTATCAGCATGGCAGACAGCGCCTTCTAAGAACTGCTTCCCCCTTTCTTAGTCCACCAAGAACTAGGAGTTCTTCCCACTCTGTTGTAGCCACAATCTGTAGTTCCTGAAAGGGCCCCGGTACTTATTTCAGTCTGATTACAGTTCATTATTGCCACTGAGAGAAATAACTAGAAACTAGATCTAATCATCTAATCTTTCTTTTTTTTTTTTTAAGTGCCTATAATGGTGCCTACCACAGATTGGCAAAATATTTTCTGGATGAAAGATGAGTAAATGTATGGAGTGAAGAACCTCTGTTATGACTATTAATGAGTTTTCAGTGGCTAGAGAGGTGCCATTGAAGTCTTGGAGCTGTTACTCTATGAACATTGTTCTTCAGTTGCATTTTGAGTTGGGTTGACTAGAGAAGCTAATAATAATATATAACATAATTTGAATACAAAAGTGTATTTTAAGTTCTTTTTCTCTATGTCAAGACTGGCTAGACGTTTGCCAATACATTTCCTTTACCTGAGCACCCAGAAAGACTATATTTCCTAGCCTTCCTTGCAGTTAGATTGGGAAATTGTGATTGAATTCTGGCTGATGAGAATTTGAACAGATATGATCTGTCCCTTCCACAAGTCTACCTTCTGTATATTCTCATTTCTGGTCCATGTGGCTGGACTGGAAGGCCTCCAAAATGGTGGATTTGTAAGAATGAAGAAGCCTGGCTTCTGGGCAGTGAAGTGGATGAGAAATAAACCTTTGTTGGGTTTAGTGACTGAGATTTTGGGGTCTACTTGTTATTGTAGCAAAATTTAACTTCTCCTAACTGCATCATCTTCCAAAGAAACTTTTGTAACTATACTTGGTTTTGAGTTGGGCAGGACTTATATGGTCACTTTAATTTGACACTTCAGAATGCGTATTAGATATGCAGATAAGCATATTTCCTTATTCAGCTTCTTCATTTTGAATTTTCCAAACGATTTGAAACAGAAACATGGAGTAAGATAATGACTATTCAGTAGAAAGCAAAAAATAGTACAGAACACAAATAACTCACAATTAGCATAACAATTCTTACTATAAATATGAATCTTTCATTTCTTCTCTATTTTTTCATAGTTTAGAAATCTGCTATGTTTAATAGAAAGTTCCAAATATGCTGCCTTTTTGATGAAGAAGGGTTGTACAAATCTGTCAAACACACAAATATGTGCTTAATTTATTGATTAATTTATGTAAGAATTAAATTCAACCAAAAAGTGACTAAGATCTACTACGTATGTTTTGTTGTACAGCAATGTTCTTTTTGGTTGGTATTCAGATAGGGATGTTGGTGGACTCAGGCTGCTTGTAGTAATGCATGTCTGTTAATAATCTTTGCTAAATGTGGCCAGAAATGTGGAATTTTTTATTGGCAATTATAATCCTTGGGCTGCGTATAACTTTATTAGACATCTGGCTGCCAATTCTGTATAGTATCTTTTCATGACCATCGTACGCTGCAGGGAGCGTTAATTTACTCTGAAGACCAGATTAATTGGAAAGATCTTTTCCAAACAAAACACGTGAAAGAATATTAACGTAGTGCTTGCAAATGTAATTATTTGATTCAGTGTAGGGATTTTCTCTTTAAAATTTTGCCTGATTTCTCCATGTTTGATTAGGACACCTTCCTTGTGCTACTGCTTTAGCTTGCATGAGTCATATATCATGACCTATGGCAAATATTTCTCACCTGTCTCCTCTAGCAGACTGTGAGGTACAAAACAGGACACACAGATCCCCTTTTAACTTAATATCCTAAGTGCCTGGCCTGAAGTAGAAACTGAGTGAATGCTTAGTTAATGAATATTGACACTATTGTTTAAACTGTTGTGATTTTAGAATCAGAAAAAACCACTTAAATACCTATTTTACAGTTACAATTTTTGATGACTTGTATCATCACACATATATGAACAGATCAGGTTTTGTATCACTACGTCAGTTTTAGAATCATGGTACCATTTTAGGATGCCAAAAATTTTTCAGAGAAACATGGTAGGAGGCTAGGATATTGAGGAAAAACTTAAGGAAGAATCTGTCATCACTTTAAAGGCACAGGTTTTGACCTGTGTTTAAGCAAAATGCCAGAATGGGGCATCGGTGCTACCTGTTGTATAACATGGAGCAGAAGGTCCTATCATATGTTAAAAAGGCCAGGCTTAGACAAGCCATTCAGCCAAACAAGACAGCAAAAGACAAGCTAAAGGATTAGAGGAAGGCCGGGCGTGGTGGCTCACGCCTGTAATCCCAGCACTTTGAGAGGCCGAGGTGGGCGGATCCCCTGAGGTCAGGAGTTCGAGACCAGCCTGGCCAATATGGTGAAACCCCATCTCTACTAAAAATAAGAAAATTAGCTGGGCGTGGTGGCAGATGCCTGTAATCCCAGCTACTCAGGAGGCTGAGGCAGGAGAATCGCTTGAACCTGGGAGGTGGAGGTTGCAGTGAGCTGAGATCGTGCCATTGCACTCCAGCCTGGGTGACAGAGTGACACCCTGTCTCACAAAAAAAAAAAAAAAAAAAAAAAAAAAAAAAAAAAAAGGATCAGAGGAAGGAAAGGTTGGTAATGAAGCCATTTTACATTCTTGTTTTAGCTTTTACCTTGCCCACATTACTATTATATAGGACCAGACTTGAAGGGGAATCTGTCCTTCTATAAAAGCTTCCAGAGGAAGATGAATCCACTGCATTCAGAATTTAGCCAGGGTGGTTGTTATTGAATTCTTTCTTGTATAGCATCCCAAATTCTTCAAGCTATGCTTTAAACTCCTTTTCTTTGATTCTCTCTTCAGAAGAAGTGGGGAACAACTGGTCATCACCTTCAATGTAAGATGTTAAATCACCTCACAGTTTTATTTTTTTCCCCTTGTATATGAAATTTCAGTTCTCTTATTTATTTCTTTTAGGGTCTTATTTCTTAAACAGCCATATCTCTGACTCTCTGCTGGAATGTCCCTGAGCTGTCTTATTCATCCCAGAGTTCTGAACACCACCCGTAAAAAGAACATGACTAATGCCTAGGAAAGAAAAGTTAGAATATGAAATCCCCAAGTGTCACTTTTCCTGTGTACTTTATTGTCTCCTCCCTAGTTCAGCCATTCACTCTGAAAACATCCTTTGGGCCAGGAGTCCTAGGTGCTCTGGACTATAATATAGTGAGCAAGCTGACCCAAATTCCTATCCTCCCTAACTTTACATTCTAGTTAGAGGAGACAGATGAAACACAAAATATACAAGTAAAGAATCATTGTATGCCAGCTGGTAATAAATGTGGTGTAGAATAATAGAGCTGGGACAGGGAAGGGTAGTGTTGGGAGTTGCAGTTCTAAATACTGGCTAGGAGAGGTCTGACTGAGAAGGTGTTTTGAGTAAAGACTTCAAGGAAATGAGGAAGCCAACGAAACAGGCAGCTAGGGTAGAGCATGCTGAGTGGAAAAAAACAGCAAGCATGAAGGCTTTGAGGTCAGAACTGGCTGGTGTGTTAGAGAAACAATAAAGCGTCAGGTACATGGATGGAGCAGAGTGAAGGAGAGGAAGGGTAGCAAGGAGGAAGACAGAGAGGTATGGGTCAGATCGTGTAGGAACCCCTCGAGCTCTAGAATAACTTTGGCTTTTATTTTGGGATGGGAAGCCATTGGTTGATTTTAAGCCAATGAGTGACAAGACCTTATTATGCCTTAACATAATAAGGCTGCTGTGTTGAGGATAGACTGAAGGAAGGAAGGGTAGAAGTTGGGAGGCCAGCTAAATGCTATTGTGATGATTTGGCAGCACAGTGATTATGATATCTCGGACCAGTGCAGTGAAAGTAGAGATGAGGACAAGTGGCCAGGTTCTAATCTGTTTTAAAGGGTAGGCCAGTTGAATTTGCTGATGCTATGGTTGTGGGTGCAAAAGAAAAGGAGTCAAGAGTATTTAAGGTTTTTGACCTGAGCAACTGGAAGGATAGGCTTGCCATGAACGGCTTGGGGAGAGAATATTTTAGATAGTGATGGGAGGTGGTGGCAGTGGGTTGATCAGGAGCTTGCTCTTAGATATGACAAGTTAGAGAAGACTATTAGACCTTTAAGTGGAGCTGTTGAGGAAGCTGCTGGATCTACAAGTCGGGAGTTCATGGGTGAAGTTCTGGTTAGAGATACAAATCGTGGAGTCATCATCATGCAGAAGGTATTTGTAGCCCTGAGACCGAATGAGACTACCAAGGTGGCAAGTGTAAACATAAATGAAAAGAGGTCCAAGAACTGAGCCTTAGGGCATACCAATGTTAACAGGTCGGGGATAGACTGTAAAAAATGTAAGCACATACGCATGAACATTACACATAAGCATTTTGGTGAAAGCAACCTTGAGTGAGTAAACTTTGGAGAAGCAGGCTGTTTCGACTTAGGATGGAGGAAAGAAAGGATGCTGATGTGTGGAACGTGACTGTTGCCATGAAACCTTGAACAATAAGAATGCAGCAGTGAGCTGGCTGTGGTTCAGCTACTCAGGAGGCTGAGGCAGGAGAATGGGAGGATTCCTTGAACCCAGGAGTTTGAGTTCCGCCTGGGCAACATAGTGAGACTTCGTCTCTAAATTTCTTTTTTTAAAGCAGACCAACTTTTAGCAACAATGTATTGTATATTTAAAAGTAGCTAAGTGAGAACTTAAAATGTTCCCAACACATATCAATGATTAACTTAAGGTTGTGGACACACCAAATACCCTGACTTGATTATTACACATTCTATGCATATAACAAAATCTCACATGTAGCCCCATAAAGATGTAAAATATTGTATATCATTTTTTTTTTTATTTTAAAAACAATGCAGCAGTGAGTGAAGAAGGCTAGGCTCGCAGTTCCAAGCAGTTGGAAGGGGCAGTCTGGCTGTAGTAAGCAGCAGGATGGAGAAAGAGGTAGAATGACTTAGGTTACTCTTTTGTTTCACAACTCTCTCAGTGAAACAAACAGCAATGTTTTAGACCGGACTCCCTGGAAGCAGCCTTTGAGATGGAGCACTCTCTGCAGAAGGTTTACTGGGGGCAGGGGTGCTCATAACAGAGACACCTGAAGAAAGTGAGAAGGCAGGAGGGGCAGAGGAGAAGCTGAACTGTGAAGTGATTACAACTAAGACCTTGGTGGATTCCAGGTGGTGCTCCAGAGCTGGGATGGCCCTTCAGAATTGTCCCAAATTGAGGCAAGGGGACTGGGTTTTTGTTTCTCTACATCAGCCAGTATTGGCCCAGGCGATTTCCCTGTGACAGGTGGTGTTACCTTGGGCAAGGCAGTTCTCTGTTCTGACAGTTCGGGGGGGGGGGGGGGTGTCCGGAGAGGGACACAGTTGTGAGCCATCAGCAGCTGATATTCCCAGAAGCGAGGGCATGGATGCACTGTCTCTGAAGACAAGAGGGGATGTGGCTGGGGTGTATCTACAAGCTCAAAACGCACCAAGAGTCCAGATGTTACATTTAAATGAATGCAAATGAATGGGGATAGCTTCTTTCTCTACTGTCGAAAAATACTTTTATTTGCTGGCTTTTATCTCATGGTCAATGTTTTCAGCTAGCGTAGTATCATTAAATTACTTTAGAGAAGTGACTGGAGGGCTGGACAAAATAGGAAAAGTATGCAAGAACTAATGCCATTAAAATATCTCTAAGAGCTGGAGCTTGCCAGTTAGGGAGAGTATGAAAAGAACACAGCCTGTATTCAGGCAGTAAAGAGAATCAGCAATTTTCTACTGCTTCCCTAGGAGGCATTTGGGAATGTATTGAGGCAGGTTTGTCATCAAAATGACTGGGAGAACTACAAAGTGAGGGACAGTTGTGCATAATGAAGAATTGTCCCAACCCAAATACCAACAACATTTCTATTGAGAAACAGTGTGTTTGAAAGACATTAGGTGTACCTACTAAGAAGGGCATTTTTGAGATTGAAAGGGTGCTATTGATAATGATGTCATGATGAAAGATGTAGCCATCAATGAAGCAGGCACACTAGGACTTAGGGGAGTCCTAGTATAGGAGCTTGCAGCTACCCACACAGGTATAAAGGGGGAAATTGAACCCAGGAACACAGGGTGTGAAATCAATCGTATCTGGAAAGTACAGGCTTGGAGTCCCCCAATTGTCGTACTGACTTTAAAAAGGAATTGAGTGCTTATCCTTCTGTGGCATCAAAAGAGTTACTCAGTCCAGTCACAAATTTTTGGCTGATAAAAATTGTCAACATGCCCAGGATGCTTAATTTTAGTATGGATAGGAATTGTTGAGCCAGTAACCTCAACTCTTGTTGTGATGATAAAAGTATTCTCTTCGTGCAGAGTTTCCCAAATGTTTTCACGTTGTGGCACACAGATACATTTATTATCAATTGAAGGGCATCCTTGATTAACTGCAGGAGGCTGAAGGCTACAGACCTCATGTGGCCACCCTCAAAACTATGAGATTCAAAGACTTTAACACACCTGGGTCACATTTTAATATACACCTTATCAAATAAGTCTTGAAAGCCTAGGAAGTTTTAAAATGAAACAAAGAGATGGTGGAGTAAACCTAACCCTTGGTTTTAATACTTTTATGTTGAATTTAGGCATAATCTGTGTTCGTTTAAAGTGCTTAAGATGTTTGTGGCAATTTGACATATTAGCAAATTGGAGAGATGTCTTAGGTTCCAATGTAAAATGTGTAATTTTACACATGTTATTATTTCAAAATGAATAAAAAAAGTTGGACTCAGCTCATACAGTATATGCTATTGGAATGTTTCAGAGGACTTGAGATTCACTATATTTATATGTTTGTCTCGATATATGTGAGTTAGGTATGGTGGAGGTGCTGTTGGTTGGCGTTGGTCTTCCCTGTGAGATATTAGATAGGCTTGAAAATAAAGCACATTAAGTGTATAAATACAGCTTAGAACGAAAAAATTCAGACTACTCAACGTGGCTAAGTCTGCTCACTAAAAGTGACTGTTCTTACTTCATACAAATTGTCTACATTTATATATCTAAAAATGAAATTTCTAAGTTGAACCTAAAGATTTATGAAAACTTAGGTTTTAAAATGTATACCAAGTGGAGAAACCTGGCAGACACCACCTTTACCAAATGATCAGTGTTAACAGCACCAAGAATGGGAATATGCCTCCTGGTATCACATGCTGAGGACACATCATTGTTTGTGTAGTATTCCTGACAAAAATGCATACCCTGAATCTAAACCATGAGAACACATCAGACAAACCCAAATTGATGCACATCCTACAAAGTAACTGTCTTGTACTCTTAAAAATGTGAAGGTCTTTGAAGACAGAGAAAGGCAGAGACACTGTTCCGGATCAAAGGTGATTAAAGAGATATGACAACTAAATGTCATGAAATCATGAATTAGAGTCCAGACTAGGGAAATATATATAATGATGAAAGACATCATTGGCACAATTGACAATATTTGGTTGAATATGGACTGTGGAGTAGATGATAGCTATATATAATTTTTTTATTTTGATAATTGTACTATGGTTATACAAGAGACTGTCCTAGATATTAGGAAATGTACATGATGTATTTAAATGTAAGGAGGCATGATGTCTACAACTTATTCTTAAAATGGTTCAGGAAAAACTATCATCTATTCATTGAGAGAACGATAAAGTAAATGAAGCAAAATGTAAACAATTCATTAACCTGGGTAAAGGGTATATGTGGGTTCTTTCTTTGTACTGTTCTTGCAATTTTTCTTTTGTTTCAGTTTTTCTTGTTTGAATTATTTCAAAATAAAGTTATGGAAGAGCTAAAATCCTGAATGTATATAAAATACACACATGTACATACACACATATGTACATATAACATTTAAACCTCAAGTTACTGTAGGTAACCTTTTCTGTACACAAAAGCTACTCTCAAACAAACATCCCCAAACTTTACACATTCACACAATATTGTTTATTATGGAATGTTGGGCATGCTGCCACTCTTGTGTTGTCAGCTAAGTCCATGAGATCACAGTACACTGACGTGCAAGGGGCATTGAAGAACATATTTATAGTTCCTACTCCAATGGCTTTGCTACTGTGGGAAAGAATTTGATTTGTGTCCTTCCTACACTTAATTTGAAGGCAAAGTCTTTGCAAGTGCGCCAGTGCCTGCCTTTGTATTCATTCCACCATTAGAGCATTACAAATTCAGGGAAATCCCATCGCAGCTCTACAGAACACATCCATTAGTCTTGGTGCTTTCTCCCAAACAAACACACATTTTGCTTGCCGGTGCATAATCTGTGCCAGCTCGATTCATTTTAATTTTTAACTGAATTAATTCTGTCTCTTCTAGTGTGTGCCAAGTATGGAATGGAAAACCAAATGCCCTCCTCAGAGTCATCCACACACAGTTGTCTTAGACGTGGTGAAGTATTGAAGATTCCTCAGTTACCTCCTTAAGTGTCACCAAAACAGCCAGTCTGGGTGTTTCAAACAAAGGTAGGTTCGGGTAATGGTGGGAAGGATAAATGATTTGTTTATTTAAATAGGATGAAAATTTTTCTTGGTATGTGTGGATGTCAAGGGAAGTGTTTCAATGTGGTAGTCACTTAGGTCAGCATCATCACCCTACTTTCAAAAAATTAGCAAGTGATTGATTCACAGCAGAGATGCCACATCTACTAACAAACATCATTTCTAATGAGATGGATCATCTCATCTCCTATTATTTCCAAAATCACTAGGATAGGCTGCACCTGGTGGACTTATGTTATTCCTTTGGCTCACCAGTATCTGAACACTGTTGGGGAACCCCGCCCACCCCATCCATGAACCTTGGGAATAGGTAAAGATAGATAGCCTCTCCCTAAGAAGTGCTGACATTGCTACCCACTTTCTCAGCTTCCTTTGCAGCTAGGGCAAGAAACAGAGCAGGGCAGGGGCAAAGGAGAGGTTCTCCCCATGGTGGTGGTTGACTATGGTAAGGGATTCTTCTTCCCCAGAACCAGTTGTGAGACATCATTTTAGGTGTCTCTTTCTTACTACTCACTCATGCATCCTCTTAGATGGTGACATTAAGAATAGAAGTGATATGAAATTCTCTTGAGAAGCAAAGTATGAACTGCAAACTGACTTAATTAATATACTTGTCATTATTAAAACAAAAAACACAACAAACAAACAAACACTATGACTATCAATCAATCAATCACTGCACAAAATGTATCATCTCCCAGTCTACAAATGCTTACCCCCTTTGATCCAGCAATCTCACTTCTAGGAAGTATCCCACAGATTTGTTTGTTTATGCACAAATGAAATGATGTAATGAGAAATGTGCAATATTGTTTGTTATAGCAAAAGAAAGACTGACAACAGACTACATATCCCACCAAAGGGAACTGCTTAAATAAAATATCCTATGAACATATAATGAAATATTATACAGCTATAAAAAAGAATGAGAAAGCATTTTATATATTTAAATGAAAAGATTTCTTGAGTCCATATTTAAATTTAAACAAACAAACAAGTAAGGTGCATAACTGGGTGCAGAGAATGCTATATCCTATGAAATAATAATAGGAAAAAAATAAATAGGAACATATATATTATTTTAACTGCTTATATAATAATTAATAAAGAAAGACCCTCTGGAAGACTAAATAAGAAATTAATAATGTCTACTCATAGAGCAATGAGGATGATTGATTGATATGGGGGAAGGGGTAGTTAGGAGTGTTTTCACTGTCTTTCTGGATTATAGTTTTTTACTCATATGCATGTATTACCTATTTAAAAAGTAAGTAAGTAAGTAACAACAACTAAATTAAAATAAAAACAAAGTACTGCAGTCCAGTCAATACTTTTTTGTAACATAACTGCGTGCTTTATTGAGATACACAGTAAAGCAGTACTATAATACAATAGTAAGGCATATATTTGGTGAAGTCTGATATGTTGTGAAAATGCAGTAAAACTGAAGTTTAAAAAAATAATTCGTAAATGTTACAGTGTTGGTGTTAAAACACAATATATTATGATACTCAAGTAAGAACTCAGTACCTGAAAACAATGACAAAACATGCCATGTGATGTTTATGCTTCAGTTACATTATGATTTACAGTTTAATACTTGGTGGTTATAAAGAACACAACACGAAATAATGTCCAAATTAATTATGCTTAAAATGCAGCAATAAAGCTCTCAATTTTTGTTCAAATATTATGACAGACTCACTCCAGAGCTAATGTGTCTAAAAGAAAAACAAAAAGATTAAAACAAAATTATTTATGCACTCTATTTACCTCTGATTTTAGAATGAAACTTACTTACTTAAACTTCTTAGTAGGATGTAAAGTAACCCCTTGTTTTAAATCTGAGTTTTAAAAATCCTTGGGTAAAGAAAAGGTCCAGCGTCACATAAAGGAAAAAAATGCAAGACAAAAACCAAATCTTCATGTAATTTGGTAATTTGTTACCTTAGAGCTTTGGGTTTTCTTTTGAAAATTATGAAGGAAAAAGAAAGAATTATAAAGGAAAAAGAAAATAACGCAATGGACAAGTGGTGAAGCTGTGAACTCAGGTGTGCACAATTATCAGGAACACCCCAAAACCAAAGTGAGGTAGAAATAGCATGAGAAGCCGTGTTTGATGTTAATTAATTAATTATTAATAATGGACAAAACCCACTCTCCAAAAGCTAATTACACTTGATGTCAGCCCACTCTCCAAAAGCTAATTACACTTGATGTCAGAGGTAACAGATTTGCAAAATTATAGGTCACACGGTGGTATCTATTGAATGAATGATTTAAAAATCAAAAAGAAATAAAATGGCATGAAAGAGTAAAGCTTTTTCCTACCAGTCCTTAGCTTTTCCTCTTGAGCTTTTCTCCTCTTTTTTGAGCAATTTTTGTTTGTTTGTTTATATATTTAACCTGTCTAATCCACCAAGAAGGGTTTTTTTGTAACATTTGAATCAATTTGCCTTCTTTCTTACTTACTTACAAACCTGTGTGGAACTACTCGCAGAGAAATGCAAAGGATGGAAACACAGTTCATGGGCTTCTGGGTTGATACCTGTCAGTATCACAAATGTGATGGGGCTACTGTTTTACACCTTTTCCCAAAGTTTATTTATTTTAAATTATGTCTTGTGGCATTTAAAAACTCATCCCACATGGGACAATAAATCTAAAAAAGCAACAAAAACCAAACCACCCAGTTCCTTTTGACTGTGAGAAGAGGGCATAATAATTTAGTTGTAATTACAGAGAACTTTATGTATTATGAACAATCATCCAATCCTTCACTTAAAGAGTGGCCTACTCCTTCACAGGGATGGGCTGGGAATCCATAGCCCTCCAGCCCTATCATCGTCCTGCTACTGCTTGGGAGTTAAAAAATACCTTCTGATGTTCACAAGGTCAGAATACCTTCTGATTGATTTCCACTGAAGCATCATTAAATCTAAATCGTGGCATTGCTAGCAGCAGGAAGCTGAATGTATCAATCAATCAATCAATCAACCAACCAACCGATTACTCACTCTGATATAATAAGTCCTGTGTATTCATTCACATGTTCCCTTTAAAAAAATCCAATACTTTACTTTACTTTCGTTGTCAGTGGAAAGTTGTTTAAAATGAGAAACATCTGGAGCTGTAGACAATGTTTTAGTGTGGTGTAGTTTCCTCCTGGCTTCCGGCTCCGGGAAAAATCCATTCTAGACCAAGCAGGTAAGCCTGGATGACTGACTAGAAGTAATTTCTTTCTATTAGGATGTGACATGAACATTTAAAAAATGGAAAAAGTCAGTCTATAGAAATTCGTATCTCTTTATCTATATAACTATAGTATTTATATACTTATAGACATATAGATATATGAAATGAAAACTCAAGCCTGCCCCACTCAGCTGACAGTTCTCAAATGAGCAGTGTGTAGTAGTCATTTGGTGTGGTGGTAGAGGAAGTCTTATCTTTAATATGCAAAAAAAGAAAAAGCCATGAATTTCATATGGATATCACGCCAAAAGGATGCAAAACAATGCGCTGCCTCAAAGTTTTGTGTGTGTGTGTGTATGTGTGTGTGTGTGTGTTTGTTTTGTTTTTAGGGGTTTTTATAAACAACTTTTTTTTATAAAGCACACTTTAGTTTACAATCTTTCTTTATAACTGTTATAAATTTTTAAACAACCCAAAATGCGTTCCATATAAAGAAATGGCAAGTTATTTAGCTATCAAGATTTTACATGTAGTTTTCTTATAACTTTTTTGTACAATTGCATAGACGTGTAAAACCTGCCATTGTTAACAAAACAATAACAGACTTAGAAACTACTGAAATCTACAGTATAATACCACTACCCTTCACAAAAATATAGATTTATTTCTTGTAAACTCTTACTGTCTAATCCTCTTTGTTGTATGAATATTATAAAAACCATGCGGGAATCAGGAGTTGTAAAACATTTATTCTGCTCCTTCTTCATCTGTCATGACTGATACTAAGGACTCCATCGCTCTGCCCAAATCATCTGCCATGTGGAAAAGACTTCCTACATTGTGTCCTGGAAAACAAAGAGAAAGAAAGACAGACTTTACAAAAGGTGCAGATAGATAGCATCACTCTGTTTCTTTGCCATTTGGGAAATCATTCCCCATTTCTGGGTGAAGACAACACAGAAGCTGCATCGAGGGTGTACACAACAAGGTTTGATTTTTCACCAGTTTCCAGGAAGAAGCAAAGCCTTATTAATGAAGCCATTACACGTTGTTTGTTAGTATCAGCTTAATGTTGGATCAGGCTACTGGTGTTTACATGGAAAAATGTCAAGCTACATTCAGGTTCCCAATGTAAATATATATCAAAAGAATTCCATAGATAAGCACAAGATTTCTATCAGAACAGGAATATTCCATGATGGGATACATCTTTTCCACCTTGGCTATGAGTGATTGATTGATTACTTACTCTCTACTTGTATTAACGAACATTTTTTTTACTATCAATCAAACCACCATCACCACCTTCACAACTACCACTACCATCACCAGCACCCAACCATCGTCACCATTATCACTGCCACCATCACCGCCACACCAACTTTTCATTTCAAAGCTGTTTCAGGCTGTTGGCTTGCTTCTGAGGCTATGGTGGAGGTGGCTATTTTCTCTCTGCTTTTACTTGGGTTGAAAAATAATAATAATAAACTCTTGAATTGACCTTTTGGTGCACTATTAACATTTGAATTAGGAAACCTCAGAATAAAAATTGCTTTACATTCCAAATTACTCTAGACCCTAATTATAAGGTGACCCACATGTATTGTATGCATTTGGGTATTTTGTGAATCCATCTTAGAGCTCCTCCTAAATGAGGGTTAACTATCACAATAGCCTTTTACTAATAATGCAGCACGACCTAGCACGAATCTCCCAGCACGGAGAAAAAGAACAGCACAATGTCCCTGGGTACTTCGTAGCAAAATTCAGATTTAGAGTAAGATAATCTGAGACTTACTTTATGGCTTGCCTTTTCGTCTATGTCCCATAGTTTTACATGGCTAATTTTAATTATTGCACATTGGTAAATCCTTCCACTATTCAAGTATTGTCTTTGGAACTGAAATGCTTTACTAGGCTATTACTACCTTGCCATGTATCAACTTTACAGATTCCCATAATAATTGTTAAAAATACCAATAAAAATTAAAGATATCCCAATAAAAATTAAAGCTATAGACTAGGGAGAGTATTTTGTTTTAATATTTATTTCAAGAGATATAGCTTCTCTACAAAATGAAGCGGATTCACGGGCAGGCACTTAAACAGTGATGGCACCAGATCAACTGAAGACTTACTTATTAAAAGTTTAATGTCATTCAGGCATTTCTATTAAGGTGACCAAGTTTGTATATCTATCTTTTTGTGCTTTATTAGTGCAAAGAATTTCATGGAGTATTAATTATATTTTAGAAAATCACTTTGGATTTTGGCTGAGACTGCAAGTATAAAAATTTTTTAACAAAGCATATGCAACTATTCATAAAGTGGGCCAATAGTTTGGCAGCCCTCAGTGAAGAACTGAAATCATTTTTGGCTTTCTGTGCCATAAAAACCACAGGAAGACGACACAGTGGGGCCTTTGCTGCTCCTTAGAGCTCAGAGTACAAATATATAACTGCTGCTATCAAGTTGGAGGGCTTCCCCTGTATCTATTTTTGGCTGTCCAGCAACCCTGGGAAATCTGCATAATTATTCATGCATAAATTGAAGATAGATGGACTAACTGCCAATTTTTAATTACTAGCGATCTTTACGGTTAACAAAATCAGTAAAAACAAAGTCCAGGACCTTTACAACATGGTGCCTGAATGTAATTCGAAGTATTTCTCATGGCCCACATGTGACTATAGTATGTAGTCCACCTAGTAGCTAGAAAACATATTACAAAACATCAACGAAAAGGGGAGAAAACTCATTTTTTTTCCTGTCAGCTTATCGATAATCACAAAGTGTCTTTCTTTTTAGGCTGTGTGCTAGGGGATGTAGATGGCAGTTCAAAATATAATAAAACAAATAAATGCATTTATGGATTATATAGCCAAGTGGTGCTTCTCTTCCTTGAAATGGTGTTCAGTTACTAACTGGAAGGAAAATTCTTGAGTCTCTCAAGAAGCATAAGTTCTAGGGGTATCTGCTATTTAAAGATTTGCCAGGGAAAACAGGTTCATTATTCTTAATGTGCCATGCACACTCCGACAAAAAGTTGGGTGGCCTTTAACCGGTTTACACTGCTGCATTTTCACAAATGACCTTGTGGCCATCTTTGTGCTATAAAAATAAAGAACTTTTAGAGTCACCTCATCATCTATATTATGCCTTTGGTTACTTCACTAAATACCTGCTTTACCAGAATAAATAATTCTAATTTCTTTCCATGGAGTTTTTCATTAGATCCAGAAAAAAGAAGTCAATCTCTTTTTACAAACTACTGCCCTAAAGAATCATACTTTAATCCGTTGGAGGGGTAAGACTGCACTGTGACATGACTATAGAAAGTAGATTTGTATCCTAGTTCTATTATCCATGTGTGTAAGGCAGAGCATTCGGGAGGTCATTAATGTTACCTGACAGATTTTTCTAAAGTCAAAATTACAATCTCATACTATGAAGTATGAGAGGTACTGAAAAGCAGCCAGGATTCAGGCATTTGCAATCACCTTCAGGCACAAGGTGACAGAAAACTATGTCTATAGAAAGTATTGATTTAATCCATTCTTAAGGATTATTGAACACAAAGGCACTATGCCTTGAACATTAGGGCAGTTGTATGTTTTTCAAGTTGGCGCTAACTGCAACACATTTAGTCTCACACGTCACCACTGCCTGAGGGAATTGTTTTCCACAGCGATTGGAATTGAGACTTTCTGGCAAAGATCCAAGACCTCAATAGCAATCTGGTGCTCTATTTTTTAAAAATACAATTCCCAAATAAATTGTTAGCATTCAGTTGTCCAAAGGAAAGCCGGAATACTACAGGGAAATTTGCTTATCTTTTCTTCTCTATAATTTAATCTCTGAAAAAAATCTGCTTTACGTACATTTGGGATATTTTCATAGCATTAAAAAAGGTCATTATTGTTTTGATTCTTTGGCTTCTGGAAACTTGTCTGAACACCATACACCTCAGGTAGTCAAGTCTGCAAATGCCTATATAACTTCAATTACATGTGCTAGCCTTTTCTGAAATTCATTTGTGAGTGAAACATGTTTAAGGTGGTCAAAATTATGGTGCATTTTTCTACAAAAAGTTAAAATGAATAAATTTTAAGGGGCACTTACCATAAGAATGAACCCAAGAAGTCTCACATACGAAGTACATGAACCAGGCAAACCGTCAGGGGCATTCAATGCTTCACCAAGTCAGGTTTCCTCAATTTCTCCTCCCAGCCTACCATTCCCTCCCTGGCCCCACTGCCCAAAGCCTTGGAAGGAGGCACTGGCACAGACACACTGAAGAATCATTAAATTGATTAGACTTGTATGGCATGATGTTGGCAGAGTTTTCATTACGACTCCTGTGTTTAAATGAATCAGTGGTCTCTCCAGTCCATCCTGTTGCTAAGGAATCCAGAATCTTCTCATTTAAGAAGGACTCTCCACCCATCCAGCCTGTCTCCCAGAACACTGTCATCCCATGGGAGAGCTTTCCTTCTCTCCTCCTTCAGATTAAATTCTTGGTAAAGACAACCTTGATTTTACTTGGGCTGTCAGTTAACACTTTGTCATCCAACAGTCACTTAATTAGGTAATTCGATATTCAGACAATATTCCTGGTGGAATAGGAGTAAGAAGCATCTTTCACCGTAAAACCTGAAACCACATTCAGTGATAAGACTGCACCCTATCCCTTTCAACCCATAAATAGGCATTTTAAAAACCTCTCAAAACTCCAATATTTAATTTTTTAATCGAATTGGTTATTGTTCTGTGTGGCTTCAAATACCAAATAAAAAAGATCATCTTCTGAAGGGTACGTTGAGATGATGTAAGCCTTTCAAATGAGAGTTAAGAGTGTGGGTCTGGAGCCAGACTGCCTGGATCCAAATCCTTGGCTCTGTCACCTGGGACACACTGCTTACTCTCTCATTGACTCAGTCTCCTTATCTGTAAAACGGGGTTAATAAGAGTACCTACCTCACAGGTTTGTCATGAAGATGACATGATGAAAAAGATGGCAAGTGCTGAGAACAATGCTTGGCACACAGTAAGTGCTCAAAAAATGTTCGCTAAAATGGGAGAGAAAGAGCGTAGGAACCAAGAAAAAAGGAAACAAAAGCAAAATGAAGTCATCCCAGAAGAATAAAAACTAAGGGCGCTGGCAGAAAATGCTAAGGTCCTGGAAGTGGAAGAAAGCTTTATGACTCATCAGTTATGTTCAAGGCTAAATTTATTTTGAAGATTTTGTTAGTGTTGCAAATGGCAACAGATGATGAACGGCAGGATTCCAACCTAGGGACTACAAAGGATTGCCATTTTAAAGAGATTCTTGCTCCCAACCCCAGTCTTGTCGTCATGGTGATGACAACGGCAATGAACATTTGAGGAATGTTCCTCATGAGCTGCAAGTGGAGAGGTGACTACCATCCTTACATGATGACACAATGTGTAATACACACATGCGCGTGCACACACACAATTCTTACACAAACGCCAAACATAAAAAGCAGGATGAGACAGACAGAAGCCATGGCCGTGAGCCTGAATCTCACTAACCTCTCTCATTGGCTTTCCAGGGGTATTTCTTCCTTTAATAATAGAGAGAGGAAGAGGCAGAGATATCAGAAAGGGAAAAAAAACATGCATAAATATACAATTTCATACCAATTTGCTTCTTTTACCAAACAAATGTTGAGATGACCATTTATTCTCTGCTGGAAAAAAAAAAAAAAAAAAAAACAGAAACAAAAAACCCAAAAGACACATCTAGTCAAATAACCTTTACATACACTTAAGATCAGTGTAAACAGATAACATGATCCAGAAGACGTCATTTGTAAAATCCATAGAGTTCACGCATTAAACTGGATGAAAACTGGCACAGAATAGAAATCTGACAAATTGGGCATTGTTTTCAAGGACAACTCAAACTTAATGTTAAAAAAAGTCTCAGAATCTCTTCACTCTTGACAATCAGCACATTGAAACATAAACAGTAGTTGACTCTGTGTGCCCAAAGTCTGCACATCAAATGCAAGGTAGAACCCGACATAGAGGCTGGACTCCATCCTCTTGGGAGAATTTGTTCTATCTGATAGAAGCTGAGCATTTCCATGATGAAATTGGAGGCATTTGAGAAAACAGAAAGAACAGATGAGGGGAAGAGGTAAGTCCCAGTAATGGGCAAGCCACAGAGCCAGATCCAGGAATGAGCTTTCCACTTCCTCCCCAATTCAGCAAATATCAGGAGCCTTACGAGGCAATGGCTAAAGACCCACTGGCCTTGATTCATAGATTCCTACATCTGTATGCATTTATTTGTATTTCAAAAGTAGACTCTGATGAGAAAGTGTTCTATGATAAGTCATAATTGGACAGAAAAGTAGGGACTTCTGTCCATACATGTCAATAGCCTGTCTTGGGCATGCAATTTCCTTTAAAATCTTGGTTTTCAAACTGTTTTAACTATAGCAATGGGACATCTCCTAAAACAATCTTATATGGAATTCCAATATTTTGAGCAGTTCAAAGCAGAGCTGTGAGAGATCCTGTACAGCATCTCCCTTTCCCCTCCACCCATCATTCTCAGTGGCTCCAAGAAGACTAAAAACTCCCTGAAACAATTTGAGAACTACTAGTCTGGAATGAAGAGGTATGGAGCTACGACACCAATAGAAACCTTTCAAAACTCACTCAAGGTTAGGGTTCAAAACTTCTAGTATACATTTAAGGATAGTTTCTAAGTTTTTCTTCCCTCTCTCCTTCTCTTTCTTCCCTCCCTTTCTCCTTCTCTCCCTTCCTCTCTTCCTTCTGAATTTCCTACATGACTCAGCGATTTCTTAGGAGTATCAGATTTTCAGCTTGACCACGTAAGGGCCAGGTATTTAAGATGCTCCTCAAGCCAGGGAAAAGAGGGAGAAAAATGGGTACTAGCTCCTCAGCTGTGGGTGTCACTAGTGGGAGATCCATACCAAATGATGTTCCCATCATTTGGGGAGGAGAACATCATTCTTTCCTTGATGGCTGAAATCCCAGTATGAATCACTCACCCCTTCTTTTTGATTCCTTTAGCAAGGTTTTTTTAAAAAAGTATCTTTATGTTTCATAATACTGTCTGGTGGCAGAATTAATTCCCTTCCCCTGTAAGACTATAAGCCTCTTGAGGACGGGGTCCACATGTTGCTCATCCACCTCTCTATGCCCAATGCCCTGTACCGTATATACACACTTTTGGTATTTGATAAATACTGGCTGAAGTGAATTGGTAAAGTAGTAGTTGGGTCATGACCAAGAGGAGTCCTTCTGTGTTATAAGTAACTTGCCCTTCACTGGCACACTTTAGTTTGGATGCCAAAGGTGGGTAACTTGTTTCGGCATGTAACTTTGGTCTAGTTTTGAAAACTTGAGATCTTTAGGAAGGACAGTGTTGTTAGAAAGCCATGTGATTTAGAATGTAATTATGGTTATGTACTTCAGAATGTAACGATGATTCTTTGAATGCTTAATGATACATATCTTTAGTAATTCTACACTAAGCCATATTCAGAACTCAGTTATCAATTGATTATTTCTTAATATGTAGCAGCAAATGACTTGTGTTATGTTCCAGATCCTTCTTCAGAAACCATATTTTATGAAAATGGACCTCCCAGAGCCAAGCTAACTCTAATCTCTTCTAAAATCCTCCCTCATCACTTGGGTCCCCACGTACTCATTAACACATTACAAAAGGAAGGTCCTTTTTTTCACTTTAGAAAAAGTTAAAAACAAATGATATTTTCTACTGTAAAAGGACTAGTTCTACGCTGACAAAACAGAGGCTACTTGATTACAACATTTTTAAAAGTTCTTGACCGATAAATAAAGTTTCAGATATGTTTCATTTTCTAAACATTTATTTTTTTTTGGAAATGAGTTTCTGTAGACCTTCAGTTACAGTGTCCATCTGGCAATGTGATGTGTTGTCAGGAAATGAATCAAGACAAAAGGGAAGTGTGCTGGGGCAGTCCTGAGTCTAAATAAAGGGCTTGGTCAGGTCCCGAGAAGTCTAATTTCCTCGGGCACTATAAAATTGACATTATTGATTGTAATTCATTATTTTAGAGTTGGAATTGCAGGACAGTACTGTTTCTGGGTGCTTTTAGCCTCTTTTATATTAATTCACTGACTATTTAAAATACTTAAGGAAGAATAAGTCCCTTTTTAGGATTTCTGTTATTTTATAAGTCAAAAAAATTCAAATGGCCACACTTGCAGGCTCTTTGGTGAATATGAATATAAATCTATAAATCAATTCAATTTCAGCTCAATAATCTTGTTCAGCTGAAAGTTGATCAGCACAGAAGCCTGTGACTCTATACATGTAATGAGTCAGAATGGACAACGAAATAATAGCGTAAAGCAGGGATTGGCAAATTTTCCCCATAAAGGGCCAGATAGTAAATATTTCAGGCTTTGCAAGCCCACGGTCTCTGGACCAGCTATTCAGCACTGCTGCAACTACTCTGCCCTGGTAATGAGAAAGCAACTATAGGCAACATGTAAATGAATGGGTATGGCTGTGTTCCAATAAAGCTTTATAAAAACAGGTATTGGGCCAGATTTGGCATTTGGGCTGTATGTAGTTTGCTAGTCCTGGATTAAAGGGATAACCGCTCAAATCCTTTGTGGGAGCATACAGGAAACAGAATGGTGCCTGAAAAAGGGCACACCATATTTCTATCTGCCTTTGTTCTTTATGTTGCTCTTCCATAAAAGAACCACAGAATAAGATTTTAATTTTAAAAGACGGTAGGTTTTACAAAGCTGTTGGGTTGGTAATTTAGGGGTATTTGATAGAATGTACGCGGGCTTATTTGAGAGGGGATGGTATGAAAAAAAGAGGATGGCATGGGCTGGTGGAGATAATGTGGCACAGGTCAGTAGGCAAGAGATTGTACAGGTAGCAGAAATAGTAGCACTGCTAACTGCTTTCTGGATTGTTTTACTGCATTAAGAGCTTATCTTGGCTCCTATTATTCATTCATCTATATAAAGTGGTACCACATTTTAGAGAGCCTAATACCATACTACTGACTAGGAGAGCGTTTCTTTCATCAATGCACATACATATAAAAATATCTTTGTTAGTCTGCTAAATGATCAGAGACTTATGGACAAATCACTTAATGGGGTTATTTTTTAAATTACGTTTGTTTATTGTACCCATGTAGTTTTCCTATAGAATGGCAGAGCTTTAGAGAGTACCTTATAGTAAAGTAGATAATGACTTATTACACTATAATTCAATTTCTACACATATACTTACAAAGGAAGAGATTAGAGATAGACAGATTAGATAGAAATTGGCTAATATTCAGTGTTCAAATATACACTGAGCCACTCAAATCTCCCAAGTGTTTGTGAACAACTAAGTATATCTAGAGACCAACCAGAAAGATATAATCACAAAGCTGAATGTTTACACATTCATATCTTGAATATGCTCCTGCTTATATTGCCTATTATGCAGGATAGTGTTGGCCATCGGTTTATCACTAAATGGAGAAGCATGCCACTCATTTATTAATTTTGATAACAGTTTAGCAAAGCCATTAAGATAAGATTAGAAGCCTAACTTAACCTGCTGAATGGCCATAAATAAGGCACTTGACTTTTCTTGGCTTCCAGGTACTCTTTGTGAAAATAAAAGATAAAGAAAGGTTAGCTGACACCTTCAGGACCAACTCTGTGGCAAGGGGCAACAGAAAAGTTGTAAATTTGAGGTACATAATAGCTTACCTATCTATATACTTTATGTTTATGAAGAGCATAAGTTTTTTAAAAACGGCTTTTCCTCTGTGGGCAATTATCTAGCAGGGTTAAGTAAACCACGCGGTGGTATTTAATAGCACATTTCCACTAAATGTCAGACCTCTGGCTCTCACATCTGTTTTGAGTTACTCAAACAGCTGTCCAAAACAGCTGTAGCAATCATGAACTTTGTTTTTTGTAACACAACAATGAGAACATGGATGGTAGTGTTAGAATAAAACTATAAAGGTCTCTGAGACATTAGCAACGTCTTGGCAGAAACTTCCACGGCAAAAATCTCAAAATTTAAATTTTTTTGAAAGATAATTCAACCAGGCAAGAAAAACTGAGATCACATAGATTAGTATTTTTAAACCACTGGTTCAGAAAATCCATTTAGTGGGTTGCAACCAGCATTTTGTTTTTAAATAAATAAAATAGAAAAACAGCATGCACTGTATGTAGTATGGAAGGCATCACTTGATGAAACTTTTGTTTCTGATCTTTGTATGCATATGACACTGTAAATGTGTGTGTGTACATATGGTGGGTGTATATATACATGTGTGTACATAAACACATGTACAATTTATTTTATATCTTTACCCCAGTTTGTGATGTAAAATGTTCCTCTGATATGGATAACCATCAAAACAGAGTCAGAAATCACTGTCCTGGATGTCAAAAGTGTTAAAATGACCTTTCAAGGCTCTTCCATTTGAAAGACTTTGTAATCCCAAGATGTTAAGATTCTCAAGAATTTCTGCTTAATATCAGCTGAACACATCTACCAACTGGTAAGATGTTCCCGCCAAACTTGACGGTATATGTGTGTGTACACACACATATGCCATTTTTCAAAATTAAAAAACAAAAGTGCTTTTAGTTGGAAAGAAAGCATCCAAAAACCACTTTTTTGAGTGCATCAATAATTAGCCTAATTTTTACAATAATGAAACTTTTTATCCACTTGAATTTGGGGAGAAAAAGGCCTGTAAGAAAGCCTGAGTTAGCTGAAAGTAGCAAAACGTGAGGAAATGCCAAGATCATGGTATTACAGAATGATAGGCCAGATTTTCCAATACCTTAGCTACTCTCTTGTGTTTTTTGTGTATTTAATTGTTTTGTTTTTTAAGAATGTGAATTTATTTTCTCAGGCCACAAGGGTACCACTGAGTAAGCCGGAACTTAAGTTAATGGAATTGGTATCGGACAAGGCTTCCTTCTCCCACATTTGAGAACTTAAATCAGCCCTTAAGGCCTGAAATTCTTCCGTAAGCACTAATTTAGTAAACACTATCCAGGTGGCCTGAATTGAGTTTCCCAAGTTTCCATACAAGTAAGTAAATCAACATCAGAGATACTGACTGCTAAATACCATATCAGAGGAGGTATATTTCTTGTCTTCCAGGAAGCTTCTACACCCATGTGGTATCTAGCTTTAAGGACTCTAAAAGCGGGACACAGGGAGATGGTGCAAAGGATTTCACCTTACAGCTAATTAGGGTGGACCAGAAACTCAGGTACAAAAAGGAGTCTAGGAAGTCAAGGCTGCCTATGAAGAAGCAGAGTCATGAGCCTTGCTGTAGCTTCTTCTCTACTAACCTCTTGTTTAGATGTGGAAGAAATGCCCAGGGTGCCAACAGGGCAGCCAGCAACTTTCCAGAGCAGGTAAGCAAGCTGCCAGTTCAAGGGGCCAGGATCATACAGTAATCAATGATTGTACTGTGATTTGAATTTCTTTGGAGTTCTGTATCTGCAATTGACCATAAGTACCTTGAAGGCAAGGAATTTGTCATTTCTTCTTTCCATCCCTACTACCTCCACTGGTACGTAGTAGGTGCTAGTAAAAGCAAGCAGGACAAAGTAATGAGGAGACACGTGAAAGCACCTGATTCTGTCAAGCCTGTGTATGATCTTCTCATTATGAATTATGACATCTAGAAGAAGGAGATACCTAAGATAGTCAGAATGGGGATGCGGGTGGCGGTGGGGGATGTGGAGGTGGGTGGAAGACAGATAAGATTTTTATCTGTTAAAATCATCACTTCAGTGGCGCTCAGCAGTGAAAAGATGGCTGGTGCAGACATTTAAAATTAGCTTCCCCTGACGGTTCCTTAGCAACGCTCTACCAGAACATTATTGCTTTTAATGTGCACTGCACAACGTTTACTTGCACATCAAATAGCTAGGAAATGGCCATTGTTAACTGACACTGAACAAAAAGATAGGAAAAACACACTACTCAATACACCCTCCTCATTGCCCTTATGGAGAGGAACAAACAGCCCAGATTTCCTGCTGCCCGTCCCTCCCAGGCTACCCATTAGAGGTGCCAATCACTGGCCACAAAGCCTTGTGTTTTCTCCCTTTTGTTTCTCTAGGCTTTTCTTCTATTTGATCACAGGTGACTGCCACCATCCTTTTTATTCGTTGAAGGAAGGCGAGAGAGTGACTTTGTTTTATGTGAGGGCAATAAACCAAATAAATGCCCCCAGAAACGAACAGTAGCAGCAAAACATCATCTTGGATGAAGCAAGACATCTGAAGCTCATGCAAGCCAGTGGGAAAATTCTGCAGGGTAAAATGCTGTTTTTGTATGGGGGTAAAATACGCAAGGCCAAAGTGATGAAGAAAAAGAAAAATATTAATGTCTTTCTTTGCTAAGCCTGTATTTCCTCTATCGAAGTAAAAAATAACCAACTACTCTATGAAGATTTAATTGTCCCTATATTTAAATGATGGAGTAAGATACAATTTTTAAATATAAAGGGCATCAGATGGCAAGTCAGAATCTCTACCACTACCAATCAGTAGGCATTGTTCTAGGCCTTGCTGTAGCACGTAGTAGCCATATGTCCCTGGCAAAGGCACTATCAGGGCATTAATTTCCTCATCTGTAAAAGTCACATAATAATTGCTCTTCAGTAAAGGGCACCTCATAATTAACTCTTCAGACTAATGTGTGAAGCAAGTAAAATACTTGACAAATAGAGGGTGGTATTCTTATTTTTGGAAACATGTTGCCCTCACGGGTATTTGAATTCAGAGTACTCTAAACCACAAATTCACACTTAAAAATCAAATCTTTTCACCATGGACCCAAATTGCCATTCTGATACTGCGTGTTGGCTTCCATATGGAAAATACACACACCAGTTGGGTAGGGAAGCGAGTGGCCTGATCCCAGCAAATCTGAGTCCCTTCTAGGTATTGGAGCTTACCTCTTGAACTAGGGAAGGAGTTGTTGAGTTGCTCCATCACCTCCTCTAACCCTGTGCTTGTGTCCTGGGGAGGACTGAGAAGATCTTCCTCACCTTAATAAAAGCAAAAACAAATAATGGAAAATTACATTTATAGAAAACAGATATTAAAGGGCCATGATTACATTTTTAACACCATTATAAATTCATTTCACTTGCTCATAAATAACAAAGAAAACCCTCAAGCTTAATAATGAGGAAGTAATTCTTTAAAGGGAAGAAGAAATCCATACAGTAGTTTATCTATATCATTACCCTTGGAGAAAAAAAAACTGTATATCTTTTTTTTTTTTTTTTTTTGAGATGGAGTCTTGCTCTGTCACCCAGGCTGGAGTGCAGTGGCACGATCTTGGCTCACTGCAACCTCCGCCTCCCAGGTTCAAACGATTCTTCTGCCTCAGCCTCCCGAGTAGCTGGGACTACAGGCATGCGCCAACACGTCCAGCTAATTTTTGTATTTTTAGTAGAGACAGGGTTTCACCATATTGGCCAGGCTGGTCTCGAACTCCTGACCTCATGATCTGCCCACCTCAGCCTCCCAAAGTGCTGGGATTACAGGCGTGAGCCAACACGCCCAGCCTACTGCGTATCTTTTTAAAAGTTGACTAGTTACTTGAAATGTGCCCCGCACATAGAAATGATAAATACATGAGATAATGAATACTCTAAATACCCTGACTTGATCATTAACACATTCTGTGTATGCAACAAAATATCAAATGCACTCCATAAATATGTACAAATATTATACTACAGTAAAAAACAGGCTGGGTGCGGTCGCTCATGCCTGTAATCCCAGCCCTTTGGGAAGCCGAGGTGGGAGGATTGTTTGCTGCCAGGAATTTGAGAGCAGCTTGGGCAACATAGTGAGACCCTGTCTCTATTTAAAAACAAAAAAACAAAAAAACAAAAAATAAATTTAAAAGTTAAAAAGAATAAAAGAAAAAGTCAATTGAAAAAGGTAAAACTGACAAGCTCTCTTTTGTGCCCCATTCACAAATGTGAAACTTTGTTCTATGTAATAAAATAAGTATTACTGCACACTTGCAGTGCTGTCTCCTCAACACAAAAGAGTAAGAATTGAACACTTTGCAGTCACTTCATGAAGGTAAGAAGGGAGTTGAGACACTGAGGTCTTTTTTTCACTCTTTGTTTTGACATTTAACCAAAAATACAAACGAAACTCAAGTACCTTTAAACTCCAATGTAATAGAAATAAAAATAGTATATATCCTATATAGGTAATGAAATATGAATATTCTAAAAACTGTAGATATGGCATATATTGGAGAGTTATGGTCCTTTCCTCTGTTACTTGGGACTACTTTATCATAATTATGTTTTGGGTTTTATAAAGAAGACATTACAAACATTTTGACTGTTTATGTGAGGAGAGAATGATGATCTGGAAGCAAAGAAACCTATGGATGGATGATATTCACTGGGAATGGAAATCTCCTTGTAGATTTTGTGAATCTGTGTCTGTATTGTTTGTTCATGTGTTAAAGAAATACACTTCAAACAGCATTTGCAAGTTAAAGGGAAATTTCTTAGGTGCAAACAAAATTAAACTTTAAAGGTCCTTTGAAACTAACTTTTCATAATATACAATCTTCCAATAGTGAAAATAACTTCTATTCAAGCTCTGTTTGTTTTGCACATTGTCACTTCCATCTAAAACAAGACCTTGCTTTAGCAAGTCAACCATAATGAACTTAATTAGGGACAACCTCAGGTTTACATCTGACTTGGAACTGCTTCGGAAGCCAGTGACTAAATGACTTAAATATGCTTCTCATTCCCTTTGGTCTATGCCACTTGGATTTTCATGTTTGATTAGAATCCTGCATTTATTCCTTTTTTTTTTTTTAACAGCAGAAGCTAAAAGAATCATTGCCAATGCTAACCATTAAGACAAAATCATATTCTAGGTGGATGTGAGGCTTCATATTTTTATTAGAATGGAGGGATAAGAACGTAAGGTAGATAAAAAGCCTCAGACTACATGAGTCTCCTGGTAACATACCACAGGAAACCTCTTTGCAATATTAAGTACAGGAAATGGGTGCTGAAGAATTAAGGTCACAAAGCAGAAAAGGAATAGTTACAAACTCTCTCTCTCCTCTTTCTCTCTCTCTTCCTCCCCCCTCACACACATGCACTATTTGCTTAAGTTTATGCCTTTAGAAAAAGAAGTGAAATTCACTATTTTTAGTTTCATTTTTCTTGCGGTTTTAAACTACCATTATCTGGTGAAGATGAAATGAATGAAATACTACCAAGAGGATCAAGATCCTGACAACTGCAGGGCTGATTACATCTCTCTGTTTCATTACTGATGCAAATTTTTGCGGAACTGGGAAACATGAGGCATTTTTAATGGCAGTAAGTCCACTTCAGTGACAGTATGCCTCACTGAATAAATCAGAACCAAGAGAACATCATGAACGACGCTCATGAACATCGATGTTAATATTTCTGACAGTTTAATTACATCATATTGGAGCTCTAGGAACTCAATTGTACTGTGTTAAAATTCAGGTACAGTTCAATGAAGTGACTGGCAT
Organism: Homo sapiens; assembly: GCF_000001405.40. Taxonomy (NCBI): domain Eukaryota; kingdom Metazoa; phylum Chordata; class Mammalia; order Primates; family Hominidae; genus Homo; species Homo sapiens. Next base: position 31,136,708 of record NC_000023.11, read on the forward strand.
TCCTGTTCCTGAATTATTTCAAAGATCAAATTATAAAGTATAAACCTAATGATGTCAGCCAAGTTTATTTTTCCAGATAAACTCTCTGTGAGTCTTTAATATGAGTGTCCAAGTATAATACAAATGTAAAATTGGCTTCTTTGCTTTAATGGAAAACTTTTAAGGCAGTGATAATTGTATCCATTCAGACATTTTTTTGAGTGCCTATTACATTCTAGGTAGTATAAAAACAAGTAGAGTATAATCTTGTTTTCTTCTTTTCTCCATATTTTCATGATTTCTCAAGATGGTTTTAATGCATTGCTTTTTTTCTCTTTTTCTTTTTTTTTGAGATGGAGTCTTGCTCTGTCACCCAGGCTGGAGTGCAGTGGTGGAATCTCGGCTAGCTGCAACCTCTGCCTTCCGGGTTCAAGTGATTCTCCTGCCTCAGCCTCCTGAGTAGCTGGGACTACAGGCGCGTGCCACCACGCCTGGCTAATTTTTTATATTTTTTAGTAGAGACAGGGTTTCACCGTGTTAGCCAGAATAGTCTCAATCTCCTGACCTCGTGATCCACCTGCCTCGGCCTCCCAAAGTGCTGGGATTACAGGCGTGAGCCACCACGCCCAGGCTCATCTCTTTTTAAGAATCGAAATCAGACATCACATATGTGCATGAGTAGAAGTGAATCAACTCATTGAAAAATGCTTAATGCCTAATATTTTCTGTGTCAGAATATATTGTAAAAGTTAAAACAGCTAAATGAAACCTGAAGTTAAAGTAATACCATTGTAATATTTGATACTAACCCAGATTTTTAAAATGCCTTTTAAAAACCACAAAAGTTTAAAAACAGTAAGATTCATTTATTTATTCAAATATTTATTAAAATCCAACTATATATGCCAGGCACTGTTCAAATGGTTGAACAGTGCCTGGCATATTGTTCACTGAAGATATAGCAATAAGCAAACAAACCCCACCCACACACTCTCTCTGTGAAACTCGCATTCATAAGGAGGCACACAGGCTTAACAAGTAAATAAGTAAACTATATAGGTATCTTGAGTGGTGATGAACACTCTGAGGAGAGGGCTAGCAAGGGACAATGAGAGTCATCAGAAAGTGGAGTCTTGGAAGTCCTCATTGATGAGATGCAGTTGAGCAAAAGCTTTAAGAACTGGAGGGTATGAGTTGCACAAGTATTTGAGGGAAAAGTGCTCCAGACAGAAGGATTGGCAAATGCAAAGACTCTGAGAGGAGAGTGTGACTGGCTTCCTCAAGCACAGCAAGAAGTCTAATGTAGATAAAGCAGAGTGAACAAGAGCTGGGAAAACAGTACTTCCCTGGCCTGGGGATTCGGATTTGGCCACATAACCTGCTTTGGAAAATGGAATGTAAGCGGGCATGACAAAAGTAGAGGCTTAGAATGTCTTTGACTGGTTGGGGTTGCCCGCTTGTGTTTATGTGCACAAGAAGCATATGGCCCAGGTAGCTTGCTAGCCCAAGAAGGATGAGAGACATGTTGAACAGACCTGAACCCAAACCACAACTTGGTGTCAAGTCCAGCTGATTGCCAGCAAAAGTTCAGCCAAACAACAGATGCGTGAATGAGAAATATGCAACTTGAGAATTTTGTGGTTATTTGTTATGCAGCAACAGCTGACTGATACACTATTATGGGCATGAAACAAGCCAGATATAATATTTATGGCTTGTCTAATCATACACTATGTAGCTACAACATAATAGGTGTATTAATCCATTTTCACACTGCTATAGAGATACTACCTGAGACTGGGTAATTTATAAAGGAAAGAGGTTTAATTGACTCACAGTTCCAGATGCGTGAGGAGGCCTCAGGAGGCCTCATGATTATAAGTTTAGAATCATGGTGGAAGGCAAAGGGGAAGCAAGGCACCTCTTACATGGCAGCAGGAGAGAGAGAGAGAGAGAGAGAGAGAGAGAGAGAGAGAGAGAGAGAGAGAGAGAGAGAGAGAGAAGGGGGAAGTGCCACACACTTTAAAAACCATCAGCTCTCCTGAGAACTCACTCACTATCACGAGAACAGCATGGGGGAAAACTTCTTCATGATCCAGTCACCTCCCATCAGGTCCCTCCCCTGACACGTGGGGATTACAATTTGAGATGAGATTTAGGTGGGAACACAGAGCCAAACCATATTAATAGGCAACCTCAAAATATTTCTGACTCTAACAATAATACCTGTCATCACAAGCCCCTCATCACCAAAAACAAAAACACCTTTTCACTTTTTTCACTTATTCAACAAGAAAATACTGAGTTCCAGTTGCACACTAGAGACCTGCACAGCCCTTATCCCTACTTCACAGATTCATTGCCTGCTCAAATAGCATATTGCTAGTCTTTGGGGGATTTTAAACTTAGTTGATGGCAATGCTTTAACACTTAAACTTGACTCTACTCCAAGGTGATTTCCACAAACATGCATAAATAATAGATGTCAGTGTGGATGTGGTGAAAACAGAACACTTTTACACTGCTGGTGGGAATGTAAACTAGGACAACCACTATGGAAAACACTATGGAGGCTCCTTAAAGAACTAAAATGTAGAACTACCATTTGATCCAGCAGTCCCACTACTGGATATCTACCCAAAGGAAAGGAAGTCATTATGTGAAAAATATACTTGCATACCAAGATTATAGCAGCGCAATTCATAATTGCAGAAATACGGAACTAGCTTAAATGCCCATCAACCAACGAGTGGATAAAGAAAATGCAGTATGTACGTGGTGTTTATATACACACACACACACACACACACACACACACACACGCCATGGAATATTAGTCATGAAAGGAATGAAATAATGGCATTCACAGCAACCTGGATGGAGTTGGAGACCATTACTCTAAGTAAAGTAACTCAGGAATAGACAACCAAACATTGTACTTTCTCACTTATAAGTGGGAGCTAAGCTATGCGGATGCAAAGGCATGAGAATGATACCATGGACTCTGGGGACTTGGGGGGAAGGGTGGGAGGGGGGTGAAGGATAAAAGACTACACGTTGGGTACAGTGTACACTGCTCAGGTGATGGATGCACCCAAATGTCAGAAATCACCACCGAAGAACTTATTCATGTAACCAAACACCACCTGGGTTCCCTGAAAACTACTGAAATAATAAAAAGAGAAAAATAATGTTTTTTGGATTATTAGCTATTTGGTCTTCCTGGCTTGTCTGATTGTGGTCCAAATAAATCACTGAAACATTTTTTAAAATAAGGAAAGACATAGTCAAAGTTAAATAGTACCGTGATATAGCAAAATATGATAGTCTCCTTTAATCACTGCTGAAGTGAAGAAAAAAGAAGTGGGATGACTCAATTTAATCCGAGAAAAAAGAAAAGGAATGCTTTGCCATGGCAAGATATTCTTCAGTCTTCTGAAATATAACGATGGTTTCAGATCCCTTTCTTGAAGGGAAGATATCCCATCTGACTCACTTCCCTTTGATTCAAACGCTGATAATGGTTCTATCTGCTTAAAAAGTGATTTTAGCCAGAACCTACGCAGCCTATGCAGAATAGACACAAGAATTACTCCTGTGTTTTTGTCTGAATCTAAACAAATTATTTTCTCTTTTTTTTAAAAAGGAGCTGTGTACAAGAAATTATTTTTTCTCATAAAGGGGGCTGTGTATGAACAAATACGCCCACCAACATTTTTCTTTGGATTTTAACCAGTTTCCGACTTGATGTGTTATTATCTTAGTACTTGTGTATTTCCTGCCTTTCTCCAGTATTTTTTAGAAGAAAAAGCACACTGATGTATCCAATACCCAACATTTGGCTACAATTAATTTTTTTCCATATGATATAGGACCGATGCTTTCAATTTCACACATAAATTCTGTGTGTAACACCTTTAACATATTATGGTGTACAATGTTGTTGCTGATTATTAGCTGATCAGTTGTGAATGGTGGTGAAAGATACTGAAACTAGTAGCTAAATTTCCTAAACGTGTGGGCTGTTCCATGTGTACACAAGAATGTATTATGCTTGATTTCTAAAATATTAACTCAACAAGCACTTTACTGATTGTTTGTTGCACAGAGTATCCTCATACAGTAACGACAATGAGCAAGACTTACATCCTGTCCTTAAGGAGCTTAAGTTCTAGGGAGTTGTAGGCAGAAGAAAGAAGTACTAGTAACTGGCTGAAAACATGGCTGGGTGTGGTGGCTCATGCCTTTAATCCCAGCACTTTGGGAGGCTGAGGCGGGTGGATTGCTTGAGGTTGGGAGTTCAAGAACAGCCTGGCCAACATGGTGAAACCCTGTCTCTACTAAAAATACAAGAAAAAGTAGCCAGGCATGGTGGCGAGCCTGTAATCCCAGCTACTCAGGAGGGTGAGGCAGGAGAATCGCTTGAACCCAGGAGGTGGAGGTTGCAATGAGCTGAGATCGCACCACTGCACTCCAGCCTGGGCAATAAAGCGAGACTCCGTCTCACACAAAAGAAACAACAACAACAACAACAACAACAACAACAACAAAACCAGAATGATATAATGCATGATTAAGTTCCAAAAGAAAACTCACTGAGTGAAAAGAAAGGATGCTATATTTCAGGTTAAGAACATAATGTACTCAAGGCCAAAGAGCACATTTATTCTGTTGTCAAACAGAAGGCATAAAATGCTTAAAGAGGGGAATAATATGATATAATTTGAATGGTAGAAGAGGAACTGAAGTTTCTGGAAGATAGCTTAGAAAGGGAGAGAGACCAAAGGCAGAGGAACCAATTAGGAAAGTATTCATATTGTCTGTTCAGGTAACACATGATGAGGGCTAAATTTGGGCAGAAGTAGCTGAATTGAAGAATTTTGCTCTTTTTCATAAGTAGCAAAACACACTGACCTTGGTGACTGGATTGATGGTGGTGGAACATAGCTAAGGAAGGCAGGTAAAGGAAGAAGGGGTAGAAAATGACTTTGTATAGATTGGGAAATTGGAAGAGATGCTCCAAAGGTTGATCATGATTTCAGATTAGGCTATATTTTTATTTATAATTTTATCCAGAAGATGCTCAGGTGGGAGGTCTGGGCTGGAAATCTTGACTTAAGAGTTGTCAGCATAGCAGAAGCCAAAGTATGGAAGGAGCGCCCAGGGAGAGTGAAGAACGGTGAAGGGGATGGAGAATCTTGAGGAAAACCTTGATGTGATGTACTGAGGATACCTTACCTATATGGTAATCTGGCATAAAACATTTAACCCGAACCCAATCACTTGGATACAAGCAGACAAATTCAAATTGGGGGACATTCTACAAAACATCTAGCCCGACCTCTTCTAATATATCAATGTCATGAAAGATTTAAAGAGGCTGGGAAAGTGCTTCAGATTAAAGGAGACTACAGGGACATCACTGATCCTGAATGTAAAATATCGCTATGAAGAATATTAATTGGCAGAATTGGAGGTATTTGAATTTAAATTCTACATTATATAACAGTATTGTTCTTTTTGAGCATGATAATTGTGCTTATGCAAGAATATCTTTCATTTTAGAAGGCACGTGTTCAAGTGTTTAGGGGTGAAGTGTTATGTATGAAACCTAACCATTGAGTGGATCAGTGAAAAAAAAATCCACAAACTATATACACGCATGAATATGATTAAATATGCACATAAAATATAAACATATACAGTATATAAAAATATGTTAACATACAGATATACATGTTAATCTAAATATATGCAATCCATTTAACAACACATGAATGTAAAAGTACATAAATAAATAGCTATAAAGCAAATGTGGCAAACTGTTGAATTAATTGCAGTTTTGCCATAAGTTTGAAATTGTTCTAAATAAAAAGCTAGGGAGCCATTATGTCATAAACCTCAAATGTACATGATAAATTTTTTAAAAAGCAAAGGAACAGTTTAATTTTTAAATCAATAAAATATAAAATGCTTCAAAAAACAGTAATCTGGTGGAAAGTTAGGAGTCATCAGAGATAAGGAGTTGTCTGGACATCACAGATTTGTATATGGAGCCCATGAGAGCCAATAGGGGATAAACATTGTTAATTGCTATTTTGTTCTGTATTTGCTTCCTCCAATAGAATGTACGTTTCATTAGCACATTGTCTCAGTAAGAACTGTACAGAATACAAATGGTACATAGAGACTCAGTGATAAGTATTTCATGGCTTGAGGAAATATGTTGACTCTTTAGACACATCACCTAATATGACTTGTCTCATGTTTCACTTAAAAGAAAATCAGTCATCGGGGTTGCATATTTAAAGAATGCAGCTCTATCCAGAATGTGGTTCAGCAGATCCCAGCCTTGTATCTCAAACCTTCAAAGCCCAAGTATATACACTGCATTTATTTAAACACCTGTGTGCATCCTTCAAGAAGACGGTAAGGCTTTTTTCCTTTTTAAATGAAGTTAGCTTATGCAGTTCGATATGGTTTGGTTCTGTGTCCCCATCCAAATCTCATGTTGAATTGTAATCCCCATGTGCTGCGGGAGGGGTCCGGTGGGAGGTGACTGGATCATGGCGGCGGTTTCCCCCATGCTGTTCTCATGATAGTGAGTTCGCATAAGATCTGATGGTTTAAAAGTGTGGCAGTTCTCCCCTCGCTTTCTCTCTCCTGCCGCTATGTAGCACATGCCTTGCTTCCCCTTCACCTTCCCCCATGATTGTAAGTTTCCTGAGGCCTCCCCAGCCTTGTGGAACTGAGTCAATAAACCTCTTTCTTCATAAATTACCCAGTCTCAGGTAGTTCTTTATAGCAGTGTGAAAACAGATTAATACACAGTTCAAGAAAAAGTACCCTTGAATTCAGTCTTTTCTTTCAGAGGACAAATTTAACACAGCTTATCCATTTTATGCCAGCAAGTTATCTCTTAGCTTAGCCATTGGAATATAGCACTTTTGTCCTGGTATTCAGTTCTACCATGATCTTTTTAGCTCCACAGATCATCAGGACCACATCCTAATGTGCACTTTAATTTGAGTGCTTTAACGAGTATGCTGCCTATTCGCCATTGTCAACGACCTAAATAATTATTAATGCTTCTAAGCACCCAGGGCTCTGAATCTGACCACTAAAATATGTAACTTAGTTTCATATGCTTTACTTACTTAAAAAAGGGGGAAAATCCTGAAGTAGAAAAAAATAAGAGGTACTAAAGCTCAGTTGTTTTCAGAATTTACAGACTTTGCAAATGCATACAGTTGTTTTTCATGTAGTGTGTTGTCATTTACAATCCCAACAGTTTATTAGCTATATTCAGATCTCAGGTGGAGGGAGATAATCTGACACAGAGATTGCCTTAAATCATGGAGGTGTAGTAAATTCAGGAAAATAACCTCAAACATATCCTTTTCCTTCTCAAAAAAATCAAAACCTGGCTTTCCTACAAGATTTGGCTTCTCCAGAGGAGGATGTGCCTCTTCCCACTGCTCCAGGTTCTTGAACTTCATCACATTTATTTCAACTACCCTGTCTCTTTCCTCAGAAATGTTCATCTCCTCAGAGCCCTCGTCCATCTTCTTCAACATCTTTTCCATCCTGATCTACCACTGTCGTCAGGATCTGGACCTCACCCCTCTGCTGATAAGCTCAGCAACGTTGGTCTCATCAACTCCATGAACTGTACTCCCTACCCCTCAGTGATCTCCAAGTAAAATCTTCAGCAGCTCGCTGGGAGGCACCATGTTAGATGTAGAAATTGCTTGAAAGTATTTTACTTCCATGATATCCAACTTTTGAATTTTCCCGACTGTGATCTCCAAATTTTTCGCCATAAAACTCACCCACACCCCTGACTTTTCCTTTCTGTCCTATCCATTTTGGTTAAGGCACTTTGCCTCCCTTTATTCTACCCTCATGGAAGAGCTCAAGTATGAAATGAATTCCTGAACACATCATCATATCAGGCAATAGAGCTGTAAGTGTATGGAATCAAGGAGTCACAGGTCTTTTCTATTCTGTGAGGTAAGATTTGAGAGGACCAAGTATATAACCAGTTTAGGTCCCAGGGAAAAGTAAGGAGAGAGGATGGAGCTGACTCCTACTGGGCCTTTACAGAGAAAGAGAAATGAGGAAGGGGGACCAAGTATTTGTGGCCTTCATAAAACCCTCTATTGTCTAGCCAGACACAGCAGGAAAAACCAATGAGCAGCTGGCTAGGAACCCCTGTCCTAGCCATTCATTACCACTGTAAAATGCCCTACTCTTGTTTTGACCTTTGATCATTTATGCCTCATCAGCTCCACCTTTCTTAGAACCTAGTCCTAGGCAGAGAACATTGCTAAGAATGAGAACAGAACATGTGGACCATTTCCTCAACAAATTCATCCAACTTTTGCCTAAGGCTTCCTTCTTACTTGGTAATGTTTCAAAATTGTCTTCACTTTCCTTAATCCTCATTCATTTTAAGATTACCTAGTCTTTCATTTCATTGAAACAGAAGTTTTCCACCTTCCCTTCTCTTGGCCTAAAATGGTTTCTCAAAATTACCCAATGCATTTATAGTGACCCAATGGACTGTGATTTATTTTAATTTCCATTGAGCTCTCTTTAGCATTTCACCTTTTTGTCACATCTTCCTTGAACCTCCCTACTTATCCATCCTTTACTATCCCATTACCCAAATGGAGGTCTTTTCCAAGGCACTGGATCGAAGCACCTGTGTTATAGATTTTATAGATTTCTCATCTCACACCCTTCAGCAATCAATTCTATGAAACTCATTCTCAAATCTCTCCAGTTTGCCCACTTACTTCAAGTATAGATCTGTATCTTAATTTCTTTTGGGACATGACTTAGAAGACCTGTCAATTTCTCAAACACATTATGTCCACAATCAGAAGTTTCACTATCTTCTTCCAACCAAATCCTCTCCCTTCATTCCTCTTCTTACAATTTGCACTCAGTCCCCAGACCCTGGGAACTCTATTTTTTTTTTTTTTTTTTGAGACACAGTCTTGCTCTGTCGCCCAGGCTGGAGTGCAATGGTGCCATCTTGGCTCACTGCAACCTCCGCCTCCTGGGCTCAAGCGATTCTCCTGCCTCATCCTCCCGAGTAGCTGGGACTATAGGCGCCCACCACCATGCCTGGCTAATTTTTCTATTTTTAGTAGAGACAGGGTTTCACCATATTGGCCGGGCTGGTCTTCAACTCCTAACCTTGTGATCCGCCCACCTCACCCTCCCAAAGTGCTGGGATTACAGGCGTGAGCCTCCACGCCCAGCCCCCTGGCAAGTCTATTTTTATAGAATAGTCTCACAGTCCTCTCCTCCCACATCTCTCAAGTGCAGGCCCTCAGAACTCACCAATCTTGGCCTTGGCAATTGCCTCCTAACTGGTCTTCTCACCTATACAAGTTTTCTGTGGGCCAGATAGAGCTGCCAGAATACACCTTTTTAGAATTTTCTTTTTAGACTTTTTTCGCCTGGTATATGATTTTCAGTGGCTCCCTGATACCAAGATGAGTCAAACACTTACGGCCAAATATTCATGTCCCTGTAATACGACTCTACCTTTCTTCAGACAACAAAATCTGAGAGTAGCTAGGACACTTACCCATGGAGTCCGAAGTTTGACTGCCAACCACTCGGAGCAGCATAGGCTGACTGCTGTCGGACCTCTGTAGAGAGGTAGAAGGAGAGGACACCGTTGTGCCATTCACTTTGGCCTCTGCCTGGGGCTAAGTCATCCAAAAGAAAACAGAATTACTTTTCATAATAAACATACAAATGTATAAATTTCAAAATATGATACACACTCAGGACTCATAAATTTTGACCCTTCCTACTTTAGAAGCCCTCCCAAAGATTGTTTAATTTGGGATATTTCACTGTTGATATAATCCATAGAAACTGTCTTTGTATCTGAATTGTGCTCCCTTATAAATTTGAGAAAAAAATCAGAGCTACACTGGAATGAGACTATACATCATTACATTAAATAACTGGAAGATTTAGAAGGTCATGTGTGAATGATGAGACTATGTGAGATCTCAAAACTGTAATGGAAGATTCATATCTTTGTGAAGTATTAAGTAACAAGATAGAGAGAACATAATTGAAAAATTTAAAATTCCCAGAAAGCCAGAACTATGTCCAGGTAGGTCCTCTTACAATGCAGTATCTTGCTAGGTTTTCGATGGAGGCTTAAAGAACTATGTGTTAGGGATTAGGAGAAAAAAAACACAAAGGTATACCAGAAAATATAACTAATTGTAAATGAAATAGTTCCATTTCAAGAAGTGAAATATTCACTTTTAGAGAACTAGTGGAAACCTTTAGGCGTTTTTTTCCCCAAGATGTATTTCAAATTGGTCAAGAAAAAACCATTTTGGTAGGAAACAATATTGGACAAATACAAAAAAGACACACTAGTTTTTCTATCTCCTCTACTTCTATCCTTTGATACTATCACTTTGCAGGCACATACCAAGCACTTAAGAATTGATGCTTGTTGCACCTATAAAAAGTGCTCTCTGAGGTTTAGTTTTGTTTAAGAGGGAAAAATGAATGTTTGTAAAAATCCCATCTCTCTCCTCACTTGCTCCAGCAGCTGCCTTAGCCTGTGTAACTGTGACTCCAGCTGTTTATTGTGGTCTTCCAGGATTTGCATCCTGGCTTCCAGGCGGCCTTTGTGTTGACGCAGTAGCTTGGCCTCAGCAATGAGCTCAGCATCCCGGGGACTCTGGGGAGAGGTGGGCATCATTTCAGGAGGGGACGGCAGTGGGGACAGGCCTTTATGTTCGTGCTGCTGCTTTAGACGGTCATATTCTGCTTGCAGATTCCTATTGGCATCAAAAAAGTAAAAAAGAAAAAAAAAGAAAGAAAAAGAAAAAGAAGAAAAAAAGTAATTTGAATATCATCACCAAATTTTATATACCATGGTAGATAGATGCATCTGACTGCCACCGAAGAACAGCAAGCAAAAGAGGCACTAATGAATGGTTTTAATGATGACAATCTTACCAGTGCTAAAAGAACAAAACAAAATTTGAAGCTTTTGCCTGGTGTGTGAAGGGAGCCATGCTTTTCAATTTTTTATGTTACACTAAAAGCCTCGCGACTGGTATGTTCAGATAAGTAAGCAGCAAAGGATTTAATCACTTTGTAAATATTTCTTTATAATGTCATGAGATTAAAAATTTTATACCTCTATCAACACTTTGGTTTGCTCTAAACATTAGCAAATATTTTCAACAGAAATGTATAAGAATGGAGTAAGTATACCCATGTTCCTATCACCTCCCCTTGATAAGTTTATCATTTGCCATATTTTCTTCAAAAGTTTTTTGAAGAAAGAAAAGTTAACAGCCAAAGCAGAAGCTCCCTCACATGCCCGCCTCAACACCATACCATTCTCTCCTCCCCGCTGCCCTCAAGGAGATAATGCCACACTGAATTTCATGCCCAGTGTTACCATGAATGTATCAACAAATACTAGGTTGAGCTTAAAAAAGATGCTGATGTTTGCCTGTATTTTTCTTTCACCTACAAAAACACCCATTTTATGTGATTCAATCTAATAACATTATTTTGCATGTTTTTAAACTTTAAATTTAAGAACTTCACATTTAAGAATATACATACCATTCTAAGAGTTGCTTTTTGCCTTCAACACCATTTTGGAGATTTCTCCAGGTCGATACATAATAGTTTGCTATTTTAACTGCCATAAGGTATTATTATTCTGTTGCTTGAATATGCCAACATTTTCCTGTCCATGGACATTTAGGTTGTTTCCAACTTTTCACTATTATAAACAATGATACAATGAAATTCTTTTTTATACCTATCTCCTTGGATACCTGTTGAAGAGATTCTTTACAGAATATAGTTTGATGTGGAATTGTTGGATCTTAGCAACATCTTCAACATTGCTACATGTCACCGAATCGCTCTGGGTGACAAATCGGTGCTTTTACCAATTTACTCTCGCTTCAGTAGTGAATGAGGTTTTCCATTTGGCCCACCTCCTCACCAAATACTTGGTGTTATCAGACATTCAAGTTTTAGTTAACCTGATGGGTGCATTTTAATTTGCACATACATCCCGGATTACTGGCAAGGTTAGACTTCTTCCATGTTAACTGGCTTTTCATGCTTCCTTTACCCATTTTCCTGCTGGATTGTCTTTTTCTTTTTAAACCTTTGGATATGTTCTAGATGCTAATCCATTGTTAGTTATGTGCATGGCAAATATGATCTTCTACCCTTATCTTAGTGTAGCTTATCTTTAACTTTGCTTATGGCATCCTATGGTATAAAAGATGTAAATTTTAACATATCCCTGTATGTTCTCTGCTTTTTATGTTTTGTTCACGAAAATCTTTTCTTACACCTACATTTTAAAGTTTAAAATTTGGTTTTTCACATTTAGGACTTGAATTTACCCAGAATCTATTTTTGTGCTTGCCGTGAACATGCGATCTAATTTTACTTTTCCCCCATGGATAAACTATGAAGCCAGCCTCATTCATTGTATGGTCCATCTATTTCCCACTGATCTCTAACGATGCTTCCGCAAAACATCAAGTGTCCATAAATATACAGGTGTGCTTCTGAGCTCTGTATTCTAGTCTGTGGTTCTATCTGCATATCCCTGGTAGATCCCACACTCCAGCTTTAAATCAATTGATGTCTGATAGGCCTTCTCAGCCCACTTTGTTTTTCCTCAAAATTGTCTTGACTATTCTGACCCCTTTGATCTTCTCCATGATTTTAGTGTTTGGTTTTCTGATTTTATGAAAATGCTTGTTGAAATTTTGAGTTTGAATTACATTGAATTCATAGGTTAAACTGGGAAGAACTAAGTTCATAATAATTGAGTCTTCACATCCAAGAATGCAGTGAAGCTCCTTACTTACTATGGTCTCATTTTATGTCCATTAATAATGTTTTACTTGTTACTCTTTTTTTTCCTCTTGCTTTACAGGTTGAATAAGTCATTGATTTTTTATTTTTAATGAACACATTTAGGGTTATACATTTCCTCCTTGGTACCACTTTAATTATATACCAAAAGTTTTTATATACATCACCTGATTCAATTCAGTGCCTTATGTTTTGTAATTCTTACTGTGATTTCTTTTAACTTAACCCATAGTCATTTAGGAGCACAGTGGTTATATTTCCATTTTCACTTCTTAGTGCATTTCTAATTTAATTGCGTTTCAATCAGAGAACCCCTGTATGATACTGATCCTTTGAAATTTAGCAATACTTCTTTTTGTGACCTAGTTCACAGTCACTTTCTAAAAATGTTCATTGAGTACTTGAAATAATGTGTATTTTTCCATTGGAAAGATGGAGTCTCTAAATACATAGTGTGCTGATTTTGTTGTTAAAATTGTCCATATCTTTATTAATTTTTGATTATTTGTAGCTATCAATTTTTGTTAGATGAGTGTTGAGATATAATTATGGATTTGTTAGTTTCTCCTTTTAATTCTATCATAATTCACTTTATATATTTCTAGACCTATATAGTTAGATGCACAGAAGATCCTCGTTGTTCTTGCACTGTTTCTAGGTAGTATACTTTTTCTTCCTAATAATGTTGATTGCCATAAATTTTATTCCATTTAAAGGTTTCTATGGTTATTCCACTGTCTTTTGGTTATATTTGGTTAATTTCCAAATAAATATAAACAGTATTAGCACATGTGAAGGTCCCAAATGCTTTAGGATTTACTGAGAATACAATTCCAATTGAGGACATTTCTGATATTTGATATCCAGTGACTGATTAGAACTCTTGACATCTTTCTTCTACTTGTGATAAATACCAAAATAAGATGACAGATTTCTGTTGTTCACAGATGATATTTCATCAGGTGAGAGAAATTCCTATCCACAAATGTGGGAGATCTATATCAATGAGAAAAGAGATGAAATGTAAGTAGTGAGTAGCCAAGAAGAGTTTTCCCATTGTCCAGTTTGAGAAAGCAAGATCATCTCATCACCAGGTCTGCTAAATATTTTCTGTTGTCCCATACTCGGAATGAACATTCCACAGGGGACGGCATGTCTTCCAAAATGCTCAGTTTCAAAAGGCTAGATCTCCACATGGAAGCAGAAAGAAAACCCAATCTACTCTGGTTTTTTTCTTTGTTTTGTTTTGCTTCATTTTTTTCATTCTACCTAGTACCTAACATTACAAGGTTTCCAGGAATTTATTTAAAGTCACACAGAAAATCAATGTATGATCTTTTTCATCTACAGAAATAGAATCTCCTATCTGTACTGATTGAAATCCTATTGCTATCAGCCTTCAAGGGTAGTTGTTTGTATAGTTTATTTCATAGCAATCTGCTTTGACAAAGCAGTGATGAGAAGAGATTCATCGAAGTAAGTACACCTTCAGTCAGATTCTGCACACGGGTCTTCTGGGTGTGCACCGATGTATGTAACTGTCCACATTAATTAAATCTAATTTCTGAGAACTTAACTGGCAATCAGTTCAATGTTTCTGTGAACTTGAAGCAGTATCCAATGTTCACAAGGTCTCATTCCATAGGAATTACTTTCTATTTTTCCCTCTTCATTAAAAGAAAACTTCAACAAAATGTTCTAACTGGCAACACTTTTTATGTAGAATCCTATTCAAATTTTTCTTTCTACCAGATTGGGGCAGCCATGGTGTTCCTTTTGAAAACAGTTTTTAGACATGGACCTCAAGATGGTACAACAAGCCATTACTGTCTTCCCACCTATTTTTCACAAAGGTGCTGACAGGAGACTGCCTTTTCTAGAGAGATCTTCCTTGGTATCTTGATCCTGTGGGTTTAGTTGTCCACAGGGCTCTTCTTTTATGATTTATTTATAAGGACCCTTGTTCAAGAGGCATGGTTTGGTATATACAACACATTACATTTCTGTTTTGGTGGTTTCCAGTGAAAACAGAAAAGGCTCATTTTAATCAGCCAAAGCTGAGCTGTAAAGAATATCAATTGCTCAATGCAGGCCTTTCTTTCCTTCCCAGATGTTTGAAATTTCTCTTGGGAGCACATTTCCTTCAAG
Source organism: Homo sapiens (assembly GCF_000001405.40). Taxonomy (NCBI): domain Eukaryota; kingdom Metazoa; phylum Chordata; class Mammalia; order Primates; family Hominidae; genus Homo; species Homo sapiens. Next base: position 31,151,753 of record NC_000023.11, read on the forward strand.
ACTCACATCCTTCTTCAATTCTGGAAGATTCTCAGCTATGACAGCTTCAAATATTACTTCTCTACCATTTCCTCCATTTTCTTCTGAAACCTCTCAAATACACTCCTAAACAAACCTCTAAATTCTAGTAAGGTATATTGTAGAGCCTGTGGTCAATTCTCCATTTCTCCTAATTGCTCATTTATATTTCTTATCTTTTTCTGTGAGTGTTGTACACAGTAACATTCTCAGCATCATCTTCTAATTCCCTTGCCTTCTCTGACAGGACAAAGTCTAGAATTTATCCTGTATATTGAGTTTAGTAACTTCAATGACTAGTTTTTTTGGCAAAGATATCTTTGTTTTCAGACCTAGTTACATTTCATCCATCTCTGTTTCTTAGTTTCTTGTTATTTTAGCGAGTGGTACCCCTTATTTATGCCTTTAAGCATCTTTTTTTTTTTTTTTGAGATGGAGGCTGGGGTGCAGTGGCACGATCTCCGCTCACTGCAACCACCACCTCCTGGGTTCAAGCGACTCTCCTGCCTCAGCCTCCTGAGTAGCTGGGATTACAGGTGCCTGCCACCATGCCCAGCTAATTTTTGTATTTTTAGTAGAGGCAGGGTTTCACCATGTTGGGCAGGCTGTTCTTGAACTCCTGACCTCAGGTGATCCACCCATCTCAGCCTCCCAGAGTGCTGGGATTACAGGCGTGAGCCACTGCACCTGGTCTGAGCATCTTAAATGTAAGTAAAAATCTTTGTTGTACTAGTGTATTATTTTGCTTTCTTCTAGAATTAATTCATCTTTTTTTTTTTTTGAGATAGGGTCTCACTCTGTTGCCCAGGATGGAGTGCAGTGGCACAATTATGGCTCAATGCAGCCTCATCCTCCTGGGCTCAAGCGATCCTCCTATCTCAGCCTCCTGAGTAGTTGGGACTACAGGCATGTACCACCACTCCTGGCTAATATATTTTAAATTATTTTTTGTAAAGATGGCACCTCACTACATTGCCCTGGCTAGTCTCAAACACCTGGGCACAAGCAGTCCTCCCACCTTGGCCTCCCAAAGTGATAGGATTACAGGTGTGAGCCACTGTTCCCAGCCTAATTCACTTTTTGATGTTTAACTTGGGTGGGGGGTGCTATCCCATTTCTTCATGTATTTTGGATCGTGATTTGGAGACAAATTTTGCAAGGGATGTTTTGCATGTGCATACATATGCATGTGTATGTTTTCTATTATTCTCATGTGTGTGTACTTTAATATTTTCCTCTCTTTTTAAACTCATTATCTCTCTCTCAGGTGGTTTTATGGCTTCTCCCAGCCATACCCAGGGGCTTAGAGTTTAGAGCCACATCTGTTGGTAGTTTGCAGCTCCTACACTGAGTGATACAGAGATATCACTCATTTCATTGCCAGGCAGTAGGTAGATTGGTTCAGGTCCTGGTTTCAAGGCTGTGATGCTCTCTTTCCCAACTGCGAATCTTTGCCTCTTCCCTCGGCTCTATGCATTAGGGCCATAGCTGCATATAAGCTGTAGACCCTTGCAGCAAACTGTTTCTTTTCATGTTGCTTTTAAGTGTAAGTGTGTATGTGTCTCTCTCTAGGTGTGTTTTTGTGGGGCTCTGATTTCAAATAGTAATCCTGGCTTTGGGCCACTACCTTGTAAGGAGAATTTTAATCCCTGTTACTACAGCACGAGCTGAAAGCCCACTAATTTAGCCCCACTTACTTTTTTTTTTTTCTTTCACATTTCTGGTTCACAGAGATGTTCATCTTGCTTTAAAGCCCAGCTATGTCTTTTTCATTTTTCACTCCATATATTATCTACCACTGGATAAATGGTAGGAGCAGAGAAAGATGCCTTCAAGCAAGAGCTAATGTTATCTTAATCAGAAGCCTACCAGGACACATTGATTTTGTAGATGTATAGTCAAGGTTCCCTCAGTATTAATTCAAGCCTTAATTCATCAGGCCAGGATTAAATGAGTCGAACAAGTGCTTTTCTTCTAAACAAACATATGACATACAGAAACCTCTTATTAAGCTCAATAGCAAACTTGATTTTGAGGGACTAGTTTTTCCTCCTGAAGCTCTGAGATAGGACAAGCTGTCATGATAAGGATTCTAAAAGCCAGAAATGGTTAAAAGAGGTATCTTGGCCTGCAACCAAATGAAATAAGGTTTTTTGATTTGAGTCTGAATTCTCTTTTAAGGTATTTCTAAATGTTCATGAGAATTATCAAGAAGAACTGATGCTGGAGGGTTTGAACTAGAGATGATTTTTACTAAATGTTTTCTAATAAATGCAGTCATAGTCACAGAGCTGTGTTAGGGCATATTTTTGTTAGGGGTTGGGAAATTGAGCCATTTAGCCCTTATCAATTACGCATTTGAATTTTCTTATATTTAAAAACATCTATGCCAATACTTTTTGAGGTATACCATAATGTTAGTTTTGATGCAGTATTAACGTAGGGGAGATCATTCTCATAAATGATCAAGGTTCCCTCAGAGTTACTGTTCCAAGGTAAGTTATTCTAATGTTTTTTTTTTATTTTTTTATTTTTTATTTTTTGAGACGGAATCTCGCTCTGTCGCCCATGCTGGAGTGCAGTGGTGCGATCTCAGCTCACTGCAAGCTCTGCCTCCTGGGTTCACATTCTCCTGCCTCAGCCTCCAGAGTCACTGGGACTACAGGTGCCCGCCACCACGCCCGGCTTTTTTTTTTTGTATTTTTAGTAGAGACAGGGTTTCACCGTGTTAGCCAGGATGGTCTCCATCTCCTGACCTCGTGATCCGCCTGCCTCGGCCTCCCAAAGTGCTGGGATTACAGGTGTGAGCCAACATGCCCAGCCTCTAATGTTTAACAAGTACACAATGCACTCGTTTTAACAGCTGTCAATTATTACCAATACATATTTTGCTTTTCTTGAAGGTATACACGTACATCTCACCCCTAATGATTCTCTAATTGTTAGAATGTAGTCATGAAGTCATTTCAATACAGATGAATATATGTCAGTGATCAGACAACGACTCCACAGAGAATCTATTTACGTTCTTGATTATCTTGTAAATTATATTTCTCTGGTAGCTCCCTAAGGAACATTAATTCAAATTCAATACACATGGCTTCTGTCACTACAATTTCTTCCTGTAGCCAGTCATCCTAAAAAAAGTCTTCCATCCAGTATTTCTTATTCTCTATAGAGCTAAGAATCCCCCCATTCTACAAATATGTAGATATATCTGATTAATTTTATGTCATAAAGAATATAAACTCTGTTGTCTACATACAAATTTACACTCAAAAAAACTTCCCAACCAACTAATGGACATAAGAGATTAATCAAATTGGCAAGGCTTGTTCCCTTAACTCAACCTGCTGAAAACATGAAAGCAGCTGGCCCTTTTAGCAATGATTTATGAGTGCCTCTCTAGCAATCGTAACTATTATGTATGATAAAGAACATTACAACAATCTCTGTGTAATTTAAACTAATTTACAAAGGTCAAATGATTTCAGTGTAAGTCATCTACTCTTTAAATGGAGCTTCCCTACTACGTGTAGTTATATAGTTGTATAATGATATTTATGAAATAAAGAAATGAAGGTCACTTTCCAGTGATCAATGTTTTCTTAACAGTATCATACATTTAACTGTATACCAAAGCATGAGCACACACAGGGATTATTTTGTAAAGTAGAACAACTACAAAGATTGCCATCTAAAAGGAATAGATCCAAAGAAATCTGGCTTTACCCTCATATAATATTAAAAGCAGCTAAATCATATCCACCAATCTAAATTCAGGCAAATGTAGTAAATCATACAGAACTATTACAGCAGCTATAAATGTAGCCAATCAGCAGTTTTTTTTTAAATGAAAGACAAATTCTGCAAGCAAGATGAACTTTAAAAACTGGAAATTGCATTGAGCCCTTGAAATTACAATAAAGCTCAGTGCAATGGCTCACACCTGTAATCCCAGCACTTTGGGAGGTTGAGGTGGGAGGATCACTTGAGCTCAGGAGTTCAAGACCAGCCTGGGCAACATAGGGAGACACCCCCACCATCTTTACAAAAAAATTGAAAAAAATTAGCCATATGTCGTGACACATGCCTGTAGTCTCAGCTACTCAGGAGGAGGAGGCTGGGGTGGGAGGACCGCTTGAGTCTGGGAGGTTGAGGCTGCAGTGAGCCATGATCATGCCACTGCACTCCAAGCTGGGTAACAGAGGGAGACTCCATTTAAAAAAAAAAGTGACAATAAAATTTTACAGTACAGCTTTAGACATCTTTATCAAACACAAATTCAAAAATACCCCTAAACTAGGTGGAAAAAGACATTAATAAGGATAAGCTCACAGGGTGAGAAGTAAGACTATGCATATTTTAGGTCAGCCTTAAGCAAAACAGTAAAAATGGCAGGACCCCTCCAGGCTCTTGTTTCTAATCATTTCTTAGCACTGTCCCCCTTTAAAACATTCAGAGCCTTACTTCCAAGCCCTTTCCTACTGAAATTTGCTCAGTATAAAGGTTTTATATAAGACATTTACATTTTACTGGGATTTTATAATAAAGTTGTCATTTCTTCTAGTGATATCTGCATTTTAAAACAGATGTCAAAGAACGTAAAGGAAAAAAATAAAAGCTTTGCCCCATCAGGGGAAAGGTTGAACAATGCCACTTTTTGACACGCTGCCTTTGTGGTGCCTTTCACCATCCATGGCTGAGGAGAGAATTAGAACAAGGCTTGAGAGATGGTCTTGGATTCAGAAGATCTTGATTTATGACTTACTTGCCTCTGCTGCTTGCTGAGGCTGGGCAACTGACTTAAGCACTAATTCAGTTATGAGGATTATTAAGCCAGTATGGTCGACATTCTATATGTCAAACTTTCTTTGAACCATGCCCAGCCCATACTGTGTTCAATAAATGTTGGTTACTATTATTATTGTTATTACTTCTTTCTCTATATATTATTTACTTTTTGGATTTAGAACCTCAGATGTGCTAAAAACTTCCTATAAAAAGAAAGCACTTAATTATCTGAAATGGAAGCAATCTACTTAGACCTACTGAGCTTGGCAGAACATATGCATATCTAGCGCTTAGAAAGTGACTAATCACTCAGTATTTGTCCTGTAGATACCTGAGTTCTAGCCCCTAGCCACATTGTAGCCACCCCCAAATTTTGGAATTATTGTGTATCATCCATCATCTGTGCCTTAGTAAAGTTTATCACAGCTGAACATCTGGGCAAAATGAAATCACTGAGTTAAGATCACTAGGATGAGATTTCCTTGATTTGACCCAATACGCTAGGTATGTGATGAAACTGTCAAATTATAATATGTCCATGGATCATTGCTGAAATAAAATATGTGGACCAAGGGTACAGGGTTAATGTATCTAGGTGGAGTCTATTTTCTGGATATGTCATTGACACGTAGATCTGTATCTTGCTCAAGTTCCAAGAGACAGAACATGACAATATTAATTGGCTTCAGTTTCTTAATCTTTAATGACTGAGATGTTTTTCACAAATTCCTGATCAGATGCTAATTCATTACTGTCTATAGACTAAATGTATTAATCAAAAGTTCAACACAAGAAGAATTCATAAGAAATTTTAACCACTTATAACTGGAAATAAGACAGACTAACAAAACCTAAGACAAAAATGGCAGTGGCTGGTCATCATCAGCCAAAAGGAAAAACTAGGATTGGAGAGGTTTTAGAGGTGAAGAACTCTAGTCCTCAGGAATACTGCCATTGGGAAAAGTGTGTTTCCATTTTCAGACAAATACAGCAAAATATCAAACTTTCATTGTCTGTGGTCAGCAAAAAGCCGTAACAGTCTCTAGAAGAATCATAATTTTAAGCTTTGTGTGTCCCGGCTTCAATCCCTCATGCGTAGTTAGACTTAGTCTTAAGTTCTCCCAGTAACTTCAATTTGATGGCCTATTTTTCACTCCCTGGCATGCACTGCTATATACTCTTGCCATATATGATCCTATGGCCTCCTCTATTACAATGACAGAAACTATAGAATCTTTTTTTTTTTTTTCTTTTTTTGAGACAGGGCCTTGCTCTGTCACCCAGGCTGGAGTGCAGTGGTGTAATCATAGCTCACTGTAACCTTGAATTCCTGGGCTCAAGTGATCCTCCAGCCCCAGCCTCTTGAGTAGTTGGGACTACAGGCATGAGCCACCATGCCTGGCTAATTAAAAAAAAAAATTGTAGAGACGGTATCTCCCCATGTTGCCCAGGCTGGTCTCAAATTCTTGGTCTCAAGTGATCCTCCCACCTCAGCCTGCCAAAGTGTTGGGTTTACAGGTGTGAGCCACCATGCCCAGCCCAGAATAACTTCTTTAAAATAATTACCGGTACTTGTACATGAATGTTCATAGCTGCATTATCCATAACAGACAATAAGTAGAAATAGCCCAAATGTCCATCAAGTAATGAATAGATTAAAAAATGTGGTATATCCATACAATGAAATGTTACTCAGCATTAAAGAAAGAATGAAATACTAATACGGGCTATAATATAGATACCATTTTAAAAGATTACGCTATGTGAAAGAAGCCAGTCACAAAAGACTTTATATTGTATTATTTCATTTACATTAACAGTCCAGAATAAGCAAATCCATAGAGACAGAAAGTAGATCAGGGATTGTCTACTGCTAGGGCTGAAAAGAGTAGTTGCAGGAGAAACGAGGAGTGACTTGAAAATGGGGATGGGATTTCTTTTGGGGGGTGATAAAAATGTTCTAAAATTGTGCGCTGATGGTTGCACAACTCTGTAATTAATAACCAGTGATTACTAATACTGGTTAACCTATTAACTAATAATCAGTGACTAATACACTGTAAATGGGTAACTCCTATGGTACGAGAATTATATCTCAATAAAGGTCTTATAAAAAACTAAGTTCTAGATTCAAAATTTTATTTCTTATAGCACAAAAGATATTACCCCAGTGAAAACAATAAAATCTTATAATGCTTTCTCCTACTATGGAAAAATCAAGGTTTAACCCATGTACATAAAAGAAAAATGGTATGCACATGTCTTCAGAATTATCCGTGTGGACATTAAATATTTTCAGATGATGAGTTTTAAAAAGAGTCCAAAAATAAGCCCAGAAAATGCTTAAGTCTGGGTTAGCCTAAACAACTTGGATGGTTTCAGTCTAATGGAAAATGACATCACAAACTAAACAGGTATATTAAGGGATTTTGGGAAAGAAAATAATGTAAGAAATGAGAAAAACAAGGGAGATACCTGAAAATCAACCCCAAAAACCCATCAAGTAACAGAAAAACTCCAAAGGATATTTACCCATTCATTTTTATGACACATTTATGTACCCAGTGCTGTGGAGATAAAGATATATGTAGGACACTGTCCCTTACCCTTGAAGAGCTCACATTCTAGAGTGTGGGATATTGTTTACTTCCACCATGGAAACAAACCTTACTCGAAGGCAAAAAGACTGGGAATCATGCTCACTGCTAAAGCTAAAAATACAGATTTTTATCTTTGAAATTATCGCCTTGATTTACCAGGAAATTACAGGAAAAGAATCATATGGATTTACTTATGACTTGTAGTTACAACAGACAGACTAGCACCATAAGGTAACTCAGAATTTGGAGACACAAGAAAAGGTCATATTTTAACTATTAAGATAGTAAAAAAATAAAATGGGTGAGTTTAGCCATCTGCAGAAGCCATCCATGTACATATGTAATACCAACAGGAAACCATTTCTAACTGGGCTGCTCATGCCCAATTACAATCAAGTACATCAGGAGGTCCTTGGTCTTCTTCTTACACAAACTCTCTTCCTAGGAGGTCTCTGTCCTCTCCCCAGGCTTCCATCTCCGCCACAACCATGACCCCTTCCCGCAACTCATTACTCCTTAATCAAGACTTCTCTTCTAAGGCTTCAGACCTATCTCTCCAACATTCTCCTGGATGGCTCCATTAGCCATGGGCTCTAGAAGCTGAAACTTGCTAAGCACCAAGCCACACGAGGTTGATATACTGATTATGCAAGCTCTAAAATTTCAGTGCCAGGAAAGGAACAGCCTTCCTCAAGTAGCATTACACAGGACCATATAGTAGCTACACATCTTTGTAACTTATACCTTAATCTTACTTTGAGATGAAAGCTATACCTGCATTTCTGTCATAAGATAAAGAGGGAGAAATATCTTCCCATGTGTTGATGATACACTTTAAAATCACAATCCAGGAGAGGCCTCAAGCAACAACTGGCCTTTGCATCTAACTACTTACAAAGAAAGATTCCACAGTAATTGTGATGAAGCTAAAGGTGCTGTCTTTGGTAAACATCTTTCAAAGTTCAATCATTTCACAAGAAAGAACTCCCGATAGCAAGTTAATTGCATCAAGTCACTGGTGGCAATTTTTCTTGGTGGTTTGGGTGAAAAGCCAAGTTATTCGGTGGGATATTCTACAAAAATGGTGCAAAGAATTTTCTATGATCATGAGAGTTAATTTAATACCTATCTTTAGATTTTTCAGACTAAATCATTCTGGCTTCTGGGTCTACAGGGTAACTGCTTCACCACTAGAGCATATGAAAAGTTACTTTTGTGCGAAAAATCCAGGCTTCCTACGTGGGCACCTGTTATAGCTTTATCTTCTGATGTTCCCAGAGACACAACGGATAGGCTTCTCAACAACTACAGTAGAGAGTCAACTATGCTATCTCCTAGACTGGTTTTCAAAGTTTACTTCAGACTTGAATTTCTTTACCAAAGTGTGTTCCATATAACATTGCAGTTGGGCTCGAGGTCAAGTAAGTGGGAGCAACATGAGGTTAGACAAAGCTAATCAGGTTTCTTCACTTCCAAACTCCTCAGTGCAAATGCTAACGTAATGATGACTTTCCAGTATGAGTGCTTTCAAAGTTTTACTGTCCTTGGAATCCTTTTTTTCTCAGAGTATCTCAGTGGTATTCTGCAGAATACATTTTAGGCAACAGTGACCTTTATCCTTGGAGAACTGTCACCCTATCTTTGGTGTTTTAATGTTAAGCTTTCCACAATTATCAAAGGCCATGAGAAACAGCCACATATAATTTCCCTTGGGATTTGTTATAAAAATGTTGATAAGGACACTAGCCAATAATCACTTCAAGTGTAACGCTGCTTAAGAGTTCAGGACCACCACCCAAGTTTGAATACAGGTCCTATTACTTGCTGGCCATATGAAGTGTCCTTAATACTCTGTGCCACGTAATCCTCTGGAAACAGCCTCTCTTTCATAGGGTTGTTTTAAGGATTAAATAGGAGTTCATATGTACTCAGAACAGTTCCTGTCCATAGCAATCACTCAAAGGACAGCTATTTTTGTTATTATTATTATTACGTAGAGCCAGGAAAACAATGATGTTTCTTTAGGATGCTGCGTGCTTCTTTAATTCAATATTAAGAGACAGACAAATCTTTGTTTCCTATTATCTCCCTGGCTACAGGGAAGCTCAAACTGAATCTGAAGCTTAGTCAAATCAACTATGCTAATCCCTATGATGTTCATTGATCTATTATTTATATTGCAGGAATTGTATTGCTATGACTTTTTAAAGAATCCTTTCTGAAAACTGAATACGTAAAATCAACATAGGAAATTTCCACTTGAAATGTCCTTGGGCAAATAGAATTCAGTATGTCTGATACGTAGCTCTTTCTCTCCATGCACTAACCCTTTGCAAATCAGGAGTTTTTCCTGGGTGCACTAGGTTGCTTTTGTTTGTTTTTCAATGATCATTTCCCAGTTCCCAAATTAAAACTTTCCGTAACACCAGATGCCTCCCCCTCTCCATTTTCCCTTGGTCTCATTCATTCAGTGACCTTCTAATTTCTCCATCCCCTTCTTCACTTGCCTAAGACATCCTTAGTTAAGAACCTGGCATCTTTTAATGGACTATTCCACTGTGCTTCTACCAATCTTCATGGCTTTAGCTTTCTGCCAGGTCAGTTATTTTTCTCAATCCTCCCCCCCGTCAAAAAGCCATCACTGTTCACCTGCTTATAGGATAAAACCCAAACTCCTTAGTATGATGCACAAAGTCCTTTAAACAGTAGTCCCCACCTACCATCCCACTGCCCTCTTATTCTCCTCATTCCAAGCCACACATTACTCACTGGTCCACCAGTCTGGAAAACTCATCCTTCCCCCATCTCTCAGACTGGAAAACTCCCATTCAGTCTTCAACTCTTAAACTCTCTTTGTAAAGGCCTCTCTACTCCCTCTGATAGAATAAATCATTCACCTCTGTGCCCCCAGAGCACTTGTAACAGTAGGATATAAGTAGTTGTTTCTATTTTAACTTTTTTAAAATAAATTTTGAGCTCCATGAGGGTAAGAACCAAGGCTTATTCATCTTTGTAGTCTCATAATTTTAAAATTACATTAAGCACTCAGTAACTATCTGCAGAATTGAACAGAATTACATCCTCAGGCCTGGAAAGTAGCTAAAGAAACTCATGACCATAATCAATTCTACTGTAGAGGGACAATTGGCAAATGAAGGCCAACAGGAGGATGAGGGTCTTCATGAAAAATCTAAAAAAAAAAAAAAAAAAAAAAGGGAAATTGGATTGTAAGAACATAAACTCTTATCCAGCATGTTCTAGGGAGATGGCAGCTGTACTTGTAAGATGTGAATATTCTAATCGCCAGAGGGGTGCTTCAATTTTTTTGTAGTATGAAGCAGTCCTCACAAACATCCAATTTTAGATGCCAAGATTCTAGGCTCACCAGAACACAATTTGATTTTTATTGTGATTCCTAAGACACTGGATTCTAAGACACAGGATGCTGTGTGCCGAAAAAATGAATATATTCCTCATTTTAATAGATCTAGTATTTGCACTTAAACCAGATGCTGTCTCCTCCTAAAAAAGCTTTAAGGCAACCTTGATAACATTTTAATACAAGGCAGTTAAAAAGAGAGATAATTAGGATAAAGGGAGAAATAAACTTTCATTCTGGGTTATCCATTCACTGCCATGAACTGCATACTATGAATCAGTCCCCTCAGACTTCAATTAACTTTGGATAAACTGAAGGAAATTTAGTTACACTGGCCCTGCTAGTTAGAAACTGAGTCTGTGAATAATGGTGATTCCACTTCTACCATGTTCCTGTCCTCCCTGCCTGAGTAGAGCTGAGATGGTTGACCCCATTCTTACACAGCTTCTTAAATGTGGCATGTATGCCCTTCAGCTCTTATTCATCCTTGCCATAAAAGGTCTTGGCTTTCTGATTTCTGTGATCAAACTAGCTCCCTTTGTCTCAAGAAGGGCTCTGTAGCCCTTTGTTTTGGGGCCCATGTCACCAAATGATATAGTTTGGCTGGATCTCCACCCAAATCTGATCTTGAATTATAGCTCTCATAATCCGCACATATCATGGGAGGAACCCAGTGGGAGGTAACTGAATCATGGGGGTGGGGTTTTCCCATGCTGTTTTTGTGATAGTAACTCTCATGAGATCTGATGGTTTTAAAAAGGGCAGTTCTCCTGCACATGCTCTCTTGCCTGCCACCGTGTAAGACATGCCTTTCCTCCTCCTTCACCTTCTGCCATGATTGTGAGGCCTTCCCAGCCACACGGAACTGTGAGTCCATTAAACCTCTTTTTCTTTGTAAATTGCCCCGTATGAAAATGGACTAATACACCAAGTAACTTGAATGCCTAGTTTCGTTAAATGTATCATATACCACGCTTTCCTCTCCACTCCAACTTTAAAAACATGTGGGAACAGCCGTAGGAATCAGTCTTGAATTATTTCCAGTGATGTCTACTGGACATTTTAACATTCATTCCATTATGCTTCTTTCCTCCCTTCCTTACCCTAAATTCCTTACCTACCACTTTGTCTTCAGAGGCAGTCCTTCCTCTCATTCAAGGTCACGCCTCCTCCCATACTTTAGTTCCCTAACCCTTCTCTCTCCTGCCTCCTGTGGGAAAATGCTCCCATCATTCCCAAGCTCTGCCCTCCTCTTCTTCTGGCACATTTCTCCAGCATGTGAAAATTAGAGATTTTTAAGTAAAAAGAGAAAACCAGAGTGAACACTGCACGACACTGTGTGAAGTAACCCCAACAACCATAAATATGTTTGCAAATATTTGCATATGTAGAGAGCATGTTTGGAAGGAAACACAAGAAACCAAGAAAGATGGCAGCCTCCAGAGCTGGAAACACCACAGCCAGGGGAGAAGGTTGGAGAAGGATTCACTTTTCTCTATATGTCTTTTTGAACCCTTTGGATTTTGTATAATAATATACATGTATTCTCTACTAAAAATAAAAGTAATTAAATACACACTTTAATGTTCACATCTTCCGGAGTTCTACCAAATCCAGTGTTCTCCTTCTGCTACATGCTCCCGGGATATATAAATTCATTCTCACGGTTTCAACTACCACCTGTGAGCTGGCGACTCACAGTCCTAATATCTCAGGCTTATATCCTTTCTACAAGCATCAGAGTTCTATCTCTCAGACTGTCAGACATTTACACATGGAGATGTCACCAGGACCTCAACTCGACCTCTTCCATACCTCATTTATCACCTTCCAGCTACTCAGCCCTTCAGGAAGGACCTCTAATAAACACTGCTGCATTAAAGGATGGACCTGCTGCAACTCCTCCTGAATTATCAGTCCCAGCTGCAAATAACTACTATCATCTTGTTTTGTAGTTACCAGCCCTGGGAATCATTCCTTCATACCCTAGTCCCACAGAACTACCGAATCAAACAGCTCTATCCTCCCCCGAAATATCACTCAGATCAGCCTGTCTACTTCATTTCTATCACCTTACTTAAGGCTCTAATCATCTCTTTCCTGGGCTCCCATGTGACTCCCCCCAGCTTGATTTCCTCGTTCCAGCATCGCTCTTTTCAAAGTTACCCTCCGCACAGCTGCCTGTGTGGCGTATATTCATGTCAATATCATGGCCTGACTCCTGGATCACACCCTTGAGTTGCTCCCTAGACTAGGCACGGAGGCAGCAACTCTGCAGTGGGTACCACACCCTTCCCGACCTGCCCTTGCTGACCTGGTCAGCCTCATCTCCTCTCATTCTTTGCCTTCTTAAAAAAGGTAATACAACTGCAGTTTCCCTCAAACAAACTCTGCCATTCCTCACCCTGACACCTTTGTTTATATTCCATAGGAATGCCCATTCCTAACCTCTTCAGATTCCCTTCATTTTGGCCATCTTTTCACCATCATTGGAGACTTGCACAAAGACCTAATGAAAGAACATTGAATAAAGATTTCCCGTAGCTATGAAGATTGATAGCTACTAGACTAGGTCCAAAGTCATCAAGTCAATTACAAAGTAAAGCAACGGGATCATGATTTCCAGCTACTTTAATTCAGTGGTATCAGTAACTGATCTAGAACTTCTTTGACTGTAACAATAATAATCTTGCACAATCACTGGAGGAATTTAAAGGAAAAAGAGAAAACTCAAATTTTGGCTTCATAAGGTCTTACTGCCCAACAAGACATATGAAAGGTCCTGAGTAGGTATTAAGAATCTACAGAGTTCCCTCGTGTTATATAACATCTACTAACAACTTTAACTTTAGACTTTATGGTGAATTAGGTTAATATTTAGCCACCTTGTTGACTTGAGAACAATCTAATCAATTTGCTCTGCAGGTAGTAGAACGACAATGTCTTTGTCTCTCAGAAAGGCTACCTTTTCATTGCTAGGATCATACCTTGAATTTCAGAGCAAGTCTTGGTTTATTTAGACAGTGCAGAGACAAATACATCTCTGTATTTGAACACTACAGGCTTAAGTCAGGAGACTGAAGGCTTTAATCAACGCAAGAAAAAAAAGTAAACCTTGAGTCTGCAATGCTAAGGACACACAATGGGGCAAAAACCCAAGATCCAGTGGCTCTTTGCCAAATAAAGATGTATCTGAATTATATGTGGTAATGAGGGAGAAATATGATGCAGAAGCGAAATATTAAAGATTAGATATCTCACTAACACCATTAGTCATCCAAACTTATGGGAGGCACTATGGGAAAAACTCAGTCAGATTTAGCTTTTACTCAGAGCTTTAGCCTTATCTCTGTGGCATCAACCAAGAATCAGAGAACACCAATGTGGGATACATACAGTGCCTGTGATTTGGAAAACGGGTTCTTAACATTCTAAATTTATGACAAAGCCATGCCTGGTGCTAATCAAGGCAGTTTGAAAAAGGGGAGAATTTTGAAAAGCAAGCAGAAAACAAAGTCTTTGAAAGGCTTTTCTCTACGAAATTAGGTTTGTAAAAGAACTTTAGTCAAAAGTGCATGCATGTATGCTACAATTAAAATAAATTCAGCTTCAATTCATTTATTCATTAATGCATTCAACAAATATTTATTGAATACTATGTGCAACAACCAGGAGAAATGGAATTCTAAAGGCAGAGATAAGATACCTCTGAGACACTTCTCAAACAGCCATCCTCTGTTTTTCTAGGGGGTTGTAGGGAGGTGTCATGAATAAGAACAATTAATGGAATTTAATAAATATCTAGTCAGGAATGGGGCTCTCCAGGCCTCTCTCTTTTGCTGTTATTTGGAGATAAATCACAGCTAAAGGAACATAAAATATATATATTAACAGATCAATAAGTACACATCCAAAGGACTTGGGGCAATCTCAATTTTAAATATACTTTCTTATTTTCTCTAAAAGTATGCTCGTATTTGTCAGATTGCGTAGCCCAATGCTGACTTAGGACATAGCCAGCTAGACATGCACAGAGAGGGCATCTAAAGAATTCCTGGGTTTTCTCAACAGGAAATGGCAAATTAAAGGCTCCTTAAGCAACACTGAATTCAAGGGTAGCGAAGGCAAATCTAGGGCTCTGAAGCTCCTTGCGCAGAACTGCAAGAAGACAGGACAGGGCAGATCAAAGAAAACACACGGGCTGTTTTCAGGAAGGGAACTCTGTGGAGACATTTCTTTGGAATTTGGTAGAAGGTCAAATAGGACAAAATGAAGGGACAATGAAGGAAGCTCATCCTGATCATTTCGTGAAGGTCAAGGTAACTTACACAAAGATTTGCATCAACCCCAGAGTCCTCATTTTGGAGCTCTAAGTAGGCCTGGTGTTATGTTTTTTGTTCTTTTAGAGAACAAACCATCCCATTCTTGGAGAATGGTCTTGGATATCTTCCAGGGTAAAGCGGTTATCGCTGTGCCACAAGTAGATGAACAGGTTTATTCCGGGACACTCAGTCCTCATAGA
Source organism: Homo sapiens (assembly GCF_000001405.40). Taxonomy (NCBI): domain Eukaryota; kingdom Metazoa; phylum Chordata; class Mammalia; order Primates; family Hominidae; genus Homo; species Homo sapiens. Next base: position 31,167,066 of record NC_000023.11, read on the forward strand.
TAGTCCCTCAAGTTAAGGCACATTCTGGGGAATATGCCGCAATTCTATGTAAATGACATTCACAGAGACTTACTCTTCTTTATTATCTGGTTGAAGGCAGAGTTGCCTATTTAGAGTCAGAAAAATCTGGATTTCAATTCAGTTCTACCACTGGCTGACTGGGAAATCTGGGGCAAGCTGTGTGAACCTCTAAGAACCTGTGTCTCATTCACAGAAAGGCGACAGTCTCTTCTCCATAGCGTTTGTAAGAAGATTAAATGATCTAAAATATGTAAAAGTGCACTCAAAATGATAAAATGATAAATAAATGATAGTTATCAGTACTCTTTACAAACATTCTTTGACCCGGGTGCAATGGTACGGAGAAAGACTATGCTAACCACAAACGAGGCAGGGCTCTTGACCAATGAGCTCAAAAGATATATTACACGATCATATACTTCAAAAATATATTTACTCCTTGGTAACATCAAATTCTATTTACAGTGTCAGTTCCAACTTTTTATTCCGATTTGACTTTGACCCCTACAATAATTACAGATTTAACATAAATGGATATTACTGATTATTCTCAATAAAGTAGAAATGTTTTCTCTACCATGGTCTTCACTGACAAATGATCTCAAAAGTACGGCCAAAAATAAAGCTATCATTAAAACAACAAAAAAAGTTCAATATTATCTCGTGGATGGTACTCATGTGATGTTCTTGCTGTATTTTCAGGTTTTTAGCAAACATTTCCTGAGTAGCCATTAAATATTCAAACCATGCTAAGTACTCTGGAGGATATGAAGATGATTAAGATACAGTCCATGCCCCAAAGACACACACTAGCTCATTAAAGAGAGGCACTGGTAATAACTGATAAAAAGGAAAACTGTCAAGGAATTTTCTGAGAAAGGTCCAAAGTGCTCTGGGAATAGAGGCAAAAGACAGATTTCTTCCAACTGCAGGGATCTAGCAGGGCTCCATGGGGAAAGTTATTTTGAGCAGTGTGATGGAGGATAGGTGGGATTCCTTTGTCAGATACGGCAGTGGTGGGTTAGAGGTTAGCAGTTAGGCTGAGACTCAAGCTTGAGCTTGACCCCAAAGGTAGATGAGAGCAGGATGTATTCAGAAATACTAGCTACAACAGCATAGCCAGAACACAGGGAGAACAAAAGAAGATGGCATAGAAAAAGCAAGTCAAGAGAATATTGTGGAAGGGTTTGAACGCCCCACTAAGAAGCTTGATTTTTTTCTACATGCAGAAATCCAGTGAAAGGGGAATGCCATGATGGGTCTTGGTTCTGGCAAGATGTACAAGTAGAGTCAGTATGGAGGATTTATTGCAAGGGTGGGAAAGAGACTAAAGGGAAGCCAACCAGATAAGGAGCTATGGCCATAGGTAAAAGGTGTTAAGAGCTAGAAGGCTCGCAGTGGCAGCAGGAAGCAATGGAAGAGTGGCAGTTTGTTTTTTCATCCTGAAGTGGCATACTCCCGAGGGCACTGATCTCAGACACACTGCGTTGCCTACGTTAAGAGCTTTTGGTGCCTTGGGCTCAACCAAAGAGATGAAAGTACTTAAGACCCACAAATCTGAGCAACATCTACTTTAAATCCTTGCTTGGTGGCATCTGTCTGAAGAAGGCACATTGTGAGTTAGAAGTGATCATGTGAGAAGACTTTTTAAACCAAGGGACCTGTGACATAATAAATGTAATACAGAACTGAAAGTCCAATGATTTGCATTATCCTGACACAATACAGTACCCCAGATGTTTACATCTTTGTCCTCCCTGCAGTCATTATGAGAGTTCTTTAGCCTTTTTCTCTTCTACAATTTCTGCTATTTTTACATGACTGTCTTTTACAGGTGATGGCTGACAATTGGAATTGTCTCACTAACCTGCTATGATGGTGAGCATAAATAATAATTTCTGCATTTGATGATGAAAAATAAGATGAAACAATTGGTTTCCCAATATGACCAAGCCAATAACCCTACTTTCTTAAATGTTTGAGGTAGATAATATGGCCAAACACATGTAAAAAAAATCATATAATCATAAAATTAAATAACCTACTTTTTTCTTAAATTCTATTCTGAAATATAAAATCAAAGCCTTGGAGACACATGCAACAAGTCAAATACCACCATCAGCATTAACTCCTTCACACCTAAAATATGAGTTCTTCATCATACTATTGCATCCATTGTCTTCTTTCAGATAACAAAAAAAAAAAAGAGAGAGAGAATCTGCAAATGGAGCTAAACAGATTATTTTAGAAAACAATTAGACATAAAATGACTCTAAGTGAAGATTCCTGGCACTTTTCTATGTGTGCAAGTGTATGCACTCTGCATACCAATGACAAAGCTAGAAAGAAAACTCACCTGTTTTCTTCCTCAAGATCTGCTAGGATTCTCTCTAGCTCCCCTCTTTCCTCACTCTCTAAGGAAATCAAGATCTGGGCAGGACTACGAGGCTGGCTCAGGGGGGAGTCCTGGTTCAAACTTTGGCAGTAATGCTGGATTAACAAATGTTCATCATCTCTGGAAAATAAAATCAAAGGTTTTGGTTTTTTCCCCCCCTTATTTTGCTTTGGGGGTTAGGGACTCAGGAGTGTATTTGAAAATAGAAACATTTATTTGCTCTTAACAATTAATTAGACCTTTTTTCCTGCTTCTAAAGACCTTTTGATACTGCTGAGGTTGTGATCTACCATTCTACTGGTACCAATTCAAAGTGTTTTCTTGCTCAGATTTTCAAATGAAATTGATTGGCCTATTTACACGGATAAATGAAAGGCAGAATTACAGAAATACTGGGACTCTACGTTGATGTTAGTCAATAGCTAAAAAATATTAAAAGATATAATAATGGCTGTATAATGCTTTGGCCACCAAGCCTGTCAAGATAATCTGTTCACTAACCCACGCTATTGTTGTACTGAGTAGGAAAAAATACCTTGCAGCTCTAAAAGTAACAGAGGAAATATTTTATTAAGTGGAAGGCAATGTAACCAAAAAGTATTGCTTCAGTAAGTCAGTTTTAACTTATATAAGTCATTGAGGCAGAATGACAACAACAATTAAACTGGAGATACATGATTGTTTCATTCAGTTATTGTTTAGACAGAAGAACGAAAATTAAGGGGAAAAAAGACATTAAGGTGACTGATTAAAAGAAGACTGAACATCTCATTCCTCGGGGCAGAGTTTTTTTAAATACAAGTTTTATTTATTTTTAAATTTATACATAATGGTTTTAAGGACTAATCTTGCGGGAAAAGGAGGCAAAAAGGCTTCTATTTGGGGAGGCAGCTACAATCTTTCCTGGAAACTAGGAACTCTCTAATACACAGGACAAACTTTTTTCTGAATGCATTGCTCCAAGCTCCGGAAAGGCCTGTTTACCTCCAAGTTATAAGAATTTTCTTCTGTCCGTAATGACAGGCTAAAGCTCATTGTTTCTGGTTAGATATCATTAAGATGATACGCTAATATTCTCCTCTCCATACCCACTTAAGTTGAAAAATATCAGAAATTTAGGAAAAAGTCCTTCTCATTTGAATTATTTTTGTTTATCAAGCCAGTTACCTGGTTTAGATGTGAAAAGCTGACTAAAAATAATTATTGGGTATTAAAAACACACATTTAAGTGAAGTCAACCAATCCACCAAACCACTTCCCCAAACCTGCCCCTAAAATGCCATGAGTTTTTGCCATCCAACATTGAGTCAAAATGGATTTTATGTCCTCAGAATAAGCTAAAGCTTATTTTAAAATAAAACAAAAGCAGTTTTACCACCTAATTTATCACACTCATTCCAAATTCTGAAGTTGTACTGCTAGAACTTCCCATGTTTAATTATAACCTAGAGTTGTAACTACACTTTTCTTCCTGTTCTCTTAGGCAGTCAATGAATGACAGCCACTGTTACGTAGATACAACTCGAATTAATCTGAATGTGCTAGAGCTTCTAATACCAAAATCAGTGAGCCAAAGAAGCACAAGCTATTTACATTTGGCTGATTCTTTGGCCACACATTTTACTGTTGAAGTATCTTATATATTAGTACCATTAATACTTTTTCCCATAGCTAAGAAAGATAAGGCATCACAGTTATGGTTGGGGAAAGGCTTTTTTGTTTGTTTGTTTGAAGGAAGTAAGTCATATACAAATGACTGAGGGTTGACTTGATTCTTTATTATTAGCTTGATCGTTTATGTACCAGATGAGATTATTTATTCTCATGTCTTCAATAACTAGTTATATATATGCCACTTTGATACTATTTCTTTTGGCCTAATCCTTATGAAGGTTCTTTTCTCATCTGAGCATGACTTTGTGTTGCCACACCAACTACATATGATAAATTTACCATTCTTCCCTTTGTCTATATTCTCCAAGATGGGTGAGATATCCTTACTTTATCAAACTAAAAAGGCATCGTAATACTTTGACTAGATTTCTTCTCTTTATGTTATTTATTCACTTGGCAAATCCTTATTTTTTCCTTCATATTTGCTTCAATGTCTGCTCTCTCTACCTCAAGCCCCGGTCAGCATTTACTTGGTTCATGGCAATGTTCCTTTGTGCTCTGTATTGTGAACACTGCCCTCACTCTATAATGAAGCCTGTTTCCCTGCCATAGCTGTGTTCCCTGCTGCTCTTAGCACCGCTCTATCTCCGTCCTTAAAGTTTAACAGGGTTGGCTTATCATCCTGCTAACAACCTGCAACCTGAATTGGTACTTCTCCTCTGGAAACTCTTCATAAGATTGCCTCACTTTATTTATCTTGTGAAGATGCTAAATCACAAAAATCTACTTCTTTGGATTTCTGAAGGAAAATGCCCAACTAACCTACCATATGTGAATAGCCATGCTATACCAAGATCACGTTTCCACTCCCCATGAGTGGAGAAAATAGTACTTAGCCATGACTTTAAAATTAATATCCTATCCCTTTAAATATCTGGCAGGTTTGGTCAAAGATTAAGCATTACTATAAATACTTGGGACTCTGCAATTTGTAATCATATGGTATGAAATAAGTTCAAATAAGAGTAAGGCAAACTATTTTTGCTACTCTGAATACTAATAATGCCAGAATTTGGATGAGCTCATTCCATGCCAGGGCATTAAGAATTAAAGGAAAAAAGTAAATGAATGGCTCCTTAAAAGATCAAATGAATATGATGCTAATTCCTATATCCTGTGCTATCCTACCTCTAAATCCCTCAAAGCAATTTCATTGTCAGGAACATTTTGTAAAAAGAGATGGGATACTTACATGCTCTCATTAGGAGAGATGCTATCATTTAGATAAGATCCATTGCTGTTTTCCATTTCTGCTAGCCTGATAAAAAACGTAAAAGCTCATTAAAACTTATGTGACGTCTTAGAATCTATTCAAGACCTAATCGAACATTCCTGAAAACTAAAGGATAAATCATGGCAAGAAGAGAAAGGAATCCTTCAAATTAAAGGATGTGTGTGTTGGCTTAACCATTTGAGGCAGTGTGTGGTAGACCACAGCTAGTTAGTAGCACTACATTTATGATAGAAATTCTAAGGAAAGTTATATTTCACTGTTTTCCCCCTACAGATCAGTCTTGCTTTCACTGAGAACAGGTCTTTGTTTTCAGAAGAAAAGCTTCCCTAACAATAAGTGCACTCCCTACCTTACACTACCCCTTGTCTTTTAGGACAATTACTACTTTCCACTGATGACAGACTTACACAGCTAGCTAATGCTTTTCACGATTGGTAAACATGTCCAGCAGTTAGAATATTGACAAAGGATGGATGCACAGTAAGCTCTCTAAACATTCTGCCACCAATTTTTACCTTTAAAATCTTCTTCACCTCAGGCAATTATACAGGGGGTTTTTTGTTTGTTTGTTTGTTTGTTTTTTTACAACTAAAAAAGTTAACCAAACTCTTACGGATTTAACAAGCATAAAATATTTTAAAATTAGTAATTCAGTTTTTAGGTATAAAAATCATCTCAAACACAAAGAAGGTGAGACAGAAAAGTCCAAGGATTAGGAAAATTAATTATTCTCTTCTTTACAGCATATCATGTAAAATAAATACACAAACGGAAAGCTGATGCTTTCATATTCTCCATATAATATAGTATCATTTTTTCATATATGAATGTCTGGTCTAGCAGTTTTCTAAGGAGGTTAAACTATTTGTAAGCCAATTTAGTAAATGTGCTCAGTATAAAAAAACATAGCAAGGCTACCGGAAATGTTTAAAAGCCAGGGTTAGGGAAGATTATTCTGGACTAATGCTCTTGTTGGTGACCAAAAACAACATGCAGTGGAACGGCATGCACGTTAGAGGGCAAGTTGATTAGTAGGAATCAGACAAGTTTGGGGAAAAAAAGAAAAGATTTGTTTAAAATATCATAGGTTAGCTTTCCTTGGTTAGTTATTTCAATCAATATTTGCCTGGCATACAACTAGTCTCATACCTGCTAGCATAATGTTCAATGCGTGAATGAGTATCATCGTGTGAAAGCTGAGGGGACGAGGCAGGCCTATAAGGCAGAAAATGTGATTAGTCACAGATACCATCCATTAATGGAGAAAAAACCCACCACACAGTTATGTTATACACATGGCCTAGAATGCTTTTATTCTAATTCTATGGATAATGTATACATTTAGTTGCTCCTATATCTTAAATATTATCAAGTATTTTAAAATCCAGGATTGAGAGATGATTTCTCATACTTCTGCTTTTATTAAAAGCCATGAAGAGAGGCCAAAATCTTCTCTGGAAAATTCCCATCGTAGAAAAGGTTGGGGGAGACAGTTTCTAGGAAGCATTTTGTCCTCCTACTTTGTAATTTCTCACATCCTATAATTCCGAAATTGTGTTAGCCCTATGTGGTTTAAAATTTTAAATAGTTTACACCTGCGCCATTTATAGGCTATCTTCTTATTGGATCAAAGCTGTATATCTGCCTAGATACTTACAATTATTTTAGCTTCAAAGAGGCTACTCTAGTACAAGACTTCTTAAAACTCCATGTATCAAGATGTCTTGATCTATGCAATTTTGTAAAGAAGAAATGTATCTTCCAATTCAGCAGCAAGACTATACCACTAATTTCTAGCACAAAATAGAATGACCCTGGATTATATTGTGAGGTTTTAAAAAAGAATGACTAAATTTCATAGAACGTCATGATATCTGAAATATTTCTTAGAGATACTGTGTGCTAAAACATAGGTGAGAAAATAAGAGGAGATCATTAGCAGGAATAGTCTATATGCTTTTTGTATATAAACACCTATCTTTTCTTATCTCCATAGGCTAGAATTCTGGTAGGGTTAACATTTTTTCATCCTTTCATATCTGATCTATTAATTATCCTTGAAGTTTTTATAGTATCTTTTGGATTAACCTTAGGAAAAAAAACCATCTGTTCTGAAAACCAGTTTAGGCTTGGACTTTTTCTTTTAATTGGAATAGCACAAAAGGTCTCTTCCATTTCTCTGCTGACACAGAAAGCCCTTAGGTAAAGGCATAAATCCAAAAGTCAACGATAATGTAATTCAGAGAGGACCCTGGTTTAGCCCAGTGTCCAAGTAGCGTTGAAGGACTTGGTTGAAACACTAAGGAGAATGTGTTTGTTTCTTCTTACATTAAAAAAGAAAAAGATGCAGTTACCAGTAGCTAAGCTTGCATTAGAAAATGTGCCAGAAATTCATATTTCTTAATATACTACAGTAAGATAATTACGACACACTATAGCAAATAACTAGGGAAATGGAATTCTTCCCTGAGAGAGAAAGGTCTTATTTATGAAACCAATGTCATCTAGGTCAAGTGTAATCATAATCAAATTGAAATGAGTTATAAAGACGTTTAAATTGTCAAGAGGAAACAAAACGATGACTACTCAATTTAATAAGCAGATCCAAAGATTTCCATGTGAAACTTCACTATAGTTTTGGAGAGTTAATCTGTTAATCTTCTAGAACCCTGGCATAGCCCATTATTAGAAAAATGCTAAGGTCTGTTTTGAAATCTTCACTGCAGATCAAGATAAATTAATACTTGGATTATTTGTATTATAAGAACTATCTTTTGGAACAGACCAGTCTTTCAATTACATATTTTTTTAATAAGCAAAAAGCCTACCATCAGGGAAAATACATTAGTAGTGTTTTCCCTTGTAATAGTTGCTATCCTGGAAGTGTGTACAAGAATGAAAGCCTAAGACCTTGGAGCATAAGTACACCAAGAAAAGTAGGCATATAAATCCAAAATACTTTAATACCATTTTATACAGAAAATCTTATACAGAGCTTTAATTCTTTGCCTCAAGGATAATTCCATGTTATTTTTCTTATTAATATCAGTGGCGCCTATCACAGCATGCATAAGCACAAGAACTTACAATAACCAGAAATCTTAAAAAATATACACTAAAAGAGACATTTATTAAACCAGAAAATGAGCCAAAAGGGAGTACTGGTCAGAGATGAATCATTTAAAAACCAAGAATTAGTGAAAATACAAAGCCACTTAGTCCACAAACAAAACTAAGTGCAAAGCCTTCTAAAACACTTCCAAAAGAAGGTAATAATACTGTTCCCCGCTTCCCACTTCCTAAACACAAAACCATATACCCAGAAGGATTACTTACTATAAGAGTTAATGACCTACTTGGTCAATTCCATCCCACCCACCACCACCTTCTCTTTTATGAAAACTCTATTAATTAAAAGCTGACATTCATTTAGGTTTCAATGCAGAATCGCTCAAAGAATATCGTTTGACTGGCTCACTTATGGACAGACAACGTAAAGGCCTATGTTAGCTTTAGTTTTAAAGTAATATGACAAACACAAGCAAATAAGAGTTTAGTCTAAGGAAAACCAAACGGTCTGTATCTCTGGAAACTTTCAAATTCTGTGATCCATATCAAATGGATCAAATATTGTAATCATCATAGGATTTGTTAACATTAGATACAAGTCTTGCAAAATGAAACACGTTAGGACCTGGCTCTTATGCCTGAATAGGATGGCTTTGTAATATATTTTATACAGTATTTATAATCCTATGAATAAATACTTTAAATACAATTACTGCTATTAAAGAAAACACAGACTTCAGTCTGCTAGATTTGTTTTCTTCCTCAAAATTAAAACTTCCCACTATTTCTGAATAATCTAACCAACTCTTCATAAAAAGGCAAATTGGGAGGTGTGTTTTAGTTGTTAGAAAATATTTTTAAATAAAAGATGTTATTAATTTTAAAGTCTTTCAACGTTTAAGACAGACAAAATCTTCTACTTAAAATAAGTTAATCTGATTGTCATAATGTTTTTCTCATTAGCTTACGTGTAGCTCCTTTTTGCCTTTCAAGGACTATTAATTACTCTTTGTTTATTATTTGGTGCTACTTTTATCTATGTATTTGTAACAACTGTTCTTTAGCATATTTGTCGTTTGGATTTCTTACTCGGTTAAACTTATTTCCACATAGAGTAAATCCATTCCCTTATCAGGATCCAATCAAGCTGAAACTGTAGTGTATCAACTCTTTAAAAGTTTCTTATTTATGAACGGTTGTAACTTCTATAACAGACTACCTGGGTTAGGAAACACAATTTCCAAGAGGCAGAGGACATAACTGAACCTAAATAACTCCCTAAGTTCTTTAAGCATGATGATTAAATAAATCAGATAATATACTACTTATAGCTACCATATCTCAAAATTAAGGGGCGCAATAACGAAGTTTTAAAAAGGAAAGCATAGCCTTCCACTTCCTTTAGGCCTATTAAAGACTGAAAATAAACCTCAATTAATAATATGCATTTATCACGACAGGGTTTTTAAAAAAGGATCTAGTTTAGATTAAATTATATGGTGGAACAATAAAAAAGATTTAATAAAAAGAAATTGAATTCTTACACAAGCTTATCTTCCGAATTGGTCATTTCCCCTTTATCCATAACAGAGCTGTCTGATTTTCAATAAATATTTTAATAAAGCATACTTTGAAATACCAAAAGTTTGTTATAACAACCCTACATAATGTAGTTTTAAAATAGGCACTTTGTTTGCTAATATAGAAATCACAGGCCCCAAAAAAGAGTTTTCTAGCATTATAAACTCTGAGATAAATCATCTGCTGGTATCTAAGCTCAGTATTATTAATACACACCAATAGTAATAACAAAGAAATACTTTCCTCCTAGAGCAAATGTATAATTGTTTATGAGCTGAATATTTAGCTTGGAGAGGAGAGCAAAGTGAGTTTAGTTCAAAATTTAGAAACCCTTGTATATAATGATTAGTCAAATAGCATGGCATAACCTGATAAACAGTCCGCACACCTCATTAAAATTATTCAACCAAACTCAGCATCATACTTTAAAACGAATTCTGCTGATTTTTAATAGTCCACTTATAACAGACCCTAAAGATTCTAAAAAGCATCGAATCTCAAGAAATATGGCTAAAGAATGTTATTATGTAATCAGAAGCTTCTTCCTTGCTTTTATATGAAGAAATATATAAACATGTCTCCCAGGAATACAGCTAAAACTCCAATAACTTCTTTGATTATAATTTGAATTCAAGCCAGGATTTCTGCTGGTTTGAATTTCACCTGGTGGAGGAACCAAAAAACCCACTCTGATTCTCCTGATCTGTGTAGATGGTACTTTCAAAGTCTCATCAAGAAAAGAAAAAAAAAAACTGAAATGAAGGAAGGGGAATTAATATGTCCATAAAACAAAACAAAACAAAAGAAAACAAACAAATAAACAGAACAAAAGAGAACCAAGCGAGCGAATGTGTTGGTGGTAGCAGCACCCTTCAGCAAAAAAAGTACTCACGCAGAATCTACTGGCCAGAAGTTGATCAGAGTAACGGGACTGCAAAACAAAAAATGAGGTGGTGAAGGAGACACACGCAAACTCAGCCGCAAAAAAATTTACTGAAAGGTCAAAATAAATAAAATCCAGCCAATTAAGTATGAACCATGGAAAGCAATAGCCAAACCAAGGTGTAAAGTGAATTAAAAGAAAAACACACAGTTGTGTGACTGCCATCAGAGTTAAGGCAAAAAAGAGGAGCAGGTTGAAAAGAGGTGAAGACGTCCCCTTTGATCTTGAGAATCATTACTACTTACTGTGAAGTAGTTTCCTGTGACTATATTTTCTTTTGAGTAGAAACAAGTGACTAGATATGACCACACAATGAGATACAAAAAGACACACATTTACTGATTTGTGAGAGAGGAAAATCAAAATGAAATACTGGAATCACTCATTTGTAAACAGTCCCATATTTCTTATAAGGCTTGTAAGGCAATTAGTGGCTGTATTGTGTTGTGGTTTTTTTTTTTTTTTCCCCCTGTGAGATAAAGTTTAACTTTTGGAAAAAGAAATTGTCAAGTGACGTGGGAAAGTGGCAACTGGACATCAGCTTATTTTTCTCTTTTCAGCTAATGTAAATAAAAAGAAAGAAATAGAAGAGACTGTTTGCATTTGGGAGTGAAGGAGGGTGTTCAGCTGAGAGGAGTTCAAATATACATCAAACAAGAGTGTGTTCTGCTTTTGCTACTACTCACGTTTCCATGTTGTCCCCCTCTAAGACAGTCTGCACTGGCAGGTAGCCCATTCGGGGATGCTTCGCAAAATACCTTTTGGTTCGAAATTTGTTTTTTAGTACCTTGGCAAAGTCTCGAACATCTTCTCCTGATGTAGTCTAAAAGGGAGATCATGGTGAGATCAGATTTAGGACAGGATGATTTCAAAACTAATGACCACTCCAGTCTTCTGCCCCATGACACTTGTTTTGTAATTAAGGAGAGTGTTGTGGTTGTGAGCAAAGGCTTTGGAATCAGACAAATGGGGCTCTGAAACCAGGCCTGGCATGTACTAATTTGGCTGAGTTATTTACTTCTCAGAGGCTCTGATCATCAGTAAAATGGGAGCAACAACACCTCAACACGTTGTTATGATAAATAAAAGAAACATACAAGCTTACTAGGCTACTCAATAAATGGTAGTTTATAGGTCTTAAGGTCAAAAAGGTGACATTAAATTTTACCACACTTTATGGTATTTTAAAAACTACTTAGTACAAAATGATAGCATGCTTCACCCACTAAATTTCGGTCTATTCATAGCATGGTACATTCTCAATCACTGACCATCTCTATAAGAGGAATAAAAGTGAGACAGGCAAATATCTGGGAGGATCACTCTGATGATGGAAGAGAGAGATGCTCTAAAGCAGAGCTTCTCATACTTTGTTGTGTATGGGAACCAGCTGCAGATCTCGCTAAAATGTGGGTTTTGATTTAGAGCATCAGGAGTTGGGGCCTGTGGTTTCACATTTCTAATAAAGACCAAGGTAATGCCAATAGACATATGATGATTAGTCAACAGACCGTATCTTGAATAGCAAGCATGCAAAGTTTAGAGAAGAGGAGACTGTAAGAATTAAAGAAAGAGAAGAGAAACACGAAGGGTGGCTCTACAGTCAACAGGGACAGGTTTATTTTAGAAAAAACAAACCTGAGAGGAGCCTGTCTTTAATTCTTAGGCAGATTTGTACTCAGGTCTGTCTGGCCACCAAGTCTACATCCTTGCCATTTCCCTAGTGATTTTTCACAGTTCTATTGGCCACTTAACATTTTCCTAAAATAACATCTTAGGAGATGGCTTCAACTCTTACTTATAGAACCTTGAGTAAATTATTTAACCTCAGGACCTCAGGGTCCTCATCTGTATAGAGGGGATAAAAATCATAGTACTTATTTTACACAGGGTAGTTTAAAAGGTAAATGCCTAGCATTTAGTAAGTGTTAGCATATAAAATGGATTTTTAAAATGTCACTAGTATACAGGACAGATAATAGGTGAGCAACATTGATTAAAAGTGGTAGTTTATGAATTTGGGGGAACCTAGAACCATCCCCCATACTCAACATGCCTCATGGCCATAAGATCGCCCCACACAACCTCTAAGGCTGTGCAAAATAAACGTGAAAACGTCTTCAATACAACCATGCACACAGAATGAAAACCCTATTTATTCATCCAACAATATTTATTGAGGGTCTATCATGTTCCATATGTGCCAGGCACTCCCCTAGGCACCAGGGATAGGGTAAATCCTGAAGCCTACAGTTGAGAGCCACTTTAGCTGGGGAACATCTGGGGAAGTGACAAATCACAGCATTATACATGATCTGCAGTATTGTACAAAACTGAAATTTATCCCAGGTGAACTAACTCTCACGTCAGGCTGGCGTCAAACTTACCGGAGTGCAATATTCCACCATGGGATAGTGCATTTTATGGCCTTTTGCAACTCGACCAGAAAAAAAGCAGCTTTGGCAGATGTCATAATTAAAGTGCTTTAGACTCCTGTACCTGATAAAGAGCAAAAACAAACACGTATGTATTTCTTCGAATCAAATTCCCAAAGAACACTCTTTAATAAACCTTCTACCACGTTCTAATTTGAGAAACAGAAAGCAATGTTCATTAGTCCCACAAGGTAAGTGATTAACTTTCTGCCTCCAGATTTTTCCGGTGCCTCTCCTACAGTACCAAAACATTTTGGCAGAAAGATTATCCTATAAACATATGGAAGGAGGGAAGAAAAACTCAGCTTTTATTTAAACTCCACTAGGAACTCTTTGAGATTAAGTAGGAAGGTACTGGAAAATTTCCAGTCTTTTGAAAACCAAATACTCAAATTTAAAAGAACTTCCAGGAGCGACAGACTTACGCTGTGCATGCCCCTTACCCATCATGGGACAAAAGTTTTCTGAAGCAATTATTTTCAAAACATTGTCAAGATAAAGCAATTTCACAAGACAAAAGAAATGTGAACAAGAACTTTCAATTAAAACAAGTCTCGCTTTAATAATGTTTTCTAATTGACTGATACGATTCATCTTCAAACAGTTACTCGAATGAACTCTTTTATCTCTATCTCTTCAGAAATCTCTCACCCCATTACCTACAAATGATAACTGAAGCCCCAAGAGAACATGAAATTTGGATTAGATGGAAGAATTTATAATCTGTAAATACTAGTTGGTACATTTCCTCCATTATCAGAATGCGATATTCTTTGTTTCATACTCTCCTGCCTTTTGCTTTCTCAGATAAGAACCTTAGCCAATTCAAATAAACATATTTCTTATGTCACATATGGGGAAGTGGGAAGGAAAGCTATCTTTTTTAGATTCCAGCCATCTTTCAAGAGGGGGACAGGAGGAATGAGAAGTGCTGGGTCCTAAAATAATATAATATGATAAGGGCAAAAGAATTGAAGGTGAAAGTGCTCTTTCAGATCCTCCAAGGCATTCTTCTTCTTTATTTTATAAAAATTTCCCTTGTATACAAAGCCCACTAGCTAAGGAAGCAGAGAAAAGGTAGCTTAGAAATCTAATGCAGTCACTGTGGCTTCCCTTCCCCACTCCCCACCCCCATGGTATCATTTTTACCTGCCAAGAAACCGGGAAGGAAAGAAGGTGACCTTTGCAAGCAGTACCTACTCACTGTTGTCTATCTAGGCTTCAGAAACCTCTAAAAGTTTTTGTAAAACCTCTTTGTAAACAGCATGACTATGGAACAATAAACACCAAAAGTAAAAAAGCACTATGAATAAAAAGCACGCAACAGTACAAGGTAGTTATTAGAAAATAAAGTAACAAAACCAGTTCACACGTAACTGGAAAAGAGTGTTTACTTTGCTGCTAAGTGGATTCTGCACAGGCATAGACCATAGAGCTAGTTTACAACTTTGTGGCTTATTCATCACTATAGAAACCTTGATGTTGATTCACACATTTAAGGACATCGCAGTTTCAGAATTAGGATTTAGGATTAATGTTAAGTGAGATTAATTCATTTAAAAAAAAATCCTGTCTCCCCAAACAGGTCAGCAGGGCTAAAGATTTATTTGGCCTTGTTTTCCATGATATTTTAAGACTATCAGAATAACCTGCTACGTTTCCTATCTCTTTCACTTCTAAATGTATAAGGACTGGTTGTTTTTTAGCTGCTTTGTGAATCTTCCATTTACTTGCCTACTTTTTATTCCTTTAGAAGTTCACTGGGATACTATACAAAGAATGTAATCAGATTCACAGATAAAGAAGCAAGTTCTAAGATGCTGAAAACAATTCTTGTTACTTAAGGGAGAAAAAAAAATGGTGCAAAGTGAATGAGAGACTGAGCTACTATTATGGTTCCTCCCAGAATAGAATCATCTCTCAGTTTTATAACTGATTCTTGGGAAGTTTCTATAAACAGGAAAGACCGTGAAAAAGGAAAGATGGTAAAAATGTTTTGGTTCCAGGAAGGAGGAGGTACAGTTCATCTGTAATACCTCCGTGAAGACACGCACTTTGGCCTGCTCAACCAAAAATGTGGCTCCGAAGAGCTGAAGAGTGAAGGTGGTAAGGGACACCAGCCTAATAAGTGAGATCCACCAAAATAACCTAGCGATCAGGAGGGTGACAGGAATGATCGATGTTCCAGCCCAATCACCTTCTCTCCCACTTTGGAGACGGTACGAACTAACAGCAACTGGCACAGGAGATAAAAGATCAAGTCATAAAAAGGTGAAAAATGATGAGAAAAAAATGACATTTTTTTTTTGGTTCCTAATACCTGAATCCAATGATTGGACACTCTTTGCAGATGTTACATTTGGCCTGATGCTTGGCAGTTTCTGCAGCAGCCACTCTGTGCAGGACGGGCAGCCACACCATGGACTGGGGTTCCAGTCTCATCCAGTCTAGGAAGAGGGCCGCTTCGATCTCTGGCTTATTATTAGCCTGCAAAGACAGGAGGGAGAGAGAAGGAGGGCAAAAGGATGAAAGGAAAGAAGGCAAGATGGCAAAGGAGGTGTATATCAGTTCGATTAATAAGTTAAACAGAAAAGATAGAAAGAACAATGGTTGCAAAGCTAGGCTGGCTTTTCACAGCTTGTTTCTGCAAATGCTCCCTGATATCCAAAGAGCTACCCACTCCTAAGGCTTTGGTAAACTGCCATTACTCTTTTTGGCTACTAGATGACAAGAAAAGAAAACAAAACCAACAAACGAGAAAGGTAAGCAAACTACACACCTGAGCGAGACTTTATTTAGCTTTAATTTTTGAACTGATACATAAAAGTTAGCCAGAAGTGAAATGCAGGTGTTTACTGATAAAATTTCAAAGGAGGGGGACAACTGATTTTTTTTTCTAGAGAATCTGTTTCTCATAGAATCATAATGAGGGGCTTTAAAATTCATCTGGTTCCAAAGCCTCATCTAACAGACAAGCAAACTGATTTTGTAGACCAGAAAAGGAGCTTTTCAAAGGCCATACAGCTAGCAGCAGAGCTGATAATAGAATCCAAACCTCCTGGCTTAGCGCTGTTTTCATGATGCCCTGTTGATTCTGTCTGCCTCTCTATTTCTCTCTCTTTCAAAGTCTAAATGTAAGAAATACAATTCATCCCAGACAGGACAATGATCTCAACAATCTCAAAATACCACCATTTGATTTATATGTTACTATATTCATGAATTTTAATTATACCTTGTTTTTTTCAACCCTATAGGATTGTTTTAATTTTTTATATTATTAGATAGATTGACCTATATATTGACTACTTTTTTGCTCTTCATTGCTTTCTTTCATCTCAAATCTTCCATCTGGGATTAGTTCTGCCTGAAATATGTCCCTTAGAATTTCCTTTAGCTGTTGGTGGTGCATTTCTCAAGCTCTGTTTGTCTGAAAATACCTCCTTTTTTTAAAAAAAAAATCCATATTCCTGATAGTTATCTTCATTAAATACAATTTTTTTTTTTTTTGAGACTGACTCTATCTCTATTGCCCAGGCTGGAGTGCAGTGGCGTGATCTCGGCTCCTGCAATCTCCGCCTCCTGGGTTCAAGTGATTCTCATGCCTCAGCCTCCCAAGTAGCTGGGACCATGGGCACACGCCACCCCACCCGGCTACTTTTTGTATTTTTAGTAGAGATGGGGTTTCACCATGTTGACTAGGCAGGTCTCGAACTCCTGACTTAAAATGATCCACCCGCCTCGGCCTCCCAAAGTGCTGGGATAACAGGCGTGAGCCACTGCGCCTGGCCCAAGTATAAAATTTTTGATTGAAAGGTTTTGGGGTCTTGTTTTTATTTTGTTTTTGAATACTGAAATATTACTCCACTTTCGTCTATCTCTGTTGCTGCTGAGAAGTCAATAGTAAAGATGACTGTTGCTCCTTTGCAAAAAACACATGAAAAAATGCTCACCATCACTGGCCATCAGAGAAATGCAAATCAAAACCACAATGAGATACCATCTCACACCAGTTAGAATGGCAATCATTAAAAAGTCAGGAAACAACAGGTGCTGGAGAGGATGTGGAGAAATAGGAACACTTTTACACTGTTGGTGGGACTGTAAACTAGTTCAACCATTGTGGAAGTCAGTGTGGCGATTCCTCAGGGATCTAGAACTAGAAATACCATTTGACCCAGCCATCCCATTACTGGGTATATACCCAAAGGACTATAAATCATGCTGCTATAAAGACACATGCACACGTATGTTTATTGCGGCACTATTCACAATAGCAAAGACTTGGAACCAACCCAAATGCCCAACAATGATAGACTGGATTAAGAAAATGTGGCACATATACACCATGGAATACTATGCAGCCATAAAAAAGGATGAGTTCATGTCCTTTGTAGGGACATGGATGAAATTGGAAATCATCATTCTCAGTAAACTATCGCAAGGACAAAAAACCAAACACCGCATGTTCTCACTCATAGGTGGGAATGGAACAATGAGAACACATGGACATAGGAAGGGGAACATCACACTCTGGGGACTGTTGTGGGGTGGGGGGAGGGGGGAGGGATAGCATTAGGAGATATACCTAATGCTAGATGACGAGTTAGTGGGTGCAGCACACCAGCATGGCACATGTATACATATGTAACTAACCTGCACATTGTGCACATGTACCCTAAAACTTAAAGTATAATAAAAATAAAATAAAAAAAATAAAGATAATCTATCTGTTTTCTATCTTGTGCTGTTTCTAGGATTTGATTTAGACTGCTTAGGATTCACTGGACTTCTTAAACCTGTGATTTAGAGTCTTTAATCAGCTGTGGAATCTTCTCCGTCATTCTCTCAACAAATAGTGCCTCTTCTCCATTCCCTCTCCATTCTACTTTCAGAACTCTGTTACATAAATGTTACTCTTCTTCAATCTATATTTCTCTGAACAGGACTTCCCTAGTTCCCCCCTCTCTGCCCCACATCTTTTTAAAACATCCTTCTGTGCTTCATTCTTATTAATTCCTTCTGCCTTACTGTCTGGGTATCCATTTCTCTTGCCGGTCTGCTGTAAACCCATACAGTTTTAAATTTTGATTATTGTACTTTTGACATCTAGAAATACTACTTGGTCATTTTTAAGGTAACTTCTCAGGTTTGTGGTTCCCTGTAGATATTTTTCAATGTTGTTTTTTATTTTTCTAACTGCATAAACACAATTAAGAAAATAATCTGTCTAATAATTCTGGAATATGATGTTATCGTAGGTCTGCTTCTATGGTTTGCTATTTCTTCTGGTTCTCATTCACCTTGATTTCTTTCTTTTTCCACCTTGATTTCTTGTGTGCTTAATATGTTTTTTGTTTTTTTTTTTTACCACGTACTAAACTGACCTTACCAATATTTTCTAGAGATAAATAAAAGCTTGAGCCTAGAATAAAAGTGCTTTCTCCAGAGATGATTCTCCTTTGCTTTTGCCAAGAACCAAGAAGCATTACTTATTCCACAGCCAATTTCAGTTGAATATATGACATGGGAATACTTAGTATCACACAAGTCATGGGTATTTGAGCTGCAAAGCCAAGTTGCTTCTCTTGTAATGTGGTTTCCTAATAAAGGACATATCCACATTTCAGATAGAAAGGCAGGAGGGTTTAGACTGACAGGTCATTTGGCTTATAACACTGATCACCTCAACAGCACTCCAGTCATTACCCCTAATTCTAAATTTAGCAACACTATAATAAACTGTTTAACTTTGGATTTCCTAGCTGCAAAATGGTATCAGTTCAAACTTCCGATCAAATGCTACTGTTTACCAAAGACCTAGAATCAATCTAAATGCCCACCAATGGAAGACTGAATAAAGAAAACGTGGTACATATACACCCTGGAATACTCCGGAGCCAGAAAAAAGAATGAGATCATGTTCTTTGCAGGAACATGGATGGAGCTGGAGGCCATTATCCTTAGCAAACTAATGCAGGAACAGAAAACCAAGTATTGCATGTTTTCACTTATAAGTGGGAGTTAAATGATGAGAACACATGGGCAGATAGAGGGGAAAAACACACACTGTGGCTTATCAGAGGATGGAGGGTGGGAGGAGGGAGAAGATCAGGAAAATAACTAATGGGTATTAGGCTTAATACTTGGGTGACAAAATAATCTGTACAACAAACCCCCATGACACAAGTTTACCTCATAAGAAACCTAGACAGGTACCCCTGAACTTACAAGTTAAATTTTAAAAAGCTGTTGCTGAGCACTTTTCTCTGTGTAGAGTTCCATCACAGAGGTACTTTGTGGAAAAAAAAGTTTATAAAGAATTATGCAATCTAAAAATGAAAAAGATCATGCAAGTCCATTCATCCTTTTGGCATGGCACCACAGAGCTGTAAGACTTTCAGGATTCACTGAGTCCAAACTCAGCATTCATCGAGTCCAAACTCTTACCCATGCCAGTGTGTGCTTACAGCCACTACACCACCCATGTGAGAGAGCTGGGAAACATCCTTAGAAGGTGATCCTGAACACCTGTGTCCAGATACCCCTGTCAAAAGTGCTGCATCACATTGAGCTGAAATCCATCAGCACAGCATATAGAAGTTCCAGAGTTAAACCACTGGAGTTCACCACTCACTGGCTGTGTGACCTTAGGAAAATAACTTTATCTCTCTGTGTCTTACTTTTTCTCTGCTACAAACTGGAAATATTAATAGTGCCTACCTCATAGAGTTATTTTATGATTACGTGAGTCAGCAAATGAAAGGCAATTGGAACCGTGTCTGACACATAGCAAGAATCATGTTTGCTATTGTTATTGTCATTATTATTATCCATCTGACCAGCAACCCAGAAGTTCTTGGTCTTTGAACAGCCCTTTAAATATTTTACCAGAGCTGTCTTATCTGTCCATGCCTCTTCATTCCTATTCTTTTTACTTCTTCTTCATATGACACGGCTTAGTTTGCCATTGTCATTTAGAAAACTATTCTTCAAATATGATTGCGGAGAATGTACCTCTATTTCTCCAGACAGTGTAACTGGATTACTTTCTTTTGTTCTGTACCGTAGGCTCACACACGGTTCCTACTCAACTAAAATCTCTGAGTCAGTGTTTCCCAGTATGTCCAGCAGATCAATCGTCCAGCAAAATGCTTCACGAGAAGGTCAAATTAATGAAAGAAACAGTGCACATTATATCTGCCTCTTAAAATTCTTAGAGCACGTTAACATATTAAAAGCTGAGAAGGTCATCAGTAAAGCAACATGTTAATCAGCTCTGGAATCTTCCCAGATTCTCAGAGAGAGAGAGAGAGAGAGAGAGAGAGAGAGAGAGAGAGAGAGAGAGAGAGAGAGAGAGAGAGAGAGAGAACAAGCAAGAGTGACTTCTGAAGGGGCGATTTAATAACAGTTTTCAATTATGTGAATGGCTCTCGCATAGGGGCCTGTGACCAGCTGTTCGATCTCTCCACTGAGGACAGAACAAGAAGAAACAGACTTAAGCAGCATGAAGAATTTAGGCTGTAGCTCATATGGAAGAATTTCCTGATGCTGAAAGTTGTTAAAGCATTAGTGTGAATTACCAAGGGAGGCTGTAGAATGTTCTACTCTTTCAAAAAACTATAGATTCTTCTATGCTTAAAGGTTGAACATTCTCAAATTTCTAGCCCCTAAGATGCAAGATCCATCATGTTGGCTCTTTTAAAACTGCTCACCTACGCCAACTGACAGACTGAAGACAAGGTACGGGGATTCACGTTCTCATTCTGTTTCAATCTTTCATTTTTATGACAAACTACTCTGTATCCTAGTGGTATATTCCCTCTCCTTTTGTCTGGCAATGAAGAAGGAAAGAATTAAAAGCCAGGCAAGCTTCTGTAAAGACCTAACAGAACTAGAATTAAACCCAGCTAAAATTACATTTCGATCATTCCAGAAAAAAATATATAGGGATAGATTGGAATAGCAGGAAGTTATTAAGGTCAAAAGATAAGTATGATGGCATTCACTGGACTGAGATAATCTTTGTAAGTACCATTATTTGTTGAGATACATATAAGTCTCAGATATAATCCCCTCTCAGTATCAAGGGTGACCTTGTCCTCATCTCTAAACACCAGTTTCAAGCCATGCAAGCAAAATCTCTTGGAAAGGTCATTTAGCCCTGGGTTTTGTTTTGTTTGTTGGCTTTGTTTTGCTTTTGCTGTTGTTTTGGCAATAACTCCATTTTCCCCTTCTATGTCATGCACACACAGAAAGCAAAGCTATCACAGCTCCTTCCATTATGATGGTCACAGTTTGGAATTATGTTGGGTTTCTCCTCTTTTTCTGTTGGTCCTCACCTGCCAGCAACTATCCATAACAGAAAAGCTAGGGGAAGGAATCAGTTGTCATTACTATTGCTCTGTTACAGCACACTGGAGGGTGGCTTCATACAAATATCACCTTTATACAAATATAACAAGGTACACAGACAAAGAATTCTCAATATCTGGAATTTCTAGCAAACCGATTTACCTATCAATATAATAAGTTTAAAAGGGCATTACATGGCAAGTTTGGAGGTAGGAGAGTTGCTGGGGTTCCGAAGAACTTTTGGATTTCTTTGATGTTGTGCTTTCTATAAATCCTTGGACACTGAAGGGCCAACCGCCTGCCAGGAGGTCCACCTGAATACTCATTTTTCTCTCAAGGTAATAAAATCAATTCATGGCTACAGAAGAAATGCAATTAAGTATTTCTCAGCAAGCCCTGCATCCCAGCTACCATGAACACGTACATTGTATTTTTTAGGAGAAGGCAATTGGCATTTCAATTGTGAGGTTTGTGAAAACCATGTGAACACTTAATAAACTACAATAATTAGTACAGTCATCCCTCAGTATATGCTAGGGGTTGCTTCCTGGCCCGCCGCAGCCCCACTCCCACGGGGATTTTGCTGTTGAGATACAGCAAAATCCACGCATACGCAAGTCCCACAGTAGGCCCAGCTGAACGCATATCCGCAGGTTTCACATCTCTTGAGTACTGCATTTTCGATACGCATTTGGTTGAAAACGATCCACTTATAAGTGGACCCACACAGTTCAAATCTATGTTTTTCAAGGGTCAACTCTATATAGAGAAGTAAACATTGGGCAAGAGACTGTGCCCAGTAATTCTCAGATAACAAGAAACCACCATCCTGGAAACAATACAGAACGATACCTCCTTAATTTCTTTCCTAAATTGCAGATTAATTAAAGACAGGAACTATACTTCTGGAGTCTCTGTTAAAATCTGCTGAATTGAACAGTGGGTGGGAATTCAACTGCAATATGATCGCAAGAAATAAAAGGAAGATTATAAAATCTGTATGAAGTCAGAATTTTAAAAAGCTGCCTAGTCATCCTGAAGAGCAAAAACATACACTTGTAAAGATTTTATAAAGAGCAGAAGACAAAATAAGTTACTTTCTCAAACTGTCCAAAATTTCCTTTATCGATTACAGTAAATGTCCTTGTGTTGGTTTCTATGTGATGGTATCACACATAAAAGGCTAACAGACTTCATCTGGACTTAGAAGGTATGTACAGAATGATCTGGCTTAAAATATAGGTATACACAAAATTCACACTTGGGGCCCTTGAAAGGAACTGCACAGGCAGATAGCTTTTCTCTAGGTCGGTGGTTCTCAACCGGAAATGATGCCGTACCCCAGAGGAAATATAACAATGTTTGGAGTGTCGACCAAAAAACATCAGAGAAAAACATCGCCAAATATGTTAAATTTATTTTGGAATTAGAAATGAGGATTACAACCCAAGATGCATCTGAAGAGGAGACTGTAGAGGGAAACTTTTATTGGTAAAAACAGAAGTTTACATAAGCTGCTTGGAAACATAGTTCGTTTCAGATGCTCAACGCCAGAACTGGTGTCAGTTTATTAGTGGGGATGCCATTACTGGGCAGATGTTCTTTTGAGAGCATATTACGTGCACTGCTGCAGTCCTAACAGAGGAATTTCTTGTGGGGCGATTTTAGAAAGTCCTTGAGACAGTCTTTATCTCAGGCATGTAACCATGAACCCTCCTCCTTTCATGCTGCCCTGGCTCTAGTTAGTTTGGGACTGACAAAAAGTGATTTCATCCTGGTATCTTTTACGGGAGACATTTTTGGTTGTCACAACTGGGCGGGGGGGGGGGGGGGGGGGGGAGGGGGAGGGCGGGGAGGGGGTGCTACTAGCATTTAGTAGATAGAGGCCAGGATTCTGCAAAACATCCAGCAGCACACAGGGCAGCTTCCCACAACAAAGAACTAGAATGATTCGGGCCAAAGCATCAGTAGCACCAAGGTTGAGAAACCCTGCCCCAATGTTAACATCTTACATAACCATATGGTTCACTTGTCAAAACTAAGAAATCCACATTGATTCATCACTATTCACTAAACAACAGACTTCCCTGAGAGTCCTGCAAGGGCATTTAATAAGCCGGCAACTATCCTCTACAACACAGAAACTGGGAGGCTACCATAGGCCTATTCAACTGCCGAAATGCCACACTCGTTCATAAACTGAGGGTAGAGAGAGCAAAAGGGAAATTAAAAGCCCCAAACTAGAAGTCACAAGGAAACACGCTAAAATTGTAGACTCAGATTTGAAATCAAGTTGCTTCTCAAACTGACAACTCTATGCAGTGTATTCCAGGATAAACAGTTGCAGAAATTTATTTATTTAATCATGGCAGATAATTATCCCAAGCAAGGTAAAGCAGGTCTGCTAGTACAATGTGTATGTGTGTGTGTGTGTGTGTGTGTTTTGATTTTACTTAGTACAGGTCATAACCATTTAGAGAAAAAATAAGAACTAAATATGCAAATATTAAATACATACATATCCATAAATAGAATTCCTAAACATTTTTATTGACAGAAAAAGGTAAATTTATGGAAAACATTGTGGGCAAACCACAGATTTTTAAAAAGGGTAATCTCTCCTTTGTGGCTGATATGGTTTGGCTGTGTCCCCACCCAAATCTCATCTTGAATTATAACTCCCACAATTCCCACATGTCGTGGGAGGAGCCTGGTGGGAGGTGATTGACTTATGGGGGTTGGTCTTTCCTGCGCCGTTCTCGTGATAGTGAATGAGTCTCACACTATCTGATGGTTTTAAAAACGGGAGTTTCTCTGCACAAGCTCTTTTTTTGCCTGCTGCCATCCAGGTAAGTTGTGACTTGCTCCTCCTTGCCTTCTGCCATGATTGTGAGGCCTCCCCAGCCACGTGGAACTGTTAAGTCCAATGACCCTCTCTCTTTTGTAAATTGCCCCATCTCAGGTATGTCTTTATCAGCAGCGTGAAAACGGACTAATACAGTGGCCATTTTCATTTGCTATTTTCATTAGTAACATGTTCCCTTCATAAATCCAAAAAATCATTTCAATGTCATTGCCATTGTTAATAGGTATTGGCATTAATAGCTGACAACTCAACTTTTCTAGCCCTCGTTATAAAAAGCCTTAGCATTTGGAAAGATTTGCTGAATTTAAATTTATAAAAACTGTTTTTTGAATTACAGTCTGTACACAAAGATTTAAAACTACAAGGAGAACGGTTAGTCAGGGTCAGACAGTATAGGACAGGCAGTCCCTGACTGTTCCCTGATCTGTTATTACAATTTCTTTAACAACCTCTAAATCTACCAAGGGCATCAGTGGAATATTTTACATAAGAGAGAAGTCTGCACCAGCAGAGAACATAAAAGGAGGAACAAGAACAAGCTGTAAAGAATATTAATGACTCTTCTTCCAAACAATCCCAATTTTTATGAAAATCAAATGAGTGATAAAAAGACTCTATAAAACTATACAAAACCTGCATGTAACAAATAAAACAGAAGGAAGGTGACATTTTGATCCTCTTAGACACAAGATACTTGGGTTTTACCTTTGAGTTACTGAGGAAACTATAGTGTACGGACGCAAGGGATCATTTACATGAGGTTGTACACAATGGTTTTTCACATCTTGCTCTTAGTGTGTGTTTCCATTCAGAGAACACTTGGTCTCATGTGAAATGCCACACTCTATGTACAAGACTGTTTTCTATATCTTATAGCTCTGATACAAGAGTTGTTACCCGGAAGATCAGGTAAGACTTTGCTGATCATGGCCAAGCTTTGAAATAAGTACAATAATCCATTTCCCTTTCGGCCTTTATAACATTTAGCATAGAATCAAAGACACTTAGGGATAAGTAACTTTTGAGATAACCTGTTTTAACTTTATGTTACAGATAAGAAAAGGCCCAAAGAGGTTAAGGAAACAGCTTAAGATTATCTACGATTTTAATACTGAAATATATGCTTAAAATAGTCTTAAAAAGACAGGACAAAAGTGATTTCCTATGGGAAAAAGCAAGGCGATCCCCAAAATCTTTTGAATCTTTAATTTGTTTGAAAGTACTAGAGTCTGATAGCTAAGTAAGCAAGGCCCACTTAGGACAATTTCCAGGTGAATATAAATCTTCAACTGAATTATATGCCGATAACATGGCTGCGAGAGCCAATGGAAGGTGCAAGTGAATACCCCACAACACTGATAAATGCATACTTATATCTCATCTGATCAACTCCTTTCCCCCTTCTTTTCAGCATTACATGTCCCTCGTACCATTAGATGCTACGGCATGTATGAGCTACCTGGACTGACAGGTGCGGGTCCATATATATTGAAGTGGCAAAAAGGAAAAAAAAGAAACAAAACTCTATGAGCTTCTCAATTCAGCACAGTTTTCATGTTACGTGTTTTAATTATGTCAATGTGTTGTTCCCATAAAAGGATTGGTTAATATGGAAATGTATTTATTAGACATCTGTTTATGTGGCTCTCTGGAGAAAGGACTTTCAATTCCATACACTGCCATTTTAAACAATTCCAAGACAAAAATAGTATCCAATGGCAGTTCAGTAAAGAGAGATATCATTCTTTGTACACTCAGAACCACCTTGGATGTCCACAGTGATATTCATGAATAGACGGGGGAGAGGTAGAAGCTCTTCTTTACATAAGAAAATGGTCTAATACATGCAGAAAGTATGGTAGAATTAGAAAGCCACCATTATGCAACCACCAATATTATAACTGAATTAGACAAGGATCATCCATAAATGCTAAAACCATAGGGTAAAAGGTTAAGGAATGGATATTATAATATGTCAAAATATCAAAAAATTACTTTCTCATTACAAAGGGAAAAGGATATTTTACAAGGAAAGTATCTTGTAGACACCACCTTAACATTCTTAGTGATACCAATAGGAACAAAATGTTATTTTGTTCCTCCAGATTGTGATACAGTGGTAGGTACAGAGCATCATCTTATCGTCTTTTGGCCAAAAAATGTTAACATTAATCTAATCACAAGGAAACCATCAGAAAAGCCCAGAGTATGGGACATTCTTCAAGAGAACTGGTCTGAACTCTTCAAAAATGTCAACGTCAGCCCGGCGTGGTGGCTGATACCTGTAATTCCAGTACTTTGGGAGGCCGAGGCAGGTGGATCACCTGAGGTCAGGAGTTCAAGACCAGCCTGGCCAACGTGGTGAAACCCTGTCTCTACTAAAAATACAAAAATCAGCCGGGTGTGGTGGTGCATGCCTGTAATCCCAGCTACTCCTGAGGCTGAGGTGGAGAGTCACATGAACTCGGGAAGCAGAGGTTGCAGTGAGCCGAGATTGCGCCACTGCACTCCAGCCTGGGTGACAGAGCGAGACTCTGTCCCCCTACCAAAAAAGTCAATGTCATGAAAGGAAAACAAAATGCTGGGAGACTGTTCAAAACTAAATGAAGGTACAGAGACATGACAGACAAAAACCTTGACTAGATGCTGGAAGAAAACAGTGGCTATAAGGAACAATTCTGGGGCACTGGGGAAAGTTCAGTGTGGACTGCATATCAGAGGGTATTGCTGGATTGCTGTTAAATTTGTGTGTAACGATAGCATTGCAGTTATGTTAGAGAATGTCATCCTTTAAGAAAATGGTGTATGGTGAAGTGTTTAGGGGTTTATGTTGTGATGCTCCTTTACTTTTAAATGGCATAGGGGAAAATGTGTTTGTGTGTGTATGTACACAGACAGACACATACATAAACAGAGCTGAGAGGGTGGAGGAGGTAAGTAGAGCGAAAAGCAACCATGGATTGAACAGATGTATGACACAGATGAGTGTTCTTTAGACTATCCTTTCAACTACTCTTTGTGCTTGAAATGTTTCCAAAATAAAACGTTGGTTGGAAACCGTTATTTCTCCCAAGTCACCCCTTCATGGGAATAGGTTGTGGGCAAGGCAGGAGGGTGGGCAAGAGTGATTTTAGTAACTGTGAAAGGGACAGGACAATGGTATTAATGTCAATAGTAATGAGTGTGAAAAGTTCCCCAGGATTCGTTTTCTCTAAAAATACAAACCTAACGCAAAATTGATTTCCTTCCTGTCCTTGTCACGGTTCTTAAAGCATCTCCTCATCGACTCTGCCTAGATGTGCTTTTCCTAGATCCCTAAATGTGAATCTCCAGGCATGAAAATGAGTTTAAGAGTCCCCACATGCGCAGAAGCAGAACTTTTTGTTTAAGGATTGAGAGGTCAAGAGTTGTCTTTGTGAGACAAGAAGAAGTAAAAGGCTTCCCATAACTACCATCTTGGGTAGAAATCAAGTATTTTATTTAAAGTTCTGAAGATAATGAGCAGGTAGGAGGCCAGCAGTCACTGCTCTAAATATTAATCAGGACTCTGAATCACCCATTAAAGATAAAATCAGCCCAAACAATAACACATGGTGATTATCCACTCTTCATTTCCATGTTCAAGGACAACTGTCCTGACCTCAGGCTCTGCACTCCACCTGACTAATAAACCAATTAACGCCATGGCCCTAGGGAACATATGCACAATTTTAAATCTATGCAAATCCCTAAGTATACTCAACAGTATTAATTTATGCTACCGAGTTCTAATTTAACAGGAAAGTTAAATTAGAAAAGTTTCACATATACATGGTAAAGCACATATATCTGTCTATAGGTACCATGGAATATACTTTCCCAAGTGTGGATCAGGGCGCATTATGTAAAAGAACAAGATATAAAGTTAGCTCTTCCACTACTGCCTCCTACAATCCTTTAAAATCCAGTTCAGGAAAAGGCAAAATTACAGGAACAGAAAACAGAGCTGTGGTTTCCAGAGATTGGGACTTAGTGAGATGATACAGCATGATGGAATTTTAGGGGTGATAGAAATGGAAGGAAGAAAGGAAGGAAGGAGGGAAGGAGAAGGGGACAGAGAGAGGGAGGGAGGGAGAGAGAGAGAACGAAAGAAAAGAGAAAAGAAAGAAAGAAAGGAAAGGAGAGGAGAGGAAAGGAAGAGAGGCGGGAGGGAGGGCAGGAAGGAAGGAAGGAAAAGACAGGGTGAGAGGAAGGAAGGAAGAAAGAAAGATTTGGTCATAACAATGAAGTGCTACTTTAGAAGGATGAAGATGGAAAACAAAATGACATGTGCTTTTCCTTAGCAGTAAGTGTATAAACAAAACAGGTTTCAACTACAACACAAACCTATCTTCAAAATTCTGGTGAAGAAAACATCCATTACTCCAATAGAGAAGTTAATCAAACAAACCACTTAAACAGATCATCATAAAGCTTAACCCACGGTAGCTTAAAATTTTTAAAAATAACAACTGGAAACCAATATTAAACTTAAGACAATACTGATAATACTCTGATAAGGGTCTTTTCTGAAAATTGCAGGAATTTTAACTAACTGTTCATGAGCAGGCCCAGTAAGAGGTCGGTGATATCTCTCAGCTTTTCATGGCAGCCAGCTATCTCTATGGAAGGCTGATTGGACTATTAGGGTCTACCTTCAATTCTGGGAAAGGCCACCTCTTTATAAATACCAAATTGTAGTAACTCTTACTAATTACTTAGTTACTAGTGAGTATTCATCCGTCCAAAAGGGGTGTAAAAGGAATGTCTATGGAACCAAAGGGCCCACAGTCTGATTAATACACAAAAAGCCAAAGGAAACCTAAGTGAAGGAGGGTTTTTAGGAGTTACTTTCAGGATGGAAAATCTATTAATAAAATGGAATCGGCCAGGTGTGATGGCTCATGCCTGTAATCCCAGCACTTTGGGAGGCTGAGGTGGGCGGATCACAAGGTCAAGAGATTGAGACCATCCTGGCCAACATGGTGAAACCTTCTCTATTAAAAATACAAAAATTAGCTGGGCGTGGTGGCACGTGCCTGTAGTCCCAGCTACTTGGGAGGCTGAGGCAGGAGAATCACTTGAACCTGGGAGGTGGAGGTTGCAGTGTGCCGAGATGGCACCACTGGACTCCAGCCTGGCAACAGAGCGAGACTCTGTCTCAAAAAAAAAAAAAAAAAAAAAAAAAAAAAAAAAAAAAAAAAAAAAAAAGTAATCAGTTGACCCGGGGAATGCTGTCTAACCAGCCAAAAGTCTCCTGATATGGCATTTTAACATTTGCAGAGAAACAGAATCTCCAGAATCTCTAAAATGCAATCCACAGATGATGTTTTGTTATAGATAAAAGCAACTGTTAACATTGGCAGGATATTTTCATGCCACAACACACTTTAGATAATCATAGCTAACATTCACTGGGCACCTTCTATGTATCCACTACAGCTCTTAAGTGCTTTGCTTCTATTGGTTCATTTAATCCTCACAATCACCTCCAGGAGTTCAGGGGCCAGGAAGGTTAAGAAATGTGTCCACAGTCACACAGCCAGCAAATAGCAGAGCTCAGATTTGGACTCAGGCACAGTTCGGTTTCAAAGCCTATGCACTTAACCACTCTGCCAGTCACTTCTCCAGATATTCTGGAATGCTTTCTCATTTATGTGTTACTGATCCTCCCACCTCAGTCTCCTGAGTAGCTGGGACTACAGGGGCATGCCACCATGCATGGCAACAATAATACATTGTATATTTCAAAATAACTAAAAGAGTAGAATTGGGAATGTTTCTAACACAGAGAAATACTTGTTCTCAACAGTTGAGACTGTAATTTATTCTCATTTTCATATCATTCTACATTATTACAACAACTGTGCATAGATGGTATTCATTTTTGTCATACAAATAGAGAAATTCAGAAGATAGATGGAAAAGCAACTTACTCATTTGGAATACTAAGTACAACAGGAGGCAGAAAACAGATGTAAAATAAACAGATTTTGACACTCCAGCTCTCATAGGTGAAGCATATTGAATATAAAGTTGGTATACTTGACGTTATCTAAACAATAAAGTCCTTAAAATGTTTACTGAAGAAGATACTACAAAATCGAAACCACAAAAAGATATCTGCACTCCCATGTTGACTGCAGCATTGTTCACAATAGCCAAGATATAGAATCAACCTAAGCGCCCATCAGTGGATGAATGCATAAAGAAAATGTACTATAAACACATAATGGAATATTATTCAGCCATAAAAAATGAAATCCCATTATTTGCAGCAACATGTACGGAACCGGAAGACGTTATGTTGAGATCAGCCACACACAGAAAGACAAGTATCCCATGTTCTCACTCATGTGTGGGAGCTAAAAAAAAAAAAAAAAAAAAAAATTGAACTCATGGAGATAGAGTAAAATCATGACTACCAGAGTCTGGGAAATGTAGTGAAGATCGGGGGATAAAAAAGGGATGGTTAATGGGTACAAAAATACAGTAAGAAGAAATATGATCTAGTGTTTGGTAGCACAATAAGGCCACTATAGTAATCAATATATTTTTAAATCTTTTTACAGATAGGGTCTCACTATGCTGTCCATGTTGGAGTGTAGTGACTATTCACAGGTGCAATTGTTGTGCATTACAGCCTTGAATTCCTGGGCGCAAGTGATCCTCCCACCTCAGCCTCCTGAAACGCTGGTCCTACAGGTGCGTGCTACCATGCATGGCAACAATAATTTATTGTATATTTCAAAATAACTAAAAGAGTGAAATGGGAATGTTCCTACCAGAGAAATGATGAATGTTTGAGATGATGGACACCCCAATTACTCTGATTGTGTTACCCTACACATTGTATGCTTGTATCAAAATATCACATGTAACCCATAAATGAGTACTATTATGTGTCCATAATAATTAAAAATATTTTAAAACATACTTTTTTACCTGTTAAATGACTGGCAGTGCAGGTTTGTGAAATAATTCTTCGTGCTATGATGTTACAATGGCTACAGTGTCACAAAGTAATGCGAATTTTTCAGTTCCATTATAATCTCTTCTTACGTTGATCTTATGGGACCACCATAGTATATATGGCCTGTCATTGACCAAAACGTCATTCTTCAGCACATGACTGTATAGTTTTCCCACCTAAAAGTGATACTTGGTTTTATCTGAAGATAGACTAAACAGCTATGTTGGGATTAGAGTATTTTCAATAAAGATGGGTGTGTGTGCATGTATGTGTTTTGGGGGAGGGGTGTTTATTTATCTATCTCATTCTATTACAATCTAAAATTCATATAGGGGATCACATTGACACATTAACACTCTGTCATTTCAATCTAGTCTCCGAACTGGTTGAAGCCATAACATGATGTAAATTGCACGATGTAGACTAGATTCATTGTGCCACTGTGGGCCTGTTTTCTCATCTGAAAAAGGAGAGGTGCAGAAAATCCTCAAGGTTCCTTCAGGCAGTCTATGTGACTCACTGCCAGGGCAGGCTTGGCCTTACTAAGGTCGTAAAAATCAATCTAATCTCTCAACAGGGCTGTTTCCATGGAATATGAGAAAGGAACAAGCTGGCAATATATTAATTACAGCTGTATCTCTTAAACTCGTTGCAAAACTTTACTTCTATCACTACCAAAATGAGTCAATTTCCCAGTAAATGTGTTGACTGCAATATGCTATTAATGTGGAAACATATCCTGTTGCCTCATTTAGTATCTACGAAGATACCACTGTCAAAGCCATAAATTTACAGTGACTATTCCTTTTTCATATCCATGGATGTGACTTCATTTCCTGGCTTAATGGATAATTCCTTGGAAGACCTATAGTGATTTTTAAATAAGCAAAATTTTACATTTAGACCTGATAGGTGATTTCCTTTTCTAAGTGGTTAGTGGGGAGGGATATGAGAAAACCTTTAATAGATAATCCAGAGAGTGTGGCACACAAACACGTACCTCTCTTCTTGCCACTACTGGGCCCTTGTCTGAATCAGAAGATTCAGTACCTTTCTAACTGTACCAACCTGAAACAAAGTAAGGTTTCCAGGTGGTGACAAGAAATC
This sequence comes from Homo sapiens, assembly GCF_000001405.40. Taxonomy (NCBI): domain Eukaryota; kingdom Metazoa; phylum Chordata; class Mammalia; order Primates; family Hominidae; genus Homo; species Homo sapiens. The sequence continues at coordinate 31,199,737 of NC_000023.11, forward strand.
AAAGGAAATCAAATCTGCAATGCAAGGAATGCACTTGTAGGATAAACAAGTACTTTATTACCGTTTACCTCAGGCTGGTAGAAATAGCAGCCTTTGAGCACAAGCTTGCTGAAGGAACCAGCCCAGCCTCATTCTGAAGGTCCTATACTTCAAACAAAGGGCAGAGGACATTTTCACTCCTGTTATCTTTCCCTACAGCAAACATTGTATTTTTATGCACGTGGCACAATGAAAGGCAAGGTGACCGCCAGTGCACCTGGCCGAGGAAAAGCATGCCAGGGCCAGGACGTGGATTCCTAAGTATTCCTAAGTATTTACAATGGATCCATTCAACCTGATTGCAAATTGCTAAAACGCTGAGAGGCTCCCCAAATCTAAGTAATGAAAGCCTCGCCATACATATGGAATTTACTAGCATCTGATTAGAAATACTACATTTGCCAGCACTTCAAACTAATTCCTCTTCCCCCTCAAGGGTCCCCTGTCTTGTTATACCTTTTCTTATTCTATCCAGGACTCAGGAAAAGTAGCTGTTGTTTGGCCTTGGGAAGCTGGAGAGCAGAAGTATCAGAAACTACATATTTGGGAATGAGGTAGTAAATGTGGCGGTGGGCATACTGGACTAGGAATCAAACCCTTCCACCAGCTGAGGGACTTTAAGGGCGCAAATAAATTATTCATCCACTTAAACAATAATAAAAGCAAAATCTCCAAAGCCTGACTATTCTGTTCCCCTCAAAGACTTGGTGAGGATTAAATGAGAGAATTCATGTGAACAAAGTTTTGTTAGTAGCAATGGTAACAATATTATTTATAAGCATAATAGGTACAAATGGTAAGGAGAAGCTGTTTCATGATAGTGAAAGCAAACTATGGGTGGTTATGAAACCAGAGTAGGAAAGGTCTGAGAGTTAAATAGAGGAATTAGGATTTGTTCACTAGACAACAGAAAGATACTGACATTTTCAAGGACGGCATCATATGGGAAATGCTTTTCTCTAAAACTAGTATGAGGGCAATAAGACCAATGAAAAGGACTGGAGTGTGAAGTGGAGGCTTGCTAGGAAGCCAGTGCAATGATGAGAAGGCCTGGAAACAATGTAAGAATGGCAATGGAAAGCAATCAAACAAAACATGTTTCTTTCCCTAAAAAAAGAGGCAGCACTTTACTAATTTTTTTTCTAATTATAAATGTTCAAAGAAGAAAACTCAGAAAATAAAAATAGTACAGAGAAAATCAAAAGCCACCTGTTACCACCATTCATATCTTGACTGATTTCCCCCCAGTCTCATAGAAAACATTTCAAGGCTGGATGCCGTGGCTCACGCCTGTACTCCCAACATTTTGGGAGGCTGAGGTGGGTGGACAGCTTGAGCCCAAGAGCTCGAGACCAGCCTAGGCAACATGGCGAGAGACCCTGTACACACACACACACACACACACACACACACACACACACACGCACACACACACACATACACCAAAAAAATGCCAGGCGTGGCGGTCCATGCCTGTAGTCCCAGCTACTCAGGAGGCTGAGGTGGGAGGATCACTTGAGCCCAGAGGTCGAGGCTGCAATGAGCTGTGATCGTGCCACTGCACTCCAGCCTGGGTGACGAAGTTAGACCCCTTCTGAAAACAAAACAAAACACATTTCACATTTCAAAGAGCTTGGAGACTGGCTGGCCAACCAGGAGGCATTCAACAAATATGCAAGGATGGACTGAATTCAAAGCTTTGAGACTGAGAATACAGAGTTGTTATTACAGAGACAGAAATGTAACCAAACCAGAGACATGGGCTTAGGGGAGTAGGAGGTTATCCAGCAAAAGGATGTAGCAGGCAGAAATGGAATAGGTTGGTCTCCTGATAAGGGGGGCAGCCCAGGGAAAGCAGAGCTTCTGTATGGCCACCGCTTATCCTGACAACCAAATCCAAGAGGGCCAGAGGCTGCAGTGAGGATGGTGGTGGCTTCCTGATGAGTCAGTACTCGGGCGAGAAAACAAAGAATCCAGCTGGCCCTGAATACAGCCTAGTTTACTTTGCAGCAGGGACCATCACTGAGCCTTACCTTTAACCCAAGTCACAATGCACACACATATGTTTATATATCCCTATATATGAACACGTGTGTGTGTTTCACTAGAACTCAAAGAGTAACTGAGACTTGACTAAAGGGGAAAAATGATTAGGACCTGTAATCCCAGCACTTTGGGAGGCCGAGGCAGGTGGATTGCTTGAGATCAGGAGTTTGAGCTCAGCCTGGCCAACATGGTGAAACCCTGTCTCCACAAAAAATTAGCCAGGCATGGTGGCAGGCACCCTGTAATCCCAGCTACTCGGGAGGCTGAGGCATGACAATTGCTTGAACCAGGGAGGCGGAGGTTGCAGTGAGCCGAGATCGCGCCATTGCACTCCAGCCTGGGCGACAGAGGGAGACTCCATCTCAAAACAAAACAAAACAAAAAAAACACACAACCAAAAGATTAGGAAATAACTCGCGTTTATGGCAAGTTGTTTTATAATTGGATTTTAAAAAATCAAAATGAACCTAGATTGCCTGTGGCCATTAATATTCATTGTATGGAAGTTACTTGTGTCTACATTTTGATGATTGATTGGATTGATCATCTATCTGCATTTTGGAAGGTTTGGGTATGAGGAGGAAAAGATATTTATTTCTCCACATGCATTTTACATTTACAACTAATTTGCCATAATTTTGGCAAAATAATTCAAACAGTATATCCCACTTTACATAAATGAACTTATTATGTGTGCATCCGGTAAATCTATCCAACTAACTATTAAATAAATACTCAAACTGCTTTAAACACCTAAATATTCACAGTGATCTGCCCAGGAAACCTTCTATAGTTTCATCCTAGTCTGTGGTCAAAGACTTCAGATATAACCCAGTTAGTTCTACAGCTAGTTCCATTTTGTAAATCTCAGCCATTGTTAATAGAATTAGAATGGATTGAGAAACCCTACATAAGAAAAACAGCTCTTAGCACTTGAAAAAACCAAAAACAAAAACATAAGAACACTGTGAATAATGTGATACCGAAAGCATCTTACTCCTTCAATACTGATAGCGTTACAATTAGAACAACTTTTGAAGAAAGGCCACAAAAAATGTTTATATTATTTTGTCTGGCAATCACACGCCTGAGAATTGATCCTATAAAGAAAGCTTCAAAGACAAAAGCTAAACGATAAGGATGTTCATTGTAGCACTATCTACCTAATAAAAATTAGAGGCCAGGCACGGTGGCTTACGCCTGTAATCCGAGCACTTTGGGAGTTCGAGGCAGGTGGATCACCTGAGGTCAGGAGTTTGAGACCAGCCTGGCCAACCTGGTGAAACCCTGTCTCTACTAAAAATACAAAAATTAGCTTGGGGTGGCGGTGGGCGCCTGTAATCCCAGCTACTCGGGAGGCTGAGGTAGCAGAATCACTTGAACCCGGGAGGTGGAGGTTGCAGTGAGCAGAGATCTCACCACTGCACTCCAGCCTGGGTGACAGAGCGAGACTGCAACTCAAAAAAGAAAAAAAAAAAAAAAAGGAAAGAGAAAAAAAAATTAGAACAAGATGAATGTCTACCAGTGGAGTGCTCAGGCATTTGGGAAGAAGAGGGTGTTTCTGGGGCACTGACTACGACAGAGAAAAAGCAATGGGACAGGATAGGAAAGAGAACGGACAAGAGTGTGTTCAGTCAGTGATGGACATTAGCAGAGAGTATACACCTCTAGACTTTGGAATAATAGGGGAATGTCAAAGCTACAAAGGACAGTTTTAAAAAAAAGGACAGCTGTGCTAACAATTTACCAACAGCCATTGAAAGGAGGCTATAATGATAGAATTAGAGAAAGGACTCAGAGACTAAGAGACTCGCCTACAAAGGCCATTTTCTTATATACATAGGATTTCTGTGGCTAGAGACTTATTTCCTCCCTTGCTGAACTTCTTCCCCTCTAGCACCTCAATAACTGTGGGGTCCCTGCTGCAGATGGAGATTTCTTTTCCTTCCTCAGCACTGTCTTCTTTCCCAAAACCTAGAGTTCCAGAAGCTGCTTACTTACAGAGGTTCCAAATATCCCAAATCCCATACCTACTGCCTACTGAAGAGCTAATATGAGAAAACGAAGCTCTGTGGGTTTTTTAATTAATTTCTAAAATATGAAAGAATAAATATGTTACCTAGAAGGTGAATAACTTACAAATTGGAAGCAGCTCCGGACACTTGGCTCAATGTTACTGCCCCCAAAGGATGCAACTTCACCCAACTGTCTTGGAATTTGGATAGAATCATGCAGAAGGAGGCCCAGCCTGCGCTGGTCACAAAATCCTGTTGAACTTGCCACTTGCTTGAAAAGGTCTACAAAGGAAGAAGAAAATTGCAACAGTCAAAACACAGCACCCATGGATGCCAGCAGAACCTGACATCCAACTCAATTCCAGTAGCAATTCTCAAGAGTAGCCAGTATTTCCACAGAGTGGGGTTACTTCTAATTTGTGCTAATCTGGATATTTATTATTTTTATGAATCAAGTTAATGATCACTGTATATATATGAAGTGTGATAACTTTTACATAAACTGTGTCACTGCAAGAAGCGCAAGCTTACACGTACCCTCGACACTTAAATTTCTTCTAAGCCAGAACATAATCCTTGGGAATTATTGTATATAGGATGTAACTACATCAAAAAATAAGTGTTTTAGCATTAAGAGACATATAACTGGCCCAAAGCACCACCCTCCTTGGACACCAGAGATTCAAAAATGTACCACAGTTGGGACTTCTTTATGGAGTCATAAGATCACTGAGCTTCTAGTCCATCATGTATGTGTTCCCACAGGATACTGTGCATAGTTTGTTGTTGTTGTTGTTGTTTTTTGAGACGGAGTCTTGCTCTGTCGCCCAGGCTGCAGTGCAGTGGTGCGATCTCTGCTCACCGCAACCTCTGCCTCCCGGGTTCAAGCCATTCTCCTGCCTCAGCCGCCTGAGTAGCTGCGATTACAGGCACATGCCATCACACCCAGCTAATTTTTGTATTTTTACTGGAGACGTGTTTCACCATGATGGCCAGGCTGGTCTTGAACTCCTGACCTCAAGTGATCCTCCTACCTCGGCCTCCCTAAGTGCTGGGATTACAGGTGTGAGCTACTGCGCCTGGCTGCGTATTTCTAATTAATAGCTCACATCATGTTATGCTGGCATTGATTCAATATGTGTCTATCGTTTTTGGCAGGAGACTTATATCCCCTTGAGGGAAGGAACCATATCTTGGTCAGTTGTGTGCCAGAAGTATCTACAGTAGAATGGCAGTACCCGGTGGATAGTAGGTGCCCAATATATGTAACAGAATGAATGAACATACTGAATGCTTGCAATGTTATGTTTTGTTCTCAGATATAAAATTTTAATCATACCTTATATTCACCTAGAAGTTGCCCCTCAAAAAAAGTAAATCCAAGAAAGCTTTCTGTACCCATAAGCACACTTTAAACTCTAGGAAATTAAATGTTTTAACAGGATACCTAAGATGGCACTAAAAATTGAGATTGTACGCACAGCTTTTTATCTGCTCTCCGATATACATACCTAGGTGTTTATTTTCAAAGTTATGAGTTACTTTCAAACATCTCATTTTGCATTTAATATTTTTGTTTCACCAACCTAAAAACATGTTCCCTCTTAGTAGTTATTCGAAACACCAACTCAAAGCTTCCTCAATTATTCAATTTAATATTATATTTACAATGTGCTGTCACTATACCATATATACGGTAGATTAGAACCTAACCTATACTAAGTAACTACAATATTTAAAGGAGAAAAGCACACAGGTATCCCATCTCATCCGAAATACATTTTAAAATGGTTAACAAAAGCTGTTCAGTTATTTTTCTCTCGTTCTGAGGATGAGAAAACTCAAGTGGAAACTACATAAAAGTGAGGGCCAAAATGGTTTGTGTATTTTGTGGCTTACTCCTGAAGGAGAAATGATCAGTAGGAGACAGAGTGGCTTTTATCTCCTGCCTGTCCTGAAGCTTAGCACATCTCCTCACATGTGTGGCTAGGCCTCAGGGGAAGAGAGAAAAGACAAGCTAGGCTGAATTTGTTTAATATTCCTACTGAAAAGATTGCTTATAAGCATTTCAAGGGGAAAACCAACTGCAGCCTTTCACAATATGAATGGATGGTCACTTGGTCATCTGAACCATCACTCCTCTAGCATTGGCTTTTAATTTGGTTTTACAGTTTTTAAGCAGAAGAACCCAATGCGTAATCAAAAGGAAATTCTGTAGGGTGGTACGTATCTATCCTTTAAGAAACAGCAAGCTATCTGTCTCTCAAATAATAAAATGTTAGTCACGTCACGGAATTGGATGTGTCAGTACAACTTGCAGTAAGATGATTATAAAATAAACAATGTTTCTTGAACATGAATGTCACATGGTATTCTTTAAATAAGAACCCAAAGACTAGACAAGTGCAGAGATTAAATCTTCACACTTATTTTTCCGACTTACAGAAAGAGGTTAGAAAATCAGACTTTATCCCCTAGGAACATGTGTTTTATTCAGACACAGTCAATGTAATGTAAAATAATACCTGGACTGGAAAAGCTAATCCTCATTCTCTACTTAAATGCCTGCAATTTAATGTTTGACAAGGAATGGCACAAACCAAATTTTATGACACTCTAAAAGCAGTTCTACATCTTACATGAGGAATCTGCTGTCAAATAAGAACAGTCTGTCATTTCCCATCTAGAACTAGGGTAATTAGCCAACATTAATAAAAGAATACAGCATTAATATACACGACTTACATCTGTACTTGTCTTCCAAATGTGCTTTACACAGGGAAATGATGCCAGTTTTAAAAGACAGGACACGGATCCTCCCTGTTCGTCCCCTATTATGAAGAATCAAAGCAGAAAACAATTACTGACCCTTTCCTAGAGGGTAAACACTTCTAGTTAAGAATAAAGCCTTGAAAAGGAAAAATAAAGGAGTAAAGTGCTCAATGATGTGTGAACTCTATTGACCACTGTTTTATTAAGATTGTTTTGAACTTTTCCAAATTCATTATCTCTTTGACTGATGACCTACAATGCAATGGAAATTCAACCAACTTGACCACTGAATGTTTACCAAGTTTCAATTCCTAAAAACCCTTATTTGAACTGCAAAAGTTCTACATAAATTAAGAAAAAAAAATTCTATTCACCTATGGAAAGCCACCTTGGTTTAAGTTGGTAAGCAGAAGAATTACTAATCTTCACCAATCTACTTTGGTTACTAAAGCAAATTACCTACTTTGGTCATGGAAGCCAAAAAAATTACCAGCAACTAACTGCTCAGCCCTCTTAAATGCTCAGATCTTCATCAGATTGCCCCTTATTGAAAGAAAATTAATTACTTCAGGCCACATAACACATAATATAGAATATAAATGTTTATCTCCGTAAGAAAAATATCATACTCTATTAAACAACATTCAAATATATGATCTAAAAAATAAATTTATAAATAACCTGTTGCTATATCAGTGTTTTAATATAGATTGCTTTTATTTGCATAGCATTTTCTATATTTGCATATAGAAAACTGAAATAAAGCATTTCACATAACAAATTTATTAATAAGCTAATTTTATCCATGGGGGAAAAAAAGGAAAAATAAGAATGAAAAGTTTTCCATTTTGTAGAAAATGTCTTTCAAGACATGGAATCAATATGAATGCCCATCAATGAGAAATATGGTACATATACACTATGGAATACCATGCAGCTATAAAAAAGAATGAGATCATGTCTTTTGAACACGGATTAGCTGGAGACTATTATCCTTAGCAAACTAATGCAGAAACAGAAAAGTAAATACTGCATGTTCTCACTTCTAAGTGGAAGCTAAATGATGAGAGCTCACGAACACAAGGGAACAACAGATACTGGGGTCTTGAGGGTGGAGGGTGGAAGGAGGGAGAGGAGCAGAAAAGACAACTGTTGGGTACTGCGCTTAACCCATTTATGCTGGAGGCTGCATATTACTTTTTGTGAAAATCAGACCTTGGCGATGACCTTGAGCAGTAGGATAGGAATAATTCCCACAAGCTTAGTGTTCCAATAATGGAACACTAGGCATAAATGGGTTAATACCTGAGTGATGAAATAATCTGTACAACAAACCCCCGTGACGTGAGTTTACCTATGTAACAGACCTTCACATAATACCCCGAAACCTAAAATTAAAGTTAAAAAGTGTCTTTCAATAGTTTTTTGGCTTCTTATTTTATTACGGAAAGCTACTGGCCCTTAGATATTGGTAAAAAGAAAAAGGAGAAAATATTTCAGAATAATTCGCCTATTAGCACTTCAAAATCACAAAGGATAGGTCCCAATGGCGGTTATTTTCGGTGAACAATATGCTCAACTTCCAGCTACTAAAATTTATTAAATCCCTCAGTCAAAAAGAAATCCTGGGCACTAATGGACTAAACAAATTCCTATCACTGGAAAATTTTCTTATCTTTCTCCCTCTTAAGAAAAGGTAGATCAAAATTTAACAAATCCACTTTATACAGCAACTCAGGTCTTCAAGGAGTTAAAATTGTCACCAAATACTTTTCAGTCAGGTAGAAGGAAGTTATACATTCAGAATGCATTCACATGTCATCTGCAAAGAAAACAGTGCCAAAATATATTTGAGGGGAAACCTGAATACAAACTCTTATCAAAACTAATGTGAACGTAGTTCACAATTGAAATCCGACATGTTCAAGGACTTGGTAGATGACTATGATGAATGTAATAGTCAGGTGGTCCTGAAATTTTAAAAAGCAATACCTTATCAAAATAAGAAAGAAAAAAAGGTATAAATTTTAGTTCAAAAGGTAGTAGAAGTCTACAACAAAGGTAAAAGGCAAAACAGTTGTTTTGCAACTCTTTTCAGAAAACCTTCCCAGATTTCCAAATGGGAGTATGTTCTTGATTGGTGAAATGAGGCATGTAATAATTTTGAGATCTAAGAAGAATTTAGGCAAAATTAAGACCAATTCCTTCTGCTCCCTTCTTCAATTGTCTTCATTAAGCTCAAGAAAAAAAAAAATCAGAACTGGGGATATCTCCCTTGTGTGCAATCCAAAACAAACAATTGTTCTCTAAGAGAGAGTGATGAATGGAGGCGCCAAACTGAAACTTCATAAAATCTTATTAAAAAACAAAAGAAAACGAAAAATGTTCTCAGTTTGAGAAGCTAAGTTTGCTGTATTAAGGGCTTGTTTTCATTTTGTTTGGCCTATCAATTCATAATCTTCTGCAAAAGTGTCCTAAGTATCAGCTAAGACCATTCTGATCTGGAGACAGGTGTGCCAGTATCTCCAGGAGCACAGCCATGGCCGCCAGTGAGAGGAAGCCACCCCTGAAGTGCATGGAAGAATTCCAAAATCCATGGGCGAGAAAGGGAAAGAACCAAAGGCTATATGTCGACTCATTCCACTATTTGCAAAATGAGTGTCTCAGGGTTTTGTTTGTTTTCTAATCTGAGAGCAATCTACATTCTGGCTCTTAACTCCTAGCTTATCAAAATATTTTTCAAGTCATAAATGCAAAAATGATTTATCACAGGAAGAGCATTAGGTCCACAGCTTCCAGGGCCCTGTTGTAATGCTAATTACACTTCACCATTCTGTACGCTAAGCCTCCTGTGACAGAGCCCGGGAAATAAAAACATGCCATACGTACGTATCATAAACATTCAGCAGCCAGTTCAGACACATATCCACGCAGAGAGGGACGTTGACCAAATTGTTGTGCTCTTGCTCCAGGCGGTCATAAATAGTGGTCAAACAATTAATAATCTGCAGGATATCCATGGGCTGGTCATTTTGCTTGAGGTTGTGCTGGTCCAAGGCATCACATGCAGCTGACAGGCTCAAGAGATCCACTGCAAAAAACAAATAAAATCACAAATGACTCAAAGAGTAAAACCTTCCTTTCAGTGTCCTTTTTCCTCTGAGAATCCTAGCTAGGACTCTCTCATACCCTTTAATAAACACCAAACGTGAACCACACTCTCTTTGAAAGGTGTTTTATTTTTATGCCTCGACTCTAAGTTGATGAGTTTGATCAGTATTCAGGATCTGAAGTTGTTCTTAAATCTCACTGGCATTGGGTGAAGATATGGGCAAAGATATAATTCCCATCCTTGGATTACTGGGGAATATCTGAGAGTTAAGGGGACCTAGCCTGTTCTACATAAACAGAGTCAATTGTCACCTGAATAAGAAAAAAAAAATGTTTTAGCAGAAATTTTTAAAGAGATCCGATGATACTTTCTTGTATTAGCATTAGAGAAGATCTGTTAGATTAATCTGTATGGCTAAGGTTGTGTAAACTCTATTTCTAGCTATGCATTTATAATCATTAAGCGCTTTTCTCCTTGAAATATCAGTCACCTCAGCATCTCTCTGCTACCCTAATATTAGGTGAAAAAAATACTCTCCACTAAAATTTTCTATAGGCAAACTAAAGTAATTGCATAATCTATCCAGTTTTCAGACCTGAGGCTCGCTTATTTCTCCTTTCACCTTCAAATTGTATTTCATAATATTCTTTCTAAGTCCTCTAACAACTTTATAAGGCTGAGGGAGGAAAATTCCCTTGATCTGAGGAGGTGTTTAATCTTATGCTGGGGACAAAAATTTAACAAAAGTGAAACTTCAACCTTGTCCAACATCAGCAAATCACAAGCTTTATTCCCAAGTGTCATGAAAAGATGCATTTCTCTAAAGCCAATTTATTAGCCAAACTAGAAACACAACAACATTGCTTTTATACTACCTTATACACCTAAGCTCTGGTTGGAATTCTCAGTCCTTTGAGGCAAGGAATCAATGCTAATTAAGTAAATCTCTCATGCATCTAGGGGGAAGGGGCAATTCAATTATAAATGTAGTTCACATAAATAGAGGTAAATCCCGCTCAGTAAACACCTTTCCCAGTAATAAAGAAATGCAAACTTAAGGCTTTAGTATATTTTACAAGTTATTCATGGCCAGTTCTAATTAAATATTAAGAAAAAAACAAAAATAGTGGTTAATACCTATGTAGGTTTGTGCAAAAATACTTTTCCACCTATATTGCGCACACATTTTTCTCTTTTAAAAAAAGGAAAACAGAAAATCCTGGAGTTTCCCCAGAAGCATGAAACAGACATGGTGGTGGAAGCAGGAGTCTGCACTCCTCCCTTGGAAGGGAAGGCCCCTCTGTTTTTGCTCTGAAATACTCTAAAGATAGAGAAATGACCCTTTTCATGGAAGCTGAGACTTTCTTTAAAGTGGGAGGAAGGAAGATAACTTGGGAGACTTATCTGAAGAATCAAGTGAGAAAAATAATAAAGAATTTTAAAAAGCAATGCAAGGAGGCAGGAGGACGGGAGGACGTGAGGAGGGAATGGCTGAAAGAAGACTGCGTGGGAGGCTGGAGCGAGGTCCAGAGACAAAAGACTCAAACTTTTCTTCTCTCTCTCTTCTGTGTGCTTGTTTTCCTCAGAGGGCACATACTCAAGTGCACGTAGTAGGAACACTTAGAAACACGGTATGCCAGCTCCATTACTGGAAGAGAGGAATGGATTTCTTCCAAACACCAATATTCCCAACATGTTTCCTTATATACTGAAGGAAGCTATGGGTGGTTTGAAGTTTTTCAATTATTTTCTTTTTTGTTACTCTGCTTTAGTCATCATAAATATTTTGCCTCTGATCCAGGCATTTAAGAAGTAACTAGTGAAAATTTTTCGAATCACTTTTGTATTAAGAGTCTTATTTAGCCGTGTGATGGAAATGAACAGAGAAAAACTGCATGCATTTCATTTTATGGGGCCTGCTCTTATCTCTGTACAGGTGAATGGGTAACACATAGAACAGCAAATGTTGAGTAGAAATAGCTCCAGAGGGGAGCAAAGCAATTGCTCTGAAATTACAGGAGCAGAAGATGACACAGTTAGGAGAGAAATACTGTGCAGTGTGCTCTGCTAAAACTGGATGTGGTTAAACACAAGAACAATCCATCACAGAAGACTGAAGAGCACATTTCCCTAAACAAACATGTCAAACAGAATTCAACTTTCATGGAGCTATTTTGAAAAAATTTCCATTTAGGTATACACAATCCATGCTATGGACCCGAAAAGGAGGTGAGAATATCAATAGGGACAATTTAATTGCCATGCATATGCTTTTCAAAATGAGCATCTTAGAGAACACACCTAGACTTTTTGATGAAACATTAAATGTAATGATTAGCTCTTTCTAGGACCCTCAATAAGCAACCAGCAGATACAGTTGTGTGAAACCATTGTTTCCTTAAGCTAGGAATTTCCATTAAATATATTATATATATATATATATATATGTGTGTGTGTATGTGTGTGTGTGTGTGTGTGTGTTTGTGTGTATTCACTAGTAGATATATCTTTAAAGCTACATAAAAACCCAAGTATTCTAATACATCTTCACTTTCTAAATTATGTTTACAGTAGAGGATGCTATAGGCTTTGAAGCCATTGAAGAACAGGGACCATGTGGTGGTACCCTATGCATGAGGGCTGTGGGGGTGAGAGAGGGTGGGGACAGGATAAAAGAAATGGCTGACTCTCCAGGATCCTCTTTGCTGTGCAGGAAAAGCAGACAGTGGCGGTTGGGGGGCGGCGAGCAGGCAGGACTTCAACACAGGGATCCCACTAATGGTTCCTGAGGCTCTGGTTGTGCCTAATCATCTTCTCAACCTTCTAGCTTCAAAAGCTCATTCTTTTCCTTTCTATGTATGCCACAGTAGCTAACTCTTGCTATTCCTTCCTATGTAAGACAGATTTTTTTTGTCTTTTACAGAGTGATAGACTCTTAGAGCCAGAAGGTTGCTTTAAAATCATTTTGCAGTTGAGACAACTGAGACCAGAGATATGGAGACTCACTCTGGGTGTTATGGCAGGATATCTAGGTTTTCTGATTTCTCATGGAGGTACATATTGTAAGGGGGAAAAGTGGGTGGCAGAAGGTGTCCTTACTGACTTTACAGAACAGGAAAACCATTCTGCATTCCATGCTAATGACAACAGTAGGATAAAACAGAAGCACCAAAAAGTTGGTTAGTGGAGAAAAAAAAAGTCTCATGGTGCCCATATAACCCCAAGTTCATCCTATAGGTCAATCTGTATATTCTATGTTGATGTATAAATAATTCTGTGATCTAATTAGCACAGAAACAGAAAGAGGTGAGTAATGGTGGAAGAACTGCTGTATGTTTGCTGATTTTTCTTGCCCAGGCATGCCACTCTACAGGCAACTTACACTTATGGCTGAGGGACCTCCCAAGCAAATCTTTGCACTTCAAGAAAGTCAATGCACTTTGATGTAGTTGTCTGTGCAGTAAGGGTTAATTCCAGAGAGGCTGGAGTTGGCACGAGATGACTTGCTAAAATATCTACACAGTGCAGAGCCCTGGTCAAAGCACTTGCTTTTCAAAGTGACTTACTGTGTTGAAGTGTAGCCATGGGTTGCAGGTTATCACCATTGTTTATTGCTAACAGTAACATTGACCATTTTTACCCGGGCACAGTCAGACCAACGGAAGCCACTGAGTTTGAGGCTGGTTACATAGGAACAGTATGCCTAGGTTACCCACGGGATATAAGAAACCCTGGCTGAAACTCCAATTTGTGCTCCCTGGTTTCCAAGGTGTTCTGTGCTCACATCAGTAGCTCTTGTTCCAAGAGAGAAAATGCATCGTGGTGTGGCTCTTGCAGACAGAGGGCAATTATAGCTTGCACCTGTCCTCTCTGGACCCTATGCTGTGAGGCAGGCTGTGGCTGTGACACTTATTCTTGTTTTAATGTTGTGGGTATATTGCATCCTTTTTCTGCAAGGAACTCTAGATTCGTAAGCACTGTCATTTGGTTCCTGTGAGTCCTCTTTAGCAATTGAACCCTGTTTAACTTCCACTGTCAGGGCAGTGAGTGTCAGAAGCAAGATTGTTTAGAACACCTCCAACTCATTCTTAGCTAAAAGTATGACTGAGGCATTATTTAGAAAGAAAAAAAGAAGATTCTGATAAAAGGGATGAAAAAGAACCTTTGAAGTTGCTCAACAAGCTACGCTTGGTTGAAAAGTAACACAGGCTTTGAAATTGGTTACTGATGGTGTAACTTTCTAGTGGAATCTGGAAGTGAGAGAACTTGAACCTAAGGAGCTAACAAAATGGATTAGGAGGCAATTGCAAACTGATGGCAAGGCTGCTAAAAAAAAATCCAAAAGCTAATGTTAAGTTCAGAATTTCTTTCCACTGGGCTTCACCCTCTCTGGCCTGCAGGTGGAGTCCCAACCAAAAAGCTGAAGCAACTATCATTTTTGAGAAATGGGCTACACCTGTGAGACCAGTTACAATTAAAAAGATAATTCAAGTGGGGCACTTACAGGTATTCCCTATGTCACTACAGGTTTCTTTTTTGATGCCAGACCTAGTAGTCCCTGAACTGGGGCTACAATTAAGAGTTTCAAAGGCTGGTAATATTCCAAAATAAGATACTATGGCTATTAGTTGGTACTTAAGCACAAGCATTCCACAAGGATCAATGGAATGGATTACTCCTTCCTTGTGCCTTGCCTAATTGAAGCTATCACACAACCCCATCATAGGTTGAAAATATCTTAAGTCACAAATGCATTTAATACACCTAACTAACTGAAACTCACAGCTTAGCCTAGCCTACCTTCAATGTGCTCCCAACACTTACATCGGCCTACAGTTGGGCAAAACTGTCTAGCAACACCTTACACAGTAAAGTGTCAGTTGTTTAGCCTCATGATCTTGTGGCTGACTGGGAGCTGAGGTTCAGTGCTGCTGCCCAGCAAGGGGAGAGAGTATCATACCGCATATTACTAGCCTTGGAAAAGATCAAAATTCAAATCTAGAAGTAGAGTTTCTATTGAATGCATATCACTTTGCATCACTGTGAAATCAAAAAATTGTTAAGTTGAAACTTCACAAGTTGGGGACTGTCTGCATTGTGTGGTGTGTGTGTGTAGCTGGGGAAGAGGTTTGGCTTAAAATTAATGATAAAAGGAAAAAGGTGAGATTGTTGCAAGGGGAAGGAAACCACCAAAGATACTTTTTTATTTCTTTTTTCTTTTTTTTTTTTTTTTTTTTTTGAGACCGAGTCTTGCTCTGTCACCCAGGCTGGAGGACAGTGGCGCGATCTCGGCTCGCTGCAAGCTCCGCCTCCCAGGTTCACGCCATTCTCCTGCCTCAGACTCCCGAGTAGCTGGGACTACAGTCGCTCGCCATCACGCCTGGCTAATTTTTTGTATTTTTAGTAGAGATGGGGTTTCACCGTGTTAGCCAGGATGGCCTCGAACTCCTGACCTCGTGATCTGCCTGCCTCGGCCTCCCGAAGTGCTGGGATTACAGGCGTGAGCCACCGAGCCCAGCCGATACTTTTTTTTTTTTTTAAAGGGAAAACCTAATATAATGTTGCTGCCTACGGAGAGGTTTAAAATAAGAGAATAATATGCTCCCTTGGCTTAGACTCAGATGCCTCTTGGGGTGGGGGACTCTGCTAAAACCTCCTCCTCCTTGAAAGAGCCAAGATGTGAGTGGGAGAGTCAGCCAACCTATCCAACACACTGGATGACGAGATGGGCGTTCTAACTGCGACTACAACACCATGGAGCAATATTAATGTGGCTTTTGGTTAGTATTCGTTAATGTCTTTTGGTTCTTCTTTCACAGGACATATCTGTTATTAATCAGCTGTGTCAGGAAATAACCTGAGGGAATATTTACCCAGTCAAATCTGAAGAACAATGATTTATAACAATCTCAATAAACACTGTGTGGCCATCAATTGTGATGATGAAGGTTTAACAAAGGTATTGGGCATGTGATAGAAGGCTTACGTGCTGTATGTTTCATCTGTCATAACATTATGTGTTTAAAAAAATAGCTATTTGCCCCATTACTCCGTGTGGAAAGCCATTAGTGGGTGGAGGGACAATTGGGACAGCTTGAATCAGTGACAGATATTTAAGTTGAATTTGGTGGGCCTACTTTCCTGAGACTGAAAAGCTAGAAATTGGATATGGATGGCTACAGAAATTTCTGTGACATACCCAAACCAAAGTCCTTTTAGGAGTGACTACTATTCATATGATTTTAGCCTAGTCACATTTTTGTGTCTCATGTGTATTTCCCATTAAAGCTGCTATTTCTCAATGGCAACATGTCTGGTGGGCCAAGGGGCATGAATCCACTTGAAATAAAAGAAACTTCTATTAGGAGAATTAGGAACTGGGCTAGAGATACCTGGCCAGGTAGAATTTGCTTTGAATGAGAAATGATAAACTGACGAGAAAGACTTCCTAGTGCAAGAAGCGCACTTCAAGGGCATCCAATTCCAGGAGGAAGGATAGGGATGGCAAGCTGCCAAGGTTGATAGCTGGAGAATGGAACCAATAATTACTAGAAAACGGAACCTACGAGGTGTTCTTTAATCTCTTTAGCATCTGACTGAGAGAAAACCATTCTTTCCCTAGTGGGTAACAGCTAAACAAGATTACAGTATTTCCCCTGGGAGATAGATGGGTCATGTTATGAGACCTCTCTTGGGCACTAATATCTGTCAAACCATATAAACTGAGAAAATTAGTTTGGCCATGTCCTCAAGACGTCTTAAACTCAGA
Organism: Homo sapiens; assembly: GCF_000001405.40. Lineage (NCBI taxonomy): Eukaryota > Metazoa > Chordata > Mammalia > Primates > Hominidae > Homo > Homo sapiens. Next base: position 31,216,490 of record NC_000023.11, read on the forward strand.
ACTAACAGAGACATGGCCTCTAACCTATGTGAAAAATAATACATGGTATATAGAAAAAGTAGATTTTTGTAGGACAGTGGCAAAATAATTACACTGGCCTCTCGAGACCCCCTTGCTGTGGAGGCAGCCTGTGGCTGTGGATCCATATCCTGACAGTAATGCTCTTGTAATGTAGCCTTTTCTGGCAATAGAGCGCGGATTTGTAAGCCATGTTATTGTGGGTCCTGAGAGTCTTCTTTAGCAACTGAAGCCTATCTAATGTCACCCTTAGCGCACCATCAAAAGGTGAGGTGCATTTACAGAGAAGGCGGTGCATTTTTCACCTGGTTTGTCATGGTGAGGGCGAGTCCAGAAACTGTGACTATTCACACAACTCCAGCCTGTACCAAATCTCTATAATGTGTGCTTTAGTTGCTGAATAGAGGCAAAATGTTCTCTATTTCTTACTGTTTGCAGAATATTTGTCACACTTATCAACTGCAGTATATTTAGCCCTATGGTTTGGGCTCTCTCCAACCCACCACACATTATTAATAAACTAAATACACTTGCTTTGTTAAGTGCGTTTTTATTTCTGCTCTTACAAGTTGGCTTTTTAATTTTAGAAGCCTCACACCTGTAGAATGTCATCAGAACTACAAAGGGAGAAAGAAAATGCTTAAATTACCTTCTTCATAACTTTCAATGGAGTATCAGCTATATGAAACAGTTTATAAATCCTTCTTACCAAGATTTTATCTTTGTTCCTGCTTTTCTACCAAGTTTCATTTTCATTTCCAATGTGTTGAGAGGCAGTAAGGAGTCATGCAACACTTAACTGATTACAAACTGGGGACATTATAGGCCAACGGTGATGCTCTCCACTTAAATAGTGAATTCTCTATAGTGGATACAATTGGGTTATTTGGCTTTCTGCAATACGGAAACATTGATAGGGAAGTGAAAAAAAAATAAGATCAAGTGCTTAATAGAGGTGGAAGTGCATATTTCCAAGGCATCTGTAATTCAAACTCTTCACTGGCACCAGGAAATCACTGAGATAACATCATTAATTTTCCTTAAAGTTAGAGTTGGTAGAAGTGGCCTTTGGTAGGGAAAGCTAGCCAGGGCAAGTTTTATTTGCCTGTACCGCAGACAATAGCTCTTTATCATGGCTTTGCAGGCTTAGAAATGACAAAAGCCTGGAAGCTAAATCTAAGCAAATATAAAATTAGGAGAAAATTCTTAAATCATATATTGAAAGTAAGTAATGTGACCACACATATGTTCAATAAAAGGATGGGGTGAACTCTTCATTCTATAGTTTTACTATATATGGCACCCTCCTAGCATTAATGAGAATTCAATACTTAATTTAGATACATACACCTTAATTTTGGCATACTTGAATCTTTTTCACATATTAGAAAAGCCATGCTCAGAAAGGAAATGCAGAGAATTTCAAATTGATTTAAAAGTGAAAATTTAAAGAAATTATTCTACATTCGGAGCTTACCTTTATTACAAGGTTATCACCTCAAATGGACAAAATTTTGTATATTATGAAATTCCCCCATTTTCCCAAAGTTTATTGGAAATTATAAGTTGAAATGACAGACAATAAAACACATATGTGAATGGAATTTTTTTTGAGCAGGAAAATCGAATAATGCCTAAATCCAGGGTGAAAATGGACATTATAGAAAGGAACAGTCATTATAAGGTTTTTCCATCTGGTCTATTTCTGGGTTTCTTTTTTTTTTTTTTCCATAGTATAAACTGGAACAAATGGTTAGCTTCTGAACTTTTAGGATCTCACAGGAATATTCTCTAGCACTTCATGATAACCAGTGCCTAATTACTCCTTTATTAAAGGAAAGCAGTAGCTCTGGGATGGGGCAGGGGCAGGGGCAGGGGCAGGTGAAGAAAAAGAGGCAAGAAAACTTTCTCTATTCAGCCCCCTGACTCGATCCCATCCCAAACTACTTTTTCCCAGCTATGACGTATTAACAGGTCCTAAGGAAACCCTCGACCTGGAAAGCCCTTTAAACACCAGTTAAACTTGGCAACTATATAGCTGAAAAATGATAACTTCGGGCTATAAGGAAATGGAAGCCTTGGTTTACTTTCATTCATGCATTCATCTCATGAAAACATATTGAACCATGCTGTGTGCCAGGTTTTGTACTAAGCATTGGGGATACCAAGATGAAGGGAAAAGGCCTAGTCTCTCTTTCCAAATAATTCCACTTCTAAGGCATTTCTTCTCTATCTCTGTGTAAGAACCATATGCCAAGTGACTCCTTGACTATCTTATTGCTAGCCTCTGCAGATCCTCTGGTTGAACCCCTTTATTTCTGAAGACCTGGCAGCCAGGGTTCACGGTCCTTCTCTTTTGCCCAGTTCTCGCTCCAATTCTGCATGATTTCAACATTGGCATGGGGGACTCATGCATCATTCTAGCCTCTCAGTTCCTTAACTTGCTATTTCACCTCCATGGAAATTCACATCCACTCTACCTCTGCCACCTACTCAAATGGCTATATCCTAGATCTAATCACCTGAAACTGTTCCACCTTCAAAATAATGTTCATCTATGATTCTCTCTGACCACAACTTCTTGACCTTCAGTTCCTTTACTACTTCTTCCCCTACCTCCCTGAAGAGTTAGCATTTTCATCCCTCTACCTCCTAATTACCAGTTTCCATATGCGTTCACAGCTTCTCCTACCCAACAGGGACTTGTCAGTATCATTTTAATCAATCTTTTGCCCAAATCCTCACTTCTCTTGCCCAGCTGTTCCCTCCCTACCCCAGGACAGAAGCATCTGGCTCCCAAGTGCTAAGCGTGCCTGGGGAAATACCACACCCCTGCAGATTGGAGCTACCGTGAAACACTCAGCCGCCTCTGGGTTCACACAGCTGGTTTTCAACTCCGCCCTCTCTCTTATTCTCCACAAAGATAAGCCCAACTTCATCATCTCCTGCTGTTAACTGCGTTGCAGGGACTCTCCACTCCATACAAAAAATGGAAGCCTTTATAGTAAGACATCCTTCACCTTGCTGCTACCTGGTTTCTTAGTTACCTGGACCTGCCCAGATCCTTCCCTCTACCCCACCCATTACAGTGGAAGAGAGGTATCTCTTCCCTCCCTTGGGCTCTGGATTACCTGCCCGTATTCTCTGAGAACACCCATTATTTATCATCTCCTCTTGGGCCAATAATTGTAATCTCACCCTGTCTTCTCATACTCATATAAATACATTCCCACGAATACTATATGTTTGGCCTGCATTTGATTGAAAAAAATCCACGTAAGTTGACCCAAGCAGTTCAAACCCATGTTGTTCAAGGATCAATGTATACACACACACACACACACACACACTTATATACACATATTGTGCCACATAATGACATTTCAGTCAACAATGGACTGCCTATATGACAGCGAGCCCATGAGATTACACTATTATATATTTTTACTGTATCTTTCTATGTTTAAATACGTTTCGATACACAATACTTACTATTGTGTTCCAACTGCCTACAGTATTCAGAACAGTCACGTGCTGTACAGGTGTATAGCCTAGGAGCAATAGGCTATCCCATACAGCCTAGGTGTGTACTAGGCTATACCATCTAAGTTTGTGTAGTACTCTCCTATATTGACATAACAACAAAGTTGCCTAACAACACATTTCTTAGAACATATCCCCATTGTTAAGCAACACGTGACTGTACATACATTTCCATTAACTCCTCAGCCCCCTCCAACTAGCTACCACCCCACTCTTCTCCCCTTCATAAGTAAATTTCTCCAAGAATCATTCATACCTTCTCTAATTCTCCACTTTTGGTTCACTTTTGAACTCACCACACCACTTCCACTGTGCCTCTAAAATCTCACCAAAGTTACTAGGGACCTTCCTGTTGCTAAGTCCAATGGGCATTTTCCGCAACTTTATGCTGACATCCCAGCAACATCTGACCCTGGTAACGGGTTCTTTCTTTCTTCCCATGGAGCATGTGGCATCATAACCTCTTGGAATTTTCCTTCTTTCCTCCTGGCCATTCCTTTGCAGTCCCTTCTGTAGGTTGCTTATCCTGTGTCCTAAATAACTTCCCTTCTCACGCTACACTTTCCTGGAGCTATCCAATCCTCTCCCCCGTTACAAGCAGCACCTACAGGCTCATGATCCCTAAACGTTGTTTGTATATTTCTCCTGAGCACCACAGCTCCGTGTCTAACCTTACCAGACAAGTCCCACATTCACCTGATATTCCAAGCCAAGCACCTAAGTGTCTTCCTTGACTCCCTTTCACCCACCACATCAAGCTTGTCCAACCTGTGGCCCAGGATGGCTTTGAATGAGGCCCAAATGAATTCGTAAACTTTCCTAAAACATTTTTTTTTTTTTTTGCGATTTTTTTTTTTTTTTTTTTTTTTTTAGCTCATCAGCTACCGTTAGCGTTAGTGTATTTTATGTGGGGTCCAAGACAATTCTTCTTCCACTGTGGCCCGGAGAAGCCAAAAGATTGGACATCCCTGCACCACATCAAATGAATCACTGAGGCCTGTCAAATCCACTTCCTAAATATTTCTAAATTCTCTCCACTTATCTCCCTTACTACTCTGCTAATTCAAGCCACCACATTGCTGGTTTAGATTACTGCAACAGGTTTTTCTCCTGTCACTCCCACATCGCACCAATCCATACTCTGTTCCACAGCAAGAATCATCTTTCTAAGCGACAATCTGATTATGTCACCCCCAGGCCAAATCCCCTGACCTCTAAATTCCTTAACTTGGGTTTTAAAAACCTTGCACAATCTGCTTCCTGCTTCTCTCTCCAGCCTATTATTTCACAATAGATCTTTCCCCTGGAATTCTGTGCTTTAGCCATACTGACATATTTTCAGTTCCTGAATGTGTCATGCTTTCTCTGGGCCCTTCAGCACATGCTCTTCTTTCTGACTAGAACGCTCTTCCTAGAGAGAGAGCTGCTTACTCTTCTAGAGTTACCTAGCTTAGACATCACCTCTTCAAACAAACATTCTTTGAATCTCATTCCACACAGTTAGCTGTTCACATAGTACCCCATTGTCCCACTGTTGCACAACTAAATATATGACATTGAAATGGTCTTGGAAATAGAGACAAGATCACTTTATTTTTTTAACCAACTGTAGACATTCTTAATACATTATACATATATTTGCTTATGTCTACAAATTTCATGAACATCCTGGTTATCCCTTGTTAGACTGTAAGTTCCATCAGAGCAGAAACTGTGCCTGTTGGGCCGGGCGCATTGGCTCACGCCTGTAATCCCAGCACTTTGGGAGGCTGAGGCGGGTGAATCACCTGAGGTCAGGAGTTCGAGACCAGCCTGACCAACATGGTGAAACCCCGTCTCTATTAAAAAATACAAAAATTAGGCCGGGCGTGGTGGCTCATGCCTGTAATCCCAGCACTTTGGGAGGCCGAGGAGGGCGGATCACAAGGTCAGGAGATCGAGACCATCCTGGCTAACACGGTGAAACCCCGCCTCTACTAAAATTACAAAAACAAAATTAGCCAGGCGTGGTGGTGGGTGCCTGTAGTCCCAGCTACTCCGGAGGCTGAGCCAGGAGAATGGCGTGAACCCGGGAGGTGGAGTCTGCAGTGAGCCTAGAACGCGCCACTGCACTCCAGCCAGGGTGACAGAGCGAGACTCTGTCTCAAAAAAAAACAAAACAAACAAACAAACAAACAAAAAACAAAAATTAGCCGGGCATGGTGGGGCATGCCTGTAATCCCAGCTACCTGGGAGGCTGACGCAGGAGAATCACTTGAACCTGGGAGGTGGAGGTTGCAGTGAGCCCATATTGCGCCACTCCACTGCACTCCAGCCTGGGCAACAGAGCAAGACTCCATCTCAAAAAAAAAAAAAAAAAAAAAAAAACAGAAAAAAAGAAAAAGAAACTGTGCCTGTTTCATGGGCATATCATCAATGCACACAGACCCTCAGACAATAGTAGAGTTATACATAAACTATTTGATGACATGATAGAGCTGTGTAACACTTCAGGATTTTTCCACAGATGTATGATAAAAAAGGAGGAAAGCAATTCTGTCATTTTTCCTCTACCACTTCATTCATCTGCACGTTAGCATTCAAGCTAATAAACCACACATGTCTATGAAGTTTGGTTTAGATCAGATAGTCATAGTCTTCTAATACTAAGTACATTTTGTAAAAAGAAAAAAAAACAAAGGTAGAACAAGGATTGTGCAAGTTTCACAAAGGTAATTATGGATGCCGATGCCAATGCCAGTAGTTGGAAAATAAAAATTCTCAATATCTTAATTCAACATCAGTAGCTGAGGAATGGTGACAGGAATGATTCTAAAAATAAAACAAAACATTCTAGGCAAACTCTAGGCCAAGGATACATTAAAGAATGAATTATACATTGCAACAGGAATTGTGACAGCTGTTTCTCCCCTCTCTAAGTAAAAATGTACCCAACCTACTTTTTATTCTAAGCAAAGACATAGTATCAAGATCTTCAAATACTGGCCAATACTTACAGCAAAGGGCCTTCTGCAGTCTTCGGAGTTTCATGGCAGTCCTATAAGCTGAGAATCTGACATTATTCAGGTCAGCTGAAAAGAGGGAAAACAAAGAGCATTTGTTATTCCATCAGAAATAACAGACAACCCACCCCCGACGCCCAGTGATTTGCCAATAACTACAACCACCACAAAAATAGCCTAGAAAACATATAGTGTGTATACGCCAAGCTTTCGGAGGTGAAAATTCTGTTAACGTGGGGAAAAGAAAAAATAATTCCTTTTGCCCTTTGACAACCAGGAAGGCTAAGTTCTGTGAAGACTAAAGTGGTATAGCCTGAAGGGCATTCATGTAGTCCTGTTCCCAAGAGGAAAGAGATGGACAGGCATTATTTTTTTCTAGAAAGTAATCTGGATCTACTGTAGTGAATCTTTTCTGCACAAGATTAAAGAGAACAAGAAATACATTATTTAAATAGCTATAAGACCTTAAACAATCAAGTGGCAATATAACATTTTTTCTGACTGTAGAAGTTATACATGCTCACTTTGGGTAACTTAGACATTTAACATATACATATATAATCAAATAAATCATCCACAAGCCCATAAACTCAAAAATAGGCACAACTGGCTGGATTCAGTGGCTCATGCCTGTAATCCCAACGCTTTGAGAGGCCAAGGTGGGAGGACTGCTTGAGGCCAGGAGCTTAAGACCAGCTTGGGCAACATAGTGAGATCCCATCTCTACAAAAAAAGTTTATATAAACCTTTTAAATAAGCACTGTTAACATTTTGAGTATTTTTTATCCAACATATGTGTCTATGTGTGTGATATGTATTTAAAAATATAATTAGGAATAAAATAAACATTTGGCTCTATATTCTAAGGTACAATCATTCTAATGTTCAGCACAGAATAACAACAATATATGTTACTGTGGTTTCTGCAGTCACCGGTCTATCAAGCCCTGACTCACGCCACCTAGCAGGAAGCTATATTTAGATGATGTTCTTACTCAAGTCTGCACAAGCCTTGATAGATACTGGGCTACATTTATTTCAGGAACTCAGCTCCAAAAAGCTCCTTGAAGACAAGAACTCTGTCACCTACTTCTGTCATTTTTCCTAGCAACTTAATATGCAACTGCCCTCTGAAAAAGCTGTTTTAATACAGATCATGGACCGACTGACCAACTGAATCAATAAACAAAAGAATGAAAGAAAGAAAAAGTACACTGACATACATGACTGCCATAATCAAATGACACCTACGAAACCAATTCTGATGAGGTGTTAGGAAAGGGCAATAATTCAATCCATATCCAAGTCACTTGGGTCAACATTTTCAGCTTTATGGCCATCGCAGAGACCAAACATAAAAGCCTGAATTTCAACTAGGGGAAAGAAAACAATGTCTGTAATTTAAACTATTCAGCATACAATTTTGTTTAAAAGACCGGAATACCAAATGTTGGTGAGGATATGGAGCGACTGGAATTCTCAGACACTGCTTGTTGGGAATGTACGACAACTTTGGGAAACCAGTTAGGCAGTTTCTTATGAAATTAAACACACATGTATATTATGACTCAAATATTCTTTTCCTGGATATTTGCACAGAATAAAAAAAAATGTATGTCCACAAAAAGATGTGTACATGAATATCCATAGCAGCTTTATTCATAATAGTCAAAAACCGGAAACCAACCAGTAAGGTAATGGATAAACAAGTTGTGGTAAAGTCATTCAGTGGGATACTACTGTGCAAAGTGCAATAAAAAGGAACTAACTACTGATAATGCAACAATGTGAACTGATCTGAAAAACACTAAGCTGGGTAAAAGAAGCCAGGCACAAAACAGTACATACTGTTTGATTTCACTTATATCAACTTCTAGAACAGGCAAAACTTAGCTACTATGCCAGATGGTAGCCTGGGGTGTGGTGGGAGTAGGTAACTGACCTCAAAGGAACACAAGGGTGTTTTCTAGGTGATCGAAATGTTATATCTTGATTGGCATGGTGGTTACACGAGTGTATACATTTGCCAAAATCTAACCTGAACACTTAAAATGGAAACATGTTATAGTGTTTAAATTATGCCCTGATAAGGTAAATTTTAAGAGTCTTTAAAAACCCTCACATGAACAGTACACTCTGATGTATGTGTGTGTTAGCTTAAGCTACACTGTAGAGGTGGTCAGTTGTCTTAATCAGGAGTGAACTCCAAGGGTGGTTGGCTAGCAATTAATCAAAAAGCCTCATGCCACAGGCGGCCACTGTAAGTGATTCAGTTATATTTAGCTCTTATTACACCAGGGGTTTCATTAATTTTCCTAATTAATAGTTAGACGGGCCTGTGTAGTGATATTAGTGGTTTGCAAAATATGAAGATTGTTGAAAAACATTTAGAAACACTCCCTGCCTTTAAATTGAGTTTAAGAAGAATCCAGTAGGTTCTCCATCTTTAGAAATGGTGCCCTAGGCTGAATTCCAAAATGTCCAGCTGTGGTTCACCGGATTCTTAGTTGCCAGAATTCAGTTAGATGGTTGAGGGAATCCTGCTGCTAGAACAATGGTTTTCAGACTTGAGCAAACATCAGAATCACCTGGAGTGGATAGTTTAAAGATGCAGATTTCCTAGGCCCCACCTCCAGATTTTCTAATTCAGTAGGTATGGGAAGGGCCTGGGAATCTGAATTTCTAGCAAGTTTCCAGGTGATGCTGATGCTGCTGGTCCAGGGACCACACTTTGAGAACCACTCTAATAGAGGACTGTGGCCTGTGTAGACTGTGAGCCTCTCACACCAAGCACCCCAAAAGACAGAACTGTGACTTCACTGTGTCTCTGGCACAGGCTGTAAGATTGTTTTGTACCCATTGGCTAATAAATGCTCCTAAGTGACAGAACTTGTACTGAGACTTGCTTTCTTTATAACCTGGCAGCCGAGAGGTAGTTAAGAGGGCAGTCCTCAACTACATCTAACCATGAATGACTACCAACACCAATTACAGAGAACCTGTGTGAGTCCTTGTTAGTCAAAGTGTGATTTGAGGAAGAATAGCATCAGTATCTGCTTGGAGCTTATGAGAAATGCAGAATCTCAGGCCCCACCCAGATCTGTGAATCCGAATCAATATTTTACTAAGAGCCTCTGGTGATTCATATGGAAGTTCTTTAAATGAATATTTTAATAAAGTTTCTTGTTCCGTGTTGTTAAACTTCAAGTATAAATTCTGTATACCAACACCATCCTGTGTTGTCTTTTGTTTTTCTATCTTTCTATCTTCCATTTTGTGGGCTTTTATTAATAGATTATTTAATAACTACTATAGTCAACTACACCAAAACCTCCCCTCTGGGATATATTTGTGAGTCTCTTGTTTATGATAAATACCAATAAAAAGTATTCAATAAATTAAAAGCATCTCGGAGTATCTTGAAATGCTATATATACAGATTGCTTCTTGAAGATAATTAACATTTGCCTGGACGCTGTCCTTTAGTGAGCAGAACTTGATCTAGTTGAGTCCCTTTAATTGTCCTTCTCTCTCTCTCCCCTAAAAGATGTGGTTCTTCCTTTGTCTCTTTTGCCCAGTCATCACTGCTTACTTTTTTAAGTGGTCTCAGCCAACTCATGGTATGAATTGTCTTGCGGCATCAATCCATGAGAAACCAATTCCTGTCCTCCCCTCCAGATTGGTGCAACATCCTTCACCAGTACCATCAAATTTTTCCTGTACTTGCTAGTGTGGAGTTCCCTTACACACACACTCATCATTGAGTCCCTTTGACTCTTTATAAAAAGAAATGTAGAGACGTGGAAATGCACTTTTGGTCAAATACAGATCCCTTTCCCATTAACACCAGCCTGTAGCAGTTTCCAGGGGATAAGCATCCAATCCCAAATTTTCTCTCATTCCTTTACTTATGCAAAAGTATTGAGTGTTAGTTTTGTGCCAGCCAAACATCTTGTAGAAGATATTGGCATAAAGTTTCTCTTCTTTTTTTCCCTTTCTAATCCTCCTTCTCCACTGCCTCGTAACTCATGTGCCTAGTTTCCTATCATCTTTCTTCTTTCAAAGAACGACGATTCCTCTCTTATGACCCCAATTCTACCCTCTTTTCCTATTTTCCTGGTTCTATTCAGCATTTAGAACAAATGGTCTAAATGAGGTCACAAGCTCCATCCAAATCTTAGCGTTCATATCAAGAATTGGCAAATTCCAGTAGCTAGAGATCCAAGTGGGAGAGGCAAGAATGATCTGATTCTTTCAGGGCATGAATATTAGTGTGGAACAGTATCAGAGTTCAAACTTTCTTCCCTTCTAAATACTTCTAACTATGACACATTCTGCCTCTAGTTAATCCTCCCTGACATCTTTTCAGCCTACCCCCAACCCACTGCAGTGAATAAGCCTTCTGCTACCAGTTTTCCACGCACCAAAGTCCAATCCATTCTCAAACAGTGATTCAGGCATACCAGAAGAAAGTAGCAGGGAATGCCTCCAGCTTTGTTCTTTTGGCTTAGGACTGACTTGGCAATGCGGGCTCTTTTTTGGTTCCATATGAACTTTAAAGTAGTTTTTTCCAATTCTGTGAAGAAAGTCATTGGTAGCTTGATGGGGATGGCATTGAATCTGTAAATTACCTTGGGCAGTATGACCATTTTCACGATATTGATTCTTCCTACCCATGAGCATGGAATGTTCTTCCATTTGTTTGTATCCTCTTTTATTTCCTTGAGCAGTGGTTTGTAGTTCTCCTTGAAGAGGTCCTTCACATTGTGGCATTATTCACAATAGCAAAGACTTGGAACCAACCCAAATGTCCAACAATGATAGACTGGATTAAGAAAATGTGGCACATATACACCATGGAATACTATGCAGCCATAAAAAAGGATGAGTTCATGTCCTTTGTAGGGACATGGATGAAATTGGAAATCATCATTCTCAGTAAACTATCGCAAGAACAAAAAACCAAACACCGCATATTCTCACTCATAGGTGGGAATTGAACAATGAGATCACATGGACACAGGAAGGGGAATATCACACTCTGGGGACTGTGGTGGGGTGGGGGGAGTGGGGGGGATAGCACTGGGTGATATACCTAATGCTAGATGACGAGTTAGTGGGTGCAGCGCACCAGCATGGCACATGTATACATATGTAACTAACCTGCACAATGTGCACATGTACCCTAAAACTTAAAGTATAATAAAAAAAAAATAAAAAAATAAAAAAAAAAAAAAAAGAAAGTAGCAGGGCAAACGTTTAGCTTCCATCACAATGCTACGGAAGCCATACAAATGTATATCTGGTAACTGTCAGTGAACTGCAACGGAGTTCTGGTGCCCTACAAGTCTACTACTCAAGAGAGTTAACTGCCTGTGTTGTTTGAGTCCGCATGTGTTGCTAGGAGTCTGCAGCACCACTCCCTCCGGCTTACAGCTGGAAGAGATAAGTCTCTGCCTTAGGAAAGTGTGTAGGATGCACACAGAAACCTCAAGATGCAATACAGCTGTGAACAATGTGACACTGTCCTGGGCTAAAGCTTGGGATGACTGTGTAGTGAAAGTATGTATGCAGTTTAATAAAGCTAAAGCCCCCCATTCCCGTGCCCCATGAGAGACTGTCCTCCACTTTCCCTGGGAGCTGACTTTCCAGGACTCTGATCCAAGTTGTAATGAGCTCACTAGCTCTCACAGCCGGAACTCAAGAGGAGTGAGACTATCCAAGAAACCAGTTACGCCATGTTTCCATGGCAGCTGGGAGAAAGCGCACTTCAGAAGGGTAAAAATGCTGAACTGCACATTTCTCTTCATAACTTGTATTATTTTATCCAGGGCTGGTTCTAGCCTATAAATAGAGAAATCTAGAAACGTAAGGAACAAGGGCAAACATCAAACCACCTACCTTCTCAAGTTGAATTTCCAACTACTGAAGTGATAGGCCATTCATCTTTTATTTTGAAACATGAAACAAGTAATAGGCTTCTCTTGCCCCTTTGTTTAGTCTATGCATTTTTCTTGACTTTGGTAAGTATTTCTGTTTTATGACTTTCACTTTTACTCTGTGTAATAGTAGCAGGTGTCAAAATTCACCAGAAAAGAGGAACAACTGGTCAAGTTTGCGTCACATATCTACATGTTACATGCTTTTGAAAAATAGTGAGAAACACCTCAGCATTTTAAAGCCATGGAAGCATTCCAAAGATATTACAGAAAAAAAACATTAAGTCCCTTCATTTCAATTTTATAGCTGGTTTCTGTCTTTTTAATAATACTGCAAAAATCCTACTATCTCTGACTGAACTGAGGTCTAGAATTTAAAACAAGGAGTGTTTTAGTCTATCTTTCCAATGGCTTATGGAGACTTTTTGGAAAGGCCTAAGGTTTCAATATGCCTATCTATTAGCTAGAAAGAACAATAATGACCTCATTAACTTTATGAGTGGAAAGAGCTGTACGGCTAAATGATTATTCCAACAGATAAATTGGTATAGTGGTCTTTGTTTCTTCATACCAACTCTATTTCCCAGAAGAAATTTAATCCAAATCTCCCAGGTGGTAAGTGAAAAATAAAATTTAGAGCACATATGCTTTTGGGGGAGTATTGTTCTAAATTCAGTGTTTGGCATACAATACGCATTGAACTACTACTGCCTGCCTATTTTACTAATTTTCCAAATTTTCCCAAGAAGCCAAAACAAGGCAGTCTCCCCACATACTCCTATTATAGAAAGGTGGCATATTTTAAAATATAATAATATGTCTCCAATTTTCCAGTCTCACTCCTCCAAAGGATTCTAATGGACTTTTCAGATGACAAGTATTATTCTTGCCAGCTCAAACTCACTAGAACAGACAAGAACCTTGGATCTTAATGAGACTTCAGACAAATTGAGTAATTTAAATCCAGTCTGTCTTGAAAGCAAATTAAGCCAAAATATCCAGGCTTCAGAAGTCTAGAATTATTGGGAGATCTTCAAGAACAGACCAGGAATTCTGGAACATATCTTTAAAGAATTAGCTGAGAGAAGAGGAACACTAACACATCATACTTGGTCTATAATTTTTTAGATATATTTGAGGCCTCTTAAAATCTCAACTCGTAAAAACCTCATCATCAACATAGAGCTTTACTTAAATGGGGGAAAAATAAACCTACACACAGATAAACAGGAATTATGCATTCATACTTAGATAAGTACAGAAAGTACAGTCTGTGAATTTATAATTACTATCAAGTTATGTTTCCAGATGTGAAATGGTATTACTTATTTATCACCAATGACTTTGTAAAACTCTTCTAAGAAATGAAGGAGAGGGCCAGGTGTGGTGGCTCACACCTGTAATCCCAGCACTTATGGAGGTCGAGGCGGGCGGATCACGAGGTCAGGAGTTCGAGAGCAGCCTGGCCAACATGGTGAAACCCCGTCTCTATTAAAAACACAAAAAAATTAGCCAGGCATGGTGGTGCACACCTGTAATCCTAGCTACTCAGGAGGCTGAAGCAGGATAATTGCTTGAACCCAGGAGGTGGAGGTTGTAGTGAGCTGAGATCGCACCACTGCACTTCAGCCTGGGCGACAGAATGAGACTCCATCTCAAGAAAAAAAAAAAAGGGAGAGAAGCAATAAAGTACCTAGTATGGCACAAATGTGGAAGACTCAGAATTGAGGAAAAGAGAAAAAGGTTATGAACCAAAAAATACTGAGAAGTTCAACTGTGAAATAAAAGATAGCACAAAATCCTGGCTGTGGATTGTTTAAGGCATTTCTGGCTCCCTCCTCTTGCTTGGCCTTCCTCAGCAGAATCTCACTACTTCTTAGCAACACTGTAATAATGGCAGAGTTGAAATTCAAATTAGTTTTGCTCATTGTTAGCTGCCCTGGTAAAAGGTTTGTTGAGAAAGCAGTTTCTGTAACAAATGGCCGATATAAAGTTTTCTGGGGGAGAACTGTGTATCTTAAGTACCATTTCTGGGGCCTGAATTCTGCCCCAGATAATGGAGGGCTGACTCATATAGGCACCACTGTGCCATGCTCCTTTAAATCAAGCTTCAAGAGCGGAAGGATCAGGGCTCTAACTCCCAAAACCTTCATTATATATAAAACATACAATCCATAATAATTATGGATCCATAAGGATAAATGTCTTCTAAAAAGCTACAAAGCAGTGTTGCCTGATCTTTTAAAAATCATTAGTATTATTTTAATATATAACATATATTATTTTAAATACATTTAAAATAGTACAAATGACATATTTAAATACATATTTTATATATTTATAACATATGTGTATTTAAATATGTATTTGAAGTAATACTACTGATTAAAAAAGACTCTTTAGGCAGAACTGTTTTATAACTGCTTAAAAGACATTCATCTATCCATAATCCTTTCATCTATCCTTTCAATATTTATTGTGCATGTACTATAAGCCAAGAACCATGCCAAGTACATGGAATACACTGGTAACCAAAATAAATCTCTGCCTTTATTGACTTTGCAGTGTAGCGAAGGAGATGGATAATAATCAAATATTCATATGTAGGCCAGGTGCGGTGGCTCGCGCCTGTAATCCCAGCCTTTGGGAGGCCAAGGCAGGCAGATCACCTGAGGTCAGAAGTTCGAGACCACCTGGGCCAACATGGCGAAACCCCGTCTCTACTAAAAATACAAAAAATTAGCTGGATGCGGCGGCAGGCACCTGTAATCCCAGCTACTACCTGGGAGGCTGAGGCAGGAGAATCGCTTGAACCTGGGAGGTGGAGGCTGCAGTGAGCCGAGATTGTGCCGTTGCACTCCAGCCTGGGCAACAAGAGCAAAACTCCGTCTCAAACAAACTAACAAACAAATATTCATATGTACTGTGGTAAAATGGTGAAGGAAACACACAGGAAGTGATGAGACTGTATACATAGGGAAACATAGGTCCGAGAGGCTTCTTGGAGAAGGTGACATTGAAGCAAAGACTTGAAGGATGATGGGAGCGTGCCAGGTAAGAACACAGCAGCGTAATAGGTCAGCACATGTTAAAAAAAAAAAAAAAAAAAAAAAAAAGCTCTGAAGCAGAGAAGAAGGTGGGGCTTTAAGAATCCTTAGAAGGCCAATATTGCTGAAATCTCAGAGAGGAAGGAGGAAGAGTGGGCACAGATAAGGCCTGACAGGTAGGCAGGGGGAGGCCCACTGCAGAGCCCTGCACATCGTGTGAAGGATTTTGGGTGTTGGGACTTCTAGTTAAACACAGCAGATGGAGCAGACTCATTTGTCTCTCTTTATCCCTGAAACTCTACCAGGTTGATAGAAGAGGAATAAAAAATGGCATTTACCCAAAAGAAAATTAACAAAACAGGAGAGGAGATGAGAACAGATCAGAGCTCCAGTATTTTGGTGGCTTAGAAAATGACCTGCTGGTAACCAACTTAGGAGACCAGAGAAATCCCAAGCTCAATTAATGATGTTGGGGAGACAAGGAGATTGGGGCAGGGAGTGGGAGGAACTAACAAGACGCATGCCAGTTTATGTAGCCAAGAAGTCTCAGAAATGAAAGGCTCCAGGTTCCTCTGAAGACTGAAATGTGGCTGAAAATACAAGGACTGGTTGAAAGTCTTTAGAGCCCTAAACACCTCCCCCACTTGGAGCCTAGCATCTCAGCCACCTGCTGCTTCATCCTGACAGAAGGCTGGAGGCTTAATCTCGAAGCTGCACCACACACCAGGGCGCATGAGGAGCAGTGAAATTTGGAAGTGGGAGAAGGCACTGGAAACAGAGGGATTACATACCAGCTCTGCATCCTGAAAGAAAGTAAATCTTCAAATTCATTTCCTTCATTTCCTACTCCTCAATTCCATATTTAGTCTGCTGTTTTCTGTTAACTCATTTTAAAAAGCTCTTCTACCTAAGCACTTTCTTTTTTGCCACCTTTATCTCCAGAAGGAACTTCAACTTCAGCAAGGTATGCAGCCATTAAATTGTTCCTCAATTATCATCCCTATATATCATATTCTTCATGCTGCAGTTACAACTACTCCAAATCAAATCAATGCACTTTCCTTGCAGTCTCCCTCTTGACAGGCGACTTACAGTCACACAGGCCACTCTGGCTGCTGGAATAAACAATACTATTCTCCTCCTTTGGCTCAGAACCTTCAGTCACTGCTCTCTCCTGTTTTTCTCAGTCACAACATGGGTAACTCAGCTACTTACAGAACTCTCAGAATGACACAAACTTATAAATTTACCCCAATCTCCTTCAACTCTATTCTCAACCTCATTAATTAACGAATCTTAACAGTCTCTCTTCATAAGTGAACACACATCCCAGATTCGCCAGGGCAGAGCCAGTTTAATTAAATTTTCCTCTTTGTTATAAAAGGTAAGACTCTAAAAATGATCAGATGTGACTTAATTCTTATACCTTTGCAAAGCCAAATTCACAGATTTTTTTTTTTAATGTTGTGCCTTAGCTTTTTTGGATTGCAAAAACATACTCTTCATAATATGGTTGACATTACCTATTTTGAATTTATCACTCTCTCTTACAGTTGAAAAATTTGTGGAAAGCGTATTTTAATGATGAAAATAAATAACAGTAAATTTCCTCATCTGCTTTAACCTCATCTTTTGCCCCTTCCTGTTTTAAAAAGTCTTAACTTAATTTTCCTAAAGGCTACCTTTTCTACCTTGGCCTTACCGCCGTCTCGGCTTACTTATTTCTCTGCCCTTATCTCCCAAGATTTCAACATATGATCTTTCTCCCAAAACTCCATTTCAATTACTTCTCTGGTAACCACAGACCAGAGGTCACCAACTGGTTGAATTTAGTCTGCAGACTCTTTTTTTGTGTGTGTGTGTGTTTGATTCGTTGGTCAGTTTGGGCTCACATAATGGTTTTTGAAATTGTTGAATGATACGCCATTAGTTAAAAATCTGGTGATTTCCCGTTGTCTTGCTTCTCTGGAAGAACCTGAAGACCTGACAATAGAGACTCACATTCTCATAGAACAGTCAGCTGCAACGGAGGCTCTGTTACCCTAACAGAAGCTTTTCAGGTTGCCCCAGTTCCCACCCAGTCACCTTCAGTCATTCAAATTACCAGCTTGGCCCCAGGAGGCATTTCTTTTCAGATCTTTGCCTCAGCCTGACCACTCCCTTGTTCTCCCAAAAGCTTTTACATTTACCCTTCAGTTACACTCTTTTTCAGGTCCCTGTCAAGGCTCTGACTGTGGAGTCCCTCCAATAAGTAGCTATTACCTGGCTGTCACTCAAATTACTCTATGGAAACAGTTGTTACTGGGTTTTCCCAAAACTTTCCAGCGATTAATTCTTTGGACTCCACCTTTTACTAATGCATTCAAACTAAATGATTGTGCTGCCAAAAATATTGCCTTAATACACTTACTGTTGCAGTACAAGAACAGGTAGGAAGACAGGCCAAAATCCATGAGTCTCCTGACTATATTTCATTAAGTGACAATTACTTCTGCATTTAAAATCATCAGTTGACGCTTACTTAAGCACCTATTATATGCCTAACTGTGTACTAAGCCCAGGGGTTAAAGATTCAGGTTTCTAAGATATTGGGGAAAACAAAAAGATTATTCACCCTGTAAAAAATCAGTACACGTATCCCAGGTATTTGTGATGTGTCAAGCAACACACACATACAAAACTCTGGTTATGTGAGTGTCAAAGAAAAACCAGAGATGGACGGTAAAGTGGTAAAAACAGATTTTATTCAGGAATATTGCAATAGTGGGAAAGAGACCTCAGTATAGAACTGGGCTCAACTCTGAATACAGCATGGACAAGTGGGAATTGATAGCCAAGGAGCAGGGTGGGGTTTGGTGGATGGAAAACTACTAAGAGAAAGCATGGGGGTAAGGGGGATTCTAGCTAAAAAAAACTTAACAGGAACCTTGCTGAAGACACAGGCCAGGGTGATCAGACGTCACATGGGGGATGGTGGAGGATGAGGAACCTGATCAGATACATAAGAGGAAGGTGGTTCTTGCTAAACTGATTTAGCAGGATTCTCGCTACAGCTGGATTTTTACAAAGAAGTGCACAGGTGGGCCTAGGAGAAGGTTCAGGAGTCTGGCTGAAGTTTGATCAAGTAGACAATCTTTATCATGAGGATGCTTATGTACATACAGAAACATATAATGAAAATAGACCATCGTGCAGTTTATATGTCAACCGCAAAGGTAGTTTCCAAGATGACATAAGCAGTATTCCAATGAACATTTTTAAGGTTAATGGCATTGGAAATTTCCTACATAAGCCATGTTACTCATGAAACAGTAATTTCTAAGCCCACAAAGGCTTAAATTTAGTTTAAATATCCAGTATACAATAAAAATAAAATCTATAGTAATACTGATAGAAATGACTGATGTAACTAATTAGAAATAGCTTTATTTTTCATTCTTATACTTGAGGGAAAAAAGATGAGAAAAATGCAGACTTCTGAAGAGGTCATGTTGTGTTCACTTATCCTTGGCATCTAGGGCAATAAATGATGGTGCTCAATAAATGTATTTGGAATAAAATTAGATTCTGAAAGGAACTTCCTTGCTTTTACCAGGTTTAAGCTGTCGATGACATTGATTTTACATCTAATTTTTCTTCAAATAATATAATTTTCCACTTCTATGGCTGAATCACTGGAATTATTATTTTTGCTTACTCCTTACAACCTGAGCTGGAGCTTCTTTTTTGAAACACACCTCACAAAGATATCAAGACTTTCCTAAGGAATAAAGGAATTGGGACAAAGAGAGAAAGAAAATAAATGGTCTAAAAAGAATGCTTATTTGCAAGGTGAATCCGCTGTATTTAATTGTGGCAGATAACTGTATGTTGGCTCACTCAACACCCCTTCCCAAATTCTTTCTCCTTGGTCTTTCTCTGCTACAAAGGCTGGAGGATCTCAATTCCCTGATCCAGCCAGGGGAAGCTGTGTGGACACAGTTTTGGCCAATGCTTGAGAAGATATCTGCAAGAAAGGATTTCCCTTCCCAAATGGAAAGACAAAGAGACTCTGAGGCTGAACGTCCTTTCTCTTTCTTCCTGCCTGAGAAGCAGCAGTCGTCTTGGAACCATCAGGACCAAAGTCACTCGTTAAAAATGGTACAGCAGAATAAACCATGGCCCAGGTCTCTGATGACATCACGGAACTCTTCCATAGCTCTCAACTACCTGCCTCCAGACTTCTTGTTCTACAAAAAATATCAACTCCTCTGTGTTTAAGATACAATTGGTCAGATATTTTATTAACTGCAACCAAAAGTCATCTCTAACTGACATGTTAATTGAACTGTAAGCAACAAAATGCAGAAGACTAAATAGGGAGCATCGTCCACCCCCGCAATCCTCCTTGCGGTGGAGAAATGACGTGAGCACTAAAGAGATCTTGGGTGGCAGAGATCTCCATCCTTGCTACCAGGTGGTGCCACTGATGCAGAACAGCTTGACAGCTAATTTAACGTTTAAAACAATTTTATAACAGAGGGCTTATATGGGTAAGGCACTCTTCTAGACAAAGTCTGCAAAGTGTTTAGCCATTTGTTTGGAATGGGACGTTCACAAGTCTGATTCTGCCCAGATGTAAGATAAGGATTGGAATTTAAAAACATACAAGTTACTTCTCTGGAAATTCACGTGTCAACCTATAAATGAACACATATAATCAACTAGTTTTTCATTAACTCTTTAGAGTTAATGAAATGTTCATAACTTCATCTCTAGTGCAAAATTTCCTCTTTATTTATAGCTCTTAAGATAAATGTTATTTAAAAAAATAGTTTTGGTAACTTCAACTAATCATATGTTTTGACAGTCAAATTAAGATTCTTCTCTACCCTTTATCTAACAGTAAACATTTTAGGTTCTGAGTGAAAATGATTTGCATCCTCCATCTGCCTCTTTCCATTTCTCTGGTGCCCAACATCAACACACCCCCAATATCCATGCCCTCTAATAATCATCATGAATAAAATGGATGCCAAAATGAACCACAGTAGAAATTAACCTTAGTTACCATGGGAAAAGCAAACTGACCTTCTTGCAAAAAACATTTTTGCAACATTTCTGTCTTAGGCTGGTATGCATGCTTTCACCTCATTAGGAAAGATACATTGTTTGGGTTTTGTTGATGTTGCTGTTTGAGAGGTGCAAGAAGAGAATCTGTTGAGTCTTTATGCATGAATAATGAGTCCAAGATAGAACACAATTCAAGATATTTAAGCATCTAGGATCATAGTAAACTATGCGTATCTCTGCTTTTTGTATACTCTAGCATAACAGAAGAGGGGAACAGGTGGTATGACTCAAATTGCCCATGCATGCAGAAGCATGTGATAGAGAATGTTTTCTTTTCACTGTTATGTGTTAACTTTTCTGGAGACTAGATGCTAATGATGAGATCCTGCTGAAGACACTAATATGTAAATCATTCCTTAAACAAAATTACTTAGCAGCTGCAGTTATGATAAAATAAATCAATGGTAGGAGATTTTCATTAGATAATGGACTGCCTGGCCCTCTGACATAGACTGAGGTGCTTTTAATAAAGGATGCCTGAAGCGTTCCTGTTTACCCTCTGTGTATCTGGACAATACATTTGAATCTGGAACCAATATTACCGGTACTCCGGGAAAATACTCTTTTTATTTTATTTTTATTTTTTTTAGACGGAGTCTCATTCTCTCGCCCAGGCTGGAATGCAGTGGCATGATCTCGGCTCACTGCAACCTCTGCCTCCTGGGTTCAAGTGATGCTTGTGCCTCAGCCTCCCAAGTAGCTGGTATTACAGGTGCCCACCACCACGCCCAGCTAATTTTCATATTTTTAGTAGAGATGAGGTTTCACCATGCTGGCCAGGCTGGTCTCGAACTCCCGACCTCAAGTGATCTGCCTGCCTTGGCCTCCCAAAGTGCTGAGATTACAGGCGTGAACTATTGTGCCCAGCCTTGAAAAGACTCTTCTTTATCACCTCAAAACTATGCTGCATTTGGGAGTTGCTTGATATAAAGCTTTACCAATTTGAAGATTCAATCCAAGAATCGGGCAGACTCTGAGTTCCTCTGCCCACCTCATGGATGGCCCTGAAGTCACAGGAGTGAGTTTGCCTTCTTTCTCCTCTCAGTGGCAATGACCACGGATTCCTTGTCTTTTGGATTGCCTCCTACTTCATAGCAGACAGGGCTCATTCCCCCTTTCTCTGCCTCTCTGTTTCTCTCACTTCTCACCTCAGCTTTCTTTTCAACACACTGGATCTGACCCAGCTTTTATTCTCCTCAGAATCCTGGACAAAACTACTTGAGGATAAACCTAAAGCAGCCCTTTTTTCCTAAGATGTAGGTGACTCTTACTTCAGCTCTTTTTGTATGCAAGTATTCCCTGTAGAGCCAAAGAGAAAAACGGAAGTGACAGGCCGATGGCAGAAGGAATACTAACATTCGCTGAGCACTCAAGGGCAAATGTCGTGTGTACCTGATACCATCGAGTCCTTACAAGGCCCTGAGTTCTGTATTATCAGCTTTGTTAAAGATAAAATGAGGCTCACAAATGTTTGGTAACTTCCCTACGGTTGCATCCCAGAGCCTGCATTCAAGACCAAATCTTTCTGACACTCAAAGCCTCTGATGGCCTTCCCCGCTTCTCCGCTACAGAACAAATGTCTTTCCTTACCCAGTGTAATCCTAATTAGCACAAGGGTGAATGGGCAGTAGTACCCTCAGAAGAACCATGATACCGGGCAAGGAGCAGAGGGTATGGGGTGAGGCAGAAACCCTTGCACAAGGACCACAGGGAGGGAAACTGACCAGTCAATGGGATGAGGGAGTGACCAGGAATGTAACTAGACCAATAATGATGAAGTTCCCAGTCCTCCTTATCTAGAGAAGTTTGCTGAATAATCAACACCTGCAGTACGAGTTTCTACCATTTTTCCTACAAAAGTTTTTTGCTCCCATAGAAACATACAGCTGCTTTCTATTTACATGGTGCAGTATATCAGGCACTCTGAGGGTTAACTAAGATTCTGTGACTTAGGGACCTAACCACCATTTATAACACATTTCATTCCAAATTGTATGCAACTGACTTACAAATAAACTTGGAACAGAGCCCGAGGGTAAGTTTGGAAAGGCCTAAATCTTGTCTCAAGGTGGGAATGTGGTTCTTGCCTGACTGCTGAGAAATTTAATGGTTACTGGGCAACCAGGAATTAAATAATTTGGGAAATTTTAACTCTACCTTTTTCTTATGAGTATTCTTTAGGGGAATATATATACTTTTTATTAAGAAAATGAAATACATGGTGCCTTAGAAATAGAATCTCTAATTTAAAATTTTCATTTTCCAAATGAGAGAACTAAGGACTAGAAAGCTCTTAGTAACTTGTTCTGAATTCCCTAGTCAGCTAGGAGAAAAACATCAACTAGAATCCAAGTCTTTTTCTCCCCAAGTGTGTATCCCTTCCCTGAGCAAGCCACAGAACAAAAATATAAAGGCTCATTCTAAGTGGGACTTCAAGTCTACTCATTCAGCTTAAGGGCTCCCAATTGCTCCCAATTCGAACAGAGGGCCCGTGAATTTCTTTAACCTTGACAAACATCTGACTGGAAAACAAATTTTCCCAAAAGCAAGCAGGGTCTAATTTTCCCCTGTTAAGAGTGGTTTCTAGACCTTGGCATCTTCTTAAATTTTTAAGATTCAGCTCCTCCTAACCCGCTCTGACATATAAAGTCATAGTGTTGTGAAGCAGACTGTGTTATAGAAGGAAGTCAGGAAGTAAGGATGTGAACATTTCTTTTAAAGAGTAGCAGCAGCCTCCATCCTGAATGAAGAAGCCAGGTCTCAGACACTCCCTTAGACGTGCCGCCTTTAAGAAAGGACATCCTCTCTGTACTTCTGATGATCAGCTTAATTTCCCATTTGAATAATGATTTTTTTGTTTGCTTCTGAAGTCATGAGAAGCAGTTAGCATTTATGAAGCTTTGAATGGTTGTCCAATTTGACTTAAAGGCCACGAGATGCTGATGTTAAACTTCGTACATTTATTTCTGGGTTCCTG
This sequence comes from Homo sapiens, assembly GCF_000001405.40. Taxonomy (NCBI): domain Eukaryota; kingdom Metazoa; phylum Chordata; class Mammalia; order Primates; family Hominidae; genus Homo; species Homo sapiens. The sequence continues at coordinate 31,240,128 of NC_000023.11, forward strand.
TCTTATTAAAACACTGACATAACTCTCCATAGTGCAAGTTTTCATTCACCATCTGTCAGTCTATTGCGCTACAGGAAAAAAAAAACTCCAGGTTAATTATGTAAAAGGTAATAGCATCAAAGAACAGAACATTGTGCCTATTATACTCTCAATGTGCAAAAATGGGCATATTTTTATGTGTATGTTTGTATATGCAAAAATATTTACAGAAGCAAACATAAAAACTATACTGTTAATTGTCTCTAGGAAGTAAAATTAGGGGATTGATACCAAGAGTGGTTGGAGACTTACTTTTCAATACTATCCTCTTACAATGTTTGATTTCTTAAAGTCATGTGCACTTTTTTTAATGATTGAGTATTAAATCTATCTATCTTCTTTTCAAGATTTCTCTATCTGGGATTTCTTCCAAATTCTTAGCTTCACCCGCTGTCCTTCAGGAGAGTACTATTGTACAATGGAAAAACTACTGGGTAGAGAAGAAAACTTAATGGGCTCTATTTATGTCTTTGCTGTAAAATAATAGTAATAATGGTTATCATTTATTAGGTGCTTACCCTATGTTTGCAATAAATAACATAAATTCTCAGGTTATCATTTATTAGGTGCTTACCCTATGTTTGCAATAAATAACATAAATTCTCATATAATTACCTTCAACTGTGATATCATTATTTCAATCCCATTTTATAAATAAGGAAACCAAAGGCCTAAGAAGTAAAATTCAAATCCATTTGACCCTAAAGCCCTTCCTCTTCATCACTATGGTCTCCCAATAAGCTTGGTCTAGTAACCTTAACTTTCCTAAGCTTCATTTTTTTTTTGTTCATTTTTAAAGGGAACAGTAATAGTACCTATTCCTAGGGCTGTTGCAAAACTAAGAGAGATAGTGTATCTCAAAAGCTCCAAAGAGGAGATGTATCTTGGATATATACTTGCTCAGTAAAAGTTAGGAACCTTTCTCTGCCCCTGTACTTCTTGTTATAAAGTATAATAAAAGTGCAAGTAATATTTTTATCATGCTGTGGACCAAACTCTTTCTTCGGTTCCCCTTTTCAAATGGCTTTAGAGTATTTCCTCTTCAAAATGCCACTGTCCCCTCTCAGGAAGAAAGTATAGCTGAGGGGCTAAATCGCTGGTTTAGGAGTTAAAAGTACACGTAAATCCCTGCTTTGCAATGTGAGAAAATTACCTATTTTCTCTGAGCCTCATCTGCACAATGGAGATACAAATATCTTTTACAGGGTTTTTGAAAGGATTAATGAGAAATATATGCTTATGGTATGGCAGCACATACATTTATATGAGCCACCAAAAATAAATTTTTCTAAGAAGAGAAATTGTAAATAAACCCATAAGTATGTAATTCAATCAAATTCATATCTATTCCCTGTTGCTCCGCTCAGTTTGCAATTTCCTCTTTTCCTCAATGGTATCACCATTCTCTGTGTCACCACGCCTTCAAATTTTGAAGACATATAACTCCCTTTTTCTTTAAAACCTGTCCAATCTGTGATTACCTTCTGGCAATTCTACCTTGTTAAGAAAAACCTCTGGAGTCACGTTCCCTTTTCCTTCCCCCATTGCTATCCTAAGACCCTCATCATGTCAATTACCTCAAAACAAAACGAAATAATCTCTCCCCTCTCTAACTGTCCTTAAACTCACCCACCAAATTCCTATTCCAAAACACAGAAGACGGACTTCATTATTTCTCTTTTCTGAAGATTTAACAATGTTTTTCCCATTGCCAATCAAATGCAATGTAAATTTCTCACTCTATAATTTAAGGCACTTAGTTCACCCCAGGGGCACTGAATCAGATTTCCCTTTTAAAAATCTGGAGTGGCCAGGCGCGGTGGCTCATTCTTGTAATCCCAGCACTTTAGGAAGCCGAGATGGGCAGATGGCTTGAGCTCAAGAGTTGAGAACAGCCTGGATAACATGGCAAAACCCTGTCTCTACCAAAAATACAAAAATTAGCCAGGTATGGCGGTGTGTGCCTGTAGTCCCAGCTGCCTGGGGGGCTGAGGCAGGAGAATCACTTGAGCCCAGGAGGTTGTGGCACCAGTGAGCCATGTTCGCACCACTGCACCCCAGCCTGGGCGACAAAGTGAGACCCTGTCTCAAAAAGCAAAAAAAAAAAAAAAAAAAAAAAAAAAAATCTGGAGTAGATTCTCAGAGAACAATGTCTTCACTGACTCGCAAACAAGCCAGTCTTTCATACCTTTGTTTATGCTGCTACACTATCTGGAATATCTTGGCCCTACATTTTACTTTACCTGAGTATTACAAAATTTCTTCCTAGAACAATGTTTTTTTCCACTCTCCAAACAACTCTCCCTAATTATTCTAATTAATACTGCTCTTCCTACCTATATAAGGTACCATACGTTTGACCTTAATCTTATTTAAGTTGGTGTACACGGTCTTGTAACATTTATTAACTGTTTTATTACTTCCCAATTTTATTTCCCCCAAAACACAGTAACATCTTTTGTGAAGCTGACATAGGCTTTTTTCAAAGGATTTCTTATACAACAGGTAGAAAGATAGCAGGCAACAATAAGATATGTGTGTGTGTGTGTGTGTGTGTGTGTGTGTGTGTCATATATAAATTTGAATGTATAAGCCTTCAGTCATTCCAACCTAAGACATCTAAAGTAACCTTGAAAAGCAAAATGGGTATACGTTGGCATTAATAAACGATACCACTAGCAATAAGAGAAGATAAAATAATATGGTTGTCATTTGGGTTCTACAGACAGAAAGGACTTAGAATAATGTAAGTGTTCCACCACCGGCCACAAGTAGACCTGGTACCATCTCCTTCACTCTCATAGGCAAGGAATTCTATCACATCATGAAGTCCGCTGCATGACCAGAGTCACGCCAGCTTGGGCAATGAACAGGGATCATGCCTTATACTTTTGTGCATTCTATTACCCAGAGAAAGGTTTTGAACATTCTAAGTACTCCATATTTATGGGGGAAAAAAATCAATGCCTCACAGAAAACTGTAAATGTAAACTGACCATATCTATGGTATACATGAGTCTTCCTCACCCAAGAGGCAGGAAGCAATCTTCCTTTTCTGTTAATAACTGAATAGCCTTTTATTAGGACAGCCACTGTAATTTAGGGCTCTGCATATATTTAAAAAATGTGAAGAAACAGGAGTTGGTATAGAGAATAAAATTTAATTTAATGGGTAGATAATAGATCCACTAAGGATGGATAAAGGGATAAGGCTTATTTAGCTGAAAAAAAATTAAACTGTACAGTATTTATGTAACCAGGAGGCTGTTACCAACTAGAGCCCCTCAACATAACACACAAAAAAGTGTGTATTATATCAGAAAAGTTTGGAAGAGTTGTGTTTGGTTAACTTCGTTTTGTTTTCACATTACTCAAAAAAGAAGAAAAACACCCAGCAGATATTTAAAAGAAAACATTTGTGGTCACTAGAAATAAAAAATACACAAATATTAACAATGAGATGGTTTAATTTTCCTTGTTACAATAGCAAAAGTAAAAATAATACTCCATGCTGGGAAGGACATGGTTAGATTGGCACTTTGAAGTATTATGAGTGTAAATGGCTACAGCCTTTTGAGAAAGTTTCAGGCAGTGCATTCCAAGAAGCTTAGAAACATTAACACCATTTGACTCAGTGATTCCACTTACATGAATCAAATGTAGAAAGGTGTTATGCATAAAGGTGTTCCTCAAAGTCTTACGTGGAACAGTAGAAAAATTGGAAACGACTATGGAAATAATTATCAGCTCTATATTCTTTAATTGCGTCTTGGCCAGAAAATGTAACTGAAGTAAGAGGCTACAAAAGCCTTAACTGACAGTTAGAAGCAAGAACCTTGAAAAGAACATGGGAACTGTACACACAAATGTTTTGAGAAGATAAAACAGTCTGCTAGCCATTCTACCTGGAGAGATAAGTTAAAGGTAACTAAATATTTACATATCAGTTATTATAAAAATTAAAACTTACAGAAACCCATCATAAAGTTGAGTTTCTGTATAAAATTGCTTGCTAAGAAGGGCAAAGTTGTTCCTGTAATTCGGAAAGTTTACAAGGATACTTGCCTTGTCACCTTGACACCATACATATTTGGTAAAGAAAATTTTATCCATTAAGATATTTGTGGTAGAAAACTATTGATTTAAATTCATAGCTATATTTTTCATAGGATAAATGTTACTTATCAACTTTCTGATAACTGACTGTCTGTTTTTGACCACACTGACTTTATTCTGTAACATCACTTATACATAAGTAGCTTGTTGGACAGAAGGTATTATAACACTTTACTTGGCTTTCTTCTCAGAAGCTTGTTAGTAATAAGCCTCCAGATTCTTAAAGATTTCCTTCCATAAATTCAACACGAATTTGACTTTTCTTTGTCACAATTTTCAAAAATTGGGAAATATTTTTTTACAAAAGTGGTACCCCAATAAACTGCAACTAGCGAAAAATAACATCTCTGAGGAACTAAGAATAAGAGAAGACTTATGATTACAGTAGGATACAACACTTTAAACATTCTATTATCTCAAACAACTATATAAAAATGCATAGGAAAGAAGACCGGAAGCAATCTTTTAAAATGTAAATAGTGGCTATTTCTGGGTACTGAGATGTGAGGTGATTTTCATTTTGTTTTTGCACTTCACCTTCTAAAATTTCTAGAATGAACATCCATGTTTTAATGTTCAATAAAAGTAAGATCATAAAAACTTCTATACCCTCAGTAAACGTTTTTCTCCTTGATATTTTTAGCCTGTTGCCCTAAAGTTTGAAAATACATGGCACGCTCTTAAATGTTTACTGAAGCAGGAAACCAATGAACGAACGAGGCCATCAGCACATCAAATTGTGTTCAGTGTTTCCTTTCTTTGTCATATAAATTCTGAATCCATAGTGACACTTTTTACGGGTCTTATTTCTCCTTATCAATTAATTATTCCTTTTAGGGCAAAATTAATTCCAGAATAGCAGTTCACTTGGTTTTGCTAAGATAACAAATTGCCAATAAAATCTACAACTTAACTGATATTCCCTATTTTAATTACTTTGAGGCTTTATCTTCTACTTTCTGGAAAGAACTCCATCTCTCCAGAGTTCCATCTTGCCAGTTTAATAATCCGCCTTAGAAAACCCTCATCTGTATCTTTCCATCTTCTTGAGTGGTATTTGTTTTCCTCCCGAGCAAAATCACTCTCCCTTGCTCTACTGTGCTTCATTCAATGAACAATTATTTTTTCAGAGGCTACCATGCACCAGGCACTGGTGACAAAGATGAGGAAGACAGTTCCTGCTTTAAAGAGGCTCATTACAGGCTCATCTCATTAAATTGCACTTTGCTGTATTGCACTTTGTGAAAATTGCATTGTTTACAAACTGAAGGTTTGTGGCAATCCTGTGTTGAGCATGTCTATGGACATTTTTCCAGCAGCATGTGCTCACTTTGGGTCTGTGTCTCGTTTTGAAAATTCCCTCAATATTTCAAATTTGTCATTATTTTTATATCTATTATGGTGAATCGTGATCAGTAATCGTTGATGTTACTACTGAAATTGTTTTGGGGTGCAACTAACCACACCCACATAAGATGGCAAACTTAATTGATCAACGTCATACGTGTTCTGACTGCTCCACCGACCAGCTGTTCCCCCATCTCTTTCCCTCTCCTCTGGCCTTCCTGTTCTGAGACACAACAATATTAAAATCAGGGTAATTAATAACCCTACAATGGCCTCTAAGTGTTCAAGGGAAGAAAGAGCCATACCTCTGTCACTTTACATCAGAAGCTATTAATGATTGAGCTTAGTGAGGAAAGCATGTTGAAAGATGAGACAGACTGAAAGCTAGGCCTCTCATGCCAAACAGTCAAGTTGTGAATGCAAAGGAAAAGTTAATGAAGGAAATTAAAAGTACTACCCTGCGAGCACACAAATGATAAGAAAGTAAAACAGCCTTATTCCTGATATGGAGAAAGTTTGAGTGCTCTGAATAGAAGATCAAACTAGCCACAACATTTCTTTAAGCCAAAGCCTAATCCAGAGCAAAACCTTAACTCCCTTCAATTCTATGAAGGCTAAAAGAGATGAGGAAGCTGCAGAAGAAAAGTTGGAAGCTAGTAGAGGTTGCTTCAAGAAGCTTAAGGAAACAAGCCATATCCATAACATTAAGGTGCAAGATGAAGCAGCAAGCATTGATGCAGAAGCTGCAGCCAAGTTTTCCAGATGAAGCTAAGGTCATGGATGAAGGTGGCTACAACGAACAACAGATTTTCAACATAGATGAAACAGCCTTCTATTTAAAGGTGATACTATCTAGGACTTTCATAGCTCTAGAGGAGAAATCAATGACTGCCTTCAAAGCTTCAATGGACAGGCTGTATCTCTTAGTAGGGCCTAATGCAGCTGGTGACTAAGTTGAAGCCAATGCTCATCTACCATTCTGAAATCACAGGGCCCTTAAGAATTATGTGAAATCAGGCCGGGCACAGTGGCTCATGCCTGTAATCCCAGCACTTTGGGAGGCTGAGGCGGGCAGATCACGAGGTCAGGAGTTGGAGACCAGCCTGGCCAACATGGTGAAACCCCGTCTCCACTAAAAATACAAAAATTAACCAGGTGTGGTGGCAGACGCCTGTAATCCCAGCTACTCAGGAGGCTGAGGCAGGAGAATTGCTTGAACCCGGGAGGTGGAGGTTGCAGTGAGCCAAGATCGTACCACTGCACTCCAGCCTGGGTGACAGAGCAAGACTCCGTCTTGGAAGGAAAAAAAAAAAAGGAATTATGTGAAATCTACTTTGCCTGTGCTGTATAAATGGAAAAACAAAGCTTGGATGACAGCGTATCTGTTTACGGCATGGTTTACTGAATATTTCAAGCTCACTGTAAGACCTAGTGTTCAAAATAGGTTTCCTTTCAAAATATAACTGCTCACTGACAATGCACCTTGTCACCCAAAAGCTTGGATGGAGATGTACAAAGAGATTCACGTTTTCATGCCCGCTTACACAACATCCATTCTGTAGCCCAAGGATTAAGAAAAAATTGTGACTTTCAACTCTTATTAGTTGAGAAATATTTTGTAAGGCTATAGCTTGACATAGACAGTGATTCCTCTGATGGATCTGGGCAAAGTAAATGGAAAATCTCTGGAAGTCAGGTGTGGTGGCTCACGGCTGTAATCCCAGCACTTTGGGAGGCCGAGGCAGGTGGATCATGAGGTCAGGAGTTTGAGACCAGCCTGGCCAAAATGGTGAAACCCCGTCTCTACTAAAAATACAAAAATTAGCCGGGCGTAGTGGCACACGCCTGTAGTCCCAGCTACTCGGGAAGCTGAGGCAGAAGAATCACTTGAACCCAGGAAGGCAGAGGTTGCAGTGAGCCTAGATCACGCCACTGCACTCCAGCCTGGACAACATAGCAAGACTGTGTCTCAAAAAAAAAAAAAAAAAAAATCTCTGGAAGTGATTCTTGATGCCATTAAGAACATTTGTGATTGATAGGAGGTCGTCAAAATATCAACATTACCAGGAGTTTGGAAGACGTTGATTCCAACCCTCATGGATGACTGTCAGGGGTTCAAGACTTCAGTGGAGGATGTAACTGCAGATGTAGTGGAAACAGGAAGAAAATTGAAATCACAAGTGGGGCGTGAAGATATGGCTGAATTGCTGCAATTTCATGATCAAACTTTAATGGATAGGGAGTTGCTACTTATGGATGAGCAAAGTAAGTGGTTTCATGAGATAGTATCACATTCTACAGAGAAATCTTTCACAAAAGGAAGAGTCAACTGAGTGGCAGTCTTCATTGTTGTCTTATTTTAAGAAATTGCCACAGCCACCCCAACCTTCAGCAACCACCATGCTGTGCAGCCATCAACATCGAGGCAAGACCCTCCACCAGCAAAAGGATCATTACTGGCTGAAGGCTCAGGTGATCGTTAGCTTTTTTAACAATAAAGTATTTTAAATTAAGGTATGTACATTGTTTTTTAAGACATAATGCTGTTGCACACTTACTAGACTACATTATAGAGTAAACATAACTTATATGTACTAGAAAACCAAAACACTTGTGTGACTTACTTTATTGTGATATTTGCTTTACTGAAGTGTTCTGGAACTGAACCTGCAAAATCTCCAAGGTATGTCTGTATTTAGTCTTGAGAGTCATGAGCATAAACACCTGTAAACGTCGCAAGTACTTTCATCAAATGCATGGAAGCTTATCCTTAGTGTTTGGACTTCTCTGCAGATAATTTGTTTTAATTGCTACCTCCTCTCCTTTAAGATCAGTTTCCTTTGAACCCAGGATGTCCTTCTGGTATCTTATCTATGTCACCTCAAACTCCTATGAAAGCTTTTTAGTTTTTTTATGTTTCTTGTTCCCGAAATATCTGCATAGAGGGTTGGTTGCCTTACTGTCCATGGGATCTCCTGTACTTCAATCATTTGCTTGTTGGTTTTTGATACTTTCTCTGCCTTTTCTCTGCTCTGCTGTTTATTACAGTACATTTTCCTGCTCCCTTACCAATTGGCTTCCAAGTAAGTTTGGCCAATAGGAGTCACTGGCAGAAGCCTAGAGGGCAGGCGGAAAGGAGAAGCCGGGCGTACTTCCTTTTTCATTCTACCTCCGGCAATAGGTCTGGCTAACTGTGTCTCCTTCCTGGCTCCAGCTCCCTCGGAGCCCCTCCCTCATTGGTCCCAGCTGGCCAAAGGTTCCAACTCCGCCTTGATGCCCATGACATCTGGGGCTCTGGTGATACCACCTCTTGTCATTGTCCCTCCAGCCCTAGGTATAACAGAAACTTCATGCTGTGTGTGTGGCTTCTCAGCACTTCCATTCTTGAGTAACCAATTTCCCGCATTAAATTCCCTTTGTTTGAAATAACTAGAGGGTTTATGTTTTCTGACCAGGCAGACCCTGATTGATACATCTTCCAAATCAAAAACCTTAGTATAAAAAACCTTCAACATACCATATAAGGCTTTTCACAGTTTTAGCCCTCCTCATCTCTACAGCCATTCTGTGATACCTCCACTACCACAGACTAGTACCACCATCATTTATTAGATATTTATGCTCTTTTTTGAGACAGAGTCTCACTCTGTTGCCCAGGCTGAAGTGCAGTGGTGCGATCTTGGCTCACTGCAACCCGTGCCTCCCAGGTTCAAGCAATTCTCCTGCCTCAGCTTCCCGAGTATCTGGTACTACAGGCAGACGCCACCACTTCTGGCTTTTTTAAATTTTTATTTTAGTAGAGATGGGGTTTCACCGTGTTGCCCAGGCTGGTCTCGAACTCCTGACCTCAGGTGATCCACCTGCCTCGGCCTCCCAAAGTGTAGTCTTTTTTATCCTGAATGATATATTATTTTAGAATTGGGGGAGGGCAAACAACACAGTACAAAATGTATTATTTTAATTTGCATGTCAAATTAAAGTACGTGTATGCTTTCCAAAAGTTAGGATAAATTGTGATCAGGTGATCTTTATCACCTTGGTTAAGAAGTAAAATACTTCAGAAAAATTTAGTGGCTCCTTGAGTGTCAAATGTGAAGACCTAAACCTAGGTGTCTCTCACTATCTGAATTCTTGGTATCTCAATTCAGGAACCCAATAGATTATTAAATAAGGAGAGACACTGGTATATGATAATAATAACTAATAATAATAATGCATATCACTAATAGCAATTATAATTCCTTGAGCAGTTACTACATCAGACATTCTGTTACCTTACATATGTCATTCTAATCCTCACAACACAAGATAAGTCTCATCATAACTATTTAATACATCACATAACTGAGGTTTAAAATTATTAGTGGCTTCCTTTTTGACCACAGAGAACTGGTGACAGAATCAGAATTTAAATCCAGCCTCAAAGTCAATGAACAATTTTGTTGCTGCAAAACATTGCCTCCAAACCTAAACTCATAAAGTGACAATAGGAAAGTCACAGTATAATCAATTAGTTCCCCCACTGAATGCACCCCATAAAGAGTGCATATATCACAGTTTATATTCTAGATAAAAGCAAACCTGTATTTTAAACTTATCACATTATATACATTATATTTAATTATAGGGGGTGCGAGAGACATTAAACTAGGCAGCAGTGGCTCTGCCGCTTAATCTCTGGTTCCTTCCTGTAACACAATGATTTCTATGCTTTGTCTTCTAAAACAATTGCTAAGGAGAGCTACCAAGTGGGAAAGAAAATAGATCCCTCCTCTGCCTGAACTTGACTCAACTGGCAAAACATTAAACCGCATAAATAACATTTTCAGGTGTTCCTGTTTGGTTAATTATCCTCCCCCGACCTGAGTCACTTGATTTGAGTTTACATTTATACTTTCAAAAATTAAGTGCTCTAGAACAGTGCTACTCAAAATATGGTCTTTCACAAGCATAGATATGGACAGTGTGTTAAGTAACTTCTATAGCAATTTGACATTGCCATGACATCCAAATTCATGATCAATGAATTCATCTCATGGAGCAGGGTACAGACGAGGTCAAGTGTTGTTGAACTTGACTGTTGAGTTACATGTGGTGTGAATGCATACTTGTCAGTTTCATTAGCACCACCTAAAAATCTGTGATGTGTAGTATGTTAAAAACCACCACCGCGGCTGGGTGCAGTGGTTCACGCCTGTAATCCCAGCAGTTTGGGAGGCGGAGGCTGGCAGATCATGAGGTCAAGAGATCGAGACCATCCTAGCCAACATGGTGAAACCCCGTCTCTACTAAAAATGCAAAAATTAGCTGGGTGTGGTGGTGCACACCTGTAATCCCAGCTACTCGGGAGGCTGAGGCAGGAAAATCGCTTGAACCCGGGAGGCAGAGTTTGCAGTGAGCTAAAATCGCACCACTGCACTCCAGCCTGGCAACAGAGCAAGACTCTGTCTCAAAAAAACAAAAAAAAAAACCCACCACCAACAAAAACCTGGCCCTTCACCAGTTTGAGAAGCACTGCTCTTCAGTGATAGCTTCTTTTTTTTTTTTTCTAAGACAACGTCTTGCTATATTGCCCAGGCTGGACTCAAATTCCTGGGCTCAAGGGATCCTTCTGCCTCAGCCTCTGGAAGCGCTGGGACTACAGGTGCGTGCCACCATGCCTGGCCTTAAAGTGATAGCCTCTTTACAGACCAAGAAAGTAAAATATAAAAACAATCACTTTCTTACCAAAATTAATGCTTGGTAAAGAAATCTGTATGTAAATATATCAATATAAGCAACATTTGTCTCCGTTATATAAGCTTCTATTTATGAGGGGGTGTAATGACTTTCCTGGAGTTATGCAAGCGATGAACGCTTTGTGGAATAGCAAATTTTGAAACATTCCCACAGAATATCACCAATTCATAAATAAGCTAATGATTCATCCACTATGTCATAAGAGAGACTTTCAGAATATTTTTAGGTCATTTTATTACTACCGTAGAGGGTACAGACTTTAAAAACTATCTATTTTATGTGAGTGCTCTGACTGTTCTGAATCTCTTTCCAGCAAAATTGCAGCTCCCAAGAGACATACAGAGGTAATCAGACTTGTGGGCTTAAAAAAGAAATATTGGAAATGTCTGAATAAGAGCAGACACGTTTTTAGATGCCTTTACTCTGTGTGCAAAAATCATCTTCTGCAGATCCAGCTACATAAAATTGTACATATCCAGCACTTTTCTTCTAGCTGCAGGTGTAACCTTAATGTTCCTCTTATTTAGATCAGTAAACTACAATTTGGCAGCTCTTTTAAAACTGTAAACCAGTCAAAGTCTAAGGAACAATTCTTTTTGAGTTTCCTTCTGAAATAAGCTTGGAGAGATGCAATTCAGAAATATCTATTATGTTCTTCAATTAGAAGCTTTAAATCAAGTTATTTGAACAAGAAAAAATATTATAATATTTAGAACAGTCCATTAAAATGCCATAAATTTTGATTTGGAAGTTACATTTCTATTTTACAAATGGGGAAAGTCAATGGATCCTAATCAAAGTTAAAAGAGCAGATTATTTTTCTTTTTTCTTTTATAAGCTGAATAGTAAAGGAAGAACATTTATAACAGCCTTAATAACAAATTTGAGTAAATCTCCTGTGCTAATTTTGTCAGCTAGGGAATAAAGAATGTCATATGGATTCCAGTTTAATTATGCCGATAAAGCAGTTTTATAAATCATGCTAAGAGTAATGGATGTTCCTTTGAGAACAGAGAACTCGGAGTTTGTAAAATGTGTGTTCTGGACTTGGTTCCTTATCTTCTACCATAGTGAGTATAAATCAAATCAAGTCTTGAGTCTCAGTCTGCTCAAGTCCAAATGGAAAGAAGGGAAAAGTTGCCCCATCCACCGGTATGGTAGCATTATTTCCCAAATCAAAAACTGGAAGGACACTCAAAGGGATGACAGGACAAAAAATCTGAAACTGAAATTGATAGAAAATCCAGGTCATATGCCACCTACTCTATAGCTGTGTGAGGATTAAATATGGTTATTTCTGAAAACTCTTCGCCATTGTAAAGTGCTACACAAATAAAGTACAATTATTACAAATATGATTATAGGCTAGGAGCGGTGGCTCACGCCTGTAATCTCAGCACTCTGGGAGGCCGAGGCGGGTGGATCATGAGGTCAAGAGATCGAGACCATCCTGGCCAACATGGTGAAACCCCGTCTCTACTAAAAATACAAAAATTAGCTGAGCATGGTGGCGGGAGGCTGCTGAGGCAGGAGAATCGCTTGAACGCGGGCGGTGGAGGTTGCAGTGAGATGAGATCGTGCAACTGCACTCCAGCCTGGCGACAGAGTGAGACTCCGTCTCAAAAAAAAAAAATTAAATTAATAAATATGATTATCCTATTATTCATATCCTTTAGGTTGGTGGTGACAAAGAGGAACTGGGGGTTTAGGGCTGACAACATTCATACAACCAAGCTTTACTCTAGCCAGGGGTTAAAACAAAACCAGTCATTTAATGATGAAAGATCACTGGCCAACATGACATATAAGAAAATGAAGACCAATAGAAAGCAAGGGACTTGCCCGAGGTCACACCAAAGCTGGCATCTGAATCTAGCTATCCTTTCCAGTTCAAAGCGTTATGGCAGTAAAAAGTCAAAAGGCAGAGGTTTTAACACTGAGCAATATATTAAGGAACTAGAAGCAAGAGCCAAGGAAAGCTAAATATTGAGTAGCTTAGTGGAGAACAGTTTAGTTCACAAAATATGCTGAGAAAAGCATTAGGACAAGCTCCTAATGCAAAAGGAAGGAATTCATAGTCATTCAGAATCCTGCAGTTTCTAACCCAAGAGCATCCTCAGGAGGGAATACTTAATGGAATGTAGAAAGCCTATCAAAAGAGGAGAGTGAACAAATAACTACAATATCCCTTCCTCTTGGGCAAGCTGAGGAAAGAGGTACAAGGATTTTGATAGCAGTGTTTTTAACTCTCTTGCAAATTGCTGATTTATAATGATATTGATGTATCTTTAAAAAGCTTTTAGCCCCATTGACTTAACTAGGACTTAACTAGTTCTCCTAACTAGAACTGCTGAAGAATCACACCCCTAACCTCAGGCCCAGCAGACCCTAAAATTAAACCCTCATTTTAACATTCTGAAGCTCTCTGCAAACCATAGACATGAAGCTAAGGGCTACGTGCTGATAGACTGCCTTCAAATCTTATGGTTTTTAAAGACCACTTTTCCTAAGAATTCCAAAAACACTCAGAAGTCCATTTTTGAAAATTGAGAGCTTTCGCATCATTCAGGTGAGCATCATGCTGGATAGTAGGATCCAAAAATTGGGCAACAGATTAAAAAGGGCTAGATCCTTCTGAAGAACGCTATAACTTAAGAAAAGGAAAACCAGTACCCCTTGAGAAAACACTTGTGGTTAAGAGGGCTTCAATGAAGGAAAAGGAAATTGGAATAAGTAACACCAGAACATACGGTGCATCTAGATTTTAATAAACTGCTTGAAATAAAATCAGCTTTCTGAAGTGCAGCGATTCTCTCTTCACATTATCCTATTTTTACCTACATGTCTCCTTCATAAACTGGTCTTCTTGTACTATACTGACAGTATCACAAATGCAAAAAAACTCACATTGTAATTTAAAAAGGAACCATTGGGGAACCACATATTTTATTGTATTTATAATTAAGAGACCCCCCCCCAATAAGACAGGCTAAGAAATAATGTTTTTAAACAGGGTCTCGTTCTGTTGCCCAGGCTGGAGTGCAGTGATGTAACCTCGGCTCACTGCAGTCTCGTCCTCCCGGGCTCAAGCGACCCTCCCACCTCAGCCTCCTGAGTATCTGGGACTACAGGCACATGCCACCATGCTCGGCTAATTTTTGTATTTTTTGTAGAGATGGGGAGACGGGGTTTCACCACGTTGCCCAGGCTGGTCTTGAACTCCTGAGCTCAAGTGAGCTGCTCGCCTCGGCCTCCAAAAGTGCTAGGATTACAAATGTGAGCCACTGTGCCCAGCCTAAATTCTACTCTGTTGGTCAGTATATCTGTCCATATGTAAATACTCTTGATTACTTAAATTTGTAGTAAGATTTGACATTGGAAATTGTGAAGGCCAGGTGCAGTGGCTCACCCTTGGGATCTCAGAGCTGTGGGAGGCCAAGGTGGGAGGATCGCTTGAGCCCAAGAGTTTGAGACCAGGCTGGGCAACATGGTAAGACCTCCATCTCTACAAAAAATTTAAAAAAAGATTAGCCAGACACGGTGGCACACGGCTATAGTCCCAGCTACTTGGAAGGCTGAGGTGGGAGGGTCACTTGAGCCTGGGTGTTCAAAGCTGCAGTGAGCCATGATCAGGCCACTGCACTCCAGTCTATGTGACAGAGCAAGATGCTGTCAAAAAAAAAAAAAAAAACCCCAATAAAAGTATCTCTAAGCAGCATATATTATGTGTGTGGGGGCAGGGTGAGCTTTTTAAAAAATATTTTCTTAAAATTTCAGTAATGAACTTAGGGACCTAGACATAAATTGTGAGAAAAGGACAGGCTTTTAACCACATAATTGCACTTCATGTAAATCAATATTATATTAGTATTTCAAAATAAATTCCAGAGCATATTACTATCTAACATCTACTGATGTTGTAAATGCTTTCTGGAGCCTTGAAGAGCTCAGAGTTTTAAATCACCAAGCTAACCTATTGGAACAGTCTTTCCATTACATTTGTAAAAATGCTAATAGAAATCTAAAACTCACCTCATGAATCAAACATATTATTACTTCTAGGGAGTGACGAAGAATGTACCCTCTCAATAACAAATGAATGACCCAGAGGAGTCTAATGGGAAATATCTCAAGAGCCTCTCTATTTGACAACAGCTTGCCTCACTCAGCCTGTAAGACACGGATGGGTGGCATAATCTTCTCCTGTTGTTTGTTTTCTCAGAATGTACATTTTAAAACATAGGAATGATTACATTTTTAGAAATCCACTTGTCTGCAGAGTTAGCCGAAAGGTACCTCTTGAAAAATAATGATCACAGCAAGTTTAGAAACAGCCTGCCCCACCCTCAGCCCAAAGTAAAAGAAAAACAAAAATCTTAGACACTTGTCCAATATCGTTACTTTTTTTTTTTTTTTTTTTTTTTGAGATGGAGTTTCACTCTTGTTGCCCAGGAGGGAGTGCTACAGCGTGATCTCAGCTCATTGCAACCTCCGACTCCTGGGTTCAAGTGATTCTTCAGCCTCGGCCTCTTGAGTAGCTGGGATTACAGGCATGTGCCACCACACCTGGCTAATTTTTTGTTTTTTTAGTAAAGATGGGGTTTCACCATGTTAGCCAGGAAGGTCTTGATCTCCTGACTCAGGTGATCCGCCCACCTCGACCTCCCAAAGTGCTGGGATTACAGGCGTGAGCCACCGTGCCCAGCCCCAATATCCTCACATTTTAAAGATAAAGCACCAAGGTCTACAAAAAATAGACATGAGACACTTGGTCTCTTATATCCCACTTACTCCACTACTATTCTCTACTACCATTCTATGACTATTGGGGGTAGTCACAGACAAATGCTGAAAGAAAACTGATTTCCAGTTGCTTTTAGTGATTTATTCCCTGTGAAAATCCAAGACAATGCTTTTGTCAAACCATTAATGTGATGTAAAAAATTTTCTGGGGACTCAAATTCCTAATGACTGTTCAGTCATCATAGTGAACCTTTAAATTATTTCTTTACTATGTCTTGCTTTGTTTGTGTAGGACTCTGGCAATATTTTCTCTCAATTTTTTGTGTAGGTACACAGCCGATAAATGAGGGAAACACAATATTTCTAACACTTGATGGAAACCTCCTCTGCAAAGCCATTTTAGATCTGTTGGAAATAATCTAAAATTAATTATCTTATATTGTTTTTTATCTATTTTTTAATCAAAAAAGTTCTATTTTCTCTACCACTAAAATGTCTACATCTGCATTTTTCACAACTGGACATACAGACTAAAAATACATGAGATGATCTCTTTGAGTTTAAAGTTACCTGACAAAGTCCATGAGAATCAGGGTCCTTAAGTATAAATTATCTACATATATGTGGGGCGTGTGTGTGTGTGTGTGTGTGTGTGTGTGTGGCTACTGCTGCTTTTCTGTCATAAGTTCTCATTAGTTAATGAATTGTAGCTATAGAGACACTAAGTAAGAAATGGAATGGGGGTATCGACGAAGAAACTTTTTTACCAAACATCTAACTGTAAATAATATAAATTCATTGTAGAAAATCAGTGGAAAAGGAATGAAAAAGAAAACCACCCAGAATGTATTAGAGAGCTCCAATGGTAATATCTCAAGCAATATTATAGCTTTTCATCAGTAAATACTTGCTACTTTTTCAGTTCTAACAAAATGTTTTCACCTTCTAATCCTATTGTGTTCAAACCCTGGGTGCAGGGGAACACCTGAATGCTTTTGAGGGCAAGGCAGGTAACATAAACATGTGTTGAACAGGCTGCTTGGGAACTTTGGCAAATTAGAGAATGGAAATCTCCTTAGAAGTGGGCGTCTCTAGGAATGTGTAACCTACCATGCATACTGTGAACCACTGTAGCTTCCACGGTAGAGTATGCCTGGAGTGGGGGTACAGAGGGAAAAAGCAACATCTTGATATTTTCAGCACCTCACCAGAGACATGAGGTTCAGGTTCGATTAGGAGAGGGGGCTAGATGTGGTCTTAAACATTTGACACGCCAGACCACAACACCATTTCTGCTTTCAAGATACCTTTCACCAACTGACTGTAGTTGAAGGCTTCCGACCATTTCATCCAGCTCAAAGAGCAATTTGGACCTAAAGGGATACCTCT
The DNA here is from genome assembly GCF_000001405.40 of Homo sapiens. NCBI lineage: Eukaryota > Metazoa > Chordata > Mammalia > Primates > Hominidae > Homo > Homo sapiens. Next base: position 31,257,501 of record NC_000023.11, read on the forward strand.
TGAAGAAGAAAAATATAAACTAATAAGTAAAAACTAAAATCAATGAAAAGTTTCTTTTCAGTATTTTATGCTTATGTTTCGACTCTGAAACACTGTAATTTTGGAGAGGGGGAAAGGCAGTGCTGGTAGTTAATCTTATATGGGATCTCAAGGATGTAGGCAGGCTGGGCGCTGTGGCTTACGCTTGTAATCCTAACAATTTGGGAGGCCAAGGTGGGAGGATCACCTGAGGTCAGGAGTTCGAGACCAGCCTAGCCAACATGGCAAAACCCCGTCCCTAGTAAAAATACAAAAATTAGCTGGGTATGGTGGCGGGTGCCTAGTAATCCCAGCTACTCGGGAGGCTGAAGCAGGAGAATCACTTCATCCTGGGGAGGCGGAGGTTGCCGTGAGCCAAGATCGTGCCACTGCATTCCAGCCTGGGTGACAGAGTGAGAATCTGTCTCAAAAAACAAACAAACAAAAAAGGATGTAGCCATATAACAATCATTCTATATGTGCCAGGCAACAGTGAAAGGAGTGCCCATTGTTTAGGACCCACCATACCATTTCCAGAAATACCACTCAAGTAACTTACTATTCATAGGTAAAACTATCAATTCCTATATACGTGTAGCAGGTATGTAGTAACCAACATAAATATACTTTACCTAGTAAATAAAATCAATGAGAACAGTGAAAGTACTAACAGAAAACTGAGGACAAATCCAGGTGTAGCCCCACATAGCTGTGTAGCCCTGATCAATTCCTCCCTGAGCCTGGCTTCGCTGTCCTGTGAAATGTGGATGTTGATACCATCCACCATGCAGGTTGGTTGCTGGCACATCCCATGTGGAAAACATACAATAGGCCCGCAATAAATGGGAGATGTTATCTGATGAATCACCACTTGGATAAAAGCCCAACGAATGTTTGATTGTTACAAAACTATTGGAAATATTAACTCTGAAAGGTGAAAAGCAAACTTCAACACTTAGTTCACTTGCAAGTGGTTTGTTATTGGGCTAGCAAGAAACAGAATTTCAAAGGGGGCTGGAATTGATCACACACTTACGATGACTTCCTTTTATTATATAAAAATTATACCTGAAAGTTGATTTCATAAAAGAGAAAGTTTGCAATAAATGAGTTCTAAAATCCCCTGCAACTGTAAAATTCTGTTATAATTCAAAATTGAGTGATGTCACAAGCCCAATGTCACAAGTCATGAGAGATTATCAGTTTTGAGTTTATCACCACATCTAAAGTATGGAGAAAATTTTAGAAATATAATGATTAAATGTATATTTAATTTGTATTAAAGGAGCAAACATGTATTCATTGATAGTCCATAATTAGCTTTTCATCAAACATGTTTGCAATTTCTCATTACAGAGTAATTGAAAGTGGTAGAGAATACTATACAACAAAATGGAAATATGGCCATGGTAATACATTACTTTCCAGTGGAAAAAAAAAAAGCAAGTTATAAGACAGAATGATTCAACTTCTATAAAAATATATGTATAGAAAGACATTTTTGAAGATCCTAGACTATTAAACACCAGCTAACTCTAAGAAGTGGGGTTACGAATGATTTGTCTCTTCTTTATTGTTAGCCTGTCTATATTTTTAAACTTCAAAAATATGAATAGGTATTAATTCTATAATAATAATGATTTTAAAATAAGAGTGAATTAAAATATTACAACTAGAAATTACTGTAATTAGAGTAGGAAATGTTAGAAGTGGGCTAAATCTGTGTAAACCACAGGTTACGATCAGGAGGCCCACAGACTAATTTAAATTAGCTCTTTGTGGACAGATTTCTAGTTTTTCTCTTGTACAATCAGGGGTCCTGGGAGTACTGGGATAGAAAGACCAGCTTGCCCAGGACAGCTGCTGCCCACTTCAGATGAAGCCTTTTCATTCTCTCATTTGCCAAAAGATAAGCATTCACGTTTTCCACCTGTGGTATAAACAGTCCACAATTATAAGCCAAAAACATTCTGTAGGGGCTGGAAATGTAGCACTTGAAAATTAGCTGATCCCAATTTTATTTAAAATTTTAAACGTTTACACACTTATAACCAGACTGAAATGACATAATATTACTCGAAATGTATTGGATCTCTCTGGCTAGTATAAGTGACTTTGTTTTTCCTTTTTCATGTTTTTTATTTACATTTTTCAGGTTTTCTAGAAGACATTTAATCATTTATAATTAGAAAAATGTTTAATAAAACCATTTTTTGGCTAATATCTCTTCTCTAGTCCTTGGTGTCTCTATAGCTGCAATTCATTTTGTGAGAATCTATGACACAAAAGCAGTAATAGCTACGTACCCCCTGACACACACACACCCCACTTACGTATACCTACACAGAATTTATGTTTAAGTACCCTGATTCCCACAGTGTTCATCACATAACCTTAAATCCAAAGAGATCGCCTTATGTGTTTTTCTATCAATATGTCCATTCACAGAAATGCAGGCTTGAAAAAGTAGAAAAGACATGACGTTTTTATATTAAAAAAATACATAAAAACACAGCCTGGGCAACATAGTGAGACCCATCTCTACAAAAATAAATAAAAATAAATTTTAAAAATGAGCTGGGTGTGGTGGTGCATTCCTGTTGTCCCAGCTACTCAGGAGGCTGAGGCAGAAGAACCGCCATGAGCCCAGGGGTTCGAGGCTGCAATAAGCTATAACCGCACCACTGCACTCCAGCCTGGGAGACAGAGCAAGACCCTGTCCCAAAACAAAACCCAAAACAAGCTGCAACTTAAGATAACTCATTTCAGAATATTCCTTGTAGATCTAAAACGACAAACCAGACATCTGGACATTTGTCCAGTGTAAAAAGACTGGTGTTTTCAAACCCTTATTTGTATGCTCTGTACCCATTCAAAATAATTCAAGTTATGAGGGGAAAGAAAACAGAACTGTCAGGCTCTTACATAAACACAAAACAAGCCATACTAAAGAAATCATTTAAATGTTCACATTAATGACCCGCCAGGCCTTAGGAATTGTGAGCACCGGAAAGACGGCAGAAAATTCCTTTACACAACATTTGTGGTTTGGCAAAAGGGTTGTCTTGGTTTCACACGGAAGAAATCAACAAGCACCTGAAACAGTTTTCTATCTTCGTGGGAAGAAAAAAAAAAATAGCCATAAATTGCAACTGTTTTTCCATCATTTTAGGCACCAAAGAGAACTACAAAGACCTATAGGCCCTCTCAGGTATATTGAATTTTTAGGAATCAATCAACTTCTAAAACTTGTTTTTAAGGAACCTCTGATAAAAAGAAAGCTGACTGTCAATTTTGGATAGGAAGGTGCCACTGCTTTCACCCTTGAAACAATCTAGTGATGTATTTATATAGCAAGTAACTTTCACACTGCAAACTACTTTATCCTAAAGGTCACCTGTCATTTAACTTGGAGGAAACATGGCCATGTCCTTACCTAAAGACTGGTAGAGCTCTGTCATTTTGGGATGGTCCCAGCAAGTTGTTTGAGTCTCGTGGCTAAAACACAAAACATAAAGAAAGACTTTAGCATTTACAATGAGTAGTCAAGAAAACAGGAAAAAAGAAAACAACAATAACAACAACATGATTTTTGCTTTTGAACCATTCGGAATCTTTATTTCAAAGCGCTTCCATAGTGTATTGAAGAAATGTTTATCTTACAAGCAGAAAGGCCCCTTTCTGCTTTGTTTCCAAAGAGAAAAGCAATATAAACATTATTCGGTTCCAGAATTTGTTTCTTCTTTGCACCCACAAATCGATCGCACTTCAGTTATGATAAATTGACCTTGTTATGTGATCAATAATCGACTATCAGGACTTCTTCACCCATCCAATGTGGAACACTACAGAAAGGACACCGACAACTGATTATTATTCAACTCTGTCAAAGAGATACCGGACATTAGTTCAATAAATATAAATCATCTCACTTCTCATTTGCTTTCACTGCCCCTGACATTTTTCCATTACTCTTTCCTCTACATATACAGATCTCATATCCATGATACCTGTATTTCATTTCAGCTTAAGGTATATCTACTGCCTGACTAATATATCATAACTTCCTTCTTCCCATTATTTCAGAGTGTTTTTTCTTTAAACGCAGTACGCTATACACCACTACACCTCTTCCTATATTTACTTGGGCCTGAATGAAGCATTCACAGCTGTCTTCCATTTCTTGAAGTGTGGTTGCTGGCTATCAGCTCCTGCCACAAAAAGAACAAAACACCTTTGTTCCTCATTCAATTACATGAATAAACCCTGGAGAAATAACTACATATACTTTTCCTTACTTTGGCCCATCTACATAAATCACCATAGCGTCATATTTCCAGTTTTCAGGGATTGCATGACAGGCTTTGATACAGTAAAATGCAGTTCTGAATGATATTTGGGTACTCATATGCAGAGCCTATTCATAAACTTTTGAGGGGAAGGGGAGGGAAGGAAAAAAGAGAAATCGCTTAAACTGGGGCATTTCCAGAGGACCAGAAAGTACAGGGGCCTCACACAGAAAGAGGAGTCTGGAGAGGCAACAATGTCGAATGGCCTTAGCGTATGTTTTGAATTTTAGGGCTCTGCGCCCTACTGGCGGTGAAATTTAAAGCAAGCCTGCCTACCTTGGAGGGTTAAAGGATTAGTTGAAATAGGTAAGTGACCGGCACCATTTGGTGCTCAATATGTGGTCGCTTTTGGTATCATGTGCCCCTCAAATTGTCATCTATTAAAAGCAAATCTGTTATTAGTTGATTACAATATAGATGTGGATCCAACTGTAATTAAGTCAATCAAGGCGAAGAAAGACCCTTCCTAGAGAGCAAAACCAACACACTACATGTTATCACCTATGTTTAAAAAAAATAAGTTAAAACAACCGTTTAAGTTGGTTTAAGAAATGGAACACAATCATAAACCTCATAAAGACATATGGAAATCATCCAAACTGTACAACTTCAAAGACCATCCCTGTAATATTTACTAGTCAGTGATTGAACAGTGAGGGCTACTGAAATCAATTTGCAAGAAAATGTTCACTTGTGAAGTGCTGTTTCACTGTCTTCCAAATACGTTTATTTCAGTTTTACTTTTCCATAGAGACAACTCACATTTGAGGACTATAACAAGGGCTTATCAGTTGAGGGAATATAACAGAGTGACATTCAAGTCTTAAAGAGCAAGAAGAGCAGGAGATATGGTCTCTATGCTTTAAGGGGTTTTAGGACACCCCATGACCAAGCCGGTTTATGATCTGGAGAAGGGGTAGGCAGGACTGGTACTTTACATGCACAGCACAAGGAGGCTGCAGCTTGCAGCTTCGTGGAAAAAGTGTTGCTTGTTCTCAGGCATTTCTCAGCTCGGAAAGTGAGTGTATACCAATTCCATATATAAGTGCAGAGCAAGGAAAGGTTACCTTCTATTGAGACCACCCTGCATTCAGGCCTCCTCTATTTCCAAAGGTCATCCAGATGTGATATAAGCACCAGGGAGAAAGGAAGAGCGAAGAGAGGAAGCACACACATGTGTGCCCACATGTACAAGGGCTCACACAGGCCCTTACTAGTCACACTGTGTAACAACAATGTCCCATCTCCAGGATATTTGTAAGGACCGTAGCATCTTCTATAGGTCTGCAGAAAAACATTTAGCTGAGCTGATAAGCCTGATCAGACAGAGACAGGGAACCACGGTGAAAAGCCACCATCTGGAATGGACTTCAAATTAGAGGAACATAGGCAAGAAATAAACCTGTACCAAACACAGTTCTAAAAGGAAAGGGAAACAGTGTGTACAATTTACAGGAGAATCCCACATAGAATGAATGAGGGCTTCATGGAGCTCCCCATCTTCTAAAGAAATTTCATGACTGTTGGCATACATACATTCCTGCCTTTTTAAAGAATTTATTTTGAAGGTTAAAATTATGAAAAGGGTTTTAGAAATTATTTTTTTTTAATCCATCAGTCCTCGGCAAAACTGAAAATCTCCTTTACTGGAAGAAGGAGGAAATTCTAAGCCCCCAATTCCATTGCCCATTTGTGAGTTAAGATACTAGTCCTTGATAGGTACTATTCTCCCAGTTATCTGTGATTCTGGGGGACTTGAATAACATAGATAAATGAACTCCTCAAACAATTCCAGAAGCTAACCTTTCTCACCTTCAACACACAAACCTTTTATTTCTAAGCAATGCAAAAGAACTAGAAAAACAGATTTAGATTTCACCTTTGCAGTCTTAGTTTCACTTCAATTGCAAATCAGTTCTAAGCAAAAGAAGTGAGCACAAGTGGAAAGAAGAAAAGAATAAAGGGTGTGACTAATTCTTAAAACGAGAAAAATAGTCTTTTAATCATTTAATGCTAAAAATGCTTGGCAACGTAGCCAAAAAACCTTCAGATTCTTTGGTAACTATATGACGAACCAAATATTCACTTCACGGCTTGTTATTTTCTACCTGTGATGAATCCAGAGCCCCACTGGGACACATTTAACCCTCCAAAATAGATAGGAACTATGAATATGGACTGGATGAAACTGTAAGCACAAATCTGCATAACTCATATCTATCTTGTACCTTGAAGGACAAACCACATTTTTGTCTGTGATCAATACCGATTTTACAGCTTCGTTTCTTACTCTGTGCCTGCCTTCTAAAACAGTAGAGAATTCTCAGTAACTCCATGAGAAGAGCCCACATTTACCTGGAATATGCAGACGATATAGAAAAACACGGTGTGCTAGGGAGGAGGGAGTGGAAGGGTGGGTGGCACTGTTTTGGTAATTGTCTCTTTTCTGCATTTCACTCTCCACATCGGAAATACACTCCCCATATACCATGAACAACCAAAAGGGAAATTCTGAAACCTGTTCACATGTTAATGGGTACATCTTTGTTTGGCCTTTCTGAGAACAACAATGTTCAACATAGATCACAAGTCTGTACGTACATTAACACAGAGATCAGCTTCATAAATAATCCTTAAAACGCTCTTTACATCTTTAAAAAATGTTATTGATTTTGGCCCTGCTGGTTCCAAAGCCTGGCATCAGATATGCCTCTCTGAGCAGTATTTATACGAAGATTTCCCCTCTCCTTCTTCTTTCTACAAACCATGATAATCTTTTTCCCTTTTATTTGAGGCGGTGATAGGACCCTGATGCAAATTAAAATATAAAGTCATCGACTATGACAAAAGACCCCAGCAACACCTACTTGTCAATAATAAGAAATTAAAGCATTACTCTACTGAGCACAAGGCTGACCTAATTTCCTACCATACAATTTAAATTTTCTCTCACCTGCTTTAGTTTCAAGTAGTGTGCAAGGTTATTATAACTGCCTCAGAGCTGTTCCTGCTGTCAGTGCTGGAATAATCAGACTTATTGGAATTGCTTTTTTAGTTTCTTAAAAACAAACATTAAACACTTATAAAAAGTAACAAATATCTACTGCTGTGGCTGGGAAAATGGCAGTTGCCTAATTAAAATAAGATTTCTTCTGCCACCATTGTTATTTGGTACTGAAAATATTCCAAACAGTTGCCTTTTTAAAAAACTATCTGTCCACTACTTCCCAGGGAGAAAACTAATCGCTATGCAGCAATATAAAAAGGGAGCGTTCTCTTGCGATTTGCAGAGGATTAGAGTTTGGTTTCATATATAATCTGGAGCCCATTGATCCACACACACAAATGATTTCCCTTTAATCTGAGGATCAGACTCTTTTTCTAGAGGAACCTTGGCATTTGCGTGCTGAATTGTTGAACTTGGCTTGCATTGCTGGAATACTGGCAGGGTGTGGATGGTAAAATATATTTTAAAGTTTCTGCTACCGTGGGGCAGGGGTTTGGAGGGGTGGGCATCAATATAAGCATCAGAAATCCATTCTAGTTCCCCATTTCTTGTTCCCTGGGATATTTACCATTTTATTCTGTCTGGCTAAAGCCAGGGCAAAGATGATTGCCTCGGTGGCTGTTCCAGCTGTTAGTTGTCCTCCGTTTTATTTGCTTTTCAAGGTTTAACTCCTACCCACCCTCAACTTTGGTCAAAGCAATTTCTTTTCAGGGTCGTGTCCAATCGGAGATCAAACAATGATGACTGAAACCAATTCCACGGTGTTCAAGGGTCAGAGACCTTTCATATAACCGTGTTGCTTCATTTGCTCCACTCGCTTCTCCAACAGCAAATGTATCCTCCAAAGAGGGGCTTGAGTAAAAGGCAATAAAAAAGCTAGGCAAAAAAAGAAAGGTTGATTGGGGGTGTGGGGGGGGGGGGGGTGGGTGACAAGGAGAGATGACAGGGATAAAGCAGAAGACCAAGAAGAGTTTATTGCCCAAGGAAAAATGTAGATTTCACTTAAAGACGCCACTTAAAAGTTCACCACTTAAATCGGATGGATTTTTTTCATGATGTAAAAACAGTTTATAATTAATATTATGCCTCCCTCGAGCAACTAAACCCCTTCAATTTAAAGCTTCAAACTTAACTTCAAATTTGACTAATATAAGCAAAGTGTTCTGCCCTTTTTATTGCCGTGCTGGGATTGGGAGTGACAAACTTTGCTTGAAGATGAGCACAGACACCTGGAGAAATGCGAGAGAACACCCTAGAAATGACTCCACACCCAATCCCGAAGGGCAAAAAAAAAAAAAAAAAAAAAAAAGCCCAAACAAACAAAAATCCCCACCCCCTGAAATCTTTGACTTCTGGGCTTTAGTTGTTTGTTCTTTCTTTCCTGATTTCTGCAGGTCTTGGGGCATGGAATGAGCACGGTAGAAAATGCAGCGAGGGAAATGTCAGTTGGAATCCTCGGAAGAAATCAGGCAGAAAGTTGACCTTTTGGCACTTGCAGTGCAATGGAAGGTAGCGCCGCGTGCGCCCCTTCCTTCTACGAGTAAGAGCGACGATTTAGGAACAGCCAGCCTTGCTCACGTCCACACTGGCAGCCTGGAAAGGAGTGAAAAGCTCCCCCGGCCCCAATCCCCGCGTGAGGAACGCGTTATCCCCTCTGGGGACGGGGAGAAATCAGCTTTTTCTCTCCGAGCCCGTCCCAAAGCCGAGGGAAGAGGTTCCCCCACTAGCCCGGCGCCTGGGGAGAAACCCCGGGGGCGCACCTGCAGCCGCGCCGCGGGAACCCGCGGGAGAGGTTCCTAGACGCCCAGCCGCCCGGCGCCCCGGGTCCAGCCGCCGCGCCTGTCCAAGTTTTGACCGCCTCAGCTTGCCCCCTGCTCGCGCCACAAGTGCACGGATTGCGGCCATCAGACGGGGCCGGGGCCGCGATCCACTTACCCTTTGAGCTGTTCCCTCATGGCTGCAAGGGCTCCGCGGTCGAGTGTGGGTACGAGTGGAGGAGTGAGCTTCCCAGAGCCGCCGGGCTCCCCGAAAGTGGAGCGCCGCCGCCGCCGCCGCCCAAGCTCACAGCTGAAAGCACTGCGGAGGAGCCGGCGCGGGCGGGCCGGGGAGGGGGCGCTGCGGGCAGACGGGGCGGGGCCGTGTCGGGCTCCGCCCCCACCTAGGGACCTGGGAACCCGGACACCCAGAGACTGGGCAGTTGGGGCTTTCAAAACGGAAAGGAAAAAGAAAAGAGAAAGAAAGAAAGAAAGAAAGAAAGAAAGAGGATGGGGATTTAAGGTAGACCCAGGAACCTGGAAGCCACACACCGCTCTGCTAACACCTCCTTAAAGCCTCTAGCAAGACTACTTGTTGTCTAAATAAATGACCCAGGTGCAAATGACCTCATCCCAGATAATTAAGAGTGTGGGCTTGGAGTTTTCTTTTTAAAAAATAAAAGAAAAAAATTATATACATAATTCTCACTCTCCCTTCCTCCTCAGTTGAAGATTAAAGTGGCCGGCGATAAGGACGTGAAATTGCCGTTAGGCTCATCCTGGGCTAAAAGGGATTGTTAAAAAGACTTTGGATTTGGATTTGTGACATAGCAGCGGATCTCAAAATGTAGACCCTGGGAACAGCAGTTATCAGTATCACCTGCGAACTTCTTAGAAATGAAAATTCCCTGGGCCCGGCCCAGACCTATTGAACCAGAAACTCTGAGCATACTAATGTTTGAGAATCACTGGTATGGACTCTCTAAATTAAGACAATACCACCAGTGCTGTTGCACGGTTTGGTCCTTTAGTATTCTTTTAGGAAGATCTAGAAGGAACTTGTTTCTAATAGAATATTTTATTGGAAAAGTTACAGGGCCTGAACAGTTCAAATAATTCTAATTTTAGAGTTTGCAGTATGATGATAGAAGTTAACTACACACAATTATTTCAAGCTTGGAAATACTCAAAAGAAGAAGAAAGCCTTCATTAGCACAAGAATTTTCTGCAAACTTCACATAACACCTTAGATTAGCATCCAAAGAGCATCTTACGATAAACTGTTAGTGATATTTTCACTGCCCTTCTTTGTCCATTTATTTTGTTGGCTTGCTTTTCTTTTTATTTTCTTTCAAACATTTGCTTTCCACTCTCCTTTCCGATTGATTCATTCCACTTCGGTCTACAGTTTAAATGTGGTCCCCTTTTTAAAATTTATTTCTTAAGGGATGGGGGTCTCACTGTGTTGCCCAGGCTGGTCTCCCAACTCCTGGGCTCAAGCAATCCTCCCACTTCAGCCTCCAAGTGCCTGCGATGACAGGTGCATGCCACCATATCCGGCTTCTTTTGAAATAATCCTTTTCTGCTCAACATTTTTCCCCCTAGAATGTTTTAGGTGGAAGCACACCCGTTTTGCTTTATCTAATGCTATAGCATGGCAAAAGAGGCAAAAATAAAGTATCTGGACAAAAGCAAAAGGGAATGCCAGGATTCTTTATTACCTTTAACAAACCAAATATAAAGGTAAATGTTATCACTAAAGATATGTGCATGTAAGTATGATCGGTATTGCTATTTTTAAGCAAATATGGCACTTCTTCTGGCATTCTGGCTCATACACTGAGATTACTTAGTGTTGCCCTTTAGCAATTTTAAGCTAGTGAGTTGTGGAGGCAGCTGCTATTACGGTCTGAGGGGGGCACACTAAGATTTGCTTTGGCTGAAGTTGTCCCTTGGTCTAATAGTATATTCTAGGTCTGCTCCGATCCTTGGGGAAGAGGGATTAGTGTCCTGTAATGAGGAAGTAGTGCCCTTTGCAGTAAATCAGAGACACCAATCTCTGTGTCAGTGTGGCAAATCACTTAACTACTGTTTATGTTTATTTCAACGAAAAGACAGAAGCCTCAGAGCATGGACATTTGTAAATATTACAAATCGATAAACTAAGGATTTGTAACACCTGGATAGTAAGACATTTGTCACTCTCTTCCTTTCCTGTTTTTTGTTTGTTTGTTTTACACTTTTAAATTACCTGCTCAAAATTCAGGAGTTCTGACACGCTTCTCTATAAATGCTTAAGTCTCTTTTCTCAGTGTCCAATTAGAAAACTACTAAGAATAATCTGTTGACAAGAAAAAAGAATGGAATAAGAAATCACTATTCAGACTTTTTAAAAAAATTGACAGATGGCAATCCTCAAAAATACATCTTTAAGTTCTTTTTTAGACTGGAGTTATAGGCACTTGAAGACTTGTTCCCAAATCTTGACGTCATATTATAATTAAATACTGAAAGTATTAAGAAATGACGCGGGCATCACAGAGACTGTTTTGTTGTTCAATTGCAGTCAGATTATGAATTTTGCTTATTAGAGGAAAGCATTTGGAAAAGAACATAATTGATATACCTTCGTGTCATATGTAAATTATGTAGTGATGCCATGTATGATAATATATTGTTTGTTTATAGTAGATGTTTCTTCTTCTCCTCCTTCTGATTATATTATTATTATTATTATTACTGTTTTGATATGAACCACGGACATGAAAAGAGCCTGAAGCTCTGCTACCAGAACAAACTTCAGCTAAAATTTTGACTTCAGAATCAGCCATGACCTACTTGTTCCCAGTACCACTGTCTAGAATGGTGCAAGGATTGGAATTGGGGAATCCAGCTCGAAGACTCATGCGCTTAGCTATTCTGCTATGCTGCCATGAAGAGACATGGCTTCTTTTCCTGTGAGAAAGGTCTGTGTTTTTTCTAGTATACTCATAGACAATCTCACTGATGGCTCAGAGCAGAGAAGAGTAAATTTGCTAGAAATAGAGATAAAGAAGAAATGAAATGGGATGAGGTCAAAGAAGGCGACCCAGTACATTTTCCCGTAGCCAAAACTCTGGTCTTTGAACCACTTAAACTTTGAGGGTATCTTTAGAGAATAAGGGCATCTCTGACCTAAGGGACTGTGCAGGATGCTTCCCCATTCTCCCATCCATCTCTATTCTTTGTCCTTCTCCATTCTGCTCTGTGGCCCAGGAGGTTGGACCTCTGTGGGGACATCAATCAGGCTTTCCTGCCGTTTGGCTTCCTTTTGCTTTCAGCCAATTGGGAGGCAGTGATGAAAGGCCTACAGAAGGAGAGGAAAGGACAGGAGGAAGGTGATGTTTGGGTATTTATTCTTCAGGTTCCCTCCTACTGATCTCTGGCCTGGCAGCTGCTGAGTTCCTTGACCTGCAGCCACAAGTCTTGTTGGCCAGTCCTTTCCTACAGCAATAGCATTCCACCAGTTACGCAAACCATTCCTCCCTTTATCCCTTTGGGCAAAAGTTTACCATTCCTTGTTTTTTTTTTTTTCTCCTAGCCTGCCTAGAGCCTTGTAAATAGCCTTTTCATTATACTCTCTTCAAGTGTTCCGTTTGAATGTACCATCTGTTTCTCCCAGGACCCTGACCAAACTGAGACCCATCCAGCCAAAGCCACCCTCTGGGGCAATAGACTTGATGCTGAGTGGGGACTACTGATAGAGGAGAAAGTCAGATCCCCCCACTCTGGGGCTAAAAAGCAGATGAGACTCAGTCATTGGATAAATATTCAGAGAAGCCTCCTCTGTAGGCCCACAAAGAGCTTCTGGCCTTTTGAGGGTAAAGGCATATCAACAATTATGATGGTGACAACAGCAGATGTGAGGGTAAAAAGGATGCAACCAGCTTGTTCTTTACAAGAGCTTCAACGGTCTGCTTGATCTTTTGGAGAGAATGTCAAGATAAGGGTTAGAGAAATGGGCAAACTGGAAAGGGCTTAGTGTGACAATCTGGAGTTTGACTTGTATCCTGAAAGGTATGAGGGAGCTTTTTAAGGAAGAAAGAATTAAAGCATGAGTGTGGCTCTGTCCGGTTTGTCTTTTAGAAAAATCACTCAGGCAATGGTATGGGGGCTTGATCAGAAGACAAGAGTCTGAAATTCAGACATCAGGTACAAGGAGATTGCAGTATGAGGAGGATCTGAATTACAGCAGTGGCAGAGGAGGTGGAGAAATGATACAATAAGGTTCCAACTACAGGAGTCTTGACTGACTGGATGTATGAATGGAAGAGAGGGAAGAAGTAAAGCAATAGTCCTCAAGCTTGGCCGCCCTTTGGAATCACTCAGGGATTGTTAATAAATTTAGATGTTTGGGTCTCACCACCCTGAGATTCTAATTTAATTGGTCTTGGACATTAGGATTTCTAAGACTCTCCAAGTGATTCTAATATGCAGTGAAGGTTAAGGACCATTGTCCTTGAGTGACAACAAAGATTGGATGAGTAGCATTCTCCGAGCTAGGAATTTCAGGAGGAGGGGGCAGAAGAGGGTTAGGAAAGAGATGATGAATCCAGTCTTGAACATAATGAATTGGAGGTGGTGATGTAAAAGTGCAGGTATCCAAGAGACAGTTGGACATCTGAGTCTTGAGCTCAGAGGGAAGATGTCTGAATTGGAGCTATGGATTTGCAGTGTACTGTTGGAAGGGTCTTGGGTTCGAATGAGCCCATCTAGTGGAGGCTGTGAAGGGCCAACAGCTGAAACTAGGCTGTTCCTACCTTCCACAAACACATCTTTTTCCTTTCTGGGTTGCATGTGGTTTCAATGTTGGCCTGATGCTAGCTGTGTAAAAATGCAGAGTGGCATAGGAAAGGACAAAGACAAGGAATGGTTTGAACTGGGTACTTGCCTGGAGGGATGGTCCCGAGAGACTTCACCAACTCCTAGGGTTCAGCTTCTCTCTATCTATAGTGCGCCCTAAGTTTTAGTATAACCTGCATCACTTTATAAAAATTCATTTAGAGTATAGGTATCACTTCAATTAACTCGAATACATATTCTATAGTAAAATGTCAGCATTTGGGTATACAATAAAGACATAAGAATTCCATATTCCTCTTTGCATAGTACAAGTACTAACCATGAACAGTGACTCAGACATCTAACAAATGGGTTGGTGTATGGTGAATCATTGCTGGTTAGGGCAAATATTATAGCATACTAATTGAAATATATATATAACAATCCCCCTAGATCAATCTGAAACCAACATCTTCTGGATGTAAGAATATCCAGCCAGGTCACATTAACCAGCAAATGAAGAGGCCTCTAAGTTCAGACACAGAGCACTTCACACCCACACAAAAGCCTATTTTTCCAGGCCCTGTCTCTTTAGGGAGGCAGAGTAAGCCAGACTCAGGAAAGTTCTCTGTGAGCCAGCTGCCATCTAAACCAGAGATTTCACCAGACAGGTTCCAGATAAAGTCGAGCTCTGCTTCACTCTCACACAGTTTTCTTTTAATAAGATTTCTCAAAGCTTCACAGAGCCACCTATATCAAGCCGAACATCTAAAAAGATGTGAATTTTAGCATCTTCACTAAAATAAAGCCATACTTCATTAACCTCACAGGCCGACGGTTGCTTCATGGGAAAGAATTTGGAGTACCTATTAGCCTGCCAGCTATAGCGATAACCCATGTATATGACCCACACCACCTCCTGCTAAAAATGGATCACTGGTTAATGTGGTTCAAGTATATCTGACTACAGCATTCCTGGTCTACCTTAACAGCTCAAACTTGTAACTATTTGTCTGCCTTTCCCCACCGATTGTGCCAAATAAGCGGAATTTCAAAACTGGGCAGAAATTCTTACACTCTGCATAATCTCTCTTCCTCTTCAGCTACAAATAAGGCTTTGTATTCGATTAGACTCACAGCAGGTGAAAACCCCAATTAGTGAATTCATTCTGAGGCCTCTACCTTCCTCCCACACAACACATTTTTGTAAAAAAATCAGGGAAGTCTGCGTCTCTTCTCAAATCAGAAGTAAATTAACCCTTTGATCTACCCAAGCAAACTATTTACTGCATGAAGACTTTTCACTGCAAAATGGGAGGATGTTGAAAGATTCCTCCTTCTTGACTCCATAAGGGAGGTTACAGAAAATTCTATTTTATCAGACTTTATTGTTTTCTTCAAATCCATAAATACTCACATTTTCTGATCAATCTAGAAATTACAGTTTTTCTTTCTACCTGACACTCACAATGCTAATATTATCTAACAAAAGATTAATGGACAGTCTACTACAAGAGAGAATTAATTTTTAGTTATGTTCTTATTTTGGTGTATTTGAGGTGAGAAAAAAAATTAAATTTTAGTTTAAACAGTATGCTTTGGCCTTAGGAAAGGCACAGAGTCTATATTTCATACTTTGTAAATATTTATTTGTCAAAGAAAATTCATCATTGGACAAGGATAGATGTTTGGTTGAACATTAAAAAAAATCAACGCAGCTTTAGTTCTTAGAGTGATTTACTCATACTTTGTCAATTGCTTCTCTGGAAACAATTCACAACCTAGTTTTATTTATGAACATATGATTAAAAAACAGCAGCTTTGTCTTTTTTAATTGTTTTAGTCCTGTCACTTTTCTTGAAACAAGTCGTAGGACTTACCCACAAGAAAATACTGAGCATATATCAAGTAGTAATGCAGCTTTTAGAAGTAGTCATCTGTTACTGTCAGAGGTTCATTTCATTTTGAGTCTTTTTAATTAAAATGCAAAGTTCTACATACATGCCTGCCTAAATTACCCCTTTCTGAAATACTCAAATTTCAAAAAAAAATTTTAAATGCTAATGTAACCATTGTTAATACTCTAGACTTGCTTCTTGAGATTTGGAAAAAAGTAAACAAAGGAATTACCAGTCAATTAAGCGAACAAGGAAGTCATCCTAAGTTGAAACAGATAAGGAAAATGTAATAATCAAATGCTACAGATGAAGACACCAGCGTTTTTCTTTTTTTTTTTCCTGAGATGAATATCTACAAGAATCACGCTTTATCAAAAGCAGCTTCCTTAATCTTCAGCAAGCGTAGCTGTGTATTATAGCAAAGGCATGAAGATAGAGGGGCAGAGTGTCCAGACCAATTCTACCCCTTAGAGGTGGGTCACTTAACCCTTTACAGGCAAGTCACTTAACCACTTGGAAGCTTTTGTTAACTCATCTATAGAATGTGGATAATACTGCCATATTGTGGGTCAAAATGACACAACGGCTCTGACAGCAATTTGAAGGCTGGGGAATGCTGTGTTCATGCAAAGCAGCCTGTCAGGCAGGTATGATTTCTTAAAAGAGAACTCAGTATGTTCAGGAATAGTTAGGTATACAGAACCAAATAAATTCACTTTAACATTCTGTTTTAGATTGTCGTGTGAGGGAAAATGAGAGGTCTGAGTTTAGTAAACTGCTCTTCTGTAAACTGCTCTTTAGCAGTTTACAAAAGGCACCTTTCCTCTTTTTGCTTTTTACACTTAAGAAGGAAGCAAGTAGGAAAAGTAAGATTTTTTTTGTGTGTGTGCAAGATAAGGCACTAGCTGTAGCCTGAGATAGGCATAAAATTCACAGCGTTTGCTATCATTCAGTGGGGCCGAGATTAAAATATGAATAGTATTCACGCATGTTAAAAGGTATATCCATGTTCATATTCTCAGACAGCAGAAACCTGGAGTAGTCAGAGAGCAAGTGAATATTGATTTGGTGGGGGACAGTGAGGGAGAAATATCCCCTAGCTTGATGGAGAAAGTCTCCTGGTGGCAAGCCTTGAACAGCCAGCAAGTGGCAGGAATTCCACACAAAGACAGGGATCCATAAAAGGGGAAATAAGATAAAATCCAGTTTAACCAATTAATGATCTACCAATGTCTGAATCTTGTACTCCAGCTCTGGCTTACTTTTGTCAAGGCATGTTTTCAAGATGAAAGGAAAATACAGATGCAAGGAACTTTTATTTATCCACAAATTTCCAAGAATGTTTTTTATGTGCTCTATCTAGACTAAGTTTCTCTATTAAATATTATCCTATATTAAGTTCTTTAAATAACTTCAAACATAGTGTATTTATGGAACACTTACATATGTATTTGCTTATCATTTAAACTCTTCTCATTTTTTCTTTATGGTTGGTAAAAACTGGGGAGTGTTTGGAGAATGACATGGAAATATATAAAAATTTCAACATTGTAATCCAGTTTTTTTTTAAGTGGGATCCCAAGGAAATATGGCCTTTTCCTTAAGGAGCTTATGATCTAATGAGAGAAGATAGACCCATATATAGCTAAACACAGTATCAGACAGATTATAATAATTACAGAAATAGAGAGAAAAAAAGCAGCAAAAAGGGAAAGGTGATTAGTTTGGCCTCTTGGGATTAGAGAATATGCACTTCAATTAAAAACTAAGTAGGCTTTAATCACCTAGTTAGTTCTTAAATCAGGTTTTGTGTGTGTGTGTGTGTGTGTGTGTGTGTGTGTGTGTGTGTGTTCTTTTTGCTAGAATATGAAGAGTTGAAACAAGTTTCTTACATTGACTCTGTGAGCTAATCGCTCATATTAATAATTTACTAAGGTACAGAGTTTTTATGTTAATATACAGCTGTGTTACGACATCAGTTTAGGCTTTTTAGGAATTCAAAAATGTATTTGGCCAATATTGGATTTGATATCTTGGGAAGGCTAACTGGCAGAAAATACTACTTTCCCCATTAGGACATCAAAGCACATTATTGAGTTAATATGAACAAGACCTTCACGTGGGAATTGAAGTCCTCACAGCTTGACCTACTCTCATCCCTTAGAAACAGGTCGACAAAGAATTGGAAGCCTCTTTGCATATGATGGATAGAGAAGAAAAAATTGGCACCACCTGTACTTTTGAATATCTTTCTTTTTAAAATAGAATTAAATTTGAGGTGGGAAGAAACAAGGGTGGAAAAGAGGGTAGGGATCAGAATGGAAATGTATGCCAAGTAGATGATGACAACAGCCCAGTTAAGAGTGGATGAAAGTCTGAACTAAGAAAGGAGCACTGGGAATTTGTGGAGAGGCTGAATTCATGACAGGTTATAGAATAAAATCAATGCTACTTTTGAGCCAATTGAATGTGAGGGCTAGAGGAAAAGGAAAAGTGTAGGATTTTTGATAATGGCCCTATTAGCTGTGCATTCATGGATTCATATTTGTGTATATACTATGTACATATTTATACTGTGCATTGTTCTGTAAAGGCTTTAGGGCAACTTATAACAATGTATAACTCTTAAAAATTAATAAAACCCAGCACTAAGGAAATATAAATAGCATAAAACTTTAAGAAGCGAGGAAAATTTAGAACACAGATTTGTTTTTTGTTTTTTGTTTTGAGACGGAGTCTCACTCTGTCACCCAGGTCGGAGAGCAGTGGCACGATCTCGGCTCACTGCAAACTCTGCCTCCCAGCTTCAAGCAATTCTCGTGCCTCAGCCTCCCAAGTAGCTGGGATTACAGGTGCCTGCCACCACGCCCGGCTAATTTTTTTGTATTTTTGGTAGAGACGGGGTTTCACCATGTTGGCCGGGCTGGTGTCGAACTCCTGACCTCTAGTGATCAGCCCACCTTGGCCTCCCAAAGTGTAGGGATTACAGGTGTGAGCCACCATGCCCAGCCAGAACACAGCTTTGAAGATCACAGTGCATGATGTGGTTATGAAAATTTTGCTATGCATACCCACCAGAATGAGCAAGACAAACAACACAGGGTTAGAAAGGATGTGGAGCAACTACAACTCTCATGCTCTGTTAGTAGGAGTGCAAACTGGTACAACCACATTGGAAAACTGTTTGGAAGAATGTACAGAAGCTGAACACACACAGACCCTATAACCCAGAAATTCTACCCCTTGATATAGTCCTCAAAGGAATGCATACATATATTCATCAAATGGCATGTCTTAGAATGTTTATAACATCATTTTTTTCTACCAAATGCCCATCCACAGTAGAGTATATAATATACTGCAGGATATTGACACAATGGGATATTACATAGCAATTAGAATGAACAATCCACCACTTCATACAACAGCATGGATGAATCCAGGTTTAAAGAAGTCAGACACAAAAGAGTACATGCTGTGCAATTTCATTTATATAAAGGACAAGAACAGGCCAGAATATTTAATGGTGTTCAAAATCAAGATTGTGGTTACCCTTGGAGGACAGGTAACTATCAGAAGGGCACACAAAGGGCCTTCTAAAGGTTGGTAATGTTCTGTTTCTTTATTTGGATGCTGGTTAAATGAGTGTGTTCAGATTGTGAAAATTCACTGAACTGTATAAGTTTAAGCCATTTTTTCTTTTTTTTTAATTGACAAATAAAAATTGTATATCTTTATCATGTATAACATGTTTTGAAATATGTATACACTGTGGAATGGCTAAACCAAGCTAAGTAACATATGCATTACCTCATATACTTATCATTTCTTATGGTGATAATACTTAAATCTACTCTCTTAGCAATTTTCAAGACTATACTAGATTTTCATTACCTATAGTCACCATGGTGTACAATAGAGCTCTTGAACTTATTCCTCCTAACCGAAGTTTCATATCCTTTAACCAGCATCTCCCTTATTTTCTACATGCCTAATATATTTCAGTAAAAAAGTGTTTTAAAAGGTGGGTATAATTTGGTTGTGGCCTTTGTAGATGTCAAAGCAAAAGAAAAAATATAAAAGGAAATATGATCGATTTTATTATTTGGATTATTGATAAGGAGGAAAGAGTGTAAGTGAAACAAAGGAAAATCCAAGTCTGGAATGACTTAGATTGAATAAACAGATCTGCATGGGATCTAAGGTGGGAGACACTGCATGGTGTCGACTTTCAGAAAAATCCCTTCAGCAGTTTTCAGTGCCCCTCGACATAAGCCAGGAACATGATGCCGAGGTACACCTGAGTTGAGGCAATCTTATGGGGGCCAAGGCAAAGTGGTCTAAGAATGCAGCTTTCTGATGACCTGGCCTGAGGTGGAGATAAAACTAACTACAGTGTTTTTCAAACTGCAGGTCATGAACCCTTAGTACGTCATGAAATCTATATAGTGGATCATTACCAGTATTGTTCTTAATGAAACAGAAAAGAATAGAAAATATGACAGTGTAGAGGTTGGAGTGGGGAAAATGGGTTATAAAACTACCTATTGGGTACTATGCTCACAATCTGGGTAACAGGTCATGAGCCCCACACCTTAGCATCATGCAATGTTCCCATGTAACAAACCTGTACATGTACCTCCTGTATCTAAAATAGAAGTTGAAATTAAAAAAAAAAAAAAAATATGAAAGTGTACTATTTGGTATGGGTAAGTAATGTTTTGTGAAACTTTTCTTTCAATCATACAAGCATGAATAGACAGAAAAAGATTTACAGATATAGATGCGTGTGTGCGTGTGTGTGTGTACCAGGATGACATATAAAATTAATTTTTATAGTGGATTGGCAAAAAAGATGAAAGCTACAGGCTTTACTACATAAAGAAATGGACAAACTATACATGCCCACTGGACAATCATGCATCATTATAATTTCTCTAGACTAGGATTTGGAAAGAAGTTGACGGAAGACAGTTTGCAGTCTTATTCCCTGGTAAGGGCTGGAACATTACAAGAGACTGGAGGAGGATTAAAAGATTCAGGAGGGGGAGCAAGTTGGGGAGGCGTTCATCAAGTCTGAAGTTCTAACCACATGAGATGCTGCAGGGGCTGAGAATCTGCTCCAAGTTTTAGGGGGTGTCTTCTCTGCCAGCTGTTCGTTTGGGTGGCTGTTTGGGAGTATACCAGGAATCACTCAGCCTTTTTGTTTTCTTCCAAATGGCATGGTGATATTGTCACATTGCAGGAGGAAAAACATTGCTGCTAAAAGTATTGTTAAGGGGAGTAACAGGTAGCTCACACTACTATACACAACTGCACGTTGCCTGTCTGAACAAAACACTTCAAAACATAAACTGAGAAATGCCCTTCTGCTTCCATCTTGCAGTGAGACCTAATTCAAAGTCCTTGCTAGTGTGCTCAGGTCCACGCCAACAAATTGGCAAGTGTGTGCCTGACAGAATGGTCACATTTTAGGGCTGGATGGTCCCCATTCTATTTAATGCTTATAAATTCATCCTATTAAGTGCTTGGGGAAATTAATCTGAATAAGTGTCCATGAAGACTGATAATTATCATGATTTTTAAAAGTATTCTCATATAATTGTAGGAACATTTTAGACAGTCTGCAGCCATGGGGGTATTAAGCATATTATGAGTAAAAATAACAGCTTTAAGAATAAAATTCCTTTCAAAAGAGTGACCAGCTTTGAAAGTTACCAGAAGGAAACCCACAATCTTTCTTTTTTCAGTATTTAATCACAGCAGCTTTCATTAAATTCCCAGTACTAATAAGTGGTTAACTATGTTTGTAATCAGTATTTCTTATATTTTTAAAAGCACTAGATTATGGATGCTGTATGTCTACCATTGGCTGTGAAGCCACAAACAGTTTAGCCTAGCAATGATTACTCACAAAGCATGAATTTTAACAGCACACTCCATTTTACCTACATCTAAATTCAGAAGAGAATTTAGTCCACAGAGGAACCTTCCTGTAACTTTTCTTGAATATTTTGTGATATCTTGCAACATGGCCAAAAGTTCTAGCCCTCTCCTTGGTGTCCAGCTCTTGCAGTGTGCCTTTGTATCTCTTCCCACCAACAGGTGGAGTCTTTCCCCACTCCTTACATCTGGGATGGCCCTATGACATGACTTGCTTCGGCTAATGGACACTACCAAACATGACACAAGCAGAAACCTGAGAAGTTTCCATGTGAACTAGCCTGAACTAGCATGTTGGATGATGAGATACACACAAACCTAGTTGCATCTGTTCCTAGATGACAGCCTGTCAACCATCAGACATATGAGTCAGGTCACGATAGCTTATCCAGCTGCCAGCTGACTACAGATGCATAAGCATGCCTGGCAAACAGTAGTACAACTGGTCACACCACATAAATGGCCCAATCCACCCATCAAATAGTGAGCTAAGTAAATGGCTGGCCATTGTGTTATAGAGTTTATGAACTATTGTTCAAATTTGGTCTATGGCCTGCTTCTGTACAGCCTCTCAGCTAAGTATGACTACATTTTTAGAGTTGTAAAAAGAAAAAGAATGTGCAACAAAGATGCAAAGTGCTCCACAAAGCCTATAGTGTTTACTATGTTGTCCTTTACAGAAAATGTTTGCTGACCTCAGTGTTAAGCCAGTAAGTTTTGGGGTTGGTCTGTTATACAGCAAAAGTAGCTGTTACACATCTGCTCCCAAGAAAGAACGTTAGAAACTAGGCCTTTCTCACAAATTCAGTTAGCACCTAGTCAATTTATCCTTGGTGCATGTCCTCCAGTTGCTTGTTAATAAGATAATGCTGAAATGAACAGAAAGAACAAATACACATATAACCTGGGAAGTTATTTTAGTAATATGCTTCTCAAAAGTAAGATTTTATAAGGGGTATTTAGAAAAACAAGTATACAATTTTTAGCAGTCTTATTCATAATATCCTCAAGCTGGAAACAAAATCATTATGCTGAATATAAGAGACCAGATACATACAAAAATACTGTATGATTCTATTTATAGAAAATTCTTGAAAATGCAAAGTAATACACAGTGAGAGAAAGACGATCAGTGGTTGCCTAGAATCAGGGGTGAAAGGAAAAATGACCTGCAAAGGGGCACAAGGAGGCTTTTGGGGGAGTAAGAACGTTCTGTCATTTGACTGCAGTGGTGGTTTCACAAGTACACATCTGCCAAAAATCGCTGAACCACTTTAAATGGAGGCAGTTTACTGTGTGTAAATTTTTATTTAATAAAGTTTATTTTAAAATTTTTTTAAAAAAGCGTTTGCCCTAAAATCAAATTTAACATTCAAAAATGCATACAACTGCACAAAGAATGAGGTGCATCACACAGGATGTTTACATAAATATAGGACAGATTCAGGTCATGCTGTCAGTTCCCTTCTGATTAATTCCGAAAATATCAAAACATTAGATTCACAAGTGACCTTAAAGGTTAATGAATTATATCCTCTCATCCAATACAGAAATTGCCTTTAGGGGTGAGACAGTCATTTCAGTCTTGAAAATCTACTGTACAGGGAGTTTAATGCTTTTCAAAGTGGCGGATTTTATTTTTTGGAGAGCTCGATTACAAAAGTTTCTTTAATATTTAGTTAAAATATGCTTTCCCATAACTTCCACATATCTAGCTCAATCCATTCTCAGAATAAAACAGGAAAAAAATAACAAAAGAGAGTTCACAGTAGTAATGAATGGGCAAAACTGGCCAAATGAGGTCTTCAGGCAGAGGGCTGAGTTGAGCTTAAGAGATGACTGAAGAAGAAACAGCCATGTGCAAAGGCAGGGCCAACGACAGAGACTCTATTTTGTGTTGATCTAGATCTATTAATTGACATTCTTTAGATGTCATTATTTAATCAGCTTCAAATTCAGCCTATTAGCCAGCCCCACTGTTCTTTATCTTGTACCCAATATTCTCAAAAGAGAACTTGAAAAATGTGGTGTAAAATCCTAAGTTATGCTGTCTCTAACAGTCTTCTCATCTAACCATCAAGCAGCCATAAAAAAAATGAAAATGAGGTGCATGTGACATGGCAGATTTTGAGAGTATCACGCTGATTCCCAGCAGCATGTTATCCTATGTAATCATTAATAATCAGTACGATGTCATTTTCCAGGATTTTGTTGCTCATCAACATCAAACTTATTGGTTTGTAAATTTTAAAATTCATCTCTTTACTTTTTAAACGTTAAAAAAATGTTTTCTAATCTCCTTATATGACATCACCAATCCCTTCCCATGTTTTCTCTGAGTTTTCCACTGGCAACTCTTTTCATGGGAGGAGGAGTGACTTTTAGTGGATACTGGATAAGAAGAATGCACTCCTGTTGAGTAGAATGAGATCCCATGGCAGCACTTCTAACAAATTAGACCTAGTCTCTGAACAAAAACAATATGAGTTAAGATCGTCCCTAAGATTATCTAGAAAAGAATCCCGTTCCCATAAAGCTGAGTAACATTTTGGTCAGATTTGTGTCATTTTAAAAGCCAAAATATTTACCTAAAAAGCAAGTGATTTGAATGTCTCAGACTAAGTTATTTTTTACTGATCTATGGCCCTCAAATGAGTTGATGACCTTCAGTAGAGAAATGGTTCTTTATTTCTGATTTGTGAGAGTCATGCGACAGCAGTGGATGGGTTAAGAAGGTTAGAGGAAATTTGTTACATTGCTTTTTAGCTGTTGTTTTTTAGTTTGGTGAACAAACGAGATAACATAGCTAGTGCCTTTTAGTCATAAAGCAAAAATAAAACTACAGTGTTTTCTAATATTGTACCCTAAACCTATGCAAATCTCCAATTTACATCACCCACAAGCCTTCTATATTTTTGCAGATTTTAACTAGAGCTAAATAATAGGCATATATTTATACTTAATTGTAATCAAATGTAATGACGTGTGCAAAACAGGCTTTGCTCAAAGTGCTCTTTATAGATGAAATATGATTATTGAACTTGACAGTAGATCATTCATTGGAGGGAAAAGTGATTAATCACTTCTCTGTGCCTCTACCTTCCTACCCTTTGATGACACCGGTTATATTTCAAGATTCTCAATGCTATAAATGAACACTTTACTGAAGAAGCATCTTTATCCAATGCAAAATGAAATGTGTTGCCTAAGACTAATAAAGTCATTTACAAGTTTCAATGAGGAGCAAATATAAATAGTAAAAAAAAAAAAATCCATTATTTAACAGCAGTAAATCCAGTATGTTTTGGTAAAACAGTTTTCAGAGAAGCTCTACTTACGTTAGCTTTTCCTAAACCTTGCTGCAAAGTGTCAGTTCTTTCTAATATACAATCAAAGGAATTTTGTGTTGGGAAGAACATTTCTCATCTTTGTAAAGGACATTTAGAGGAGAGATAGGGAAAAACAAAGATCATGCATGAGGATTATGTGTGAGGGTATGGATTGACTGGATTTCAATCATTATTTTAAAAGGCTTATCTAAAATAAGGTGTTCTTTGAACCAAGTGGAGTCTGATTTCCAATTTTAGAATGTTTCCACATTTAACACTGACATTCATTATCCTGAAAATGAAGGCAGATACACATAATATCTATATGTATTTTAAATAAAATTGGTTCAATAATTTTTCTCAAATTTCATAACTTTTTCTATGAATCAATGTGTCAACTCATTTTTTCAACTTTTCAAACTGAAAGAAATTCCATTGATCTTTAATAATAATGAATTTAATCAAATATTAGGCAAAATTCTTTAGTGAAAGAACTCAGAGAATTTGATTAGGTGCCTAAAATGTCATTTTTAACATAAAAATTAACAAAAGCACAAAAATATTTCCATTTTATCTTAAAAATTAACATGCTATGTTATAATACAAAAAAAGCCCTCCCCTACCCCAGAATCCTGCATAAGAATGTGAATGGTTATGTTTGTTTGCGCAGATGGGGTTTATATTTATGTGTTTCTTTTCCATCTAGCAAATTTAAATCTAGGATACAAATGTAGTCATTATCGTGTCTGAATTGGTGAAGAAAGCCCAAAATATGGCCAAATCTACTTGCCCCCTACCTTAAATTATGAGTTTTTAAAAATATATTTTCAGGTTAGAATATTTCTCTTTTTTCTGAGTTTAGCTCTCTGAAGCAAGTGCTATCAATTCATGAAAATATTAATTATAAAAGTTTTATACTGACGATTTGGTCCTCATAACTGCCCCTGCTTGGTCTATATTTCACCTTCATCATGATTTATTTTCTAATATGAGATTAATGTTAAGGACCATAAACGTTATGTTGAGAATCATAAAACATGTGTGCTAAATTTTGGGAACAGCTCACGTATACAGAGAAAGAAGAAAATAAAAAGATCTAGCAGATAAAGAAAATACTGTTTTTGGTCCCATTTAGAAATGTTATTAACGGCAATGCTGTAACACCTTCCTTTCCAACACAATGGCAAGCCATGGGATGAACAAGCTCAAGACATGTGTGGTAGCATACCAATTAAGCAAACAGTTGACTCATGGATGCATTACTAGCAATACTTCTGCTCCAACCCAGATACAGATGCTCTTCAACTTACAATGAGGTTATGTACCAATAAACTCATCATAAGTTGAAAATATTCTAAGTCAAAAATGCATTTAACATACCTAATCTACTCAACATCATAGCTCAGCCTAGCCTACCTTAAACTTACTCAGAACACTTACGTTAGCCTACAGTTGGGCAAAATCATCTAACACAAAGCCTATTTTATACTAAAGCATTGAATAGCTCATGTAATTTATTGAATACTGTACTGAAAGTGAAAAACAGAGGGGTTGTGTGGATACCTGAAGTATGGTTTCTACTGAATGTGTATCACTTTTGCAGCATTATCAAGTAAAAAAATCCTAAATCCAACCATTGTAAGTCAGGGATCATCTATGTTTGATTGACAGGCCCCAGCAAGCATCCGCAAATGAGGAAAGAATAGAGAGAGGAGAAAGAAAGTACTAGATGAAGACAAAGAATCCTTGGTGATAGGATCTTCAGACAGAGAGGCTCTAGGGACTTGAAACCTGGAAGTTCAGCATAGGCATTTAGTATATGTTGAGCCTTAGGGAACTCATTTATCAATTTGATATCACTCCTTTGTATCACTGCCATGGTGAATGATCAGAAAGGAAACACAAACTCCTTCTTTAAGAACTGCAATAACGAACTGTTTCTTCTTCTTCTTCTTCTTCTTCTTCTTCTTCTTCTTCTTCTTCTTCTTTTTTTTGGCAGAGGTGGGGTGTCTCGCTACCTTGACTAGGCAGGTCTTGAACTGCTGGCCTCAAGCAATGCTCCCACCTCAGCCTCCCAAAGTGTTCGGATAACCGGCATTAGCCACCTCCTCTGGCCAAGAACTGTTTCTTTTGATTAAATTTTGTTCTTCCTACTCCAACTTTCCTTAAAGATAATGCTTCCTTAAAGATAAATCTAATGGCTTAAACACACACACACACACACACACACACACACACACACACCCACACCCACACACGCAAAGTATGTATTCTTTTTTATCACTCTCCTCCTGTCCCTCTTACACCTTGCTTTGGAACTGACTGGTGCCTTGCATCTCCAGTCATTTATCACACATCGTGTAGACCGAGATTTTCGATATTAAAACATTCAGTCTGCCAATGTACGTAGGAAGCACCCTCAATGTCTTTAAAATGCTATTCTGAAACATTTAAAGAGGGCCATCTGCAATAAGAATGATCATTAGATGATGATAAACAGTACTGGGTCACAGATGGAGAAAGTAATAGTATTTGAGAGCCATTTTCATGTTAATGTTATAGATTACATATTAAAGAAATGTGCCAGTAATGAAGCAAACAACAAAGAGGGCCATTGGAGAAGAACAGTTATGCTATTGAAAGCAATGATATAATAAGCAGAATGGCCCCAAGCCATCTGTTTTTAAAGCTTACCATATTTAGGCTGTTAGGACCATTCCACTGTCCATGGAGGTGCCATTCTGAGATAACAGGGAAGTGGGCAAAACTAATACAAATTAAACCATTGTCAGTAATTTTTATCATAAATTGATTTTTCCCTCTACAAACATATCTAATGCTCCCAAATCTGACTATTTAAAAAAATGTTTCTTAGTCCTTAATGTATGCATATCACAACTCTGAAGACACTAGAAGTATAGACTATAGGGTTCACAGTCTTAAAATGAGGATTTTAGATATTGATTTTCATTAACGCTCTCCTCTAAAATAGTTTCAGTCTTTTGTGCTTCCAAAATTAGAACTTTATCCTTAGGTTTTGCAATTTGGATCTTGTAAGGAGATAAAGAGGGAAGAAAAAAAGTTTGTGATTCAGGGGTGTAATAAACTCCAGCTGGCATATCATGAGCCTAGTTATGTCAAAATAAATAAATGATCAAAAATCTTATTAAAAAACAAAAACATACTGGAACTTTGGAAAATAAATTTAGGTAAAACAAGTGAAATGAAAATAGGAAGAATATTAATATTCAGAAGCTGATTGATTATGTATTAGCCAGATCAAAGCCTCTGGGTGATAATGAGCCACTGAACAGGGATTACCACCTGTCCTGTTCAACTAGCAGCTGGACTTACCAAGAACAGCTGGACAAGAACACTTATATAAAATTAGCCTTTAGAAGCATAAGCTAAGTTTTTTCACCTGCTTCTCAGATCGGCATCTTTATCACTCATGCCAGAAGTAAAAAGCTTTTCATATTTTGATGCTGTTTTTGCCTTCAGGAAAGCACAGCTTTGAACACCAATATTCCCAGCCGCTTGCTACCAAGTAATGGAGGTTGTCTTCTAGACCTAATAAGCTAAGATGTCAGATGCACTTGGTTTTTCCTGTCACTGGCTCATCTTGTGCTCTTATGTTTAAGCCACTACAAATTCTTTCAAAAGAAAGTAGAAATATAAATTATAAAGAAAGATTTTAATGTCATTTATTCCTATATTCTTACTCACGAATCTTCATTTTATTGAAACCTATTTAAAATGACAATATATATGCACACTTGGGAAGTTTATCAGATAATTTTGATATAAGACGATAGGTTAAAAATAAGGCATATGACAATCTTTATTTGGTGCTCTGAATTGTATTAAAGTCACCAGTCTGTTTTAAGAGTTATCATGGAACAAGTGAATGAGTAAATATAATAGTCTACTTCCTTCCTTCTCAAAGTGTGGTTGGTCCACAGATTAGCAGCATTAGCATCACCTGTTAGAAATGCAGAACATCATGTCTCATTTTAGACCCACTGGCTCATAATCTGGATTTTAACAAGATTCCCAGACAATTTGTATGCACATTAAAATTTGAGAAGCAATGTTCCTGTGAGCTTAATCAGATCCTCTCTTTCTTTCTACACGTTTTTTCTTTCTTTTTTTTGAGACAGAGTCTCACTCTGTTACCGAGGCTTACCAAAGCTGGAGTGCAGCGGCGTGATCTCGGCTCACTGCAACCTCCGCCTCCCATGTTCAAGTGATTCTCATAACTCAGCCTGGGATTACAGCTGGGATTACAGGCATGTGCCGCCATGCCCGGCTAAGTTTTGTATTTTTAGTAGAGACAGGTTTCGCCATGTTGGCCAGGCTGGTCTAAACCTCCTGGGATTAAGCGATCTGCCCTCCTCGGCCTCCCAAAGCCTGTTGGGATTACAGGCTTAAGCCACCATGCCTGTCCCTGTTTCTCCACTTTGTATTGGAATGCTTTTATTTGAATATGATGTTTTAGTACAAACCACAGCCTAGGAGGCCTGGGTTTTAAAGTAACTAATATTGATGGCTACTATGCCTGCTATGTATAAGTGTAACGTACACAGGTTGAACATAAAGAGGAGGTTTCACATAAGAATATTATAGGAGGTATCGTGACCTTAGAACATCTGTACATCTGTATAATGGAACCTATTTCTTTCATTAGACCCCAATCTGAAAATTTCTCTGTCTGCCAAAAGAAACAGAGAATCCTTCTACTCCCACAACGCAAGAGAGGAAAAGAAAAACACATTCTAAGTGGCAAGTAACTGGCAGCAGGCACTTTGTATAAATACCAAAAGTAGCACGCGTTAGCACATTGATGACGACTCCTTATTTCAAACCTGCACTTGGAACAACTGCAGATAGAGACTAATAATTCTTGTCAATGTGTATTAAAAGCTCTGACAGGAGAAAACAACTTGTGCAGCTCAAGATTGAAAGAAAGCACAATGAGGAGATTCAATTAAAACTGGATGATGGGAGAAGAAAGCATAATCTATAGGAGGACAGGTATAAATCCTCTTTTTCTGATTTGTCCAGTCTCTACTAAAAGAGATTGAAAGCTGATATCAGAATCCTTTGCCATGCTAGTTATAGGCATTTATTTATTTAGGTATTTATTTACATTTTTTAATTATATGCTTTTATGTATAATCATGCTTCAATTACGTGTACAGCAAATGGTAAATATTTCTCATTTATATAACATGAGGTCAGTCATTCCTAATGAATCTTTTCTGGTGCCTTAAAACCTCCCAATTAAAGACTCCTTCAAATACTCCAGTCAAAGACACCAATTAAGGATTCCTCTTAATAGATAAATATCCAAACCAGGCTGTCCTCAAAATGATAACCAGTGTCAAGATTCCAGTGTTCAAAAAAGACAGATCAGTAAGCAGTCTCCCAAGCCAATTGACTGTGTGCCAATTCCACCCTTGGTTGAAGGGAGAGAAAATGATTGCTTCAGAGCAGAAGCAACGGTGGAAGCAGAAGAAACAGACAAAAAAAAAGTGGGGGCGGGAGAGGAGAGAGGGTTAAGATGCAATGGGACAGTAAGATGTTGTGGAGTAGTGTGAACCCGGAAATCAATTGGGAAATAGAACATCAAAAGAACACGCCAGTATTTTTGGGTTTTTGTTTGCTCCTCTCTAAAGAAAAAATTCTGTCTACCTTAGACAAGCACTTCACCAGTTAAGTCTGTGGGAAGCATCTACTTAGGGCAGGTAGGCCAATTGGTATCTTCAATCTTTTTCAAAGGCTTAAATTTAGGCACATCCAGGAGTAAGAAAGTCCTTCCCTTCACTACGTGCAAGATAAAGCTGGTCAATCGTTGAGCCCCAGCTGACTAAATTTTATGTCAGGTAAAGGAAGCAATGTGGGTATGTTCCCGACAATTTATCAGATAACCAAGTACAATCCCATTAAGATAACGGCTATAGTCCTTGAATTGAAGACTTATAGGGCCATGTAGAGGTGGCTTTTGTCTAAAAAGGACAAAGGAACTGAATAATGTGGTCAGTTCTCTGCCACAGAGACATGAAGACGAACCAAGAGATTTTATGTGTGTTTGCTCATTTTGTCAGAAACAACAGGTGACTTAATTACATAGACTTCAGTTCAAAATGCTAAGAATAACTGACAACTGACAACTTTGGAGGACAGATTCCTACCAAAGTAATCACATTAGTGCTGCTCTCAGTCATTCAATTAGTTTATGATTTTCAATAAATGAATAATCATATAATAGAATAATCCAAAATCTTATTTTTAGGTTTTTTGTATATATAACTAGTATTAACCCTCTCTGTCAACATTTTTGCTTTCCTTAAAGAAATATAAGAACATAAAATTTTAGTCTAGGTGTGGCGGCTCACATCTGTAATCCTGGCACGTTGGGAGGTCGAGGCGGGTGGATCATCTAAGGCCAGGAGTTTGAGACCAACCTGGCCAACATGGTGAAACTCTATCTCTATAAAAATACAAAAATTAGCTGGGCATGATGGCGGGTGCCTGTAATCCCAGCCACTCGAGAGGCTGAGGCGGGAGAATCACTTGAACCCAGCAGGTGGAGGTTGCAGTCCACTGCACTCCAGCCTGGGTGACAGAGCAAAAAAAAAAAAAATAAAAAATAAAATAAAATCCATCTCAAAAAAAAAAAAATCAAAATTTAACACTCTGATATACCATTATAATTATTTATTGTAATTGACAACGCAAATACAATTTTGCTTATTTGGTTGTTCTGTTCGTTGTAAATGGAGTACAAATTCTAATTTTTGTTAGCTCTAAATCAAATTTTAAAAGTAAACAGAATGTTTAAAGTTATGTTTTATTTGCTTAACATAACACTTAAAACAAGATGAACAGCAAAATATAAGACCAGGCCTGAATCCACTGAGCTGTCTCCTCTATGAACTTCATAAGGCATCTTACATAGAGTAAGCAGACAGACTTCCAGACTTACAGTTAGAAAATGCTGGTTTGAACCTGGGCTCTAACACTGTGATACTGGGGGAAAAAAAATCACATAATGTATTGAAATAATAAGTATTGTTGACTATAAAATGGAAATCTATCCTACATATTTTACGATATTCTTTTAAAATTAAATGAAGTAATATATGCAACTTTATGTAAGTAGGTACTTTATAAACTAGAAAATTAAATAACTGCTAATTTATTTTTTAGTTTAGTAAAGTCTACAAAAACATCACTTAACTATATATCAAATATAGTCACTTAGGTTATTATTCTGTTTATTATTATTATTATTATTATTATTATTATTATTATTTGAGACAGAGTCTCACTCTGTCGCCCAGGCTGGAGTGCAGTGGCATGATCTCTGCTCACTGCAACCTCCGCCTCCTGGGTTCAAGCAATTCTCATGCCTCAGCCTCCCGAGTAGCTGGGATTACAGGTGCACGCCACCATGCCTGGCTGATTTTTATATTTTTAGTAGAGATGGGGTTTAGCCATGTTGGCCAGGCTGGTCTTGAACTCCTGGCATCAAGCAATCTACCCGCCTCGGCCTCCCAAAGTGCTAGGACTACAGGCATGAGCCACCATGCCCAGTCTTATTTACTATTATTTTATTATTTTAAAAATCCTAATTTCCTGAATTTTTCCTGGAAATGCAGATAAGTAGGTAATGCATTTGGTGATGGTAGTATTAATAGTAATGAGCTAATACCTCATCCTGAAAATAGCTCAAAGATTACCTTAAGTACATATTGACTCCCTAAATATGTGAATAACAAATATAATTGTCACATAAATACAATTATGCAATCATGTCAACTAAATACAATTTGCAAATATTTTGATTGTTTAAGGTTGTATTTTCAGTGTACTATTTAACAGTTATACATATCTTATTAGTCTACAAGACTTTAGACTACAAGGACAGTAGTCTTCATGGTCCCTACCTGCCTAGTATGGCAGCTATGATTATTTGCTGAATGAATAAAAATAATACTCTAAAAAGTGTGTTCATATGAATAATTTTTCATTCATGATGCCTCTATCCTAAGCATCTTATATATAGGATCTTAATCCACAGCAATCTGAATTCCCTGCAAAAATTAAAAGAAGTCTGATATTCCTTCACTCTATATAACCTTGAAAAGAAACAAGGCAAAAGCAAACAAACAAACAAACAAAAAATCCAGTAACTTGAAATGAGACTACCAGGTTTGCTTTAGGCAAGGTAGGCTATGAACTAAGCAATTTTAAAGCTTGGAGTGAGGACAATTTAAGTCAAATCAGTTTTTTGGAATGTCCACAAGACACTAAGTATATCATGAAAATAACATTTAAGGAAAAATAAGTACACAAACATGAGAGTAAATGAAAATATTCTAGTTATTTGCAGACTTGGATGTCTTAAAATCTAAACTTTTTTAATATGGTAAATTAAATGACAAATTCATATTTAAGTGTAAATTAAATAAATGTCAACTATAAATGAATTATATTATTTGAAAATGGAATTATATCTGTGCTATTACGCTTTTCATTAGTTGAAAGTACAAGTTGCAAACTAGCAGACTTTGGGCTAAATTTGGCATGCACAAATGTTTTGATTAGCCCACACAGTTTTTTTTTTTTTAATCTGAATTACTCAACATTTAAATATTCAGAGATATTTTACAGAATAATCCAACCTTCTGACTTCTCATTTAAAAGGAATGATTTGTCCATGCTGGGCTCCTATTCTTGCATGACAATAACTTTCCGGAGCCACCATTCTATAACGGCACATGTATTCTATAGTCCCTACCAGCTCCCATTAACTTACGCTTCGCTAGCCTTGCCCAGTTACAGTAGCAGGCTAGCCCCTCTGTTGGCATTTCAGTTTGCAACCTCTGGTTTAGACCAGCAAAGGCTGACCATAGCAATCTTAGAGTATCTTAGTGTGCTTTAAGTCAACTGACACTGACAAAAGAAGAAATAGAAAATTGGAATAGCCCTGTACTATTTAAGAAATAAACACTGTAATTATAAATTTTCCCACTAGGAAAATTCCAAGGCCAAATCATATCACTGGCAGAAATACCAATCTTAAAGAAACTCTTCCAGAGACTAGAAGAGGCAATGCTTCCCTACTTGCCTTTATGAAACCAGAATAATCCACATACCAAACCTTGACAAGAATGGCAGACCAATATAACTAATAAACACAGATGCAATAACTCTAAAGGAAATACTATCAAATGAATTCTAAATGAATGTTTAGCATCAAGTACTGGGCCAACTAGATATCCATATTATGAAAAATAAAACTCAATCTCTATCTCACATATTACACAAAAGGTCAATTCCAGGTGTACTATATATCTAAATGGAAAAGTTAAAAAATAGTAAGTTTCTAGAAGATAATAAAAGAGGATACATTCATTATCTTGTATTAGGAAAGATTTCTTAAAGAGGACACAAAAGAATTAACCCTAAGGAAAAATTTACATATTGGACTATATTAAAGTTAAGAACTATCAATCAAAAAAACAATTTAATTAAAAGGAAAGCTATAAAATGGGAGAAGATATTTGCAACACATACAATTTACAAAGGGCTACAAACTAGAATATGTAAAAAAAACTCCTACAGATCAATAAGAAAAAGAAGGATGAATCAATAAAAAAAATAGGCAAGAGACTGAATAGATACTTCACACAACAGGATATCCAAAATGGTCAATAAATACACGTAAAAATATTCAACCTCATAAGTAATCAGACAATTGCAAATTAAAATAACAATGAGATTCTACTCACACACTCACTGCAATGGCGAAAATTTTAAAGACTAACAAGTATCAAGTATTGTTGAGATGTGGAGCTACTAGAACTTTCATATACTGCTAATGATGGTGTAAACTGGTACAACCACTTTGGAAAACCAGGAGTATCTACTAAAGCTCAGCATATGCCTACCCTCAACATAGGCAATTTTACTGCAAAGTATATACCAAACACAGTTGTACACACGTGTGTGCCAAAAAACGCATTAAAGAATGTTCATAGGAGGCCTTATTCATAATGTCTTCAAACTGGAAAGAACCAAAATGTTCCCCAACAATAGAATGGATAAATTATAGTATACATTTTAAATGGGATATCAAATTGCAATGAAAATGTATGACAGATTCATGCAACAACATGAGTTAATCTCATAAACACAATGTTGAGTCCTAGATACAAAAGGTTATATACTGTACAATTCCATTTTTATAGAGTTCAAATAAACAGGCAAAACTCAACCATAGTGTTATAAGGCAGAGTAGCAGTTACCTTTAAGATGAGGGAGGAATAGTGATTGGGAGAGGGAATGTGGGTGAGGTAGGGTGGTGATTTCTGAGGTAGTGGTTATATTCTATGTTTCTCCTCAAGCTTTTCATTTTGAAAATTTTAAACCAATTGAAATGTTAAAAGAACACCCATAAACCATTCACTTAGACTCCCCAACTGTTAACATAATATTCGCTTTCTCTCTCTCTCTCTCACCACTCCCCCAACCCGGTGTGTGTGTGTGTGTGTGTGTGTGTGTGTAGTCTGGTTTAGTGTGTGTGTGTGTGTGTGTGTGTGTGTGTGTGTGTGTGTGTAATCTGGTTTAGGGCTACTGATAATGTTTTATTTACTGTCCTAGATGGCGAACATAGGTGTATTCATTTTGTGATAATTGCATTGAGCTGAACATGTTTCATCTGTATACTTTCTGAATGTGGGTCATTCTTCAAGCAAAAAAAAGAGATTCAATCAACTTATTTTTTGAAAACGCCCTCGAAAACAATGCATTCAATACAACACATTACTGAAATACTATGGGTAATGATTTTTTGTTGTTGCTGTTTAGACAGCGTTAGGGAAAAACTACACCATATTTTCTGATCTATTTATTGAACAAGGATACCTCAATGTGGCAGTGAGGCTTGGGTTAAAATTGTTATGTCACAGCCTCACCTGCTGGTTGTTTTCCGTAGCCATACTCTACACTTGCTTCTGTATTATATGGAGATAAGAAATCTCCCCATACTTGCTGCTTTTAAAATGTTTTTAAGACAAGGTTGTTCAGGGCACAGAATGAGACACAGAGCGGGGCTATGGGGGTTACTGCCAGTGCAGGGTAGATATTAAATTGTCCTATCAGTTAATCGACTAAGTAAAACACAGTTCTGACTCCCCCTGCCAAACAAATGGTTAAACGAGCAAGCTAAAGAAAGGACATAATAGGCCAGGTGTGGTGGCTCACGCCTGTAATCCCAGCACTTTGGGATGCCAAGGCAGGAGGATCGCTTGAGCCAAGGAGTTCGAGGTCAGCCTGGGCAACATGGTGAGACTACCCCCTGCTGCCATCTCTACGAAAAGAAAATACAAAAAAAAGGAAAGCACATAATATTTTCCAAAGCTTAGATAAAAAGTAGGATAGATGACCTGAGGATGAAAAAGAAACATAATTATAGAAGTTTTTCCTTTGTGTTGTTTACCAACAGAAATGAATTAACAATACGGCACAACAGAACAAACACACAGCTTAGACAAAAGCAACTTAGTCCCAGATTCTAGTCCATAGCAAATGATCTAAGATAGATCCAGACATCTCAAAGCCTCAGTTTCCAAGTCTGTGGGAATAAGAATAATCATATATGATACTCAAACATTCCATGGGATATTGTAAGAATCAAGTGTGATAATAGAGGTGAAAGTGTTCGATAAAGTGCTATACAA
The DNA here is from genome assembly GCF_000001405.40 of Homo sapiens. NCBI lineage: Eukaryota > Metazoa > Chordata > Mammalia > Primates > Hominidae > Homo > Homo sapiens. The sequence goes on from NC_000023.11 coordinate 31,294,370, forward strand.
ACACATGGGGCTATCTATAAGTTATCTACCTGAATATATCCTCTACCCGAACATCCATGGCATTAGAAAGACCATGGGATCAGGTATCAGAAGATCTGGTTTTCTAGACCAGTTTAGCCATGTTACTAAAATTACTTTCCCCTTTTGGACTTCCATTTTCCTATCTGTAAGATGAAGAGTTTGGGTTGGATTATCTTTGACATTCTTTCTTCCTCTTACATTTCACAATTTTATCTCCTCACATTTGAGTAAACGTACTTCTGCAGTCTAATTAGCTGACTGAATACTGATGACCCGTTATAGAGGTGTGCTTTCAGAGATAAGTTAAAGGACAAGCTTGTAATCTTAGGGTAACAGTTTTGGGAGAAGGAGATCCATTCCCTTAAATGATAATGGCAGAAATGACCACTAAAGGAAGGCAAGAAGTATCTGGTTTATGGCATTCTGAATCTATTTCCCCAAATGGAAATCAGATGTAAAATTCTTGTGCTCAGAGACGTAGTGTTGATTGAAGAGTGCAGATCCACGTGATTCTCTTAGTGTCATATTCATGTGTGTTTCAGTAGTGTAAACTCGGAATTGAATAGTTGCCTGTGTTTGTAAGAGACATTGTAGGTTTGCTTTTTTATTTTTATTTTTTCTTTTGAGATGGAGTCTCACTCTGTTGCCCAGGCTGTAGTGCAGTAGCGCGATCTCGGCTCACTGCAAGCTCCAGCCCCGGGTTCACGCCATTCTCCTGCCTCAGCCTCCCGAGTATCTGGGACTACAGGCGTCCACCACCACACCTGGCTAATTTTTTGTATTTTTAGTAGAGACTGGGTTTCACCGTGTTAGCCAGGATGATCTCGATCTCCCGACCTTGTGATCCGCCCACCTCGGCCTCACAAAGTGCTGGGATTACAGGTGTGAGCCACCGCGCCCGGCCGTAGGTTTGCTTTTAATATACTTTCAGAATGTGTGTGTTAGCATTTTTTTTTCATATAACAGCTTTATTGACATTTAGTATACATACCATACGATTCGCCCATTTAAGGTGTACAATTCAATATTTTTGTTTGTTTGTTTGTTGAGACTCGCTCTGTCACCCAGGCTAGAGTGCAATGGCATGATCTTGGCTCACTGCAACCTCCACCTCCCAAGTCCAAGCGATTCTCCTGCCTCAGCCTCCCAAGTAGCTGGGATTACAAGCGCTCGCTATGAACGCCTGGCTAATGTTTGTATTTTTAGTAGAGATGGGGTTTCACCATGTTGGTCAGGCTGGTCTCGAACTCCTGACATCAAGTGATCTGCCCGCCTTGGCCTCCCAAAGTGCTTGCATTACAGGCGTAGCCACCACACCCGGCCTTGACTTAGTACTTTGTATTGGTGATATATGGAATTGATTTCAACATTTTTTGCCATTCTAGGGTGAAAGTGCTACAATAAATTAAAACCTTATACCAGCCAAAGAAGAGGCAGCTCTCAATTGTGAATGTTGAGAATATACTTACAAGAAAAATTTAACTTTGGTGATGTAATAGCTTCATTTGCATTACCTAAAGCTTGAAGTCAAAAGCTAAAGTATTAAGCGTACAGAAGCATGGACTCTATGAAAGAAACAATCCAAAAAGTGACTTTTTTTTTTTTTTTTTTTTACAATGGGAGACATTAAGAACTTTGGTAACTAACTCTTCAATATGTCCCTGATGACAGACCAAGGATTTATGACCAGAAGAAGCTATTAAGAAAATCTTCCTGAGGTGTTAAACATTGAACATGGATTATTCATGAAAAGATAGGAAATCTCTTTTCTGAATCAGAAGAGAGTAGATTCTTGTTGATCTGGAGTGGTTTCCATTTACTTCTGCCATGGGAATAAACTGAATGATTGCTCTATAATTGAATAGTCTTTTAAACCATACTCTATAAATTCTATAACTATCTTATAAGTATGGTATCTAAAAATAAGACTGATAGCTTGAGGACTCATAGTTGTGAAAAACTATTGAAAGTATCATTGAAAAGGCTCAACGTTTTCTATTTTCAAAAAGCTAATGGTAAGCTATTTTTTAATCCAATGGATGATGGTTTCAGTAAAGGCAATTTTGTCACAAAGATTTTTATGGGAATCTGCAGTATGTAGAAAGATTCTCCTGAGGAAACGTGCTTACTGCTCCCTTTACAGTAGGTCAAGAGTCTCTGATTTCTAGCACAGAACTATTTTCTAGGCATCTTTTAAAACCCTACCTAAAGGCAGATGAGTGGGCCCTAATGTTACAAAGAACTACTCTGAGCTAAGTGAAAGAATTACAGTTGGACAAGTGGGAACAAATAACATGGTTCATAGCTGCAATTACTGCTCACATGAATTTTACTTATAATATTCCTGATGCCAAGTCATAAATGCTCTCAACATCTCATCTGACTGGTAGAACTTTCTTACTGGCATGAGATTCCTAGGATTTTTGTTATCCTTTAGCTTTTATATTCTACACCATGGATTGGTACCACTCTAAATTGGATCAAATTTTGGAACAATAGACATCAAGTAAGATGTTTCTAAACAATTAGCTATTCTTAGTCATTTGAATTTCTATGTCATAACACATGCTTTGGCATTTATAGAGTAACCTACTCTTAAGAAAAAATAATCTCTTCTAAAGCCCGTATTTAATTTTACAATTGTGTATACACAATTGTGTATGTATATAGTAAGCATGGTCACTGACAAATGCTAATGTCTCAGCCAGGGAAATTGATTGACAGGAAACTGGAGAAGAGCCCCTGAAAACTCAAGTCTGTAATTATATACTACATCTGTGAGTGGACTACCTGTATCAGTTTATACACCATCTTCCAAATCCCAAAGTTTAGTGGTAAACTAAACCTTGTCTGATGCCCTGTATGGTCTAAAAAAGAGGAGAGGGGTTGAAAAGAGCAAGAGGTAGAGTAGAGATGCAATCTGAAGACCGCTATTCCCAGAGTGATAGAGCAAGTGACTAGTAGTGAATGTGAGGGACCTCCTGTTTGTGTGGTTTGTCTGTCATATAAATCTTGAAACTTACATAGATTTTTATAAGGGAAAACATCAGCATATCGAGAAGAAAGATATAATGTTTAAGGGGATCATTGCCACTGGACTTTATTTAGATTTTGGCTTGCACATTCTATCAGAATGAAAAGCCAACATTGAAATCTTTTCATCATATAAGAGAAAAAGGAAGATAGTAGGTGCTGGTATCACAAGGCTAGAAGCGGTTTTCATAGTAGTCAGCCATTAATCTTTCCCTTATGAGTTTGAGTTATCCTAACATTGTGCATATTATAAATACAGACACCTGCTTGGCTTGTACTGCCTCTCAACAAAGTGATGGCAGACAGAAAACCTAAAAAAGTTCTTTTCTGGACTAGCTGTGGATTAGGCCTAGATTGGATCGCCATTAGAAAAGTGGGGAATGCATATGCATGTGTGCATACATACAAGTTCTATGGGCCTACAGTCCTGGAGTGCACACTGAGACATGTGGCTTCTGGGGGTTGCTGCCTTTCAATACCACAGAATCACTGGGTTACAGCCCATTGGCTGAGTAGTTCAAGTTATCTATAGACTCATTTATTATGTGACAGAGCTGATGATAGCATAGATGCATCCCTGATTGAAAGCCAGATAGATCCTTTGCTTCATTTTGCTTTGTTAGTGTGGGCTAGCACAGGCTTGCCTTTAGGTACCTGAGTGGAATGTACAACTTCTAGTCCTTACATGTAATGGAGAAGACTGCTATGATTCATCTTGAAAAGTAAAATGTACACACATACCTGTCTATATCCAAGCTTGGGGGTAACACTTCTGGGTTTGAGCTATGACATTTTTGTATAATAAATGAAAATTAAACTTCATTTGAATTTCATAATTACCTACTACTGGTGTGATTTAGAAGCAGCTGGTAGGTCAATATGGTGCTCTTTTATGCATTTTAGTACTGAGAAAAACATAAGTGCTAGATATGCCACTTTTAAAGTTTCCCAGAATATTAGAATTCAAACACACACACACACACACATACACACACACACACACACACATACACACACACACATACAGAGTAATAGTGGTAATACCACTGCCAGAGACTCAGTTAAGATAATATTGTTCTCTATTTGACTCCTCTTTAATTCCGTCTAAACATGAATGAGAATAATCATTGACCTATATCTACAACATGACTAAATGAGTTCACCAGAGGATCTAACAGCATAAATCTATTTTCCATGAATTAAATTAAAAACTCATGAATACACATAATACTTTTAGATTGAACCAAATATTTTCATGAATACAGACTCTCTTCATCCACGTAGGAAACCCTATTGGTGAGCAGCAGGTTGGCAATGAGTAAATGCTGCTCAGCAGGTCAGACGTGTACAGCTGGAGAAAGATCATGAAATTTAGCTAGTATACTAGGCAAAACACAAATCTGGAAAGGAGATGATCCACATTGCAATTTTTAAAAAAAATTCTATGTAGACTTAGAGGTCTAGTACAGTACACATACACACAAGGAACATAAATATCTTCTGAGAGAGTTTCTGTAGGCTTTACCTTTGAAGTTTTTTTCTTTTTCTTTTTTTGGGAAACAAAACACAACAAAACACCTCCTGTTGCCCTGAATGCTAATGATGGAAGACTGTTGCTATGGTGATGCTAATTTCAACACCGTTGCCTGTGGACTTCACATGAACTCGCTGTTTTAACTTCTGCAAATGTCATTTACAAAATGAAAACCCATTAATGATTAGCGAGGGCACAATGTTCCACTTTAATTAGAATAATAAGGAATGCTGATGCACAAAATACAGGTTTGTGAATCACTACTGAGCCTACACTGTCAAAATTAATTACTACGGATGAGGATTTGGTACTTTTCTTTTTTTAAAGAAAGCTTTAGAGTAGAACAGTTGTATTTTGACTTAAAAGGAATTGAAAACTCTCTCTTTTAAATTTGAAGGTAAAAAAAAAGCACATCTCCCTAACAGTACACATAAAAACTAACTGCAAAGAGCAAAACAAAAGTTGGAACCTAGGGTCAGATATTTCTGAGTAAGAACTGAAGAAAAGTCAACTAATTGTTCGTTTAGAAAATAGGGTAGGCTGGGTGTGATGGCTCACGCCTGTAATCCCAGCACTTTGGGACGCTGAGGTGGGTGGATCATGAGGTCAAGAGATCAAGACCATCCTGGCCAAATTGGTGAAACCCTGTCTCTACTAAAAATACAAAAATTAGCTGGGTATGGTGGCATGCAACTGTAGTCCCAGCTACTTGGGAGGCTGAGGCAGGAGAATCGCTTGAACCTGGGAGGTGGAGGTTGCAGTGAGCCGAGATCGCACCACTGCACTCCAGCCTGGTGACAGAGGAAGACTCCGTCTTAAAAAAAAAAAAAAAAAAAAAAAAGGATGGGGGGGATGATACAGGTAAGCTATTTGAATATTTCAAAAAATAACTATCTGAGGAAAAAGTGCTGCATATGGTAAATACCTTGATATTAGATATATTTGGATTTATGTGTCCACACAAGGAAACAGAGAACATTTAAACAACTGGGAATATACAAGAGGAAACAAAAATAATTCTATTCTCTCCAATGGTAAAAGATTGAGTTACCTTAAAATAAAGATTTTTTTTTCACCTGCACAAATTTTAAAGCAACATCTGAAGATGAGTTGGAAAGAGTATGTTCCATATTTAAATTTGTTTCCACATGGTTTGCTGCAAAGACTGCGTCGGTTGATTTTATTTTCGATGCTCTACATTTCCATTCTGGGTCACCCCCTATTCAGTGAAATCATTTTATGTCATTGGTGCAGCCAACAAAAAACCGATGGTGTATTTGCTGGATATGGAAGGTGCAACACGCATTTTTCATGTTACAAAAATCTTCCTACAGAAGTTCCAAACCTGTTGGATTTGGCAAGATATGATGAAGGGAGATGATACCAATACTTTATATAGTTTCTAGAGTAATCCTTGAAAGACTTGTATTCTGGGTCTTCAGTCAAGTAATATTATAGGGTCTGTAGAACTATCAAATTACCTGTGTTATTGAGGTGAAAGGTGAATTTGTGGTGGCCTTATTTGTCTACCTGATATTAAGCCAAGGGTACTGCACTTGGGAAGACAGCTGACATCTGCCGTCAAAAATGTAAAGTAGGAAGTTAGAGTATCTTCGTATTTAGGTTTAAACTTGCATTGCTCAAGAAAAGGTAGGATACAAAGTTATATAAACAATATCTTTTGTATTTTATCAGCAGATTTTAAAAAACTGGAAGAAGACATTACCAACATGTTCATTGCAGTTGTCTAGGTGGTGATGGGCACTTAAATATTTTTAATCTTTTTCTATGTTTTCCACAGTGAACATTTATTATTTTTGTTATGACACGGAAAACTTACAAATATTAATTTCTAAAATGTATTGCTCAGACTTCCAGTTTCAACTTGGAGATGGAGATGGAGAGCTGCAAAGAGGTTGCTCCCATACTTGTAGCAAGAAAACTGCTGGACAGATAAATTAATGACTTTTCATCAGTCCATCAGAGAAATGACATTATAGAACAACCTGAAATCTGGAGAGAGATTGGCCTTTAGCCAGAAGCAGTGCCTGAGCATTTGGATCCCTGGAGCAGATGCCATATAAACTAGTAGGGAGATTAAATTGTTGGGGGACATGTGGGAGCTAGCCTGAGAGTGTGAAGATCCTGGGGGCTACTGCCATAGGTGGAGTCCCAACCTTTTGCAAGCTTCTTCCTTCAGGAACTGTACCTTGCCTTCACAAGGAGGATGCGAAGAATCTGGAGAAAGCCTCCCCAACACCCTCTGTGTTGCTGATTGGGGAAGGGTCACAGTAGCTAGTCACCATGAATCTGCTTATACCCTTCTCTTCAGAGGAAAAGACATCACATTGCTATAAAGAACTACCCGTGACTGGGTAGTTTATAAAGCAAAGAGGTTTAATTGACTCACAGTTCTGCAGGCTGTATAGGAGGCATGGCTGGGGAGCCCTCAGGAAGCTTAAAATCATGGCAGAAGGCAAAGGGGAAGCAAGCACATCTTCACACAGCAGCAGGATAGACACAGTGAAGGGGAAAGTCCTACATACTCTCAAATAACTAGATCTCTTGAGAACTCACTCACTATCACAAGTACAGCAACGGAGAAATCTGCCCCCATGATTCATTCACCTCCCATCAGGCCCCTCCTCCAACATGTGGGGATTACAATTTGACATGACATTTGGGTGGAGACACAGAACCAAACCATATCAGGCACTGAGGAAATACCACTGCATTTTAGGGGAAGGGAACACCAGATCTCATCTATGTGTGGTTTTGTTTTGTTCTTTTTTTGTTTGTTTTTTTTTGTTTGTTTGTTGTTGTTGTTGTTTTTCAGCCTTATGCAGGAGAAAGGGCCTTGGGGCCATAGACTGAGAACACTGGTGGATATCCACTGCAGCTCCAGGAAGGGAATGGGAGGTTGAAGTTACTCTACCTCTGGAGGAAGGGAAAGAAATAATTGTAAAGACCACATCCCCAAGACCCAGGCCAACTGTGTATTAATTCAAACATTAGAGAATGCCTCTGCCCGACACTCAACCACTACACTAACAAGCTTCCAATGAGGAAACAAAGTTACCAGAGGAATTTGAAGTCTCTGGTGGCCACAGCAGCAACAAAACTCAACAATGACAACCAAAGCAACTACCAACATCAAACACAGCCCAATTCCCAGTCAGATTAAGATAAATTACCATGTCAAAGGTTTATTTACCTCAGTATCTATTACGCTATCTAAGATGCCTGACTTTTACCCCTGAGATACAAAGCATGCCTAAGCAAGAAAAATCACAGTCTAAGGAGACAAAGCAAGAATCAGAACCAGACTTAGATATGTAACAGTTGTTGGAACTATCAGACAGGAAATTTAAAATAACCATAATTAATATTTTAAAGACTCTTGAGGGAAAAGAAAGACAATATGCAAGATTAGATAGAAAATATGTAAGATTAGAAGACAATATGCAAGATTAGATTTGATTCACTCTTATAGTTTCCAGCTCTATATTTCAGTATATTTCAGTATAGAGCTGGAAACTATAAGTGAATCAAATGGAAATGCTAGAAATTAAAAGCAGTAACAGAAAAGAAAAATACCTTAGATGGGCTCATCTGTAGATTCAACAAAGACAAGGAAAGAACCAGTGAACTTGAATATAGGGTAACAGAAATTATACAAACTGAAAAGCAGGGGGAAAAGTAAAAAAAAAAATGCAATTGCAATACAAACACAGTAGGTTTTCAGTATTAAGTAGGGCTCTAGGAAACAGCTATTTTTCAGATTAAGTAACAGTTTGGTGCAATTATGCTGATCAAGCATAAAGAACTATAAATTAAAGACTTCACTCAAAGAAGACCTCTGACAAGCAACCAAGTTGCTACAAAGTATTTAAAAAGCTAGTGACCAACCAGTTGTTTACAGTGATATATTTTGCAATATTTGATTTAGATTAAGAGTTCTAGGAAATACAAAAAGATCCACAGTACAAAAAAACAAATGTGTTCCTTCTAATGCTCAGAATTAACATTTTATCTTTGCTCAAAGCTTCTTTTGAAATAAAATACACCATTCAAGATGAAATTCCGATCCTCTCTGATGCCCCCTCTCCCATACTACAACTAGTATCATAACTTTGGTGTTTATCTTTCCAGGCTTTTCATTTTAATTTAATTTTTAAAAATTAGTCTTTTTTATTTTTAGTATTGCACCTGTACTTCAAAAAGCAAAACACTTTAAAAAGTGACCTTCCAGAATTTAGCATCAGAATCTCATTCACACTCATGGTTTCAGTTACTAGCTATATACAAGTAATATGTAAATTAGTGACTCCAACCCAGATGCGCCTCCTTCTTTCTTTAGGTGCACACTATCTGTCTATTTACAGTGCTTTTTGGATGTCACCAATCATTTGAAATCCAAACATTTACAATCAAATTGCCACCCTAAATCTGATCTTTCTTTAGAGTTCCCTAACTCACTGTAAAGAATTACCAACTGTGCATTGCCCAGAAATCTAGGTGTGATTCCTTGACATGTTTTGCTTTCTCTTTGCGCCCTTCCTCCTATGATATCTATCCTCAAATCTTAAGGATTTTTACCTCCTAAAAATCTCTCAAATCTATGCCTTTCTCACCATATCCAAACTATCATCATCTTGGTCCAAATCCCATCTTCTCTCACCTGGCTTTCATCAGTAACCTTCAAACGTTTGTATTCATAGGCTCCTCATCCAATTCATTTGCATCAGCCAGAGGACTTTTTGAGTTTTCTCCTCACCTCCTCCAGCCCTAGTCATGCTGTCCTTTTAATCCCTTGTATTGACAAGTTCCCTCCTGCTAAATTGCCTTGACACATGACTCTCTCTCTCTTTTTGTGTTAATATGTATTCATTCTTAGTGTCATTTCCATTATCTATTCCCTGGCTATACTTTGGAGGTATCATGCATGTTGCTCACCAAATGTACCCTTTACATCTAGCAATGTATCTGGTGCACATATTCTGATAAATAAACATCTATTGACAAATGAATCAATGAATGAATCAGTCAAGAGTATATCTTTAGATAAATGTTTTTCTTAGGTAAGGAGAATCAAACCATTTAAGTGCATTAGAATTAAAAAGCATTTTAGCATTTGTGAGAAATTCTGAAAGCAGTAACAAGTAGCAGTTTCTACTTTTACAAATATAACTGAGGTTAAACAAAATATACCCAGTAAAAAATAACTTCTTACTAACTTGGCTAATTATGGGTGAAATTGGTCATTTATGCTGTGACAATGATCAGAGACACCCTTGGAAACTATGCTTCTTTAAGGAATAATGATGCCATTTTATAGTTTTATGCTTTCATTTTAGCATTTGAGAACAGTTCACAAACACACTAATTAATCTCTGCAATGATATTGTACTCCTATATTACAGGCCAATTCAAGAAAGTAAATCACACAGATTTCAAAAGCATAGGAAAAATTTTTAGATGCCTAAGAATATACTCTTTACCTCCTGTACCTTGTTATATATGTCTTTATAGTCTTAGATAGATCTTTAATAAAGAATTGAAACAGAAACAGAGATCCTTATTTTAGCTCCTTTATGTAAATCATATGCATATTTATGACTTAGTTCCTTTATTTTGTGAGCATTTTATATATATATATATATAATATAAAATATAAAATTTACAATAGCTGGTACAATAGCCCCCAATAAATATAGTTTGCTTAATTAATGTAATGAATTCATTAATACATTTGCCTTTTGCAAAACAGAAACTAGCTCGATATTGTGAAGTCCCAGGGTTTCCTCCCTCATCCCAATATGATGGCATCCCACCCCATGACTCTAAGAAGGATGTATATATTGATGATTACAAAAGTTAAAGCTCTTGTCCTGACGTCTTCCCCTAGCTTCAGATCCAAATTTTGAACTGCACAGCTAGATACCCAATAAGTACCTCAAACTTAAACATGTCTAAACCCAGGCAGCTCTAGGGTTTCTACACGGAAGAGTAGCTATCTAGTTGACAAGCAATTTTTTTTTGTTTAGATTAAATGTTTTCCTGTTGTTGCTGGAAGCAAAGTATGGCTAATGGGCAGGTATTATTGGAGCACAGAAGCTCTTCAAGCCACCCTTTAAGACATCTCTTTAAAAAATTATTTATTTCATTTATTTGTAATTGACAAATAATAGTTTGTATATTTATGGGATACGATGTGATGTTTTGATCTTGGTATATATTGTAGAAAGAGTTGATCAAGCTAATTAACGTATCCATTACCTCACCAACATATCATTTATTTTTTGCGGTGAGAACATTAAAAATCTATTCTTTTAGCAATTTTGAAATATATGAGACATTATTATTAGCCATGGTTACCATGTACTGCAATGGAACACTAAAACTTGATTTTCCCTACCAAATTTGTTCCTCTTTAAGTACCTGTTCCTGCTGAAAGCCGAGGAGACACCTGGATTGCCCTCTTTCTGTCCCTCCTGACCTCCAATGCATCAGCAAGACCTGTGATTGTTTCTAAACCATATTCCCTGATTCCAACCACCTCTTGTGATCTCCACTGCTACCTTTATCTAGATCTTATCTAACACCAGTGCTTCCCACACTACTATCTGGTCTCCCTGCTTCCACTCTGGCTCTTCATATTTCCTCACCCCTAACTCACGTGTTCCACCAAATGCATTCTCCACACAGCAGCCAATTATGTCTTGCCAATCTAGTCTACTTTCAAACTGCATTATAACAAAGCACCAGCAAAAAACCAAACACCTCCAACAAACTTCACCTAGGCTTTGATAAAGGTCAAGGTTTGCATTTCAAAAATTTTCCTCTTTGGAGTTGCAGAAAAGAAATATTCAGGGCTGAATTTCAGCAACCTTCTTATTAGTATTTACAAACTAGTTATACTTGGCTAATTTGTAACACCATTGAAAGTGAGGTTTGGCAATAAGTGTACTTTACATTGTGAACATTAAAAACAAACAAGACATATTGTCTGGCAAAATATTTTTTGCTGTTGTTGTTGTTGTTTGAAATTGTATATATTTGAACTACCTTAAAAGATAATCAGAGGAAGTCCCAGGTAGCTGGACATTTAAAAGTTTGTCTTTTTTCTTTGAAAATAATACATGAAACTTGGAAATTGGGAAAACATATTTACTATAATATTCAAGTCAAAGAATGGAGAATTGCCCAATTAGGGTTTATATAAAATTAGTTTTCAAATTTAAAAAAAAATCCAGACTAAATTATATCTTTATAATGTATAACCCTTAAGAGTTGTTTATATATCTTCTGGTTGGTTCATAAGCGGAAGAGCTGCTGCACTGTTCAGTATCATTTCCCCATATTTCACTGAGAAATGAAGTTCAGAGAGTAATGAAATTATGTAAGGGCATACATATTATTTTATAACATCTATAGAATTTACATCTTTGGACTCTCATGCCTAAATTTAATTTCCTATTGGTTTATTATTTCATCTCCGCCTGACTTCTGTGTTTTATATCCCAAATTAAATTTCCCACAGATTTCCTTAGGTATATTATTACTCTATAAAATGGCAATAATCTGTTCACTATAGCCAACACTATTGCTTAATCATCTTTGTAATTATTTTATCATTTCTCTATTTTTTGTTTTGTAATACACATATTTAGGAAAGGACAAGTAAACCAAATTCCTAAATTGACAAAGTACTACGTATAAATTAAACAGAAGTTGGTACAGTCAAGCATGAATCTCTGAATAAAGCCACCAACTTTGAGAAGTGTTTCCAACAACCTCAAGTACTTTTTTTCTTCACTCCACTCTTTATAAAACTTGGTGATAAAGGTGTTCACGATGGAACTAAAAGTTATTTGGATTAAAATATTGCTGGTCTGGGATTCATGCTTCCCCAAGCAATATTGATTTGCTAGGGGATTTTTTTCTGTTCTTATTCAGTCTTTTTAATTTAAAATATTTTATATTTATGTTGCTTTTTTTCTGATGTTTTACTGAATTAATTCTATAGTTTCCAGGCCACGGCAACTACTGTAAGGGTATGGCCCATACTGTCAGATTATATTATTCAGTGTTCCTCTGCTCATCTCAGATCCTTCAGAGGCTGCTATTTTTACACGTTCTATTACACATCAGGACTTTTAGGTTTTAATTTTAAAGAAGTGTTCCACATTTGAGCCCTCTGATATACCCTGAGTTATAGTTACAGTTACAGTTACAGTCAGATAACTTCTCAGAAAAAATGACTTTGTAGTTTGAACATGTTTTCTCCATCCCTCCATGTTAATTTTTTCCAGTTCACAAGTGAAAACAAGATTAGTATGCTCTGAATCTACCAGTCAGTATGTTTCATCTTCCACCTCAACATTGAACTGCTTCCTTTCACCTTATACATCTTTTTAAACAATACATTCAAGGACTTGGAATATAATTGGCAATTTTGTTGATGATGAATGAGGCTGAGCAATATAATGATGCCTTTTGCTACTCTATAGTGCTTTCAGTAAAAAGAAATGGCTTGAGGACTAAGAGTATATGAAATATGAGTGAGAGAAAAAGCTCTAAGGTCCTTGATAATAAAGCACCTTTAAAACGATATCATGAGATGATGTTTCTCCCTACCAAAAAAACCCCAAAAAACTATGTGTGAAAAAAAAATCGGCTCTCTTGTATCAACATCGGGCATTCATGCAATTAAAATCTTTTGTATGTGTCTGGTAATGATATCTAATATTTAACAGAGAAAGGCAAAAACTGGTTGAGTATAACTGAATTCTAAACTTGAAGTCTTTTCTTCCCTACTGGATACCACTGCAGCTCTGCCTCAATGTATGTCTTAGGATTTACCACTTACCTTACTCCAACTTTTTTCAAGATCTATTAAGACAGTGGTCCCCAGCCTTTTTGGCACCAGGCATGAGTTTTCTGGAAGACAATTTTTCCACAGACTGGGAGGCAGGGGCGGGGGTATGGTTTCGAGATGAAACCGTTCCACCTCAGATCATCAGGCATTAGTTTCTCATAAAGAGGTCACAACCTAGATCCCTCGCATACATAGTTCACAATAGGGCTTGTGCACCTACGATAATCTAATGCCACGACTGATCTGACAGGAGGCAGAGCTCAGGCAGTAATGTTCACTTGCTCACCACTCACCTCCTGCTGTTCCAGTCCATGGTCCAGAGGTTAGGGATCCCTCTATTAAGACATAGGCTTACATGCATTCACTGAACAATGCTGGCTCCTGAAGAAAGCTTGGGAGTTTTGATAGAAGAGGATTTTAAGGTGTTTTCCTAAGATATTCTCACAACAGTTTTGGTAATAGGAGCTACTGAAGGAATATATTCACTTAAAGATGCTTTCTTCAAAACAGTAACTTTCAAAGATTTATAGTTTATAGCATAATCTAGCCAGGCAATCAACCCCATCAACACTCAACCCCATCTGCTCTCAACAAACTGAAATATACAAAATAAATGGACTGCTAAAAAATCGCTTCCAAATGTAATTTAATAAACTGTAACACCAGTGGGGCTATCTAGAATTTAAAAAAATAACATGGAACTTCTTTATCTGTTATTGTCTATTTTTTAAAAATTATTTATTTATTTATTTATTTCTAGATGGAGTCTTGCTATATTGCTCAGCCTGGTCTCAAACTCCTGGACTCAAGTGATCTTCCTGCTTCGGCTTCCCAAAGTGTTGGGACTGCAGGCATAAGCTGCTGTGCCGTGCCATCTATTTTTTTGTGTGTGATTTTTTTTTTCTTTGGAGATGGAGTCTCAACTCTGTCGCCCTGGCTGAAGTGCAATGGTGCGATCTCGGCTCACTGCAACCTCTGCCTCCAGGGTTCAAGTGATTCTCCTGCCTCAGCCTCCTGAGTAGTGGGGATTACAGGCATCTGCCACCACACCAGACTAATTTTTGTATTTTTAGTAGAGACGGGGTTCACCATCTTGGACAGGCTGGTCTTGAACTCCTGACCTCAGGTGATTTGCCCACCTCAGCCTCCCAAAGTGCTAGGATTACAGGTGTGAGCCACCACGCCTGGACTGCCATCTATTTTTCTTTAAATAAGCATACCTATTGGGATCATAGCTCAGCTTCCAGTGCTTAATCATCAAAATCAAAACAAATGATCAAGTATTTATTATTATTTTTACATGTGAGATATATAATACATGCTAGGGATGATGCAAAGATGCATAAGGCACAAGCGTTGTCAGAGAGTTTACAGCTGAACTGAGGAGACAAGGGATCTGAAAATTAACAAAATATTTCAAGAGTTAAACAAGAAAGAAAACTTGGGGTCTTAGCTGGGACGTTATAGAGGCTCTTGCTATTTCTAGGATCTGCTTAAAATAAGGTTAAAAATTAATTATTACTTATATAATTTTAAAGGTAGACATGTATAACTGTTATATCACTTCCTAGTCCTGACCCTGGCCTTTTCTTAGACTTGTGATTTCCTAAAACTTGGGACAAGATGTTAAGGAAAAATATGTAGGCCCGCTCATCCTCCTTTTTTTCCCCTCTTGCTCATGGCAAAGATAATTTTTAAACTAAAATAAACACAAATTGTGTAAGTATAACATTTGGATCTCACATCAGACTCACACAAATCTCAGATTCTTATCTAGTACCAATCTTTATTAATGACTGAAAGAATTATAGGGAAGTGCTGGGCACAGATAGAACATTATTTCCCTGGGGAACCTGAAATAATCACACATGCGTTTCCAAAACATCCATGTTATTTCCCATTATGATGTGCTTTGGTTTCATATTAACAGATACGTTTTTAAAAATTTACACAGAAACATTGAAAGGAAATCATTTCAGTCTCAAAAGTTTTCCATTTTATAATCTGTCAATTACAAAAATAGAAAAACGTTCATGTAGCTATGCCCTATTCTCCAGCCAGCCACGACTCATAAATCCAAACATTCCAGGTTTATTTACAATAAGCTATCTAGCCAGGCCAGGTATACCCTACTAAAATCATTTTATAGATAGGGATTTGCAGGTATCTTTCCTCTAGTTAACCACTATTAACAAGATAAACAAGAAGGTCTGGGAGGTCATTAACATGTTTATGAAGTGGTCTATTAAGGTCATTTATTCCCTTCACATCCCCCAGGGAATAAGTCACAGACCTGCTGTTAATACCCTTTATTCTCTTTAGTTTCCTCTTCGTTGTCCTCTCTCTCTCTCTCTCTCTCTCTCTCTCCATATATATATATATATATATGTGTGTGTGTCTGTGTATGTATGTATGTGTACATATAGATATATGAGTAAAATGTACACAAATTACTTTTAATTGGATGCATAAAGATATTTCCACCTTGAACTTTTGCTGTGCCTGCTCAGCCCCTCCTGCTCTATCTAGGATTCATTCTTTTCTATTATTTGATTTTTTTTTTTGGCAGAAAAGTTCTTGTAGTATTGATATAAGTAAGAGCGAGAAAAAACAATTAATCTAGCCTTTATTTGATAAAGCACTTGTATTTACATATTAACACAGGGTGCCTACATTTTTCGGATAGAGATTTTTCTTTTCTTTCTTCTTTTTTTTTTATTCCTAGAGACAGAGTCTTGCTGTGTTGCCCAAGCTGGAGTGCAGTGGCACAAACACGGTTCACTATAGCCTCAACTTTCGGCCCCCTGGGCTCAAGCAATCCTCCTGCCTCAGCATCCTGTGTGCCTGGGACCACAAGCACATGCCACCATGCCAAGGATTTTTTTTTTTTTTTTTTTGTAGAGACCAGGTATCATTTTGTTGCTCAGGCTGGCTTCGAACTCCTGGGCTTAAGTGTTCCTTCTGCTTTGACCCCCCAAAGTGCTGGGATTACACGCTTGAGACACTGTGCCCAGCTATATTCAGACAGAGATTTTTCTTAATCTTCAGAAAACATAAGCCATTATTTATCTTCAAAAACATATTAATTGCCCAGATTGCTTTTGTAATTTTGAGTCATTATGAGAAAAAGTATGAGAAATACTTCTTTTGCACCATGTAGTTATAATGATAAAAAATAAAGACTAAAGAATATCACTCTGCAATAATGAATATCATTCTGCAATAAGAATAAAGTATCATTCTGCAATAAGATGAAATGTTCTGCATGTAATACATGGGCAGACTCAGTATTCCCCCAGCTCAAGGCTTGGGAGAAATTGTGACTTATAGCCACAGACCATATATATTTGCCTAGTAAAGCTAGAACCATAGGCCTCTGGCTTAAGGGAAGGATGAGACGATCTGTTCTGGAATGGGGGGCGGGGGGTGGTGTCAAAATCAAGGACATGCACAAATGTTGCAAAGGCTCCTGCAGAGCACTTCTTGTCCATCTAAATTGACCACGCGCTACCTTTCAGAAAGACTTACAATTGAGGGTATGAAGAGAAACACATTCCATGACATTTATTAAGTATGGTCTTGGCCATACTCTCTATCTTAGGGAAGCCCTGATGGAGGTGGTGGAATATGACTTAGAAATCCTTTGCTTTTCTGCTCCATTGGTCTATATGTCTGTTTTGGTACCAGTACCATGCTGTTTTGGTTACTGTAGCCTTGTAGTATAGTTTGAATTCAGGTGGTGTGATGCCTCTAGCTTTGTTCTTTTTGCTTAGAATTGTCTTGGCTATACGGGGTCTTCTTTGATTCCACATGAAATTTAAAACAGTTTTTTTTTTAATTCTGTGAAGAAGGTCATGGTAGTTTGATGGGAATAGCATTGAATCTATAAATTACTTTGGGCAGTATAACCATTTTCACGATATTGATTCTTCCTATCCATGAAAGACCTCAGAAATAATACCACACATCTACAAACATCTGATCTTTGATAAACCTGACAAAAACAAGCAATGGGGAAAGGATCTCCTATTCAGTAAACGGTGCTGGGAAAACTCTCTAGCCATATGCAGAAAACAGAAACTGGACCCCTCCCTTACAGCTTACACAAAAATTAACTCAAGATGGATTAAAGACTTAAATGTAAAACCCCAAATCCTAAAAACCCTAGAAGGAAACCTAGGCAATACCATTTAAGACATAGGCATGGGCAAAGACTTCATGACAAAAACGCCAAAAGCAACTGCAACAAAAGACAAAATTGAGAAATGGAATCTAATTAAACTAAAGAGCTTCTGCACAGCAAAAGAAACTATCATCAAAGTGAATAGGCAACCTACAGAATGGGAAAACATTTTTTCAATCTACCCATCTGACAAAGGTCTAATATCCAGAATTTACAAGGAACTTAAACATATTCACAAGAAAAAGACAAACAACCCTATCAAAAAGTGGGCAAAGGATATGAACAGACACTTCTCAAAAGAAGACATTTACATGGCCAACAAACATATGAAAAAAAGCTCAACATCACTGATCATCAGAGAAATGCAAATGAAAACCACAATGAGATACCATCTCACACCAGTCAGAATGGTGATTATTAAAAAGTCAGGAAACAACAGATGCTGGCTAGGCTGTGGAGAAATGGGAACGCTTTTGAACTGTTGATGGGAATGTAAATTAGTTCAACCATTGTGGAAAACAGTATGGCAATTCCTCAAGGATCTAGAACCAGAAATACCATTTGGCCCAGCCATCCCATTACTGGGTATACACCCAAAGGAATATAAATCATTCTACTATAAAGACACATGCATATGTATGTTTATTGCAGCACTATTTACAATAGCAAAGACATGGAACCAACCCAAATGCCCATCAATGATAGACTGGATAAAGAAAATGTGGTACATATAAACCATGGAATACTACGCAGCCATAAAAAGGAATGAGATCACGTCCTTTGCAGGGACATGAAACTGGAAGCCATCATCCTCAGCAAACTAACACAGGAACAGAAAACCAAACGCTGCATGTTCTCACTCACAAGTGAGAGTTGAACATTAAGAACACATGGACACAGAGAGGGAAACAATGCACACCAGGGCCTGTTGGGGTTTGGGGGTTGAAGGGAGGGAACTTAGACGATGGGTCATTAGGTGCAGCAGACCACCATGGCATACATATACCTATGTAACAAACCTGCACGTTCTGCACATGTATCTCGGTTTTTTGGTGTGTTTTTTTTTTTTAGAAGAAAAAAAGAAAAAAGAAGGGGGGAGATCTCATTTTAATTGATTTAGACCAGAATCAAACATTTTAAAAATTAAAAAAAAAAAAAAGAAATACTTTGTTTTCTCAGCCTGCAGGGAGGTAGAAGAGTGCTTACATCAGGGCTGGCCAAGTTTTTGTTTCATTTTGTTTTTTGTTCCCCTTTATTGCCCAAAGCAGCAAAGAGTAACTTAGGTCTCTGCAACTTGATTGCGAAGATACGCCAAGGAAAATCCACCTAACAGTGCAGGGAAGGACTACTAGAGTAGTTTTGGTGATGCCCAAGATGGCAGCCTCACAGTGGTGGATTGGCCACATTTGGTTATACAAATGGCCAGTTTTCAATCAAAAACATTAGAAAGTTGAAACAGCTAGAAGCAATAGCTGAGATGATGATGATTATTTTATTTGATTTATTTATTTTTATTCGTATAAATTTCTGAGGTACAAGTGCAGTTTTGTTACAGGGATGTATTGCATAGTGGTGAACCTGGGCTTTTAGTGTATCCATCACCAAAGTAGTGCACCTTGTACCCATTAAGTAATGTCTCATTATCCACCCCTCACCCAGCATTCTGCCCTTCTGAATCTCCAATGTCTATCCTTCTTATCATGATGATTTTAAGTATCAATTCTCCCCCCTCCCCTTTATTAGAATGACTTGGATAAGCCTCCAACTTTTTTGAATCTCAGCTGTTTCTTCCTTTTTTTTTTTTTTAACTTTTATTTATTTATTTATTTTGAGATGGGGTCTCACTCTGTCACCCAGGCTGGAGTGCAGTGGTGTGATCTCGGCTCACTGCAACCTCCGCCTCCCTGGTTCAAGGGATTCCCCTGCCCCAGCCTCCTGAGTAGCTGGGACCACAGGTGCATGCCACTACATTCAGCTACTGTTTTGTATCTTTGGTAGAGATGGGGTTTCGCCATGTTGCCCAGGCTGGTCTTGAACTGCTGAGCTCAAGTGATCCACCCACCTTGGCCTGCCAAAGTGCTGGGATTACAGGCATGAGCCACCACGCCCGACTGATAGCCGTTTTTTTCTTTATTGGATAATAAGTGGAGTGTTACAAGGATTAAATGGGAAGATACAGATGAAACACTTTGTCATTTAGCACATAGTAGGCACACATTAAACTTTGCTTTTCTTCCTGTCTAGCAGATTACATGGACTTATCTATGAGACACACTGTTTACAGAAAACTCATGAACAAGAAATAGTGACCAAAAGGAAAGAAAACAACAAAACGATTCCTTCTAAAGCAACAAAGAAGCAAGTTAAAAATTACACATTGCACTGACCATCTGACATGCAATGGCTTTGGGGACCAAGATGGATGTGGATAAGCTGAGAAAGAAAAACAGAAAAAAGCAGTTGAGAGTTTCAGGAAGAGCAGCGAGGCTTTTCAGTTTCATCCCCCCAGGAGTTAATGGTATCACAGAAAACGTGATCATTTGCCGAATGCCGACAGTGAGCTAAGTCTCATCTAGGACCTGCTCTTAGAAGCTTTCCAGAGTCAATATCCAGAGATACTGTTTTTCTATCTTGTACAACGGTTTAAAAAATTTGCAACGTGACAGCACTGATTTATACAATGCACTCACAGTCTATTTCTTTAAAAAAGAATACATACACAGAGAGAGAGAGAGAGAGAGAGAGAGAGAGAGAGAGAGTGTTTTACCGTGTTAACATTTTTCCTGAAGAAAGTATTTAATACCCTCTCCCTACCCCCTACTCCCCCACCCTATCCCCTGGAAGGAAGGAGGGGAAGACTGAATGGGATTTGGAGTTTTCCCACTGAGAAAGGGGCATTTTCTGCAACCAGGTCAGTGTTCAAAGGACTAATGCTCTAAGGAAATTATCCCAAAGAAGAGAGAGGCAGTTCAGGGTTATTAAGTTATTTTAAAACATTGCCTGGGCTGTTGCTGCTGACCTTTGTGAAGGGAACAGGATGCTGCTTCCCAGGGGAACAGAATAAGAAGCAATTAGAGAAGCCTAGGAGAGGCCCGGGAATGTTTGGGAATTCACACATACCCCAAATTACGTGGGAACGCTAAGAATGAAAATAAACTAACTTTGATTAGGGACATATTTGGGTTCTAGAAAATATTCTAAAAATGCAGCTCACACTGGGGCTATATCTCTATGAGTGTTTTCCTAAAAACCTGAACACTCAGTATCTAATAGAGGTCAATAAGACTTCAATCCAGTTTCAGAGGAGAAAAGGAAAGCCAATTAACATTTCTTAAGCAATATTCCTTATGTGTCATAAAGTAGAATGGGTGTCACGTTAAGCAAATGGCTCAAACGAACAGAGTTGGGATATGATACAGTTGTTTCAAATGCAGATTTATTTGATGTGACTACTGGTTTTTTTCTAACACGTGATTATGTAAGAAAGTGCATGTTTAAGAAAGTTAGAAAAAGAAAATGGGGAAATAGCTGAAATAATTTACTCCTCTTCTTTTGGATAAACCAACTTGAATATGTTCTATGCTCATTCTCACATTTCCAAAAGTGCCACGAATGAGGCAGGGAATGCTATACCATGTGTATTATAATACAGGATTATTTTCCCCATACACACATTAAATTTTAGCTGCCACATGTATAGGTGTATGTATATATGTTGCCACCTTTCCACATGACATATGCCATATAGAATGTTACAACATTTTTCTGTAAAATAAAAATGTATCATTGATGACATTCTGTTAAGACTCAGTGGCTACTATATCCTGGCCCAAAAAGTAGGTCCTGTCCACAATGCTCAGTGAAAAACAGTAGTTGATCAATTTAAAGCTCTATTGACCACTAGAAAACCAGAAGAAGCCTCATGAATGATATTTAGGAAAAACAGACTCTAGTTCTACTGAAACAAAGCTAGAGCTGAGAGTGGTCCCAGGCATTATCTAGTTCAACCTTCTCATTGAGGTTGAGCTAAGTTATACTCCTTATCATATTGTTAGATTAAGATAGAACGGAATCTAGAACTCATGTTTTGGTATGTACCATTCATACATCCATGCCAAGGACTGTCCCTTAAGCACCAAACTGTAGGAGCTATGAGAAACTCTATCAAACACTCGGCATGCTTCCTAACACTAAAGTTCATGTCTAGAGGGCATGAGAGATGGATTTGAGTGGTAAATCTAAATTGACACACAAATACTACAAGATTGTTTTGAAGGTGAAATGAGTCAGCAAACTGAAAAGCACATAGAATTACTGACATATGTTCATGAATTCATTCCAATATTTACCAAGTACCTGTTATCTGTGAGGCACTATGCTAGAAAAAGAGATAACAACAGCTATCCTCCTGGAGTCTGTTATTTCAGTCAAGGTGATACAAATCAGCTTATGAAACTACAAAAAAGGATGTGAGGGTTTTTTTCATGAACCTATGAGACACAGATGATATCAACATCTACATCTCCCAACAAGATCTATAAAACCAAAACCAGACTCAGCACTCTGCACAACACTATGGCACCCCTTTCACTCTCTTTCAGTTAATATCTTAACCTGAATTGTTTTCATGATTATATCATCAATAATGTATTACCAACTATTCCTTCATTGTGGTTCCAGAGCTTACTGAGACTCAGGTAACGTGACCTTTGAAACCATCAAATGGCAGAGGAGAAAACACAGCAGAGAAGATTGACCTCTGGGTTATCTTTGTGTACTAAAGCCTTTTGAAAAGTCAGAGCATCAGGCTTTTGGCAGTGATTTCAAAAATTTAATTACCCCGAATCATTCACCAGCATCCTCAAAGACTGACAGATCAAATTAGACAGCTGATTCTCTGTTGCATCCACTTCTTATCATCAATAGTGCTAAATAGTTAAGTGAAACATTTAATATTATTTGTCCTTTCTATCCCGATAAGATTGATGGTGCAATAAGAATCCTCAAGGGCAATATGAAGATTCATTTTCACTTCTCTGGAAAATGATCACAAACAATTTCTATTTCGAAGTCAACATTCACAAAATCAGAAAATGTTAGTACTGGAAATGACCTATGATATCATGTCATTCTGCTTCCTTAAATGACAGAGGGAGAAACTGAGGCCCACAGAAAATAAGCAATTTCCCATTGGTCAAGTATTAATAGCTAGGTGACAGTAAAGCTGGAACTAGAATTCAAGTCTTGCGATGCCTAGCCTATTTAAAATTTCCCCTATTTAATGTTGTCTTAGCTGCTAAAAGGTATATTTTGAAGAAAAATATACATAAGAAGGATCTTACCAGAAATAGCACAAAATTATATACTACATGATGTGTTCACATTGTATGAAAGATTATGACAAAATTCAACTGATTTTCAAACCCAATGTCAGAAGACTTGTATCATTCTTAGAAGAGTGAGGTGTCTGGAATAAGAAATGAGGAAATTTTTTTTTTTTTTTTTTTTTGAGGCAGAGTCTTGCTCTGTCACCCAGGCTGGAGTGCAGTGGCGCGATCTCGTCCACTGCATGCTCCGCTTCCCGGGTTTACGCCATTCTCCTGCCTCAGCCTCCCAAGTAGCTGGGACTACAGGCGCCCGCCACCACGCCCAGCTAATTTTTTGTATTTTTAGTAGAGACGGGGTTTCACCATGTTAGCCAGGATGGTCTCCATCTCCTGACCTCGTGATCTGCCTGCCTCAGCCTCCCAAAGTGCTGGGATTACAGGCGTGAGCCACCGCACCCGGCCTGAGGAAATGTTTTCTATGTTGATATCATACTCCAGTTTCTTTATAATAAGAGCCCATCTCATTGTCAGAAGACGTGTCTACTGCAAACCAGCCAACACAGGGATATTTAACACGTTGATTGCTGTTAAGGCTAAGATGTAGTTAGGCACTGCTCCCTCTGTATATAAATACAGGTACTGAAATAGCAATCAATATTATGAAGGAAGAAATCAACCAACCAAAACTTGAATTGGAGCAATGCCTGGTACCAACAGGGGCTAGAACAAGAATGAGAGCAAGATATGCTTTAAGCATGGGACATATTTGGAATCCGAAAAAATTGCCATGAAAGTAGTAATAGAGGCAATACAGTAGGGGGCAGGGGAAGGTGGTGTCAAGATTCAGATGCTACTGGAGTTAGGGGAACACTGGTACTAAAAACCAGACCAAGATCCGTGAGTTCAAACCAGAATGTAGACCAACAGGATACAGAGAGCCACATATACCAAAAGGTAAATCTAGACAGATGGCCACAGTTCCAGGCAGAGAGTCAAATACTCGTACAAATAGAGCTATAGGAATGGTAGGCCATAAGAAGACAGGACAGTCAGAACCCAAATCAGCAATTTTGTCAGCACAAACAGCAACAGTAACAAGAAATGTTGACTGAAGCAACTGTTAACTTCATCCAATAAGGTTTTATATCGCATTTTGCTAAGCAGGAAGCAGCAGAAAGTTGTGAGCAAAACTCAGATGCAATAAATGGTTGTGGAAACATGCCTGAGATTGAGAGTGAAGAGAAGGGTCGATCAAGGTCATCAGGCAACATATACAGCAATGTATATACAACATTCAAAATTACCAGCAGGAAAAGATAAACACTCCTTTGGACATGAGTTGCTTCTTGAGCATTGCATGTAAAAAAAGCTGAGCAGTTAGCAAGTTCCCAAGAACCCCATCTTTCACTCTTCTGTGAAGGGCTTCAGAGATATTTCGAAAGGGAACCTGATGAAATGCATTACTGCTGATGGAGTCAGCAGGTTTACTCCTGAGTTTCATTAGTGAATTCTTCCCAATATTTAGCAACCACAGCGTCTTTGAAGGAGGAAAGGACCAGCTTGTCTAAAAATCAAATCCTTCCTAAGGGACAGCTGGCAGAAATATAAGGTCAAACACTTTTGCTGGTATTACAGAAAAGTAGCAGAAAACCAACCTTCGGCTAGAACTAATATATGCAGAAGAGGTTATGACCTCAATTGATCTCTCCATTTCTGCACCAATGGGAGACAGCAAATAACATTTACTTTCTTCATGAGTGAGTGGAAACTAGAGACAATGCTAACAAATTTCATAACCAATATTTGGGCCACCCTAGTCACGACATCCCAAAGAAGATATAACAGAGCTGGAAAAGATCCAGGGAAAAACAACTAAGATAATCAAGGGGAAAGCTTATCTTTCCGTCAAGGACAGACTAAAAGACTAAAAAGGATTAGAATTTCTCAGACTGGGAAGATGAAAATGAAAAGCATTAGTAGGGGAATGTGAGGCTAAAGTCGACTCTGGATAAATATAAATGTTTTTACTGAATTTCAAAGAATTTAATTAAGGCCATTCCTTGAGGTTAAAGGATGCAGATTCAAGAGAAATTAAAATGCCTATATTTATATAGAAGTCGGTACATTTATGGAACATATTATTATTAAGACAAAGCTGAAGTGGGGAATAGGAAAAGTTTGACACCATTGGATAAACTCACTGCCAGTTGATTTACAATGCATTATTAAGAAGTGGTCATGATGTATCCGAATTTTTAAGGTAAAATGTACTAGGTTACCTGACAAAACAACCATTGGTATCTTCATCTGGGACAGAGTTCCGGGCTAGTTGCCCTGTTGGTCTGACCCAGTGTGATATTTCTTATGCTTTTATTATGACATCTATACTGGAACATCCTGCATGCATGTTTGGGATTCCTAAATTCTTTTGACAGTCCAGAATACAGAAGAACAATTTTCTAACTCATTAAGAAAGCAAGAGAGTCCCAGCTCTTGGCTCTGTTTGGTTTACCCATATGGGAGCATGCAACATAAAAAGGTGAAAGAAATCCTAACAGAATGCAGCAGCTGGTTAAAGGCTATTATATTGAAATTTTCATGAGTTTGACAGTAGGCCAAAAAACTACAAAATGGCAGAGAGTAGAAAAGGCAGTTGTAACAGGTTGAACATTGTTGGTGATTATTTTTTCAGTGGCAATGAAAGCTGTAATCAAATAACCTGAAAGAGATGCTGGCAGGAATAAGGGAGCCCCAAGGGAGAGGGAATATGAAAACTGTAACAATGATGTATGCTGTGGACAAATAAACTAGACAAACACGTAGTTTGAAGTATCAAAATCAAGGTTCTTAGCCTCATATGAAAAGCTGATGTCAGGATGCAGGCATAAACACTGCCTGATTTGCAAACTAGAGCAAAAGATGTTAATGACTTAAAATCTCAAGAATGAGTGCACAATTCAACAACCAACAGGAACTGTGCCACTGGTATAGAAACCTCTTGTTATGTGGGCGATCCCTTTATCCCAGCATTGAAAAGAAAAAGTTACAAAGCATTAAAAACATAGCCAGAGAAGACACCTGGTTTTGCAGCTGGGCATCTGTGGTAAAAACTCTTGACTGGAAGTCAAGACAAACAAGATAAAAAAGAGGAAAAATGAGGACTGGTTGAAGCACTGTCACTGTAAACGTATTTTTGTTCTTTTTAGACCAAGACGGCATCTCAGATTATGAACGGCATTAAGCTGTGCATAAAGTCCACCGAACCTTGTACATCAAATTAATTTGGTTTCCATAGAACATTTTAGATAATAGTAATGGCTAATAAGACACAAGTGCCATTAATCATCTGCTTACTGACAATGTTCATTTTATAAACATGTATGTTTTCCCTATATTACAGTTTAACATTTTACACTCATATTTGAGAAATTATACCATCCCTAATTTCAAAGAGATTATAATTGTAGAGAGAATTGCTCTCCATAAGGTTTCAGAGATATTTTTGAGAAATTACGTAATTTCCTCATTTCAAGGAACTGATTATTTCAGAGGCTTTTAAGGTCTCCATACTCACCTTTTGGCAAATTTTCCTGCCTATTGTTCTCTCTCTCTTATCATGAGCCAGGAAGCATAATAATCCTAAATTATATACCAAGATTTGAGCTCTTTAAAGAGGTGTGTGGTGAAATTGGAGTGGGTTGATAGGGCATATCTAAAGCTAATTAAACAGTGGAAAAATAAAATTCCTGTTTTTTAAAGTAAGAATTTACATTATGTTCATTAAAATAATGAATTTTAAAAATAAAGATATTATCGAACAAAAGCTGAGATCTTCGGTTTTTAAGTTTGGACAGGACAACTGAATGAGTCATGCTCATTACGTCTTAGAGCTAAAAAGGATCTTAGATATCATCTAGTCCAACTCTTTATTTTATAAATTAGAAACCAAGGTTTGGCTGGGCATGGTGGCTCAAGCCTGTAATCCCAGCACTTTGGGAGGCCGAGGCGGGTGGATCACCTGAGGTCAGGAGTTCGAGACGAGCCTGACCAATATGGTGAAACCTCGTCTCTACTAAAAATACAAAAATTAGCCAAGCATGGTGGCAGGTGCCTGTAGTCTCAGCTACTCGGGAGCTAAGACGAAAGAATTGCTTGAACCCGGGAGGCAGGGGTTGCAGTGAGCCGAGATCGGGCCACTGCACTCCAGCCTGGGCAACAGAGTGAAACTCCATCTCAAAAAAAAAAAAAAAAAAAAAAAAAAAGAAAGAAACCAAGATTTTTATAGGTTAAGTGACTTGCCTAAAGCCATACAGTCGCCTAATGACAGAGCCTCTAAGACTAGACTGGAGGACTAAAATTGAAGTTTTCTTATTCATAGATCTGTGCCCTTATCAATACCATCACCATGGTCTTTAGGTACATGAAGGAGCATTGGACAAATAGGATATGTAGCTGCTCTCTAATTCCACTGAGAAACAGCAAGAGACTAATACACAGAAGGGAATTACAGCTTTTCTGGAATTTGTCTCTTTATTATTTTTTGGACGGAGTTCATTTCCATTCCCTCACAGCAATGTACTGGGATCTCTTGTAGTAGAAGTAACATCAGGGAGAAGATGAATATATAGGGAAAGGACAATGGGACCGGGGAGACCCTAGCAATCCATGTGAGACCTCTAGTGAGCCCCAAACAAGTAGTCATTTGGAGAATAATAGCTTAAAGGTGTCTTGAATTCTCCAGTGATCCTAAAACCTCATCTATGAAAGGAGAAAAAGAGTCTTTATTTCAGCTCATAAAGGAATTGGATAAAAGTGAGAGCTTTATGAATTGGTTGAAGAAGTAGCAGGTCTCAAACATCTTAGTCGGAAATAAAAATTTGTGAGGACAAAGACACTGATGTAGGAAATCACTGTCTAGAGTTTGAAGAAAATTGTTCCATAAAATATACAGTGGATGTAAGGTAATATACAGTGCATGTCTACAGCAATATATTATTTAATAAAGCATGTGATTTAAATAGGTATTTAAAATGTACAGTTTTGAGTGACTAATGAATTAAATATAACAATAATAAAATTAAATTCATAAAATATGAAAACTAAAAAGCAGAATCAAACATACTAAAAAAGAATTTTCAAGTTAAGAGATACCTCATCTGGAAAAATGTAATAAGACAAATGGTAAACCGTTTCCTAAAGTATGTATTTCTCCTGAAAGAGTCAAAAGACTACCTTCACTCCCATTTTTCTGAGTTAACAAAATAGAGGCATAAAATCAAATTTCTTGAGGACTGTAGTAATGAAGATCTAGGACTGCTGTTATTGCTTTAGAACCGAATTAAGAAGAATTGATGGACAGTGAAAGAATAAAAACAGATTCGATAAAAGATGGCAGGCGGAAAAAAATGGGAAAACATCTAATATTTTTAGTCAGACTCATGGCAGAAGCAAGTTCAAAGACTTCGGTTGGTATCGAGGACTATTTTATGAACCCAGTAAATTGTAATTGTTGTTGAGGTTTCCAATTCAAAGTTAAATTTAAGTTAGACTCTAGTGCACAATGGATGAGAGACTGTGAAGGTATCGTAATCACTCAATATCCTCTCTCCTCTCTCTTCCACGTTGACCCAATGTATTGTCATTTATATTTCATGCAAAATACTACAGAAGGTGCTTCCAAGCACTCGTATTCTTTTGACTGGCACAAATGTTTCCAGAAAACAGTATCTTTCTGTTGTTAGGTGACAAATACTGAGTGTTATGTATCAAGAATGAACAACTAAGCCCTACGAGTCGAGGACTGCTGCTTTCTGCCTTTTGGAAACATGTAGTATTCATTCACCCAAAACAGTTGTGTACATATAACTGCGGAAATCTTCTATCTTTGACGGAAGAAGAAATGTGAGAAAACCCCTAAATAAAAGAAATTGTTCTCGCAAAGATTGACTCCCACTATCAATAAAATTATCTGGAGCTTTTGGTTCTATTGTGAAAAATCCGCCCCCTCTGTCACAAAACACACCATATATCCTGCATTAAATAAACTTTTCTTAAAAGTCGTTCCCCATTGCATCAGCAAATTTACAATGGTAATTTTAGAATAAGTTTTTTATCCAAGCTTCCTCAGGAAAAAAAAGACACAGGTATTGTAGGCCAGGCTAATGTCGCATTTTAAAAATAAACTCACTTGTGAATATACAGGTTAGTCACAATAAATGCTCTTTTAAAAATGTGATACTTCCAACTTACTTGATATAGTAGGGCACTTTGTTTGGCGAGATGGCTCTCTCCCAGGGACCCTGGACAGACGCTGAAAAGAAGGGAGGAAAAAAAGAAAGGCAAGGAGGTCAAATTCATCGCAAACAGGAAAGACAACATTAATCTCCAGAATTACAATTTTACACTGATATTGGTCTGTTTGCTCAGCTGCCCATGAAGACAGGATGGATTAACCTGCTGTTCTGAAATTTCTGTCCTAATCTAAGCGAAACTGAACTCATTCAGGCACAAAGATAAATGCGAAGAAAAAAAAAACCCACAAACATTTCCACTGCTAAACCTATAGAACAGATAAGAAACTGAATGAGTAGACTGACGGGGTTTCTTGTATGTGTCTCCCTTGAGTGCTTTTTTTTATAATACTTCCTGTTGCTGGTTCTCAATATTTTTTACTATTTGACTGACTGGATTTTATTATTTCAGTAGCTGAAATATCCCTCTGTGATATATTTACATTCTAAGTTATTGAAGCTAAAGTAATATGCTTATCACTCTGATATGGTTGTTTTTATCTTTATTGGTTTAAAGAGAATCCAAATTCACTTACCAAATAGATGCTTAATTTGGTGCCTCAAAATGTCAGCTGACCAGTGTGATCTTATTAGAAAAGGTGACCAAAAGTGAGGGAATGTCTACTGATATCAGAGCGTAATAAGACTTTTGTTATGAGTGATGAATCCTATACGTGAAATTTCATTTCACATACTAGGAATTTGTTTTATTATGACTTCACTGTGTATTGGTCAAATGAATGATCTTTGCATTGTTTTTTTTTTTTTCAGGCTTAAGTTGTAGGATTTCTTCCCTAAAGCTGAACCTCTACAAATATATTTTATATACTGTTTGATCTGATGGTTTTTTTTCTTTCTTTAAGACAAAATAATCTTGTTGAGGAGGCACTATAACATTTCCTCAACAATATAATCTTCCTCCTGAATATAGTTTTAAGACACTGGAGCTTTAAGAAACACAGAATATTATCAGAAACAGAAATAAAAGACGCATTCTTATTAATATCTAGCAACTTTATGTGTCTATACTTTTTCCCCTGAATTTTCATTCTGCTAATAATTTGAAGCACAGCTGATGCTGACCATTATTTCCTCCTATGAAAAACTCCCTTTTAAATTAGTCTCACAGTAAATTCACTCCGCAGTGTATTGAGATGTAAGAAAACGTCAAAGCTAATATATCCTCGACTACACTGTATAATATGAAAGAACAGCTTCTAATAAAAGTTAACTTCACCCACTGCCAGACAATTTAAGCGTAATGAAACTCCAGCTTCTTTGTTTTATATAGAGTAATAGAGGGATCAAATCACCCAACCTTTAACCAGACATGCTGTTTTGTAC
This sequence comes from Homo sapiens, assembly GCF_000001405.40. Classification (NCBI taxonomy): domain Eukaryota; kingdom Metazoa; phylum Chordata; class Mammalia; order Primates; family Hominidae; genus Homo; species Homo sapiens. The sequence goes on from NC_000023.11 coordinate 31,324,983, forward strand.
CTTGGAGATATGTCATTTAAACGATATAGGAAATGGATTTGTATTTGGCCGGTAATTATGCTTTTTCATTTTGGCAGACGGAAATTTTTAATACAGAGAAAAAAGACATTTAGCTGCTGTTTTGAAGTAGTCTCTGACTTTCCATTTCTTTCTGTCCTTCTTTCTCTATTCCTTTCTTTTCCCTTCCTCCTGCCTTCCCTGCTTCCCTTTCCATCTTTGCCTTTCTCATTCTCTTCCCAACTCTTCTCTTGTCCTTTTTTCTTCTGTAGGATGCAGCTCTCCTGTCCAAATAAGTTCACAGAGTAAATAAGATCTGATTTAAAAACATGGGCTAAGGCCAGGCGTGGTGGCTCACGCCTGTAATCCCAACACTTTGGGAGGCTGAGGCAGGCAGATCATCTGAGTTCAGGAGTTCAAGACCAGCCTGGCCAACATGAGGAAACGCTATCTCTACTAAAAATACCAAAAAAAAAAAAAAAAAAAAAGCCGGGCATGGTGGCAGGTGCCTGTAATCCCAGCTACTCGGGAGACTGAGGCAGGAAAATCACTTGAACCCAGGAGGCAAAGGATGCAGTGAGCTGAAATCGCACCACTGCACTCCAGCCTGGGCGACAAGAGCAAAACTCCAACTGAAAAACAAACAAACAAACAAACAAACCATGGGCTAGACTTCCTGACCTATCTGGTCAGAGTCTGTTGTTATGGAAATATTAAAAAGCTAGCCCTCTATAGCAGGAAACATGGTGGAGAGCCAGAAATTATAGCTCCTGGCTGCTCAGTGTACCTTCTTCTTAAAATACCAGCATCATAAAAGGAAGAAGAGAACTCCAGAGAGCTCTTGGTCCAGCCCTCACTGGCTGTGAATGCCAAGCCTGTGAATACCTAAACTGAGAAAAGAATGGCTATTCTTTCCTTAAAGGTATCTATGGGCTGAGGCCTCACAATTTCTCTTATTATACCTTTCTAGTTTTTTTTTTTTTTTATCATTCTAGTGGTCCAGAAATTCTTTCTAATTTGGAGGATGCTAGACCATCCTCTGATAGCAGAAGAATCACTTTGGATTTCCTACACTATTCTTAGGCGTCTCTCAGAAAGAAGTGTGCTGGAGAGGGCTGCTGGCTGCCTGGCCTGGCTTAGGGGCTTTCGGCCTGAAAGAAACAACCTCTAAGCAGCGAGAGACAGAGGAAAATTGGCGTTGCCTGGCTGAGCTAATGGGAAGACCTACGTAGGGTATCTAGAGTTGACTTTTTATGTTTACATTAAAAGGGGAAAATTTTCAATTAAATGTCAGAGAAGTTATCAGAATATGCTTGAACTAAATAGCTGAAAATATTTTTAAAGAATTTTAAAAATATTATAAATTCTAGATCAATATGAAATTTCAAGCTTTTGTAATTGCAGTTCTTAAGTGTTCATTTATTTTCCTTAAAAAAGCTTTTTGTCTTATGTGTAGCCATCAAATAGGTCCAATGGTGAGATTCAGTGTATTTTTTTTCTGAAAGATGTTTTTCCCCTTTGATTCACAGTTTATAAATTCACCTAAGCAACTGCTTTGCAGTCATTGTTTGAAACCTTACAATTTTATGCTCAAAAATGTCCTTGACACAATAAAAAAAAAAAAAAAAAGGAAAATAACAACAGCCTCCCCTCATTCCTTCCCTGCCCCATCATAATCACATACACACACACTGGAACTACTTGCTTTAGAAATAACACACAATTGGATGATAGTTCTACGGAATTGGGTTCAGTGCTCCTTCTCAAGAGATTCTTAAGGGTTGTCGACAATTTCATTTGGGGCTGCCAGATGATTCTGGTCTTCCATCTATTCAAAAGTTGATCAAATATGTGGCAGTGCTCACAAGTGTGCCACAGAATTTTTTCATTTCTTGTAGCAGTACTGATGCCAACAACAGCTGTTTCTTATCTCAGTGTACCAGTGGAAGCTTGTCATTCTTCATAAAGCTAGCCTACGTAATAGACACACACATCTTTTATGCCTGATGTGTCCATTTTTAGTAGCCCATCAAAAGCAAATTTATCGGCAAATAGTTTCTATATGACACCGGGTTGTCCTTTGGTATTTTCTTATACAGATGTGCTTATAACCACTACGTGTAATTCCAGGGCAGCTTTGTGATTCAGATTCTTGAATGTACAAATCAACCATTATCATACGGCACCAGCATCATGGGGTATTGTCCACTGAATTTAGATAGCAAACTACACATGCATTTATTTATTGCAAAACCAACCTCTGAATTTCCTTTTGTGTTACAGACACAGTATGTTATTAAGAGCAAGAAAGGGTAGCAATTCTATCTTCAAATGCTTTTCCTTCCTTGAGGTGACAGGATTCAATATTGTGCCCAAGGTAGTTTTGAAAATCACAAGCACAGGCCACATTATTTAGGGGAAGTTGTTATTTCAGCCGTTTTTAAATGCATGATGAACAGAATGTTCCAAGTGATGCACCCTGGTGTTAAGTCATATTTTAATCAACATAGGGGCCTAACCAGAAAATTAAAAAGAATGCTAATGTTATTTTAAGACATGCCAAAAGAGCACTTTCTGGAATTCCAACACAAATACCTTCATTCATCTCTCTACTTTTCTCATACTTGGTGGATTTGGAGTTTGATAACATAGGTGGGTCAAAAAAGTGGGGACAGTTTAGATAAATAACCGATACAGCAATCACTGGAGGTAAAATAGAAAACTCACCTCTGGGGTTGAACAAAAGGCATTAGGGAGGATCTACTAGACTTGTTTTGTCTTTTCCAGAATGTCATATAAATACAGTATGTAACCTTTTGATACTGGTTTATTTCACTCAGCATAATGCATAATCCATATTGCTGTATCAACGATTTGTTTCTTTTCATTGCTAAGTAGTATGCCATTATATGGGTGTACTACAGCTTAGTTATCCATTCACCTGTTCAAAGACATTAGGTTGCTTTTAGCATTTGGCAATCATGAATAAAGCTGGTATCAACATTTGTGTACAGGTGTTTGCATAAGCATAAGTTTTCATTTCTCTAAGATGAATGCTTAAGAGTGGGCTTGTAGGGTTACAACAGATTTTTCATTGCTAAAAAATTCCCACTTATGGATGTACCATGATTTATTGAATAAATTCCCTCTTTGGGAACATATAAGTTGTCTCCAGTTTTTCACTGTTCTAAGTAAGGCCACAGTGAACATCTTTGTAGATAAATCTTTGCACATATTTTAGTTACTTTTTTAAAGCAAAATTCCTAGAAGTATATTTACTTGATTAAAGGCTATGAATGTTTTAAAAACATTTTACATAAATTACACTTATGGCAGCAGAAGCCTCTCTTTATTGATATAAGTGTAAAGAGAAAAATCAATTTTCTGCAGGTCAATAGTATTTAGTTGGCATAATTCTCAAAGCAAGTTAGATATACTGCTTGATACAGTAGATTATTTGGGAACATTCCTCTCACACTCTCCTCTTCCCCTGATAGACTGTAAAACTCAGAGTTTAGAAAGGCACTCAGGATGTTGGCTTTCTATTTCAAAGCCCAATCCAGCATCTTGAGAGGGAGCTGGATATAGCAGAAAATGTCCAGAGTACAGATTCAGAAGAACTGGATTTGAGTCCTGACTCCCCTATCACTTCATGATCTTAAGCTAGTCTTTTTCCTGCCTAAGCCTTATTTTCCTTATATTCCAATGGGAATAATGATATCTCCCTCACCAAAATGTTGTCAGGATAAAATGAGGAAATCAATATGAAATTGCTTTGTAAAATGTTAATCACCACACAAATAATGTTTGTAATCACATAGCTATGATGTGTTGTCTGAATGATGGTTAATTGTGGAACCAATTCTTTCTCTCTCACCTGGGCAGCATTTATCTGCAGCCTTGAATCCACTCCTAACTACTGTTAATGTGCCACATGTAGTATAAAGTATGGCAGAGAGAAATGCCTTTGAATAGTATCTAACTGCCTGGGCTTATGGTACTTCTTTCTACATCTCTGTCTTCCTAGACCAATGACATCTATACAACAGATCTTTCATTCTTAGCTAGACCATTTATCCACCATTCATCAGCATGAATGATAAACAGATTAGTCTATATTTTATGCAGTGAAAATCAGAGGCCCATAGACTGATTAGCATTTGGCAATCATGAATAAAGCTGGTATCAACATTTGTGTACAGGTATTTGCATCAGCATAAGTTTGGTTCTTTTCACTGAAATGCAAGTGAAAGGACAAGACCATAAGTACTAGAATCATAGCAGATGCTATGAGAATGGCTGGACTCTTTAAGGAAGGAAGATCGTACAAAGAGAACTGCATGTATACACCACATTTTCATACAATGGAATACCATTCAGCATTAAAAAAAAGAAGGTTCCTACCATTGGTGACAATGTGGATGGGCCTTGCAGACATGCTCAGTGAAATAAGCCAGTCATAGAAGGATAAATGCTGTATGACTCCACTTTTATGAAGTGTCTGAAATAGTCAACCTCATAGAAGCAGTAAATAGAAAAGTGGTTGCCAGAAGACAGGGCAGGGGAAACGAGAAATTGTTATTCAATGAGTATAAAGTTTCACTTATGCAAGATGAGTAAGTTCTAGAGATCTGCTGTACAACATAGTGCCTATAGTTAACAATACTGTGTAGTGCACTTAAAACTTAAGGGGATTAAGAGGGTCCACCTCGGCCGGGCGCGGTGGCTCACCCCTGTAATCCCAGCACTTTGGGAGGCCAAGGTGAGCAGATCACGAGGTCAAGAGATCGAGACCATCCTGGCCGATGTGGTGAAACCCCATCTCTACTAAAAATACAAAAATTAGCTGGGCGAGGTGGCGCGCACCTATAGTCCCAGCTACTCGGGAGGCTGAGGCAGGAGAATCGCTTGAACCTGGGAGGTGGAGGTTGCAGTCAGCTGAGATCGTGCCACTGCACTCCAGCCTGGCGACAGAGCAAGATTCCATCTCAAAAAAAAAAAAAAAAAAAAAAAAAAAAAAGAGGGTCCATCTCATGTTGTGTTCTTGCCATGCACAGACACACACAAAAGCAAAGGGACACAAAACTTTTGTAGGTAATGAATATGTTCGTTATCTTTAGTTTGACTGTGGCAATAGTATCTTGGGTGTATACATATGTCCAAACTTACCAAATTACATATATTAAATATGCATATTTTTGCATATAATTATACCCCAAGAAAGCTATAAAAGTACAAAAAAAAAAAAAGATGAGTACAGTGGAGGAAAACAAAAGGGAATGTACCCTGGCAAATGCCCCCAAATGGCGGTGGCAGTAGAACTGCTGTCAAAGAAAAATAATACAGAAGCTAGAATAAAGTGGGATGAAACACAAGAACAGCCTAGCTGGTGAAGTATAAGCAATTCTTGAGCCTGACAGACTAAGGGTGTAGAAGAAGAAGATGTATTTGATCCCACGATCACTGGTGACCTCAAAAGGGCAATTTCACACTAGTGATCAGAGGCTGAAGGAGGGAGTAGACGGAGGGGAAGCAAGCATTTGAGAAGTTGTGTATAAAAAGAGGAAAACAGAAATGGAAAGGGGCAACATCTGATTGTTGGTCATCCCTCTCTTGTGCTCTGTAACCCAGCCTATTCAGTTCACTTCATTACTGAATTTGCTTAGGGTTTCTTTATAACGTTAAATTATATGCAAAATGTATTTCTATCGTTTTCATTTCCTAAAGTCATAATCAGGATTATAATACAGTATTTAAGCTTTCATGTAGTTATTAGTGTTGAATATATATGTATATATGTGTAATTTTTCCCATTCCAATTTTTTTCTGTATGATTTCTATTTTCTTTTGATGTGACGCATATAGTTCCTGTAGCAAGAGTAAGTTTTCTGTCATTTAAATGAAAGGCCAAGTTAAATTTAACACTTTTCAAAACGTTAAATTAAAATAAGGATAGTGCTTTATATGTCTATATCGTATATCAAAAGTAAAGATTCAATGAAAACTTTAAGATCACTTACTAAACTTTCAAAGATGGGCAGACTTTCCATAAAGATTTCAACAGCAGAGACAGATGGGCTACATTCCAGAGAGGAAGGTCACAAGAGTGATGAATGAGACCTCTAATGTCTGCCATAGCTGTGAAAATCTTTATGGCTAACTAAAATTCCTAACGAATAACAACCTGTAAATATTATATGAGCTGTCAGACAGATAATGCTGAGCTCTGAGACCATTGCACATGGTGAACAGAATACCACACCATGGGATTTGTCAGTAGATTGCCAAGTCATTTAGAGTATCAGGCTCACATTTGATCTGGGAAGTCAAGAGTTCATACTAAAATTCTTGGCAAGGTGACTGAGTTGCAGAGATAAAACTATATCTAATATCCAGTGCTGATGGCTGCACAGTCACACAAAGTCTAATAGCCAAAGTTGGGCGGCATTACTCATGAAAAAAAAAAAGAAAAAAAAGCTGCTTCTAACCGACTTATAGAAAACTTCAAAAACATCACGGTGATTATTAGAAGAGTAAGAAAGCAATCAAGCTTCCTAAGGTCAGATATAGGAAGATAGATACCTACATAAATAGAGCCATGAATAATTTATGCTCAAGGAATTTTCGAGTAAATTCGAACATAATTGGCTGACTGCATTACCAGGGAACTTTCCTCCAGGTAATGGTGGTTACAGTCTTTGGGCCATCTGGGTTAAGTCAGGTTACTAACAAGTCAATGCAATATCGCCAGGTGCCTTTACTGTCTCTGCAGATGTACTTTTAAAAGACGACAGGCAGTCCACACCATTTGCTGAACGCTCTCTGTGTGAAAGGTATTGTATTAGGCACCAGGGAAATTTCAAGGAAAGTAAAATTTGAAACCTGAGACAGTAGGGAGCAACTCAGATATTAAAAACCAAATGATCATAGATGGGATGTACATCCATTAGAAAGCGAGAAGAGTGAGAAAGAACTAGCAATTAACGCAAAAAGAGTATAGGAGAGATTGAATTTGGGGCCCATTTTTCACTCAGTTGTGAAAGAACTAAACATGTATACCTTAGCCATGGCCTCATGGTGAGCGCAGTGTGCTTCCTAGCTCCTTGACCTTGGCTTGCTTGACCATGTGACTTGCTTTAGCAGATATGATGTGAACAGAGGCTTGTCACACTGGCAATCTGCCATGAGAACATGCCCCAGGTTGCTTCTGATCCTTTAGTCTGGGGCTCACAACCCAACACATTTAGAAACCATCTAAACTGAACTCACAGCCTAGAGGCGAACCCAGGCATGCTTCAGTATGAAGTAGAGCTTTCCAGTCAAGTTTTATCCAGATCACCCGAATTACAGTTGACCTGTAGACCCATAAGCATGAGAACAGAAGCTTTATATTCTTGTATAGTAGTTATATTGTGGCATTATTGTGGATACAGCTGACAGAGAGAGGAGTAGAGAGAGAAGGGGAGAGGGGAAACAGTATCATAAAGATTAAAGAATAAAAAATATCCTCCAGCCAAAGTCTCTCCCATTTGTTACTAGCCACTGCCTCTACTAACATGCAAAGATTAATGGGGATTATCATCCTCTTTGGTCTGTGCAGTTGAGACGTGTGGGTTGCTATTCACTGGTGTCTGGAACCCCTTTTCTAAGGCTGATAATCCATAATAGTTACAAGTATGAACTTGAATATGTTAGTAAATTGTTCTAGTCTCAGTTTTCTCTTCTGTGAAATGGAGACAATAACAGTCCTTATTTTAAAGGTTGGTGTGAGGATTAAACGGGTTAATCTATGCAAAATGCTTCCTCTGTGTTAAGAGCACAGAGCGCTCGATACTTTTTAAAAATTCCAACTCCTACGTTTATAATTATTTTCATCATTAATGTAGCTAGTTATCAGGATATTTATCTCATTCACGAACTTACTGCCAATGTGAGGAATCCCAGGGTAACCAGGAAAGTGACAGAGACTTTCCATGGTTCTAGAGTTAAACTGACTGTTAACCACCAAAGCATGGGACCAGGGAACTAGTTAAGGAAATAATCTTTCTTCCTCTTTTTCTAGCCATTTTCTGACTCTTTAAAAAATGTTACGCGGTTCTCAGAGTAATAAAACATGAACGGAGACAAATCTTCCTCTTGGCATTCTGATGCTGATGTTTACTATGAAAATCAACTGTGTTTTATCATTATATACTATATTAGTATTGCTTCAGAATTCAAAATAAATAGCTAAATATTTTTAGAAATAAATAAAACATTCTTGTTTAATTTCAATTGTTGGTTCTGATTTTTAAACTAAATTTTTACATAACCAAGCTTACTATTTTTTTTCCTATTTAAATTGGTGTGGGTGATTCATGTTAATGGAATTCTCTGACCTGAAGTTATGTGCTGTCTTGTTTAAGACATAAGCCTTGCTGCCCCCGCCTTTTTTTTTTTTTTTTTTTTTTTTTTGCCTGAAGATAACAAGGTTGTCATGAGCTTTTGTGTTGGGTTCCAGGAATAACTGAAGATGCAGTTCAAAACTGAATCTTCCTCTAATAGATGTATCTGCTCCAGATCTCCTGGACCAAGTCTTTTGAATTACTTTCTTTCCCTTGATAGCTGGTCTAGGTCGAATTCTATAACATGAACTCCTTCACTTTTCACCTCCTGAGAATAAATCCCTTCTGTCCCTAACTCACACCATAAATGAGCTCATTTCATTCCATTCCTCTTCGATTTTTTTTTTCCACAGACATTTCCTGCTCAGACTTTTTCTTTCCCTATCAAATTGCCCTCATGTTGACTAATCCTTCAATTATTCTCTCTCGTCTGCCTATTTCTATCTCATTAAAACATTAGTGCTCTCTAAAACCTATATTTATATTCATTATACATACGTAAGAAATCCCTTTTCTGAACAGAAGGGCGGTAAGGAGACTACACACGAAACTGGAAAGGGAGATATTCATCTTTTTTTTTTTTTTTGGATACAGAGTCTTGCTCCGTCACCCAGGCTGGAGCGCAATGGCGCGATCTCGGCTCACTGCAACCTCCGCCTCCTGGGTTCAAGCAATTCTCCTGCCTCAGCCTCCCAAGTAGCTGGGATTACAGGTGCCTGTCACCATGCCCAGCTAACTTTTGTATTTTTCAGTAGAGACGGGGTTTCACCATGTTGGTCAGGCTGGTCTTGAACTCCTGACCTCAGGTGATCCACCCACCTTGGCCTCCCAAAGTGCTGGGATCACAGGCGTGAGCCACCGCGCCCGGCCCGAGATATTCATCTTATCAGAATGGCTAAGTAGAAGGGAGAAACTGATTTTTCATCACTGAATGCATCTTGTGACTCTTGCTAGGTGAGATCAGGGACCAAGCAATTATAAACATTCTTTGCTAAGTTCCTATCAAAAGGAATACCCTCTACTTTGGATTTGCATGTAGCCTCAGGGACAATATGCGTTAATACTCAACTAGATAGAACATCTCCTTTCTCTCACTGTGGAATGGATTCCTCCCTTCCATTCTACTCCCATTGCACCCACTATTTACTACCACTGTAGGAGGTCATTTTTTATAGGTCTGTCTTTTGTGATTGGTATTTAAATGTCCCAAGGCAATAATTCTCTTTTTATCTTCATATTTCAGGTGACTCGTTTTTGTTAATAAATATAGGAATGAATGAATGAATACTACAGGCACAGTAAGTAACAATGCTACAGGCACCATGTCACTTCTTAGCTCAGAATTCTATGACTTCCCTTCTCACAAAGCATATATGCCAAAGGCTTTTAACGATAGCCAACCATAGTTGATAAGACCCTTCCTCGTCTGGCCCTTGGTCACTCACTGACCTCCTATCATTCACCATCTTTCTTCCTTGGCTTCAGTCATACTGGCTTCCTTGCTATTAATATTTCTCAAACCCTCTAAGCATGCTCCATCTTGGATCCTTTACTTTTACTGTTTCCTCCACCTGGAACACTTTGTCCCCCAATATCTGACTGGTGTACTTCCTCACATCTCTACTGAAATGTCACCATTCCTGACCACTCCACTAAAAGGGTCCCCTTCTCCCATCCTCTAGCCCCTTTAGCCTGCTTTATTCTTTGTTTTTAAATCAAACTTATCATGACCTGATTGTCCATCTTCTCTTGTTAAAATGTAAGCTCCACAATAAATAAACTTTGTTTTATTTACTGCCGTTTCCCCAGTTCCTAGATCAGAGTTTGATTTACATTGGTCATTCAACAGACATTTGTTGAGTAACAAAGTGAATCAATTCTTAACTGACTGAAGATAAAGTGAAGTTCATTAACTCTTTCTGGACATTAGACTAAGCACCAGGCTAAGTTCTTTCATTTTATTAGACTGGGAACAATCTTTTAAGTGCCCAGTTATTCATTCAATCAAGGCATATCCTGCATCTAATATGCAAGATGTTGTGTTAGATGCAAAATTATTTTTAATAAAAAAGTAATGCAGGCCCTATGCCCTTAAAGTGCTCACACTCCAACATATTTCCTTTCAAGATCTATGTTACTGACCATCTTACGTTCTAACTCTTGCCTGTCATGGGCATGTATGCTGCTGAGCTTAAGGTTTAAGGTAAGAGATTCATGTAATTTTATGCTGTCCCCAAAGTCCTTACCTATTAATGGAGATCATGAGGTTGGACACCTTAAATAATAATAATCACTACTTATCCTGAACAAAATAATCAACCTCATTATGAAAGCAAGAGTAAATCAAATTACCCAGTGACTGTAATGGGCCTATTATAATACCTTTTTCTTAGATGCTTCTAAATGCCTGTCAATTTCATTGCCCCCTCACAGATTGGCTTCCTCCAGGAAGCCAACTCTAAGGCAATGATTAGAGAGCAGGATAGACAACTGTGGAAGGGAAGTGAAAGAAACAGGAATAGAAATAGGGAGAAGTCAAGGTGAATGCAGACCCAGTGACAGTCTCATTCAACCCCATGGGAGCTCTTGAGCTAGAATGTTAATGTTCTCCTGAGTTGGGCCAAAATGGCCAGGTCATTATTCCCCTACACTGATCAGGAAGAGCTGCCCCTGTAAGGGGTATGATCTTGGGTGAGGCAGCTGATGCAATTCCTGAAGATTGTCTGCTGAGGACACTCCCTTTCATCGAGAGACTAAAGGGTCCCTAAGGATGCAGAAAAGCAACTTCAAATAATTCCTCAGGCATAGGTCACTGTATTTAGTGTTCCACATGACTTTCATTACCACAAATTGTGCAGGCATTGGTATAAAGGAGTGATTCTCAACTAGGGGCAATTTCACCCAACAGGGGACATCAGACAGACAATGTCTGGAGACATTTTTGGTTGTCACAGCTAAGGGAGGGGAGTGCTACTGGCATGTAGTGAGTAGAGGCCAGAGATAATGCACAGGACAGCCCCCAATAATTTTTGCCCACAGAGGTGTGATCCCACCATTTCTGTTGCGCAAAGCTTTGTATTCTAGGACAGATGACAAAATGCTACCCCAGGCCAAACTCACAAATGCCTTCATTTTCTGAGTAGTGTAAAAATACACTTTTCAGAGCCAGCATTCCACTAATTATCTGGCCCCAAATGCCAATAGTGCCCAGGTCAAGAAAGCCTAGTTTACAGTCTGGCCTGTGGCCTGTGAGATGGCATTACCCTTAGATGGATAATAAATAACTAATCCAATCAGATGCTTTGTCTTGGAGAGCTTGAATGTAATACACAGAGATAAACAGAGATGACAGATGGGTGGGGAAGTTTAAAAAGTCGGATAACAAAGGAAGAAAATGGAAGTCATAAGAAAGTAGAAACTATAAGTAGAAGGTGTTAGGTGGAGAGAAGAGAGAAGATATGATACTGTAATAGTCTGAAGTCTATGGCAGCAAATGCATATACAGAAAGAAGCAAACATGTTTCGTGGTGTCTGTTGTTCCATGTTATTCTTTTCTTTCTTTCTTTTTTTTTTTTTTTGAGATGGAGTCTCGCCCTGTTGCCTAGGCTGGTGTGCAATGGTGTGATCTTGGCTCACTGCAACCTCCGTCTCCTGGGTTCAAGCGATTCTCCTGCCTCAGCCTCCTGAGTAGCTGGGATTACAGGTGTGCGCCACCATGCCTGGCTAATTTTTTGTGTCTTTAGTAGAGACAGGGTTTCACCATGTTGGCCAGGTTGGTCTCCAACTCCTGACCTCGTGATCCGCCCGCCTCAGCCTCCCAAAGTGCTGGGATTATAGGTGTGAGCCACCGCGCCCGGCCCATGTTATTCTTCATGCCTCTCTGTATCCTGAAAATGTTCCTTATCACCTAAGCCTATCCCTGTCCCTTACAGCCTTAAGGAGACATAGCACATAACAGAGCAGTACCTGCAGTCGCCTGAAATCAAGATGATTTTTACTGCAGATATCTGAAAGTCTATTTAAAAATCTAGAATGGTTTTTAAACCAGGAACAGTTTATGTAAGTCTACTAAAGAACAAAATGCCTTTTGTCCTCACTTCAAAGTTCTCACCAGAAAGTACTTTGTAATCCCAAACTGGTTGTGTTCTGAAAATGGAAAACATCCAAATGGAAAAACGAAAGTAATGATTCTTGCCCACAGGGATGTGATCCCACTATTTCTGTTGTGCAAAGCTTTGTATTTTGGACAGATGACAAAATGCTACCCCAGGCCAAATTCACAAATGCCTTCATTTTCTGGGTAGTGTAAAAATACACCCTTCAGAGCCAGCATTCCACCAAAATAGTGCCCATGTTATAAAACTGATTCAGAACTCTGGTGCTGGTCTCTTGGCCCTAGCTCCTCATGAGGCCCAGAAGAATCTGTCACAATGAGGAAGATGAAATAAGAAAGAAACAGACATTTGTCTCATCTCTTCCATGCCACCGGGCTAATTTCCATGTAAGTCCGTGACGAAGGAGTGGTGGTTAGTGATCCAGCTAAATGCGCCCATTCAGCTCTAAAGCCAGATTATGCATGGGGTATGATAGCAGCTTCATAAAGTCTAGGAGAGGTTAATACTATTGTTGTTCCACTCAGATCCCTTTTACTGAGCTGGTTCACCCAGCCGCAGTTGTTGTGAGTGTTGGTTGCTAAGGCCTCATTGGTCCTTTCACCAGAAATCCTCCCTTGGCCAAATGGGAACTGCTTTGCTATCTCCTACTCCCCAGAAATCCACAGCCAATGACTAATTCACACGGGAAAATAAAAGCCCAGCCCTGGCTGGGCGCGGTGGCTCACGCCTGTAATCCCAGCACTTTTGGAGACCGAGGCAGGCGGATCAGGAGATCAGGAGTTCGAGACCAGCCTGGCCAACCTAGTGAAACCCCGTCTCTAGTAAAAATACAAAAAAAAAAAAAAAAAAAAAAATCCAGGCGCGGTAGTCCCAGCTACTCGGGAGGCTGAGGCAGGAGAATAGCTTGAACCTGGGAGGCGGAGGTTGCAGTGAGCCAAGATCACGCCATTGCACTCCAGTTTGGGTGACAGAACAAGACTCCATCTCAAAACAAACAAACAAAAAGCCCAGGCCCCTTATCTCAAAGTAGGGACAATTTGTTCTCCAGAGCTCCCTGTGGGATCAAGCTGAAGTGAGTCTCTTCCTTCCCACTTAACTCCTTGACCAGCATCCTTCTTACTTTATCCTGCTTCCCTCACTCCCTTTCACCTGAACAAATTACTTCTACAAGAAGCCCCATCTATCTAAATAGGGCTCTACTTCTAGGGATTTTACCTAAGGCTAGGGTGAGCAACTATCTTGGTTTGCCTGGGACTACAGAGATTTCCTGGAAAATGGGAATTCCAGTGCTAAATCCGGGAAAGTCCCAGACAAACCAGGATGAGTGGTCACTCTGCAACGCACATAAATATTTGGATCCTGAGCATCCTTCCTGCTAAGTTTATGAAGATTCTTTGCCTACAGGGACTTGAGTGATCCAAATAACATAGATAAATTAGTCATTTCTGGGAAACCATCTATGCACAAAAAAAAAAAAAAAAAAAAAACAAAGTGCCCCAATTTGTAGTATTTGCCAATTTCCATGGAGTAAATCTTCCCACTATGCCTGATTTCAAGCTACCAAAGGTAGGCTTAATAACTAGCTCACAATTCCTGTATATTTTACAATTGGCTCTCTTGAGCCATTGTAAGCCAGCCCCAGCACAGAAATTCCCATAGCAGAAACAAAAACGTTCTGTTTCCTCATGTGTTCAAATTGATGGGATATATAGGGCCAACGATGCAAAATCTGGTTGCTAATGATACTGTAAAGCAAATAAATCTGAGAGCTTATTGGGGAGTATACATTTGAGCTAAAGGAGAAAAGGGCCATGACAACACATTTTAAGAAGAGAATATAATTATTACTGCTGTAGCTGCTTTTTATGGGCATTGGAAAGGCTGTCTTTGAATTTATAGGGGCATTATCAGCATCACTGGTAGGTCACATGGCATTTGTCCCAAATTCCTAACACTTGGGACAACATGTGACTGCTGAAGAAACTGGCTCAAATCATTTCACCCTGAGATTTTACTTGAAAGAGAATTTTAGCCTGCAAATCATCTCACATTGGACCTGCAAAATTCTTTCTGACTTTTATCATGATGGCTTATTTTGATGTTTTTATTTTTTTGAGATGCAGTTTCACTCTTGTTGCCCAGGCTGGAGTGCAATGGCGCAATCTCGGCTCACTGCAACCTCTGCCTCCTGGGTTCAAGTGATTCTCCTGCCTCAGCCTCTCGAGTAGCTGGGATTACAGATGCATGCCACCACGCCCAGCTAATTTTGTATTTTTAGTAGAGACAGGGTTTCTCCATGTTGGTCAGGCTGGTCTTGAACTCCTGACCTCAGGTGATCTGCCCGCCTCGGCCTCCCAAAGTGCTGGGATTACTGGCGTGAGCCACCGCACCCGGCCTCATGATGGCTTATTTAAGCCAATCTGAAGCTTTAAATTATTGCCCCACTCATATTTCAAATTGTCTGTCCCCTGAGGACACTGGTAGCATAGGTTGGAGCACTGTTAAGTGAAATGTCAGCAATTATTAGATGTGCTTAAAGGTTTCCCCTATTTTTTAAAATTAAGTGTGTATGTGTAGTGGGGAATGTCCAGGATGAAAGCTTGGCAACTCTCAAGATAGAAACAAACTGCTAGGCCCTATGTATCAAGGAGAAACTGTAAAAGCTTGAGTCACTTTGACAAGAGAGAAAAAGACTTAACCAGGGATATGATTAAGGCAGTTAAGATTGTAAAGCCTGCAAGAAATAATGGATCAGTTATTTCTTTTTACAGTGTCTCATAATCTGAGAAGGTCACTCAATGAAACAGCTTTTAAATTCAGAATAAATAGTAAAAAGGAAATTTGTCTTTCAGAGTCCCATTGCCACTGCAAGAGGTCACTGGTTAAAAGCTGGAGTATAAAATGTTACCTTTATTGTTTTTTTTCCATTACAAAGGTAGTACATGCTATTACCAGAAAATTTGTAAAAGTAAAAAGAAAGAAATGATGCAATAACTGTTTGTCTTTTGGTATCTTTTTATTTTCCATTTTTCCTTTATGTGTACATTTCTGTTATTTTTATTTTATTTTGTAATATAGTTGTGATCATGCTGTAATTTTGAAGTCAGCCTTTTCCCTTAATGTATTACATGGTACAGTCGACTTTGATAAAAACGACCATATAAAGTTATGAATGCTATTAGTCTTTGCTGAGAAGCAACAGAAAAGGTCACATTATTTATTGAGTGTCTACTATGTGATAGCCACTATGCTAAATCTCATGCCTCTGTGTATTATCAATGTCAAGAGTGAATTTACCTCTTCTTCTTTTGGGTATAAGACATAATTCATTCTGTAAATATTTACTGAACATCTACCAAGTACCACATACCACATTAGGTACTGTAGAATATAACTGTCAACAAGACTAATACTATCCTGACATTTTAGAGATTAAGGTCTATCTTTTTGATTATTTATCACTCGTTAGTTATA
This sequence comes from Homo sapiens, assembly GCF_000001405.40. Lineage (NCBI taxonomy): Eukaryota > Metazoa > Chordata > Mammalia > Primates > Hominidae > Homo > Homo sapiens. The sequence goes on from NC_000023.11 coordinate 31,340,953, forward strand.
CAAACAACTATTGAGCCGTTCTAATGTGCAAAACACTGGACTTTCAGATTAGATCCTTGGAAATCATCTTCAGAAAGGAGAGGAACTACTTATACTGACCATTAAATGCAAGAGAATGAATGAAACTTTCATGACTAGTTTGACTCTAACAGGCATGCATTAAGTTATACTATCAAGCTGATAGTAATAATGATACTAATGCTAAAGCTAATAGCAAACACTTGAATAGCACTTACTATGTTCCAGGCACTACTCTAAGGGTTTTACAAATATTAACTGTTTGATCTTCACTGTAACCCTATGAAATAATACAGCCATATTTCACCGAATTCAATATCCCATTGGTCGTATGGTGCATTCTGATTTCAGAACTGTTGAAACGTGGGTGGAAAAGTGTGTCTTACAATTGACCAAATATGTTACTATTATCCCTATTTTAAAGATGAAGAATAAAGAGAAAGAAAAAAGCATAAAGTGTCTGAGTCAATATTTGAACCCAGTCAGTTTCATTTTACAGCTTTTACTCTTAACCGCTATCGATACCATTTTGATAAGGCAGTTTTTAGCCCAGAGGTGTTGAGAGAAAAATTTAGGTTATGTAAATCAACTTAGGATGGCCAAACGAAGAGGAATATACGAGAGAATAATCGTTGGCAATAGCAGATAGACTAGACAGTTATTGGCCTGGGCATTTCTTCTTAACGGGTAAGGCAGTGTGATGTGTGGCTTGGATGTCCAGAAACTGGGTTCCAGTCCCAGTATTATAACTATCTTTGTGACCTTGGTTATGTCATTTGATCGTTCTGCACCTATTTCATTATCTGTAAAATAAGGAAAGGGCTCGAATGATTCAATGTTTCTCAAACTATTTCGACTGCAACCCACAGAAGAAAAACGTTTTACACTGTGATCTGGCGTGCGCGCGTGCGTGCGCGCGCGCACACACACACACACACACACACACACACGCATGTACACACATATCTAACAAATTAACCACCGCCAAAACAACACTTAACCTTGCTTAGGTAATGCACTCTGATATTTTCTAATCTGTTCCATTCCATTCCATTCCATACCAGTCAAAAATTGTTGGTTGTAAGTCATTAAACTGATTTTAGGATTTGCTAATGAGCCACACCTCAGAGTTTGGAAACTACTGGTATAGATACTTTCTAAGCTTATCTCCAGTTAGGAAACTCCACAGCACAAGAGGGCTCCTGGGTGGGAGTGGGGCTGGGAACTTCAGTAAAGAGAGGGACTTGACCCTTTTGCCTCATAAATACTCATTTTCTTTTTAATTGGATCACGTTTCTACAACCTTTAGCAGAAATTTTTTGTCATTAAAGCATCTGGCAAATACCACATTAAGGCAAAGATTCACTGTGATCCATGGCATAAAGTTTAGTGTGAAATTAACTGGTGTGCCTGAAAAAGGCTTCCACAGTCACCTAAAACTGGAGAACTATAGACTCCTTATCCTCTTAGAGTCTCAGTGTATAATAAAAATTCCAAGAATTCTAACAAGAAATAAACTTGCTTATCTTTGAAACCTAGTGTTTTTCCAATCTTATTAATCAGTACTATTTTTTTCAAGGGACAGTTATCAAAACCTAATATAACATTAATGTTTTAAAGAACCTGGCTTGGAAAATATTCTTTTAAGGGACCTCTGGAACTTGTAAAATATTAAGAAAACCATGGATTCTTTTTACTGTTATAGAATGATTTCTCCCTTTACCCAAATATATAGTGATCTTTCTTGGTGAGAAAAGTAGAATTTAGAACAGAAGACCAGAGAATTGAAATAATGGTCAGGAAAAATCTTTAAATTCTTTTTTTGAGACAGAGTCTCTCTCTATCACCCAGGCTGGACTGCAGTGGCATGATCTCAGCTCACTGCAACCTCCACCTCCAGGGTTCAAGCCATTCTCCTGCCTCAGCCTCCTAAGCAGCTGGGATTACAGGCGAGTGCCACCACGCCCAGCTAATTTTTGTATTTTTAGTACAGATGGGGGTTTCACCAGGTTGGCCAGGCTGGTCTTGAACTCCTGACCTCAAGTGATCTGCCCACCTCAGCCTCCCAAAGTGATGGGATTACAGGTGTGAGCCACCACGCCCAACAAATCTTTAAACTCTTCAAAAGAAAAGGACAATTTTCAGACTACTATGCCAACCAATGAATACTTTAGTACTTTCTTAATCACAGACATATGAAGAGACTGACAATATACCTACCAATTATACATATATAACTATAAATTAGTATATAATTTAAATAATTTAAATGATAATTTTATTGTAAATTATATACATATTTGAAGTCACACTATTAGAATTTCTCCTTTTTCTTGGTTTAAGTTGTAGAAGTCAATTAGGAGTAGCAGTGTATTAAAACTAGAAGTAAGGACAAGTTAGTGTCTATCAGCGGAGAAGGGTCATATTTCACAATGCTTTTCTCTTCTCATTTTCTCTTAGATCTAAGATAAAAGAAAAAATTTCTTTAACATGTAGAGATTGGGCCACCAGGAAGAAACAGTGAATTCTTTTTTTTAGTAAAAGGCTGCCTCTGTCTTCTGATAAACAACAGACAGCTGGTAATGTAATTTCCAAATAATTTCCAAAGGGGAGTGTGTGTGTGTGTGTGTGTGTGTGTGTGTGTGTGTGAGAGAGAGAGAGAGAGAGAGTGCACACACGTGCGAGACAGAGAGAGAGAGAGAATAAGATAAACAGAGACAGTAAGCATGTTTACGCTGGCGGGTGCAATTAGTAGTTCCTCCTTATTTTTCTTTTCTTTGTAATTTCTAAGCTTTAGGAGCCACCCTATTATTATTTATAGTAACCTGAAAGCACATTACTAAACATGTATCAACTCAGGCCTGTCTAAAAAAAAGTATCAATTCAAATTCATTTAATATGACCTTAGAGGAATATTTAAAACATATTTTTATTCATTGGTGGGGGGAAGCTGCTTTTATAGTAGCAAATACGTGACTTCAGAGATGTCCTGCTTCAAATATGGTGATTTTTTTTTTTTTTTTAAATTTAGGGTCAGGGTCTTGCTCTGTCACACAGATTGGAGTGCGGGGGGGGGTGGATTATGGATCACTGCAGCCTTGACCTCTTGGGCTCAAGTGATCCTCCTGCCTCAGTTTCCCAAAGAATTGGGATTATAGGCATGAGCCACACCATGCCTAGCTCAAATACGGTTTGGATGGCACACCCAATTTCTGGTGCAATTTTCTAGAGGTAAGTTTGGCAATACACTTGAAAAGGCTTACGAATGTAAACATTCTTTAACATGACAATTCCACCTTTAGGCATTTATCCTGTAGAAAGAATCTGAGATATTTGTAAAGGTATAAAAAGGATATTAGCCATAATGCTCGATATAATAAAGATTGTGAAATAATCTTTATATTGAGCAATTTAGAATTGTGTTGGTAAATTTGGTACAGCCACAGAAGAGAGTATTAGCCAGTCATTAGAAAAATTACTCTGAAGAAGAATATTTAAACACACGAAAATATTGGAAAGATAGTTTTAAGGGAAAAAAGCAGCTCATAAAACTGTAGCATGTTTTTATCTGCGCATGGTTTAAAAGAAAAGAGAGAGGCCGGGCGTGGTGGCTCATGCCTGTAATCTCAACACTTTGGGAGGCCTCAGTGGGTGGATTACTTGAGGCCACAAGTTCGAGACCAGCCTGGCCAACATAGTGAAACCCCGTCTCTACTAAAAATACAAAAAATTAGCCAAGCGTGGTGGCGTATTCCTGTAATCCCAGCTACTCGGGAGGCTGAGTCATGAGAATCGCTAGAACCCAGGACGGGGGAGGTTGCAGTGAGCTGAGATTGCACTCTGTCTCAAAAAACAAAAAAATAAAAAAATAAAAGATAGAACCTTGATACACACACACACACACACACGCAACCACAAGAGAAATACAGAAAGTATATAAACCAAATTTCTGATAGTGATTATCTCTGAGTCATAGGATTATGGATACTTTTTCTTTTCTTGTTTGTACTGTGGGCTTTCCAAATTTTTCTTGATGTGTATAGAGTACCTTTGTAATTTTAAAAAGTACAATGTAAAGAAACAATCCATCCTTAGTCTCACCGTCCTATTTCTTAAATATCCCTTAAACCAAGTTGGTATTTTCTTTATACCTGCAAGCAAAGCTTTTAAGCGTATATTGATATTCCACATGGGCATCCAAGAGACTGATGACTTCCGGGGCTGGCTCCATTCAGGCAGGTAGATCAGTCTCTTTATGAATACCTGTGTCTAACAGGCCTGACCTTTCTGGAAGTGGGCACTGATGTGATATGGTTTGAAAGGTGTGAGAATGCTCCCCTTGGCCCCTCAAAGTTCCTTCCTCACAGCTCAGAGCTTATGGCCGATGTTCTACCACCTCAGGCTTATGGATTTTCACACTAATAAAATGCAAATAACCCAGGAGAAGTACACATTAAACTTTACCTATCACTTGGGTTAAATGAGTATATCATTTTCTGAAAATAGGTTTTAATGGGTAAGACATGGGAATTCAGAGGGGGAGTCAGGGAGAAGAAAATATGAATGAATATACCTGGTGTCTGAGGAGTAATTAATATTCATAATAGTACTATTTTTTATTTATGGTTTATGAGTCGCTTAGGAGTATGTTATCACATTTAATCTCAATTAAATCGAATAGAATGGCTGTCACCAAGGCAAGTTAAGTAGACCAGAGATTTGGAAAGATGCAGAAGACGAAATCTGTAGCCTTTATCATTTTTCTAGAGCCGTTCCTAAAAGCCACGATCCCACTCATTTAGATAAACTGCTTTAACTTATCCCTTTTTCTTGGCAACTCCAAAGCATTGTGAAACTGTGTCCAAATAACTAGACCACATGCGGATAATAAAGTTAGAGCCAGTCCAGAAAATAAGATACTTCTTCTTAATCTATTATCGATGTATGACAAAAACACAGGACCAACACCTTCCAGGAAATTTTGTTCAAAAAGACAACAGCCAACTGGAGACACACATGACAACATCTACTCAAATACTTTAAAGTATTTGTGAGCGTGGATCTTTTTATTAACCCGTGGAGAATGGAAAAGAAAGGAAATGATCAGAAAATGGCAATGAAAGAATATGGCAGAAGAATGGAGATCATACAGAATTACTTCCTCTCTATAAAATATATAAATTAAGTAAAATTACAGTGCGATGCTTAAAAACACAGACTCTGGAGCCAACTTCTTGAGTTTCAATCCTGGCTCCCTCATCTACTAGCTGTATGAATGTGTGCCTCAGTTTCTTCATCATTGAAATGGGTATAATAATGGTACCTACCTTAAGGGATTGAAGGGATTGCTATAAGGATTAAACTAGTTAAAATCTGTAACATTTCTAGGCACAAAGTAATTGCGTTAAAATGATGGATAAACCCTCATATATACTCATATATGACCACAAGGAAATACATCAGAATGCTAACAGATGTTAACTCCATGTGGTAAAGTATGGCTTTTTAAATACCAAAAAACTCAACACATATACTTTTATAATCAAATAAAAAGTGGTATAAATTAACATTAATCAGAGGAAAACAGGTGCTTGCCAATTTAATATGCAATATTGTATAAATAGGATTTTCTAATACTTAAACTTTCAGTTAACCAAGGTTATTTCTCTTAGTATTAATTATAAAAACATAATTAATAAAATAGCAAAACCAGTAAATAAAAAGAATGGCTAGAGGTCAAGAACAAAAGGAGAATACAAGGCTCACGAATGTAATCCTAGCACTTTGGGAGGCCAAGGCGAGTGGATCACTTGAGGTCAGGAGCTCGAGACCAGCCTGACCAATGTGGTGAAGCCTCGTCTCTACTAAAAAAATACAAAAATTATCTGGGCCTGGTGGTGTACACCTGTAGTCCCAGCTACTCGGGAGGCTGAGGCAGGAGAATAGTTTGAACCCGGGAGGCGGAGGTTGCAGTGAGCCAAGATCACGCCACTGCACTCACAGCCTGGGTGACAGAATGAGGCTCCCTCTCAAAAAAAAAAAAAAAAAAAAAAAAAAAAAAAAAAAGGAAGGATGCAAACAGTTAGGGAAAGGAAATGCCCATAGGCTGAGGTTTCAACTTGGAGGCATAGTATTTATTTATTATTGATATATAATATTTTACATATTTATGAGGTAATGTGATATTTTACTGGCATAGAATGCATAATGATCAAGTCAGGGTATTTGAGGCATCCATTACTTTGAGTATTTGTCATTTGTCTATGTATTGGGAACAATTCAAGCCCTTTCTTCTTGGTACTTTGAAATATACAACACATCGTTGTTAACTACAGTCACTCTATTCTGCTGTCAAATGATATAACGTAGTCCTTCTATCTAACTGGATGTTTGTACCCATTAACCACCCTCTCTTTATCTCCCCCTCTACCCACACACCTTTCCCAGCCACTAGTATCTATCATTCTATTCTATGTTTATTATCAATTTTTTTAGCTCCCACAAGAGTAAGAACATGCGATTTTTGTCTTTCTGTGCCAGGGTTATTTCACTTAACATAATGACCTCCAGTTCCATCCATGTTGCTGTGAATGACATGGTTTCATTCTTGCAGTGTTTCATTGTGTACAGATACCACATATTCTTTATCCATTCATCTGTTGATATACACTTAGGTTGATTTCACATCTTTGCTGTTTTAAACAGTGCTGTGATAAGCATGCAAGTGCAGGTACCCTTTTGATATACTGATTTCTTAGCTTTGGGATGGATAACCAGTAGTGGGATTGCCAGATGGTAAGGTAGTTCTATTTACAGTTTGTTGAGAATCTTCATACTGTTACTAATTTACTGTTACATTTTCATCAACACTGTAAAAGAGTTCCCTTTCTTCACATTCTCACCAGAATCTGTTATTTTTTGTCTTTTGAATAATAGCCATTCTAATTGGGGTAAGACGATATATCATGTGGTCTTGATTTGCATTTCCCTGGTGATTAGTGATGTTGAGCATTTTTTCATATACCTGTTGGCCATTTGTATGCCTTCTTTTGAGAATTGTCACTCATTTCATAAGGCAGGGATCATTTAATGAATTATTTAAAGAATTATAGAGTCACAGTAACATATATTGGATGATCATATTATAATTACATGATATCATAATTATTAGCTTTATGAACTGAACTGATAGGCAGAAATTAAAAACTCAAAAGTATGTTTTTGCTTCAGCAGCCCATATACTAACATTGGAATAATGATACAGAGAATACTAGCATGGCTCCTGAGCAAAGTGTTCCACATTTTTCAAAAAGACTCAAAAATATTAATATGGTTAACATTTGAGAATATAGTGCAGGAAACAATTATGCATTAGCTGAAGACTGGACAAAATGATCCAATTGGCCTTCCTCTTCCTAACCTTCTCAACTTATCAACCAAGTTATATTTCAGGATGATTTATGCTTCTACTGCATCTGATAAAAGATTACTATAATTCAACTCTTAATTCTTTTGTTTTTTCAACTGTTATTCTTATTAATCAAGATGCAATAAAGTTAAGTGATAAAAGCTGAAAATGACTTACTGGAAAGAAAGTGCTGAGATGCTGGACCAAAGTCCCTGTGGGCTTCATGCAGCTGCCTGACTCGGTCCTCGACGGCCACCTGGGAGGAAAAGGAGAGAAATGATGTTCTCTCATTCTATATAATGAGGAACAATTAAAACAATGTATCCTTTCTGATAAGATACTTTGAGTCTCCAAGACTGAGAACACTAAAGCAACATTTCATAACTCTAGTTTTAATATTCACTTACCGTATATAGTATTCCAGACTCGTTTTTATCAATCCAAGGCCAAACACAAAGGATTTCCTCTCTCGACAATGTTAAAATGAGATTTTGGTTTTTTTTTACAGTCAACTCATTGGCAGCCACAAATGAACTACTGCTTCAATTAGTACCATAAAAAAATACAAATCTTTACTTTCACAAAAACATTAGGGAGGGTGACATTTGGTATAGGTGACTACAGAATCTCAGAAATGACATGTCTTGTCTTTAAGTCTTAGGCTATTGTTTTTGACAAATTTTTAAAGAAGCAATATTGATTAATAGATAATAAATCATTGAGTGATATTTAATTATTGATAATTATTAATTAACCAGTGGTTGATTAATATTTAATTATGGGCTGGGCACAGTGACTCATGCCTGTAATCCCAGCACTTTGGGAGGCCAAGTTGGCTGGATCACTTGAGGTCATAAGTTCGAGGCCAGCCTGGCCAACATGGTGAAAACCCGTCTCTACTAGAAATACAAAAATTAGTCAGGTGTGGTGGCGCATGCCTGTAGTCCCAGCTCCTAGGGAGGCTGAGGCAGGAGGGAGGCTGCAGTGAGCAGAGATCACGCCACTGTACTCCAGCCTGGGTGACAGAGTGAAACTCCACCTCAAAGAAAAAAATATTAAGTATCAAAGAAGTACAGGCAAGGCTTAAATTTGGGATAAAATAGGGTGGGTAGTAAGATAAAACTAATTTTCGGAATTCAGTTTTCAGTGGACTTGGAAATTATTAAGAAATATACCTTTAGGGGGCATGCAGTGAAAACTGCCATTCTTTTCTTCCTATTAGGTTTTTCTATAATATATTGACACAGTGTGCTGTCAACTTAGTGAGTTCTATTCTTGGTGGGGAAGAAAGGAATAATTTTACGGGTGACATGCTATACTTACTTATTTGGCATTTTGCCAATCCAATATAAGTGGTGGCTCCAGGCATCCTAGCTCTCTAACTCTGGATTTTGATTTAGTTGTGAACAGTCCATGCTAAACTAGGGGTTGATCAGAGCTTGCACAGAGCAATCAGAACTCAGGGGGTAGTTCCCGTGGTGTGCAGAATTCCCGAGAGGTAAAAATCGATGTTAATCTCATCAGAAAAGTGGCTCAGGTAGCCTGGTCTCAAACCAACTCTGGCCTTCCAATATCAATTAAGTGCCTAGTGTATATCCAGAACAATCTCATTTTTTCACTCTCTCCCTAGACTTGCCCATTTTTGCTTGGCCCAAATACGTGGATAACCAAGTGGGGTTCCCCTACAATGCAGGATTTACTTTATTTTATATACACAAAAGCATGAGGGACATATCAAACCTACCTTCCCAACCTTATGACCCTGCACTCCCAAACTCTACCTGCTAAGCCCACCAAAACTACCTGCCTGTCCTGCACTATTCCATCCAATATAACTCTTGTGCGTGGCTTCTTCATGCTGCTCCTTCTCTCGGCAATGCTCTTACCCCACTTCTCTCCCAGATCAATGCTGTTAGTGTTTATATGTTTACTTCCTCATCTCCCAGGTTAGAATTAATGGCTTCCTCAGCATTCTAACAGTATATGGTTTATACCTGAAGCACTTCTATCATATAATTCATTTTAGTTATATGGACATGAGTGTGTCTTGCAATAGATTGGAAACTTCTTGATAGCAGGGACCATTTTTTGTTTACCTTTCTCTTCGAATGTCTCCAACCCTTTCTGCAGGAGGCACATAGTATATGGTAGCAAATATTTGTTTAATGACTAGTTGACCAAACAAATGGATGAGTAAATGAGTAAATGTGGTACGTGTGTGTGTGTGTGTGTGTGTGTGTGTGTGTGTGTGTGTGAGAGAGAGAGAGAGAGAGAGAGAGAGAAGAGAAGAGAAGCGATGCGGAACAAACAAGTATGCCTACTGACACTGAGTGCACTGACTGCAGGTCTGTAATGGTTAATTCTATGTGTCAAGTTGACTGGACTATGGGGTGCCCAGGTAAACCACTATTTCTGGGTGTGTCTGTGAGGGTGTTTTGCAGACAAGATTAGCATTTGGTTCAGTGGATTCAGTAGATTGCCCTCCCCAATGTGGGCGGGCATCATCCTGTCAGTTGAGGTCCTAAACAGAACAAAAAGGCATGTTCCTTTTTTCCCTGCAGGCCTGCTTGAGCTGGGATGTCAGTCTTCTCCTGCACTTGCACTGGGATTTACATCATCAACTCCCCTGGTTCTCAGGCCTTCAGACTGGGACTGAAATCACACTACCAATTTTCCTGGCTCTCTAGCTTGCAGATAGCAGGTCATGGGACTTCTTAGTCTCCAACTGCATGAGATAATACTTAATTTTATATATTCACACACACATAGACATACATATATACACACACACACACACACACATATACATACATACATACATATGTATATTGTTGCTTCTATTTCTCTGGAGAACCTTGACTAATCAATGTCCCTGGGTAAATTATTCTTAACTTTCCTTATCAGTAAAATGTGGAAAATAATATAACTTATAGGGTTTTGTGGGAATTAAATAAGATGATACAATGTAAAGCATTTAGCCTAGTTTCTGTCACGTGGTAATTGCTCAATAAATGTTACCAGCTACTGTTCTTGCTACTATTATGGTTAATAAAAGGAGAGGAATAGGCCAGGCATGGTGACTCACACCTGTAATCCCAGCACTTTGGGAGGCCGAGGCAGGCGGATCACTTGAGGTCAGGAGTTCGAGACCGGTCTGGCCAACATGATGAAACGCAGTCTCTACTAAAAATACAAAAATTAGCTTGGTGTGGTGGTGGGCATCTGTAATCCCAGCTACTCGGGAAGCTGAGACAGGAGAATCACTTGAATCTGAGAGGTGGAGGTTGCAGTGCGCCGAGATCGTGTCACTACACTCCAGCCTAGGTAACAGAACAAGACTCCATCTCAAAAAAAAAAAAAAAAAAAGCAAAAAAGGAGAGCAATAGACTATAATGTGCAGGGCACCACATACAATACAAAAATGGCTAATGTTTATTAAGCAATATGTGGCATGACAATATGAATTATGTTATTTCATCTTCACAGTAACTCTGCAATAGGAGTTAATATTATTCCCCCCGACTTCATTGACATAAAAACTGAGGCATGAGAGGTTAAAAAAAAAAAACTTGCCTAAGCTTCAGTAGTTAGTAAATTGGCAGAGCTAGGATTCAAACTCATTCAGTCTGGGTCTTGCTCTTAACTGCTATCCTGAAGATTAAAGTTGAAAAAAAGTATTTTATAAATATTTAATAAGTAATTGGCTTTTTAATTTCTTTAATCAGTTTATTGAATGCAGACCAATTCTAGTGTGCATATCGATGAAACTGCAGTTGTTCAACGTATTTTATGGCCCAATGCAAGGTCAATTCCTGGTCTTGAAGAATGTGATACCATAAGATTATAGAGAAAGGTTGTGGGAAAACGCGTGCAAATAAATGTTGGGCATATGTCATTATTTCTAAATTTAGAATGGGTCATTTCATGAATAAATCAATCTAGAGATAAATGTGAGTGTTTGGGGGTAGAGAGGAGAAGATGAAGATGCCATATGGGAGTGGACACTGATCAGAAATCTTTGCACATACTGAGAAAGAAATCCCAAGGGGAAGATGTAGATGGTAAAGGATTATGACTGTGCCATAGGCCACTTTCTCTAGTAAGAATGTTAGTTTCATAGGGACTGAGCCGATGCAGCATCAAAGTTCATTCTAGACTCCCAATCTTCTCTCTGAAGAATTTTGCCTTCTTATACAAGGAGCGCTCCAGTGGTAGTTTCCAGTGTACATTCAATATTGTCAAGATTTTAAAATGAGATCAAAGTGAATTTCCATCTTCATAACTCAAACTTAAGAGAAGGTATGACAGCGAGAAGAATTAAGCATAAAATATTTCTTTCCACAAATTATCACTGGAGAAAGGTTTTGTGTGGATTGAATGCACAACTGGCTAAATAAAGAAACAAATTTATGAATGAGAAAAACTTGAAAGCAACCAAAGTCCTCGAAAGCTTTAGCTTGGGACTTAGGAACAAAGCACTTTATTCTTTGAGCAATTATGCAAGGAAATGAAATTTGATAATCTATTAAACGAGAGCCTCCATGCATTAGATCTTTCTAACTGGCTGTATGTTAAATCAATATACCGTGGTATATACAAAACAGGAAGCAAAAGCCAGAAATGATATACCTGTGTCTTATGTTCTGGCACAATCAGTTCTTTCCTTGGTGGTTTATTCATTTTATAAGTATTTGTTAATATTGAAAGAGATAGGCAAAAAACAAATGCTATAGTCCCTGATCTCTGCAAGTGTAAAGGTTTGGAGGTAAGAAGTAGTGACAAGCTGAAGAAAGGCTTGGGGCTGCAGAACAGTGGTGTTGAGGACGACAGTGAGATACAATTAGTTAGTCATGTTGAAAGCCGATGATGCAAAGCAAGGCGTCCCAGACTCTGAGGCTCAAGATTTACCCTGCAGGCAAAGAGAACCACTGAAAATTTCTGTGACATGACTCACTATTTTAGAGGAAAGTTAGGGTTTGGGAAGATCAGTATAGTGTAAAACAGATTCGAAAGGGCACCTGAGACTGAGATCAGAAAGAGGCTGTTGTAACTTACTAGACTTGGGTTGATATGCATTAGAATTAAGGCTGTATTGTATTCAATGTAAAAGAAGGTACATATGAGAAGGTATTTTGAAAGGAGGAAGAACTATCCAATTTGGTGTTGGAGATTAATATCTGAAGAAGCAAATAAACTCTTGGATTTCGAGTAAGGAAGACTGGGAGAATGAAGATATTGCTGGTGGCAATATGAAAATCAGAAAAGGAAGAAATAGCATATGTATGTATGAATTCATTTGGAACATAATGAATTTGTCCTAACAGTGAAACATTTAACTGGAGATGTCATGTATAGCCAGTTAGAGATGAACAATTTGTCTCAGCAATTAAAGAAAGGAAAGGGAAGTGAGACTAAAAGGGGTAAGAGTGAGCTTTGGAAGGTGAGCCAAGAAAGAAGAGATAAAGGAGTTTAAATAGAATGATTTAAACAGCCAGGAGGAACCCAATCTCTTCTGAATTAATAGGGCATGTCTCTGTTTCCTTTTATAAAAGTAATACAAATATAACATCTTTTTGGAAGCATACATCCTGTTTCAACTATTAGATCATAGATCACGAAAGCTTAGAACTGGAAGAAACCTTGATTGATACACGAGGGTCTATTCTTCAGAACTATCCCAGATGGGCAGAAAACTGCCATCTGGTCCATGAGAACTCATAATCTAGGTTGCAGCAATTCTTCAGTAAAAGCATCTCAGGAAAAAAAGGTCCTTTTTTATATGTTCCATGAGGACAGGGACACATCTTTCCCTGCTAAATCCTCAGTGAGTAGCACAGTACCTGGCATATAATAGGTGCTAAATTAATATTAGTTGAATGAATTAATGTACTGTTTATTCACGGATCTTTACTATTAACAACTATATTTTGAATGAATCATTTCTTTTTCAAGATCCCTGACACAAGCTTTTGAAAAACTTCCCTCCCTCCCTTCTTCCTTTCCTTCTTTTCTTCCTTCCTCCTTTTCTTCCTTTCTTCCATTTTTGATGATGAAAGTAAAAAAAAGAAAAGAAGAAAACCATTTAGATTCAATTTTGCCTATAATACTAGATTTAAAAATGTAAAACGGCAATTTATAAAACAACCCTGAAGTCCAAATCTCCTCCACATTTGTTTTACTCTAGTTTTTAAATAATCATATTTAAGATTTGAGAGTTATGAGGGCTATATATTATTCTCCTTGGTCTTCTCATTTCAGATGAGTTCTGTAGACAGTATACTGTTTGCAGAGACCTTCCTTTCTTAGCTTCAGTAAGAAATATCACTACATTCATTCAAAAGATATTGACTAGAATGTAAGTTTATTGTCCACAAAGACAGAGATCTTATCTGTCTTGTTAAGAATTTATCACAATGCCTAGTACATAGAAGATGATCAAGAAATACTGAATGGATGAATGAATGAAAGGCTTTTTGAGTTCCTCTTATTTGTCAGGCACTGAGATAAGTATGAATACGGTAGACTTGAAAGCGTAATTCTGGGTATAATGAATGAGCACCAAATCATCCAACTAAATTACGATACGACACACACTCTTAATTCCAAGCTGTGACTGTTTCCCAAAGCTCAGTCCATTCCTCTGTGTATTGTGAAAGATAAGCTTTATTTCATTTTTTCTTCAACATTGCTTTTAAATAAGCCAAAAGAATAAAAGAAAGAAAGAAAAAGGACCGATAACAACATCATGGCTCTTAGAAATTATTTCAAATAAATTTATCTAAATGTAAATGTTGGTTCTTTAACTTTGTTTTAGATTCTCAAGGGCTTCCACTTTGTCTTTTGACCTTTCTGTTAATTACTCTACTTTGAGTTTTATCTTCACTAGAAGTTTAGGAGAGACAGGCATTACCTCCCCATGTGGAAATACACTGCTAGGCAATGTGGTTTCTTCCTAGTGTCCAAGCTACATCTTACTGATTACTACATACATAAATCATGTTTACTCCAGTCTAGAGAAAATATGTAACTAGGAACGTATGTTTTGATTTTCTGGTTCTCAGTTTGTCTAGACCCTAGATAAATATCCATGGGAATGCAAGAAACAGACATGACACTTACACAAATGAGCCTATTAAAACAAAAACAAAAGCAAAAGACAGAAACTCTTGTGCTGTGATGCTAGTAAATAAACCACACATATGCACACAAATGACTCTCCAGTCTATTCACGAGTTTTTGTCCTGAAGTTTTTCAGTTTGTACAGTTTCTGTGTGCATGTGTCTGTGTTGGGGGAGGAACTTCCTCGTTCATTCTTACTCCCAAATCCTCACAAGTAACACTCATAAATACGTGCCCAAACATTATCCGGGAAACGCTCCTGAGACTGATTACAGTTTCAGTTAAAATCCTTTTAACTAATGGTAATCCCTTTCAGTTAAAATCCATTATTATTCTAATTCTGATTCTTTTGAGTTGTAACTGAAAAAATAATAAAAAAAAAAAAAGTCTGAGATAAGTTCTGGTCTTGATTTCAAACTCTCCTGGGCCTCCCAGAGTGCTGGGATTACAGGCATGAGCCACCTCTACCGGCCATCTTCTGGAATGAAGTTTTGTGATAGGTATAGCTCTGCGGCAAAACAACCTGGGCTTGTTGAATGCAAAGATTAACTGAATTGTCTTTCCTTTGAGTTTATTTCTGTGTTTTCCTGACATTAGGGCACTTAGGAGTTAAACAGTGTTTCTTGCGTTTGACTTCAGGATAGATCACGGGAAACAACTAGTGCTAACATGGCACTCACTCTGAGTAGGAGCATAATTCTTAATAGATTTTGTGTGACTTATGGCATTGATACTAATGCCGTGCCATCTGAGACCATCCTTAATCTACCTTTTAAGGTTCCTGCATCACAGCTTTTTTTCCTTCCATTTTATATTTCTGTGCTGACTTCTTTCTTAATCTGACTCCTTTTTTTATTCCCTCCTTTTTCTGTCCTTTCTCCTCCAGCCCTCCCCCTTTATTATGTTCTATACAACCTACCAGAAGAGTACACAGACTCTGCTGAGGCAAACAGTGCCTCAAATGAAGGGGCTGTGCATGCTTGCAAGACAAGCGAGGCAGGATATGAATAGGACTCCTAGCCTAGTGCCAGCCCAACGCTTCTCCAAGAACATTCTTCCTCTAATTCTGATGAACTCTGCCATCAAACTGGAAGGCAAGAGAGAACAAAACAGCAAGCTCTTTGTCCGTTGTTAAGCCTTTAATCTTTCACCTCACCGATTTCTAAAATGCACTTTGGATGTTTGTTTATTGGTTTTCTTGCTTATGCAACTGCCTCATTCTGTGATAATGGAGTCAGGTTATATCAACATTAAATTGACTTCATAGACCCAAGTACCTTAAGGGTATCATTCATTTTAATTTAGAAAAGCAGCAATCAACCTCCTATCCTGTTTCATTTGTCAAAATCTTTAGTTTTAATTACATCTACAGACTTATGAAAATTGTGACAGGAAGAGAAGAGATCATAGGAAGCATTTCTTCTGCCTTTTTTTTTTTTTTTTTTTTTGGTCTCAGAGAGAAAAGAGGAAAGTTGAATTACTTTGCCTGGAAGGTGATGTAACTTGATACAGATTTTATCTTAAAAAATAGGTTCCCTTTTAAAAGTTTTCCTAATGTATCTCATGATTTGCAACAGGAACTAAAGTCAAGTGGCTCTCACCTTACAACATCATTACATTAAATCATTTACATTCCAGCCTTAGCTATTTATTCTTGAGCTTTATTTATACCACATTTGGAAGATATCGTTCTCACAGAAATTTTCTGAGGCCATTGGAGCATTCCTTTCTAGGGGCATTTTGGCCCATAAGTAGCATAATGTTCACATGGTAATTACATAATTATGCCTCCTGGTATTTGAACACAGGAGTATTTCCAAGGAACAAAAGTGGCAATTTGAAATAATCATCAGTGAGATACCATAGAACTGGTATTGTCCGAAAAAAAAAAAAAAGACGGCATATATTAGGAAATTCATATTAACGAATGACTGAAACAGGTAGATAAATGCAAAAAGATAAAGCACTGGAAATCAAACATTTTCATCTCAGTGGCAGAAGCTTTTATATTTTGGGTAACAATATACTTGTAGATTTTCAGTTTGTTCTACTAAACACTTCTTTAATAAAGGCTGGAAGGGGGAATTTGCTGAAGTCTGCAACAACCCTTAACCGAGGAAATCAACCCTCCTTAAATCCCGTACCATCCTTGCAGCATTTCCAAAGCTTCCTGACCTTGACTCCCTTCACAGTCAATTTGACCACCACTCAAGGAAGCTTGTCCGCCAGAAGACCCTGTTTCCACTTCCCGGCTCTCCTCCTCTGGCAAGTGACTGAAAAGCGCCTTTCTTTTCTCTCACTGATGCAGAACTGACAAACCAGTATCAAGCCGTTCTTTACAAATCAATAAACCGGAAGATCTCATCTACTGTACTTCCAAATCCTACAACATTCTGTCTTCTCTCTTCTTCGCATATCATAAGCCACAAGTTATTTACTTCACGCTTCTTAGTAAAGGACAGGGGATGGAGCAATGTGCTTCCATTGTTTCTCTGTGTAGATGTGTGAGAACCAGAATTAAAACTCTGCCATGGACTCACAGTCTCTACGGTCTCTCTCCCTCTGTCTTCTTTGCACACTTCTGACCTAGCCCTCCTCTTCTCTCCCCCTGCCTCCCTCTTCCCTCATTCCCCCTCACCCCACCCCCAAGGCTGTTTGTAAGCTCCCCAAATGCTCATAAGACTTTCCTGAACTATTTCAGATATTTTCACTTCAACTCTAAACTAAAACTATTTTGTTTTTCCAAATGTGGCTTTACATAGTGCAGAAAACTACAGGGAAAACATCCAAAGTACAATGTGATCTTTTATAGGAGAAACAAAAGATTGAATTTCTAGGTCATCATGGAAGTAGGTACACTTCCCTGGGCGATAATCTGAGGTACTTTATAAGCTTCTTTCTTTCACGAAAGCAAGAAATCCTAAAATCCATCAAGATACGTGCACTGTGCCTCAACTCTCTTTTTAATCCTCAAGTGAAATCAACACAGTACAGTGTAATAAAAATGCATATAGCCCCAGGCTTTGTGCCTTAGCAAAGAGAGAAAAAATAAGCTTCCTGACTTCATATGTCTACTGTGAATAATCAGTCACTGCGTTTTTGGGATTTTGCTTTATAATCTTAACGTATAGCAGTGAACTCCATGTTTGTGGTGTGACAAGAATAAAGGATTCTTTTTCTTTCTTTAAAACAGGTTGTTCCCATATTTTCCATAAGAGAGACATGTGTCGGCTTAAAAGAAATGAAACTACAATGGTGTGAGGGAGGAATCTCCTGATTGTTAGCGTATATTTTCTGCATTTTACCTGAAATTGTCAACGAAGTGTAGGTAAAGTTAAGGCGGGGCCCTAGGCTGTTCAATAACGTGGCTAACATTTGGTTTGAGGGCCTTCTCAGTTCTGTTCCCAAATAGTCAGCCTTTCTTTCCCAACTGCTTGTCCTTAGCTGATTAGTAAATAACCCTAGGAAGATAAATGATTGTTCATAACAGGCTTCCAGTACCACAGCTGTGAGTATTTGCATTTTAAGTGCAACTTTAAATAATTAAGCCATTAATTACTCAAATACTTATTGAGTGTTTATAAGGCACTTTGCTAGGAGAGGAAGCAGAAAAAATAAAAATAAATAAGAAAACAAGGGGATGGTCTTTAGTGAATTTGTAGATTTGATATTTACAAATAAGCATAATAAAGTATTATGGGAAAGATTTTAATGTAGTGCAGTCATTCCCCAATTTGACAGTGTATCACAACTATTTGAGAACTTTTCAAAAAAATACAGATTCTTAGCTCGTCTAAATAATTTCTGATTTAGTTAATTTGAGGCTGAGGCTTGAGAATCTTTACTTTCTTTAAGTCTCCACAGATAGTTCTGATGTACAGCCTGGTATACATCCATCAGTGTAGTGGAAATGCCACGAATTTTATGACTCAGGAAGACCTGAGTTGGAGTCCCTTACTAGCTATTTAACCAGCATCTTATCTAACAGCCTGTGAACCTTAGTTTCTTTATGTGTTAATAGAAATACCACATAACAACACTACCAACAATGACAGTAATAATAGCAAACATTTATAGAGCATTTACTATATCCCAAGTGCTATTTCAAGAGCATTATAGGTATATTTCATTTATGTCTTTCTTATCAGAAGGTAAATTTGATGAGGGCAGGACTCAATCTATTTTATTCATTACTGTACCCCCAGGACCCAGGTCAGTGCCTGTCTCATAGTAGGTACCTAACTAACTACTTGAAAGAATGAACATCACTATGAGGAAAGTACACCATAGTGACCATTTTACAGATGAGGAAATGGAGGCACAGAGAATGAGATGTTGTAATGTGCACAGTTGGAGAGACCACTTTCTGGCACTCGGTATGTACTCATTTTTCTGATAACTGCAAATTGCTAGAACAAGCCTAAACAGCTATGGGGGTTACAGAGTATCTGGATGAAATTAATGAAGGAGGTTGCTTTGAAACTGGGCCTTCACAATTGGGTAAGCTTTTGATGGGCAAAAACAGAAGAAACACTCTGGGTGACAAGAGTAGAATGAGCAATTTTTTTTTTTTTGGCACTAGTAAAGGCCCGGATATGAAGGATAAACAGAAAAAGAGTTGAATAATACAAGGCTAGAAATGTAGCTTGGAGTCAAACCAGAGCTGTACTTGACTGTCAGGTTTAAGAATAGAGACTTCATTTAGTTGTTCATGGGAAGGCATTCAAATATTTTTTTAATAATTATTTTAAAATTGTATTTCTTTCAAATGCATTCACATGATAATAAAATTCAAGAAAAACAAAAAAAGTTATTTAAAAATCAAGTCTCTCTTTCACCATGTCTCTCTAGCCATTTTCTTCCCCATTCCCTGATGGCAAGTATTTCCATACTCTACATTAATTTTTTAAGTAAGAAAAATATTACGTTGGTGCAAATGTGATCGCAGTTTTTGCCATTGAAGGTAATGGTAAAACCACAATTACTTATGTACCAACCTAAATATCATTGTCAGAATGGTGTTTTAGGATGAATGAAAGCATGGAGAAAGCGAAGAGAGGATAAGCTGCCAGAAACGAAAACAAGAGATGTTCTGTGTTAAATGTAACAATATCAGAAAGTAGACTCAAGGAAGCCTCAGACTCTCACCCTAGGTGAGGAGGAGATGGATAAAAATCAGAAGGAACCACTGGTTTGTTGCAGCATAGTTTGATGTAATAGCAAATCAGTAAATCATGGACGGTTGAACAAAGACTGGAGGAATGATGGGAAAATTATGAAAGGTGTGGCAGTGAATTCTCCTTAAAGCCCCTCTTATCATTCATTCTCATTGTTAGCAAGATCCCTACCATAGCTGGGGCAAAAACAATGTATTTAACTAAAAATGAGCTAAGGCGTGTAAAGCGTTTAACAGCATCTGTTATAAGGTGAGCACTGAGTAAATGGTAACTGTTACTTATTTGTATTAAAAGGTGGGGCTGGGCATGGTGGTGCAAGCCTGTAATCTCTCACAGTGACCTGGGAGGCTGAAGTGGGAGGATCACTTGAACCCAGGAGTTCAAGACCAGCCTGGGCAACATAGTGAGACCCTGTCTCTTAAAAAAAAATAACACAAACAAAAAACATGGTGTCAGAGCAGAATACAATGGGGTGAGTTTGACAGACCCATCTTTAGGGGAAGTTCCATATCTAGCTTCCCTTTTTTATAGTAAATACTTGAGCTGGTTTGTTGAGGGTAACCCATACGATTTTAATCATTTACCAGGACTTAAATCTGGAAAGTATGACAGTTGGGTTCAAGAATCAATGATTCCACCAGCATTTTCAAGGGCTGCTATGTACACTGTACTGTATGTTCATCGTGTGGTGGATGGCAAAGATGGGACATGAAAAATTTCTTTTCTCAAGAACCTTGTGTCTTGCTGGGAGATGACTGCAGCTGAGACGAATTAGAGACTTTTGAACTGATAGTCTCTGTGTTATGACCAATAAGGGCAATATGTATTTTTGGAAGTGAGACAGCAGTGAGGCCAGGAGCAATCTGGGAGGCATCAGAAAAGAGGTGACACAGAACATCATTGTCCTAGGTCAGACTCAGTATCAGCAGCTTAGCATCTCATGTCCATGAGGAGTATTTTTTGAACAGGTATTTTGCATGCCATTTGTGATATAATCTTAATGATTCAGAGATTCCTGAGATTTCAAACAGTATCACTTATAGTGTCAATCTTTCCTTTATTTTAGTAAGCAACAAGTCATCATTCTCTTACCATCTTTTTTTTTTTTTTTTTTTTGAGACGTCCTGCTCTGTTGCCCAGTCTGGAGTGCAGTGGCATGATCTCAGCTCATTGCAACCCCTGCCTCCCAGGTTCAAGCAATTCTCCTGCCTCAGCCTCCCGAGTACCCGGGATTACAGGCATGCGCCAACCCACCCGGCTAATTTTTGTATTTTTTAGAAGAGATGGGGTTTCACCCTGTTGGCCAGGCTGGTCTCCATCCTCCTATCTTTTAACCATTTCACGGTTGTTTGCAAAGAACTTTCAAAATACAGTGATTAGAATGATTCGTTTTCTTGTCTTTTCCTTACTGTATTGAAATTGATTTTTTATGGTTAGGTGAATATAGATGATTAAATATAAAAGCATTGAATGATTTTGTGTTGTTTAGATAAAAACTGTGAATTTTGCATGAGTAAAGGGCTAGTATCGCTATTGTTCCTACTTGAAAATGATTTCAGTGCACTGATATCAAACTTTTTCTAGACTTTTCCAAAGTAATCGGAAATGCTCCAAATTTTGAAACTTTTTGAGTACTGACATGACGTCACAAGTGGAAAATTTCACACCTGACCTCATGTGACAGGTCACAGTCAAAACTTTTGTGTTTCACGCACAAAAGTATTTAAAATATTGTATAAAATTTCCTTCAGGGTATGTGTATAAGGTATATACGAAATATAAATGAATTTCATGTTTAGGCTTGGGTCCCATCCCAAGATATCTCATGAGGAATATGCAAATATTCCAAAATCCACAAAAATAAAAAATCCAAAACACTTCTGGTCCCAAGCATTTTGGATAAGGAATACTTAACTTGTTTTCCGATCTAACCTGGCCCTAACATTCAACTTTGTAATATATAATGAAGAAATAAAACAACAGAGTAAGGCCGGGTGCGGTGGCTCAGGCCTGTAATCCCAGCACTTCGGGAGGCCGAGGCTGGTGGATCACGAGGTCAGGAGATCGAGACCATCCTGGCTAACACGGTGAAACCCCGTCTCTAGTAAAAACACAAAAAAATTAAATTAGCCGGGCATGGTGGCGGGCACCTGTAGTCCCAGCTGCTCGGGAGGTTGAGGCAGGAGAATGGCGTGAACCCCGGAGGCGGAGCTTGCAGTGAGCCGAGATCGTGCCACTGCACTCCAGCCTGGGTGACAGAGTGAGACACCGTCTCAAAAAACAAAAACAAAAACAAACAAACAAACAACAGAGTAAACTTCCAGAGTAAACAAATCTATACCTCAGGGATATTTAAATATCAGAAATAAACTCATACTTTTGACTTACCATCTTCATAAGGCAATGCATATGCTGAACACAGATGATTCTTATCTGTTCACCAAACTAAGGTCTTTAAGGACTTTAACTACTAAGAATATTTACGTTAATTCAAGTTAATATTTGTTTTAAAAAACAGAATCTTTTAAATATTCAGGATATAGATGTTTCACCAATTCAATCTACCCTTTCTGGTCAAAAGTTAAATAAATTGGATGGAATCTCAAGTATTCATAACTACATATAAGAACAAAAACTATCAAGAATGTATCAACAAAAGGTTTCCGTGGCCTCTTTCAGTACACATAAGACATGTATCTTTTTTTTTTTTTTTTTTTTTTTTTTTGAGACAGAGTCTTGCTCTGTCACCAGGCTGGAGTGCAGTGGCGCCATCTCGGCTCACTGCAACTTCCGCTTCCCGGGTTCAAGCGATTCTCCTGCCTCGGCCTCCCCAGTAGCTGGGACTACAGGCATGCACCACCACGCCTGGCTAATTTTTGTATTTTTAGTAGAGATGAGTTTCACCATGTTGCCCAGGATGGTCTTGATCTCCTGATCTCGTGATCCGCCCACCTCGGCCTCCCAAAGTACTGGGATTACAGGCGTGAGCCACCGTGCCCGGCCAAGACATGTATCTTTATAGAGCAAGGTTTCTCAACTTCAGCATTATTGACATTTTGGCCTGGGCAATTTTTTGTTGTGCTATCTATCCCACGAATTATAGAGAATGCCTAGCAGCATCCACAACTTCTACCCACTAGATGCCAGTAGCACCTCCTCACCAGTTGGGACAACTGAAAATGTCTCCAGAAATTGCCATGTCCCCTGGGGGACAGACTTGCTCTTGGTTGAGAACCACTAGTGTACAGTAAACTTTCACCCTCTACTTCATATACACAGATATTGATGTTTGAGATAAGAGAGTCCTATTCTATGTCTATAACTGGTTGAGGAAGGAGAAGTTAACAGTCCCGAGTTATATACAGACTATTGTCAGATCTGCCCAATTCAGTATTCCTCTAATTGGCAGTCTTTGCTCTGGCATTCCTTGTTGTGCTGACACAGAGTCTAGAAGATCTGCATTGTGATCTGATGGCTTCCCTTGTTCAATTCTGCTTCCACCCCTATTTCTTCACAGGTGTTATTCTGCAATAAATCTGCCCTGGCATCTGCTTCTTGGAGGACTCAACCTGCAACAATAATCAATCAATCAATTCCACGATTCCATTCCCCTAGCCTAGGTGGGCATGTGACCCAATTTGGGCCATAAAGAGTCAAGCCCATACTTGACCAGTCTTTAAGCTCTCGGGTCAGAGTAGCTCTCTCTTTTCTGCAGGGTATGTTGAGGGTGTTAAGAGGATGGCAGGTGGGCCTGCAGCAATAGTCTGAAAGCCACCACTGTCACCAACACCCTTTTGTTTCTTAACTAATCTGAGTTGAGTTTTCTGTCACTTACAGCCAAGAGTCCAGCCTAATATACTTTATAATAAAGGGGAAACTACAGAAACATTTAAGAAAATTAGCATTGATCCTAAAAGTTGTTACAAATTACCTCATCACAATAACTATTCAGAGCAACGTATTTAAGTTGCTCAAGAACCACAAAGCACATTGCCTTTTTAAATTTAAAGAGACTTCATAAAAATGTGGGACAGAGCAGAATGGTACCCATTATTATAGAATGATTTTACCAACTGCGGCATTAATTCTCCAAAGATTTCCCCCAGTCTCATTATGAAGAAATAATAGACATAGAATACTAGGCTGGGTGCGGTGGCTCACGCATGTAATCCCAGCACTTTGGGAGGCCGAGGCGGGCAGATCACGAGATTAGGAGATCGAGGCCATCCTGGCTAACGGTGAAACCCCGTCTGTACTAAAAATACAAAAAATTAGCCAGGCGTGGTGGCGGGCGCCTGTAATCCCAGCTACTCAGGAGGCTGAGGCAGGAGAATCACTTGAACCCGGGAGGTGGAGGTTGCAGTGAGCCGAGATCACACCACTGCACTCCAGCCTGGGCGACAGAGCGAGACCCCATCTCAAAAAAAAAAAAAAAAAAAGAATACTAGATATTAGATGCCACAAGGTTATCAATATACACTAGTTTCGAGGCTTTTTGAAAATTTTGGTGCACCCCTATCCAGCATATCCCGCCCCTCTCTATTTCACATTCCCTGTTGCTAATATTAGGAAAAGAGAACGTTTACGTGAGTATGCTATTTGATTTGAACCAACCTCTCAGGGTCAATAATATTTCAGTATTTTGTGTGCAGCATTTAAGATTATAAAGTATGCCCATTTCAGCACTCCTTTTAAACAGAAAGATTTAGTTGAAAACTCAAAGCCACATTTGTCCACTGAAAGCTTTTAAAAAGCTTCATTTGTGAAAAGACACATTGACCAGAGCTGCTGGGGATCATTAATGAAAGCTGGATCTTCAAAGGAGATTCTGTGTTACAAAAAGGTACTTGGACATTTTGGCTAAGCTGCAGACCACCTGTGATTTGGCCATTTGATAGAGGGTTGGTTGTTGACAGGTCCTAAGAGATACCCCCTATGTCTCTTCTTTTTAAAATTGTATTAAAAGATTTGTATCATGGGCTCCCTATTTAAAATGAAAGTCTGGGCAGCTGCCCCTTTTACTCCGTCTAGAAGAAGGTACCTTACATTTTCTAACATGAGTTTTCCATCAATAATTGTCTGCTATGACACCAAAGTATTCCCCACCTCCTGGCTGGAGAGCATGTTGTCTTGGTCATCTCCTCTGTTATGTTGGAGACAGAGTGACACACGTAGGTGAATGGGGTCTAAACCAATTAAATCCTTGTCTGGGTCTAAACCGATTAAAAAGGAACTCAAATCTATTTTCTCTCAGATTGGGAGAGTCCACGAAAATAAAAAAGCCAAACAACAGAAATGCTGCCCAGTTGCACAGGATGTTGCTATTATCTAGCATTTGCACATCAATTTATGTTTTCAAACTCATTGACAGTCACTAGTTACCGGCAGGCACTCTGTTAAGAAGTAGAGAACTCTAAGCTGAGTTTTGACCATAGATTCCCGGAAGTGATTTACAAGATCATTTTCAAATTTGTATGACCAAAAGGCATTTTAAATATGATTTTAAATTGCAAAGGGACGAAATCATGGGCTTCTTGTGTTTCTTTGGATGCCAATCACATTACTTCGAGAGCTGGCATAGGTCGTGGATGTCTCAGGCTACGCACCACTGATAACACAAACTATGCGGGCACTGGAGCAGAAAGATATGAGCAGAGGAAGAGAGATAAGTGGTGCCTCTAAGACCCCAGAAAGTGGTTTTGAACCCTTGTGGATCTCACTGGAAAGGGATTAGGAGAATACCACCTGGCAGAAGACCATTCTCTTATTAAGGCTGATCCACTCTCTCTCTCTCTCAAAAAAAAAAAAAAAAAAAAAAAAAACATAAAAAAAAAAATAAATAAATAAAAAAGATAAAAGAAAAAAAAGAAAAAAAACTTAAGTAGGAGGGAAAGTCTAGAGTTGACAGAGCTGAAAGGCTCTCAAAATTTTAAGACTTTTTTTTTTAAGTGTCTTAAAATATTTTAGGGACTTTAACTTTGTCTTAGTAAAGATGATAAAATTAAGTTCACTACACACTCATTCTTTTTAGAAGCTTTTCACCTCCCTTTTAACTGTGTGCATTTAATTTGTGTAATAATCACTGTATGTCCCCTTCAATGTCCTTTTGTATCTTTTTTTTTAGCATTTTAGTCTATTTCTGTCTGTCTGATTTTTTTCTTCTATTCAAAGACATTTTCTCCTCTATTATAGCTTTATTTAATGTTTCCCTTATGCTACAGCATAAGTGCCTTTTTTTCTCCATCCATATCTCTAAATTAGGGGGTCCCTCTTCCTTTTCTATGCAGCAGTCTGTCTTCAGCATGATGTCTTCACTTTTCTCTATTGTAGTCTCTTTTGTGATTGGCCAATAGCAAAATGAAACTTACTAGAATCCAATCCCAAAAGCACTTTAGAAGGATGGAATCTTATCATTTACTCCCTGAATCACTATCATCAGTACAGTTGGTGTAGAACGGTATTCCATTCTGGGGCTCATTGGATAAGTATGAGTTCAACCTGGCAGCTATAAAATAACCGGGGGAAAATCTTGTTCCTTTCCTCCTTTATAGCTCGGAAATTTGTGAGTGACCTTGCTTCTTTATTTCTAATTATGCCCTATGGAAAAATAACGCCTTTTTTTTCATTTATATTGTATAGTGCCTAAGATTTTTGGGGGCCTTTAATGAACAGCAGTACAATTTCATTTTCATTTTACAGGATATGCAATATAATTTTGAAAAATTAAACTACATGCTCGAGGAAGGATTCAACATTTCCGGAGAACCTAGCATTTTCCCTCAGAAGACTAAAATTAGATCCTGTTTTAATGACTGTCCCTGCAACACTGACTTCTATGTAATGAGAATGTTTCCATGTTCCTGCTGACAGACCACCTACTATTCTTTGCTGATGTGGGGCTGATAATTCTGACAATCAATAATAATAATTGTATAAACATTAACATGTATTGAGTGCGTGCTTTGTGCCAGGCACTGCACAAAGTGCTTTATAATGATTATTTCATTTGATCTTTGTAATAACCCCATGAGTTAAGAATACAAATGCTCTGGCATATCAGAATTGTTCACATTTGATGGTTGACTCAATATCGACTTTTAAAAACTGTCTAGAAACCTCCCACGACACTTACTGCACTGATGGTTCTCCATACTCCTCCAATGACACAAAGCCTATCCTGCTTTGAATTCTTGTATTATTATTATTCATATAGGGAGAATTCAACAAATAAACAGGTATTCTATTGACACCAAGAAGACTGACACTGCCGCTGCTCTGCTCCACTTTGAGGTTTGTAGCAAATATGTCTGGTGCTTGCATCACATCTTGTCAGCCCACCTGTGATTCCAGTGTCAGCAGTAGTGGACGGTTCTGTGCAAGTTCTAACTCGTGCTGTATAGCCAGCATCCCTTCTCAAAAGGGATCCCTGAGCCTTTCAGCTTTCTGTTCTAGGTTCCCCTGACCCCCATGACATGGGAGCTTCCTGGGTGGGCAAGCATAGCCAGCCACAGGGGTTAGTGCTTTGGCAGCAATTCTCTTTTTCCCCTCCCAACTTCTGCACAGTGTTTATTGAGCTTACTCATATCATATAGTTCACAGCTTTGATAGAAAAACTTCTTGTTTCCTTTTTGTATTTATACTTAGATTTTCTACATTGTTTTGAATCTTTCCGACGTTGTGTGAAGTTCAGAGCAGCGGAAAAGGCAGGGGTGCACTGGAGAGGATGTGTCCCACTCAGATCCAATGCTTGCCCATATCAGATGAAAAAGGAATCAATTCTCAACCAGTGGGAGCAGGAGCAGGTATACACATGCTCTGGCTTTCCATATTTCAGGCTGTAGCTACCTATATCCAGATTTGTTTTCTTCTGTACACTTCTCAACAGTTCCAGAGAATTGCTCATCTTTCTTTGTCGCTTCATTCTTCTTGTTCTCTTATTCCTGCTTCTTAGAATTACTTGCACCCAGGTCCCCCCGCCCTTTTTTTTTTGAGACAGAGTCTTGCTCTGTCGCCCAGGCTGGAGTGCAGTGGTGCAATCTCGGCTCAGTGCAGCCTCTGCCTCCCGGGTTCAAGAGATTCTCCTGTCTCAGCCTCCCAAGTAGCTGGGATTACAGGTGTGTGCCACCAAGCCCAGCTAATTTTTGTATTTTTAGTAGAGACAGGGTTTCACCATGTTGGCCAGGCTGGTCTGGAACTCCTGACCTCAGGTGATCTGCCCACCTCAACCTCCCAAAGTACTGGTATTACAGGCATGAGCCACCATGCCCGGCCCGAGGTCCCTTCTTGATTCTGTGATGAGGTAACCCCTCACTACAAAGCCAGGTCTTAGGATAGGTCTCACCATCATTAAACCTGGACTCTTGGAGAAGGCAAATGTGAATACCATTAAAAACCAGAATCTGTGATGTTGACAGTGGAAAGTCTACATCACTCATTATTTAAGACCCTCTTTGTCATCAATAAATGTTCATGGAAATTCAGGCACTATCTTAGGTCCCACTGCTGAGGCCGGGATTTAATCCAGAATCTGATAACAAGATTTGTTGGAACTTCTGCCTTAGGGCAGGAGAAAACAATAAGAAAGACTTTAAAATAAGGAGAGTCACCTAATCAGATCTGCATTTTAGGAGGATTACTATAGGCGCATTGTGGAAAAGGGATTCGGAAGCAAGAACAATATCAGGGAGATAAATTAGAGGCTATGTAGCATTTGAGTCAAAAGATATTGGAGTCAAGGGAGGTGTAAATAAGGGAATGAATTAAGAGATGGCTTGGGGATAGAGCTGACAGAATTTGGCAATGCATCATGTTAGATTTAAAGATAAAAGTAGATTCAGAAATAATACCCTAATTTTTGACTTGGGCAATTGGGTGAAGCGTAGCGTTCATAAGAACAGCACAATTAGGGAGGGAAAAATGTTGAGGGTGGATTGGGACAAAAGGAGGATAATAATGAGCTGCTGGGGACATGTTAAGTCTGAGGTGTCTGTGGGACATTCAGGTTGTGGTGGACAAGAAACATAGAAGGTGGCTGGGTCTGAAGCCCAGGAGAGAAATAAGTCTGACCTTACTTCAATAATCAAGCCAGCCATTTCAAATAATTATGCTAGAGCAATTGAACATCCATATGCAAAAAATAAACCTCAACTTAAACCTCATACTTTATATAAAAATCAAATGGATCACAGACTTAAACATAAAATGTAAAACTATAAGACATATAAAACAGGAGAGCCAAAATGGTGAAACCCCGTCTCTACTAAAAATACAAAAAATTAGCTGGGTGTGGTGGTGGAGGCCTGTAGTCCCAGCTACTCGGGAGGCTGAGGCAGGAGAATGGCGTGAACCCGGGAGGCGGAACTTGCAGTGAGCCAAGATCGGGCCACTGCACTCCAAGCTGGGCGACAGAGCGAGGCTCCGTCTCAAAAAAAAAAAAAAAAAAGAACAGGAGAAAATCTTTGGGATCCAGGGCTAGGCAAAGTATTCTTAGACTCAACACAAAAGCATGATCCATAAAAGGAAAAAGCGATAAATTCAACCTCGCCAAAATTAAAATTCTTTTTCATCCCCTGTTAAGAAGATGAAAAGATGAGAGAGAAAACATTTGAAAACCCTATACACAAGAAAGGACTAGTATCTGATACAGAAAGAACTCTCAAAACCGAACTATAAAAAAACTTTTGAATTAGAAAATAGACAAAAGACATGAACAGACATTTCAATGAGGAGGATATACATATGGCAAACAAGTACAGGAAAAGTTGTTCAACAGCATTTGCCACGAGGGAAACGTAAATTAAAAGCACAATGAGATATTCCTACACACATATCAGAATGGCTAAAAATAAAAAATAATGACAACACCAAATGTTGGTGAAGATGCAGAGAAACTGGATCACTCATACATTGCTGGTGGAATATAAAATAGTACAGACGCTTCGGAAAAGTTTGGCAGTTTTAAAACTAAACATTCAACTACCATATGACCTAACAATTGCACTCTTCAGCATTTATCTCAGGGAAATAAAAACTTATGTTCACACAAAAACCTGTACATTAATGTTGGTAGCTTTATTCACAATAGTCCAAAACTACAGATAACTCAGATGTCTTCAAGGGGTGAGTGATTAAATAAACTAGGGTATATCCAAACCATAGCATACAACTCACGATAAAAAGGAAACAAGTCTTGCTGCATATAAAAAGAGAAATCTCTAGGGAATTATGTTGAGTGAGTCAAGTCCATCCCAAAATATTACATACTGTATGGTTCCATTCATATAACATTATTGAAATAACAAAATTAAAGAAATGGAAAACAGACTAGTAGTTGCTGGAAGTAGGAGGTAGGGGGGGCAGGGAAGTGGGTGTGGCTATAAAAGGCCAATAGGAGGGATCTTTGTAGTGATGAAAATGTTCTGTATACTGACAATATTGACGTCAAAATCCTGGTTGTGACATTGAACTAGAGTTTTGCAGGTGTACCATTAGAGGAAACTCGGTAAAAAGGTATGTGGAGTCCGTGTATAATTTCTTACAACTCCATGTGAATCTACAATTAAAAATGCTGAGATCTAGTAGTTCTCAGTAATGTATCAATGACTGAATTTTCATCAGATTAGTTATATTGAATATTAATTCTAAGGTTCTGTCACTATCCCTTTTCAAGAATCTAGAAGCTTAGATTTCTTTTTGAAGCAATATACCAATAGTTTTCTTATTAAAAATTCAGAAGGCTTCAATGGCGAATAATTTTTTGGTAATAAGAAAAAAAACTAAGAATTATTTTTTATTAAAAAACAACAAAATCAGCTCTTAAGACACTTACAGTTCAGATGGGGAAATAAGATCTAGATATGTGAAAATGAGTAGTGTCCGGTGAAAGGCTCGTTTCTGGGTGGTTAGTTCAAAGGTTCCCTGGAGGACGCTGAGCTTGAGCTGGATCTGCAATCACATCTGGATTGAGGGAATCCTTCCAGCACTCAGCAAATAGCAGGAAAAACTGTCCAGACACAGCAGGTATCAAGATTTGGAGACTTTCCTCATCAGGAGGGAAGCATTTGTTTTGTTTGTTTGGACATACAAGGAGACAGAAAGAATATTGATAATGGATGTATTTGAACCCGATCTTGGTGACAATGTTGAGCCAAAGTTGTAAACATGATGATTAAGAACTCAGGTACTGAAGTTGGACTGCCTGGTGTGACTACCTCGTTTCTCAACTGAGAGCCACTGGGCAAAGCACTTAACTCGCTAAGTTTCTGCTTTTGTATCTAAAAATGATACTACTCATCAGAGGTACCTCAGAAAGTAGTTGTTAGAATTAAGGGAGATAACGTATGTCAAGTCCTTAGCACAGTGACTGGCAGAGTCTCATCTGGCATATATTAGCTCTGAGCTTAATGGGGGTGCTGGTGGTGATAATGACGTTGTCTCTCCAAAGGTTGCAAACGGCTTAGGGGCAGAGACTATCGCTTATCTTAGACTACCTGATGTCTGGGACACTCCTGGCACACAGCAGGAGTTTTGCGAAATTAAACTGGCAAAAGTAGTGTTCTTGCAAGATTAACTTGACAGCAATTGGCTGACCAGATGGAGGAAGGAGAGATTTTAGGCATAGAGTACAAGTAGAAAGCTGCTGCAATGATACAACTTCACTCCTCATGACAAGGGTCAGAAAAAATGGTTGGTGTCAGCGGGAATGATAAGGAATAGGTAAGTAATGAAAGATGAATTGAAGGACATAGTTCCTGGGCTTTGACTCCACATTTTAACTATGAATAGATTCTAAGCTTGACTGTAGTGTGCAAATTAGGCCTCTTTCGGAGAGAAGGCCCAGTATAGCAGAAAGAACATGAGTTTTGAAGTTAAACACTGTTCTGTCCCATATGTCATTTGTGTGACCTTAAAAAATGTATTTACAAAAGGCCTTTGACAAAATTCAACAACCCTTCATGCTAAAAACTCTCAATAAATTAGGTATTGATGGGACATATCTCAAAATAATAAGAGCTATCTATGACAAACCCACAGCCAATATCATACTGAATGGGCAAAAACTGGAAGCATTCCCTCTGAAAACTGGCACAAGACAGGGATGCCCTCTCTTACCACTCCTATTCAACATAGTGTTGGAAGTTCTGGCCAGGGCAATCAGGCAGGAGAAGGAAATAAAGGGTATTCAATTAGGAAAAGAGGAAGTCAAATTGTCCCTGTTTGCAGATGACATGATTGTATATCTAGAAAACCCCATCGTCTCAACCCCAAATCTCCTTAAGCTGATAAGCAACTTCAGCAAAGTCTCAGGATACAAAAGCAATGTGCAAAAATCACAAGCATTCTTATACACCAATAACAGACAGAGAGCCAAATCATGAGTGAACTCCCATTCACAATTGCTTCAAAGAGAATAAAATACCTAGGAATCCAACTTACAAGGGATGTGAAGGACCTCTTCAAGGAGAACTACAAACCACTGCTCAAGGAAATAAAAGAGGATACAAAGAAATGGAAGAACATTCCATGCTCATGGGTAGGAAGAATCAATATCGTGAAAATGGCCATACTGCCCAAGGAAATTTATAGATTCAATGCCATCCCCATCAAGCTACCAATGACTTTCTTCACAGAATTGGAAAAAACTACTTTAAAGTTCATATGGAACCAAAAAAGAGCCCGCATCGCCAAGTCAATCCTAAGCCAAAAGAACAAAGCTGGAGGCATCACGCTACCTGACTTCAAACTATACTACAAGGCTACAGGAAGCAAAACAGCATGGTACTGGTACCAAAACAGAGACATAGATCAATGGAACAGAACAGAGCCCTCAGAAATAATGCCGCATATCTACAACCATCTGATCTTTGACAAACCTGAGAAAAACAAGCAATGGGGAAAGGATTCCCTATTTAATAAATGGTGCTGGGAAAACTGGCTAGCCATATGTAGAAAGCTGAAACTGGATCCCTTCCTTACACCTTATACGAAAATTAATTCAAGATGGATTAAAGACTTAAATGTTAGACCTAAAACCACAAAAACTCTAGAAGAAAACCTAGGCATTACCATTCAGGACATAGGCATGGGCAAGGACTTCATGTCTACAACACCAAAAGCAATGGCAACAAAAGCCAAAATTGACAAATGGGATCTAATTAAACTAAAGAGCTTCTGCACAGCAAAAGAAACTACCATCAGAGTGAACAGGCAACCTACAAAATGGGAGAAAAATTTTCGCAACCTGCTCATCTGACAAAGGGCTAATATCCAGAATCTACAATGAACTCAAACAAATGTACAAGAAAAAAACAAACAACCCCATCAAAAAGTGGGCGAAGGACATGAACAGACACTTCTCAAAAGAAGACATTTATGCAGCCAAAAGACACATGAAAAAATGCTCACCATCACTGGCCATCAGAGAAATGCAAATCAAAACCACAATGAGATACCATCTCACACCAGTTAGAATGGCGGTCATTAAAAAGTCAGGAAACAACAGGTGCTGGAGAGGATGTGGAGAAATAGGAACACTTTTACACTGTTGGTGGGACTGTAAACTAGTTCAACCATTGTGGAAGTCAGTGTGGCGATTCCTCAGGGATCTAGAACTAGAAATACCATTTGACCCAGCCATCCCATTACTGGGTATATACCCAAAGGACTATAAATCATGCTGCTATAAAGACACATGCACACGTACGTTTATTGTGGCACTATTCACAACAGCAAAGACTTGGAACCAACCCAAATGTCCAACAATGATAGGCTGGATTAAGAAAATGTGGCACATACGCACCATGGAATACTATGCAGCCATAAAAAATGATGAGTTCATGTCCTTTGTAGGGACATGGATGAAATTGGAAATCATCATTCTCAGTAAACTATCACATGGACAAAAGACCAAACACCGCATGTTCTCACTCATAGGTGGGAATTGAACAATGAGAACACATGGACACAGGAAGGGGAACATCACACTCTGGGGACTGTTGTGGGGTGGGGGGAGGGGGGAGGGATAGCATTAGGAGATATACCTAATGCTAAATGACGAGTTAATGGGTGCAGCACACCAGCATGGCACATGTATACACATGTAACTAACCTGCACATTGTGCACATGTACCCTAAAACTTAAAGTATAATAAAATAAATAAATAAATAAATAAAATGTATTTACTCTTTCAGCATCTGTAGTAGACACCGTGGCGCTCCACCCTGGACCTCCTCTTTAGGGCCTTTGCATGCATGGGCCACCTGCTGCCTTATTGGCTGCTGGCTCACAGCTGGGGCCTTCATTGGAATGTGCCCTCAGGGAACTGCCTCACACAGCTACATCCCCTCCCTCAGGGAGAGACCTAGGGCCAATGACTGGCTGATGCAGGGATTAACTCATTTATGCCTAGTGTTCCATTATTGGGACGCTAAGCTTGTGGGAGTTTTTTATATCCTACTGCTCAAGGTCATCGCCAAGGTCTGACTTTTCACAAAACATTTTTGCAACCTCCAGCATAAATGGGTTAAAGTCTTCACCCATTTGATTTACTGGGGACAACTCTGAAAGGCCAAACCTACTCCAGAGCTTCCCTGCATGCTCCTGCTGCAGCCATAATTGCAACTGCATGGTGAACCAGCTTTTCCTCTGCGCAGTCATGCCCCTTTCAGTTTCTTAGAGGTGTAAATCCTGAGAGCACTTCCCAGTATGACAATAATCCTTCTGCAAGCAACTCTCCAACTGCTTCTGCTTCTGAGCCTAGTCTTGGAGAGCCTTTTATTCCTAATCTGTGAAAGGGAAAAAAGGTACACAGTTGTTATTGAGAGTTGTGCTGGGAATAAAACGAGATCATGTGCTTGGCAGAAAACCGTGTTCAAGCAATGACAGCTAATAGGTGATACTTGAGGACATTATGCTACGTGAAATAAGCCAGTCCAAAAAGGAACAAATACTGTATAATTCCGCTTACATGATGTTCCTAGAATAGTCAAATGCATAGAGACGGAAAGTAGAAAGATGGCTGCCAGGGGCTGGGGGAAAGGAGGAAATGAGAAGTGGTTTAATGGGTACAGTTTCAGATTTGCAAGGTGAAAAAGTTCTGCAAGTCCACTACATGACAACATGAATATACTTAACATTACTGAACTATACTCTAAAAAATGGTTAAAATGGTAAATTTTACATTATGTGTTTTTACCACAATTTGAAAAGAAAGAAATGATGGCTACCATACCATTGATTCCATTTAATTGATTTTACCCACAAGCAGGTACCTTTTCTGGCTTCTCCTGTATTTTCTCATCCTGTTGGGTGGGACCTATAGTTTCAAACATGATTGAAGCTCCCTGCCTCCTCTGACACCCTGGATATTACGTCTCCGTAATCTGATTTTTTACACCAATGTTTCTAATCTCCACACATCTCTTTAGACTTTAGATTCTCTCATGAGCTGAAATCACCCTGGCATAGGCTCTGAGGAACTGCATGGAAGCAAACAGCACTATTTTCCTTCCTTCCTCTAACAAAACAGATCTCTTTAAAATCACCACCATAACCTTTCGAAAAGCACATCAAACTGCATCATGATACAAAAGAAATTATACTCTGTCGGTGCCAGGTTGTTGAAAATAAGGGATTGAGATCAGGAGTCTGGGGAAGTTGACAGATATAATGATGTGCTTAGATATCCTGATGGATTTTGACACAGATTCTCTGCTTGGGGGTGAGTGTAATTACTATTTGTACAGAGAGCAGAGTCAAGGTCAGAAAATACAGGAGAGGGACCCATCAAGCTAAAGTAGAGGACTTTAAAGTGGTTGGGGAGTTTTTGTTATTCAGAAGCTCAAACTGGTCAGCAGGACAAAAGAATATACAGAGTCAGGGTATGGGCAGGGGCCAATATCCAATATCCAGAAATTCCTGTCTAGCAAGAATGGAGAGGAAATGTCAGAGCATGGGTTGGAATTTGGAATGAAGTTATATGAGGAAACAGACAAGGTACAAAACGTGACCAAGAAGTTGGAGGTGCCACTGCAAAATTTGGAATAAAAGGGGTAGTGCCAAGGCAGGTCTGAGGACTGATCCTAAGCCAGTGGTTGTTTCTTCTGTCCTAGTTTTAAGCAGCTTTCCTAGTGAGGGTGGATGAGGGCCAAGAGCACTGGGCTTCTCCCCAGAGTCACACAGGATTCTGCAGGTTTTAATGATTACAGCAGAGAGAGCTTGGTCCCCTGGAAAGCCCTTGCGGTTCTAACCCAGCAAAATGCATTGAATCTGACAGGCCAGCATTTACCACCTCTGATGCCAGTGCATGGGGAAAAACAAATTGCCCCATTTGCAAACTTAGTACATATATGCAGTTAGGAGTTGCTCTACTCGTTACACAAAAAGATTTTATAAGTAAAAAATACTTAAAGTCTGGCACTAAGTTTCTACTCCCTGTTTGTTTTGATTTTGATACCTGTACTCTATTCTAAAGACTTGGTAGTGAGAGTAGAGCGGGAGGTGGCGGGGGGAATTGAATGCCTCCCAAGTATTTGAAGGGCTGTCTTTGCCAAGAGGGTTTACACTTACTGTGTATATTTCCAAAGCATACATATAGACAGAAAGGCAGAGGTTATGGGAAGATCAACTTCAGCTCAATGCAAGAGATAACAGCCTAATTATTAGGGTGTTTGTGAACTGAACAGGCTGCTTTACAAAGTGAGGAGTTCCCCATCACTAAGTTTTAAGCCTAGGCCAAAGTGTTTTCTAGCAGAAATGTGGAAGAACTCCTGAAAGGATTTAGACTAGATCTTGAAGGCCCCTTTCAACCTAAGATTTTATTACTCAAACTTGTTAAGATGTGATTAACACTAGCTTAAATAAGTTAACTATCGAGAGTCAGCCTAATGTAATGGTTAGGATTACCAGGTCTGCAGCCATATTACCTGGGTTTGAATCTTGGCTTCTTACTAGCTGTGGGCTTTGGGCAAATTACTCAATCTCTCTATACCTTAGTCTTCTTATTTGTAAACTGGGAATTACAACAGTACCTATCTACAAGATCGTTGTTGTCAGGCCTCTGAGCCCAAGCTAAGCCATCATATCCCCTGTGACCTGCACGTATACATCCAGAAGGCCTGAAGTAACTGAAAAATCACAAAAGAAGTGAAAATGGCCTGTTCCTGCCTTAACTGATGACATTCCACCACAAAAGAAGTGAAAATGGCCGGTCCTTGCCTTAACTGATGACATTACCTTGTGAAATTCCTTTCCCTGGCTCATCCTGGCTCAAAAAGCTTCCCCACTGAGCACCTTGTGACTCCCACTCCTGCCCGCCAGAAAACCACCCCCCATTTGACTGTAATTTTCCTTTACCTACCCAAATCTTATAAAACGGCCCCACCCCTGTCTCCCTTTGCTGACTCTTTTTGGACTCAGCCCGCCTGCATCCAGGTGATTAAAAAGTTTTATTGCTCACACAAAGCCTGTTTGGTGGTCTCTTCACACGGACGCGCATGAAATTTGGTGCCATCACTCGGATCAGGGGACCTCCCTTGGGAGATCTATCCCCTGTCCTCCTGCTCCTTGCTCTGTGAGAAAGATCCACCTACGACCTCTGGTCCTCAGACTAACCAGCCCAAGGAACATCACACCAATTTTAAATCAGGTAAGCGGCCTCTTTTTACTCTCTCCTCCAACCTCTCACTATCCCTCAACCTCTTTCTCCTTTCAATCTTGGCGCCCCACTTCAATCTCTCCCTTCTCTTAACTTCAGTTCCTTTCCTTTTCTGGTAGAGACAGGAGATGCGTTTTATCCGTGGACCCAAAACTCCGGCACCGGTCACGGACTCGGAAGAGTCTTCCCTTGGTATTTAATCACGCGGGGATGCCTGCCTGATTATTCACCCACATTTCAGAGGTGTCTGACCACACGGGGACGCCTGCCTTGGTCCTTCACCTTTAGCGGCAAGTACCGCTTTTCTCGGGGGCAAGAACCCCCCAACCCTTCTCTCCATGTCTCTACCCCTTCTCCGCTTTTCTGGGGGACAAGAACCCCCCACCCCTTCTCTCCGTGTCTCTACTCCCTTTTCTCTGGGCTTGCCTCCTTCACTATGGGCAACCTTCCACCCTCCATTCCTCCTTTTTCTCCCTTAGCCTGTGCTCTCAAGAACTTAAAACCTCTTCAACTCACACCTGACCTAAAACCTAAATGCCTTATTTTCTTCTGCGATGCCACTTGACCCCAGTACAAACTTGACAGTAGTTCCAAATAGCCAGAAAACGGCACTTTCAATTTTTCCATCCTACAAGCTCTAAATAATTCTTGTCATAAAATAGGCAAACGGTCTGAGGTGCCTGATGTCCAGGCATTCTTTTACACATCTGCCCCTCCCCAGTCTCTGTTCCCAATGCAACTCCTTCCAAATCTTCCTTCTTTCCCTCCCACCTGTCCCCTCAGTCCCAACCCCAAGCATCGCTCAGTCTTTCTAATCTTCCTTTTCTACAGACCCATCTGACCTCTCCCCTCCTCGCCAGGCCCAATTATTCCTCAGCCTCTGCTCCTCCACCCTATAATCCTTTTATCACCTCCGCTCCTCACACCCGGTCCGGCTTACAGTTTCCTTCCATGACTAGCCCTCCCCCACCTGCCCAGCAATTTCCTCTTAAAAAGGTGGCTGGAGCTAAAGGCATAGTCAAGGTTAATGCTCCTTTTTCTTTATCCCAAATCAGATAGCGTTTAGGCTCTTTTTCATCAAATAAAAAAACAAGCCCAGTTCATGGCTCGTTTGGCAACAACCCTGAGATGCTTTACAGCCCTAGACCCTAAAAGGTCAAAAGGCCGTCTTATTCTCAATATATATTTTATTACCCAATCTGCTCCCGACATTAAACTCCAAAAATTAAATTCCAGCCCTCAAACCCCACAAGACTTAATTAACCTCGCCTTCAAGGTGTACAATAATAAAGTAGAGGCAGCCAAGTAGCAATGTATTTCTGAGTTGCAATTCCTTCCCTCCACTGTGAGACAAACCCCAGCCATATCTCCAGCACAGAAGAACTCCAAATGCCTGAACTGCAGCTGCGAGGGGTTCCTCCAGAATGGCCTCCCCCAGGAGCTTGCTACAAGTGCCAGAAATCTGGCCACTGGGCCAAGGAATGCCCGCAGCCCGGGATTCCTCCTAAGCCATGTCCCATCTGTGGAGGACCCCACTGAAAATCGGACTGTTCAACTCACCTGGCAGCCACTCCCAGAGCCCCTGGAACTCTGGCCCAAGGCTCTCTGACTCCTTCCCAGATCTTCTCGGTTTAGTGGCTGAAGACTGACGCTGCCCGATTGCCTCAGAAGCCCCCTAGACCATCACAGATGCCGATCTTCAGGTAACTCTCACAGTGGAGGGTAAGTCCGTCCCCTTCTTAATCAATACGGAGGCTACCCACTCCACATTACCTTCTTTTCAAGGGCCTGTTTCCCTTACCTCCATAACTGTTGTAGGTATTGACGGCCAGGCTTCTAAACCTCTTAAAACTCCCAAACTCTGGTGCCAACTTAGACGATACTCTTTTAAGCACTCCTTTTTAGTTATCCCCACCTGCCCAGTTCCCTATTAGGCCGAGACACTTTAACTAAAT
This sequence comes from Homo sapiens, assembly GCF_000001405.40. Classification (NCBI taxonomy): domain Eukaryota; kingdom Metazoa; phylum Chordata; class Mammalia; order Primates; family Hominidae; genus Homo; species Homo sapiens. Next base: position 31,380,284 of record NC_000023.11, read on the forward strand.
GATCTGCTTCCCTGACTATTCCTAGGCTAGAGCCACACCTCATTGCCGCCTTTTCCCCCAGTTCAAAGCCTCCTTCACATCTCCCCTTGTATCTCCCCACCTTAACCCACAAGCATAAGACACCTCTACTCCCTCCTTAGCGACCAATCATGCACCCCTTACCATCCCATTAAAACCTAATCACCCTTACTCCGCTCAATGCCAACATCCCATCCCACAGCACGCTTTAAAAGGATTACAGTCTGTTATCACTCGCCTGCTACAGCATGGCCTTTTAAAGCCTATAAACTCCCCTTACAATTCCCCCATTTTACCTGTCCTAAAAGCAGACAAGGTTTACAGGTTAGTTCAGGATCTGCACCTTATCAACCAAATTGTTTTGCCTATCAACCCTGTGGTGCCAAACCCATATACTCTCCTGTCCTCAATACCTCCCTCCACAACCCATTATTCTGTTCTGGATCTCAAACATGCTTTCTTCACTATTCCTTTGCACCCTTCACCCCAGCCTCTCTTCACTTTCACTTGGACTGACCCTGACACCCATCAGGCTCAGCAAATTACCTGGGCTGTACTGCCTCAAGGCTTCACAGACAGCCCCCATTACTTCAGTCAAGCCCAAATTTCTTCCTCACCTGTTACCTATCTCGGCATAATTCTCATAAAAACACACGTGCTCTCCCTGCTGATCATGTCTGACTAATCTCCCAAACCCCAATCCCTTCTAGAAAACAACAAGTTTTTTCCTCCTAGGCATGGTTAGATACTTTCGACTTTAGATACCTGGTTTTGCCATCCTAACAAAACCATTATATAAACTCACAAAAGGAAACCTAGCTGACCCCATAGATCCTAAATCCTTTCCCCACTCCTCTTTCCATTCCTTGAAGACAGCTTTAGAGACTGCTCCCACCCGAGCTCTCCCTGACTCATCCCAACCCTTTTCATTACACACCGCTGAAGTGCAGGGCTGTGCAGTCAGGATTCTTACATAAGGACTGGGATCACGTCCTGTAGCCTTTTTATCCAAACAACTTGACCTTACTGTTTTGCCTAGCCCTCATGTCTGCGTGCGGCAGCCGCCACCACCCTAATACTTTTAGAGGCCCTCAAAATCACAAACTATGCTCAACTCACTCTCTACAGTTCTCATAACTTCCAAAATCTATTTTCTTCCTCACACCTGACGCATATGCTTTCTGCTCCCCGGCTCCTTCAGCTGTACTCACTCTTTGTTGAGTCTCCCACAATTACCATTGTTCCTGGCCCAGACTTCAATCCGGCCTCCCACATTATTCCTGATACCACGCCTGACCCCCATGACTGTATCTCTGATCCACCAGACATTCAACCCCATTTCCCCATATTTCCTTCTTTCCTGTTCCTCACCCTGATCACACTTGGTTTATTGATGGCAGTTCCACCAGGCCTAATGGCCACACACCAGCAAAGGCAGGCTATGCTATAGTACAAGCCACTAGCCTGCCTCTTAGAACTTCTCATTTCCTTTCCATCGTGGAAATCTATCCTCAAAGAAATAACTTCTCAGTGTTCCATCTGCTATTCTACTACTCCTCAGGGATTATTCAGGCCCCCTCCCTTCCCCACACATCAAGTTCGAGGATTTGCCCCCGCCCAGGACTGGCAAATTGGCTTTACTAAACATGCCCCGAGTCAAGAAACTAAAATACCTCTTGGTCTAGGTAGACACTTTCACTGGATAGGTAGAGGCCTTTCCCACAGGGAAACATAATTCCTCGGTTTGGCCTTCCCACCTCTATACGGTCCTATAACAGACTGGACTTTATTAGTCAAATCACCCAAGCAGTTTCTCAGGCTCTTAGTATTCAGTGAACTAATGGTCTTTTAAAAACACACCTCACCAAGCTCAGCCACCAACTTAAAAAGGACTGGACAATACTTTTACCACTTGCCCTTCTCAGAATTCAGGCCTGTCCTCAGAATGCTACAAGGTACAGCCCATTTAAGCTCCTGTATGGACGCTCCTTTTTATTAGGCCCCAGTCTCATTCCAGACACCAGACCAACTTAGACTGCACCCCAAAAAACTTGTCATCCCTCCTATCTTCTGTCTAGTCATACTCCTATTCACCAGTCTCAACTAGTCATAAATGCCCTGCTCTTGTTTACACTGCTGGTTTACACTGTTTCTCCAAGCCATCACAGCTGATATCTCTTGGTGCTATCCCCAAACCACCACTCTTAACTCTTAAAGTAAATAATCTTTGCTGGCAAGGCTATGCTGAACCTCCTTAGGCACTCTCTAATTAGACGTCCTAGGTCCTCCCAATTCTTCGTCCTTTAATACCTGTTTTTCTCCTTCTCTTATTCCGTTTAGTTTTTCAATTCATACAAAACCGTATCCAGGCCATCACCAATAATTCTACATGACAAATGTTTCTTCTAACAACCCCACAATATCACCCCTTACCACAAAATCTTCCTTCAGCTTAATCCCTCCCACTCTAGGTTCCCACGCCACCCCTGATCCACCTCGAAGCAGCCCTGAGAAACATCACCCATTATCTCTCCACACCACCCCGAAAATTTTCGCCGCCCCAACACTTCAACACTATTTTGTTTTATTTTTCTTATTAATATAAGAAGACAGGAATGTCAGGCCTCTGAGCCCAAGCTAAGCCATCATATCCCCTGTGACCTACACATATACATCCAGATGGCCTGAAGTAACTGAAAAATCACAAAAGAAGTGAAATTTAAATGGCCTGTTCCTGCCTTAACTGATGACATTCCACCACAAAAGAAGTGAAAATGGCCGGTCCTTGCCTTAACTGATGACATTACCTTGTGAAATTCCTTCTCCTGGCTCTTCCTGGCTCAAAAGCTCCCCCACTGAGCACCTTGTGATCCCCACTCCTGCCCACCAGAGGACAACCCCCCTTTGACTGTAATTTTCCTTAACCTACCCAAATCTTATAGAACGGCCCTACCCCTATCTCCCTTCGCTGACTCTTTTCGGACTCAGCTCGCCTGCGCCCAGGTGATTACAAAGCTTTATTGCTCACACAAAGACTGTTTGGTGGTCTCTTCACACGGACGCGAGTGAAAGTTGTAACAATTAGGTTGGTGAATAGATATGAAGTACGTAGATAATGCTTGGTATGTAGTAGTTAGTATTACTTCTGTTGCTGCTGCTACTACTACTACTATTACTACTGATAGGGACAGGAGGCAGGGAAATTCTGGACAGAAGAGGGCGGGTCTCTGGCAAGGGCCCCACCCTTAAGCCTAAAAGCCTGGAACTGTGGCCCAAAGTGAGAACTTACATCCCTGTTTTCCTGCTCAAATGTTGCCTTTTCCAAAACCACCCATAGCCCACCCTGCCCTCCATCCTGTGCCTGTAAAAATCCCAGGCTCAGCCGGCACAGAGGAGAAGCAGCTGGATGTTGGAAACTATGGTTGTGCATTGGAGAGAAGTGGCTTGACTTCCGAGGGACAGCCTGGCAGCATAGCTTCAGAGAGGAGTCTGATTGCGGACAGCTGGACTCGAGGTGAAGATTACCTTCCTGCTCTGTCCCCTTTTCAGCTCCTTTTCCTGCTGAGAGCCACTTTCATCAGCAATAAAATCCCCCGCATTTACCATCTCCAATTAGTTTGTGTGACCTCATTCCTCCTGGAAAATGGGCAAGATCTGAGGTGCCACAAGTGCGAGTACAGAAGGCTGTCACACTGACCCTCCACTGAGCTGTTAACACTTAAGCCATCTGCAGATGGCAAAGATAAAAGGGCCCTGTAACACTCCTTCTGGGGATTCAAGGGTCGCGGGCACCCTCCTAGACACTGCCATGGGGCCCACACAGAGTTTTGTTCCTGCTGGCGCCCAAAAGCACTCACCCTGGCTCCTGTACCCACTCACCTGTGCTTCCTCTCCCATGAGGGGTGGAACTCAGTGAGACTGAGCCAGTGGAGTCTGCCCCTGCCAGCACCGAAGCGGCTATGCAGTCCAGTTCCCGCCCGCGAGGGGATCAGGGTAATATCCTGCTTCACTACTACTACTACTACTACTACTACTACTACTACTACTACTACTACTACTACTTTAGCTTCATAGATATCAATTCTTGCTTTTTGGTTGTGATTTTGTACTCTGATGACCAGAGAAGAGAACAGGGACCTGTGGAATATAAATTCATGGTGAAGTACATGTTATGTTATCAATTCTTGAAAAACCCTGAAATGTAGACTCATTTCCCCCATGCAGGTTTGTTGTTTTTGAGGAAAGAAATGACAGCTGTGAAACAAGTCTAAATTGTGCCCTAATGTCTGAGTGTCCAACAGTATGCTGCTGTTGAAGCAATAGCAAAGCAGAGACAAAACCTATTGTTTCCTCTCCCTGTATAACTGAAACCATGGCCGGTTGCCCTTTTCTGTCCATGATGTGGAAAGCTCTGCTCTCATGACCTCAAAAATGGGCATGTTTCACCATTCACTCAGAGAAGATCCTATTACAGAAAAACAATACCCAGCTGCAATTTAACTCAGAGCTGAGAAACCCTCTACCCAATGATTATGGGCCCACTTTTGTGATCTACCTGTGAGGCAAAAAGAACATTCTTTCAACGATGTGCGTAGGATGTCTGTATTAGGAAAACTGATAAATGGAAACGTGGAGGACTTCAAATAATTCTCATCAAGTCTGTTCTTAAAATGGCAAACTTCCAAAGTCCCTTGAGAATACACAGGTCTCAATGAGAAGAAAAAGCGGCTGATAAAACATTAGGCTTTCCAAAAATTGCCCATTTCTCCTCAAAATTCCTACATGAAGGTTCACAAGGTTTAACGTACAGGTTGTTGGAAGCACAAACAAATCTACCTCAGGAGAGTTAATTCACCTCAGGACCAATTTCTCCTCTGCTGGTACATCTACTATTCATTTAGCAGCCCTGCTTGGATAAAGCCCAGAGCCATTTCAACGGCAGTAGGAAGGGACGTTTAGAGAGTTATCATCAGTCATTTATGCCTGCGCTGTTAACAACTGAATCAATAACATCAGTGCTATGGAGAGCACCTTCAGAGCCTAGTTAGGATGTCTGCAGTTGTCAGATTAGACAGGCAAGATGTTTTGGAAACATATTTGTTTCAGGAAATGTTTAAGTGGTAAGCATCCACAGGGTTCTGTGGCCATCCTGTTCACAAACATGGATATATTAATAGATTTAATTTGGTTGACTAATGAAGATATTTATTGTTGCTTTAAAAAAAATTCTTATAATTTTTGTAGGTACACATTAAGCGTATATATTTATAGAGCATATGAGATGTTTTGATACAGGCATGCAATGTGAAATCAGCACATTATGCTTTTTATATTAAGAGATGATGTTCAGAGAAATGCAAATCAAAACCACAATGAGGTACCATCTCACACCAGTTAGAATGGCTATCATTCAAAAGTCAGGAAACAACAGATGCCAGAGAGGATGTGGAGAAATAGCACTTTTACACTGTTGGTGGGACTGTAAACTAGTTCAACCATTGTGGAAGACAGTGTGGCAATTCCTCAAGGATCTAGAACTAGAAATACCATTTGACCCAGCCATCCCATTACTGGGTATATACCCAAAGGATTATAAATCATGCTGCTATGAAGACACATGCACACGTATGTTTATTGCGGCACTGTTCACAATAGCAAAGATTTGGAACCAACCCAAATGTCCATCAATGATAGACTGGATTAAGAAAATGTGGCACATATACACCATGGAATACTATGCAGCCATAAAAAAGGATGAATTCATATCCTTTGTAGGGACATGGATGAAGCTGGAAACCATCATTCTCAGCAAACTATCACAAGGACAGAAAACCAAACATTGCATGTTCTCACTCATAAGTGGGAATTGAACAATGAGAACACATGGACACAGGAAGGAGAACATCACACACCAGGGACTGTTTTGGGGTGAGGGGAGGGAGGAGGGATAGCATTAGGAGATATACCTAATGTAAATGACGAGTTAATGGGTGCAGCACACCAACATGGCACATGTATACATATGTAACAAACCTGCACGTTGTGCACATGTACCCTAGAACTTAAACTATAGTAATAATAAAAAAAAAAGAAGAGATGATGTTGATGGGGGTTGGTTTTCCTATGTCTGTGTGAGGCTGAAAAGCTGGTATTTTCAGTTTTCTGTTTTTCAGAAAATGCCTTCCCCTTTGGGTTCTGTATTATGTAATCATAGCACTTTTAATGCCTTACCTCATTTAATTTCTTCATATGGGAGGGAGGTCTAACTCTGCTAGTCTTTATGCTCCCTGGGGACAGGGGTCTAATCCATCTCTGTGTTTCCAGAATTTAACACAGTGCTTGGCACATAATGGATGCTCAATATTGTTTACTGAATCACTGACTGTATGATGAATGAATGAACACATGAAGTAAAAACATGATTTAGAGTCCTGATCTATCTAATCACAAAGGAACTCTTTGGTTTCAATCTATCAAGTAGTTGTGACTGTCATAATGGCTTTCAGCTGTCTTTAGCTCTGCAGTAGTTTTTTTAATAGGCTTCATTCTAGACACATATACTCAGGTGTTCCTGAGCTGCTTCCTTAAGGCATTTCCTCGGTCAGATCTACTTATGGTTGACATCTCACCACAACTAACATGACCACCTTGGGAATATTGCTCTTTTTTGCGTAATGTTTGGGCCAACAGGTTATGAAGCCAAACACAGTGATTAGGACTAGTGGACTTGGGGGCTTCCTGGGGGAGCATTACAGGTGACACAAAATCCTTGGTTGACATTAAGTACATTTGTGGATTTGATGCTTACAAATCCAGCTGTGACTCCCTTGGCAAGTTCAAGTCTTAGACTCTATAGGAAGCTAAAAATGGTCATTGTTCCATCAAATTTGGTATGATCTGAAATCTACAGCCATGCTTTCTGTCATTTTTTAAAAGGCACATTGACCTCAAAGAGCACAATTTGAGAGGAATTCAGATGAGGTGAATTCTAACCCAGATATCACATTAAATAGCTGTGTCATCTTGGCCAAGTCTTAACCTTTTTGAACTTGTCTAGTAAGGGTGTTAGACTAGATGATCTCATGATATGTAAATTAATTCTTTTTTTTTTTGTTTGAGACAGAGTCTCGCTCTGTCACCCAGGCTGGAGTACAGTGGTGCAATCTTGGCTCACTGCATCCTCTGCCTCCTGGGTTCATGTGACTCTCCTGCCTCAGCCTCCCAAGTAGCCGGGACTATGGGCATGCACCACTATGCCTGGCTAAGTTTTGTATTTTTAGTAGAGACGCGGTTTTGCCATGTTGGCCAGGCTGGTCTTGAACTCCTGACCTCAGGTGATCCACCCGCCTTGGCCTCCAAAAGTGCTGGGATTACAGGTGTGAGCCACCACACCTGGCCTAATTCTTTTAAATGTTATATAATCAGCTTAGTCTTGCCTCAAGGACTTTTTATGTGTTGCCCTGTTTGGGACACAATTCCTCATGAACTTTCGGGTCTCCCTCCCCACTTCTTTCAGGTCTTTCCTCAAATGTCACCTCCTCAGTGGAACCTTCCCTGATCACCTTATATAAAATGACAATTCCTTCCATGAACAACTCTCTAGCGTCTTCCTTGCTTTATTTATTTCAACATGCTGTCACTATTTAAAATTGTTATATGATAATTGTGTACTTGTTTATCATCTTTCTTCTTTGTTTTTCGGTTTTTTTTTTTTTTGAGATGGAATCTTGCTCAGTCACCCAGGCTGGAGTGCAGTGGCACGATCTCGGCTCACTGCAATCTCCAGCTCCCAGGTTCATGCCATTCTCCTGCCTCAGCCTCCCGAGTAGCTGGGACTACAGGTGCCCACCACCAAGCCCGGCTAATTTTTTTTTTGTATTTTTAGTAGAGACGGAGTTTCACCATGTTAGCCAGGACGGTCTCGATCTCCTGACCTCGTGATCCACCCGCCTTGGCCTCCCAAAGTGCTGAGATTACAGGAGTGAGCCACCACGCCCGGCCTATCATCTGTCTTCTTTACAAGAATGTAAGCTCTCCTGAGGGCAGGGGTTTTGTCTTGTTTGCTGCTTTATTATCAATACCTAAAATGGCGCCTGGCATATAACAGACCCACAATAGATATTAATTGAATGACTAAGTGAATATTTAAACTCCTAGCTAAAAAGTCTTCAGGGTTTCTTAGGTGTAATCTGGTTTAACACACCAAGTTGAGAATCACAGAATTATTAGATAATTAAAGCGAAAAAAGACATTAAGTTTACCTAGCTCAATACCTCATTTTGAAGACAGAAAAAGTGAAAGTCAAAATGGTTAAATGAGGCCAGGAGCGGTGGCTCATGCCTGTAATCCCAGCACTTTAGGAGGCCAAGGTGGGCGGATCACCTGAGGTCAGGAGTTTGAGACCAGCCTGACCAACATGGCAAAATCCCGTCTCTACTAAAAATACAAAAATTAGCCAGGCATGGTGGCAGGCACTTGTAATCCCAGCTGCTTGGGAGGCTGAGGCAGGAGAATTGCTTGAACCCGTGAGGTGGAGGTTGCAGTGAGCCAAGATCACGCCACTGCACTCCAGCCTGGGTGACAGAGTGAGACTCCGTCTCAAAAAACAAAACAAAACAAAACCAAAAAACATTTGAGACCATTGGAAGAGCTGAATCTCAGCATCCTATTAGGAAAAGTTAAACTTACAGAAAATTTGCAAAAGTAGTATAGAAAGTTCCCATATACAATTTGTCCAACTTCCAACTTCTTTTACTAGGAAATTAGTTTGCCTGCCCAAGAAATGTCTGCAAGGGGTTTTATGACTATTTCATTTTGATCCTCTACATATTGAAACTTGAGATGCTCCAGCTGACTTATTCATTATCTTGGGGGAGTGTAGATTATTTGTGCAACAGGCATATTCTTATTTTAAGCCATTTTATCCAACGTCATCAAATGATTTAACAAGAGACTTTTAAACTTCTCAGAATATTCTTCCTTATAAATAACAGGAGGTGCCTTAGTTTAGGAATGGCAGACAAATGTAAAGCACTTGTACCATTATTTTCTCATTTAATACCAATGGTAGAAATTACTAATCAGCCTATGGCACTGTATTGTAGTCTTCCCCAATTTGCTTTATGCTCTTTTACAATAAACCACTCTAGGCAGCTGATATCAGTCAATAAGAGCTTGCTTGTGAGATGAACAATATTTACCATTCCAGATATAGTGCAGTAAGGAATAAGATAAAGATGCCGAAACTCAGATTCTATTATAATCACAGATTATCCATTGATTAGCTTAGTGAGTTTTAAAAAATCATTTCTACACTTCTGTGCCCTACTTCACACAGTTAGGATGAGGGTTAAATGGAATAGACACATCTAAAGGTGCTTTGTGAAATGTAAAGAATTATATACATGAAACCTGATCTTAGGATATTCAAGAAAATTGACCATAGAAATGCATTTCTCCAATATACTTTAAGAATCCTTTGTTTTTCTACCATCTGTTTAGTTTAGTCTGTATACATCTAACTTTTATTCCCATGTCCAACAGAACTGAAGTTAGAGTGTGAGAGATTCCTTCTTCAGCTAATGGAATAAATGATATAGAGCTCAGTGGATAAACATGTGCTTGAGTGCCATTCTAGAGCAAGCCCTCATGACAGCTGAGCCAGAGAAACATATTTCAGCCACTTCCCTATCTCATTGCTTCATATCTCAGATAATTTAGAAGTATATGATTTTAAAAATCACTGCTTTCTGATCAAGTATCAATTAACATCCTCAGATAATTTGGGAGGGTGTGGGATTCGTAGCCGGATTGTAGCAAAGTTGGAACTTAAAATGGAAAAAAAAAACAAAAAGCCCAGACCGAAAGCCATCCATCACTTACACATTTATTCACATCCTTGAATTCTGAGATGTCATATTCTTTTGATTTTTGACTGACTTCTCTTCTCCTACCTCTGCTTGACTTCTTTTTCTTGAAGTTTATCAAGGTTTGGTCCTAGGCCATCTTCCCTTCCCTCTTTACATGCTAAGTGATTTCCATTCTGGATGCTCTAAATTCCATTTTGTATCAATATTTTTCTCATTTACGCTTCTAGCTCGGGTCTCTCCTTTGAGCTATAATTGAATTTGACTTCTGCACTTGGACATATCACACACATTTCAAACTGAACATGTCTAAAACTGAACTGTTGATCTTTTCCAAATCTGCTTCCTCCTCCATCTTTATCACCTCAGCAAACAGTACAACAAGTTGATCAAACAAAAAAAACTTGGGAGTCATCCTCAATCCCTCATGCCTGACATCTAATCCATCACCAAGTCATACAGATTTTGTCTCGAAAATACATCTCAAATCTGTTCATTTCTCTCTATTTCCATTGCCGCCATCTTACTCCCAGTAGTCATTTTCTTTCATCAAGACAACTGCAAATGCCTCTTACCTGGCCTCTTTGCTTCTACTCTTGCCACATTCAATCTCTCATTTATACAGCAGGTCCATCAGATTGTATGATGTTTTGCAGGTACATCAGCTCAGGTGTACTTTCACAGGTACGTCAGATTATATTATTTCTCTGCTTACCCATAAAATAAACTCTCCAGCCTTGTCCTGTACCACTCACCCCCTCAGTCATTAGCTCCTAGCCATACTTGCCTCCTTTTAGGTCATTGTCTTGAAAATATTATTCCATTCCCCTCCCTGTTCATATGACTGACCTAACCTTCAGATTTTAGCTTAAATATATCCTTTTCAGAGAGGCCTTCCTAGACTATGAAGAAGTTCCCACTATTATTCTTCCAAAGTAGCCTATTCTTTGTCTTCATAACATTTCTCACTATTTTTCTTTTTATTTTATTTTTATTTTTTTGAGACAGAGTCTTGCCCTATCACCCAGGCTGGAGCACAGTGACGTGATCTCGGCTCACTGCAACCTCCGCCTCTTGGGTTCCAGCAATTCTCCGGCCTCAGCCTCTTAAGTAGCTGGAAGTACAGACAGGGTTTCACCATGTTGGTCAGGCTGGTCTTGAACTCCTGACCTCAAGTGATCCGCCCGCCTCGGGGTCCCAAAGTGCTGGGATTACAGGCATGAGCCACTGCGCCTGGAGCATTTCTCACTATTTTTAATAATATATTAATGCTAACATTTTTACTGGCTATTTGTCTCACTGTCTTGCAAATTCCTTGGCACGTCCAAAAATATTTCTTCCTATTTTGTGCCAGACAATATGCCGGGTGTTTGGACTATGAAGATTTATAATGAAAGGTCCTTGAACTAAAAGGCTACACATTGGCTGGGTGCGGTGACTCACACCTGTAATCCCAGCACTTTGGGAGGCTGAGATGGGCGGATCACGAGGTCTGGAGTTCGAGACCAGCATGATCAACATGGTGAAACCCCATGTCTCCTAAAAATACAAAAATTAGCTGGGCGTGGTGGCACACACCTGTAATCCCAGCTACTCAGGAGGCTGAGGCAGGAGAATTGCTTGAACCTGGGAGGCGGAGGTTGCAGTGAGCCGAGATCACGCCACTGCACTCCAGCCTGGGGGAGAGAGTGAGGCTCCATCTCAAAAACAAAAAACAAAAAGCAAGCAAAAAAAACGGCCACACATTTAGTAGGAAAAATCAAGAAAAGGTTTATAAATAGAGTGGTAGACACTGTTGGTTGCCTCATCAACAACCATTCCACTCTCCCTTTTTTCTCTAGTGATTATCTATTTCCACACACACAAAAAAAAGTTTAAAAAGCACTGATAGTCAATTTCTTAGTTTCCCTTGCAGGTAGATGCAGCTACTTGACCTAGTTCTGGCCAAAGAGATGTTAGGGAGACATGCTGTTGCTTCTGAAACATGACAAGAACTGCCACTCTTCCTTTATTTTCCATTCACACTGTCATGATGCAATTCCTGGAGTGTGGCAGCCATTTTATAACCATCGCGTGACAATTCCAAAGACCAAAGCCAAAGGCTAAGGATAGCAAATGCAAAGATGGAAAGACATTGGATTCTGAATGAAACTGTTGAGCTAATAAACCAATTTTGGGTATATCTTTCTCTTAAATTCCTATTATGTGAGAAAAATAAACGATGGTTGCTTACATTTTCATTATATATCCCTTTACTAGAAGTTAAAGCCTCTATACCGACACAAACTGTTCCTGCTGTGACAACAATATAGCCAGCACAAGTCCCCCCAAACCACAGATCCCCTGACCCTGGTGTCAAGATTGGGTCTTCTAATTCTGCATCTGGGTACTCTAGGAAGCTTTGTGGCTTCCCATTTATATGACTGAAGCGCGAACTGTGTCTATATGTGTATGCACACATGCACACTGGAGAGAAAGGACAAAAGATCATTCCACAATTGAGACTTGAAGGCTAAACTGTAAGATGGCTGTACGTAATAAAGCTCTAATCCTCTATTAGGCTCCTGAAATCTAGGTTTTATGGTTTAGTAATGTTTTCATTATTTCAAAGACTCAGAATTCTTTCTCTCTGAGGCATCACAAAAGCTTCCATAGAAACAGATAGAGAATGAATGTCACACCAAGAATAGGAAATAAAGCAAAGAAAAATTTGCAGTGAACTAGTCATTAATGAAAGGTATAAAGAGTGCATGCAAAATGTTAATAAATCATTAAAAGGTTAGGAAAGTTTCCAGCAAGGAAGAGGTCTCTGAGCCAAAAGGTTGAGGATAACAAGGTACCTCATTCAGCCATATTCTGTCATCATCTCCACATATCATTGTTTTGAAATTTTAATATGGAAAGCAGGTCATTCTTTTAAAAAACTGAACTGCATCTAAAATCAATTAGATCTCATGATCTACATGTTCACCTCATCTTAGGGCACAGTATAGTAAATGATCTTAACTTGTTTAAAATATTTTTTCTTGGCTGGGCATGGTGGCTCATGCCTGTCATCCCAGCACTTTGGGAGGCCGAGGCAGGTGGATCACAAGATCAGGAGTTCGAGACCAGCCTGGCCAAATATGGTGAAACCCGGTCTCCACTAAAAATACAAAAATTAGCCGGGCATGGTGGCGGACGCCTGTAGTCCCAGCTACTCTGGAGGCTGAGGCAGGGGAATTGCTTAAACCCAGGAGACAGAGGTTGCAGTGAGCCGAGATTGCGCCACTGCACTCTGGCCTGGGCGACAGAGTGAGACTCCATCTCAAAAAAAAAAAAAAACAAAAAAAAAAAACAAACCCAACTTTTTCTTAAAATCAAATATTCCATAGGATGGTGTGATGAGCATTCACATATCAAGAGAATACATCATCATCGTCATCATCATATCAACAACTAGAAATTATTGAATACCAACTATACACCAGGTGCTCCACTTTGCATTTTGCAAGCATTGTCTCATCTAATCCTCAGACAACTCTTTGAGCGAGTGCTATTATTACTCCTATTGAACAGATAAATAAATGGAAGCACTACAAAAGGGAGTTGTTAGTAAGTGGTGAAGTTCCAATTCACACCCCACACGTTGACTCCCAGACTCTGAAAATTTTCAGACTCTAAGCTTAAAAATATAGAAATAAGCAAATGAATAAACTAGCGTTCTTATCAGCCCAGAAAGGAGTCTTCACTTTATGCATGTTAAACACTGTTACTGTTAGCTAAATTGCTCTTTACAACAAGGCTTACAAGATGATGATACTATCAACATTTTGTATATGAGGAAACTGAAGTCTTAAGATAAATCTAGCTAGCTATGGCAGAGCCAGAACCTGAGCTCTGTTTATTTTTATTCTAAAGCTATGTCAATATTTGCTAATACTTGGTATTGGTAATATTACAATGGCTTTCTTTTTATGACACATGATATCCATCTCAAAAATATTAGATTATAACATTTGTATGCAACTTAAGAAAGATGAAGTTATTTGGAAAAGGGATTGAGATATGAAGATTGTGATATAAGAATTGTTAGGTGACTACAGCTCTGATGGAAAGGTTTATGCGCACCAGAATCTCAGCTGTAGCTCTGTTCTCTTTGGAGAAACAACTTGTAAAAATATGATCCTTGTTAGCAGGATATCTAATATCCATTCTTGTTCCATTGATAGCATTTGAAATTTATTTATCAAATAATCACTTCAGTTTTTCTAAACTACCTTAAAAATATTTTTAAAACCTGAGGATAAAGAGGACACATTTTTAAACTAGTGCATTTTTCTCTTACAATTAAATCGATATTCCAGCTGGGTGCAGTGGCTCGTGCCTGTAATCCCAGCACTTTGGGAGGTCGAGGTGGGTGGATCACCTGAGGTCAGGAGTTTCGGAACAGCCTGGCCAACATGGTGAAACTCTGTCTCTACTGAAAATACAAAAATTAGCTGGGTGTGGTGGCACGTGCCTGTAGTCCCAGCTACTCAGGAGGCTGAGGCAGGAGAATTGCTTGAACCCGGGAGCCAGAGGTTGCAGTGAGCTGAGATCATGCCATTGGACTCCAGTCTGGGCCACGGAGCGAGACTCTGTCTCAAAAAAAATTTTTTAAAGTTGATATTCCATTTATTTTTCTCCACTTAAATACAGATTTTTTTTATGATCTCATAAGGATCACAATGAATAGCTAGGCCTTAGTTTTGCAGCTTTAGTTTCATTACTATGAGAGAGAGAGAAGGGTGAGAGAGAGAGAGAGAGAGAGAGACCAAGTGTGGTGAGAAGACATATGTTGTCTTTGTGGGTCCAGTATTTCATCCTTCTACTAACTGCCTGGTTGTTGTTTCTGTTTTTGTTTTTCCTTTGAGGAATCGCTTTCCCCATATTTCTTGTGACTCTAGTAGAGCTGCCAATCATGGTACCTTTTTGCCTTCCTCAATTCCCCTAAAGAGTTCAAAGACCCCATAGGTTACTCAGACTCTGCCACTCAGGAAGCTGACAAAGGAAGAAAATAATACAAGGTTGGAAAGACTTTGGAGCTTAGTATTTCAAAGACAACACTTAAAAAGAAGATGCATGTGTTCCTGCTTTTGAGATTTTAGAACTCTTATACTTCATGTCCTATTCTGAGACCTAGTTTTCAAATTACTTCGTTCATTTCTATGAGTATCTTTTAAATAAAGAGCCCCTACCCCATCCCCTTTGTTTTCCCTGACTTGAATTAGCCAGAGTTAGCTGCTGGTGTTTATAACTGAAGACCGGCAGACACTGCCGGTTAGCTACTTCAATACCTGTTGAAAACCACTTCTCCCTAGCCATCTTTTTGTTGGTGGCTGTCATGTGACACAGTTCTACACAATGATATACAAGTAGAAGTCTTTCAAAAAAGGTTTCTGGGAAATTTTTGGCTTTATAAAAATGATAAGACTCAGATAGTACACCCTTTTTGCCTTCTCTTTTTCACCCTGTGAAATAATGGTGGCTGCTATATTGCATGAGGAAAAGTCAATAAAAAATATACAGATGCCAGTCCTGATACTGTTGGGCCCAAAGCACCTTATTTCCAGACATCTTAATATTGGAGATAAATAAAACTCTATTTATTTAAGCCACTGTAGATAGCTTCTGTGTTTTTTGCTGCCATTGCAATTCTAACCCCAGCCAATAAAATGGGAATATGAAAAACAAACAAAAAATATGAATCCTTCTAAACAATGAAGAATTTATGGGGTTAGGGTTTGGGAGGAACAGAAGATATAGCCAGATGAATTTAGGCATATCTCTCAGGAACTGACCTTTGTCCTTTAGCTATTACTGTTGATTAGTCTTAGATGGCAGTGAACCTTGTAGCTGATGTTAATGCAAAACTGGAGAACATTGCATCCTGGATATAGGTATATTCTGATACTCTGATACAGGGCCCTTAGCTTCCAAAGATGACAATTTTTTTTTTTTTTTTTTGAGACGGAGTCTCGCTCTGTGGCCCAGGCTGGAGTGCAGTGGCGCGATCTCGGCTCACTGCAAGCTCCGCCTCCCGGGTTCACGCCATTCTCCTGCCTCAGCCTCCTGAGTAGCTGGGACTACAGGCGCCCGCAACCACGCCCGGCTAATTTTTTGTATTTTTAGTAGAGACGGGGTTTCACCGTGTTAGCCAGGATGGTCTCCATCTCCTGACCTCGTGATCCGCCCGCCTCGGCCTCCCAAAGTGCTGGGATTACAGGCGTGAGCCACCGCGCCCGGCCCAAAGATGACAATTATATGTGTGTACATAAATATGTGTGCACTTGTACTGAGTAAAATAGAGACTGATCTCACCCATACGTCAATTCTACTTAGACAAAGGAAATCCCAGGGTTTTTTTTTTTTTTTTTTTTTTTTTGTCTCTCCATAATGTGCTATTAAAATAAAATGCTATTTTGTCAGTGCCTTTTTCTTTTGCTTTCAATCCTGGACTGTAGGCAAGACATACAGTCTCCTCAGAGATTGAGAAAGGTCAATAATAGAAATGCTGTTTTCCTCCTTTCACTAACTGATTAAATAACGCATGGGCATATGTATAGCTACACGTGTATTTCTAAGGAAAATCATTCAAAAACTGCATGATTTCCTGAGGTGACCTCCAGGGTGCTGAAAATTTAGAAAACGTAACATCTAATGCAATCAATAAAATCAAGAATCTGTGTTAGGCATTTTGAGAGTTTTGGAGTGAGTGACAGTACAGCCAATTGATATAGTCCCCGTGAAAGGCAGGTAAGGCATCTTTATGTGGCTCTCTATTGATGAGAAAAGTCTTCCTAAGAGAATAAACTAGATTTAGAGTGTGTCTTATGAAAACTGTTGTTTCCCCCATGCCTTCCCAGTTAACTCATTTGTATAATTTTGGGGCTTCAGCTTTGATGGGGCTCCTTTATTTGCAACATTTAGATTAAGTTAATGACTGTTTTATCATAGCTAAGAGCACTAGAATTAGGAGGTCAATGGCTATTAGCATTTGATTTTCTTGATGATACCAAAGAGATGAGTTTGAGGGGGAAGAAGTGTGGGCTTGATTACTCATGTTTTAATTTCATCTCAGTAGACAAATCCAAAATGATGTCTCAGGGATGACTCAGAATTCCAGATGGGATATGTGTACTTTTGCCCTTTGTCCAGTCCTTTGCACACTGGGCATATCCACTGACAACACAACTGTCAGAGGAACAAGCTTTCAATTTCCAGTTTCAAGAGGGAATGAGATCAGGCTTGAATGATCATTTATGGTGACTGAATTGCTTTCTCCGACAAGGAAGCCTCACTTGTTCGTGGACTTTACGGATGGTGCTCTCAAAAATTGGCCAGTTAATCTCTTTATCTGTTGCATCTTTCCTAGATTCCATTGTGTCTTTCGAAAATACTGTAAAATTTACAAATGTAGCTTAGGCAAAATGCAAATGTGTTTCTGTCTTAAAAAGAGGAAATAGCTATCTGCAACGATATGGGATGGAGAGAAAGCGAACAGGAGGACCGTTTAGAATCATGATGTAGGAAACATAATGCAAAATTGTAAGGCTGGTGTGGGGGTATGGCAAGGATAACTAGTGAGAGATCCCCAACGGAGATGTGAAATTTGGAGAAAAGCATAGGAACTGCACATAATGCAAAGTTTCCTTCTCTCACTTTGAGCTCAGTGAATCTGGGATTTGTTTTATGAACAAAGATAGCAAGTTGCTTTATGATGGCAGTGGTTATAACAAATGCATGAACAAAGTAACGGGTAAACACATAAAAAAGAACAATTGACCTTGCGTAAGGGAGAGCAAATGTAACTTGACTTATGTGCTAAGAATAATGCAAAGAAAAAGAACTGAGCACTTACTATGTGCAACACATATAGTATGTACTGTGTTATGTACATGAGGATTATACGCTTCATCTCATTTAATCCTCACTACAACCCTATGAAAAAAGCACTACTGTATTATTTTCATTCTACTGATGAGGAAACTGAGGCATAGTACATAACTTGATTGAGGTTGGCAAAGCAGACAGAATCTGACAGAATTGCAATTTAAATCTAGAGCCTCTGAACTAAGCCACTAAAATGGACTGGCTCAGAGTTGAATAAGAATAGGAATTTCCAGGTTTATAAGGGCTTTCCAGGCATAGAAAGAGTATTTTCAAAGGCATGAAGCTGAGAAAGACATAGCGAGAGGGCCAGAGGCCGAAGAGTAAATAAGGTTGCAAGGGGGTAGGGTGGGGAGCAGGGAGGAAAAAATTCTTTTTGAAAAAATGTGTTGTAGATATGAAGTCTCACTATGTTTCCCAGGCTGGTCTTGAACTCCTGGGCTCAAGCAATTCTCCTGTCTTGGCCTCTCAAAGTGCTAGGATTACAGGCATAAGCCACTGTGCCCAGCCAGGAGGAAGGAATTCAGTTAAGAGGCTAGATCAGTGAATTGGAGCCACATCATATATATTTTTTCTTTTTTAGAGATGAGATCTTGCTATGTTGCCAAGGCTGGAGGGCAGTGGCTATTCACAGGTACAACCACAGTGCCTACAGCCTCAAACTTCTGGGTTCAAGAGATCCTCCCACCTCAGCCTCTTCAGTAGTTGGGACTATAGGTGTATACCACTGTGCCTCACTGGAGCTGAAGGAGGATATTTCCCTGATCCCTTCGTGGGTGGGAACTGGAGGGGAGCAAACTCCACTCACTCGCTGGTCCACCCCTCATGGAAGGGGGAGCACAGGTGAGCAGGTGCAGCAGCTGGGGCCAGCATTTTTGAGTGCTGGCAAGAGTGAACACCGTACGGGCCCTGCAGCAGCCTCTAGGGGAGGGTGCCCATGAGGAAGTGTTACAGCGCCCTTTTAGCTTTGCCATTCACAGATGGCTTAAGTGTTAACAGCTCAGTGGAGGGTCAGTGTGACAGCCTTTTTCACCCACACGCATGGCACCCAAGTTCTTGTCCAGCATCCAGGAGGAATGAGGTCACATGAACAAATTGAAGATGGTAAATATGGGGGATTTTATTGCCAATGAAAGTGGCTCTCAGTGGGAAGGGGAGCTGAAAAGGGGATGGAGTGGGAAGGTAATCTTCCCCTGGAGTCTGACCATCCACAGCTGGACTCCTCTCCAAAGCTATGCTGTCAAACTGTCCCTCTAAAGTCAAGCCGCTTCTCTTTGATGTCCAACTGTAGTTTCTGACATCCATCTGCTTCTCCTCCTTCTGCCAGCTGAGCTCTGGGGTTTTTATAGGCACAGGTTGGGGGGTGGGTGGGGGGTAATGGATGGTTTTGGAAAAGGCACCCTTCAAGAGGGAAAACAGGGATGTAAGTTCTCACTTTGGGCCATGGTTCCAGGCTTTTTGGCTTGAGGGTGGGTCCTCAATGGGGACCTGCCCTCTTCTGCCCAGAATTTCCCTGCCTTCTGTCCTTTATCAAAGCCACATCTTGACAGGCTATGGATACTGACCTGGAGGGAGAGAAAGCTGTAGCTATAGAAGATTTTTTTAATATAATGGGGTACTAGGATTAGATCTGTTGTTTAGCAAGATAACTAGCCATAGTGATAAAGATGGATAAAAGTCTGGGGACAGGGAGGCTAATCATTAGAAGGCCAAATCATTAATAGTCACTGAGAAAGGACTGAGGGAAGGGCAGAGTAGTTAGAGAGGAATAGCTGGATTTGAGTGTTTTTATTTTTAGATATAAGAGTCAGCAAACAGAATTTAGTGACCAAATAAAAACTGAAGATAATAGAGAGGAAGAAGTAAATGTGGCCCCAAATTTTCTAAATTGCAATGACATCATTAATAAAGAAAGTAAATGCAAGGTGCAAAACAGGTTTGATTGTGATATGGTATGTAGGAAACACAATCATTTCCATTGGTTGGGCCATATCTGGAATATTATCATCAGTTCTGGATAGCTTATATTGAAAGTGTGAAAGGAAAATAAATCTTGGGGCCTCAAAATCACCAAACTAAAGGGAAAAGTCAAGCTGGGAACTGCTTAGGGCAAACCTGTCTCCCATTCTATTCAAAGTCATCCCTCTGCTCACTGAGATAGATGCTTATCTGATTGCCTCCTTTGGAAAGGCGAATCAGATACTCAAAAGAATGCAACCATTTATCTCTCACCTACCTGTGACCTGGAAGCCCCTCCTTGCTTCAAGTTGTCCCACCCTTCTGGATGGAACAAATGTACATCTTACATATATTGGTTGATGTCTCATGTCTCCCTAAATATATATAAAACCAAGCTGTGCCCCAAACACCTTGGGCACATGTCGTTAGAACCTCCTGAGGCTGTTTCATGGGTGCATATTCTCAACCTTGGCAAAATAAACTTCCTAAATTAACTGAGACCAGTCTCAGATATTTGAAGTTCACAAAAGGGACCACTGTTAATTCTTGCAGAGGAAGATAAAGACGAAGATGAAAGTCTTGACTGAGGGTAATTATGAGGAACAACAGAGGGAACGAAAAAAATCAATATAATTGAATACTTTTACAAAAGCAGTTATTTAGAGTGTATACCCTGAACTCAAGTTCTGTTACACAGTGGGATATATAACAGTGATGAAAGAGCCAAGCTTTTCTTAGCTTTTCGACTTAGCAGGACAATGAAAACAATCAAAAACCCAACTAGTTCACATCAGCTTGAAACGAGGATGCTTAGAGAAGATACGAAAATTGACAACGAGTATTTTACAGATGTAGAGAAGTGACGTTTCTCTTTGGCTCCAGTGGGCAGGAATAGATCAATATATAGAGATTTCAGGAAAGCCAATTTTCATTTATTATAAAGACTTTGAAACAACCAGAACTGCTCCCTGGGAAAAGGGTGATTTATCATCAATGACTGTACTCAAACTGGGTTTGAATGACCAAACTGACAGGGATTTTATAGGGTCGAATCCTGCCTTAGGAAGAAAATGAATGATTCTTAAATCCCTTTAAATTCTGAGATTGCATGGCAGAAGCACGATGAAGATCACACTACCTAAAAAGAGAGGATCTGATTTCAGGTCCTAGAAGCCTTGGTTTTATTGGCCCTTAGTTTCCATATCTATGATATGAGTTTAGATGAGTTATTTCTAAGGTTTCCTGTTGCTTTAAAACATTCAATGATTTTAGAGTTGCTTGATGTCGTTAGAAATATTGAATGCCAGAATGTGGAATATTTATTTAATTGGATAAGAAATAGAAAAACTTTGTTCAAAAATTTTAAGAAACAATCACTATTAAAGCTGCACTTAGAGGCTATTTATCTGCAACAATGAGTAGACGTAACCATGTCAGCTAACATTTATTAAATCCTATTTCAGCTAGTGAGCTAAGCACCTGATATAAATGATCTCATTTAATTCTCATAACAACCCTGTAACATAGGTACTATTCACAGTCAGGGAAACCAAACCTTGGAGAGGTTAAAACATTTGCCCAAGGTTACACAGTTTCTAAGTGGTAGAGAGGATTCATACCCTGACAGCTGTCAACAGGAATTAATGAAAGTTCTCTGTAAAGGGCCAGAAAGTAAATATTTCTGGCTTTGAGGAACACATAAATCTCCGTTACATATTCTTCTTTGGGTTTCGTACAACTTATTAAAACAAGTAAACTGTTTTTAGCTCCCCTGCTATTAAAAAAAACCCAGGCCCCATGTTGAATTTGTACTGAGACCTGTAGTTTGCTGTCCCCTGCTCTGCTCTCTTACTACAACACCCTACTGCTTCCCCAAGACTACTATTTACTGAGGACTTCTTATGGGCCAGACACTGCGCTAAATGCTTTTCATGCAATATCTCTGTAATACAACGAGCCTCTGGGTTGGTTTCCATTTTATAGATGGAAAATAGGCTTAGAGAGTTTCAGCAGCAACTGAAACACAAATACAAGGCTAGAAAGTGGCAGAGCTGTGAGCTTTGTGAATCTGGAAACTGTGATTTTATCCATTGCAGTAGAGAGGCTGAGTAGAGTGAACTGGGACTGGGGCAGGGAGGGACTGGAATAAGAAAACTGGTGTGTAGAGCATGGCAACAGCCTAGACAATTATGGTATGGTTTGAAAAACACTGTAGCTTCATAATCAACTGGATTTGTCAGTTTATTGGATGTCAGGCAGGGTGGATTAGGGGAAGGTCACTCTAAGGTCTGAGCTTGGCTTACTTAGAGAACAGAAATAAGGAAATCAGGTATAGGGCTGCTTTGAGGAGATAAACGGATGGGCCGATAAAGCTTATGGTGGCAAGATCCCTTATAGTTTTGGCTGCTTCACTAACTAGTTGTGTTATGGCAGGCAAAAAAATTAGCTTCTCTTGGCTTCAGTATCCTAAAGTACAAAACGAGGGTGTTGAATTAGATGGTCCCTTAGTTTACTTCTAGTGATAATGTTCCAGTTGGTGAAAAGCAAAGGAAAATTCTAGGAAACTGCCAAAAGAAAGAGCCTAGAATAGGCTTTTTGAGGGAACGATTTCTGAAAAAGAATTGAACAGAAGGGTGCTAAAAAGTTTATTGTAATTCTTCTGTCTTACTGCTCTCAGCAAATAAAGATCAAACAGGGTATTTGTGTTTGCAAGGTCAAAGTAAACTAGTGTCCATTATCAAATGGCTGAATGACTCTTAACTGGCTCAGAGAAAGATCAGAAAATGTATAGGAGAAAACTAATGGAAAGAGTGATTAACGTGATCGTTTCTGGCTCCAAAGAATAAGGAAACATGGGAAATGAAGAAATATGAAGAAGTATGAGGCAAGAAATAAAGATAATATAAATGAACAGGTCACTATGATTATTTGGGTTGCCTATTTAGACAAGAAAATAGGGCATCGATAATCTCTCATGCCTCCTAGTACAATTGGAAAAGAAAACTAATGCTAGTATCACTAGGAAAAGACATAGAAGAATTACTTTTAGAATCATCAAAAAATAAGTTTGAAAGCTTTTGCAAAAAGCACAGAAGTGAATGTTTTGAAGCAAATGAAACTAATGGGAATTATAATGAGACACATAGCAGTTTTATAATCTTGCCTCTCTTGTAATGTGTCAGAGAACAAGAACCCTGCTATTTTAACACGCTTTGTCTATACGGTGCCAACACTGAACTTGACACGAAGAGAAGAAAGTCCTTTCTGATGAGAGCATGTAGTATCTGGATCTGTTTCTAGACTATGTGATTCATTTTAAAGATTTCTAAGGAAAGGACACATCTAGATCATCTATGACGTTAAATCCGCTGTTCTGAAATAATATCAATAATACAAACAAATTCTAATTTTATGTATGTGAAAAAAACTACTTATATAAACTCATATTCATTCGAGAAACAAATACTCCAAGTTGGATATCAAGGAGTTTCCTTTCAGTTATCCTTTGTTCAGTGGATATAAATGCTGTGCTCCTTAATACTGGGTACAAAAAGAAAAATAAGTTTATTAGAAATATACACATCAAATACACTTCTGAAAAAAATGAGAAGCTATTGAAATGAGGTCAACTAAACAGAAATCTATTTGTAGGGTTTAAAACACCATGAATGAGATCATCTTTTGTGATTCCATCTATCCTTGCATTTCTCAAATTCTATTTTGAAATCACTGCCTATGTTCATTGCCTAAAATAGCTTTTCCTTTGATTCTTAGATGATCTTATGAAAATGAAAATATATATAAGGCTATTTTGCATAGAAATGATTAGACATAGATAAATATTTACACCAAACAGTTTAGGGAGTGGGGACTAGTTATTTCAGAGATTATACAATGAAAATTTTAGACTGATTTAAACATATTATTTTATATGCCAGTTTAGGATGATGAATAAGTAATGAATCACTGAATTTCTCCCTCCCTTCCTACCCCCAGCCTTCTTCACTTCTTTCCTCCTTTATTCCTTCATTTCTTTATTGACATACATACGTAGTGTGTACACCCCCCATCTTCTAAAGTAACCCCATGGGAAGAAACGCTCAGGTGGTTATATTAAAAAAATCGAGGGTATGAAAATCTCAGGGTCGTATGCCCAAACACCAATGCGATATAAAAATTAAGGTGCACATATATGATTTTTCAATTTTTTCATTTTTATGTGTGAATGAATTTGGAAGAAAAACCTTTCATACACTCCAGACTTTCTGTGTTTTGTAGCCACAGCCTTCATTTGCAACTCTGACATGGCAAGCTGCTGTTTTCTAGATTTCATTTGTGTGGGCGCCTGCTGCACACCAATATATATTTTCTCTTTACAACCATCCACCATGTGGATGCATTTCTTTATTAGTCAATATATATTCTGTAGGTTACATTCTGCAAATTTGAACATGGACAAAATGCAATCAATATAATCCATAACACTGCACAGATGTCTTGGAGAGATTGCAGAAATCATTCACCAGGAGGCTGAATGTCGAAGAATTATAAAATTGCATTTAGATGGACAAGTCAGAAAACAGGTTTAAAAAGTAGTACATTTTTAAATTTGTGATTTCATTATGACCATGGAATGAGGTAAAAGCATAACTGTAGTCAGCAATTTACACTTAAATACAGAAAATGCAAAAGACACTATGTACATAGGAGGAAAGGAGGTATGGATGTGAGAAGAAACAGGAGGGAGAAGCCTAATGAATGATCTTCAGATGAAAAGAATCAATGAAAAATATCCAGCTGTGGTTAAATGCTTTCAAATTGCCATTTATGCAATTGATGCATGGAATAGGTATTTGTCAGTGCAGAGAGTGCGAACAGAACATTATTATGAAACAGAGCAGGATCCTTGGCAAAATACCAATGAAATACAGTTTTCAATAGTAAGGAAAATGGAGAGTGTGAAATAATGTCAATTAGAGAGAAATGCATGCTGCTGAAGACTCTCGGCACTATTCCTGGAAGAATAACCACCATGCTTAGAAATCCGGAGAGTTCTGGGAAACAATGGCCACAGAAACAAGACTTATTGATTTAAATTAAGATTTCAGTTGTGCTTAAGAAACATGTAATGACTACAATTATATCATCTGACAAGAAAAATAATATGTATAGGCAAGAGTGATATTTAAAATGTTGTACTTAACCATTCGTATCAGATGGATACAGAACAATCAGGCACAGGCAATGAAAAATTAGAACAGAATTAAAAGGTTTAAAATGGAAAGACATGGATGTATTGGAACATACTGGCTGAATATCAGTGCCTGAGGGCAATGGTTGATAAATCTGTAAGAAATTTTTCAATGCATATTTCTGAGCACCCTTTTGTCCCTTTAATAGAATGATAATTTCCAGCAAAATCAAAAGTAGTAGAAATAAACAGTTCAAAAATCCCAACTTTTAAAGAATTACCTTCATATGACATTTGCCAAACCCCTGACAACCATCTATAATTGACAAAAAAAAGCGAGCATAAGTTGACTCAAATTAATAAGAAAGAGCTACAAAATATTTAGAAAGTAGGAAAAAATCTAATATTTAAAAAAATTCTGCCTAAATCACCTGTTTAGCCGAAGTTCAGAATAGTGAACAATCAGCAATAATAGATGTAAATCAATTTCCACTTATGGATGTAAGTGCCCTTTGGAAATACTTTTTGAAAAGTTAAGAGACCACAGTGGTAAACCATATACTAAAAGCAATCTATGACAATTTTCTAAGGCCTCTGAAATTCTATACAGGTTCTCAAAAGTACTATTCAGAAGTGAAAGTTCCAATAATAGATGCTTTCAACGATATTAAAGCAAAAACACAAGAGGGGAACAATGACAGATATAAAGGTTTTATACCTAGAAAAGACTTAATAGCTAGACGTTGTCACAAATTACTACACTAACAAACAGTGCATGAATTTCAGCTTTTCAACTTAACAAAAGATGGGCAATATAGTCAAACCATCATTTACATGAGCTCTTGAGGCTTGAACATATTAATACCAAATTAGAAACTAAGAGCAGATTGTACCCATACATTCAATACAGAGTTGCTGAATATCTAAGTGCAATGTACTGTGTTAGAAGCCATAGGAAATATCAATGTTTTTTCAACATGGATCCTAATTTTAAGATATGTATAGTATACTTGGGGATAATGAAAATACGAGTAGGCAGAAAAGATAACTATTGAGTACTGGGCTTAATATCTGGGTGATAAAATAATGTGTACAACAAACCTCCATGACATGTGTTTACCTATGTAACAAACCTTCACATGTACCGTCAAACCTAAAATAAAAGCTAAAAAAAGAAAATACAACTAGAAAAGTAATATTATTAATATGAGAATTAATTATTTTCATATGGAGGAATCAGGGAAGGCTCCATGATACAGCATGGTCTTGACATTAAGAGTTTGTGGAATTGGTGTTCCAGGTAGAGAAAATAATAATAATGACAATAATAATAATAACAGTAAAGACAGTGATAGATAACATTATTGTTTCTGATACCCAATAATCTTTGAGTTATGTCATTTTCATTCTCCAAAAGCCTCACGAAGTTGGTTTTTAATTCCATTTTACAGATGAGGAAACTGAGGCACAGGAAGGACTCAAGGTTATATATCTATCAATGGAGTGGATTGATTAGAATTGGATCTGTCCAATTGCAGAGCCCCTGTTCCTATACCGCCTTTTCATAAACAGATCAAGGTCAGTTTAGTTGGCATGTAGTTTGTAAAAGAAAGGAGTAGCAGTTAGACTAGAAGGGTGACTTGGAGTCTCCTAGCTGCATTTACAAAGGCACATTTAAGGCACCCTAATCCAAGGCATGTTCATTTCCACAAGCTTTACCACAATTTTTTATTAATACCATAAACACCAAAAGAATATAGTGCCATCATCATAGAAATCCATTACATTAAGTCATCAATGAAAAGTATACTCAGAAGTTCTTGAACTCTGCTCATGAAATTCAGTTATCTTTTGAATATCATAGGCATCATAGAAAAATGCATGAAGTTTCAACTACATCTTACTTGTGATACTTTATCTTATTTTTTATTATTATTTTATTTCATTTTATTTGAGACAGAGTTTCGTTCTTGTTGCCCAGGCTGGAGTGCAATGGCACAATCTCGGCTCACTGCAACCTCTGCCTCCTGGGTTCAAGCAATTCTCCTGCCTCAGCCTCCGTAGTAGCTGTGATTACAGGTGCCTGTCACCACGTCCAGCTAATTTTTTGTATTTTTAGTAGAGACAGGGTTTCACTATGTTGGCCAGGCTGGTCTCGAATTCCTGACCTCAGGTGATCCACCCACCTCGGCCTCTCAAAGTGCTGGGATTACAGGTGTGAGCCAGCATGCTTGGCCCTTTTTTTTTTTCTTTTTTTTTTTGAGACAGAGTCTGGCTCTGTTGCCCAGGCTGGAGTGCAGTGGTGCAATCTTGGCTCACTGCGAGCTTCACCTCCCGGGTTCACGCCATTCTCCTGCCTCAGCCTCCCGAGTAGCTGGGACTACAGGCACCCACCACCACGCCTGGCTAATTTTTTGTATTTTTTTTTTTTTAAGTAGAGATGGGGTTTCACCATGTTAGCCAGGATGGTCTCGAACTCCTGACCTCGTGATCCATCCGCCTCGGCCTCTCAAAGTGCTGGGATTTTAGGCATGAGCCACCGCACCCGATCTATCTTATTTTTAAAAATTATCACTCAACGTACAGCTCAAATCATCCATAGTATAATTTTATTTAGCTGAAGGATGGATTTGTCATTAGTTCCATAACTCCTGTTCTCTCTCTTGACTTTATTTTTTATACACACAACATTTAACCAGAAGACAGACCCAATAAAAATTTATTAAATTATGAAACAGGATAAAACTGGACATAATGAGACAAACAAACAAACAAACGCAAAGTGGTCTAAAATGTTTCGATTTAATGATGATAGCGTAACCTGCAATCATTCATATATGAGAGAAGGCATCATGAGGATCTCAGCTTTGGGATAGGTTTTCCAGGAAGGGAACTAGAGCATTAGTCCAGCCCTGTTGTTTCAGCAAGGACCCCTGTTAGCAATGACAGGCATTTATAAGAAGTGAGGCCACACTCATCAGGTGCAGAGCACAGCAAAGCTGCATGGCTCACTAGAGTACTGAATCTGGCATCACGCTCATGTTATCCACTTAGTAACCAATGGGGCAGTTTTAAAAACCACAAATGTTTGTAGGGATCTGTTTTCTCTATTAAGCCTCTTTCTCCTGCGAAACATATCTCCTGAAGCATGGAGAAATAACTTATTTTTCTTTAAACTTTTTTTTTTTTTAATTTGAGACAGAGTCTTGCTTTGTTGCCCACATTAGAGTGCAGTGGTGCAATCTCAGCTCACTGCAACCTCTGCCTCCCAGGTTTAAGTGATTCTCATGCCTCAGTGTAGCTGGGATTACAGGTACGCACCATCATATCCAGCTAATTTTTGTATTTTTAGTGGAAACGAGGTTTCACCGTGTTGGCCAGGCTGGTCTCGAAGTCCTGACTTCAAGTGATCCGCCTGCCTCGGCCTCCCAAAGTGCTGGGATTACAGGCGTGAGCCACTGCACCCGGCCTCTTTGAACTTTTTTTTGTTTTGTTTTGTTTTGTTTTGTTTTTACTGGTTTATCTTACTACTTTTATTATACAATGCTTTTACAAAAAATTTTATTATTATTATACTTAAAGTTTTAGGGTACATGTGCACAACGTGCAGGTTTGTTACATATGTATACATGTGCCATGCTGGTGTGCTGCACCCATTAACTCATCATTTAGCGTTACGTATATCTCCTAATGCTATCCCTCCCCACTCCCCCAACCCCAAAACATTCCCCGGTGTGTGATGTTCCCCTTCCTTTGTCCATGTGTTCTCATTGTTCAATTCCCACCTATGAGTGAGAACATGGGGTGTTTGGTTTTTGGTCCTTGTGATAGTTTGCTGAGAATGATGGTTTCCAGCTTCATCCATGTCCCTACAAAGGACATGAATTCATCATTTTTTATGGCTGCATAGTATTCTCTGGTGTATATGTGCTCTTTGAACATTTGATCTTGGTATCTTAATGTTATCCTTTCCCATCCAAGGAAAGGTATCTAGCCCATTTTCTTTGCGTTTACTCCCTCCAGATGTTCTAATGTCTGCTCCAAAATGCTGGGTGACCCCATCCTAGAGCTGCTCACATGGTATACAGGATCATAGCACTTTTGCTTAAGTGAATTGACTTATTTCTTGTAAGTCATGCCCAGCAGCATTAATACTTCCTCCTCAACACAACCACAAGAGCTCTGGAGGGAACCCCTCCTTTACTACAATGGGGGTTTTCTCTGCTTTCCAGTGGGGAAATGGGGGCTTCTCCCATGATTTACTAGCCTCTCAAGACTATTGTGGCAATTTGGTAAGATAATACTTTGAAAATGCTCAGTCAACTCTAAAGTGCAATGCAGATATAAAGTATAAGTAATAGCTACTGAAATATTTTAAATATCCTTGGGCCCTAATACAATCATGATAAAATCAGCAGTCTTCTACATAGGAACAAATAAAACAGATTCTCCCCATTAAGTAAACAAAACTTAGGGTAGGCTTGAAAAAGGACAAGTTGTGAAATTAAATTTCCAGATTTTTAATTCAATTTAGGTGTTTTCTGGTGCCAGATGGTTTGAAGTTCTTAAACCATTTTTATTTTATTTTATTCATTTATTTTTTTGAGATAGATAGAGTCTTGCTCTATCGCCCAGGCTGGAGGGCAGTGACACGATCTCTGCTCACTGCAACCTCTGCCTTCCGGGTTCCAGAGATTGTCCTGCCTCAGCCTCCCGAGTAGCTGGGATTACAGGCGCCCGCCACCATGCCTGACTAATTTTTGTATTTTTTAGTAGAGACAGGGTTTTGCCATGTTGGCCAGGCTGGTCTTGAACGTCTGACCTCGGGTGATCTGCCCACCTCAGCCTCCCAAAGTGCCAGGATTATAGACGTGAGTCACCGTGTCCGGCCCTTAAACCATTTTTAAAGCGGCATGCATCTTTAACCTTTAATGTAAAGAACATGATCATAGAAAAGTATTTAAATTTTGACCTTATTCATGCAATGCAATGCTTTAAACTGTAGATGTCAACTTTGCACTCTATGACCACAAAATATGCACATATCACCCTTTTATTATAGAACTCGGTACCACTAGGTATGATATAAATGGTTACTGAGAAACAGAGTTTGCTGCATCGTGCTTCTAGTGAGAAATAGTTGCACAGTATTTAAGGAGTTGTTCATTATGTAATGGGAACTTTGTGCTTAGAACAGCTCCACAGGGAGAAGCAATAGAGCTAGATGTAAAAATGTTCTCCATTTCACAATGTAGAAGTTTAATTTTTGCAGTATACTTTTCCTTATACTATCATAATTTTACATGTTGGGTAAGAATTTCCATGAATTCTATGTACAATTTGGCCTCCTGTCATCTTTGTTTTGCCCTCTCCCTTTCTCTTATAGTTGGAATGAAACAGAGGAAGGAGTAGACAGTATGGCCTTTTTCTGATTTTGACCTACATTACATTTTGAGAGTTTAGAGTAATGGGGACCATATAATAATATTAATCAATCGATAATTATATATATATATTTATATATTTATGAGATGGAATCTCACTCTGTCACTCAGGCTGGAGTGAAGTGGTGCGATCTCGGCTCACTGCAACCTCCACCTCTCAGGTTCAAGCGATTCTTCCACATCAGCCTCCCAAGTAGCTGGGACTACAGGCATGTACCGCCATACCTGGCTAATTTTTCTGTGTGTGTGTTTTTTTTTTTTTTTTTTTTTTTCAGTAGAGACAGGGTGTCACCATGTTGCCCAGGCTGGTCTCGAACTCCTGACCTCAAGTGATCCCCCTGCTTCGGCCTCCCAAAGTGTTGGGATTACAGGCGTGAGCCACTGCACCCAACCCCGATAACTTTTTCTGTGTAAGGGCGTAGGTACTTTAAATGCAAAGTGAGAAATGCAGTATTACCAGGGCAGAAAAACATGCTCTGTGAACTTATGTGAATTCATTATTCCTTACTTACAATGATTGTTCACATCCCTGTAGTAAAGAAACTTCTCTACTTACAACTTCCCATAGGTAGCAATAAAGGTCCCAGGCACAGCAGAAGCATGGCAATGAAGAATACCACCAACAGAGGACATCAGAACTTACTTTAGGCCACCATTAGGTTTTCTTAGCCTGTGTTGTGTTTTGTGTGCATATTTTCATAATGTTTTATAAATATTATTATTAACACCGCTATGTTCAAAAGTACAAAAGAGTCAAAAAAGTGTTCCTTTAAGAAAAGACATGCGATTACTACGGCAACAAAAGAGAACTTATTGTAGAAGGGTGTACATTGTATATATTGGTCACTTTTGTATGTCATTTTGGACTTAAAAGGAAATGAATTTCCAAACAGCCCTTGAGAACCAATTCTCTTTGTAGAGAAAGGAGGTTGTATGTTGTCTATAAATTATAGGATCATAGACTCTTTTTGTTTGTTTTTTGAGTTAGAGTCTCACTGTCACCCAGGCTGGAGTGCAGTGGCACGATCTCGGCTCACTGTAACCTTGGCCTCCTGGGTTCAAGCTATTCTCCTGCCTCAGCCTCCCGAGTAGCTGGGACTACAGTTGCCTGCCACCACACCCAGCTAATTTTTGTACTTTTAGTAGAGACAGGGTTTCGTCATGTTGGCCGGACTGGCCTCAAACTCCTGACCTCAAGTGATCCCCCTGCCTCCAGAGATGATCTGGCTGGGCGTGGTGGCTCATGCCTGTAATCCCAATCCCAGCACTTAGGGAGGTCGAGGCGGGCGAGTCACCTGAGGTCAGGAGTTCGAGACCAGCCTGGCCAACACGGTGAAACCCCGTCTCTACTAAAAATACAAAAATTAGCCAGGCATGGTGGCGGGCGCCTGCAGTCCCAGCTACTCGGGAGGCTGAGGCAGAAGAATCACTTGAACCCGGGAGGTGGAGGTTACAGTGAGCCGAGATCGCACCACTACATTCCAGCCTGGGTGACAGAGCGAGACTCTTGTCTCAAAAAAAAAAAAAAAAAAAAAGAGAGAGAGAGAGTTGATAGGATCTTAAAGTTTATCTTGTAAAATTCCCAGGTAAAAGAGTAATTCTCTGTAAAACATCTTTGTGCAAGTACTGTTGATTGTCCCCATATATTTTCCATTTTTTCTTGTGGCAATAGAACTCATAATTTTCAGTTGGGTATGTAGATGCCTGAAGGAAAGAATATATTTCTTAGCCTCACATAGATGTAAATATAATCATGGGACAAAGTTCTGGTGAAGGAACTATCAGGGGATACATTTCATGACAGTTTCTGAAAGATTTTCTCACAACACTGCTGGCACACGCCCTCTCTGTGCCTCCTTCCTTCTTCCATGTTGCTGGGGGCTGGAACTCAGATGTGTTGGCTGGAGCTGAAGCAGACATATTGGACCATGTGGTGACAACGAGAATTGAGGCCACCATGGCAGGACAAGGTAAAGGAGGACTTCGGACTTAGTGAAGCAGAATAGCGGAAGGAGGCCTGATCTACCTAGTTCTGGGCTTGTACATGAGAGAGACCTACATTTCTCTATTGTTTAAGCTATTGTTACAGTTTGTCCTATTAGCAGATGAATCAGATTAAAAAATGATGGAAATTTGTGAAGCAGCCCATGCCACTTAATAACAACTCTAACGTTTACATTTTCCTTACTCAGAGTAAGCTCCACTGTAACACTTGCCCATAGTTCTCTTCTACAATCTTACTTAATTAAGTGTGCTGTGTCCTTTACCCACCCTCCCCAGATGCATGAAGAAGCTGTCCTGTATTTTCATGTTATCTTCTTACTGAACATTCTAGATTCTTTCAAATATTTGTCATATAACCATCGCTATACCTTTCACAATCTTGGTTGCCCTGCTGTCAATGTATTATGATTTTTCAGTGTTCTCATCATACGTGATGCTCATAAGTCAATATGACTGCAGATGTGGTTTAACTAGTGAAGAGATTAATGGAACATTTGTGAATTTCATTAATGCAATCTAATACTGTATTGCCTCGTACAGTAAGCCACACCAGATCATACTGGAGATTAATACAGTCCTTGTGGTTATTTAAAATCCCAATTTGTTTTTCATATAAAGCGCCACAAAGTCAGATGTTCCTCAGCCTATATTTGTACAAAAGACTTTAAAAATCTTAAAGGCAGGACATCTTGCTTGTTCTTGTTAAATTTTATTTTAATTTTTTTATTTTGGTACAGTATCCCAGTCTGTTATAATCTTATTTTGAGTCTTGATTTTGATCTTTCAGTGTGTTGACTCCCATTCTCACCTTTGTGTCATTTGAAAAATTAATAAGTGCACAATGTATATGCTTATCTAGAAAAATGACAAAAATCTGGGTCAAAGTACAGGCAAGGAGGCACCACTTTTAGGGGGCACTATTTATGGAGGGTTGTGAAATGAAGTAGAACTGAATTCACTCTGTGGTTAGCACCACAAAACACTTCTCAAATTGACAGTTTAACACAACATTCCTCCTTGGGCATGGTTATTGAAACATCACCAAATTTACCAAATTATATTTCTCTCCATGTATAATTCATGTAGTTTAATAAGATTGTGAGCAGCCACGTAAAAGGCACTGCTGAAATTCAGATACACTGCTGCAGCATAACACCACTTTAAAAAAGCCAGTTAAGTTGGCAAAGTAAAAAAAAAAAAAAAGCCTACAATATTAAGGTGAAAACTTTACAACATGACTCTAGTGAATATTAAAGTCTAAAATAAAGGAAAAGAAACAGTTGCTCAATGTTTCCAAATACGGTTTCTCCCAGATTTATAGTTTTCTTTATTTCTTTATTTTATTATTATTTTTTGAGATGGAGTTTCACTCTGTTGCCCAGGCTGGAGTGCAGTGGTGCAATATCTGCTCACTGCAACCTTAGCCCCCTGGGTTCCAGCAATTCTCCTGCCTCAGCCTCCCAAGTAGCTGGGATTACAGGCATGCACCACCACACCCGGCTAGTTTTTTTTGTATTCAGTAGAGACAGGGTTTCGTCATGTTGGTCAGGCTGGTCTTGAACTCCTGACATCAAATGATCTACCCACCTCGGCCTCCCAAAGTGCTGGGATTACAGGCATGAGCCACTGCACCCGGCCCCCAGATTTATAGTTTTTAAGATAAAAGCGACAAGCCAAATTAATGTTTTAAAAAGCTCGAAACATATGGGGGGAAAAATTAAACAAAGTGCCAAGTAGTGAACATACAGCTAAATAATAAAAAGTAGTCATACTGATGCTTTGTTATTCAAAAATCATTTTTCCTCAAAGAGTAAGGGTGAAAAATTGTAAGGACTATCCCACTACATGTTCAATTAAATGACTAAATTAATGTAGAGACATTTAATTAAAGTTCCACTAGTTTTTCCAAATGCTATTAATTACGCCGCTATCTAAAATTAAATCTCTCCCCAAACCCTTTTACATTTCTTCCGCTCATCTGATACAGACATAATTAAAATGCTGCAAGTTTACCTAAACGCATCCAAATATTATAAAAGAAAATATGAAAAACTGGAGTTTCAGTAGCTCCTTAAGAAGCTGGAATTTTAATGGGATTTCTACAATCCTTGGGGAAAACCAATAGATGTGTAAGCAGGCATGCACACACACACACAAACTGTCTCAAGATTCCTCTGAAAATAAATTTCTCTCTTTATATCTAAGGTGCTGCAGTGAATACCACAGACAACTATAGTTTCAAAGGTTTTCTACCAGCAAAAGACAAGAATTTTTGAAGACACTGGGTAATTAATTGCAGGCACAAGGTGTACTCTAGTTATAACACTTCTGTGCTACCATTTTCGAAACAATAAGCATTCCTTAATAGCGGCTCAGAAAGGCACTCTTTAAGAGAAACAGTTTGGAATTCAGGCTTCCTTGTATTGTATCCAAACTTCCAAATGGAAAAAAACCAGCCTGGACAATCCCAGCTTCATTCTATATGCAAGTTATTCTCCAGTGAGTAAACAAAGGTTGATCCTAACTCCCAAACTTATTTTATTAATCATATACAAGATGAAAACACATTGATCAAACAAGGTCTACTAACATGAGACTTCTCTTATTTCCTTTCTCTTACTTGATTCTGACAGTTGTCCTTTTAATTGCTCTGCACGGATAGTATTCAGCCATCTAAAATCAACAAATTCTCTATTTACCCCAGTCGTCTTCCAGATTGCTGTAGGTTCATTATGCAAATGTTCCTTTAAGAAATACAGAGTTACTCCAGGAATGACCACTACCTGCCATTACTATGGAGTCCAGAGGTAGGGTCAGGTACAGGCTGGGGTCTTTTGAAAGTGACTTGTCTCTTTTCCAAAATTTCATTTGCTTCTAATCAAGAGTCTGGTAAATTAGGAGGAGTCCTTTTCTCACTCATCATCGTAGCCAAAGTCTCATGAGACAAGGCTGGGTCTCAGTAGGACTGTGATTCATGAAAAGTCAATTATGGATAAATTTTGTTTACCAATATCCTTCCTCATTCCTGGTTCTGCTTGGCAAACAGCCATCCCTCCTCCCATTCTCTTATTACAAGGGTTTGCAAACTTCACCGCACTTTGTAATCCTGGGGATTTTCAACAAATGCTGATGCTTGGAGCCCACCCCCAGAGATTGAATTGGTCTGAGATGCAGCCTGGGCATGAGGAGCTTTATAAGCTGCCCAGGGGATTCTGATATGTGGTCTGCGCTTTAGGCCTGTCAAGGTGGGATAACAACTTGATAATAAAGGTTTATTTCCTGATCAGTTAAAGGGGTTACCACATCTCAAAGAAATATTTTGCATACTCAAAGGACCTGTAATGGAATTTAAGTTAAATAATGGTGTTACAATATCTGTAATTAATTTTAAATATCTCAACATAGATAGTTGGATATTTTATATGTGCAGTTAGTGCAACCTTCAACTCTAGAGGCTTGAGGCAAATGGTTATTTTAATTAGGAATTCATATTCTAGGACAGCACAGCCTTCATCTTATGAAAAAGGCCAAAACCCAGAGACTGCTACTACTATATATCTCTGTGAACCTTGGAGGATTTTGTAATGCATGTAATAGATATCGCAAATGTGTTTTTGCTGAGGGAAATAGTGGATTGCAATGAATATCCCTATAGGATCTCATTAGTAAAATTTAAGACAATCAAGATACATGGATTAACTAAAATATTTTAATGACATCCCCTAACATTGCATAAACAGGATATAAGAATCCAGCAAAACCTGTTGCTTGGGCTTTTAATTTTACGTCTGGTCTCCAATGGCCTTGTATCCAACCATTGGCTTAGGAAGAATTCTTGTGACCTGATGCCAAATCTAAAGGTAAGAGAATACTGTATTTGCAATGGTGTCAATTTAAGCCTAAAATCCTACACTTCATAAAAATTGTAGAACAGGCTGTAAGCTGACTTCTGCCTGCCTTCTAACAAATGTTGGTTAACGACATGATTGCACTTGTGGAGGACTTCAGCATGAAGCATGAAGCTGCGGCTTGAGGTAGCCATTCCTCATCCACCTCAAACACATCTGTGGTTCTCCATTATTTCCCAAAAAGAACCTAATAGTTGCACGTGACCTAAATTCACTTAGGTCAGTTCACAGCAGGTGGAATTTGAGGCAGTGTGCCAATAAAATGAGCGGTAAGTAAATATTTGGGGTAAGAGGGTCTTCTGCACAACGATTAAATAGTTCTAGGTGATTTTCTAATCTCCTCATTTATAAGAGTGGTCCCAGCAAGAACAGAGACTGAAATAAAGTGGTCGTTTCAAAGCTTTAAATACTCTGCTTTCAGCTACTCTGTCCACTTATTCAAAGACAAACTTGAAAGGAAACAGGAGCCCATATTATAGCACAGGCTTTTAAATTTGTCAATATGAGGAACCAGGAAATGCCCTGTTCTTCTTCGGGGCTCTTTCATTTAGCTTGCATTCCAGGAATGTTCATTTGTTCCAAGCAACATTAGAAATTAATGGGGTAAGTGCTGGGTGAATGTAGGTAATCGGTATAAAGGCTGCTTTCTTGAGTTAATGCCTGAGAAATCACCAAGCCTATAATTTCTTTTTTCTTTTCTTTTTTTCTTTTTTTTCTTTTTTTTTTGAGACGGAGTCTCGCTCTGTCGCCAGGCTGGAGTGCAGTGGCGCGATCTCGGCTCACTGCAACCTCCTCCTCCCAGGTTCAAGTGATTCTCCTGCCTCAGCCTCCCGAGTAGCTGGGACTACGGGTGTGCACCACCACGCCCAGCTAATTTTTGTATTTTTAGTAGAGACGAGTTTCACCATGTTGGCCAGGATGGCACCAAGCCTATAATTTCTAAAGTCCTGTTTCATTTGAAGTTTGAATGCAAAAGTACTAATGACTGCAGGGGAGGGATGTTTTCTATATCTTAAGAAATACGTAAATAATATGTGGCATAGCTTCTGATAGTACTGCAATATAACTATCTATAACTAATATATACAGCAAATATATTATCACTTCTTTTTTTTTTTTTTGGAGACAGTTTCACTATTCTTGTCCAGGCTAGAGTGCAATGGTGGGATCTTGGCTCACTGCAACCTCTGCCTCCTGAGTTCAAGTGATTCTCCTGCCTCAGCCTCCTGAGTAGCTAGGATTATAGGTACCCACCACCATGCCCGGCTAATTTTTTGTATTTTTAGTAGAGACGGGGTTCCACCATGTTGGCCAGGCTGGTCTCGAACTCCTGACCTCAGGTGATCCACCCACTGTGGCCTCCCAAAGTGCTGGGATTACAGGCGTGAGCCACCGTGCCTGGCCCTATTATTACTCTGCATGTTTCTGCAGAGATCTGTAGAAAATTAAAAAAAAAAAAAAAAGAATGCTGGCTTATAAATGGAGTAGATTTTCTGGAAAATGAATGTTTTAGTCCGTTGGAATGCTATAACAAAATATCATAAACTGGGTGGCTTATAGACAACCAAAGTTTTTTTCTCACAATTCTGAAGGCTAGGAAGTCTGATATCAAGGCGCTGGCAGATTCAGTGTTTGGTGAAGGCCTGCTTTCTTGTTCATAGATAGCACCTTCTTGTGTTCTCATGGCAAAAAGGGCAAAGCAGCTCTCTGGGTCTCTTTTATAAGGGTTCTAATCTCATTCATGTGGGCTCTGCCCTCATGATCTAATCACCTCCCAAGGGGCCTACCTCCTAATACCATCATATATGGAATTAGGTTTCCACATATGAATTTTGGGGAGACACAAATATTCAAGCCACAGCAGTAAGGCAATCACAAAATAGGGCAGTTAGATTTAAGTGTAATATACTAGGGAATGACAATGAGAGAGATGTATCATCAATTTCTTTGCCTTCTCCCCTATCATCAGGGAAGGTACCTAACTGCTCCAAGGCCACATGACTCCATGCGCACCAATAGCAAAAACTACATCCAATGCTTTATAGGTTAGGAAAGTACAGGTTCCCACACTTATATGTGCTCACTTCCATTTCTTGCTGCCCCTCTCTTTATTTACGAAAGGATGAGAACTTGATCCACAAGTGATTTCATTGAGATGTAACTCTTATTTTATCCAAAGAGAAGTGTTGGAACATGCTTTGATTATCAGGTGAGGGCTCTGTGCACATTTTCATGCAAATGTCTTAGATTGGTAACTCTCCTCCAATGAATGCAAGACCTTCTGCCTTCGGTGATGACTAAGGTGGTAACAGTTATCAGGTAGTTGCTTGGCACTGACTTATTTACTAGACATTCTTTTTTTTTGTTTTTTGTTTTTTTCCAGAGAGTCTCACTCTGTGGCCCAGGCCGGAGTGCAGTGGCATGATCTCAGCTCACGGCAACTTCCGCCTCCCGGGTTCAAGCAATTCTCCTGCCTCAGCCTCCCCAGTAGATGGGACTACAGGCACCACCACCACACCTGGCTAATTTTTGTATTTTTAGCAGAGACACGGTTTCACCGTGGTGGCCAGGCTGGTCTCAGACTCCTGGCCTCAAGTGATCCACCTGCCTTGGCCTCCCAAAGTGCTGGGATTACAGGTGTGAGCCACATTGCCTGGCCTACTAGATACTGTTAAGGCAGGCATGTGCTAAACAGGTCACATGACCTCTACTATCCCTGGAATTATAATACTAGTTAGAACAATAGTTTTCAAACTTTGACCATGACCTACAGTAAGAAATACATTCATCATAGTTACTTAGAATACATTCTCCACACGTATACATTCATGGGTGTATGTGTGTGTTGTTTGTCTAAAATACCACTTCCCCAGGAAACTTTCCAGGCCTACTACACCAGGTCAAGTCCCTCTGTTATACTCTCTCAGCACTCTGCTTTTGTCCTTTCTAAGTACTCATTACAATTGGAATGAAATAATTGCATAACAAAGATGTTGAACCCATCTCTAGATCTGTATTCTAGGGCTTTCTGAGGGCAGGGACCTTCTTCCTCTCTTATAGAACAGCAGTATAGGAAAAACTGACCTGAAGCAATAACATTTTGCACATAAGAGCTGCTTAATTAGTACTTGTGACCTGAGTAAATGGATAAAGACCTCAGCAAGGAGATCCCTGGGTCCTTTTCTTATTTGGAAATCTTGAGGTAGAGCTGGAGTAGGTCATCCAACATGTTCATTGGCATAGCTTACAGAACAACAGCATCAACATGGTGCCAGGACAGATAGGATGTATCTGGGGAGCAAGGTGTGATACGAGAGCGGGATGTATTATTAATAGTTCTACCTTTTCTCATTATTTTTTCAGGGCTTGAACATGTTTCTTGTTGGTATCCACTCATATTTATTGCCTCTTTCTTCATCTCATTTATTTATTGTGTCATTACCAACTTAACCCAGTTTTATTTATCTTCTTTTTGACTGCCTGTTGGCAAAAAAATATCAAAACTTAAGAAAAATGGGTGTTTTCTAGAAAGTTGGGTAAAAATACACTATTGTTTTGTTGCTTAATTTCTTTATGCTGCCTTGCTCTGTGAACAAAGTAGAAAATAATACATTTATTTTGGAAAATAAGCTCAATAAAGACAGGAGTTAGGAACCGTCCCTTGACTAACTACTGAGGGAAAGCCCTTTCTATAGAATAGAATTTACATCCTGTGAGTTGGTCATGTTTTTAGTAAGATGGATTAAATTGCATGTATATGTCCAGAGTCAATTAATGGGAAACATAGAACCAGAATCCAAGTCAATTTTGTCCATTACTTCTTTCTCAAGAGTAAACACCCTCAGCTGGATGACAAATAATGATTGCCAGGCAAGGTTTATGTTATTACCTCTACAAGTAGGAAGTTGATGCAAAGCAAAACTCTCACCTGACATCTGTTTTTTTTAATCACCCTTATAGCAAGTTAGTTTTAAAGAAGTGAGAAAGACATGCGTGAACAGGCAATTTTGCTCCCAGATCAAACTTCTTCTTATAACCAGACGTGGCTTCATGTTCCAGCAAAGCAAGATATTCCCAGGCCATAAGGTAACAAAGGCCTGGGACACTGTGGTGTCCACATTTCTCACTTCTATGAATGAGTGCCCACAGGAATGTGTTCATAACATGTAACAAAGTCAACTTGTGAGTTGCTGATACACATCTCTCTTATGTCATACAACTGCTGCCATTAGCGATTCATGGCAGTGTCCTTGCCCGGCAGTCATGCATATCCAAATGAGGCATACTCCCTAGCTATTACAAGAGTCCTGTCTGGCTGCAGGCATTGACTGACTTCTCCTTTTTATCTCAACTTAAAATCAGTGCCTTGCTCCCATCCAGTGCCACATGAAATCCAAGGAATCAAAGTGTAATCTCCGCTGCCACTCCTCATGTTCAAAACATGGACCATTATGCAATATTAAAGCATGAATCCTGGAACTCTGTTAATGTTGTGAAATAGGTGAGTAGTTAGCAAGAATTACCATTCTGACAGTGCAGTGGAAAAACTTCATTCATTGTAAAAAGCAGGGAGTTGAGTTTCTATATGGGGTTGCCTTTCACGTCCCCTCCCCTTGCAGAGATAATGAAAAAATGCCCAGCTATTTTTCAGATGTGATGTTTACTTTCTTTTCCA
The DNA here is from genome assembly GCF_000001405.40 of Homo sapiens. Lineage (NCBI taxonomy): Eukaryota > Metazoa > Chordata > Mammalia > Primates > Hominidae > Homo > Homo sapiens. The sequence goes on from NC_000023.11 coordinate 31,421,260, forward strand.
AGAGGTTCTTTGGAGGAATACACAGAAATATTTTATAGAACCACAAAATAATAGAGGTAAAATAAGCTTTGGAATAAAATAAGCAAATAAGACTAGTTTCTAGTCTACGATTTCTGGGAAAATGCGAGAACTTTAGTTAAACTTGTTTATTTTATTCTAGGTGAATTTTATTAACTTAAAGGATCATAAAATAATAATGATCATCTCTACTTTTAAAATCCACATTTCTATCAATTATTATATGCATATTCCAGTGTGTACAGATAAAAAGATATTCAAGTACAACTAAACCTAGAGATTTCATCAGAAAATAATCCCCAAAATGAGCTGCTATTGCAAAATGGAAAATATGATGTAAACAGGCATTTTGGGCTTTCAGATAAACAGCATAAATTTTTGAACAGGATACGTCTTGTTTTCCACAAAGAGAAAAACAAGGTGTAGTGAAGAGCGTTGAATTGTGTCTGATTTCTGATCTTGCTTTTAACAAATGAGAACGTCTCAGCTAAGTCAACCAGAAACTATTTCCTAATCTATAAATTAAAGGGTTTGGCCTAGATAATTTCTAGTCTTTTCTGGCTTCAACCCCTCCCTGCTTACTCTCTCTCTCTCTCTCTCTCTCTCTTTCTATATATATATATACACACACACACACATATATATATATATATATACACACACACATATATATATATATATACACATATATATATACACATATATATATGTATATATACACACACATATATATATATATAAACACACACACATATATATATATATATTTTTTTTTTTCTTTTTCTTTTTGAGACAGAGTCTTACTCTGTCACCCAGGCTCCGGGTTCAAGCAATTCTCCCACCTCAGCCTCCCGAGTAGCTGGGACTATGGGTGCATGCCACCACACCCGGCTAAATGTTTTTTGTATTTTTAGTAGAGACGGGGTTTCACCATGTTGGCCAAGCTGGTCTCGAACTCCTGGCCTCAGGTGATCTGCCTGCCTTGGCCTCTCAAAGTGCTGGGATTATAGGCATGGGCCACCGCACCTGGCCAGATTGCAGGTATCTTTAACAGGTTGGAGTGTTACCTGAATTTTCATCAATCTTGGGAAACATATAGCTGCTAACAGTTTTAACTTCCTACTCTATGTTTAACTCGTTTAACATATTAAAACACGCAGACAATATTAAACTGCAGCAACACATGGAGAAGAAAAGCATCGTGGAAATGGGGTAAGATGGGACTCTAGAAGTGTTTAAAACCTCCCATGCTGAAATTTTAAGTAAATGTTGACGGGCAATGGTTAAATTGTAAAATAAATGAATTTGTTGTCACTGAAATTTAGAATACTCCTACCTCTTCTTATGTTTTGCCCTTTTAAGATACAAATTAAAATTTTTAAAAAATAGAAGAGCTCAGAAATAAAGTGATGGGGATAATATGCATACCTATACTACCACACTTTTCCTTTCACCAGTTACTTTGGAAAGTATCCTATGGAGTTTTGATTTTAGTAGAATTCATGTGAGGCAAAAGATGGCTTATTATTTCTATTGTGTAAAATCTCCAAACCACTGGGCAGTTATAAGACTTTTTTTTTTTTTAAGCTCAAACACAGGTCAAGGCTATAGGTGGGAGTTCTTGAACAATAAACAAAGTGAGAAATGGTCTTAATTTTTTGTTATTGCTGCTTTGAATGACACACAGACACATGTACTAACACAGGCAAGACTCTTGCTGCACGGATATATGTATTTTTGTAGAAAAGATCAAACTAAAATGAATTCACTGCCTGGCATCATGTTTTCATCTGCCTTCCATTTTCCACAAGGGTGTACTCCACTTGCTTAGACTTAGGCAATTTAAAAATTCTTGATCTTAATGTCCTCTAAAATGTACAGACTTTATAGCTTAGATTTTAAGAGACACCATTACCTGACAGGGTAATGACAGTTTTATTTGCACTGGTGACTGGATTTGCTGTGATACTTAAGCAATAATACAAATAAAATGATAATTTTTTTGAGAGGATGTCAGGGAAGGAGAAAGAAAAGAACAAAATGCATCGCATTTAACTTGGTTTAAAAACACAACACACTGCAGCTTCCCAAAGCTTCTTATTTTACTGGAAAAAAAAATCCCTTAGCAATTCATCTTCCTTTGGGCGCATGAATGACATTTTACTGTGATGTGATTATAAGAAACAAAATCCCTCGGAGATGCTGCCTTAAAATATTTTTCTTTATAATGTTCTGAGCTCGACAAACCTTGGTAGAAAACAGAATACTCTTAATTATGAATAAATTAACTAAATTAGTAACATGAGATGGATATGCAATTAAGGGATTGTTAATTGAAACTGGAAACACAGCTGTATACAGCTTAGAGATGAATCATACCAGTAATGACGCAGATGTTTATAAAATGTGATTATCTTTAGTGGAGACAGCGCTGCATCTCCCAAGCCCATTCTTATATTGTGTCACTGAAATGGTTTTTAAACCCGTGAACACCAGGAATCAGGATCTCAGGGACGGCAAATTAGGCTCCCTGGATATGGGAATTAGTGTTGTCTGAATGTCAGCAATTTGATTCTCCAGCTTTCAAAGAATGTAGATATGGAGCCAACAACAAACATCTGTTAGTTGCATGGTCTTCAAAAAAACAAAAACAACCAAAAGTTGCTGGCAAACCAGTCCCTGCTTCAATCAGAGAAGACGGTAAAGTATCTGTAAACAGTCACACTGCTGTGTGTGACTGTTAGAAACATATAGAAAAGAGAACCCCAGGGCACAGTGCCAGAGACCTTATGCACAAATGGTAAATGCCCCCTCTGCTGGCAGAGGCTCTAAAACATTTTCTGCTCTTTTCCCGGCAGTGAACCCAGAAGAAAAAACAAAATCTTCACAACTAAGGAAGCAGTAGGAAAATGCCGTCATTACACTCACTGTATGTTGAAATGTACTAAAATTATCAATATTCTGTTGCACTTTGGAAACTTCCGTTTTTTGCTTATCCACACCATTTTCCCCCATGTGCAATTCCCATTTGCCCCAGGGAAGGGAAATGTCTCTATGGTTCTAGATTTTAATCGAGTTACATGATCTCTGCATAGACTGTGATTGGACAAGGTTGAGGGGAGACTGGATACTGTGTCCTAACCATAGTTTAATGATTATGGAATGAAGGGCTCAGCTACATAGACTAGTCTTTGGAAATCAGGTTTTTGGTTTCTGGACAAAGCTTGTGGCATTATTCAAACCAACAACTATTAGGCTGGATGGTGCTTACAAAGATGGAAGATGGTAGACATCAGTTTTTTACGTAAAGTGCAAACTAACCACTGTAAGGTGTAGTCAAAAAAGAAATAATACATAATTTTAGATATTGACCAACAGAAGATATATTTGTCACCTTAGCTTAGCTTCTCTTTCAAAATTATCAATGTCCTTAACAAAATCTAGTGCTGTAAAGGAAAATAAAACAACAGATAGTCTGACATTAGTTAATACTTTCCTCTATCAAAAGGATGCAGAAAACTTAGGGCATCCTCCTTGAATTCAGGGGAGACCTTTTACTACAACGTTTAACGAAGTATTTGGATGACTTGAGGCTCAAATAAACAACTCAGTTTTCCACTGTGTTGACTGTGGGCATATGGGGTGTAGCTGAGTTGTGAGTCTGTTAAAAGAAAATACACTTTCAGGAATGAATAAGGAGAAAAACGCAAACACATAAAAAGACACACCACTATATATAGTTTTCTCTCTATGTTGGATACCTATAAATGTGGGATTTGTTGAATTTTGATCACAAAGTCTTTCTATCCTATGTGTTAGTCTGCACAAGTACAGGCTTTGCCTATAATTTCAGTATTGATTTGCTGTTATACAGGTTCCAACTTGTCTAAATTTCATTACCTGAAGGGACAGCTTGCAATTCCATATACAGGTATAATAAAAGCAAGATGAGTACATGCATACTGTGAGCTCTGAAAAGGCACTTTTTCTACAATGGCTGTGCCAAATTCTTCATGAGACTGTTATTCTGTTGCAAATGGTGATAAGAAAGCCAATATCATACATTATTTACTAGCATTTGTACTAATATTTTCAATTCTGAACCTCATTATAATCACACTTGTTTCAGAACCCATTTGTGGACATACCCAGCTATTTGCCTAACTAACAGCTATTTACTTCTTGTTCCTTGGTAAAGAAGCTCAATTATGTTCAGATATTGGGCAACAAAGGACACAGCTCTGAGGAAAAAATTAAAATCTGGTCTAAGCCAATCACAGTAAGCTTGTTTCTCATAGCCAGTGATTGGCTTAAAGAGGTTCAGTGAGATCCAGTTCTAGTTGACACATAAGAAGAAATTTGTTGGGGAGCTTCTGGGAAACGTTTGCTTTTCCAAACACAGACACACAGGCATGAGTACACACACACACACACGCACACAATACAGTTATCCTTGAACCTTATTCCTTCTTGCCTTGGTTATTGTTGTCTGCGGATATGTTGCTTGGCGCAGTGGGAAGCCATCTTGGGACCATGAGGAAAAAGACAAGAGAATCCCAGAGAAGCTGACCTCAAGTCTTGATATAGCTAATCTGTTGAATTAACCAGCTCTAGGTCTGATGGTCTTTGGACTTCAGTTTATTTTGATTAGTGGTTCTCAAAGTGCAGTTCCTGACCACAGGAGTAGCAGCATAACTTGGCAACCTACTAGAAATGTAGAATCTCGGACTCCACGCTGGACCTACTGCATCAGAAACGCTGGGAGCAGCCTGCCAGCCTGTAGTTTAACAAGCCCCCAGGGGATTCTGATGCATACTAAAGTTTGGGAACTGTGCTAGATTATCAAATGTCTCTATTATTTCTAATGTGTCTATTATTAACGATAGGGTTTTCACTTCTTGCCTGATTCCACTGGAGTTCGTGTTAAAAAAAAATATATTCCCAAGTCTATTGCATCAGAATCTCCAGTGAAGGGGCTTGTGAATTAATAATTTAATCAAGTGCCCCTGGTGATTCTTATGACCAGAAAACCTTGGGAAAGACAAACTTAAGAACTTTAAAGTCAGGTATCTGTTACTGGCCTCTGAAAGTATTCTAACTGACATTCCATCTGCAATCTCCTGTTTCAACTGGCCGCAGCTCCAGGACCACTCAGGTAAGCAGATACTAGCTCTTGCCTTGGCAAATATATTATGAAGTCTTAGCTTGGAGAGCCTTTGACTTAAAGTGAGGTTTACATTTCTAAGATGTTGGTTTCTTGACTTAACTGTCTATTTGAATTCCTGATCTTTTCCATTCAGAGCCTGTTTACCCGAACTCCCCACTTCAGCTACAGTCTGAATTCCTAACCTCGTGTACATTCTTGATCAGTGTTATCTGGTGGCCTCACCAACCCTGCCAGAATTTCAGAGCCCCTCTCAAGTAATTACAGGGGTAATCATGCATTCCTTAACTCTTAGGCTGCATTCTTAGGGGGCAGATTCCTACCTACTAACCTTGAACCTGCTGATGCCCATGAGGCTGGCATGAAAGCAGGAACAATTAGTCTGTTAAAAACTAAACATATATTCCTGAAGTCTGAAAAAAGGTTCTACTCATCCAAATAGAAATAATTGAGAACTCTAAAATATTTAACTTTAAATGGTCTGGAATCATCAATGTTCTTTCAGGTTGAATGAATATTTTACATTAAAAACTTTCTGTCCCTTGTTTACTTGGCCAAATAAGGTAAAAAGGTCAAAACAATCTTAGTGAAATTGTTTCCTTATGAATGACAAATGTAAAGAGTCAAAAGAGGAATTAAGGTAAATAATTTAATTATATTTCATCTCCCCTAATTACATGTTTTTCATTTGCTTAGATATTACTTATTTCACCTCTGCTGCCTTCCCCACCATATACCCGATAACTCAGTCATTCCAGACTTATAAACTACCTCAGGTTATATCAGATCTTCCCAGACCTGGTTTTCTTCCTAGAAAACCATTCCATTTTTTTCTTTACCTCTTGGAACCCTACTCATTGCTCGAGTCTAAGCTCAAATGTCACCCCTTGTGCAAAATTTATTGCTAACTCTTCTGCACATTAATATCATTTCTGGGGGGCTCACATCTCTAGTGGAGCCCTTGTAATACTGTATGTAGTTCATGTATTAATCATCTTTGAAGGGAGCCTGTGTCATGTACATCTTTGTCCCTCCTATTGGGTAGAGGGTCTCGAGACTAATGTAGTCACTGATAAAATACTGAACTGAACTTCATGCAAAAGTGATTTCTGAGAAAAGGCATTAACCAAATAGTGCCTTAATTTTATTACTTGTTTTGCAGGTTTTATGTACTTAATTGCAAGTAGGAGGCTAATGAAAAATGTTTAGTTTTTGCAGTGTGGTGGTGGTGAGGGGCATCCCAGCTTGAGTGGTAGAGGTCCCAGCTTAACACAGAAATTTAGATAAATGTGGCAAATTGGTGGGATGGGCAATGTATCTCATCTGCACTGAGAGAAAAGCTCAAGGTGTAACCATTTCTGGGGCTACATGTCTAGTCATCTCTAAGAGATTGGTGGCTCCCCAGACATCCATTGCAGGGACACTAAGGAGGTCTCTTAGGAGAAGGCGTAATGAAAGAACATATTATAAACCAGGTGCTTTGCTCAGTAGAAAAGCCTCGGTCAACAAGAGAAAGAGAAAGAGTGGTTTTGAGAATACTGTGGTGTCTGCTACTTAGATTTATCTTCTGGTTCAGTCATATCTGAGTCCCATGCATCTAAGTCAGAATTATTTGCAAGACCATGTGCCAGATGAGATGCTTTCTGCTGCAGGTTGTAGAAAACTGATATGGGTTGGATGTTTGTTCCCTTCAAATCTCATGCTGAAATGTAATCCCCAGTGTTGGATGTGGGGCCCGGTGGGGGAGACTGGATCATGGGGCTGGATCCCTCACGAATGGCTCAGTGCCATTCTTGCAGTAATAAGTGAGTTCTCACTCAGAGTGAGTTCATGTGGGATCTGACTGTTTAAAAGAGTGTGGCACCTCCCACCCCCTCACTCCATCTCTCACCATGTGACACGCTGGTTCTCCTTTCACCTTCCACCATGATTGTAAGCTTGCTGAAGCCCTCACCAGAAGCAGAGGCTGTCACCACACTTCCTGTACAGCCTGCAGAACCATGAGCCAATGAAATCTCTTTTCCTTATAAATTACCCAGCCTCAGGTATTCCTTTATAGTGATGCAAATGGAATTAACATAAAAACCCAACACAAAATGTCTTGACTAGTCAAGGCCCACAGAGGCAAAGCTGCTCCAGGACTGGGTAATCCAGAAGCACAATGACATTATTCCAGGTTCCTCCCATCCTTCCATTCTGCCATTCTTGGTGAACTGTCCACATACTCACAACGTAGCTACTGAAATTCTGATCTATTCACTCGTTCATTCAACAAATATTTACCACGCTAAGATCTATTCTTAGGTAATTTGGATACATTAGCTAACAAAACAGACAATATCCCTGGCCTCATGGAGCTCACCTTCTCATAGTGAAAGACAATTTAAAAAAGTATATTAGGCCGGGAGTGGTGGCTCATGCCTGTAATCCCAGCACTTGGGAGGCCAAGGCGGGCAGATCACGAGGTCAGGAGTTCGAGACCAGCCTGGCCAGCATGGTGAAACCCCGTCTCTACTAAAAATAAAAAAAAACTAGCTGGGCGTGGTGGTGGATGCCTGTAGTCCCAGCTACTCGGGAGGCTGAGGCAGGAGAATTACTTGAACCCAGCAGGCGGAGGTTGCAGTGAGCTGAGATCATGCCACTGCACTCCAGCCTGGGCGACAGATTGAGACTCCATCTCAAAAAAAAAAAAAAAGTATATTACACATGTTAATCCTGCAGAATGAGTGTATGATAGGAAAAACCAGAAAAAACAGGACAGATGTTCCTTTTGCTATATATCACCCTAGAACTTACTGGCTAAAAATAACCATTTATCAGTATTGCTCATGGTTCTGTGAGTTGACTGTGCTCAGGTGGGTGTTTCTTGCTTGGGTTCTTTCATGTGTTTGCAGTCAGATAGTAGCCAAAGCTGAATTGATCTGAAGGCTCCATTGGAATGGCTGTTACAGTTTTTTCACTTGTACATCTGGCTCCTCACTTGGGATGGCTGCGGATCTTCGGCCAACAGCTGGGGGCTAGCCACGTATTTGTCTTTCCATGCAGCTTCCCCATGTGGCTAGCTTAGATTTGTGGCTTCTTCATGTAGACAGCACAGTGGCCTTAGAGTAGACTTAGTACAGGGCAGATCACTTTCCCCAGAGTGAGCATTCCAGAAGACCAAGACAGAAGCTACAAGACTCCTTCTTATTTAGCTTTGAACTTCTTGCAGAATCAATTCTACCTCCTTCAGTTTGTTGTACAGGAGCAGCCCAGATTTGGTGTGTTCCTCTACACAAGGAACAATTGCCTGGAGACATGATTCACAGGGAGGAGGGAGTGCCTTCCTAGAAGAGCTATCATAAAAAGGTAAGTGGGAAATGGATTCAGATGGCTGGGAAGAGGGAGATGGGGCAGTTGCTGTCTAATTAGTGTGGTCAAATTTTAAGAAGGTTTTTTTTTTTTTTAAGTTGAGATTTGAATAAGACTTGAAGGAAATGACAGAGTTAGTCACAAAGATTTCTGGAGAAAGAATGTTCCAGGTAGAATAAAGAACTACGCATAGTGCCCGGAGAAGGATGCCTGTTTAGTTCTCTAGACGAGAAAAACCTTTCTCAGAAGGTCCCTTAGCTGAATGCCCTTTGTATTTTATTACCTAAAATTGCGTAATATGACCATGTCCAATTCCGAAGAGGGCAATCAAGACTGCGAGAGCACCATGAAATAGCTCAGGACTATCATTATGTATTCCCTTGGGTTGGGGCTTCCCTTGATGCACATGATATGCAGAGGAGGGTAGATCCTCAACAAGCCTGGTGGCTGCCAGCAAAGGAGAAGGGTGTATATGGACACATTTGGGGAAAAGAAAACAAGAGTATCTTTCTTCCCCACACCCTGGGGATTAAACAATACTCCTTTTGGGCCTGTCTAACAGGACAACTCATCCCATTTTCCCAGCCCTAGATCCTGACTATCAGCAGAGAATTCTTGTGCTTGGTGTAAGAGCAGAAAAGGCTGGAAAGGCAGCGATAATGACCAGGATCAGCATCTAACTCACCCAGTGGCAAAGGGGCCACCACCCACAGAAGGTTTAAAAGTGTACACTCAACAGATAAGCAGTAGGTAGCATTCATAATGGGAAAATATGACTCTGAAAGAAAATTTTTATGTGGCACTGAGATACTTTGAGATGCATGATCAATGAAGGACCTAATTCAAAGAGGGTAACATTAAAATTCCCAAGTACAGCACAGCCACAAAAGCTGTAGCCACATGGGCAACTTTACTGCCCCTACAGTTTAAGTGTCTGATGGGAATGCCAGACCTAAGAATTGGAATTGGGGGTCCTGACTTGTTTGAAGCAAGTTAAGGTCTTTTTTTTTTTTTTTTTTTTTTTTTTTTGAGAGGGAGTCTCACTCTGTCACCAGTCTGGAGTGCAGTGGCATGATCTCAGCTCACTGCAAGCTCCGCCTCCCAGGTTCATGCCATTCTCCAGCCTCAGCCTCCCAAGTAGCTGGGACTACAGGCGCCTGCCACCATGCCCGGCTAATGTTTTGTATTTCAGTAGAGACAGGATTTCACCATTTGGTCAGGATGGTCTTGATCTCCTGATCTCGTAATTCACCCGCCTCGGCCTCCCAAAGTGGTGGGATTACAGGCGTGAGCCACCGCGCCTGGACAAGTCAAGGTCTTTTTATATTTCCTCAGTGTCACTTACAATAATCCACCTACACTTGATTTTCTCTGTTACAAAAAGATAGTATATTAAAAGGTAGTTCAGTCGATATTTATGGATGGAAACAGAGGTGAATATTTAGAAAGACTAAATCAAACTGAGATAATAAAGAAATATAAGCTATAATTCAGAGGAATGGAATGCCAAAAGTAAGGGGAGTGGAATCTGAAGTTCATGACTATGCTCTCATATTTTTTTCCTGCCAGCTGTTGGTAGAAATTATTATTATGATGATGATGATTATGATTATTATTATTTTGAGACGGAGTTTCGCTCTTGTTGCCCCGGCTGGAGTGCAATGGCGTGATCTTGGCTCACAGCAACCTCCGCCTCCTGGGTTCAAGCCATTCTCCTGCCTCAGCCTCCCGAGTAGCTGAGATTACAGGCATGTGCCACCACGCCCAGCTAATTTTGTATTTTTAGTAGAGATGGGGTTTCTCCATGTTGGTCAGGCTGGTCTCGAACTCCGGACCTCAGGTGATCCACCCGCCTCGGCCTCCCAAAGTGCTGGGATTACAGGCGTGAGCCACTGCGCCTGGCCAGAAATTATTATATGAAACTAGAAGCCTGTTCAATTTTAACAAAAGGATGCAGATATGATGCAACTGTTGAACATAAGACAAATTAAAATATTTTCTTTCTTTTCTTTTCTTTCTCTCTCTCTCTTTCTTTCTTTTTTAGATGGAGTCTCCCTCTCTACCCAGGCTGGAGTGCAGTGGCATGATCTCAGCTCACTGCAACCTCCACCTCCCGGGTTCAAGTGATTCTCCTGCCTCAGCCTCCTGAGTAGTTGGGATTACAGGCATGCGTCACCATGCCTGGCTAATTTTTGTATTTTTGATTGAGACGGGGTTTTACCATGTTGGTCAGGCTGGTCTCGAACGCCTGACCTCATGATCTGCTCACCTCGGCCTCCCAGAGTGCTGGGACCACAGGTGTGAGCCACCGCACCTGGCCCAAATTAAAATATTTTCATTGCAAATACAAAATACCAAGAGGTTCTATATATAATCTTTGAAAGTACCCTTTCTATTTAAAGATCAGGATTTTTTTTCACATGTCTAGAAAGAAATTTGGTTCAATTCTATTCACTATGTATTTATTGGGAACCCATTAGATGTGTAATATAATCAAATATCAATAGATTATAGAAAAGAAGAGAGTCCTTTTTCTTACAACCCAGCAGGGCGGAAAGGATTAAATTCTTCTTATAAAGGGAGAACAAATAGATTAGAAAAGACGCTGCGTAGTCAAGTTCAGAAAAGTGAGAAAGTTTAGAAAGGTTTCATAGAGATGAACTGCAGTTCTAATAATAAAACTTAACATTTTTATAACATTTGATAGTTTCGGAAGCAGTTTCACAGACCTTATCTCATTGCTTCACATGGACCTTGTAAGACAGGTGGGATTTGGATAAGTAGTTCCTTTAAAAAATGTCTTCGAATATTGTACATTTAGACTGACAAATGCCTTTATTAGAATAAAGGGAAAAGGTATGTGAGAGACATAGAGAGCAAATTTTGGGTTCTAGTTCCACAACTAACTAGCTGTGTGAACTATGAACTATCATGTGGTGTCTTTGTAAACTCAAGGGTTGGATTTCTGGACTTTCTGTGCTGAAGTGTAAAACTAAAAATATTAAAATATTCAGTAATTCAAAGTGGATATTTTAAAAGCAATGAAACATATCAGTAGATTCAATTGTTTTCTTATTTATTTTTATGATTTGATATTTTATATTTTTAGATTTCAATTTTTATTTTAGACTCAAGGGGTACATGTGCAGGTTTATTACATGGGTATATTGTGTGACACTGAGGTTTGGAGTACAGTTGAACCTGTCACCCAGGTAGTGAGTATAGTACTCGATAGGTAGTTTTTTCAGCCCTTGTCCCACACCCTCCTGCCCTTGTCACTAGTGCCTGTTGTTCCCAACTTTACATCCATGTGTACCCAAAGGTTAGCTCCTGCTTATAAGTGAGCACATGCATTATTTGGTTTTCTGTTTCTGCTTTAATTCGCTTAGGATAATGACCTCCAGTTCCAACCATGTTGCTACAGAGGACATGATTTCCTTCTTTTTCATAGCTGTGTAGTATTCCATGGTGCATATATGCCACGTTTTCTTTATCCAATCCACCATTGATGGGCACCTAGGTTGACTTTATGTCTTTGCTATTGTGAATAGTGCTGCAATGAACATATGAGCGCACGTCTTTTTGGTAGAAAAATTTATATTTCTTTGGGTACATACCAAGTAATGGAAGTGCTGGGTCAAATGGTAGTTCTTTTTTTTCTTTCTTTCTTTTTTTTTTTTTTGAGACAGAGTCTTGCTCTGTTGCCCAGGCTGGAGTGCAGTGGCATGATCTCGGCTCACTGCAACCTCCGCCTCCTATGTTCAAGTGGTTCTCCTGCCTCAGCCTTCCGAGTAACTGGGATTACAGGTGTCTGCCACCATGCCCGGCTAATTTTTTTGTATTTTTAGTAGAGATAGGGTTTCACCATGTTGGCCAGGCTGGTCTCGAACTCCTAACCTCAGGTGATCCACCCACCTCGACCTCCCAAAGTGCTGGGATCACAGGCGTGAGCCACGACACCCGGTCATTTTTTTCTTGGAGTTTTGGCAAAACTATTTAAGTGTTGGTTAACCTTATGAAGCCACAAATTTAGATGTAAGTACTACGTCTTCAGAAATTATAGTTTTTTTCCCCTAATTTTTCTCCTCTGGTATAACTTTCTGCTTATTTTTATAGTTTTCAGTAACATTTTAACTTAGTTTTATGCATTCATCTATTCAAGACATTTATAGAATGCTTACTATATGAAAGACACTGCCAAATGTCAGTAGATGTGGTATTCAGGGCCTCTGTCCTTATGGAGCTCACATTCAGATAGGGGAAACAGACTTTCATTAAACAAGCCACCAAACACATAGCTATAGATTTTCGTAAGTGCTGTGAAGAAAGCAAACAGGATGCTCTCTGTGATAATGATGGGAAATCTTCCCTAGATGTGACTTAATTATACATTAACTCTGCAGTCCATTACTTCAAATGATCCCTAGTTATTCAATTTACATACTGGAATTTTACAACCCTGTTTAGTTAGTCCCAGGCTTCAGGCCATTTAAAACAAAAGATATAGATGAATAGAAGAGTCACTCAGCTTGTCTTCATCCTTCAGATCTCGGTCAAAGGTCACTTTTATTGGGAGGGTGTCCTGATTGCCCTTTCCTGCCTCTCACCCTTACTGCAGCGCGCGCGCACACACACACACACACACACACACACACACACACACACACACACACACACACACATTTAGGTCCTTACTATATATTCTGGTAGTGTCCTGTATTTTCTTTCCTGACACATTTGTAATTATTTTATGAGATTTAAAAAATTACTGTCTGTCATCCCAAGAAACCATAACCTCCATGAGGGCAGAGAAGGTCTGTCTATGACTGAATCCCTATCATCTCAAACAGAGTTTGGTAAAGAGTAGACACCAGAAAAAAATAATTATTGAATGAATGATTGAACAAAGGAGGATTTCCGTTCACTTCAGCAAGACTTTGATGATTCAACCCTCTTGGTCCTACAGAAGAGTGATTCTAGTTTTTAGTCTGTGAATGATTCAGGCTCTGAGTTAAACAGGCAATTCTTGAGATCGTGGTCTGAAATTCATACAACCCTCCTACTTTAAATTTCCTCAACTCATGATCCAGGTGATTCCTGACAAATTAATAAATGTGAGAATGATGCTGTTCTTTTTGTTTAAAGGGTCGAATCATAAATGAATAGGAAATGTTGTCATGTCAATTCAACTTTTTATCAGAGGAGTGGTACTGCATAGTTAGGAGTTCTGACAGATTCCCCAGGCAGACTGTCTGGGTTCAAATCCTGGCTCTCTCACTTACCTGATATATGACCACAGGCAAGTCACTTAACCCTTGGGCTCCTCATTTTTCTAACCTGTAAAATGAGGTTAAAATTGTACCTCCCTCACTGGGTTACGTGAGGCTTAAAAGCATTAGCACATGCAAAAGTGCTTATAATTGTGAATGGCATACAGTAAGTGCTAGGTAAGTTCTCACTATTAATCTCAGTAAGCGTAATGCTCACTAAAATTATTTTCAAATTTATACCATATGACTACATTGATTGTCTGAATAAAGTAAAACTATGTATAAAGGCTGTACTTCTGATATAAGAATCATCTTCTAATTTATTATATTTCCACCCTCCCGTCTCCTTTAGTAAATTAATTAATATATTAAGGGAGAGGACAACTTATATCACAGTGATCATTATATTAAGGACATTATAGCATTTATAAAAATAAAGAAGTATTATGATAAACTGTATGAATTTGAAATTCACTTTGTGGTATTTACCTTTAAAAGTAGCATTTCTGAATTTCATACGCTAGTTTCCATTCCCCTTTATGGAGTTGGCTTTAACACGCAGCTTCTCATGTGGCCTGAAAGGGGATTCTTTCTACTTTCTAGAGGAATGTGCTGTGAAGGAGGAGTCGGGAATCTTACTGGCGGCCATGTGAGAACAGCAGCTCTTTGAATGCTGGGTATGATGTAGCATGGGAACTGTGAGCAGCTACTGGCGGAGTGTTTCACATGCAGCGCAGCGGGGCAGTGGGAAAGGCAATGAAGAAAACAACCAGTGCAAACAAATGCAGAAGAAAGGGTGGGGCGGGGTCAAACTCCAGGGAAGGAGAGAGGTCAGCCCAGAGAGACAAGAACACTTACAAGAACAAAGAATAAAGCAGTGAGAAATTGGAGACAAGGGCAAATGTCAGTTGCAGAATAAGGGAAAAGGACAAGAAAACATGACCATCATGGCAATTTTAAATGCCTGGAATTATATACATGTTTCTAGTAAGGAACTAGAGGTCTCAGGAAACTAAAATAAATACATGCATGCATAAATACATTTTGCTATTTAAACACATTTACTAGGAACACATTCCATTTTTAAAAACAATAATAAACACACTTACATGGATTACCATAATAGCTAGCCTTAGAACTAGCAAAAATAGTTCCCGATTAAAACAAATTAGAAATTAGTATATAAAGATCAAGCAATCAAGTAGCCTAATTAATACTTTATAATGATTTGGGTTCACTTTATAAAATATCTGAAAATAATAATATGCTTTTCATTCTCTTAAATTCATAAATATTTCTTTGGCTCCTGATGGCTTCATTCCCATTTTATACTTCATATAATTTTTTCATCACATTCTGTACATCGTTCATTTATCCCCCTGTAGTTTCACACATCCTGATGCCTTCAAAAAAAAAAAATAGAGAATTCCCTTGAAAACCAGACCATTCTTCTCCTAGGGTGAGAAAGACAGACTCTGGAATATTTGGGCCATATTAGTTTCAAGGCTACCTGAGCAATTTCGATAACAGTCCTCTTGACTAAAGTACAATTAGTTGTACAAACATTGAAAACCAAATGTTCTTAAGCTTGACAGTACGCTTTGACCTCAGTATGCTCTAAGGGTGGTCACTAACCTGGGCATTTAAATTTATACTCTCCTTCTTCAATTCTTTAAAGGGTTTTGTTTACATCCTTTTTTTCCTAACAGAGTTGAGGTTAAGCATAAATGATTATTCTCTCCTTACTGAAAAGATGTTTTCCTGGAACTTAATTGTCCTTTTTTCACGGGTCATTCTATTCCTAATATCAACAAATCCTTCTGTGACCTAACCTTTTCAAAAACAAACACATACTTCTTTCTTTTTTTTATTTCCTTTACTTTTAGCTTTTACAAAACTCTGGCCAGTGGGCACATCAGACTAGATATTATAGTTGAAATATTTACATAAGAGCAACCTATAGTTTAGAATATGTTAGAGCAGTTTTTCCTACATCTTACTGCAGTATTTTGGGAGAGGTGCTTTCTAATTTGTTTTAACCCTGTGTATTTCTCAATAACATTCCAAAAACTGGAGAATTGCCACATAATAAAAGTACTACTTAGTATCTGCTAATTGAGAAAAGGCTATTAGCTGATAAAAACTTGTATGCTTTGTAACACAACTGCTTTACTTACAAAAACCAGTGGTATATGGGCAACATAATTTTGTATTCAAGCTACAGACAATGCTTGATGCAAAAATATATTTTTGCACCTCTCTGTAAAACTCTATCATCTGTAGTTTGGGAATGAATTTCTATATGTGGTTACAAATAGACAGCATCTCCTGGGAGCATGATAGAAATGCAGAATTGCAGGCCTCACCCGATACTAAATTTCTGGGGGCGGATTGGTTTAACAAGCTTTGCAGGTGATTCTTATCCATGCTAGATTTTGAAAACTTTTAGGCCAATGCTATCCAACAGAAATATAATGAGTGCTACATGTACAATTTTAAATGTTCTAGTAGGCACATGTAAAAATTTTGCAGAAACACTGCCCATTGTTGTAGCCGAAGCAACAGGCTCACTTCATTCATTTTCAAGAAAAATAACCAAGTTTGAATAATCATAATAAATGAGTGAAATTCATTATGACATTTTACCCAAGCAAATACATAAAAATACTATCATTTCAACATGTAATCAATATAAAAATAATGAGATATTTTACATTCTTTTTTTGGTACTAAGTCTTTGCATCCTGATATATATATATATATATAACATATACATATTACATATATATCATATATATAACATACATATTACATCTATATCATATATATAACATATACATATTACATGTGTATATATTACGCTTACTACACATCTCACTTTCGACTGGCTACATTGAAGGGCTCAATGGCCATATGTAGCTATCATATTGGACAGCACAGTTCTAGACCATGTGATTTGAAATACAGTAAATATAAATCCATATAGCAGCAAATTGTGTTTCTGGGGATCTATTAACAGTTTCCCTTCATCCTCCACGTTTCCCTTTATCTTCCTCTTTCTGCCTCATAGAAAAGTTAAGTGCTTGGTTCTCCATGATCCTGCAGCACTTGAACACTCCTCCAACACAGAGTTTTTGGGATGGCATTATACTTAATTTCCCCAGAGTCTAAACCCTTCACAGTGTCTTACAGAAGTCATATATATATTTTTTTAACTTTTAAATTTGTCTGTACCTGACAAGTACTTAACATAGAACAGGGGTTATCAAAGTGTGGTCCATGATTCAGCAGCATTAGCCTCACTTGAAAGTTTGTTAGAGATGCAGATTCTCAAGCTCCACACCAGACCCACTGAATCATTTGAAACTTGGTATGTGGAGCCCAGTTATCTGTGTTTTAATAAGCCTTCCAGGTGAATTTGATGCTTGTTAAAATTTGAGAACCACTAATGTAGGAAAACATATTTATTTGGAGAATGGCCTCATATTTATCATTTTCTCCTGAGTTCTGTGGTAGAACCACAAGCTGAATCATTTTAGTCTTCTTAAAGAAAGAAAAAGTCAAGAAGGACATGCTAGAAAGACATCGGTAGATGTCTTCTCCTTATCCCCAGTTAGTGATAGGCCGACATTATTTGTAAGAGCAGATGGCTAGGCTCTCTGTCCAGAAGTGACCCCATAATGCAAAATGATTAGTACAGGATCATTAAAAAACAAAAAAGAAAGATATGAGGAAAATGTTCAAAATCTGTCAACACATTTAAAGGATCAAATCCTGTGCTCAATGATGGTAAGAACAAACATACATAGATACAGATAAAAGACCTGCTTAGAAAATCCTATCTCACCAAAGTAAAGAATATAAATGGTTCTGATATAAGAATTGCTTGTTGGAAAAAAACTGGTTAGTTTTTTTAAAATGAAGCCACACAAATACTCCTATTGTTTAGCTAACTATGATCCCATCACATCCTCTCACAAAGCTTACTACTATGACTATATAGACCAAGTTTCCAGTAAGAAATTATTGAATAATTTGTAAACCAGAGATAATAATGGGTACTGCTTTTGTAGTATCAGTGTTATGATAGTATGTAAGTATGTATATTTCTGGTTTTTAACACTGAGAAAGGATGAGAGGGGTGGGCCATCATGGAAGTAATAAAAGAGAACCCATCTTTAAAGCTTTACTTAATATAGCATAAGCAGTAAAGGGAGTTTTGTTTAGTATGTCCTTGGACCAAACAGGATCATTACAATGTCTTCTAGGTACACAGTAGATGCTCAATCAGTGCTGACTGAATGAAAGAACAAAGGGATGAAAGAAGGAATGAAGTTTGCAAAAGATGAGGCTCTAGATCCCTGCGACAGCAAGTTACCACAGAGGTATACAGATGGAGTGTAATGATGTCTACATGACTTTGGAAGAAGCTTAGGAAACCTTTAAAAAACATACATAATTTATGATACTGTTCTTTGACATATGTAAAGAATCTAATAGCTGGAAATGCCTTCATATTATTCAGATTTTAAAGGTGTTTGCATTCCATGAGTTCCTACAGTCAATAAAACAAATACTCCTTATGTTAAAGTGTTTTTGCAGCTTTTGTGCTATTTGTGGGTTTACTCATGAGTAAAGAAAAATGGTATAATATTCCTTTATATACTACTTGCGCTTGGTGAATAAAGAGATTGACTGCATTACTCAGTGTGTGTACTATTTCAAAATTAGAAAGGTTTATCATCATTTTAACTTTTTTCTCACCTGGTTTAGATATTCGTTTCTACTTGGTCAAATATTAGCATTAGTTTGGCTTTAAGAGCTGATTCACTGAAATCACTTTTGGCTGATTTTAGTACAATTGCTGAGTTCTAAAGGCAATGAGGAATATAATGCTTTAAAATTTTATATTTGAAACAAGTGTGATTTCTAAGGGGTACACTGAACTGGGTTCATTAATCCATTGGTTTATAAAAGGAAGATTTAAAAGTTAATATACCTAAGAATCATTTCAAAAAAGAAGATACATGTAAAAAAGTGAAGTATTTTACACCTGTATTGTCCAAAATAGTTTTAAAGTATTGCTTTTTTTTTTTTTTTTTGGAAATGGTGTCTTGCTCTGTTGCCCAGGCTGGAGTGCAGTGGCATGATCTCAGCTTACTGCAACATCCGCCTCCCGGGTTCAAGCGATTCTCCTGCCTCAGCTTCCCAAGTAGCTGATCTACAAGCGTGCGCCACCACACCCAGCTAATTTTTGTATTTTTAGTAGTGATGGGGTTTCACTATGTGTTGGCCAGGCCGGTCTTGAACTCCTGATCTCAAGTGATCCACCCGCCTCACCCTCCCAAAGTACTGGGATTACAGGCGTGAGCCACCACACCCAGCCATTATTGCTTTGTTAAGTCCAAACGTAATAGGATTTTGAGAAGAGGAGACAAAAAGAGCATGGGAATAGCAGTTCGAAAAACCTGACTCAGATCTTGACTGATACAAGTTATGTGACTGTGACTGTGGTACTTCATGTTTCTAAGCCTCGGTTTCCTTACACGTAAAAGGGAATAATGATAATAGGTAATCATAATCATAATACAAAATCACAAGGTTGTGATTCTTAGATGAGAGAATGCACATGAGGACTTTTTCTAACTGCAAGGAGTGATGGTTTCCT
Source organism: Homo sapiens (assembly GCF_000001405.40). Lineage (NCBI taxonomy): Eukaryota > Metazoa > Chordata > Mammalia > Primates > Hominidae > Homo > Homo sapiens. Next base: position 31,440,731 of record NC_000023.11, read on the forward strand.
ACACCACAAAAAGTCAAATGGTCAAATAGTAACATGCATACCAATGTGTCTACTTTGAGGAAGAAAATAGGACTTCATTCCCACAGAAAATTTCAAACAGGCAAACCAATGTCTCTTACATTTCTATTAGAAGATTCAAAGTCAGTTTGGAATTCTCTATACATTATGATTCTATACATAGGTAAATTGTGACTGGGTTTGACTGTATTGTTGGTGCTCACATCCCTTAACTGGTTTCACCATTTTGACTGATATTACAGACAGCTAAAAAACTAGCATGGCTTTCCTTGAAAATTAAATGAATGGATAATGCAAAGAACCCAGGATATTCTGATATCAAGTAGACACGGCCTGATAGTATGTAACTCTAATCTTTCTATTATACTATTTTGCCCAAATTTAAGACTCTTCTTCTTTTCTCAGGTTTACATCTGCCTTTCTACTACTCCAGTTCTCTATTTTTATTTTATTTTATTTTATTTTTGAGACCGAGTCTGGCTCTGTCGCCCAGGCTGGAGTGCAGTGGCACGATCTCAGCTCACTGCAACCTCTGCCTCCTGGTTTCAAGCAATTCTCCTGCCTCAGCCTCCAGAGTAGCTAGGATTACAGGCACGCACCACCACACCCAGGTAAGTTTTGTATTTTTAGTAGAGATGAGGTTTCACCATGCTGGTCAGGCTGGTGTCAAACTCCTGACCTCAAGTGATCCGCCTGCCTCGGCCTCCCAAAGTGCTGGGATTACAGGCGTGAGCCACCATGCCCAGAGAGTTCTTTACTTTTTGATTGTTCTTTGTCTTAGTGGACAGAGGCAAAGATGAACTTGTACTTGGTTTTTATCACGATTTAAAGATTGACATAGCATTGTGACTAAATTCTTTATTTTCATAGAAATATGTCTTTTTTGACATTTACTATTTAAAAAAATATGATGTCATAATGGTGGTGGGCTCAAGCTTCCCGCCATAGAACTTGGATAATGCGTTAGCCTCACATACATTGTTCTAAATATAAAATATTCTCAACAGGATGTATGAATTGCTTTTCCAGTAATGGGAAAAAAATTGCTTGATGTGAACCTCATTTCTTGCTTTCTTCTCTTTCTGAACAAGGCCTCACATTTATAATGTAGCAGAATTACTATCAAAGAAAAGAATGGAACTAACTTGACTCGGTTATATGCAAACCAAAACCTTGGATTTATCAGCTTTCTGCTAAAAACACTTTTTAAGCATATCTTTAAGGTCATGTTCAAAAATAGAAACATGAAATTTGCTACAATATAGAGCAGACACCACAAACTGAACTGTTTAATAGGAGAAGGCTGTGTATATGTGGGTTTAGGGAAGAAGAGATTAAAAGTTAGAGTTATACAAGGAGAAATATAATTTCAACAAACCACATTTGTATTATGAATAAAGAAAGGAACTTCATTGGTTTTAAACTAAATTCTGTCAAATGTGTATCTCCCCCAGATATCTAGAGACAGAATCATAAGATTGAACTGTATGTGACCTTAGACAAAATAGATTTCTGCATTTTAAAAATGAGGAGAATTAAAGCTGAGAGAGGTTAAATGGCTTTCTCACAATAACACGGTCAAATAATGGCTGAGCTTAAGTTTGAAGTTAGACCTCCTAATAGTCAATCCAATGCTCTTTTCGCTATATCATACTATCTCCTTACATGTGTTTTCCTGTACTTATAACCAAGTTTTTACTCATTGTAAAGAATGGCTACATAGTAAGCTATTTACTGTTTTTGATACCTTAAATGCAAATAAATAGTGCAACTAGAATGGATCACTTAGCATTGATTAAAAAAAAAAAAACTTTTCTTACTAGTCATAATCCTTTGACCTCATTTGGAAATCTACCTGCCACTGTCACAAATCTTTTACCACGTTCTGAAAGCAAACGTGGCATTCTGCTCTCTAAAAGAAATTATAAAATATACTTCTAGAACACTTATATGGGACTAATGTGGCCATTGGTTTTCTTTGGACATTTATTACTTTCCTTATTTATACTTAAGATGAAAAACATACTAAGGATGGAACAGATAAAATTTTAATAGTACTCAACTACTATGGAGCAAACAGAGAAAGGCATATAATCACTTAGCTATATCGCCTTGCTTTAGTCGATGCCACTTATAACAATCTAGAATACAAATCTTTCAGGACTATCCATCACAACAAGAATTAAATTATGTGAGATCTCAAGAGGTCTGGGATTTGCAACTTATCTTTATTAAAGATCTAGCAATTCTTTAACAGGCCTCTCAATCACACCCCTAAATGGACTGACAATAGGAAAGTGATTTGGTTTATTATATTTTTCTTATTAAAAAGTTAAAACCAAATAGTTTTAAACCCAGTTTCCTCAGAGGCATACCTTCTGCATCCTGTTGGAAAGGAGAAAATTGGAAAGGAGAGAAAATGATTCTCTAATTCTACGGTTAAACTAATTTTAGGGTTTTGGGGTATAACATGGTGTCCTTCACACTGAGAAGGTAGACGCACCTCTTCCACCACTACAACCATTACTCTGCATGAATTAACTCATTCGATGTTACAGTAACCATGTTAGAGATGAGTAAATGGACAACCACAGAGATTAAGTGGCCTCAAGGTCACTCAGCTAATATGTTGGATTCCAAAACCTGTGTACTGTAATAATAATAATAATAACAACATCAAGAGCTAGAATTTGTAGAGTGTTTATCATTTGGCATGTTCGCTCCCGAGCACTTTCCATTTATTTTGACTTATTCATCCTAATAATAAACTGATATTGCAGAGAATTTTATTATCGCATTTTTTTTTTTTTGATGAAAGACTGAGGCTCAGAAAGGTTAAGTAATTTGCTCCAGGTCCCATGGCTAGTAAGTGTGACCTTGAGCAGCACACTTACATTGCCTGTATTTATTACGCAAACCTACGAAAAACTTCCACATGTAAGTTTGTGATAGGATGCTCTTTCTTTAAATGACTTTTGGACACATCTTACTATTGACTCTTGTTTAAATTAGGATTCTAAAGGGAAAGATGTTTTTGAGAATCCAAGCAGTAAGAGTACAAAGGAACTGCATGGTGGCAATTCACATCTTCCATCATGATTCAGCATTATTTTCTGTTTATCGTAAGAATACTGCTACACAGAGTTTGGATGTTCCCTCTAACTCGCGTGTTGAAATCTGATCCCCCGTGTTGGTGGTGAGGCCTAGTGGAAGGTGTCTGGGTTGTAGGAGTGAATCCCTCATGAATGGTTTGGTGCCATTCTCACGGTAGTGAGCGAGGTTTTGCTCTAGCAGTTTTCATGAGAACTGGCACCTCCCCTCCCTCTTTTTCTCCTCCTCTCTTGCCGTGTGATCTTTGTACACCAGCTCCCCTTTGCCTTCTGCCATGAGTGGAAGCAGCCTGACGCCCTCGCCAGAAGCAGATGCTTCTTGTACAGCCTGCAGAACTGAGCCAAATAAACACCTGTTCTTTATGAATTACCCAGCCCCAAGTATTCTTTTATAGCAACACTAAACAGACTAAGACATATACTAAGTCTTAGTTGCTTCCAAAATTAATATTAATAATTTGAAAATGTTTAGATGGGAATTATAAACTAATATAAAATATCCTATCCTCACAAATATTACCATGAACATTACATGAAAAAAGTACTTTCATTGTTCTTTACAAATTTTATCTGTATATTATTTTACTGTAACAAAGGACAACAATGTTTACAATGTGCTTACCTGCAGAAGCTTCCATCTGGTGTTCAGGTCTTCCAGAGTGCTGAGGTTATACGGTGAGAGCTGAATGCCCAAAGTGGTAAGCTGGCGAGCAAGGTCATTGACGTGGCTCACGTTCTCTTTCAGAGGCGCAATTTCTCCTCGAAGTGCCTGTGTGCAATAGTCAAAAGCAAATTGGAAGATGAGAATATTTAAAACAAGAAGAACTGATACCTGGGCTTATTCTCTTTAGGGTGCAGTGCCAGTAATGTTTGCTCTATGCTACGGTTTGAATGTTTGTGTCCCCCCTCAAATTCCTATGTTGAAATCCTAAAAAATAAAAAGGAAACGAAATCAAAACACCTAAGGCAATGGTATTAGGAGATGGGGCCTTTAGGGAGGTGATTTTTGGGATTAGCGCCCTTATAAAAGAGACCTCAGAGAGCTAGCTAGCTCCTTTCAGCATGTGAGGGTGCAGTGAGAAGGTGCTTTGTATGAGGAATGGGCCTTCCCCAGACACCAAATCTGCTGGTATTTTGATCTTGGACTTCTCAACCTCCAGAACAGTGAGAAATAAGTTTTTGTTGTTTCACAAGCTATCCAATTTATGGCATTTCTATTATAGCAGCTGGAACAGACTAAGACAGTCTCTTGTGGTAGTATTATAACAATGGATATTTGTTAATGGGGGAATAATGATAACTACTATTTGTTGAGCACTTCCTAGGTGCCTAATGCCATGATGAGCTCTATTCATACATAAACTGATTTTATTTCTACCCAACAATCCTATGAGGCCAGTAGTTGGAGAATTCTAATTTTATACATGAGAAAACAAACTTGCAGAGGTTTGTTTTCAAAACAAACAAACCTTGCCAAGCTCTCATGGGTAAAAATTGAGGAACCTGGGATACCTATATGCAGGTTTGCCTGCCTCTAGAATATATATTCTTAACTATTATGTTATATGCTTCCCCTAAGAAATTCTGGATTGGCAAAGTAACAAGAAAAATATATTGCTGCTGGATTCTAAATTCTACTCATGTCACAACCAGAAATGGATCCTTATTTTTTACAATAGAAAGATATATTCAGTCATAAAATATTGCATGCATACTTTGCACCAACCACATCATAACAGTTTCATTTAGGGAGTAGGGTATTTTGTCAAGTCCTCAGAATGACTTCCTGATCTCCTGGTATTTTAGCCCTTGTAGCAATGACTTCAGAAGGCTCCCGTGGGGCTTCTCAGCTGTCTTTGAAGCACTAGAGCAGGAGTCTCTGATGCAATACATCATAGCAATCCGTTGAGCAGAAGAACCCTATGCAGATATGGGGAGGATATTACCACGCCTCATATCTACCCTATCGAGATGGCATTTATGGATCTTTAACATGATGCATGATGTCCAAATGTTCCAATAAGCAATTTCTAAGGGACAAATTCCCTCACTTAGGAGAACAGTTTGTGTAATGTAATGTCTGTGTACAAGGACAGCACCACTTGACTATACGTGTTGTTTTGACTTGCTTGATCTGGGCAGGTGTTATTTCTCTGTCTGGTTCACTATGTTGATAAAACCATTGGTTACACTGACCTCATTTATAAGCCTTGCATTTCCTCCCACTCCAAATAAAAGGAGCCAGTATGAACATTCAAAATAAGAACGACATTATCCTCTCAAATCAACCTGAATACTTCATCAGTAAACCGTGGTGCTGTATAGAGCATAACACTGTTGTGTAGTTCTTAGATAATACAAAACATTGTGATAATCACTCTGTTGAACTTAAAGTTTTAAAAAGTGGTCATTAAAAACATTACGTTAAGCAATCAGGGGGTTTCTTTTGGACGATAACGAAAATGTTCTGGTATTAAACAATGGTGATGGTGGCACAATCTTGTGAATATACTAAACACCACTGAATTGTACACTTTGAAAGAGTGAATTTTAAAGTATGTGAATTATATATTAATAAAAACAAACAAAAGAGAGCCCCTTCTGACCATACACATGCAAAAAAAAAATCATATGTGATGTATTCATCTGTATTCAACTTCGTGTTAGTGGAATGTCACTGGAATCAGTGTGAAATTCAGAAAGTTTTATAGGGGTGGATAGTAAATATTGTTCCATTTCCTTATGAATAAATACATGGATTAAAAGTATCAGAATAAGGGCCCATGGAGAAAGGTGGTTTAAATCCATATATATGAATACTTATCTCTAAAAGGAAATGATCCATATTAATTTTGTTTTGCATAATAGAAAGGTTAGAAAACAGATTTCTTAAATGTCAATGGGGGAAACTTGGACAAGGACAACGGTTACAAAATGAAATCATTCTCTTCTGGATAATAACGTGCATTTCTAGTAGCCACAAATAAATATCATGTGAGGGGAAACTGTAAACAGGAACCTCTGCAGAGAGGGCAAGCCAGCAGGCAGCATCTTTCAGTGATACAGGTGAGTCCTTTGTGCTAATCATCTCTCTTTACAAGCAAGACTCTCAAGCCATTAAGTTGATTATCCTACCTCGTTAAGCCATAGCTAGATTTCAGTTCCCTTTAGGTGACACAATGTACATTTTCAAATGTCTCTTATTAGAATATTTTGATTTTCATTTTCTCTCCCAAATTCCTGAGCACACATATTAATCCTGCTTCAATGTTTTGGAGGATGAAGGGGATTCAAAAATAAGTTTTGGTACTCATAATTAATTGCAATGCTCTCCCTTTTCCTCTTTTTTTTTCTTTTTAAAATTTACTTTTCTTCTTTAAACTTTACCATAAGATCTTGGGATTTTTTTTTTTTTTTTTTTTTTTTTTGCTTCTTTCAAGCAATGATAGTGGAAGTTCTCTGAACTAATCTCCACTTAAGACTCACCAAATTAGCCAAAGTCTTCATTCTCTTTGTGAAACAGCAGTGATGGGAACCTCTCACAGCCTCAATAAAATGTTCGAGGTGCCTGTCAGTATGTGTGGACCTTCTGCTCCCATCAGTTGACTTGTTACAACCGTCAGTTGTGTGTATGTTCTCAAACCTATCTTTGCCAGTAACTGTTGTGATTATGTAATTTAATAAAGAAAGATTTCCTAAATCATAAAAATATTAGTTTAAAAAGAAAAGAAAAAAGTTATTATTTCTATAAAAACCAGGCCAAATACTCTGGAGAGTTGCTTCAAAAAGAAAAAGAAAATAAATATTGTTGAAGTAGTTGTGAACAAGACAACTGCTAAAGATGAAGAAAACAACCCAGACCAGGTGGGGTGGCTCAAGACTGTAATCCCAGCACTTTGGGAGGCTGAGGTGGGTGGATGGGTGGATCACTTGAGGTCAGCAGTTCGAGACCAGACTGGCCAACATGGTGAAACCCTGTCTCTACTAAAGATACAAAAATTATTCGGGCGTGGTGGCACATGCCTGTAGTACCAGCTACTCAGGGGGCTGAGGCATGAGAAGCGCTTGAACCTGGGAGGTGGAGGTTGCAGTGAGCCAAGATGGCACCACTGCACTCACTCCAGCCTGGGTGACCCAGCAAGACTCTGTCTCCAAAAAAAAAAAAAAAAAAAAAAGAAAAAATGCCAAATATTCAGTTTAATCTGAATTCCTAAATTTCTGTTAAAATATTTGACAATGGAAGCTTTGACTGGTGTGAGGTCAGTTGATAAACAGATAACTGGGGGCAAAGGTTCACTTTGGGGAAGTCTCTAGATGGGGTTGAGCAGACTAAAGGACTTCAGTCAGCTAGAAATCATCATGAGGGCACTCAACGCATGAAGGTGGAAGAAAGGAGATAACAGATGGTAGGAAAGATAAAAAGGAAAAGGAGGCAGGAGAATGCTCATGTCAGTCTTCACTTTGGCATTTGATTTAGGTTTTGGTAGCAGCTTTTACCACCCAAGGATGGCTCACCACTGTGGGCTCTCAGTGCCCAGCAGCATACATAACAAGAAGTATGGCCGCCTAAACACAGAGTCACAAGACCTTCACCCTGTAAAGGGTGAACACAGGTACTTTGCTATTTAAATAGATGTGACATTGGTTTGGCTATATTTCACAGATTAGAGCTTTTAATATGACACACATAAATTTGTGTTTAAATTATTAAACACTACACCTAAAATGTCAAAAAGCACAGTTAACGCTGAGCAATACGAGGTGCTATTTAAGTGATATCAGGATTGCATTAGGTTTTTTTTCTAGTTTGGAAGCAGTAAGTGAGAAAACATTGAAGAAAGCCATTATATTGTGGGTTTTCTTTGAATCACTTAAACATCTGGAATATGTTCTCCATGAAAGAGCAAACCAAGTCTAATTTTATTATGACTAGTTTCTCACAGGCAGAATTTTCAGTTCATTAAATGTTGTCTGATTATAGATACAAAAGTACTGATTTAGAATGATAGGTAAGTCTGATATAATAAGTTTTTCTTCATATAAAATTAAATTGCCTGTCATATCTTTGCTTATCTTTATGTAGCTAAGGATTTGTTCAAATACACATTTAAAATTATAGTCATCTACTACTTTTCTAAGAAAATAAAGGAATTGTCTATTAACAAGGGAATCTTATTTTTGAGGGAGGAATTTTGACTTGACAGTTAAGAGAACATTCCTACTGCAAAGCACAGAAGGTCAGTTGGAAAGACTAGAAAGAGTAAATTGAGGGAATTCTGCTTGGAGGGGTTTTATTTCCTCTGTGAAGTAGGAATCAACAGACCTGGCATAGTCTGCAGTGCCTGGCATAGCGTGCAGTGCCTGGTGTGCAATGAATAGTCACTGAATGAAAACATGAATTAAGGGTAAGTGGGAACATTTGAATTAATCGTAATAGAGACTGTGAGAGGGAGTTGACCTAAGAGATGTAATGAGGTTGGCAAACAGTGTTGAGGGCCCACTTGAGGATGAGGTTCAACATTTTTTAGCAGAACCAATCTGCCTGACTTTCTCATTTTCTCCAACAGTGTTGCATGTAAGCATGGGGAAAACAGTTGATCCAGGTTTGGGGTTTCGTCAGATGACTGTGGCTCACACATTTAGGGATAAGGGAGTTTCGATATTAGCCAGGATGTAATTGAAAAAATATACTGTGGAATCTAAACTGGATTAGGAGGAAAGCAAAGCAAAATGAAGCTTGTAGATGGAGAGAAAGTAGAGGGGTCAGTTGTAGAAGTCCAGGATAATCCATAAAAGGCCACAGCAGGAGTAGCTGCACAAACAAGCGACAGAGAGGGGAGACTCTGGGATGCTCAGATTAGCTCTACTGGATTTGCCACTTATGAGTTTATTTATAAATGGTGTGATATATATATATATATATATATATATATATATATAGATAGATAGATAGATAGAAATCTGGCTATATATATATAAATATATATAGTGCTACTCAGTGTTTGAAAAACTTCCCTTCTTAGGGATATTAAATATTCCTCCTAAAATCTTAACCTGCTAACTCATAGACGTCCTATCTCACTTACTAGGAATTCAAAATTACTAGGTTCCAAAAATGAAGTGTTATTCTTGGGCTACATACACGTGCAGAGAAATTTATGTTACAAATATTACTTAAGTAGGGACTAATGGCATTGCTGTCTACCATGAATCCTTGTCAAACAAATGTTTGTTAACCAAGACTCTTGGAAAACAGCCTAAAAAGAGGAGGTGCTAGGAAAGAAAAGTCCCAGCATTCTTCATGCTGAGCTAGTCATGAGAAGGCAAGGATGAGCAATTAGAAATCATGTCCTATAAATACTGGTGTTTAGTACTTATTCCGGGGCTCTTCCTCGTGGTTCAGGGAAGCCCTCACAGAATGCAATTACCCGGGAATTGGCAGCAGGTACAGCCCAGCTATGTTTTGCAGCTCCTGCATTTCTCAGCAGATATATCATCCTCATGGGGCCAAGAGAGTCAAGGACTGTATCTTGCTTTTTCCAGAGGATCAGAGGCCTACTGGAATCTCTCAAATACCTGGGCGGAATGAGCTACTCAAATGCTGTTGAAACAATTAAAAAGAAACACAAGTTGAGCTGTAAGCAAGCCCTTCATGAAATGTATCAGGCTCAGAGACTTCCATCATTATCTGTAATTTTTGACTTTTCATTCTGGTTGGTTCCCTGACTGCTCTGATGCCCAGAATGTAGGTACAGCTTTTCTTTCAGATACCTACTGCCTTCAGCCAGGTTTAAGAGAAGCAGAGTCTGAGTGCTCTTAAGAAAAAGGGAGTGAGAGAAGCAGGAAGACAGGGCAAGAAAGTTAAGTTGGGATGTGGTATGGGCTGGAGACCAGCATCAATCTGGCCCCATGGGAATTCCCAGATCACAAATTGTACAACAGCAGGTGCCATGATGAGGCAAAGGGGTTTTCCCTTTGTACCCCTGGTGGTTTTAAGAGAGAAGGTGTGGTGGGACATGCCAGTCAAGGTGGCTTCCTTTTGGCTGAGGGAGGTTCTCTGGAAAGGGGTGAAACCATGAGGCTTTAGCAGCTAATACTCAGAGTCACTGAGGAATGGGTGCACCAACCCAGTGAACGAATCTGACTGGGGCACCAACAGCATCCATTACTTAGATTAACTTCATCTGCTTTCCCAATAGCCTTTACCCTTGAACTTCAGTTGTCAAGCACTTATATTTTGTTTTTTTTTTTTTTTCAGGAGACTTTTCTTTTCTTTTCTTCCTTCCTTCCTTCTTTTCTTTCTTTCCTTTTTTTATACAGGAGACTTCTTTCTTTCTTTCTTTCTTCCTTTCTTTTTTTCAAGAGACTTCTTTCTCTTTTTTCTTTCCTTCCTTCCTTCCTTCCTTTCCTTCCTTTCTTTCCTTTTTTTTTTTTTTTTTCCAAGGTGGAGTTTCACTCTTGCTGCCCAGGCTGGAGTACAATGGCACGATCTCGGCTCACTGCAACTTCTACCTCCTGGGTTCAAGTGATTCTCCTGCCTCAGCCTCCTGAGTAGCTGGGATTACAGGTGCCCGCCACCACGCCTGGCTAATTTTGTATTTTTAGAAGAGATGGGGTTTCACCATGTTGGCCAGGCTGGTCTTGAACTCTTGACCTCAGGTGATCCACCCACGTAGGCCTCCCAAAGTGCTGGGATTACAGGCCTGAGCCACCGTGCCGGGCCTGCAGGAGACTTCTTAAGTGAATTTTCATTACTAACACTATGGGGCTATTTCATAGCTCTCCAACAAAACTGGGATTGTCACCCTTTCTCGAAAGTTGAGTCCCTCATTTCTGCCAAATTCTGAGGGACTGTGTGGAGCTAAGACAAAGGGGATACTTTGCAGACTGAGCGAATACAACCCTCTGCCTTTAGTATCACTTATGCTTCTGGTAGAGACATTCTCGACAATAAATTATGCCATTGAAACGTACTTTAAAAAAAAAAAAGGGATGTGATTGCATTTTTTTCCAGCAACAGTTTTTATTGTGATAGCCTGAAGGCAAAATATTATGCAGTTTCTTTTCGTTGTCTCCTTCCGTTCAGTTTTCAGGGCAATTCTTGTAAACTTTCATATTTGGGCATGATCACTTTTGACGAGTAAACTGAATAACAATATAAATAATGAAACAGACTCAGAACTAATGGCCTAGATTTAGCATAATCAGAAACACTTAAGAAAGGTTAAAGTCAAAAAAAAGATCTTGGGAAAACAATATTAAGTTTGTAGGCATGAAGAAATTTAGGGCTTTTATTTCCCAAGCGATTATCAGTAATTATATTTTAACTATGGTTTCTTCTCAGACTCAACACGCTTCCAAATTTGTGACATTAAAAAAATAGCAATTAACTGCTCTGTGTTTTCCATAAAGAATCCACATCTTTTTATAAAAAACAATCTCAACCAGGTGCGGTGGCTCACGCCTGTAATCCTAGCACTTTGGGAGGCTGAGGTGGGTGGATCACCTGAGGTCAGGAGTTACAGACGAGCCTGGCCAACACAGTGAAACCCTGTCTCTACTAAAAACAGAAAAATTAGCCGGGCATGGTGGTGCACACCTGTAATCCCAGCCACTCTGGAGGCTGAGGCAGGAGAATTGCTTGAACCCGGGAGGTGGAGGTTGCAGTGAGCTGAGATTGCAACATTGCACTCCAGCCTGGGCAACAAGAGCAAAACTCTGTCTCAAAAACAAGAACAAAAAACTCTAGTTTCTCTTTACAATATCGAAAAAGAATATATACCCAAACATAAAAGGATAACTTTTTCTTTTTAACATTTTCTCTTTGCACTGATCATAATTCTTCATCTTTTAGGACATGGCTTTCTATGAAGCTTGTAACTCCAATGTTCTTATAATAAAAGCCGAATTATATCTTGGCCATATTAACAGTGTCTATCTTCTTTCTTTTCTGGGTGCTCACATTTCCTTCATGTATAAAATTTGGAAATGAGGAACAGGGAAGTATTGACCACAAAGGAAAAGTTTTTATTTTTAAGAACAAGTTGAACATAGCAGGAGCAATTGATATTTTGCAAACCATACACCCGGTAAGGGGTCAGTATTCAAAATACACAAGGAACTCCTACAACTCAATAGCAAGAAAACAAATCACCTGACTAAAAAATGAGCAAGTAACCTGAATAGACATTTCTCCAAAGAAGATATAGAAATGAGTATTCAGATTTATAGACAGGAAATAGAATGGTGGTTTCCAGGGGCTGGGGGCAGGAAGCAATGGGGAATTACTGTGGTTTTTTCTTTTTTGTTCCTTTTGAGATGGAGTCTCGCTCTGTTGCCCAGGCTGGAGTGCAGTGGTGTGATCTCGATCTCAGCTCACTGCAACCTCCGCCTCCCAGGTTCAAGCAATTCTGCTGCCTCAGCCTCCCAAGTAGCTGGGATTACAGGTGTGCACCACCACGCCCAGCTAATTTTTGTATTTTTAGTAGAGATGGGGTTTTACCATGTTGGCCAGGCTGGTCTCGAACTCCTGGCCTCAGGTGATCCGCCTGCCTTGGCCTCCCAAAGTGTTGAGATTACAGGTGTGAGCCACCATGCCTGGTGGGGATTATCGTTGAATAGACATAGAGTTTCAGTTTTGCAAGATGAGAAGAGTTCTGGAGATGGATGGTGGTGATGGCAGCAGAACAACGTAAATGTATGTAATGCCATGGAAGTATACATTTAAATAGAGCCAAGATAGTAAACTTCATGTAATTTGTATTTTACCACTATTTAAAAAATCAAAAATAAGTACAATTTGTAAAAGAAGAAACTTGAACAAATTTTATTAATTTCCTTGGGAAAATGTTTCTATAATCCTAACTGCAACTGCCAGTTATCTCCCCTTTATAGACAAAAAACAAGCAAAAAAAAAAAAAAAAAAAAAAAAACCACAAAATACTTCAAGCTTTCCAATGACACAATTAAAACAAATAAAAAGATAGTTCATGAGTGTTTCACAGAGGCTAAATACAAAATATACACAATTAACACAAAAAGGCTTTTAATGAGCACAAATAAGTCATTTAAGCAGGTCATGCTTTAGGTTGCTAAGGAAACAGAAAAAATACCAATATTTTCTGTCTGAAAAATTTTAATTATATGTGACAAAATGAAGCAAAATGGCAGTTAATGAAACCTATTAACTTCCTTAAAAGTAAGTAATAATCCATAAACCATTAAAATATCAACCATGAGGATGTTTATCTTCAAATTCAGAAGTTACTTCAGACAGATGAAGTTTTACTTTTTTTTTGAGATAGAGTTTTGCTCTTGTCGCCCCGGCTGGAGTGCAATGGTGCGATCTGGGCTCACTGCAACCTCCGCCTCGTGGGTTCAAGCGATTCTCCTGCTTCAACCTCCCAAGTAGCTGGGATTACAGGCGCACACCACCACCATGCCTGGCTAATTTTTCTATTTTTACTAGAGACTGGGTTTCACCTTGTTGGCCAGGCTGGTCTTGAACTCCTGACATCAGATGATCCACCCGCCTCGGCCTCCCAAAGTGCTGGGATTACAGGCGTGAGCCACTGCGCCTGAAGTTTTACATTTAACAAGTTTTTGGGCTTGCAATCATTTCTTGGTCTGAGCCACATGTGTTAACCACCATTGTCCCTGAATGGGCCCTCTCCCTCCCCTAAATAGCTCAAAACATCAGTCTAAGGCAGTGATTCTCACACAATAGTGTGCATCTCATTGTCATGTGGAAGGCTTGTTAACACAGAGACTGCTGAGTCCCACTTAGTGCTTTTGATTCAGTGGGTGTAAGGTGGGCCTGAGAATTTGGCATTTCTAATAAGAAGTTAGAAAATGTTGAGTTCCTAGAACTCATCAAGCTTTTTATTTCTTTATTTATTTTTATTTTATTTTTCAGACAGGGCCTCTTTCTGTCGCCCAGGCTGGAGTGCAGCAGTGCGATCATAGCTCACTGCAGCCTCAAACTCCTGGGCTCAAGCGATCCTCCTGCTTCAGCCTCCCAAGTTAGCCAGGACTACAAGCACACACCACTGGCATTGATATATATATATTTTTAAGTTAGTTTTTTCTTTTTCTTTTTTTTTTTTTTTTTTGCGAGATGGGATCTCTCTATGTTTTCCAGGCTGGTCTCAAACTCCTGGGCTCAAGTGATCCTCCCACTTCGGCCTCCCAAAGTGTTGGGATTACAAGCATGAGCCACCGTGCCTGGCCCAAGCTTACTCTTGACTTAGAACCTTCAGATACACTGTTCCCTCTGCTTGGAGTTTTATATATCCACTTTATGCCTAGCTGGCTCTTATTCATATACTTCTGATCTCAGTTAGATGTGACTTTTAAAGATAGCCTATTCCCAGTTGGTTGCCCTACGTAAAGTGTCTCCTTTTTCCTTGACTCTCAACACCCTATTTTCCTTCTGAACCCTGATCACAATTTGCAAGTACATATATATTTGCCTATTCATTTATTCATTGTCTGTTCCTTCCCAAGACCAGAAAATTTATTAAGGCAATCCTACATTATTGTTTTTCACCAGTATATGCCAAGCCATAGTACATGATAATCCCTCAATACATTTTTATTAAAGAACAAGCAGTCAAGAGAATTAGGCACTTCTGTACTAATTACTAATACTTCAGACCAATAGCTATTGTCAGACTGCTTCGTAAACAGTTTCTCACAGAAACCTGACATAGAGTTCCTAAATAAGAGAAAGCTACCCATTTTCCTTATCCCATATCTGAATTATTTATATCTATCACTTGATTTATATTGGAGCATTTGCTAATTTCTGAAGCATCTCTCATTCTTTGGGCAAGAATATAACATTTCAGTTTTTGGTCTCTACCAGGGATTTTTAAAATAAAAATGGAGTGAGTGGGAAAAAAAGAGGAAGTAGCCTATTCAAGGAAAATATATTCTGCTTGGTGGTGGTGGCACAAGTTAGTGCATCTTTTGGAGGGCATTTTAACAACACTGAATAAAAGCATTAAAAATATTTACATATGAAAAGACTAGAAGACTACAAACCAACTGAAATCCAGCCTGGGCTCTACTACCAAATTGGTTAGGCTTGGCATAGGACCGGGGATCTCTTCAAAAACACAGTGCCTTTTTCTTCTTTGCCCAAAGAGGCCCTTGCAGGGATTGGGATTATAGATGCTGGGGCTGAGATTACAGATGATCCCTCTCTCTCTCTCTCTCTCTCTCCCTGCCTCCCTAATTTTTGGGCTTTTCCACTAAAGAAAAGTTACTTAAATAATGATATGAACTAAGAAGTCATCAAATATTAGACTGTAACGAAGTTCATTTACAAATATTTTCCACTTGTGTAGAAAAGGGATAGTAACATGCATACTTTAGGGCTGTTACAAAGATGGATGAGAAGTTTAGGCATATTTCTCCTTCTTTTAGTTCACATATAGTCACACAAGTTCCTATTCAGGCTAGTCCAGGGAGACTCTGCAAAGCAGTAGGTAATAAGTTCATCCATGAGAGAGTCACAGACTAAGATCCTTTGCCGGGTAGCTACCTTTTTGGAGCTGATTTCTCACATCGCCCCAGGGGCAACCTCTATCATGTAGCCTTATAAACGTCTCCTCGAACTAGACATTGGAAAGTAGGTACATGAAACTGATAAAGAGGAAGCATAGTGTGGGGAAGAAAGATATGTGTTCAGAACTTGAACAAAGGGTAAGAGGTAGGAAAGTTTAATGTGTGTCTGAGGAAAAGCAAATAGCCTTTAATAACTTAAAATATGAAGTACAGGGCAGCTGTAAAAGATGAATCATGGGTGTTTTCTGGGATCAAGATTGTGGTGGGTCTTGAATGAGGTGGCCTTTACAATGTAGAATGAAGATGTCCACAAAACGGGAATGGCATTTTCTCGGCAACTCTTAGATTTAATTACTACTCACTTGAAAACACTTACTTTATATCCACTAGATACTGTGCCCACATATATGTGTGTGTGTGTGTGTGTGTGTGTGTGTGTGTGTGTGTGTATATATATATATATTATATACCTATCATCCACTGGAAAAATGGAAGTCTCAACACACTCACAATCATTAGCAGAGGTACACAATTTAATGGGTCATTAAAAAAAATGCAATCCATATTATGAGAAGTTGAGTCATAGGGGTTTGGAAGGTGCAGAGAAAGATGCTGATGGAGGGGAAGAGAGACCTCCTGAGTAGATAAGGTGACTGAAATCATTCACAGAGGGGAACACTAGAAGAGGCATGTTCCTCTGGACATGAAATAGTCACCTGGAAAATCTCAAGTAGATCAGTATAACTTGTGGTCATTGTGGAAAGGAGAAGAGACACAGAGTGTTTGTATGCAGAGACAAGAAGTAACAATGGCCAGAAATAAGCTGGTGGCAAATGGAGCAAATTATTTGCAAAATAATTTTTAAGGGTCACGCTATCTAAAAGATAGCATTTTGCCCTATGCTTTTGCACAAATTTGTTTATTCATTTATTCCAAAAACTATTATTGGGTACCTATTATATGCCAGGGAATGTTCTAGGCACTGGAAATACAGCGTAAGATAGACCAAGTCTCTGTAATCATGCAGCTTAAGGCTAATGGATATCATTTCATTTAAATGATGACTATTAATAACTAGGCTTATAAAGAAGCAAATTCCAAGCCAAAATATATCATGGCTATAAAATACAATTTTTGACCAAGAAAATGCAGGACAAAGTATAATATTGCAGATAGCAGTCTCAAAGAGATTCTGTTTTCACTTATTAAAGCAAATTAAGCTACCTCTGCATGTCTGAATAATGATTAATAGAGGAATCTAGAATTGTGAGTTACCCGTGCAATATGCTGTACCTGGTTTGCTTTATATGGAGCACATTTATTTAGTTTTGGTTCTAGGGGGAAGGCACTCACTACTGAAACAAAATGGATTTTTACTGATTTGATTTTTCATTCAATATATTATTAACTTAGAAATACTAAGGCAGAAATGAACCAAAGATTAATACAAATTTTTAAGAGCAGTGATAAAAATAATACACAGAAGAGGGCTAAAAAGGATTGCAAAAACGTCCTTTAATATCCAATTTTACTTTCAGATTATTGTAGTTCCTAAATGTAATTAATGTTTTTAGCCTTTCTAAAATGGTCTTATTTCTTGCAAACAAAATAAAAAAGCAGGATGTTCAACTACTTAAAGTCAAACGAAAGGAACAGAAAACGAATTTTCTTCATTAAAATCTATGCAACATCATAATGGTTCATCTTCTTTTCATCATATTCTGAGGCTGAAAAGAAAGTCTTATGTATTCATTTCTGAGCAATGTGGGCCCTCTGGACACATTATTAGTTGTTATTTTTACTTCTGTGAATACATGAGGTTGTGAAAAGTCTAGCTTCTTGAGTCAAGAGTTTATTCAGTTTGTCATTTTTCTCACCATAAAATTGATATTTTCAAGATATTATTCTGATTTTTATGATCACATCTTAAGGTAATATCTAAATTCATATCCTGTAATAGTCTGTTATGACAACTGCTATCATGATAATGTCCAGTTAAGTACATGCAAATGATGAATAAATTACTACTTACACAAATGAGTCTAAGTGTCAAGCTGTCTAAACAACGTTCTCAGATGTGATTTCCAAAAAAAAAAAAAAAAAAAAATCACTCATTGGCCAAATCTACCCTTTAGAAAAAGTGATTGATATTCAACTAACAGATATATTTAATAGTAATAGACTTTTTTCTTTTTCAAAATAGGAGTATGATTTAGTGCCCTCAAAAATCTGTGGGGGTGATGCTGCATTGATTATCTAAAGGAGAATACAATTTCAGTAGGAAAAAGAGTTCAAAACTCTTTTTAAAATAATCTTTTCACTAATAATTCAGTAATTTTAGATTCAAAGTGGGTCAGATTTCACCAAGACCCCTCTTGCATACAACAATCAACCCCAAACCCTAGGCAGTTTTATAGGAGAAACGACTTTGCAAATGTCTTCCTTCAACCTTTATACAAAAAAAAAATTGAGATGGTTCCAAAGGTAATATTTTATTCACAGCATAAGCCAACGGAGTAATTTATGCTCATTTGTTTAGCCTGTATTTCTTTTAACCTTATGCTTTATTGGATGCACAAAAGTCACCCTGATATTGGATAACCTTTGTGGAGATTCTAGTATATTGGGTTTGTGAAAGTCTAAAACAATGGACCATTCTCTCCCTTGCTTTAGCCCCATCCCTGCTAGAAACATGTGAAGACCAAAAACCAACTGGCAAGCAGAAGGTGAAGCAGGTAAAATGCCGTTGCATACAGTCTGCTTGCTTGGGGGCAGATAAGAAACTTAAATCACAGGTCAGTTAAATGGGTATTATTTAATAAGACCTAATAGGCTTTAGGTTCACAACAATGGATAGATCTCAAAATGGGTTACAATGTTTTAAGAGTAGGAAAAAAGTAAATGAAAGGAAACTCAGCAGTAGTTTATCATTGGTTCTAAAAAAAACACATCAATGTATTGCCAAAGACTCTCATTCACTTTTGTTTCTACTTAATTCCTGTACTTCGGCATATATTGCCAATAAATTGACTTCACTCTGTTCACTAACTTGCTTATGCCGTGTTAAGATCATGATGATAGAATGTGAATATTTGATAGGGAAAAGTTCTAAATGAGTCATTTGAGTCTATAATGATGCATAATCCCGGAAAACCAAACTTCTAAAAATAAGTGTGTTTCGAAACAGGACTGGCAGGTTCTTAACTTTATGAAGAAAAAAAATTACCATAAAAATCAATTCCTTAAAAGAAAATAGAAATCTGTCTTAGTGTTAGATCCTCCAGCCTCATTCTGGTTAAGAGAATTTGGCGTTTCAGGGCTGAGCACACTGTGGAAACTTAATAAATATTGAGGTTTACAAACAAAAAGCATAACAATGATATGTGGACCAATTTTCAACAACACTGAAAATCAATGTGCCCTTACTCTGCCTAATTCAGTTAACTCAATTATTTAATGTACACTTGATTTGAGTGGGTTTGACCATAGCTATTTCCATTTTCCATTGAACATTAATCAAATTGCTTCTAATGTAAAATTTCATTTTTTCTCATCCTTCTCCTCTCCCAGATTCTAGGATAAGGGAAAAGTTTAAGTTTCATGTCTCTTGTTTAAAGTTAAAAGCAAATTTTAAGACATCTGTTTCCATTAGTTTATCCCATAATTCTCTTTTCATATACCACTCACCCTATACCACAACCATGAACTTTTTCACAGATATTTAATACATTGTTTTTTGCACCATTTTGGGAAAAATCCTCCTTCCTCAACCACTTCAGCTAAGACTCTTTTCTACTTTCTCCCAGTTGATCCCACATCATCTCTATTTCATCTCTATTTCACCTCATCTCTATTTCTATACACAAAAATATACCCTCCCCCTGAACACAGAGCCTCAAGGGGTGGACAAAGTAAGTTATAAAATGTAGGCACTCCTGGAGAAGCTGTTAGCTATTCATATCTAGCAAGTAGATTTTACTTAAAAAGTGTTGACTGATCCCAACTATTTTTAATATCCTAGATTCAGAAACTCTATAAAGTACTATTTTATCATCAGTATGTTTGGTAGAAAAGTGTAAGGAGAATTTTTAAATGTAATTGTTTTTATTGGTAAATGCAAAAAATATTTACACAAAGTGAAAAGTTATGTGACTAAATATATATATAGTTTGAGACAAGGTCTTGCTTTGTCACTCAGCCTGGAGTACAGTGGAGTGAACAGGGCACACTGCAGCCTCAACCTCCTGTGCTCAAACAGTCCTCCTGCCCCAGCCTTTCGGGTAGCTGGGACTACAGACACATGCCACCACACCTGGTTAATTTTTGTATTTTTTGTCCAAACGAGGTTTCACTATGTTGTCCAGGCTGGTCTTAAACTCCTGAGCTCATGCAACCCACCCACCTCGGCCTCCCAAAGTGCTGGGATTACAGGCGTGAGCCACCACGGCCGGCCATGACTAAATATTTTTAACGTTAAAAATTAATACTGGGAAGGCAAGTTATGCTGTTGGTCATCTGAAGCAACCCCAAAATTGTACCAGTGTCATTAAAATACCAACAGGAAAAAATGAAATAAACCACCGTCAAAGTCTTCCACAAGTGAGATTTAGAAAAGAAGCCATTTATTCATTTCAAGGTTCCTAAGCGAAACAATGCTCCCTATGATGCTCCCATATCTAAACTATTAATCAATCCAACAAGAGGCTGTGTGCCTGCATTCATTTTTAAACTAAATCTTCTGGATATTGATAAATATAAAAGAAATAATAAATGATATATTTATTACTTGTAATTGAAGAAACGCTAACACTACACAAAATATGTCTTCAGGTACATACACAGTAGCTTTACTATGGAATATTGGTTCTCAGAATGTATCTCTGAACCAGCAGCATCATGAACACCTGGGAACAAGTTGGGACTTCTTAGCCTTGCCCCAGACATTTTGAATCAGGAACTCTGGGGAAGGGGTTCACCAACCTGAGTTTCTACAAGCCCTCCAGGTGATTCTGATGTATGCTGAGGTGAGAACCATTGCCACTGAAAATTCTTGACATTCTCAATGATGTCTGGACATGTCTGAATGCCTAGACATTTACAGATTCCATAACTATAAAGCCAAACTCACTTATGAGGCCATTTTCTTACTAATAGTGATCACTTTCTTAGACTTTTTCATTCATTAACTCTTCTCTTCCATCACTAATTCTGATGAACAGCTATCAAGCTATTCATGGTAGGGTGGAGGGTAGGTGGATTTTCCATAAAGAAACAAAATTCTCATTATTTATAAAGAATTACTGTACATGCAAAAACAAAACAGCATTAAAAAAAGCCAAGTTGAATATGAAGAGTGAGTGGATTACTAGGTTTACTTATTAGTTGCAGGGGACACTTTACCTAACCTGGGCATCCATCCTTCAGCTGCTGTGATGGTTGACTATTAATGTCTTATAGCTACCTGCCTTCTCCACATGTGACCTCTGCTTATGGGAGCCCCCTAGCCCAGGAAGTAACCCATATCCCAGGAGTGGACCACAGCCAGTGGTGTGCTGCAGCAGAGCCCAAGAGCCAATTGTGTGCATCTCCTCCCAATTCCATACTCAGTGGCATTATGTCGGTAGCTGGAGATCAGTGGTAGAGGGAGTATTTACACCACGAAAACTGGTTTTGATACACACCAGGATTCATCCCACCTCAGAGCTAGTCGACAAATATTTGCCAGCACTTCAGTGACACAGACAATGACTGGTATAAAGGCACAACTCCGGCTCGGTGTTGTGGCTTACGCCTGTAATCCCAGCACTTTGGGAGGCTGAGGTGGGCAGATCACCTGAGGTCAGGAGTTCAAGACCAGCCTGACTAACATGGTGAAACCCCATCTCTACTAAAAACACAAAAATTAGCCAGGCGTGGCGGTGCATGCCTGTAATCCCAGCTACTCAGGAGGCTGAGGCAGGAGAATCACTTGAACCTGGGAGGCGGAGGTTGCAGTGAGCTGAGATTGCACTCCAGCCTGGGCAACAAGAGCGAAACTCCATCTCAAAAAAATAAAATAAAATAAAGAGTACAACTCCACAGCGAGGTTTCTGCTCGAGGGCTTGCTCTCTCTCTGGATCAGACACAATGTGAGGTTTCACCTGAAATGGCATACTTGCTGGGCTCTTTCTTCTCCTGTATTGTTTCCCTAACTCCAATACAGGCTTCTCCTGAGAGCAGACCCTCTATAAATCACAGGCACCTAGACCCCTGTTCTCAGGGTCTGCGTTCATGGAACCTGACTTAAAATGCCATTTAACTCATTAGTTAAGTGACTATGCACAAAAGCTTGAAATAATACATGTTCAAAATTAAGAGCTGCTAGTCATGGAACTTTGGATCACAATAATCAGATGAACCTGCAAAAGATAAATTTGAAATAGCAAGGGTCTGCTCTTTTTGTCTGTGTACATAAAAGACAGAAGTTGATGGAAAAAGATAAAGCCTGCAAAAACTGGGCAATCCTTTATACTGTGATTCTCAACTTACGCTTTCATGTCCATAGGTGAATGTGCTGAAAGATTCCTTACTTCAGAATTTGAAGAAAAAGCATCTTCATATTAAAACATGATGAATCCATTATGGAAAATACCATAAAATTGATGTGAGATTTAAAAAATAAAACAAGAACATCAAAGAAATTTCATGCTCATGGAAAAAGGAGATAGGTAAGTGGAAGCGGGAGATGTCAGGCTATGTCTTCTATGCTGTTAAGATAACTGAAGTAAATAAGTTTAAGAATCACTGCTCTCGGAAGATGCTTTTAAATAGAAAAACCTGCAGTAAGTGTAAACTATAACTAAAAATATTATTTTAACATGAAAAAATCTTATTATGAAAAAGTTCTTTCTTAGGCCCCATTAAAATGAGAGAGACATTAGTATCACAGACACAACTGTTCCCATAATACCCAGAAAACTGATTTACCAAGAAAAATTATTCAATGCCATTACTTAACTTAGTTAATTTCAGGTTGTGTAAGGCATAATACTGGTGTCAATGCTAACTGTTAAATTTTGAAAATTGTAATTGTCAAGCATGACAGGAAGAAGCGAACTCCTTGGGTTATTTGATCTTAAAGCATTTCCTGTTTTACTGAACGGTAGGAGAGTAACAGAATTGTGAACTTTATTCTTGTCACAACTTTGGTAGATGTCAAAAAATAATTAAAAATATATATTGGCTGTGTGATTCCATTTTCTTAGGAAATATGGAATTTCAGTTAAATAAATAACTCACATTTTAGCACTGTTTCTAGTTAATGTGGTACATGCACATGTATACACAAGCTAATACAAATTCTTGCTCCCTCAGCTTGGTGCTAAATAATAATATTCCCAGGAAAACTAAGATGCCATCTATACAACTCTCAATATAATTTTTGTTTTTGAAATAAATTAAATGTTCACACTCTATAATGAGATCAGACTTCTCTGGGTATAGGTTTCAATCATATCATGAATTAATGAATGAGTGCATTTGTATATCCTCTAATACTGAGAGTATATTACTTAAGTTTTTTGAATAATCTTTTATTACCCGAGACTCTTGAGGAATAGTATTTCTAGTTATTACCCACCACAAACAAAGCTTTCAGAAAATCCTAGCAAACAGGATTGGCATATTATAGGATCAGATGTTGATATGGTTGTTTTCAAATAGTAGGAAGGATGGTATTATTTGGAGAAATTTTTATTATCTGATTAAACACTTCTTGAGTAGAATCAGATGAACTCATTAGCTGAACATTTTGATTACCCGTGTTCTCCTAAATATCCCATGACCAGAAGAGTAGCTGTACAACTCTGATTTAATCCAATAACAATAATAACCAATTCTAGCTCCTTCTTTTATCACAGTCCATCAAAATAACACAAAGAAGTCCAAATTAAAATAAGTTCAATGACAAAAAGAACATGTTCCTTTTCCAACTGTTCTAAAGCCTTTTCCTGTCTTTAAGCAAAGTTCATTCAGTCATTATCTCATCTATGAAAGTAAAAGCAGAAGGATGTTTCCCTTATTAAATAAATGGCTTTATGCTTTCGATGTGGAAGGCATTTCATAACAGTCAAAAAAGGAAGCGTTTTGAATGCCATCAACTCATTTCCTCCCACCCACTGTTTTAAATCGTTTGTTTGGTTCCAATGTATACTACACTTACATAAGTTGTTTATGAAGAGCCAAATTAATAGTCTTTGCAATTGTTTTTGTTGGAATTTGGAGAGCTGACAAGTGAATTAGTAGAAAATGGCAATTCTACATGAATTAGCTTTTAAGTCTCCCTAAGAGGCTGATGCAGAACTTAATAAGAGACTTATTAGGAGAAGTAGGACAACTTAATTCAGATTGATTATAGACTTCGGTGAAGACAGCTGGGGTTCAAATGAAACTGAAAAAGAACTTATATGCACTTCAAAGTATGCTAAGCAGATGTCTGAAACAATTACTCCGCTCTGCCTTTTCAGAAGTTTCAAAGGCGGGATGGGAATAGCATGGTAAACGAAGGTTCTGTTTGCCTAAGTCGAGGTAGGGGCTTTTAAAACACACACAGCGCTATCTAAAATCAGATGCTTTGGGGAAAGAAAGTGATTTGACATTGCTGTCCTAAGTAATTTGCTTTTAGCTTTATAAACAAAGCAGGAGATGAGAGGGAATACATGGTAACTAAGTAATAAGCTCTCCTGGCAACACTAACTTACAATTAATTTCACATTGAATAAATAATTTGGTCAGGATTTTTTTTTTATTATTATTATACTTTAAGTTCTGGGATACATGTGCAGAACGTGCAGGTTTGTTACATAGGTATACACATGCCATGGTGGTTTGCTGCACCCATCAACCTGTCATCTACATTAGGTATTTCTCTTACTGCTATCCCTCCCCTAACCTCCCACCCCTCGACAGGCCCCGGTGTGTGATGTTCCCGTCCCTGTGTCCATGGGCTCTCGTTGTTCAACTCCCACTTACGAGTGAGAACATGCGGTGCCTGGTTTTCTGTTCCTGTGTTAGTTTGCTGAGATTGATGGCTTCCAGCTTCATCCATGTCCCTGCCAAGGACATGAACTCATCCTTTCTTATGGCTGCATAGTATTCCATGGTGTATCTGTGCCACGTTTTCTTTATCCAGTCTATCATTG
Organism: Homo sapiens; assembly: GCF_000001405.40. NCBI lineage: Eukaryota > Metazoa > Chordata > Mammalia > Primates > Hominidae > Homo > Homo sapiens. The sequence continues at coordinate 31,465,608 of NC_000023.11, forward strand.
ATGAGCATTTGGGTTGGTTCCAAGTCTTTGCTATTGTGAACAGTGCTGCAACAAACATACATGTGCATGTGTCTTTATAGTAGAATGATTTATAATCCTTTGGGTATATAACCAGTAATGGGATTGCTGGATCAAATGGTACTTCTGGTTCTAGATCCTTGAGGAATTGCCACACTGTCTTCCACAATGGTTGAACTAATTTACACTCCCACCAACAGTGTAAAAGCACACCTATTTCTCCACATCTTCCCCAGCACCTGATGTTTCCTGACTTTTTAATGATCGCCATTGTAACTGGTGTGTTTTGATTTGCATTTCTCTAATCACCAGTGATGATGAGCTTTTTTTCATGTTTGTTGGCCGCATAAATGTCTTACTTTGAGAAGTGTCTGTTCATATCCTTTGCCCAATTTTTGATTAGGTTTTTTCTTGTAAATTTGTTTAAGTTCCTTGTAGATTCTGGATATCAGCCCTTTGTCAGATGAATAGATGGCAAACATTTTCTCCCATTCTGTAGGTTGCTTGTTCACTCTGATGATAGTTTCTTTTGCTGTGCAGAAGCTCTTTAGTTTAATTAGATTCCATTTGTCAATTTTGGCTTTTGTTGCCATTGCTTTTGGTGTTTTAGTCGTGAAGTCTTTGCCCATGCCTATATCCTGAATGGTATTGCCTAGGTTTTCTTCTAGGGTTTTTATGGTTTTAGGTTTTATGTTTAAGTCTTGAGTTAATTTTTGTATAAGGTGTAAGGAAGGGGTCCAGTTTCAGTTTTCTGTAGATGGCTAGCCGGTTTACCCAGCACCATTTACTGAATAGGGAATCCTTTCTCCATTGCTTGTTTTTGTCAGGTTTGTCAAAGATCAGATGGTTGTAGATGTGTGGCATTATTTCTGAGGCCTCTGTTCCATTGGTCTATATATCTGTTTTGGTACCAATACCATACTGTTTTGGTTACTGAAGCCTTGTAGTATAGTTTGAAGTCAGGTAGCATGATGCCTCCAGCTTTGTTCTTTTTGCTTAGGATTGACTTGGCTATGTGGGCTCTTTTTTGGTTCCATATGAAATTTAAAGTAGTTTTTCTAATTATGTGAAGAAAGTCAATGGTAGCTTGATGGAGACTGCATTGAATCTATAAATTACTTTGGACAGTATGGCCATTTTCACGATATTGATTCTTCCTATCCATGAGCATGGAATGTTCTTCCATTTGTTTGTGGTGTCCTCTCTCATTTCCTTGAGCAGTGGTTTGTAGTTCTCCTTGAAGAGGTCTTTCACATCCCTTCTAAGTTGTATTCCTAGGTATTTTATTCTCTTTGAAGCAATTGTGAATGGGAATTCACTCATGATTTGGCACTCTCTTTGTCTATTATTGGCGTATAGGAATGCTTACTATTTTTCCACATTGATTTTGTATCCTGAGACTTTGCTGAAGTTGCTTATCAGCTTAAGAAGATTTTGGGTTGAGACGATGGGGTTTTCTAAATATACAATCATGTCAGCTGCAAACAGAGACAATCTGACTTCCTCTCTTCCTATTTGAATACCCTTTATTTCTTTCCCTTGCCTGATTGTCCTGGCCAAAACTTCCAATATTATGTTGAATACGAGTGGTGGGAGAGGGCATCCTTGTCTTGTGCCGGTTTTTAAAGGGAGTGCTTCCAGCTTTTGCCCATTCAGTATGATAATGGCTGTGGGTTTGTCATAAGTAGCTCTTATTATTTTGAGATACGTTCCATCAGTACCTAATTTATTGAGAGTTTTTAGCATGAAGGGGTGTTGAATTTTATTGAAGGCCTTTTCCGCTTCTATTGAGATAATCATGTGGTTTTTGTCATTGGTTCTGTTTAAGTGATGGATTATGTTTATTGATTTCTGTATGTTGAACCAGCCTGGCATCCCAGGGATGAAGCCAACTTGATCATGCTGGATAAGCTTTTTCATGTGCTGCTGGATTCGGTTTGCCAGTATTTTATTGAGGATTTTCGCATTGATGTTCATCAGGGATATTGGCCTGAAATTTTCTTTGTCTGTTGTGTCTCTGCCAGGTTTTGGTATCAGGATGATGCTGGCCTCATAAAAAGAGTTAGGGAGGAGTCCCTCTTTTCCTATTGTTTAGAATAGTTTCAGAAGGAATGGTACCAGCTCCTCTTTGTACCTCTGGTAGAATTCAGCTGTGAATCCATCTGTTCCTGGGCTTTTTTTGGTTGGTAGGCTATTAATTACTGCCTCAATTTCAGAACTCGTTATTGGTCTATTCAGGGATTCGATTTCTTCCTGGTTTAGTCTTGGGAGGGTGTATGTGTCCAGAAATTAATCAATTTCTTCTAGATTTTCTAGTTTATTTGCGTAGAGGTGTTTATAGTATTCTCTGATGGTAGTTTGTATTTCTGTGGGATGAGAGCTAATATCCCCTTTATCATTTTTTCTTGTGTCTGTCTGATTCTTCTCTCTTTTCTTCTTTATTAGTCTGGCTAGCAGTCTATCTATTTTGTTAATCTTTTCAAAAAACCAGCCCCTGGCTTCATTGATTTTTTGAAGGATTTCTCATGTCTCTATCTCCTTCAGTTCTGCTCTGATCGTAGTTATTTCTTCTCTTCTGCTAGCTTTGGAATTTGTTTGCTCTTGCTTCTCTACTTCTTTTAATTGTGATGTTAAGGTGTCAATTTTAGATATTTCCTGCTTTCTCCTGTGGGGATTTTAATGCTGTAAATTTCCCTCTAAATACTGCTTTAGCTGTGTCCCAGAGATTCTGGTCCGTTGTGTATTTATTCTCATTGGTTTGAAAGAACTTATTCATTTCTGCCTTAATTTCCTTATTTATCCAGCAGTCATTCAGGAGCAGGTTGCTCAGTTTCCATGTAGTTGTGTGGTTTTGAGTGAGTTTCTTAATCCTGAGTTCTAATTTGATTGTACTGTGGTCTGAGAGACTCTTATGATTTCTGTTTTTTTGCATTTGCTGAGGAGTGTTTTACTTCCAATTATGTGGTCAATTTTATAATAAGTGTGATGTGGTGCTGAGAATAATGTATATTCTGTTGATTTGGGGTGGGGAGTTCTGTAGATGTCTATTAAGTCCACTTGGTCCAGAGCTGAGTTTAAGTCCTGAATATCCTTGTTAATTTTCTGTTTCGTTGATCCGTCTAATATTGACAGTGGGGTGTTAAAATCTCCCACTATTATTGTATGGGCATCTATGTCTCTTTGTAGGTCTCTAAGAACTTACTTTATGAATCCGGGTGCTCCTATATTGGGTGCATATATATTTAGGATAGTTAGCTCTTCTTGTTGCATTGATCACTTTACCATTATGTAATACCATTTTTTTTGTCCTTTTTGATCTTTATTGGTTTAAAGTCTGTTTTGTCTGAGACTAGGATTGCAACCCCTGCTTTTTTTTTCTTTCCATTTGCTGCTTGGTAAATATTCATCGATCCCTTTATTTTGAGCCTATGTGTGTCTCTGCACATGAGGTGGGTCTTCTGAATACAGCACACTGATGGGTCTTGAGTCTTTATCCAATTTGCCAGTCTGTGTCTTTTAATTGGGGCATTTAGCCTGTTTACATTTAAGGTTAATATTGTTATGTGTGAATTTGATCCTGTCATTATGATGCTAGCTGGTTACTTTGCCCGTTAGTTGATGCAGTTTCTTCATAGTGTGATGGTCTTTACAATTTGTTATGTTTTTACCATGGCTGGTACCAGTTTTTCCTTTCCATATTTAGTGCTTCCTTCATTAGAAGCTCTTGTAAGGCAGGCCTGGTGGTGACAAAATCTCTCAGCATTTGCTTGTCTGTAAAGGATTTTATTTCTACTTTGCTTATGAAGCTTAGTTTGGCTGGATATGAAATTCTGGGTTGAAAATTCTTTTCTTTAAGAATGTTGAATATTGGCCCCCACTCTCTTCTGGCTTGTAGGGTTTCTGCCAAATGATCCGCTGTTAGTCTGATGGGCTTTCCTTTGGGGTAGCCTGACCTTTCTCTCTGGCTGCCCTTAACATTTTTTCCTTCATTTCAACCTTGGTGAATCCGATTATTATGTGTCTTGGGTTGCTCTTCTCAAGGAGTATCTTTGTGGTGTTCTCCATATTTCCTGAATTTGAATGTTGGCCTGTCTTGCTAGGTTGGGGAAGTTCTCCTGGATAATAACCTGAAGAGTGTTTTCCAACTTGGTTCCATTCTCCCCATCACTTTCAGGTACACCAATCAAATGTAGGTTTGGTCTTTTCACATCGTCCCATATTTCTTGAAGGCTTTGTTTGTTCCTTTTCATTCTTTTTTCAGTAATCTTCTCTTCATGCTTTATTTCATTAAGTTGATCTTCAGTCTCTGATATCCTTTCTTTTGCTTGGTCGATTTGGCTATTGATACTTGTGTATGCTTCACAAAGTTCTCGTGCTGTGTTTCTCAGCTCCTTCAGGTCATTTATGTTCCTCTCTAAACTGGTTATTCTAGTTAGCAATTCCTCTAACCTTTTTTTTAAGGTTCTTAGCTTCCTTGCATTGGGTTAGAACACGCTCCTTTAGCTCGTAAGAGTTTGTTATTACCCACCTTCTGAAGCCTACTTCCGTCAATTCGTCAAACTCATTCTCCATCCAGTTTTGTTCCCTTGCTGGAGAGGAGTTGTGATCATTTGGAGGAGAAGAGGCGTTCCGGTTTTTGGAATTTTCAGGCTTTTTGTGCTGGTTTTTCCTCATCTTCGTGGATTTATCTACCTTTGGTCTTTGATGTTGGTGACCTTCAGATGGGGTTTTTGTGTGGACGTCCTTTTTGTTGATGTTGATGCTAGCAGTCAGGAACCCTCTGCTGCAGGTCTGCTGGAATTTGCTGGAGGTCCACTCCAGACCCTGTTTGCCTGAGTATCACCAGCAGAAGCTGCAGAACAGCAAAGATTGCTGTCTGTTCCTTCCTCTGGAAGCTTCATCCCAGAGGGGCACCTGCCAGATGCCAGCCAGAGCTCTCCTGTATGAGGGTGTCTGTCAACCCCTGCTGGGAGGTGTCTCCCAGTCAGGAGGCACGGGGGTCAGGACCCCACTTGAGAAGGCAGTCTGTCCCTTAGCAGAGCTCGAGTGCTGTGCTGGGAGATCTGCTGCTCTCTTCAGAGCCAGCAGGCAGGAACGTTTAAGTCTGCTGATGCTGCACCCACAGCTGCCCCTTCCCCGTGGTGCTCTGTCCCAGGGAGATGGGAGTTTTATCTATAAGCCCCTGACTGGGGCTGCTGCCTTTCTTTCAGAGATGCCCTGCCCAGAGAGAAGGAATCTAGAGAGGCAATCTGGCTACAGTGGCTTTGCCGAGCTGCGGTGAGCTCCGCCCAGTTAGAACTTCTTGACGGCTTTGTTTACACTGTGAGGGGAAAACTGCCTACTCAAGCTTCAGTAATGGCAGGTGCCCCTCCCCACACTAAGCTTGAGTATCCCAGGTCCACTTCAGACTGCTGTGCTGGCAGCGAGAATTTCAAGCCAGTGGATCTTAGCTGGCTGGGCTCCGTTGGGGGTGGGATCCACTGAGCTAGACCACTTGGCTCCCTGACTTCAGTCCCCTTTCCAGGGGAGTGAATGGTTCTATCTCGCTGGTGTTCCAGGTGACGCTGGGATATGAAAAAAACGCCTGCAGCTAGCTCGGTGTCTGCCCAAACAGCTGCCCAATTTTGTGCTTGAAACCCAGGGCCCTGGTGGCGTAGGCACCCGAGGGAATCTCCTGGTCTGCATGTTGCGGAGGCTGTGGGAAAAGCATAGTGTCTGGGCTGGAATGCTCCGTTCCTCAGGGCACAGTCCCTCACGGCTTCTGTTGGCTAGGGGAGGGAATTCCCTGACCCCTTGTGCTTCCGGGGTGAGGCGACATCCCACCGTGCTTCTGCGCCCTCTGTGGGCTGCACCCACTGTCTAACCAGTCCCAGTGAGATGAGCCGGGTACTGCAGTTGGAAATGCAGAAATCACCCACCTTCTGTGTTGATCTCACTAGGGGCTGCGCACCTGAGCTGTTCCTATTCAGCCATCTTGCCAGCCACTTCTTTGGTCAGGATTTTAAAGATGAATAATTCCTGCTTTAGTTTCTAAGCTGTATTAAACCCTAGATATTCTATTGAAAAGCTACTGAAAGTAAATCAATATATATGAATTCACATAATCCATAATCTTACAATAGCATAAAATCCTTAATACAGTACTGGTTTAGAAACCCAGTAACATCTCTTATCACCAGTACATAAACATTCTATTAAAAATATACCGTACTTATAAAGTATGGAGTGACACTCGCTATAATATGGCCTTTGATAGACATATTTTCAGATATTAAAGGCCAAATCATATGCTTTTAAACATTGCAATTGCATGCTTTGTAAACTAGATAAAACCCTGGTTACTCCAAATAACAGGAATTAGCTTCATATTTAACCCAGATTTATGAAGGATTAAATATTTTTTCTTTGTTTTTTCTTCTCCATCAAAGGCTTACTTAATACACATAGCATTTTTACAACAACAACAATGAAAGCCTCCACACGGCAATTCATTTGTAGTTCTTTAACAATGCACAAAACATTAATAAATTTTCCTCTTCCTACTATAGGCAGTATACCTTATTCATTATGAAGATATCACAAGTTTATTCAGAGTTGGGAGAGCTTACATGTTTTGAATGATTTTTAGGATCGCCCTGTTCATGTTGGTTCTATCTGCTCATTCATCCCCTAATTCTATAAGAAAAGATAAGTTTTCCTTACATAACTCATATATAAGAAATCAAGTAAGGTTGACTTGACTCATATAAATGGGAAGCATAACAAAATTAATACAATAAGAAGAAAACTTTAGAACCAAGGTTAAGAAGAGAAAAGCAATAAGGGAAGATAGTTGCATGAACATGGTTGCAAGTATCTTGCTTGCCAAAGTGAAGATGAAATTCTAATACATTATATCACATTTCACATTATCTATTCAGAGGAAATATGCTTGGCTTCCTCAATGTCAAATTCTAACATAGCGTTTCTTTGACAAATTTCTCAAAAAAACCCAAAGCCACAGGGACTGAGGATGGTAAGCCTAAAAAGGTGGATTTGCCAGTTTTCTTCTTAAAACTTTAGATGTGAATGCTGAAGATAAATAAGGATGGCATCGTCACTTCATCATAATTTCTAGCCTACTACACACATCATTAAATCAATCTCAATTTGAATGCCAAAAAAGGTTTAATCAAAACATTTCATTGTAGGAACTTTAAAGAAAAAACTCATAGAATCCCTGCCCTGACTTTTCACAGTAAGAAATGCAAGTTAAAAGTTTGACAAAAATGCGATATGCATAACTACATAGATGCGACAGATTTGCATATTCCAAGATGGCAGCCTGGGAGAGTTATTTACAGTGTATGAAAAACTGTGTTCAGAGTCAACAGGTAAACTAAGAACAGTGAAATATTCCTGGCTCAAGAAGGACATACCACTTTTGGTACAGAGAAACTATGGTTTATAGTCTGGGCGCAGTGGCTCACGCCTGTAATCCCAGCACTTTGGGAGGCCAAGGTGAACGGATCACCTGAGGTCAGAAGTTCGAGACCAGCCTGGCCAACGTGGTGAAACCCCATCTCTACTAAAAAATCCAAAAAAAAAAAAAAAATTAGCCAGGCGTGGTGGCACATGTCTGTAATCCCAGCTACTCAGGAGGCTGAGGCAGAGAATTGCTTGAACCCAGGAGGCGGAGGTTGCAGTGAGCCGAGACAGCACCACTGCACTCCAGCCTGGGTGACAGAGTGAGACTGTCTCAAAAAAAAAAAAATTAAAAAAAGAGAAACCATGGTTTATTAAAACAAAAACAAAACATTAAAAAACAGCAATCTGGCCGGGAGCGGTGGCTCACGCCTGTAATCCCAGCACTTTGGGAGGCCAAGGTGGGCGGATCACGAGATCAAGAGATCAAGACCATCCTGGCCAACATGGTGAAACCCCGTCTCTACTAAAATTACAAAAATCAGCTGGGCGTGGTGGTGCGCGCCTGTAGTCCCAGCTACTCAGGAGGCTGAGGCAGGAGAATTGCTTGAACCCAGGAGGTTCAGCGAGCCGAGATCTCACCACTGCACTCCAGCCTGGTGACAGAGTGAGACTCTGTCTCAAAAAAAAAAAAAAAAAGAAAACAACAATCCACAAACCTTTTCACCTTGGGATTGTCCTGAAGAACAAAAATCTTGTATCCAGACTACAGGTTTAAAAGTTATTCTACTTTATTAAAGCCTTTATATATTCCACTTACAGATCTATGTGGAACACCTAGTAATTCAAAAAGTTATTCCTATTCCCCATTACAAGGAAGGTAGAATATTTGTCTAGTCAAATAAGCACTGGTGCTATTTTCAGTAAAGTGAAAAGTCATGATCTTGCCCTTAAAATATTTGATAAGCAGTATAAATCATGAATTTTAAAAGTAAAGAAGCATTTAAAACTTAAATTTGATTCTACTGTTTTTTCCTATGGAAGCTATGTTTGGAAGGCTGAGATTCTCTTAGTGAGCAATATAGTCAATATTAATATTGTGTTTCCATTTATTAATTTACCATGTTCACCACCCGCAGATGATCAGCTAGCAATAATGCCATTTCCATAAAGGCCAGGGACTTAGTCATTGTTGTTTCACCCATTCTTTAAATCCAAAAGCCACATTTGCTAATACAATTACAGAATGCTAAATCTCACAGAAACACATATTACTTAGTTTCTTGAATAACAAGTTATTTAACACATAAGATCAGAATGGAGGGGGGGTACTATGATAGAGTGTCTAGGGGTAAGGAAAATGAACTGATATGGATATATAAAATGTTCTTCTAGCTAGCTGCCTAGTTATCAGTGCTGTAATCCACTTTGGGAGGCCAAGGTGAGTGGATCACCTGAGGTCAGAAGTTCGAGACTAGCCTGGCCAACATGGTGAAACCCCATCTCTACTAAAAAATACAAAAAAAAAAAAATAGCTGGGCATGGTGGTGGGCGCCTGTAGTCCCAGCTATTTGGGAGGCTGAGGCGGAGAACTGCTTGAGCCCAGGAGGTGGAGGTTGCAGTGAGCCGAGATAGCACCACTGCACTCCAGCCTGGGTGACAGAGCGAGACTGTCGCAAAAAAAAAATAAAATAAAATAAAATAAAATAAAATAAAATAAAATAAAAAAAGAGAAACCATGGTTTATTAGAAAAGTTCCCTACAGCATGAATCCTCTGAGGGCTTAAATTGCTGAGTGGAAAAATGGGAAGAGTGGTTTCAAGTACACTTCTACTTTTTTTCTGAAATAAATTTTAGTTAATAAAACTCATTCTTTGTAAACTACTACCCCCAAAGCTTCAGAGTTTCAAACCCAGTGTCAATAAGATGCAGTGGAGAAAAATGATTTATTTCCACTGCAAAATTAAAGAAGAGCTACCGAAGGGAGATAAATATATATGAATTCATGTAATTCATAGTTTGAAACACGCATAAAATACAACACAGATTCAAAAGCCCAATCACATCTACTATTACCAGTACATAAAAATTCAGATAAGTACCATAACTTAAGTGTATATATGTCTGAGAAAGATAGATGTGCTGGGTTATAAATATAATTTTTCGAAAGGTATGTTTAATGTTTATATGTTTTGCTATCATTGGGATCAGAATGAGAGTTTTACCAATCAGGGTATGGAAAATGAAGTTTGTCTTAAGACCAAGAACAGATAAGACAGGGAAACTAAAAGGAATACCGCAAATAGGGTTGGGTGAAGGCCAGCTGATACTTGAACTGTTATGCTTTTAGTTATTTTTAATTATTAAATTATGCTGTACACATTCTCTTCTCCATCCATACTCAGTATCTTACAAATGCACCTGTGTGACAAGTATGGCTAAAAATGAATCCCTTATGTCTGCTCTACAGCCTATCTATTGAGCAATTTAATTGACATATTAACTAATTTAGTTCCACTGGGACATTTTCCTAACTTATTTCTCATTTTTGGAGAAGTCTGTCAAAAAATTAGTCCCTATATTTTTGAATAAAATCAACATATTTAATGCTTTTAAAATACTAGGTAATACATTTCAAAACCCTTAGTTTTCCAGTACACAGCAAGGTTAACCCTTACTTTAAATGTTAGACATGGGGTCATAAAACATTGGGGTAGAAGGGATTTTACAAGTATTAGAGTCAAATTTTTAATCTTTTCTTTTTAAAAATTTTACCTACTATTTTAATGAAGAGCTATGCAATTCAACATTAGACCATAGGCTTCATGAAGGCAATGATCAAGTCTGTTTCTTTTATAACTACCTGTCCAGCACATTATATAATGACTCATAAACAGTTGTTGAGTGAATAAATGAAGGTACCTAATGAGATTCCTCATATGTTGCTGGCCCTGGGCTAGCAGCCCAAAGATGTACAGCATGATCCTTGCTCTTAGCAACTTCACTTTCTCTGGGAGAAAAAAAAATGCATAAGCAAGTTGCTACAATATATGTGAAATTTAAGTGTGACAATTTAGCATGCTTGGTGATCTATGAGAGTACCAACTGTAAGCAGTTTCTTCTGCTTGGTGGGAGTTGGGGGTTGTAGACACTCAGGAAAGACAACAAAGATAGGTAACATTTTGGCTGGTCCTTGAGGGCTGAAGGAGAATTCGCCAAGTAGACAACGTAGGGGGATCCAGACAGAGAGAACAGCATTTGCAAAGGCAGATATATCTATATCTATATCTATGTGTATATATATGTGTATATCTATGTATATATGTATATATACTATGTATATATCTAACTATGTATGTGTGTGTGTGTATATATATATATATATATATATACACACACACACACACATACTTTACAGACACACACATTCAATACACTCTGCCCATATCACCCCTTTTTCCCAAATATGCCATCACATATATATATATATCATATGGGCAGAGTGTATTAAATGGTCTGGAGAATAGGAGCTATGGCTGAGAAGGTAAGTCAAGGCTAGGAAGAAAAGGGCCACGTAATCTCCTTATTCATTGGATTTCATTCTCTAGGCAAGTATTCTCCCGCAAGGAGTTTGGATTGGAATTGGAAGAAGCTGGGTAATGCAGGAACATCAGCAAAGAAACCATTCATCCATCCATTAATTCACCAAATGTTTAAAATGCAGTATCTGAGATATGCCAGGCACACAGAGGGGTGAATGGGATTTAAAGATGTATACTGTTATCATCTAAGTAAAAGATGCTGGGGATTAAAAAGGACATTGGTTAAAAGAGGAGAGAAAACACAAAAGAGCTATTCTGAGGTAACATGAGCCATCATGTGCCATCAGTGAAAATGCAGAAGGGTTTAAGGATGAACCTAAAGTTTCTAGCCTGGAAAATTTGTTGGATGATGATTCATTAACTGAAATAGGAAACAGGAAAAAAAAGGTCAGATAAGAGGGGACAGAAGTAGGGAAATGGAAAACAGGAGAACAAATGAACTTGGTTTCAGAATAGTTGCATTTGTGATCGTAATGCCACATGGATTCAGAGATCAGAAGAGAGATGCGGACTAGAGATGTAGATACATCACCATCCAGGCCATCTCAAACAGGGAGGGTTTAAACAATCAAAAGAGAATTAGGCTAAGGTTAGAAACTTGGGCACAACAGTATTTGAGGGGTGGCTAGGAGAAGAATCTAGAAAAATATAGGAAGAAGAACATGGATGGAACAGTTCCATGAAAGCCAAGGAAGAGGACAACTTCTAGAATGAGGATGCTGAGATGCTGGCAAACATGCTGAGTGCATGAGGGAATTTAACTTCTTTTGAATTTTAATCTAGGAGGATTTTTGTGATTTTGACAATAGATGAGTAGTTGCTGATTTCAAAATGATACTCCTAAATATGTATTTTTTTCTACAGAATATATTTGCCATCTTTGTGCCACAAGGGAATTTAACTTTGGTCTTATAGACAGTGGTCTTCCAAATATATAATGATTTTCCCTCATTTCTGCAGTGGGCCAATGAAACTTGAAACTGTATTACAAATGTTGCCTTCCAAGGGAAGGGCAACACATTAACAGCCTTATTTCACCAAACCATAACTTACCCAAGTCATGTAATTTGGTTAGCAAAAGGGCCAACACCTAGACTCCTGGCTTTTGATTAAGTGTTTTATTTTTCTGTATTCTGATACTAAGTAACACAAGCAATACACCAATACACACACACACACACACACACACACACACACACATCAGACTTTAGTACAATCACTTAATATCAAAGTCAAAGTGATTTCTTGCCCTGTAACTGTTTTAATATTTCATTTCATATAACTGAAGACAGACAAATAATTAGATCACTGTCTTCTCTTGGAGAAAATACCATGTGAATGAAGACTGAATTTGTGAAAGACGGACTGATTTCTCTAGCTTTAACTTTGTGGGAAGATAACACTGCACTCAAGTTCAGATTAGAAGCTCTTTTGAGTCTCTCAAAGGGCCCTGAAGCAAAGAAGTAGACGGTACCTTGACTTTCTCGAGGTGATCTTGGAGAGAGTCAATGAGGAGATCGCCCACGGGCTGCCAGGATCCCTTGATCACCTCAGCTTGGCGCAGCTTGAGGTCCAGCTCATCCGTGGCCTCTTGAAGTTCCCGGAGTCTTTCAAGGGTCTCATCTATTTTTCTCTGCCAGTCAGCGGAGTGCAGGTTCAATTTTTCCCACTCAGTATTGACCTCCTCAGCCTGCTTTCGTAGAAGCCGAGTGACATTCTGGGCTCTCTCCTCAGGAGGCAGCTCTAAATTGGCAATATGACAAGGTTTTAGGCCACATTCTTTTTTTTTAAACATTGTCAAAAAGGTCATACTGGAAGAAAGAAAGAGTACAGTTGAACAAGAGGGTAACCTACTGATTAACGGCTTTTTTATACTTTGGCATAAATTTTGATACAGCCCAGAACATCTAAAGTATATCTTCCTGAGTTTCTACCTTATATCAATCCGACAATTTAAGATTCACTTAAGCTATTGAGGAGAAAAACGTTAGGATGCATACCACAAGCTCTAATTTACTTCAGGCAGGCTCTTAAATGGAAAATTAACTTGTAGTCTTTGCAACAATAGAATTCCTCCTCACAGATAACTCCCTTTGTTTATTATTTTCTAAATGTTCCAATAACTGATTGCTAATCTCTTTTGATGTTTATTTATGAATGCACAAACTGATTTATGCATGGTAGTTTATGAGTCCTTATTTTTTTTTCAGCATCTATGTTTAATTTGAATTGATTCTATTTAACCAAGAAAATATGAGAGCTATCCAGACCCTGGCAGCAAGAATGGATGGGCTGCTCCGTCACCACTGATCCTTCTATCAATATGTTATTATAGTTCCACATTCAATTACCTCTGGGCTCCTGGTAGAGTTTCTCTAGTCCTTCCAAAGGCTGCTCTGTCAGAAATATTCGTACAGTCTCAAGAGTACTCATGATTACAGGTTCTTTAGTTTTCAATTCCCTCTTGAAGGCCTGTGAAATGAGATGAAAAGAAGTGCTTATTTGGCTTGTGGCATTCTTCTCAAAATTAATCCTGGGTGCTCAGAACTTGTTTATGAAACTCCCAGGTCAATTTCTATCTCTTTTATTTATACACTGATGGTTATAAAATGATTTTTTTTAAAGGCTATATGGGTCTATCTGTTAATGAGGAAAGCGCTGTGTTTGTAAAGCTATTCTGGGGAGATGGGGGGAGCATTCTGGATAGTTAATGCCCTCTCATTGAGATAAGAGTGCTTTGTTTATGTAACCTGACAGCCATACTTCAAATCTACAGCTAAAGTTTCAAGGTATATATTGCAAAACTCTAGCATGGCTAATGAGGACTTAAACATACCCCAAATAGTGGATATCCAGAACATAATGGGAAGCCTTAAGGGCCATTTGCAGGACCTTAGGCTATATTAAAGTATACAATGAATCCAACTGACAATCACCAGTTAATTCTGTCAAAATGTCTGACAAGGTATAAAATAGGTAAGCTAAGAGAAAAGTCTCAATACTTTTGAAAAATAGTCATTACATCATCCATTGTGACCTCTTTGAGAATAGTAGAAATGTTTTGAGCTATTATGGATGTAGGAATTGCGGACACTAGTTTCTATAAATGAACAGATCTAGAATTAATCTTTAATCTGTAATCTTCCTTTATCCAGGGGATCAAGAGAAAAACAAAATGAATAGTTTCTGCCTTCAAAAAGTTTCTAGATCCAAAGAAGGGAGAAAATTAACACTAGAAGCAGAGTGAAAACAGTAAGTTCACACATAATCGAGTGCTAAAAGGATCGTGAGGTATACCGTGAGCCTAGAATAACCTAACGGATACTCTGACACCATTGAAGAGAGTTATTGACCCAGATTCTTTGATCTCAGAAGTGAGGGTATTAATAAAAGTATTAAGTGCATGCTACATAAATGCTAATATAACTGTTTAACAATAACAGTAATATTTGCCCTGATCTAGGGCTTAATTTTTGTAACTTTTTTCAACTCTGTCTTTTAGCAATGTTGCCTGCTGAATTTAAGCCCTGTTCTTTCACTGGGGAAAAACAAATTAGCAGTATTCTTCCTTGAATTTCAGATATGCCATTATGTTACAGAAGTGTTCCAGAGCTGTATTGTATGACACATTTATTAATAAAATCTTAGCGGTGTTCACCATTCAAAAGAATCCTGAGTCTGATACTTTGCAAAATGATTCATCATCCACAGCTATTTACAATTCAATAGAGAAAGGGAAGGCGTTTGAACCAAAATACTGGAGTTCTGTAAGTAGAATATTAGGATTCAGCCTACAGATAGGGAAGTACTTTCTGAATAATGGGATATTTCTGTACCCTAAAATCATGCTAGATACGTGAGTTATTTACTCTGCTTACATATAAAGCTGATTCTCCTGATATTTCACTTGAAATCTCCATGTTTGTGTGTGTGTGTGTGTGTGTGTGTGTGTGTGTGTGTGTGTGTTCAGTTGTTGTATTCTTGTGTTTTTTTTCATACAATTAAGTTTCCCAAATTCAAGTAAATTATCATTTTGCCTAGTTTCTCTGTTTGGACCTGAAGGGAGGCAATTAATACTGACATTACTAATTATAAAAATAATAATGGCTCCCTCTATTGAACTACCATGTGTCAGTGGTTGTACCTGAAACTGGAAATACAAAGTTGAATGCAAAACAGCCCTTTCTATTTAGGAATATTTAACATATAATAGAAGAGTCAGACACGTAAATAATTTCAATACAATGTAGACAGTGCTATAGACTTGCGCAATATGGGGAAGAAAATCGGGAAAAGCTTCCAGGAGAAGCTAGTAATCACATAGAATTCAAAAGCATGAACATGACTTATTCAAGGAAGAGTATGCTAGAGAACATTCCAAGAAGAGGAAAATGCAAGTGCAGAGTCATAGGACATAGTGCAGTATGGTATGTATCGGAATCTCAAGCAGGCCAGTGTTTCTAGAGCATAAAGAACAAGGAGAGGGCATGTCCAAAGATGAAAAAGACACTATTGCTATCTGGAAATACATTAGATTTTTAAACCAGAATTTGAAGCTCTGCCTCTCTATGATCACATATGGTCCACTAAGAGGCTTAGGTGTTGCCTTGAAGGTAATCAGGAACCTTTGAACGGTTTTAACCAAGGGAGTGGCACAGGAATATGTGTGCTTCAAATAGATCTTCCTGATATAAATACAGAGTATGTATTTGAGAAGAACAGAAATGGAATCAGAGAGATAATGAGGCAATTGTAAGAATTCAGTGCAAGATTATGAGGATTTGACTCAGGGCAATGGTACCAGGAAAAATGACAGGGATAGGATAGGGAAATGTCTAAAAATCTGAAGTGTGAAAATTTGGTGACTGAATAGATGCTGGAGAGAAGAGAGAAAAAGAAACAAGAATGACACTTAGTGTCTAGGTTGAGTAGATGAGCAAACGCTGGGTGCAATTCAACTAAGTATGAGGAAATAAACTTTCCTGGATGTCTCAGTTCACCTACAGAAAGCTCTAGCCTCCTGAGAAACTTCCCACACCATGGAGATTAGATCTGTAGCAATTTGTCTAGTTCATTTCTCTGATCCAAGAGGGTCAAACGGTTATAGCTCAGGGTAGGTTCCTAAGCTGAACTCTATGTTGTTAGAAAGACTGGAGTGGGTATCTTTCTAGGTATTTACATTTCAAAAAATATGAAGCCCATACCTTGGAGACATTTCCAGATTGTAAAACATGAGACACACAGGGCTAGCTGGTTTCTGCAGAAGCTGGAATTAGGACTCAGGCCTGTTATGTTTCCACAGAGAACCTTTCAGAATGAGAGATGGATAGCAGCCTCCTTCTCCTTTATAAGCAGAAAAAATGATTTTTCCTAGTCTCCCACTTATGGAGTACCCAGCCACTCAAGTAGGAAAATGTTTCATCAGCGTTCATCATGTTGCCCTAGGGGTAAGTCTTTGGGCAAAGGAAGGGCACAGCAACAATATTTACTGTAAGGTAATTAAATGAAATCTGCCTCTGATTCAGAACCCCTCATGCTCATTCAGGATAAAATTATTGAAGAGTAATATTAAAAATGCAACATGATGGTGTGTGTGTGTGTGTGTGGGGGGGGTGTTCTGTGCATGGGGGACAGAGTAAGGGACTGTGATATGCTCAGCTTGGAAAGCTAACATTCCTTCCACAAGGAAATAATAAATTCTGAGGTTTGAGGAGAAAAAAAATACTTAGGAGTTATTTTCTCATTCAGCTAATATACGTTGAGTGCCTACATATCAAAGTTTAATGGGCAAACAGAGGAACAGGATCTCTTGAGAGATAGAAAAGGAACAAATAGGTGGAGAGATTAGGGGAAATGAGGAGTGTAGAAATTTCAAGGAGAGAGTGAGAATTTTGAGAGGAAGAGGGTGACCAAGTGAGTCCAATGAAACACAGAAGTAAAGTAAGATCAGCATTGCAGAGTGTTCACTAGATGTGCTGAGAGCAATTTCAGTGGAGGGCAGAAGCCTCAGAAGTAGGCATAGCTGAGGAGTGAGTGGAAGAAGGAGTAGGTATTTCAAGTGAAAATCAAATGTTCAATTTTCTTTTTCTGAGAAGGAAAAGAGGAAGACACGACAGGAGGACAGAGAGGATAACAAGACAAAGGGATAAGAAGTTCTTTTTAGCATAGGAATGATTTGAACCTAGAGTGAAAGACGGAAGCTAGCAGTAGGGTAACCAACCATCTTGGTTTGTCCAGCATTGAGTTTTTCAGGATGAGAGACTTTCGATGTTAAAACCAGAATAGTTTCAGGAAAATTGGACAGTCTCAGGAAAACGAGGAAAGTTGGTCACCCTAGATATATGTTACGACCTTGACAGAAGGTGGAGATAATTGTTGGAACAAGGTCTGTAAAATAAGGAAATGGATCTTTTTTTTTTTTTTTTTTTTTTTTGAGATGGAGTCTCGCTCTGTCGCCCAGGCTGGAGTGCAGTGGCGCAATCTCGGCTCACTGCAAGCTCCACCTCCCAGGTTCATGCCATTCTCCTGCCTCAGCCTCCCGAGTAGCTGGGACTACAGGCGCCCGCCACCACGCCCAGCTAATTTTTTGTATTTTTAGTAGAGACGGGGTTTCACCGTGTTAGCCAGGATGGTCTCCATCTCCCAACCTCGTGATCTGCCCGCCTTGGCCTCCCAAAGTGCTGGGATTACAGGCGTGAGCCACCACGCCCGGCCGGAAATGGATCTTAAAGGTCTCATCAAACTTAAAAACTTAAGGCACTAAAAACTTAAAAAGTCCAAGGCACTATTTGATGATATAATTCCATTGTTAAAACTGGACAGTAAATAATTCAAAGCTAAGGAGCATCCATTGTGAGAGACCACGTGTTTGCCCATCGAGTTGTTGCCAAGGACTTAGATCCACCACAGCTGCACAGTTCATTTCTTAAATATGAGTCATTGAAGATTAAAATGAGGCCAAAGAAAAGACAAAGAAAGTTCTGTTATTACAAAGACATAAGCACCATTATTTTCACATTGTTGCCTGAAATTAAGAAAAGAAAGTGGATGGAAGAGAGGGTTAAGTGATTGTATCTTTAGAATTTCAAAAGATTCAGATTAAATACAAAAGGATAAAACTCCCACAAAAAGAGAGAAATAGTTGGTTCAAGGAGGTCAGAGGTTAAAGAAAATGGCAATAATTCTTATCATGTGGGAAAAACTATAAATAACAATATGTAATTTTAAACATGGTTATATGTAAGATCCTCTTTAATTTAGTCACTTAACAAACTTCAAGCAACTACTATGTATCAGACACTGTTCTAGGCAATGAACATCTGTGGTCTTTGTAGCATGGAGCTTAAAACAAATGGCTTTATGTAGTAAAAAAAAAGCAATGTAGAATCTGCATTAAAATAATGGAAAGCCAATTTTTCAGTATCTAATAACTCACCATAAACTGCATGTTGTAGTATAATTTATTGCATTTTAAAAGAAAGAAAAATGAAGACTTTTTTTTAAAAAAAGACAAACAAGAATATTTAATGTCAAGAGCCTTGATTTTGATAAGTGTCTTGTCTCCCAAAAAGGCCTGTTTGAAAGAGGTTTGAGAAAATATATACTCATATATACTGATTTTGTCATATAAATTTTGGTTAATATTTTAAACCAGAGAAGTCAGTTCCTTTATGTGATGATAGAAAAGGTATCAGATATAGATATTTTCTCCCATGTACATACAGAATACGTATTTACAATATTCAGATGTTAGCATTCAGATGTTAAGATAATTACTTCCTGAATCCCTTGAACAGATAAAATTATCTTTGTTAAAACACATCCTCTTCCCCATACCTTTCTTTTCACCTTTCCAAGACAGCCAGACCCAAGGGTCCAAAATAGTGATATGAGAGAATTAGAAGCAATACTAAAGACGTAGAGCACCTCTATGAAAATAAAATATGCAATTTAGAAAATGTTAGGAATACTACACAGATGTTTGTCCTTGAGCTTCTTAAGGTTCACAAAATAAACTTATATGAAGTATGCTACTACACTATTATAGCAATGATAATCTCAAGATAAATCTATTTATTATGAAGGTTGAATTATCTGGTAGATTGCACTTAAAACACCATAGGTACTGGCCAACCGGGTGACTGATTGTTGACTCACTAATTTGTTCATTCAAAAAATATTTATTTTGAACCTATTAGGTACAAAGTTAGGAAAGATATAGAGACTTAATCTTTGTCATTAAGGAGCCAATAGTTTGGTTGAGTAGGTATATTTGTGGTGTATACTTTTATATTATGAATGTTTCATCCATGCAAATTGAGATACAGATAAGTTAGGGTTTACCTAAGGCCATCAGTTAATTACACACTTTGAATCTAAATCTTGCAATTCTAAAGTGAAGCTGAAAGTGAGTGATAACAAAACATAAAATCTCCCTGACTTAGAATAATTTGGAAGCCACATAAGTGGAAAATCCTAATGGCCATGGAAGAAATCAGAAACTTAAAAAATTCCTGAAAGTAATAGAGAAGAACCAAGTTATTGATTATTATTATTTTTATTTATTTATTTATTTATTTTTGAGACGGAGTCTCGCTCTGTCACCCAGTCTGGAGTGCAGTGGCACGATCTCGGCTTACTGCAACCTCTGCCTCCTGGGTTCAAGTGATTCTCCTGCCTCAGCCTCCTGAGTAGATGGGACTACAGGCACGCGCCACCACACCCTGCTAATTTTTTGTATTTTTAGTAGAGACGGGGTTTCACTATGTTGGGCAAGCTGGTCTCAAACTCCTGACCTCAGGTGATCCGTTTGCCTCGGCCTCGCAAAGTGCTGGGATTACAAGTGTGAGCCACCACACCTGGCCACTGATTATTTTTTTCTGTCCCTCTTGCTTCCTGCTTATATTATAAAAATATCTAAATAATGCCATAAATAGAAGTAGCTCAGAACCACGTATGGAGGGGATGAAAGGTGAGATATTGATTTGCTTCATGAGAGGAACAAGAGGAGAACTCTGGGCATAGGTAATGACATGACAGGGAGAAAAGCTATCTTGCTTTCTCCTGGGGACAGTGGATTTAGGATCATATTACTATGGATGTGAGTAAAAGCCCGTGCTTTTCAAAACACAGATGTCTTTCAATCATGTACAGCTTGCCTGGCGCTGAATTTTACCTGTATTCATATTGAAATGGTAAATTTGTGTTTTTCAGAATAAAATCTGATGGAATGACTAGAAATACTACCCATATTTGTAAGCAGAACTTCCTAGAATCATCCTGGGAGGCAGGCTGAAGTGGTGAAAAGAGCACTGTTCTGAGTGGCAGAAGCCTTGGGCTTCAAGCCTGGGCTGGGCCAGAACCTGGCTGCAGTGATCCAGAAAAGGTGATAAACTCTTCCTGCTCCTCTGTGTCCTCATTTGTAAAATGTGGGCATTTGCTAAAACCTTATCTAAGTTCTAACATCCAGTTCTCATATACTATAATCAATTTGTTAAGATCATTAATCGGCCACAGGCCTGCTCTATGGTGGCAGTTTGAGAGTCTCTGCTAAGCATCGTTATTATCGATGCTTAAAAACCATAGCCATAGCTTGGCATATAGTAAATGCTCAGTAAACATTGTTGACTAAGATACAGAACACCCAGTTAGAACACTAGAGTGTGTTATATGAAGGCCAAGTTGATTTAGATGCAAAACAGGCTTGCAGGGGAAAGCCTGGACTCATGAATCATAAGTGAAAAAATTAATGCTGTAAATTGGGAAAAATGGACAGATCTTATTCTAGGTCTACTCATGTTCCAGATCCAAAGCTGAGTGTCACTGCTGAGTTACTGGGTGGAATTTCCTCAAGAAGTGGTCCCATTAGCATTGCCTTCTTCAACCTAGTGATTTCTTAAAGGAGATTTTCATGTCCAAACACTCAGAAGTTCCATGGTTTGAACTGCTGCTTGGGGCTTTTTCTGTAGTCTGCAGGATTAGGTAGGAGATGAGAGGACACTAGACAGGCTCTGAAATGTAGGATGATCCAACAGTTCTGTTCATTCAACAAATGGATACCGAGCAGGCATAGAACAAGATGTTAACAGTCATATCTGTAACTTGATCTGTATTTACTAGTTTTGCCATCCTACGTCATCATTCTTGTTCCTGTGTTATTTCTACCTTATTTTTTATGTCTCCTGTATTGTTTCTATGTCTGACAAGAAAGTTGCTGAATATATTCTGTCACCAAAAGGACCTTCTTTATTTAAAGAGCCACCATATTTATTGAGTCTCAAACACATAAGAATATTTTACCAAATGCTCACTTCGGGACAAGCAATGCTCAGTTAACTTAAAAGCGAGGTCTTGGAAAAGGGCAAGCAATCCAGGATGTACATGGCAGGGTGGCAAGAATATTGCCCCCAGTAATCTAAAGCAAATTCATAGGGGTTCATGGAAGAAAAAAATTTGAAGAAAGAGGCAATGGAGCAAACAACAGAAAGAGAGGTTTCCCTTAATAGTCATTTGAGACAGCTAGTATTACAGAAGTTATGAACATGGGTATCTGGGCTATAAAGAAAAGGCCATAATCATCTTTTCTTATTGAGATAAGAACACTTAATATGAACTTTACCCTGTTAACACATTTTTTTTTTTTTTTGAGACGGAGTCTCGCTCTGTCACTCAGGCTGGAGTGCAGTGGTGCGCGATCTCGGCTCACTGCAAGCTCCGTCTCCCAGGTTCACGCCATTCTCCTGCCTCAGCCTCCCGAGTAGCTGGGACTACAGGTGCCTGCTACCATGCCCGGCTAATTTTTTCTTTTTTTGTATTTTTAGTAGAGATGGGGTTTCACCGTGTTAGCCAGGATGGTCTTGATCTCCGGACCTCGGTTAACACATTTTTAAGTGCACAAATCGGTATTGTTAACTATAGGCACAATGTTATGCAGCAGACCTCTAGAACTTTTTCATCTTGCATAACTGAAACTTTATATCCATTGAGCAACAACTCGCCCTTACAATGTATGGCAACCATTTTTCTACTCTCTGCTTCTATGAGTTTGACTAAATAATCATCTAAATAAGATGACAAAAAGCTCCGCCTTATTTTCACTCCACTTCTGAATAAAAGTGAAGATAAGGGATTGAAGTATCAGATACATCCATTCATTGTTTCAGATAGTCAACAACATGAACAACAATATTAATTTATAAATGAGATTGAATAAATTTGATGTAAAATTGAAAAGTAAATGAACATATTTCAGGCCTGAAATTATGTTTTTTTTTTAAAAATCTAATTATAGTCAATGAAAAAACATTTTTGAGTGTATAAGGGGAAAATGTGTTTAACAAACTCTGTGTTGAGATTTATTTTTCTGGAAGTCTTTGAAAACAAAGATTGTATTCTCTGAGATCAAGGGCACGGGCTAGAATAGTCCAGCCTGCTTGCAGGTCTGTGATACTATGGAGGAATAGTTTACTGCGCACACAGCATCTTGAACAGCTGTTTGACTCTTAATTCTAAGGCTGGGCTGCTTCCAACAATCACTGGGGAAGTTACTTCCTACTGACAATAATGTTGTTAAGTTCTGAGCTGACCTTGAGAGATCACTGGTGAAAACTCAATCTAGTTCCCGTGGCCATTTAGGGAATTAGGTCTTAGGTCATTAAGCCTAAACTTTAAGATTTGGAAATTACTTCTGAAATGTTAGTAGAAATGAATGGATTATTAGAAAACCCTGTGACAAATTAATTTGTGTATGTTCTCAAGATACTGAGCCAAAATTTGAGATTGTCAAGTATAAGTGGTAAATAATATCTGAATCATACCCTTTGTGTCTGTCTATCAACATAATCCAAAAATGGAACCCTGGTTCATTCTAAGCACATACACTCAAACGTG
The DNA here is from genome assembly GCF_000001405.40 of Homo sapiens. Lineage (NCBI taxonomy): Eukaryota > Metazoa > Chordata > Mammalia > Primates > Hominidae > Homo > Homo sapiens. The sequence continues at coordinate 31,488,521 of NC_000023.11, forward strand.
ATCATTCCCAAGTCTTTCTCAGATGGCAACATCATTATTTTATTTGTTCAAGCCATTGACCTCAGAATTTTCCTTGACTCTTTGCTTCCTCTCAAACTCCACATTCTATCTATCTTAAGTTCTATCAATTCTACCCTCCAAATATATCTTCGATCAAATAATTATTCACCATACCTATCATTTCCACTCTAGTCCAAGTAATCATTTCCTTCTGAGATGACTCCACCACCCTCCTTTTCTGTGTCTTCAGTTTCGCTCTTTTTATAGTCAATTCTCCATAGCAGCAAGAGTCAACTTCTAAACACATAAATCAGATCACATCATCCCTGCTGAGAGCCTTCCAGTGATGTTTCCTTACTTCCAGTGATGTCTCTTTACTCACAGAATAAAATCCACCTCCAAACTATGGCCTGCAAGACCATTCATTATCTGGCCTTTCCCTCTTTCTAGAACCTATCACTGTCTACTGATCTTATTTCCCTTGAGATACACAGCTCATCTTGCTATTTCTACAACACTCAAAACCTGTTCTTACCATTGGGCTTTTGAATTTGGTGCTTCTTCTGCCTAGAATCCTCTTCATTCAAGGTTTTTGCATGGTTTACTCACTCACACAGGTTTTGTTTGTTTGTTTTTTTGAGACAGGGTCTCACTCTGCCACCCAGGCTAGAGTGCAGTGGCACAATCTTGGTTCACTTCAACCTCCGCCTCCCAAGTTCAAGCGATTCTGGTACCTCAGCCTCCTGGGTAGCTGGGACTACAGGCACGTGTCACCACGCCCAGCTAGTTTTTGGTAGAAACGTAGTTTCACTATGTTGGCCAGGCTGGTTTCGAACTCTTGACGTCCAGGGATCTGCCTGTTTCAGCCACCCAAAGTGCTGGGATTACAGGCATGAGCCACTGCACCCGGCCTCACACAAGTCTTTACCCCAAAATAACCTCCTCACATAGGCCAGTACTCCTCAATCTTTCTCTATTCATGCTTTGTTTATTTTCTCTTCATAGCACTTACTACCCAACATAATTTCATATATTAATTTATGGGTTTACTATGTATTTCTGTCACTAAAATCTAAACATCCATAGGGGCAGAGACTCATTTTGTTCCCTAACATATGCTTAACATAGAGTAGGCTCTTCATAAAAAAAGTTCTTGAAAGAACCAATAAATTCTAGGAATCTGAGTTATGGTATAATTTTTCCTAAAATAATGTTTTTGGGGGACAAAAGGAAGAGCACAGAAAAAAATCAAGGGGATCATTTGTAATTAAATGAATAATGTGTGTAAAAGTGCTTTGTCAAGGCAAAACACTATGCAGATACTGTTTTAAAGAGTATTTGTCAGGACATCAAAATATTTTGACAAAGTGAGAGAGAAGACTGGTAGAGAAGTCAGTTTGTAAATTATTCACATCTCATCTTGTTACAGTCATTAAAGCAAAGCAGCAATTCCTAGATGACTCAGTTCTTCAGTTTTGATGATAAAGCTAGTTTTCAGAAGACTTAGACTTAGTTTTCAGAAGACTCAAATGCCTAGAAATGCAGTTCTAAAAATAATTTTTAAGTCATTTCTATTCAGCATCCCTAAATATGACTGCATAGGATATCAAACTTATACAAAAATGATGAAGAATAGATCAAAAAGACGTCTATTTCCTCCAACGCGGCTAAAAAGACACCTTAGAGTAGATATAACTAACAGTCAAGTGGTTTAGAAACTCTAAGAGGCCAGGTCATTGAATGTTAGAATGAATCACTCTGGCCGGGCGCGGTGGCTCACGCCTGTAATCCCAGCACTTTGGGAGGCTGAGGCGGGTGGATCACGAGGTCAGGAGATCGAGACCATCCTGGCTAACACGGTGAAACCCCGTCTCTACTAAAAATACAAAACATTAGCCAGGTGTGGTGGTGGGTGCCTGTAGTCCCAGCTGAGGCAGGAGAAGGAGAATGGCGTGAACCCAGGAGGTGGAGCTTGCGGTGAGCCGAGATCGCACCGCTGCACTCCAGCCTGGGCTGCAGGCGAGACTCCATCTCAAAAAAAAATTAAAGAAAAAATAAATAAAAAGAAAAGAAAAAAGAATGAATCACTCTATCGCAACTTTTGGTTGTTTTTCAGAGGTGATAGGGAACAACGCATTTTTCTTAACACAGAGCTGACTTAAATCTTAACATTCACAAATGACATCCAAAGATATTTTCTCTTTCTGTAAAAAGAAAACACAGAAAACTCGTCAAGCTAACATACATACTAAAATGTATCCCACGTAAGCAGGCCAGCACTGATAACAGAATGAGCCTAAATAAATGTATAATCTACAACATGATTTCAGGATAATTTTATTGAATTTCTCAGCCTGTCTCTCACTTTGTGGTGACTTCTGAAGAAATCGAACATGCATAATATATGACCTGACAAATGAACAAGTAAACTACTTTATTCAAGCCTTTTCATTTGTCAACAGCATCCAAGCAATAATGGCTTTCTGTCCACTCTTTTAATAATGTATGTATTGATTACTTCCATCTAAATCTTAACCAGAAAATCTCGGGAAGCTTTGAAGGTATCCTTAATGATCTCTAGGGAAGGGATTATAGAGATTTTTTTAATTGAAAGATGAAAACCTAGTGACAAACAATTTCATTAGTAAAAAGGCAAACAAAAAGTCATTACCTACACTGTTGTTACAATCAAGATCTAATCTCCATTTGGATTTGGGGTAGGAGGAAGGGAGTTGAATAAGCTGATGTTTTATTGCAGTTCTCCTTAGAAATTCCCCACTATGATTTGCTCCTTTAAAACTCTCTCTAGGTTAATCACAGAAGTAGACAAGTAATAAATATCACTTTAGTGACTGCTCAAGTAAAACAAAGGAAGTCAGTTTTTAAAATATATCTGGACCAGAATAACACCCACTAATTGAAAACGAGTCAGTCTAGTGAGGCAAGTAATGAGGAACTGTAAAAGCCAGGATAATGTATTCAAAAGACATAAAAATTGGTCAGTTTATATTTGCTAAGGCATATTTGAGCTTTAATTATTTATAACACTTCACCGCATCTGGAGCATTATTTTATTAATTAGTCTTGAGAGCCATTCAGTTGCAGTTGTTATGCTGCCCAGCTGGTTTGGGGAGCACAGATCTACTCCCATGGGTGTGAAAATTGCTTTGAGGAGTGAGACTATGGTCCCCAAATATGTCTGTGGAGTATCTTGGAATTTTACCTACAGAAGAACCATATATCTCTCCATGACAGCAATTGATATTGACTGTATATTTTCTCTACAAGAAAAGAGTACAAGATATGTAATATTTTGCTACAAAATATTATCACTAATCTGAAATGGTATACAAAGAAAAACACAAATTACCTGTTTTGTAAACATCCTGATTTATAGAAAATGAAAGTGAAAATGAACAACATTTGATTTTAGTTTCAACTATTGACATTTTAATGGGATTTGTATCCCCATAAAAAGCATCAGCAAAGGATATTAATAATTTAGAATAGAGAGTAAGCAGATGACTTTTTAAAAAAGTGGCACTCTAAATACTTGCGGAATAAGTTTACAATTACAGTGACCCATCTTGATACCAAGGATTCTATACAAACAACAATTAAATCAAGAAACCCATAAAGAGCAATACAATGTACAATTCTGGAAACATGGCAAAGTAAAACAAAAGTCCACAAATATAAGATCTGTCAACTATTAGATCTTGATGGAATTTTGTACTGATTCTGTTCTTTTTCTCTTTTTCTAACTGAGTTCAGGAGATCTGATACGCAGATCCAGTTTCAAGGATTTTCCATTGTTCTTTTGCCCATAGGCTTCAAGAGCATCACTAACTAGACAGTCCATATATGAAAGGGCTACCACATACATGTGACAAAACTTTGAGTCAAACAGGCTACTAAACTGTTCTCTCATCAGCACTCAGGAGCGATGATGTTGTTTGAGGAAGGAGAGTGTTTTGTGTCAAGAATTTTTCTTAAAGATACCAAGAGAAGCTTGAAAAAGCATTGCGCCAAACTACAAGTAAAAGCTGTATGTCGTATGTTTATTGAAGCACCATTCACAATAGCAAAGGCGTGGAACCAACCCAAATGCCCATCAATGATATACTGGATTAAGAAAATGTGGCACATGTACACCATGGAATACTGTGAAGCCATAAAAAAGGATGAGATCATGTCCTTTGCAGGGACATGGATGAAGCTGGAAACCATCATTCTCAGCAAACTAACAGAGGAACCGAAAACCAAACACTGCATGGTCTCACTCATAAGTGGGAGATAAACAATGAAAACATATGGACACAGGGAGGGGAACATCACACACTGGGGCCTGTCAGGGGGTGGGGGGCTAGGGGAGGGATAGCATTAGGAGAAATACCTAATGTAGATGACGGGTTGATGGGTGTGGCAAACCACCATGGCACATGTATACCTATGTAACAAACCTGCACTTTCTGCACATGTATCCCAGAATGTAAAGTATAATAATAAAAAAAAACCTGTGCATCAAAGTAGCTCTACACACTTTACAAAAAGATGCTTAATTAGAAATAAACAGAAAACTCCTGTAAATAAGAAGGGAATACCACTCTATTCTTTCTTTCCCTGCTCTTGGTCTCAATAGCCTTCCTTTATCTAACCAGTGTCTACTGTATACTAGGCACTTTGGAATGTGCTGAGTAGAAAAATGACAGCTTTCCCCCTCCCAAAAATCTTCTTGAAGGACATGGTTTAGCAAGAGTAGTCGATATTTATCAAATAGTAACACATGTACGTGATGACAAACAACGCTATGTTATAGAAAAGTAGACAATTTTAGAAGTGTGTAAAGAAAGATCTGGTCAAATGTAGACAACAGGGAAAAGTTTGCACAATGTCCGAGCCAAGATGTAAAGGATTATTAGATGATAACCAGGATATTATGAGTGGGTGGGTATAGGTAAAAGGGTTTGAGACAGAGGACCAACATATTTAAAGCCCCACATAAGAGGGACACGCAGAATTGGAAAAAGTAAATGGAGGCAGTATGGCTGGCATCCAAACAGCAAGGGAAGAGCATCTAGGAAAGAGGAGGCTGAGGCCAGACAAGCCAGATAGTGCCTTGTCACCCTTGTTGAGGATTTTGGTCTTTTTCCAAGAGCACTGAGAAGACTACTATAGTGTTAAGATAAGGACTGATATAATTGGATTTATGTTTTTTACACAGATTATTCTGACTGAAATGTAGAGATTGCATTGTAGGGTGGCAAGAGTAGATGCAGAAAGGTTAGGAGAAATGGTCTTCTATAATTATGATGATAACAATAGTAGACAGTCAAAAACAATTTTGAAGGTAAATTGGCCAGGTGCGGTGGCTCACGCCTGTAATCCCAGCACTTTGGGAGGCCAAGACAGGCAGATCACGAGGTCAAGAGATCGAGACCATCTGGCCAACACGGTGAAACCCTGTCTCTACTAAAAATACAAACATTAGGTGGGCATGGTGGCGCGTGCCTGTAGTCCCAGCTACTCGGGAGGCTGAGGCGGGAGAATTGCTTGAACCAGGAGGCGGAGGTTGCAGTGAGCCAAGATTGTGCCATTGCAACTCCAGCCTGGTGACAGAGCAAGACCCAGTCTCAAAAAAAAAAAAAAAAAAAAATTGACCCAGTGATGTCTTGGTAGTGGAAGGCTGAAGGCTGGTCATCCGGAAAAGGTACTGTACCAGACAACTACATTGTTGTCTGGTATGAGAAAATATTTAGTTAGAGTCTCGGAATATTTAGCTAGAGTTTTGGAGTTTTGTAGATTGCAGCAACAAAAAGATAAAGAAGCAAAGGGTTTCAGACTTTTGAAAACAAGTTATTAAAATTTAGATGATTGAATCTAAGTTGTATTTGGAAGGAGGTAAATATGGAAGGGCAGAGGAACTAATGTATAAAACACAGAGTAATCAATGGGCTGGAAGTCCTGTGAAATTCACGAAAGGTTAACAGGTAGCTATCTGAGCAAGCACACTAACCAAGTGGGGACGGATTAACTTCATTCTGGTGAGTATCACTCATAACTCTAGCATCACCATCTCCCCAAGTCATGTTCTTTGTCATGAGATTCCTGAGTAAGGACTGCGTTAAGTACAGACATTTTACCACTCTTAACAAGCAACCAAAACTAATAACCAGGAATAGTGAAGCAGTATTTATAACAAAATACTGGCTGGAAGAAACCACAGCAATTATTTGGACCAATTTCCTCATATTACAGTTGAAGAACAAAATAGCAATCAGAATCCATCTTATGAAGAAATATGACTAGAATCTCAGTCTCCTGACTCCTAGTGCACATGTCCAGTGATTCATTTTCTTTGGTTTCTGGAACTAGCATAAAATTCATCTTTTGTAGAAATTCTGTCTCATTTCACTATATCGCATAATGCATTTTTTAAAAAAGGCCCATCCTTCTCAATGAGTGCTTTTCTATATGTACACCAGAGTGTTTTGGCTGTTTATTCAAAGTCAGAACATTTAAAACACATAGCACCATTACATTTCACCCTACCACAAAAGCTAATTTAATATTCAGAAATATATGAAGGCAAATGGCTAAAGGAGAAACTGGCAGTTTCCCTGGCATTTTTTTTTTTTTTTGCAAAGATCCCTGGGTCTTCTTTCATGTTCTCTTCCCTTTTTATAATTTCCTATATCCTCTTCTCCAGAATAATATAAACCCTTGACCTTTCCTCAAGATGCCACCTTTGGCTGTATCTCCACAGAGATCTTTCCTTTACATGCTCAACATACAAAAGTGGTACCATTTTATCAAGTTTTTATTATTTGGTAGTAATTTGTTTGGTTTGCTATTCATTTCTGTTCTTGTATCTTTTATTCTCATTTCCAAAACACTTATCAGTATCCACTCTACACCAGACACTTTACTAGACTCTAGGGTCTTGGAGGTGAACAAGACAAAATCTCTGCCTTTTTCACTCAGAGCTTAGTAGAGAAGATAGAAATGTAAATAAAAATAAAACAAACAAACAAAGAAATAATTGGTCATCGTTGGAGGATGCTAGTGAACAAGTTGTTATTATAAAAATTGGTAAAATTGAAACGTATTTTGCTTGTTCGGTATGAAAGGTATACTGAGTACCAAAATAGGAGACAAGTGCAAAACATTTTTTTCATAGACCTACCCCAGTGAATAAATGAAGAAGGAATGGTAGAGATAGGCAATTATCACACTGCAACCCCTAGCCACTGATCGTGAACAGCTATTAAACATCACACAAAAAGAGAAAACAAGGCATTATATACCACCTCCTGATGATGGAAGAATACACGAACACCTGTGAAGCAGTCTTGCCAAAAAAAGCCAAACCCAAATACAATCAAACTATAGAACTGCACTGTTCAATCGGTAGCTACTGGCAACATCTGGCTACTGAGTACTTGGAATGTAATGAGCCTGAATTGAGATGTGCTGTAAATGTACATTTTTTCTATTGATTGCATGTTGAAATGACAATAAGAATTGTACTACAGTTGCATGACATATAATGATGAAAAGAAACAGGGTGAAAGATACAGGGAAACTATTCTATTTTAGAAACTTACTGTGAATCTGTAATTACTTCCAAACAAAAAGTAATAAAAAGACCAACTAACCAAAGTAAGGTGTGGGTCTGATTTCAATTTTTATTTAAACCAAAACCAGAAAAAGTTTAAAAAATGCATAATATGTATGAGAAAAATGGAAATTTGAATATGGACTGGATATTTGATATGATGAAATTATTGATATTTCAAAAGCATTATAGTAGCAAGGTGATTACCTTAAAAGAGTGAATCCTATCTTTTAACCTTTTGAAATATTAACAATAAAATAACACACGCCTGATATTTGTTTTAAAACAATCTGGGAAGAGCTATAGAATAAATAAGATCTGACGTGATTTGATAATTGTTGATGTCTTGATGAGTACGAGTTTTATTATAGCATTCTGTCTACTTTTGTATATGTTCAATATTTTTCATCATGAAAAGCTTTTTTTTATATAGCCAAAAGAGATGGACGATTTCTTAAAGGGTATTATTAACACAAATGTGTTTGACATTTACAGTGTAATGGCTTAGATTATTTATAATTGACCCTTGGGTGAGAAGAGTAAAAAAGATTTCTATTCAACTTAATTTCAAACAAAATTAATTTTAAAATAGTCACTGGATTACTATGTGCTTAACATGTGCAAGGCACGAGGCTTAAAAATGTCCTACCCTATGTACATCGTTCTGCTTCTGAACTGCTGGAAAGTCGCCTCCAATAGGTGCCTGCCGGCTTAATTCATCATCTTTCAGCTGTAGCCACACCAGAAGTTCCTGCAGAGAAAGGTGCAGACGCTTCCACTGGTCAGAACTGGCTTCCAAATGGGACCTGAAAAAGAACAGCAGCGTACCATGTCAGAATATCTAGAAGTGTAATTGATGATTCTAACAATTCCATTGAAAAAGTACAATAAACCTATTGTGAACTACAAAGCAGTCTTGAATAAAAATCTGGCTACTTACTTTTGAGAGCCACAAAACAGAGGATAGTTTGATGGCAATTTTGAGAAAAGGCAGTGTTTAGCCATATGTTTATTTCCACATGCAGAATGCTGAGACTTTTGGCATGAAATACACACTGGAATCTATTGCTTTTCCATACTGTTGTAGTCAACAATTCTTAATATTTCTGGTAGAAAAAATTGGATGCAGTGACTAATGAAAAACACTTCGTTTTCATGTGACTCATGCTAGTACTGGAATTCTTTTTGCCTTGAGAAATGGAAAGGTCTCTCCCCACATTTTGACTTTTCCATTTCTACACCCTAGGCAGCCTTTTCCATTGAGTTCTTCCATCTGGCGTCTGTTCCTTTCTGCTCCTCTTCCCAAATGCGTCTCCTTTCCCCCTACCCTTCTTTATTTGTGTGCACCTGGGATTTGTCTTCACCAAGTTTCAACATTTTCTGCTTTGTTTCCTTTGTGTAAAAAGTACTAAGACAACAACTCACATGGAAGAGTAAAATCAGACATTTATCTGAAAGCTTCCCCCGAACATGAATAATTTAGGCAGGAGACTGAGTGCTTTACCGTCAACTGTATTTAGAACACGTTAATCCTTAGAAGCCATTTAAGAATACACAAATGAATGATCTGTGCTATAAAATCCACATTTCACTTGAAGATGAGAAGCTAAATTAATAAAATAAATCATCATCCAGAAAACAAAGAGGAAACGCAGTGTTAGCAAAGCTTTATCTTCAGGTAAATTAGAAATTATGCTCAATCACTCAGCTATTATCAGCAATTACTAATTAATTCATAATAACGCTACCTATAACATAAATATAATAAAGACTTTAACGCTGCAAAGATTGAAATGTAAAGCAAAGCAACCAGGTGGAGCAACATTTCCCTTAGCCATTTGGTAACTTAGCTTGACATTACAAATACAATTCTCCTTTTGGCCTTAGTCAAACAGAATCACCAAAGAATACTTATCTACTGAAATTAAATTGTTCCAAACTTTCTGAAGGATAATTTGACAATACATAAAAGTCTTTAAAATGTGCAAAGACAATGACCCACAGGCTTAAATTCAAGGAAATTATACTAACAAAGAAATTGGAAAAAGATACAAAGATATAGGTGGAAAAATGTTATATATAGCATCATTTATGATTGATAAAACAAAACAGAAACAACTTAAATATTCAATATGAGGGAATTGCTTGAGAAATGCAAAACCCCAACCTACTGATTGTTTTCAAATGTAATGAAACTTGTATATGCTTTAAATTTAGAAATTAATGAAATTTATATATGAATTTAATTAAATAGCTCTTAATTTAAAAGGGAATTATTACATATATAATGGTGCATTCATACAGTAAAATCCTTTGCAAGGTTCAATATGATGACATAGCCAAATATTTATGGATATGGAAAAGGTCATCATCCCAGTTACTAAATGAGAAAACAGGTTACAAAACAAATACATTTTTTGAATTTTTCTAAAACATTTGTGTATGTGTATGTATTTGTATGCACATGCTTGACTAGGAAAAAATTTTGTAATGACAACCAGGTTATCCCTCAGAGGTAGATTTACAGGTGATTTATTTCTTAATCTTTCTACTTTTCCAAATTGTCAAGATTTTCTTTCTATAATTGCAGTATAAACAATATGTCCAGGAAAAATGAAGGCATTTCCATCAAATAAGATAAATTAAATTGTTCCAGACTCTAAGGGTATTATTTCCCAAGAACTGAATCGTGAAATACCATAAATGTCATGAATTGAATATAATAGTGCATGCAGATTGCATACAATTAGAGGTCAGTTCTTTTATGTTTCTGTACCATCCTTTCAGTTACCACTTTTCCATGATAAGCCTAAGCGACAATTCCCCATGCAAGATTTTAGCTGTTTAATAGCATGTAATGTGTAATGGTTAAACGAATTCCTTGGGGTGTCTGGAATTCACAGCTTGGTCCCTTTGAGAGTGAAAAGAGGCTGTCAAGCAGGACATATTGAAAAGTAGGTGGAGAGAGGTAGGGCTCAGACATGGAAAAGCAGCAAATGGTAGAAAAGACACTGATTAAATAAATATTTATTGACTGCCCCTAAGTCTCTAGGATACATTGGGGAGTAGGGAGAGAGGAAGGGAAGAGAGAATATAACGATGACTAATGTTTGGCCTCTGTCTGCCTGGTAGAGGAAACAAAATATCCTTGTGGCAGAGAGGTCTAGAGGAGGATATAGTGAAGGGCAGGCTGCCTATGTTAAGACCTCAAGCTGCGGCTTTGTTTATGTAAGGAAGTGCTAAAATTCCAGTTCTAGGTTAAATGGTGCTGACTCATTATTAGTGGGTCAATGAACCCCTTTAGGTCCCCTAAGAGAGAGCAAAATAACTGAGACCTAGGGAATTCAGTTCTTTTTTTTTTTTTTTTTTGGTGAGACAGAGTCTTGATCTATCACCCAGGCTGGAGTGCAATGGCACGATCTTGGCTCACTGCACCTCCACCTCCCGGGTTCAAGCAATTCTCCTGCATCAGCCTCCCAAGTGGCTGGGATTACAGGCGCCCACCACCACACCCAGCTAATTTTTGGTATTTTTAGTAGAGATGGGGTTTCGCCATGCTGGCCAGGCTGGTCTTGAACTCTTGACCTCAGGTGATCCACCTGCCTCAGCCTCCCAAAGTGTTGGGAGTAGAGGCGTAAGCTACCACACCCAGCCGGGAATTCAGTTCTAAAGGATCTAAGAGAAACTTAATAGCATGAAATAGGGAAGTTGTTAGAAGCCAGGGACAGAGGACAGTCAAGAGAGCTAATACAGCAGCAGAAGACGGACCTGGAACCTCAAAAGACGAAAAGCTCTCACATATCTGGGTAAGGGGACTTCCTTTAATTTTTTTCTAAGCTGTGGAGTTAGATAAAATTTCAGAATGTTTGATCATCCTAACTACATATCAAATTGCTTCATTTTTTTCCTCTCCTAAAGCTCAAGAGTGAAAGGAAAAATGTGATAGGAGGACAAAAACTGAAGCGAAAAACTTACAAAGGACAGAGAACACTGAGTAAGAACTGAAGAGGTGAAAGGCAGCCAGAGAATGAATTAAAACAGCATATACAAATGTATTCAACCTAAAGCTCTGGGTCTCAAACTATAGTGTGTATAAGAAACATTTGAGTAGCTTGTTTAAAATTGAGATTGCTAGGTGCCACCTCCAGACTTTCTATAATTCTATCAACAATCTCTGCTTTCAACAAGAACCTTCACAATTCCACAGGTAAGCTCCAGAACCATTCTTTGATAAAGCATTTATTAAAGCATTTCTGATATGCCCCAAACATTACTTCTTGGTCTCCACAGGGCAAAGGTGGCATTTGTCAGTGACTTGATTTTGAAGATCTAAATGTAAGGAACATTGTGAGCTCAAAACATTTTCTTTGACCATGTTAAGCCCGTGAAATGTTTTCAAGTCACATTTCTAATACATTTATCGGAAGCAGTTGCCCTATTTTTATTTTCATGAGTGTATATACCAGATATTTTGAAATGATTAACCTATGTTTGCATGTGGAATATCTCCTCCTGAAAATGTTTCTTTGTATTTGTAATGACTTTTTTTTCTGGTTATATCATACATAGGCTGTTGGGGTTGGAAGGAACCTGAGAGATTATAGTTCAACCTTCTTGTTTTGCATATGTAGAAATCAAGATTGCAAAGGTATAAAACAGCTGCTGAAAAACATAACTTGAGCTGTCCTATTTAGATATGGGAAATAGAAATTACAAACCTTTGTTAGATGAGAAAATCCTTAAACCTTAGTGGTTTTAACCAAATGTTTTTGATCTCTGAACAAAAAGGCTTGTTGCTGTTAAATTAAATTAAATTGGGCCTAAAGCTGACTCTGTACATAGCAAACTGCAACCCAGCTTGGCATGTAAGCAATATGCAACTTAAGAGTACATTCTTGTAACAAATAGCTGAGCCTCAGCCAATCCCAGCAGTCAAGTTTCAGCTAATCACAGGCTGTAAACTGATCAGCTCATGTCCATATAAGGCAAATGCCTATTTACACTATGCCCAAGTAAGGCAAATTCTAAGCTGTAACCAGTCAAGCTGTTTCTGTATGTCACTTCCTTTTTCTATCTATAAATACTGCCTGCCCACCTTGCTGGGTGGAGCTTTCTGAACTTCTAATTCTGAGTACTGTCTGATTCATGAATTGTTTTTTGCTCAAATAAACTCTGCAAAACGGAATTTGTCTAAAGTTTGTCTTTTAACATTGCTAATTGTCAAATATATTCTGCTTACTCCTACCCACTCAACGGAAAATAAAAGAGGTGGTTCAAAGGGGCATGCTTAGCTTCTATCTATGTCTATTAATCTTTATTAGTGAAGACAAGAGCTTAGGGGTTACTACCGTTTAACAAGGCAAGTGCTAATCTCTAAAAAGCTGATAATTTCCACAATTTGTAAGGTTTAGGTAAAACGCAGAGCCTTTAGATGTGCTGGAGTATATTGCTTGGTCTTTAAGGAACTCCTCAGTGTCAGGACACTAAGAATTATAGGGGCTGATAAAGTGATTGTTATTTCTCTAGACACAGATATTTCAACTGTGATTTGGTTAATGCCTAGTTTGAAATCCTTAATAAAACTTTACTCTGAAAGGCATGCATTCTTAAAGTGAAATGTGTTATATTGAATTCATTTTTCACTTTGACTTCCTTTATAAAACTAATGATATATCCCTATAAATCTTTAGTACCCTCATGTAATAAAATAGCACTTAAACATGCAGAAAGAAAAGGGAGGAATGCAGAAATAATAAAGAACCACAATACTGCCATAAAAACAGACACAAAGACCCATGGAAAAGACTAGAGAACCCAAAAACGAATCCACACACCTACAGTTAACTCATTTTTGACAAAGGTGCCAAGAACATACAGTGGGGAAAAGACAGTCTCTTCAACAAATGGTGCGGAAAAACTGGATATCCATATGCAGAATGAATCTAGACCCCTATCTCTCACCATATACAAAAATCAAATCAAAGTAGATTAAAGACTTAAATGTAAGACCTCAAACCATGAAACTACTACAAGAGAACACTGAGAAAAATCTCCAGGGTGTCATCAACAGATGAATAATTTGAATTTGTACTTCAGAAACAAAAAAAATTAAAGAACCACAGAATTAAAATGGGAGCTATCTCTTTAAATAGAGAGAATCCCAAAGAGAAGTCAACATTTTTTTTTTCTAGACAGGTCTTGAACTCCAACATCCAAACATAATTAACATTCTAAAAGAGAGAGAAAGAAGGTCAGAGATATTCAATGTCCAAGTTGCAGTTTTCTCTCAAAGGTAGACCCCACCTCTTTTTGCCCTTCTTTTGTTCTCCATTATACAAAGACACTAACTATTCTAACCTCTAATAGCAAGCACTCCCCAATAGATTTATGGCTTCTACAGACTATATAATGTCAGTGTCCTTGCCTCTTAATGTTCACAATTGTATAAATGTGAACATTTTATATAACATTTACAAATTTTTCTGCCAAATATAAAAATCTCACATAATGTAAATTCTGCTGAAATTATGTTGATAACATATTATGTGATTTTCATAGTTAATAGTATATACAATGATCTGGAAAAATAATCTAGTAGTAGACTAAATTGAAATCTTCATATATATTTCTTATGTAAAACAATTGACTTGACCACTTCTCAAGTTATTAATATTCTAAAATTAAAAATGCAAGGATTGTGGATATGGAATTTTAGAATGAAAAACACTTTCTTTGACTAATTACCATCTTAATATTGGATAACGTCATCAGTAACTGTGTGTGTATGCATGTGTGTGTACATTTAAGTAAATAATTTTCTCTTTTTCTCCCACTTAAAGCAGTTAATGTTTTCGTTTTGTTTGATGGAACTTAAATTATCACTGACTACTTACTTTTCTTCCTTATACCTCTTGGCCAACATGTGATGTAATAATGCATGTGGAATGATAGCATATACTTTTCTTGAATTAAATTATGAGATAGGATTATACAATTTCAATTAAATTTCTTTTCTCTCAAAGACATCTTAATTACTTTATATAATGCCTTTTAAATCAATCAGTTCTATTTTAATTAAGAAAACCAAGGTAGAAAAATTAAACAATTTTCCAGGTTCATAAAGTGTGATTGCAGAACTAAAAGAATAAAATTGTACGATTGCAAGAGAACTGGAAGAGACTGTCCATATTTCTGGTCAAACTCTTCATTTCAGTGAAGGAGAAAATTGAAGTCTGAAGCAGTTAAGTGACTTGATCAAGATTATATGCTAAGACAGTTAGTGACAGAATAGAACAGAAGGGAAACTGGGTTGCCCAGCTGCTGGCCCATGTCTTTCTACTCTACCATACTCACATATTTCGAGTTTGAAATTTTTGTATTCATATAAGTTAGCTGGAGGCAGTAAGCATAGCCCTATAAAGCAACTCTTGAACACTTGAAGAAACATGTTATCAAGTGTAAATTAGAATAGTATTGGGAAGACCTAGTGAGGAAACAGCCAGAAAAGAAAAGATTTGTTATGGAATATGAATCAAAATTTGGAGAATAAGAGGAAAGAGAATGTTGCAAGTGTGAGAACCAGCAAGGGTACATACTCATATGGGAGAGTGAGGAAATTGTTGGAGAGTAGGAATGGGGTTAGAAAATAGAATTTATTGATTCTCTTGGCTCAGAGAATCTATGTTGGGGAGTAACAGAATGATGCTTGGTGAGAAAGGAACTGGAGGCAGAAAAAGAAAAGAGAAGGGAAGGAGTTAGCAAGGACTTATTAGGCACAGTTGGCAGAGAGAGAAGGTTCTACTAGATTCTAATGATTAAATATAACTTCATTAGAGCAGTGATTTTTTTTGGTATGTTTTATTCATGGTTGCATCCTCCGTGCCCAGAAGAGTGCCTAGTACATAGTAGGCATTCATTAAATATTTGTTGAATGAACAAATAAATGAATGAGGGAGATATGGAGACCTACAAGATTGAAGCTTTGAACAAAAGAGTAATATGATATAAACAGCGTCCAAGGTAGAGTATTCTTGCAAATGTATCAATATGGCATAACATGATGACTTAAATAAGAATCTTAATCACAGGAAGAGAAAAGATGTATGGCAGAAGAAAAATAAATGGAAGGAAAACGATACAATATGGACTTGTATTTGGAAGCACAAGGATATCTCTTATGAGCCAATGGAATACAAAGGGAAACTTCGAAATCATTTGGATTTAAATTCAATTTTGTTTCTTTAAAAATGGACACATTAATGGTTTTATTTTTTTGAAATATAAGAGCAGTTTCAGAATCGCTCACCAAACAATGGGCCAACTGTAATTTTTTATAATATGTTATAACTTGGGCAAACACAGGCCTATTTTTCCAGTATATCATTGAAACTATTTTTTAATTGTGGCAACTTTTCATTTTAAAATAACCCCCATGGAAGAAGTGACAAGATTCATAATGCAGGTTTATCAGTGCCACTAATGGTTCTATATCTAACTCTTCCAGTGTTATTCTATTCTATTTCATAATCATCCCTAATTACTGCCTATACTGTACTTCTCTCAATTGAACCCTGCCATTTGCTGTAGATTGATCAATACCCTAATTTCAATCAAGTGTCAGGAAATAAGCTAAATTGCTTTGATGTGGAGAATTACTTCTTTGCTTTTTATGAGTGCTTATAACATATCCTGTATTATTACATAGGCCTATATAAAAGCCAAAACCATTGATCTGAATATTTAAATTCTAGAATTGGCAGCACCTTAGATAAGCTAACTGTTTTCTACCTGATTAATGACAGCAAGAATCAAACTGCGGTAGCTGACATGGGAAACTGCTGAGAATGAAGAGTCCATATTTTGGCTGACATGCTATTTGCCACTTTCAATTCTCCTTTTATTTTATCAAGTTCACATGAGGCAGAGAAAAGGCACTAAGTGATACTCGGAACAATTATAGCATCTTTCTTTTTCTTTTGTGCAGAAAAGAATAACTTAACTTGACCTGCCAATATTTTTTCCATCTCACATTTTCATTCTTTTTTAATGACGAAGGTTATCAAAGTGGCCTACGTCATCACACATACTGACCTCTCTTAAGAGTTTAAGCTGTAGAAAGCTAATAGAGCCTCCCTATCTTTGAAAATGCTATTGCCATTGTTGCTCCCAGTGTACCACCACCAAGTTGACACAAAATTCATATACAAAATAGGGAGATAAGGAACAATGTCTGGGAAGCCAGGGTGCAAACTTGTGAAAAACAAAACAAAACAAAACCTTATACATAAAAATAAACCTGTTCTACTCCTAGCAATCTACTTCTCATAAAAACAAATCCTTTTCTACTCCTAGAAAAAATCTACTCTCTATTTCATCCTTTCAATTAGTATGCATTTCTTTGTAGAAGTTTCCTTCTTTCTTTATATGCTACGGTATCATATGGTGGTTAAAAGTTCAGACTCTGAAGTCAGACTCCCTGATTTCTTTTTCTTTTACTTTTTTCTTTTTTCTTTTGAGACAGAGTCTCACTCTGTCCCCTAGGCTGGAGTGAAGTGGTGCGATCTCGGCTCACTGCAACCTCCACCTCCCGGGTTCAAGCGATTCTCCTGCCTCAGCCTCCTGAGTAGCTGGGACTACAGGCGCGTGCCACCATGCCCAGCTAATTTTTGTATTTTTGGTAGAGACGGGATTTCACCATGTTGGCCAGGATGGTCTCGATCTCTTGACCTCGTGATCCACCTGCCTCGGCCTCCCAAAGTGCTGGGATTACAGGCGTGAGCCACTACGCCTGGCCCACCCAGACTCCCTGTTTTCATCTTGTATCTTCCACTTGCTAAGTGACCCTAAGGAAATTATTTAGCCTCTCTGTGCCTCACTTTCTTCAAATGTAAAAAGAATTCAATAATAAAATCTACCTCTTAGGGTTGCTGAGAGCATTAAACCGGTCAATGAATGGAAAGTGCTTATGGCATTGCGTGGTATGTAGGTACATCATGTAAATATTAGTTGCTATCATTATTTCATACTTGATGCAGACATTTACAATAGTGCTTCTGAATTACTAAAAATGCAGATTTTCCTCCTTATAGAAGTATATATGTTAAAATTTTGGACAAGTTAGAAGAACTATAAAGAAGAAAAAAAATCTCCCTTCTGTAATCTTTCTACCTAGAGGTAGTAACTACTCCCGTCATTTAGTGTATACTCCCATAACTATTATTAAGTCCATTTGGTCATCTTCTACCTCCCTTCATTATCACTTTTTCTCTAGACACAGAAGAAAGCACAAAATATTTTTAATAAAGAGAAATGAATTAAGAAAGGCAACTGCTTAGAAAGCAGGAAGCCTGGCTTTCATTCCCCGCCCTTGCTAGATCATTTAAGTTACAATGGGCGTTTTACTTACTATCTCTATCCTTTTGTTCCTCCACGGAACTATTGCAAAACTGGTATAACAAGAACTTCCCTCTGCCCTTTTTACAAAGATGCTATGATGCATCCATTAACTAACTTCTCCAAAGAAAGCTGGCACATAGAAGGGGGCAAAATATAAAGTATGTGAGTATACTACAACTAAAAGCTTAGTTTACAGAGGATGTGTTTTAACAAAATCTGAGAGGAAGCAAAAGACAGGAAGTTGCTATAGTCTCTCTTTAACTGTAGGAGCTATCTCCTCTAAACTGTTAATTATAATGTGTTACAGGTTTTATATTATATAATTGTAATGTGTTATAAAGGGTTTTAAAGACTGTCCTCTGGTATGCATTTAGACTAATGCCAAAAATAATTCCATAATACATATCCGTTAATTTTTTATCACTTTTTGTATAACCCTGTGATATGCCAAGAGAGAAATTTATGAAACTAGAATAGCTGCACTCCTCATTTAAATTCACTCTGATGTCTTAATATGCATGTCTCCTATGTTTATAAAACATTACCACTTTAATCTAATCTGAATCCTCAAGTATCATCTCCATACCAAGCAAATAAATGATTCATTTATTCAAAATACAGTGAATCATTCTGAAATTGGATGATTTACGTAGACATGTGAGATACCAGTTACTTGTGCTAAGACAATGAGGAAAATTTGGCCATTTTAATTCATTTGTGGCCTTTTTGCTCCACATCTTTTCCTACCTAATGTTGAGAGACTTTTTCCGAAGTTCACTCCACTTGAAGTTCATGTTATCCAAACGTCTTTGTAACAGGACTGCATCATCGGAACCTTCCAGGGATCTCAGGATTTTTTGGCTGTTTTCATCCAGGTTGTGATAAACATCTGTGTGAGCTTCAATTTCACCTTGGAGGTCCTACAGGACAGCAGGAAGAAGAATATGTGCAGAATTACCAAACAAAAGAAACAAGCGATGAATGTGAATTTGGAGAATTGCAAAATATAAATAATTATTAGTTCAAAAGACATTTCAATCAGGCTAAACTAACAAGAAGATACATCTCAAATCCCTTTTCTTGGCGTATTGCCTTCTCCTGTTATTATGTAGATTTAAAATGGGCATCTTATTAGTTGTAATAGATTTATTCCTTGCCATTATGAGTTGGAAAGTAATGTATTTATAACTTTATAAAGTTCACAAGTTATATCTTCTAGTCTATGGACAAAATGTATTATTTTATGGAAGTGATAGGCAATAAAATTCTATGATAAAGTGTACCCCAGTGCCAATAATTTCATTACTATATGGATCAAGTCATATTTTCTATTTACGTAGTAATCTGTAGAGTTAACTCTGACCATAAAAGCGTGGAGAGACTAATAAACAAGATTGCACTTGGCCCACAGCACCAGCACATTCCTGGGAGTCTGTCATGGGAGAGAAAATCTTCTTGACAACACAAATTAAGTTCACCTTGGTATTATAGCATCATACATATAGTACAGCATCATACATTTATTAGTTTTGATTTCCCATTTAATACACATTTTTAGGCTTGACAGGTGGAAAGTACATAGGACCTTGGTAAGAGTTATGATAAGAGGTTATGCATTCAACTTCACTTGTATACACACAGATCAAGAAAATTATTATAGTAGAAGAATCTGACCTTTACATGGTATGTCTTCCTGTGTAACATTTTCAGCTTGAACCGGGCACTACAGCACTGATCCTGTTGCATAGCAATCCTGAGAAAACCCAGAAACTGAAAGAGCCCTGCTTTAAAATGCCAACTTTGCTTACATTCTGTTGACAGAATGAATTTTGGAGCACAGGCCTCACCAGTCAATAATAATAAACGGCCACTTTGTACTCCGCACTAAACAGTAGCCAGGCGTGTGGATGTGGGAGGAACCTCAAAGAGAGGAGGCCTGGAATATGCAACTGACAGTTTATATTAAACAGCCAACTTTTCTTATCATTCTGCCATTACAAGCCAGAGACATTATAAATTCATTTTATATATGTGTTTCCTTCCTTGTTCCCAGCAGAATAGTCAAAGCCAAGGGAACATTCCTCAGAGAGCTGCCGGGTACCAGCATTCCTTTCTGCCTACACAATGAATGGAGGCTTTGTATATTATCTGACTTGCTCTTAGAGATTTGTATGCTTCTGTTCAACAAGTTTAAAAATTCATTCTGAAGCTCCAAACAATTGGATTGATCTGTGTAACTAGAAAAGTTTTTTTTTTCTCTCTCTCTCTCAAATTGAATTAAATTACTCTGCTAAAGTAAGGGAGAAAAAGTGGCAGAAATAACATGTTAGAAATTCTGAAGAACTGGCTCAAGTTTTCAGCCACAGCCTCTTAAGATGCAGAATTCTGAATGTTGAACAAGTAAGGTAGACAGACAATGAATGTCTATTGTCACTATTTTTGGCAGCTAAAGCATCACTGATGGACTCTAAAGAGAGTTGTGTCCCATTCTCTTTGACTGGGAGACAGGCAGGGGAATATGGATAGAATCACATCAGAAGTTGAAAGAAGGGAAATACTGAAAGTATTTCTGAGTAGTATCTCTGAGTAGTACAAACCAGGTTTGTACTGGAAGGATATAGCCTGATTTTGAAAGTAGTTTATATGGTAGAAGGTTAGTATTGGGATTCTTGCAGAACGAAGTTTGGTCAAATATATAGCCATTTTATGTTTTTCTTTCTTTTTTCCTTTTGCCTACGTGGAATAACATGCCTGCCTAATTTGCACTTCTTCAGCAAAAGAGAAAAGTGAGTTAATTTATCTAAGTACTTCAGGAGAAAAAGCCAACCAGATCTAAGTTCCAGATAATTCCTTCACTTGTCTTTTACTTTACTTCTTCTGTTGTACTTGATTTGTACAGTACTTTCCTTTTGTGTATGCACTTAGGGGATTAAAGACAAACTTTTAGTTGTTCAAGTAAAAGTATTCTCACTAGTAGCATCAGTTTTCTATGTTTACTACATTAACATACATATAAAGGATAGTACATTTGAAATTTATATCCTACATTGATAGCAGAGACCCAGGCTCAATCACGAGCTCCTTAAGGTTATGTATACCATGAAGTCACCAACACTTTCTTTGTCTTCTCAAGCATAAATAGGATGTTGATTCATGAATTTGCTACTTTTCATCTTTGCCATATATATTATACTGCATATAAACATCTTTGTTGTATTATCAACAAATAAATGAATATAAAATTGATAAACAAGCATTTATTGAGGACTGATTTATTGTCTAGTTTTAGCACTTTGGGAAATGTAAGAGGAGTACAAATGATAGTTCTGTCTTTAATTTTCCTAAAACCTAGTGTGCATTTTTGTTTAATTCGTTTATATTACCAACTAAATATTGACGGCAATTCCTGCCAAGTCTTCATAGATACTGGGATAAAGACTCCTTCCTTTAGAAATGCAGAAATGGCTAAAGTTATCTTAGCATTGGCAAGAAGATAAGTCTTCTGTCAGTACTGCTTTTCTAGGTCATGATGGTGATACAGAGCTGTAAATGACACGTGTACAGTAAAGGGCTTTACAGGTTACAAAGCACGTACAAATGTACCACCTTAGTTATTCCTCCCCCTGGCTCTGTGAAGTACATCACATTTTCTGTTTTGCAGATGAGAGCACTGAGACTCGGATGTTTAACTGACTTGCCTAAAAGCCATATAGCTGATAAGTGTTAGAACTGGGAAATGGATCCAATTCTCTTGATTCTAGAAGATCTTGGGCTGCCTCCACCAACCCACTTGCCAGAAGCATTGGATATAATACACAGTAGTCACTGAACCTGAACGAAGATACTACTTGCAAGAGGAAATAAGTGACTGTTGAGGGAAAAGCACCCTGAAAGACAGCATTCTTGAGTTTGATAAAATGTTTACCCACGTGGATTGATTTGTTCTGAATGAAAAATTGAATTCTGACTGCTCTTTTTTTTTTTTTTTTTTTGAGACAGAGTCTCGCTCTGTCACCCAGGCTGGAGCACAGTGGCGCGATCTTGGCTCACTGCAAGCTCCGCCTCCCAGGTTCACGCCATTCTCCTGCCTCAGCCTCCCAAGTAGCTGGGACTATAGGCGCCCGCCACCACGCCTGGCTAATTTTTTTTGTATTTTTAGTAGAAACAGGGTTTCACCATGTTAGCCAGGATGGTCTCGATCTCCTGACCTCGTGATCCGCCCACCTTGGCCTCCCAAAGTGCTTGGATTACAGGCGTGAGCCACCACACCTGGCCCTGATTGCTCTTTTCACTTCTCATTTAGCATTGGGCATCCTGGACCACCTGTGAGCAAAAAATGTTCACACTGAAAAGGTCTCCTTTCTGCAAATTTCCCTGTTGCCAGAACAGAAATTCTGCCATCAGTAATTCATCTCTTTGTCTACAAGAGCCATGTGGACTACTATGAACCATACCAAGAAATGACTTGACACATCAGCATAAACATAGTTCATCCATGTTCCTTTGGGATGGCAGGCTGGTAGGAAATCTTTCAAGCTACAGGACTCAGATAGGTTGCCCTAAAAGGAAGGTAAGTATTGGGAAAGAACCCAAGGCTCTCTTTCAAAAGCTGGCATGCTGTAGTGGAGATTTTTCAGTATCAATAAGGCAGCATGAGTCATAGATTGGGAATGCAGGGCAGGCTGCAAGGAATATACATTATACATAATATAATATAATATAATATAACATAACATAATATAATACTACCATAATGATATTTGTCTAAACTCATCATTTTTTATTTATTTATTTATTTATTTATTATTATTATTATACTTTAAATTTTAGGGTACATGTGCACAACGTGCAGGTTAGTTACATATGTATACATGTGCCATGCTGGTGCGCTGCACCCACTAACTCATCATCTAGCATTAGGTATATCTCCCAATGCTATCCCTCCCCCCTCCCCCCACCCCACAACAGTCCCCAGAGTGTGATGTTCCCCTTCCTGTGTCCATGTGTTCTCATTGTTCAATTCCCACCTATGAGTGAGAATATGCGGTGTTTGGTGTTCTGTTCTTGTGATAGTTTACTGAGAATAATGATTTCCAATTTCATCCATGTCCCTACAAAGGATGTGAACTCATCCTTTTTTTATGGCTGCATAGTATTCCATGGTGTATATGTGCCACATTTTCTTAATCCAGTCTATCACTGTTGGACATTTGGGTTGGTTCCAAGTCTTTGCTATTGTGAATAGTGCCGCAATAAACATACGTGTGCATGTGTCTTTATAGCAGCATGATTTATAGTCCTTTGGGTATATACCCAGTAATGGGATGGCTGGGTCAAATGGTATTTCTAGTTCTAGATCCCTGAGGAATCGCCACACTGACTTCCACAATGGTTGAACTAGTTTACAGTCCCACCAACAGTGTAGAAGTGTTCCTATTTCTCCACATCCTCTCCAGCACCTGTTGTTTCCTGACTTTTAAATGATTGCCATTCTAACTGGTGTGAGATGGTATCTCATTGTGGTTTTGATTTGCATTTCTCTGATGGCCAGTGATGGTGAGCATTTTTTCATGTGTCTTTTGGCTGCATAAATGTCTTCTTTTGAGAAGTGTCTGTTCATGTCCTTCACCCACTTTTTGATGGGGTTGTTTGTTTTTTTCTTGTACATTTGTTTGAGTTCATTGTAGATTCTGGATATTAGCCCTTTGTCAGATGAGTAGGTTGCGAAAATTTTCTCCCATGTTGTAGGTTGCCTGTTCACTCTGATGGTAGTTTCTTTTGCTGTGCAGAAGCTCTTTAGTTTAATTAGATCCCATTTGTCAATTCTGGCTTTTGTTGCCATTGCTTTTGGTGTTTTAGACATGA
This sequence comes from Homo sapiens, assembly GCF_000001405.40. Taxonomy (NCBI): domain Eukaryota; kingdom Metazoa; phylum Chordata; class Mammalia; order Primates; family Hominidae; genus Homo; species Homo sapiens. Next base: position 31,512,399 of record NC_000023.11, read on the forward strand.
AGTCCTTGCCCATGCCTATGTCCTGAATGGTAATGCCTAGGTTTTCTTCTAGGGTTTTTATGGTTTTAGGTCTAACGTTTAAGTCTTTAATCCATCTTGAATTGATTTTTGTATAAGGTGTAAGGAAGGGATCCAGTTTCAGCTTTCTACATATGGCTAGCCAGTTTTCCCAGCACCATTTATTAAATAGGGAATCCTTTCCCCATTGCTTGTTTTTCTCAGGTTTGTTAAAGATCAGATAGTTGTAGATATGCGGCATTATTTCTGAGGGCTCTGTTCTGTTCCACTGATCTATATCTCTGTTTTGGTACCAGTACCATGTTGTTTTGGTTACTGTAGCCTTGTAGTATAGTTTGAAGTCAGCTAGTGTGATGCCTCCAGCTTTGTTCTTTTGGCTCAGGATTGACTTGGCGATGTGGGCTCTTTTTTGGTTCCATATGAACTTTAAAGTAGTTTTTTCCAATTCTGTGAAGAAAGGCATTGGTAGCTTGATGGGGATGGCATTGAATCTGTAAATCACCTTGGGCAGTATGGCCATTTTCACAATATTGATTCTTCCTACCCATGAGCATGGAATGTTCTTCCATTTGTTTGTGTCCTCTTTTATTTCCTTGAGCAGTGGTTTGTAGTTCTCCTTGAAGAGGTCCTTCACATCCCTTGTAAGTTGCATTCCTAGGTATTTTATTCTCTTTGAAGCAATTGTGAATGGGAGTTCACTCATGATTTGGCTCTCTGTTTGTCTGTTGTTGGTGTATAAGAATGCTTGTGATTTTTGTACATTGATTTTGTATCCTGAGACTTTGCTGAAGTTGCTTATCAGCTTAAGGAGATTTTGGGCTGAGACGATGGGGTTTTCTAGATATACAATCATGTCGTCTGCAAACAGGGACAATTTGACTTCCTCTTTTCCTAATTGAATACCCTTTATTTCCTTCTCCTGCCTGATTGCCCTGGCCAGAACTTCCAACACTATGTTGAATAGGAGTGGTGAGAGAGGGCATCCCTGTCTTGTGCCAATAAACTCATCATTTAAAGACTACACCTCAGACTCAGGTAGCACAAAAGAGCAAAAGATTGATATGGAGAATCAAGTGGAGTTCTCAGTGGGTAGCCAATCTGGACAAAGGATAATTTTCATAGAAATTTTTGGATAGTTTTATTTCACTTCTGACTTAACTAGAAAAGATCATTCAAGCCTTCATTACTGCATTCACTGTATGCTCTCTAATTTTTTTCTTCTTTTTTGTGATTGTAGTCTTTAGGAAAAGCAATAACGAATGAACAAAGGGGAAAAGGTAGTTGTTACATAACAAAAACCATAGCAGCAGCAGCAGCAGCAAGAACAACAACATACATGAACCTTACTGTACATCAGGTGCTGTCCAAAGCACTGTATATACATGAGCTCATTTTCTCCTCTCAACAACCCTCTAGGGTAGGGGCTACTATTATCTTCATTTTCCATATAAGATAATGAAACTACTGTAAGGTTAACTAAAAATGCCCAGGTTCACACAGCTAATAAATGCAGCAAGATTTAGAACCTCGTCAGTCAGACTTCAGGGATTGTGCTCTTAGCCACTAGGCTATATTACCTTTCAAGTTTAGTTGTTGGTGGTAGTTTTTCCTATTAATAATGCTACTACCTAAATTTTAGCAAATCTAGCACTGCCATTAGAAAATAAAGGATAACTATGTCAGCACACAAAGAGCAATTTCATGGTCTTATTAATATAAAGACTATTAAACAGATTTGTAGCAGTGGATAGAGATGCATCCAATACAACAAGAGAAAACACAAAGTAATTGAGAAAATGGGTGCAAACGAAACAAATAATGTGTGTCCCCATAAAAGAAACATTTGGCCTAAAGTTCTGTACAATTATAGAGCAAATTTCAGCTGAGAGTACCAAAAAAGTTCAGTTATGAGACAAGCAATATGTTCACAGTATAGCAGTTTTAGGAGTAGGGGAGATCCTGTTTTCTGAAGGGCTTTTTCAAATTCCACACTTCCTTCTTATCTGAGTCTCATCTACTCTTGTTGTGAATCTCCTTTCTCAGCTTCCAGAGAAAACTCATGGCAAAGTGCAGTTAAATAGACATAGGTTTGACCCTTCTCTTCTCTTTCCCTTATTAGCCACATAATGATGAAAACTCTTTCATTACTTTGGTTTCACTAAACATGAAATAATAATACATACCTGCTGAATTTTTTGAATATTACATGGAATTTTTGTAAAATACTTTGAATAGCGTCTAGAACACAAGAGATCTTTAATAAATAATAGCAAATGCAGGGCTTACTATTACAAGATAATCCATGTGGAAATCAGATGTTAGAAATAGATTTCATGAAGTTACAGGACTTGGCTTGAGCCTTGAGGGATGTATACGATTGGGAAATTGGAACAAAAGAAAATATTCCAGGTAAAAAGAATAGCATGGGAATGGAGTAAAGGTGAAATGAATTTGGTTTATGAGCAGGGACAATGAATTGCACAACCTGATTGGAATGGACAATGAGAGTTGAGAGAAATAGGTAGAATGCAGACCAACTGCTTAAACCAAGTAGAATAAAGTCTTCCTTTAGGAAGCCACCGAGAATAAAAGTTTAGAAAGAAAAGTACAAAGACAAGATTATCGAATATTAAATTTGTACTATTTCATTCAAAAAGTAGAATGATCCATGGTGTTCATAAGTAATAATACAACTGGGGAAGAATAGGAAAAGTTATGGATGTTTTACTAGAAGAAAAATAAAGAAGGGAGATGTCAAGAATTAGTGCTGTACCCTTCTTTTTATTATTAACCATTTTATTAACCATTAAGCAGATGGTTGTGATACTATTCTAGAACATCATGAATAATCGTATCCACATATTTCCTTTCCTATGTAAATGGAATTATTGGTCTCTAAAATAGGACTCAGCAAATGAAAACTTCCCCATTTTAATATAGCTGAGAAGTAAGGAAACAAACACAATGGTGTAGAAAGAATAACAATAAGTGACCAAATCTCCTTAAGAATTTTATTATAGACAGATTATCTCTAAGCTTTTCTGAAAGCAGTTAGTATATGAATAATTATAAGGCCATTAGTTCCTCCTTACTGATAATTTTTATCTAATTTAAATTAGCTTGATGGGAAAAAAAGTGGTCTGATTTCTAAGAACTTAGAAGGTCAGGAACATACAATTCAAAATAGTAAAGAAATTATCCTAAGTGGCTAAATTGAGAGTAGGAAGAAGTGACACCTTACAGAGAATCAGAAAGGTGTAAAAGGAGCCATGGGCATGCATAATTGACCAGGGTCACACAGTGTGGAAACTAACAGCTCTCCATGCATCAGTAGCCCTTGAAGGCATCACCTCGTTTTATAGCGAAGCAAAATAGTTAATGCTCAGGATGATGATGCTGAATTAGCCAGGGAAAGCAGATTTACATTCAGTAAAATCTGTTTAAGAAGAAAGCAGTGTATGTAAATGCTTCAAATGACCAAATGACTGTTATTTGATACAGTTGTTTTGAAAAGGTGTTAATGATTTAAATAAAAATAAAACAAAAACAATTATATGAAAGTAGAACTCCCTTAGACTGGTTATCCAACATGACTCATTAAACATGAGCTCTAAATAGTAGAGCTTTTGGAGCACACTTGCATACACTCATACGTATACACACACAGAAACAGATATTCTATTATGAAGACATAAGAACAGAAATTGAAAGCAAATCTTTAGAAACGTGTACAGCAATCTAAAAATAAAAAGCATCGGCTTAAATTTTGTATGTCTGGTATTTGTAATTTTTAAAATAATTCATTTTTATTGCATGTTACAAAAGTATCAGTCTATTATGGATTGGGAATTAAAACAAGCGCAAAAAAAAAAAAAAAAAAACCCGAAGTGGATCTTTCCTAACAAGTTTTTCGAGAAGAATCCATAGGAAGAAATTGGACCCACAGTCTTGGCCTTATCAGGATTCTAATCTAACCACCGGAGGTTCCTAACCAGATCAGAAAATGCAGTTGGATACAGACTCACAAGAGGGTGTGACTGTTTTTTCCCTTCTTATTCTATATGTGGCCACGCAACACCTTTAAAAGCAGCAGAGTTGTCGTCCCAAGAGAAACAAGAGTTAATTTGAGGACTGCTGTTTGGCTTGGAGCCTGGTTGCTCTAGGTAGATAAGGAGTATGTTTTCAGGTCCACTGCATTGCGTTGCATCTTAAACGAGCAGCTATGGATTTAGGAGTCCACAGGCTTTGCTTTAAAAACGGCTGTTATTAAAGTCCTCAGAGACTATTATCCTGCAGGGTTTGTTGTCTTTGCTTTCATATCTCATTCGAAAATTCTCACACTTAAGCACTGCAACAGCAGAGAGAAGGGATATGCTCTCTCAGCAGGGAGAAGGGATATGCTTTCTTGCCTCAGTATATTCCCAAGTGCAAAGCTTCATTTCAAAATCTAATCTTTAAAAATGCCTGGCCTAGGGTGGATTACCCCCGGAGGAAACTGTCAAACCGCCTTAAGCAATCCCGAACTCTGGTAATACGTGATGCTTTCTCTCCTTGTGTGACCCTCTGACTCCATTCTTAAGATTACCTTTTAAAACTGATGAGTTCATTTAAGATCTCCTAGGTTGGAAGTAAGATGAGAGGTATCTTTCTCATCTACGTCTTGTTTTTCCTAGTTTCTTCTCATCCAGTCACAATGCAAAAATTCCCGAATATTTATTCATCACAAAAATGTGCATTAAGTACCTATTGTATGTCTATAAGTAGGGCCGATAATACCTACCTTTTAAGGTTTTGGCAAAGATTAGATGAGATGATGTGAGTAGATCAACCAAGTACCTAACCCAATGCCTAACCTATTGTGAGGTTTCATTAATGTTGCATCCTTCTAGTCCCCCTCTCACTTTCTGCCATGACTCCAATCCTGCTAGCAGAGAAGATATGAGGCCGTTCAAAAGAAAACGAATACCTACTGCATGAAGATGGGAGCCAGAGCTACAGGCAGGAGCTAAGAGGTAGTTCTCAGGAAGTTCAGGTTCAAAGGGTACAGTGTAGCCAATGAGAGCTTAGAATGCCGCCTGGAGATTTTTATCTGATTCTGTAAGGATAATATTCCACTGTAGCTTCTTGTGTAAAGGTGTAACATTGTGAAAATAGCATCTGGTAATGATTATTGGGAGGATGGTGTTCAGGGTAAATGTAGCAGGGTCAGAGTGAAGGCAGGAAGTCTAGTGGACAGGCAGTCCCAGCCATACAGGAACCAAAACAGCAGTGGCTTCAGAATCAGAGAGAAGGTAAAGAAGAGGGATGCTACCATCATTGAGTGCTCATAAGTTATAAAAATAGCTGCATGTGTGATTTAATTCCATCCTTCTCTTGTCCTACCTTTGGAAGGTAGAATTCAGGAAAGTGATAACTATTCACAAGTACATTTTAAAGATAGAAATGTTATTTAAAGTTCTATTTCTCAAGGAGTAAGAAAAAAATACATATGCTGTGTTTCAAACACACACACACACACACACACACACACACACACACACACACACACCTTGGGGCCAAATAAATTAGAATGACAAAACCATTGACACCAAATGACAAGGGCATTGACATCAAAGCTCCATATAGGCACAGGTGACTCCCACCTAAAATATACCCTATCAAGCATTCCTAAACTATATGGGTGCCAGTTCTAAAGGACACAATTTCCTGAGAAAAAGTGGGTAGAGTAACACTGCTTCAGATATTTTTAAAAAGAAGCCGTGGACCCAGTGGAGAACTAATGTTGATATTCATTTGGCTCTGCACATAAACTTTAAAAAAGAATGGCATGCCTTTTAATTCTGGTGTTGAAAGAGAAAACGAGTCTTAAAGACAGGCTGAGTTTTCTTTTTTTAATACTGCATCTAAAATCCATAGAAAATACTGTGCTGCAATATTATTTCTGATATTGCTATACAGCCTCAGTGCTCATAATTGGGTGAGCATTTCCTGCATGAGACATCTTTCAGATCAGTGCCAACAGTAATCTTGAAAGACCTTAACATGCAAACCCTAGATTGTACATTTAAGTCACAGAGACAACCACATATGAAAAGTCTACAATGTTGAAGGTACTTTTGGTTTTTTATATTATATTTTATGTGCAGGAATCAGTCTGTTTGAAGAAAACTACCCTTATCTGAGAAAGACCAGATGGGTCTTTCCAACTCTGAGACATATTTGTTTTTGCAGAGCCATGATGAGGGGTGGGGGTAGGGTAGGGGGATGAAACAGGGCAGGAACTAATACTTACAGCCCTTATAAATCCTTTACACCAACTCTATGAAATAGGCCTTCTTTATCCCCTATCGAGGAAACCACGAGTTTGAGAGGTAAAGTAACTTATACAAATCATAGAGTTGTTGTTATGTGGCAGAAGCAGGGTTAGAGCATAGATCTTCCTGAAACTAGGTTATTTTTATTCTCTTCCCTCCAAGCTCCAGTGTCTTCCCCATCCATTAAATACAAAGCAAGTGACTTCTGACTTGGGCTACATGTATCACAGCAACATAATTATAATAACTCATTAAGGCATCTGTGAGATATTTAGTTTCAGAGCACTGATAGGAATGGTCAACAACTGAATAATTTTCCAATTAGGTATTGCTTTTAAAAATTTATCCTTAGTCAACTCAGAACTAATATCATTGATGTTTCTGAATGGTTCTAAATGAACACAATACACTCCTATTCTTCAAATAGGTAACTCTCTTCCCATGGACCAATACATATTTGGTTATATTAATCTGTGCAATTTGTCTATATTACATAGAGAGTTAAAAGCTCGAAAAGCTCTTATTTCTGGAATCTCTTTGTCACTAAGCTATTTTTTGTCCTCCAGAGAATCACTGTGGTTCAAGGTTGTATATTAGAAAAAAGCAATTAGTTGATGTCAAGTCTCATCTTTTCCCAATAACACATATCTAAGAAGAAAGCAAGAACATATGGCAAAGTGCCATAATTATTTTTGATCATACACTAGAAATCACAACAGCCATGTAGGTAATTCCCTCTGGCTTGTTTTAATTATTAGGGTTGTAAATGCAAACAACAACTTCATTCTATCCCCCACTTTACCCCCTAAAAACCTCAAAATACTCCCACGCAACCACAAAACAACCCTACACTGATGTAATTGTTTACAATAGGTTAATGATAGGAAAATCTAAGACATTTCTATTTTTTTCATTTTAAATAGCAGGACAATTTCCAAAATAATCACAGACACTCATCAGACACAACTGTATTCATTTGTGGGTACTCTTTAGCCCACAGCATAGAGATATTAACCTTAAAACTATTTCTAGGTATTCATAAGTTTTGAATGTTAAAGAAGGTTCTAGTACCATGATGTAAACTAAAGTCCTGCTGATATAATTGGATCTGATTCTCTGGTGATCTTCAGTGAGTTAATTTCTGTCTACTACCAAGTAGAGCAAATTCTTTCTTCTGGAGAGTGTGACTTTTGTGTGTGTGCCTAGATAGTTCTTTCATCCTATTTTGCTTTTCTTCTCTTATACAATAGGGTGAACAGTGATGGGGAGAAAACAAAGTTACTCTTTTGTTAATGTATGAGGAAAAGGAGGAAGACAGGGGATATGCATGTGGACACTGATGTAAAGGTAGGTAATATTTGGCATATTTGCCGGGAAAAAAATGTCATAAAGGAAAAGTAGGCAAAATGCTAAGGTACATTTCCTCATTCTTAGAACCCATTCATGAGCTTTCCATTGTGATATGGTTTGGCTTTGTGTCCTCACCCAAATCTCATCTAGAACTGTAATCCGGGGGAACCTGGTGGGAGGTGATTGGATCATGGGGGTGGCTTCCCCCATGCTGTTTTCCCATGTGATAGTGAGTGAGTTCTCATGAGATTTGATGGTTTTATAAGGGGCTCTTCCCATTCACTCTTTCTCTCTCTCTCCTGCTGCCTTGTGAAGGTGCTTCCTTCCCCTTTGCTTTCCACCATGATTATAAGTTTCCTGAGGCCTCCCCAGCCACACAGAACTGTGAGTCAACTAAACCTCTTTTTCTTTAAATAAATTACCCCAGTCTCAGGGAAGTTCTTTATAGCAGTGTGAAACGAACTAATATACATCGTGTATCTATTAATTCTTCCCAAAGCATTCAGTTCAGTTCAGAAGATGCTAGAGACCCTTAGACCATCTCACTGAAGCAGGTCCAGGGTATTTTTTGTGTCCTTGTGCCATGATGCAATGTTCTTTTCTTCTTCTTTTTTTTTGAGACGGAGTCTTGCTCTGTTGCCCAGGCTGGAGTGCAGTGGCGCGATCTCGGCTCACTGCAAGCTCCACCTCCCGGGTTCACGCCATTCTCCTGCCTCAGCCTCCCAAGTAGCTGGGACTACAGGCGCCCGCCACCACGCCCGGCTAATTTTTTGTATTTTAAGTAGATACGGGGTGTCACCATGTTAGCCAGGATGGTCTCGATCTCCTGACCTCGTGATCTGCCCACCTCAGCCTCCCAAAGTGCTGGGATTACAGGCGTTGAGCCACCGCGCCCGGCCGCAATGCTCTTTTCAACTGAGAACAAGTACATTTGGAAAATCATCCCCAAAAGAGCAAGGTTTGGGAAGGCTTAGGCCTTTCCATGCCCATATGACATGTTATATAAGTCTTATGAAGAACTAGAACAGATAAGAGGATGACTTTACAGATTATTTTACAAGAATTTTTACATGAGAATGACTTTTTTTTTTTTTTGAGACAGAGTTTTGCTCTTGTCGCCCAGGCTGGAGTGCAATGGTGTGATCTCGGCTCACTGCAACCTCTGTCCCCCTCCTGGGTTCAAGCGATTCTCCTGCCTCAGCCTCCTGAGTAGCTGGGATTACAGGCACCTGCCACCATGCCCGGCCAGTTTTTTTATTTTTAGTAGAGACAGGGTTTCACCATGTTGGCCAGGCTGGTGTCGAACTCCTAACCTTATGTGACCCACCTGCCTCAGCTTCCCAAAGTGCTGGGATTATAGGCGTGAGCCACTGCACCTGGACTACATTTTAATAACGATTAAAGAACAGTGGAAATCTGCTTCATAACACCCTGAGTAAGAAATGAGAAATTGTAGCTGCATATCAGCATTGTCGCTGACCCTGAGTATAAACGAAGAAGCCTCATGGTGACCCAAACAGAGAATTGTTAACTAAGTCATGTCCATAGTGCTTTACCATGGACAAATGTTTTTGATCCACCCTTCTAAGGCAGGGGTAGAAAAGCTGTTGAAATGTTGTAAATCTCTGCTTGAGTTTGTGATACGGTTTTAAATTTAGCAGAAAAATATTCACCAACAGGAGAATGAGAAACCAACGTGGATAATTATTAATGTTATCCTGAACAGAAAATAAAAAGACTTGCTGAAAAACCTTTCTGCCTGGTTTTGTCAGAGTTCTCTTCCTTTTACACATTCACTTTTTGATGTTTTCCTTTTGTGGGCTGGCAGAAAGATGGGGGTCACTCTAAACTTTTACTAAAAATACTCTTAAAACTACAAGATGTAAGTTCTCTATTTTAAAGAGCCCATAGCCTTCTGAAAAAGTCTTAAGCAAATAAATGAACCAAAATAACATGTGATCATGTTAAACTGGAACACAGCCCTGTGGGAACAAAGAACAATTAGCCTTGCCCCCCAAGATTTGCAGATGCCATCATACAAGTGATGATATTTGATCAGGGTCTTGAGGGATGAGTAGCAGCTGGCCAGGGGAGAAGTGGGAGAGTGAAATTTGAAGCAGTGGGAAAAACATGAATGAAGTTGAAGATAAGACGAGATAAGAATACACATCAGAGCTAAGTAACTCCGGAGGGAAGAGGGGAAGACCCATGGCGGGAAGAGAGACAGAGTGGTAAGATCAAAATTTCTCTCTCTCTCTCTCTCTCTCTCTCTCTCTCTCTCTCTATATATATATATATATATATATAGCTGCACAGGAAGGAGGGCCTGGATTGTGAAGGGGCTTGTGTATCAAGCTAAGGGTTTGGACTTTATCCTGTGAAGATGTCTAATCTGTTTAAGATTTTTTGGTAACATCATCTTGGTGGCAGTGAAAAGGTACATTAGAGGCAAGAACATTAGAGGCAAGAGAATATGGAGATCTAAACTGAGGTAATAGACACAGGATGAGAAAAAGGGAGATATTTTTGAGAGATCATGAATACAACTTAGAGACTGACTGAATGCAAGGATAACATATAGGGAGGCAAGTTGGGTTTCTGGCTTAGAGAAGAAGATGGGGGTGATAATGCTACCTATTATTAAAGTGTTGAATTTCCAAGGAGATGTGAGCAGTTTAACATAGGCTTAGCCTGTCACTTAGTGATAGGGTGTGGAAGGGAGAGTGGTGTTGACCTTTGTCGGGGGGTACGTGTCATCCACTCATGGGCATGGTAGCCTGAAATAGGGGCGGTAAAGAAGGGCCCAGCAGGGAGTCAGACAGTCTATGTTGTCTTTCTTGCTCTCTCAGGCGTCTGTGTTCTTTGTGTCATTCACACGTGCCTGTGAGCGTGAACTTGCATCATGCATCAGTAGTTCCCTTAGTACAGTGGTTCTCAAACTTGAGTGGGCTTGAGAATCACCCAGAGGGCTCATTAAAACACAGGCTGCTGGGCTCCACTCTGAGAGATCATGATTCTGTATGTCTGGGGTAGAACTCAAGAATTTGCATTTCTTAGAAGTTCCCAAGTGATGCCGATACTGCTAGTCCAGAGACCCCATTTTAAGAATGAAACACTGTTCTAGCATAACAGCCCTTAATCTTCTGGAGGTCATGAATGCCTTTATAAGAATGATGGATCTTCTCCTCAAAAACCTGCAGAAATATTTATAAACACAAAATACGACCTATTACTTCACGGGCTTCTGCTACTGCCACCTCCACCTCCACCCCCGGGACATACAATGGATTAATGAAGACAACGTATCCTTCCAGTACCATTTTAAAGGAGAACCCCCAAGAAGAAGAATACATTGGAAAATGGCACCAAAATGTGATTTTACTTATTTAGTTGTCTTAGAATTACTCCCAGTGAGCCTACGTACAAAATGACCCGATTTGGGGAAGGAGACCTGTCAAAGGACAGTTCTTGGGTGCAATGAGGAAATTCATTTCACTCTAACCACATTCAGATAACCTGACCTTTTCCCATTTTAACCTGCCATTCACTTGGGAAGTAACAAATAACAGAGAGGTGGGTGGGTAACCATGGAGAAAAGGGTGCATTCAGCCAGGGGCCTGCCTGTGGAAGGACGGAGCAGTTTGCACCTCGGGGAAAGCGGAGGTAGGGCTCTAGGCTCTCTGTCTGGTAGCCCAGGGAAACAGTTCAAGATCAAAGGAAAAGATAATTAAGAATGTGCTTAAAAGAAAACTTCAAATCAGCTGTGCTACACAAAGATATGAGACAATGCCTGTTGTAGAGAAAAGAGCATTTTGACTTTACCCTAAGAATCTTTCTTATGTGCTTTCCATAGCCCAGCGGTATAGTTATTTTTAAATGACCCTGGAAAGGAAGCAGAGGTGTTCTTTATTGCATGAATAGAAGGCAATCTTTCATTTAAAGAACCTTAACCCCGCTCTGCATGCATGCATGAAGTCAGGAACACAAGGGCAATACTGTATTATTCATTTTGGCAACTATAAATTCAAATGATGGCTCTGAGGTTGGGGAGAAAAAGGCCCGCTGAGCTGGAGAGCAGAACGCTTCCTTCAGCTTATCAAAGAAGTGATAGTGCTACAGGCAGGAGTGCCCCATAATAATCTAGGGAAAATACGCCTCTGAGTCAATGAAGATTTTCTGTTATTGCATGGGCTGTTTTGCCTACAGCCAAGAAAATTCTGTCTGATGGTAATGTTTTAGCTGCTGATTCATCTCCTCTGTCTTCAATTCTTCTCAGCAAACTTTTATTGGGTCTCATCCTGGGCACATTTACAGAGCAATTTCCATAATGATAACATCTCTTCAAATGAGATTTAAAGTGTAATTAAAAGGCACATGTGTTGTGGCAAAGGCGTTGTTGTGCAGTGACCATACATCATCGTGCCATGGAGCTCTCACTCAGCCAGCCTATGGAATGACCCCGGTTTCACTCTGATAAGATTCCATGGCTTTGTTTGAGGCTAATGGCTTCATTAGAAAAAATAAATAAATAAAAGAAGATAAAACAAGCTCTTTATTGGAGAGATAAGTCCATGAACATGCGTTAGACTTCTGCACCCTTCTCCCTTCGTTCTGTCTCTTAGAACTCAGAGGCAACAAGAAACTCCTTGAGCACGGAAGTGAACACTAACAAACGGACAGGTGAAAGCTGAAAGGATGTGCTTGCCCTGAGAAGCTGAGCTCCTTATGTCCTATGGCCTACTCTCATGGTTTTAAGTGTGATTGCTAGAAAAGTGGAAACTACAGGTTACAATTCCCTGAATGGATGAATGCTTGCTCCTGAAAAACTGCCTGGTGCCTGAGAAAGCAAGGAAATACTCCTTGAGTAGTCAATGTTTGAAACCTCCAAAGTAGCTAAGACTATTTCTTCTTCACTGTAAAATCAATATAAGATTTTTAAGCTTTGGAACTACTCAAACCCGAAAATAGCTTGCCTACCCAGATCCTGACTCATAGTATTCATTAAATGATATGAACTGATTTTTTACTTGGCTGCTGGTTTTAAGTATTGATAGATAATCATATCATATGACAGGGAAATCATATTAACACATGGGGCGAATAAAATCTTTCAAAAGATCAGTTTTGAGATCCAAGATGATCATTAAATAATAGATTCTGAAGCATTTAAAAGAGGACTTGGAACTTTTAAATGCCATATGTTCGATCACCTTTTTAAAACATAACATGACAATATTCATGGAGACTCAATATGCCATGTAATGTCTACGTTACTTACAGCAGAGAGTTCCACTAATTTTCTGTGCTCCTTTCTTTGCCTAAATGAACTATTTCATTTAGCACAATATTTTGTTTGTAGAATAAAATTTATCCTTGTGATGTTGGGAGTTATGAAATAACTCATGTGTTTTAAAATATCATTAAATGTACGGAATTAAACTATAATTAGTAGAAATCATTTGAGGGTCTTTAATTTACTGATGCTGACAAATTCTCATCAAATAGTTACTGTGCTTTCAAGTAAAATAACATCTTTGTAGGCAGATGTAAGACACTAGAAAAATAATGTACACTTTCAAAGAGAAAGTGAACCTCCCATACCTCTGAAATAAAAGCAATTTAGAAATCTGATATATTTTAAAAGAGGCACATAAGTTAATCTGTAAATTTCACTTTACTCGTTGACGGTGAAATGCTACGTTCAATCTGTTGTTACAGCAAAAAGTTAATGGAAAGTTTGACTTCACTGTAACAATATCCTCTTTTAACCAAATAACCTTCCTTAAACCTTGGATAAAATTCCCCTGTTTCACACTATCACCATCACAGATAAACGGATTGAAAAGACAACACCATTCTCAGTAGAACTGTTTGCTTACACTCAGTTAGCCAAGCTTCTACTACCTGATTTCATTGCCATGGAAAATCCTCCAGGATAACTTGGGTAGCAGCTACCTCTATTACTTCTCCCAACATCCCACTGCTTCCAGTTGCTACTGTTTGCTGTTACAATCAGTGGTAGCCTAGAAACTTGAACCACCCAAGTGTTTTAAATGCGGAAGAGAAAATCTGAGGGAAAATTGGGAAGGAAAAAGTGTTTCCATGTTTCCGAAGAGCGGCATTGTGCTTGTATGACTGTTTTTCATCAGCTTTGACTTTTTGGAGAGGCAGTTTTACTTTTCATAGCTAGTCTAATATTTCTTCTCACTAAATAGTGAATTAACACAGTGCAAATTTAGCAGTCATCCTTTTGACATCTTTACTCATAAAATAAGTAAAAGCAATCCCCAACTTACAAAGAGTTCTCTAACCAAAAATCACTTGCAAATAAATGGTCCAGAACCCCAAACTCAAATTTCCATGGACACAATAGTCATATACATGTCTCAGACCAGCATATACATATATAGCTATTTAACCTATACCATGGATGATTTATATCATTTTGATAGCATGACTTTGGGTTATATGATTTGGGAAATATGCATCTTTTGGGATATGAAAGATTCAAGAAGTACGGAAAAGAAATACTTCCTATTTTAAGACCTGGATTTGTCCAACACCCAACAAAGGAGATATATAAATGGGCATCTGCTCTCTCCTTCCACCTTCTGGTGCCCATATTTTCTACTCCCAAACTTCCTTATGTTTTAATCCTCATTCTCTTCTATCTGTTGAAAATCTTATTCCCAAAGTATAGACTGACAACTTTCACATTCTGGGAGATTTTTATATTTTAAAAAGAGGGGCTGGGCATGGTGGCTCACATCTGTAATTCCAGCACGTTGTCAGGCCAAGGTGGGTGGATCACTTCAGCCCAGGAATCTGAGACCAGCTTAGGCAATGTGGCGAAACTCTGTTTCTACAGAAAATACAAAAAGTAGCGGGGTGTGGTGGCACGTGCCTGTAGTCCCAGCCACTTGGGAGGCTGAGGTGGGAGGGAGGATCACCTGAGCCCAGGGATGTCGAAGTTGCAGTGAGCCATGATTGTGCCACTGCACTCCAGCCTGGGTGACAGGGTATGACCCTGTCTCCAAAAAAAAGGGGAAGCTGAGTTAAACCAAACCAATCTGAATCACAGATTGATAGGATTTCCAAGAATATAAGAATGCAAAGTAAAAATATTCAGATGGTAGCATAAGCGTCTGGGGGCAGAAAGGCTTTAGCTATTCTTGGTAGGCAATCTACTTTGGTTAATACTGTGAACTGGCTCACCTAAATCTACTTACCATCCTTCCAGTTGGACAGGTTGGAAATTAAAAACTGTATTTGCCAGACTTCCATGCAGCTAGTGTTCTGATTATGAATTAGGATATAATAAGTTAGGGTTGTCAGATAAAATACAAGGCACCCAGTTAAATTTAAATTTTCTACACAATCTTTTTTTATTTAGTGTTAAGTATGTTGCATGCATTATTTTTATTTGCTAAATCTGGCAACGTTTTGCCAAATGTGTATACTTGTGAGAGATCTGGAAAGTGGAAGTGAGGCATAGGTCACCTTTCTGCCCCTTTTGGCTATTTCTGTTGGCGAGCTTAGTCAAAGAAACATGAGATTTCCTACATCAGAGTTCCAAAGTTCTTTCTCCAGCTTCCTGGCTGGAGAAGGGCAGTTGCTAACAGCAGCTTCAAAAGTGGTAGCGTCTAGATTTCAACCTCCTGGTTCCTAGTTCCTATTTACAAAGTATGTTCTTGAAATCATTGCTTCAGTGGTACCCCGGAGATGGTAGTTTCTTATTGGATCAGTTCTATATAGTTTTAGAAATCTGTCCTCGAAGCCAAGTCTAAAACCTGCTACTTTAGCCTTTCCAAAACTTTGATATGTGTCTAACGTAC
This sequence comes from Homo sapiens, assembly GCF_000001405.40. NCBI lineage: Eukaryota > Metazoa > Chordata > Mammalia > Primates > Hominidae > Homo > Homo sapiens. The sequence continues at coordinate 31,527,916 of NC_000023.11, forward strand.
CTAGAGTAGTTTCTCTTTTCTGCAGTGAACTCCGTTATATTGACCTTCAGGGCCACCTCCTCTATTTGTTTCTACTACTTGCAATATCTTCCTTTAGTCATTAAAAAAATCTACAAACAATACAACTTTATGGTTTTCTTAACATGGTTCTTTGTCACAGCAGAGATTTCCCATCACAGAAGGATAGGAATTGAGGAAGGCAAGTGGATTTGTACCTATGGAGAGATGTCTTGTTTTATTTATTTTATTTCTAAAGAACATACTTTACAAGACACTTTAGGTTGTAACAGTGCATTAAAATACCTAAACAGTATACCAGCATCCTTTAGGAACACTTTACTATTATTTTTCTCATCTCTTTTGTCCCTCATATCTAGATGTCAAATTTCCACTGACAAGTAATTTGATGCCTAGGGAAAATATTCGATTCAACAGTTTCATAACATGATGTCCTATTAATTAAAACATGATACACTGACATTAAATTTCCAAATGAAAAGAAGCCCAGAAGTGAAATATCACAAACTTGATACATACGTATAGTCACATGGAGGGGTGGAGGGATACTAAGGAAAGACAGTGTGTTTTCAAACCTGGCTTGCACGTGTGAGGTGAACACTGGAGAACAGAACTTACCTCTCTGCTGTCAGCACTTGGAACAGCACTGAGCGCACTCGAGGCGCTCAATAAATCGAGCTTAATTTTTTAAATCTTTTCGCTCCCTTCGCCCATTCTGCATATATCTCATGTACAATTTCATTTCCCAAAAGTACCAGGTTCTAACATCAGGAAGAAAATATATGGTGAGTATTGACCATTTCTGGTGGTCAAGGTCTCTACTCTTAATCTCATGTAATTAGGGTGATCCTATAGTTCATTGTCCAAACCTGAACACTTTTGAGAGTGTCCAGGATGCTAATAATAATCACACAGGGTCAGGCACACTGGCTCATGCCTGTAATCCAGGTGCTTTGGGAGGCCGAGGTAGGAGTATTGCTTGAAGCCAGGAGTTTGAGATCAGCCTGGGCAATGTAGCATGACTCTTATCTCTACAATATGTTTTAAAAATTAAAAATAAAAATAAAAAAACAGTTAAAGGAGTTTGAGAACAGCCTGGCCAACATGGCGAAACTCTGTCTCTACTAAAAATACAAAAATTAGCAGGGCATGGTGGTGGGCACCTGTAATCCCAGCTACTCAGGAGGCTGAGGCAGGAGAATCGCTTGAACCCGGGAGGTGGAGGTTGCAGTGAGCCGAGATCGCACCACTGCACTGCAGCTTGGGTGACAGAGCGAGACTCCATTTCAAAAAAAAAAAAAATTAGGTGGGCATAGTGGTGCACAGCTATAATCCTGGCTACTCAGTAGGCTGAAGGAGGAGGATTGCTTGAGCTCAGGAGTTTGAGGCTGCAGTGAGCTATGATCATGCCACTCCACTCCAGCCTGGGTGACAGAGCAAGACTCTGTCTCTAAAATAAATAAAATAAAATAAAATAAAATATAGTAAAGTAAAGTAACACAAGAATAACAGGGATAAACTGGGACAGCCGGAGACAAATTAGGATAGATGAACCTATAGCAGTCAATAAAATGGGCAAAAGGGTCTCAGTAGCAGCAGAGGCAGCCTTTCTTCCCGCTCATTCTCTCCAAGTAACAAAAGGTCTGTGACACGACGTTCTCTTTCTGCCTGGGGTTCACTGCACGCAGTGAATTGATCACTGCACCTGTTTCTTACATTCAGGGAACGGAAAGCAGAGAAAGGCCAGTGGTTCACACCACTGTTTGTGCACCCAGGTGCCCTCTCACCGTGGGGAGTAAACACCTTCGGTTCTGTTTGCTACGGAAAAGAAAAATGAAAAGAGGGCCAATAACAAAATGCCCTTCAAAGAAAACACTTTGTGAGCCTGTGTGTAGCAAAGATAAGAACTAGGACACTGTCATGAGAAAGATCCTAGAATAGCTTCTTGAAAGAAAGATTTCTTTAAAAAAAAAAAAAAAGAATGCGAGTGAATGTTGCTACGACATCTATTGTGTATTATCTGCCATATCCCTCTTAGCAAATGACGATTAAAGTTTCTGCATCTGTCGGTAATGCAAACGGGAAAGAATTCACTTTCCTGAAATTTACTTTAAATTTTCCTTTACGGAGAAATGATTCATTCCCCCTGTATTTCATACCTGATATGTAATACAGATTTTATGTTTAAAAAAATGGCTTTGTGGGGCTCCCATACTAACCAAAAATTTCTTCCTAGACATTTCTAACTGTATCTAGAGAAAACAGGGACATCAAAACAAAACAAGAACACAACAACACAGCAAAATCCTGGATTTTCAATTTATAAAGTCATGGATGAAGAACTGGTTTAAACCTAAAATCCATAATCAGAGAACTTCAAAGAGATATGGTATATTATACACATCAGCCTTTTCCTTTTGAAGAAAAGCAGAGAGAAGACACTGGAAGGGGAAACCTCCTGCTACTCTGGGAGCTCCTAAGGGCTGGGACCATATCTGCCTTGTCTGCGGCTGTATCTCCCACTTCCAGCTTGATAGCTGGTATGCAACTGCTTTTGCTTTCAATAAAGTTATCGAGTAAATGATTGGATACATTAATACATTGATTAGTTATGAAAGACATCAAGTACCAGAGAACATCAAAGAAGGCTAATAATGAGAGTCAAGCAGTGGGTAACCTTGGTATATACCTAGATAATAGAGCACTGGTTTCTCTTTTTTTTTTTTTTTTTTTTTTAATTTTTTTTTTTTTTTTATTATACTCTAAGTTTTAGGGTACATGTGCACATTGTGCAGGTTAGTTACATATGTATACATGTGCCATGCTGGTGCGCTGCACCCACTAACGTGTCATCTAGCATTAGGTATATCTCCCAATGCTATCCCTCCCCCCTCCCCCGACCCCACCACAGTCCCCAGAGTGTGATATTCCCCTTCCTGTGTCCATGTGATCTCATTGTTCAATTCCCACCTATGAGTGAGAATATGCGGTGTTTGGTTTTTTGTTCTTGCGATAGTTTACTGAGAATGATGGTTTCCAATTTCATCCATGTCCCTACAACGGACATGAACTCATCATTTTTTATGGCTGCATAGTATTCCATGGTGGATATGTGCCACATTTTCTTAATCCAGTCTATCATTGTTGGACATTTGGGTTGGTTCCAAGTCTTTGCTATTGTGAATAGTGCCGCAATAAACATACGTGTGCATGTGTCTTTATAGCAGCATGATTTATAGTCCTTTGGGTATATACCCAGTAATGGGATGGCTGGGTCAAATGGTATTTCTAGTTCTAGATCCCTGAGGAATCGCCACACTGACTTCCACAATGGTTGAACTAGTTTACAGTCCCACCAACAGTGTAAGAGTGTTCCTATTTCTCCACATCCTCTCCAGCACCTGTTGTTTCCTGACTTTTTAATGATTGCCATTCTAACTGGTGTGAGATGATATCTCATAGTGGTTTTGATTTGCATTTCTCTGATGGCCAGTGATGATGAGCATTTCTTCATGTGTTTTTTGGCTGCATAAATGTCTTCTTTTGAGAAGTGTCTGTTCATGTCCTTCGCCCACTTTTTGATGGGGTTGTTTGTTTTTTTCTTGTAAATTTGTTTGAGTTCATTGTAGATTCTGGATATTAGCCCTTTGTCAGATGAGTAGGTTGCGGAAATTTTCTCCCATGTTGTAGGTTGCCTGTTCACTCTGATGGTAGTTTCTTTTGCTGTGCAGAAGCTCTTGAGTTTAATTAGATCCCATTTGTCAATTTTGGCTTTTGTTGCCATTGCTTTTGAAAAACTTTGAAAAAAATTTAGAAGAATGTATAACTAGAATAACGAATACAGAGAAGTGCTTAAAGGAGCTGATGGAGCTGAAAACCAAGGCTCGAGAACTACGTGAAGAATGCAGAAGCCTCAGGAGCCGATGCGATCAACTGGAAGAAAGGGTATCAGCAATGGAAGATGAAATGAATGAAATGAAGCGAGAAGGGAAGTTTAGAGAAAAAAGAATAAAAAGAAATGAGCAAAGCCTCCAAGAAATATGGGACTATGTGAAAAGACCAAATCTACGTCTGATTGGTGTACCTGAAAGTGATGTGGAGAATGGAACCAAGTTGGAAAACACTCTGCAGGATATTATCCAGGAGAACTTCCCCAATCTAGTAAGGCAGGCCAACGTTCAGATTCAGGAAATACAGAGAACGCCACAAAGATACTCCTCGAGAAGAGCAACTCCAAGACACATAATTGTCAGATTCACCAAGTTGAAATGAAGGAAAAAATGTTAAGGGCAGCCAGAGAGAAAGGTCGAGTTACCCTCAAAGGAAAGCCCATCAGACTAACAGCGGATCTCTCGGCAGAAACCCTACAAGCCAGAAGAGAGTGGGGGCCAATATTCAACATTCTTAAAGAAAAGAATTTTCAACCCAGAATTTCATATCCAGCCAAACTAAGCTTCATAAGTGAAGGAGAAATAAAATACTTTATAGACAAGCAAATGCTGAGAGATTTTGTCACCACCAGGCCTGCCCTAAAAGAGCTCCTGAAGGAAGCGCTAAACATGGAAAGGAACAACCGGTACCAGCCGCTGCAAAATCATGCCAAAATGTAAAGACCATCGAGACTAGGAAGAAACTGCATCAACTAATGAGCAAAATCACCAGCTAACATCATAATGACAGGATCAAATTCACACATAACAATATTAACTTTAAATATAAATGGACTAAATTCTGCAATTAAAAGACACAGACTGGCAAGTTGGATAAAGAGTCAAGACCCATCAGTGTGCTGTATTCAGGAAACCCATCTCACGTGCAGAGACACACATAGGCTCAAAATAAAAGGATGGAGGAAGATCTACCAAGCAAATGGAAAACAAAAAAAGGCAGGGGTTGCAATCCTAGTCTCTGATAAAACAGACTTTAAACCAACAAAGATCAAAAGAGACAAAGAAGGCCATTACATAATGGTAAAGGGATCAATTCAACAAGAGGAGCTAACTATCCTAAATATTTATGCACCCAATACAGGAGCACCCAGATTCATAAAGCAAGTCCTGAGTGACCTACAAAGAGACTTAGACTCCCACACATTAATAATGGGAGACTTTAACACCCCACTGTCAACATTAGACAGATCAACGAGACAGAAAGTCAACAAGGATACCCAGGAATTGAACTCAGCTCTGCACCAAGGAGACCTAATAGACATCTACAGAACTCTCCACCCCAAATCAACAGAATATACATTTTTTTCAGCACCACACCACACCTATTCCAAAATTGACCACATACTTGGAAGTAAAGCTCTCCTCAGCAAATGTAAAAGAACAGAAATTATAACAAACTATCTCTCAGACCACAGTGCAATCAAACTAGAACTCAGGATTAAGAATCTCACTCAAAGCCGCTCAACTACATGGAAACTGAACAACCTGCTCCTGAATGACTACTGGGTACATAACGAAATGAAGGCAGAAATAAAGATGTTCTTTGAAACCAACGAGAACAAAGACACCACATACCAGAATCTCTGGGACGCATTCAAAGCAGTGTGTAGAGGGAAATTTATAGCACTAAATGCCTACAAGAGAAAGCAGGAAAGATCCAAAATTGACACCCTAACATCACAATTAAAAGAACTAGAAAAGCAAGAGCAAACACATTCAAAAGCTAGCAGAAGGCAAGAAATAACTAAAATCAGAGCAGAACTGAAGGAAATAGAGACACAAAAAACCCTTCAAAAAATCAATGAATCCAGGAGCTGGTTTTTTGAAAGGATCAACAAAATTGATAGACCGCTAGCAAGACTAATAAAGAAAAAAAGAGAGAAGAATCAAATAGACACAATAAAAAATGATAAAGGGGATATCACCACCGATCCCACAGAAATACAAACTACCATCAGAGAATACTACAAACACCTCTATGCAAATAAACTAGAAAATCTAGAAGAAATGGATACATTCCTCGACACATACACTCTCCCAAGACTAAACCAGGAAGAAGTTGAATCTCTGAATAGACCAATAACAGGCTCTGAAATTGTGGCAATAATCAATATTTTACCAACCAAAAAGAGTCCAGGACCAGATGGATTCACAGCCGAATTCTACCAGAGGTACAAGGAGGAACTGGTACCATTCCTTCTGAAACTATTCCAATCAATAGAAAAAGAGGGAATCCTCCCTAACTCATTTTATGAGGCCAGCATCATTCTGATACCAAAGCCGGGCAGAGACACAACCAAAAAAGAGAATTTTAGACCAATATCCTTGATGAACATTGATGCAAAACTCCTCAATAAAATACTGGCAAACCGAATCCAGCAGCACATCAAAAAGCTTATCCACCATGATCAAGTGGGCTTCATCCCTGGGATGCAAGGCTGGTTCAATATACGCAAATCAATAAATGTAATCCAGCATATAAACAGAGCCAAAGACAAAAACCACATGATTATCTCAATAGATGCAGAAAAAGCCTTTGACAAAATTCAACAACCCTTCATGCTAAAAACTCTCAATAAATTAGGTATTGATGGGACGTATTTCAAAATAATAAGAGCTATCTATGACAAACCCACAGCCAATATCATACTGAATGGGCAAAAACTGGAAGCATTCCCTTTAAAAACTGGCACAAGACAGGGATGCCCTCTCTCACCACTCCTATTCAACATAGTGTTGGAAGTTCTGGCCAGGGCAATCAGGCAGGAGAAGGAAATAAAGGGTATTCAATTAGGAAAAGAGGAAGTCAAATTGTCCCTGTTTGCAGACGACATGATTGTTTATCTAGAAAACCCCATCGTCTCAGCCCAAAATCTCCTTAAGCTGATAAGCAACTTCAGCAAAGTCTCAGGATACAAAATCAATGTACTAAAATCACAAGCATTCTTATACACCAACAACAGACAAACAGAGAGCCAAATCATGAGTGAACTCCCATTCACAATTGCTTCAAAGAGAATAAAATACCTAGGAATCCAACTTACAAGGGATGTGAAGGACCTCTTCAAGGAGAACTACAAACCACTGCTCAAGGAAATAAAAGAGGACACAAACAAATGGAAGAATATTCCATGCTCATGGGTAGGAAGAATCAATATCGTGAAAATGGCCATACTGCCCAAGGTAATTTACAGATTCAATGCCATCCCCATCAAGCTACCAATGACTTTCTTCACAGAATTGGAAAAAACTACTTTAAAGTTCATATGGAACCAAAAAAGAGCCCGCATCGCCAAGTCAATCCTAAGCCAAAAGAACAAAGCTGGAGGCATCACACTACCTGACTTCAAACTATACTACAAGGCTACAGTAACCAAAACAGCATGGTACTGGTACCAAAACAGAGATATAGATCAATGGAACAGAACAGAGCCCTCAGAAATAATGCCGCATATCTACAACTATCTGATCTTTGACAAACCTGAGAAAAACAAGCAATGGGGAAAGGATTCCCTATTTAATAAATGGTGCTGGGAAAACTGGCTAGCCATATGTAGAAAGCTGAAACTGGATCCCTTCCTTACACCTTATACAAAAATCAATTCAAGATGGATTAAAGATTTAAACGTTAGACCTAAAACCATAAAAACCCTAGAAGAAAACCTAGGCATTACCATTCAGGACATAGGCGTGGGCAAGGACTTCATGTCCAAAACACCAAAAGCAATGGCAACAAAAGCCAAAATTGACAAATGGTTTCTCTTGATAGCAGCCCAGTTTACTGTATGATTGTTTTAGCCACCTTTTCCCCCTCCAATCTTCCAAGTTACAGCAGTTCTCCTCACTACCAAAAGTGTGATGGTAGGACTATAGTTTGCCATTGTCCCTTCATTCATTCTACAAATACTGAGGGAGATGCAGTGATGAACATGACAGACACTGTCCCAGTCTAATCCGGGGTTTTCTGTTATAAAAGAATGATATCAGGGTTTAGATTAGGTACTCTGAATGCAAAGCCCTTTGAAAGTTGGACAACTCTGAACACATCAGGGATCCTAGTACATGATGAACAAGTATCTGAGAGAATTTTCTTAATTTAACACCTAGAAAATCAGCTAAAAGGGTAAAACTGTTTGCACAGAAAACCAAACCATTTAAGAAGAGATTGAATAGTTATTAGATTCTTTTGATCAGGTAGAAAACCTATCCTGGGAGTTAAAATCTCAAGATAGGCTCTTCTTGGCCTATAATATCTATTTGGACTAGTCACATGGCCTGAAATTAATGAGATAATTGAAAACTATCCTCCACTAGAATCTCCTCATTTTATGCATTTTATGCAAGGTTGCTTAGTGGCCTAGGATTGATAATAATAAGTAAGCTAATGAACCCAATCCCAAACTGATTTTGCAGTATCTTTTATCAGTAGATTTCATGGCAGTTGCTGTATATTTAATTGTAAAAAATTCGGGACTGTTTAAACTGGGGAGGTGAGAAAACAGAAGGAAAAGAGGTAGAAATAAGAAGCACAAGAAGATTGTGAACCAGTTTTCATAAACTTAGAAGCAATGAAAGGTACTTGAAACTGCAAACAGAATAGAGTGGACTTAAAACTGCTCACTGATTGTGTACTCAACATTTTCTCTGTTAAATAGGATCCTAGAGCAGCTATTTCAAATTGCCACTCACCTTAAATCTCAGACTCCAACACCTTCCTCATCACTGGGCATTTAGCTGCAGCTTCCACTTCAATAAAAAATAAATCCAATACAACAATCCTACTTAACCTTTCACCAAACTTACAAAACTACCAGTAGCTATGCCCATCCTCCTTCCCTTCTCCCCTGATGTTGTAATAGAAGCTGTACTTTCCTTCCTATCTGAAGCTAATTTCTAAATTTCATCTTTCTGCCTTCTCAAGTACCTGTGCTATTGATTATCTCTAATTTCTCCTGCATCCTCAACCTCTCCCTCTCTACCATCTTCTTCTCATTGCCATTTAAACATGTGTAAGTCACTACCCTTTTAAGAGTGTGTTCTTCCTGCCCCTACATCCATCTTCTGCTACTATGGCCCTTTCTCTCTTCCCATCGCAGCCAAAAGTCTTAAAATAATTGTTTTACACTTGCTCCCCCACTTTCTCAATTCTCAATCATGCCTGAACGTACTGCAATCTTGGTTCTTTAGTTACCACCAAGTAATTACTGAGTTCTCCATAATCAACACTGAAATCACTTGCATAAAGGTTGTCAATACCTTCCTTGTTGCTAAATTAATAGGATATATTTTGGTCTTATCTTTCATGATGCTTTTGTAGTATTTGACACCTCTAAATGTTACTTTTTCTTGAAAACCTCTCTTCCCTTGGATTCTGTGACATCACACGAACCTAGTCTGTCTCCTATCTACTGAACTGCAAATTTCCCTGTCTCCACTGAAAGCTTATTTTTCTTTATTTACCCCTGAAACTTTGCCATTTTCCTGGGTTCACTCCTAGGCCCTCTTCTCATCTACGAACTTTACTCTGAACCATTTCAAACCCTTGCAAGGTTTTAATTACGTATATACTGATAATTAAATATCCAATTAAAGATTCTCTAGCCTAGAACATTTCTCCATAGGTTCAGCTCACATACCTAGGTATCACAACTTAGTTACACTATCATCATTACTCACCTGGACAATTTCAATAGTGTGCTGAAGCTATCTTCTTGCCTCCAGTTTGCTAAGCTTCCTCTAGTCCCTTGAAATAACATGACATGACTTTCTCACTTCCAGGCCTTTATGCATAGTATTCCATCTGCTGGGACTCCACCTCCTCCAAATCCCCAACTTGACCTGTCTAACTCCTGCTTCTCTTCAGGTCTCAGCTGAGGTAAGGCTTCCTTGGGAAAGCCTTCTGCATCCTGCCAAGCCAGGGTCAATTACCTTGATGTACACCCGTAGCACTATCATAGTAATACCCTTACCATCTATAGGTTGAATATCTCATATCCAAAATACTTGCGACTGAAAGTATTTCAAATTTCAGGTTTTGGAATATTTGCATTACCCTATGGATATCATGCAGGCCTTTAGGGCATTTTCAACAATATCTTGACACCACCAGAGAATATACCAGCAAACACAGTGATTAATGCACGTAGGTTTTGGCCCCATGCTGGACATTGTAGGGTACCTGCCGTTGTCGCGTCTAGCCCGCACATGTGCCATTTTTCGTACCTTTTGTGGGTTTGCTTGTATGATGGAATCTGGGTGTGGGTGGAAAAGATATATCACAGCTAACGGGGGCTGAGAGGATCTTTCTTCCCTTGGGGATGCTGAATAAACTCTATGTGGTGTGCCTGCATTTTCACTGTGACTTGTCACATGAGGTCAGAAGTGGAGTTTTCCATTTGTGATGTCATGTCAGCATTCAAACAGTTTTGGAATTTGGAACATTTGGATTTCAGGTTTTTGGATCAGGGATGTTCAACCTGTAGTAGTTACTTGTTTAATTTCCTTCCTCCCCCACTAAACTACAGATCAAAGAAGATAGAGATCAAACCTATTTCCTTTATTTATTGATGTGTCTCTAGTGTCTAGCCTAATGTTTGGAACATCAATAAATATTCATGAAAGAAATGGATAAATAACTGTATGCTTGCACCAGAAGATATCCCACAGCAGTCTTTTCTAATCCTTGGTAATTTGAATTTTTTGTATTATTGATTTATATACAAGGGCTAATGTCCTGCGAAGTAGTAGTACATATGTTTCTGTTTTTAAAAGACATTGTTTCATAAAATTCTATTATAATGAAAAGCATGGGCTATTACATTTTTCCTTCATGGAGATATTTCTTATATATCGTAAATCTAGAAATGTGTATTAAATTAGACATACTAGAAGTCAAAGAACTGAGGTACAGCTATTTAGAAATGAATTTGTGGAAGCAGAGGGCCATGAACAGCTGTGCAAGTTGTACACCGAGAAAAACAAAGAAGTACCATTCACATCATGAGTTGTATGTTTCACAATCTGGACGGCTCTTCATGGCAGTCCTGAATTGTAGTAAAAGAGAAGGGTTATTCGTTCTCATTATTTTTTCCTCAGACTCTCTCTTCATGGTGAGGGATGATTATTCTCGTATTCTTAAATTTCAGTCTAATAGAGTTATTAGAATTTTAAAGCTGGAGAGTATCTTAAACATGAAGTAGCCTAGAGATGACAAAGAGGTTTTACCTATGTGCTAACTCTCATTAGTGAGTGGTAGCTACCTGGAGCATTGCCTTGAGAAGTGCTCTGATACAGAGCTGACTGACTAGCCATGTCTTTCAGGGGTAAACGAGACAGAAACGGAAGCCATTCACGTATTTTCCTTCCTTGTTCCAGTTAATCTATTCATTTTCCAGAAGAGAAAATTAAGGTCCAGAAAAGCAATGCAACTTGCTCTTAACATCAGTGCTGGAGCAGAACCCAGGTTTCTGTACTTCTAGCCTACGTCCCTTCCTTCACACCTGGTTTCAAGATTCCTTAAAGATAAATTATAAATTCTAGCCCTAAGATTTGCTGCCTTTCAAATTTTAACCTATTTTCAAGGTTAACTACCTGCCTTTGGTCACCAGCATAAATAAATCTGGATATGCCATGTGAGAACACAGCATCATCACAGCAAATAGTCTTTAGCATCATAAAACTATCACATAAAATGTAGTGCCAAGTGCACTACCTAAAAGGCACATGTTATAAGTAGTAGGGGTCATTGTCAATCAAGTTAAGCAATGCAGGGGGGAAAGAAATTGTCAGAGGAACAACGAAGAGATCATCTGTAATATCGTTTTGAGACATATTTGGCTTGAATCTATACAAATGGCAGCAGAATACTTGCAAGGACTTTTGTCCCAGTGTGAAGAGGTAACAACTGGAATTGATTCAACGTCTATTAACATTGGTCATGGTGCTAGATACTGAGAATCCACCAGTAAACAGGAAAGACATAGTCCCTATCTTTGTGGTTGGTTACATTTTAGTAGAGAAGTGAGGCACTGAACAATGATGTGAGTGTTTTGAAAGAGGAAGTACAAGGAACTTCTTAGGGGTGGGAGGGGTAGCCGATGACCCCAAATTTTTGACAATTGCCACTCGGAAACAGAATATAGAGATCAATTTGTGATAACTTTCTGCAGCTATTCTGCATCCAGGCTGGATATCCAAAACAAACACTGGATTGCTGGAAAACTTAGGAATTTAATATTCACAAATCGATATTCTAAAATAAGTAAAAACAATTAGAAAAGACAGATTCACACAGAGTAATAACCATTTGAATCTCAATAGATACTAGTTATAAAATGATACGGACCTTTAAATCAGTACATCTTCTGATGTCTAAAAGATGCTTATCACTACTCACTAGACTCTTTTTCACTTGCTTTGCAAATCAGTTTAAACATACATGGTAATCAGGAGTCATTATTTTTATTCACTTGGAAAGTCAGAAGTACCTTTTCCCAGTGAGATTTTGAAGGAAAAGTAAAACACCCTTCATTTGGAGATTTTATGGGTGTCTAAACATGTGCTTTTCTAAACAGGAAATGATTTATGACTTATCAAAGGATATGCCTGAGTCTCTCACCTAATCTCTAAACCCAGCTGACTTTCTCCATTTCTCTAACACTGAGCGTAGCAAAAGGAGACGCTCTTGATTAGCCAAGAGACACTGCTGCTCATACACCAACCTATATTTGACTCAGGGTTGGGGAATTGTGAAACAACCTAAATGCAGCACTTTTAGATGAAAATTGCTCTGAGGATTTTCCATTCTGAAAAGTAGAAGGAAACCAAGGAGTTCTTATAATACCAGAAAACTTAGAAGCCCTTAATGCACAATATTACACTGACCTACAAAATGACCTTCGCACAAAGTTAACTTATTAAGAAGCAAGGAAAATAGGTAGAAAGGCATTGTTGGTACAAATAGAAACGCTGCTAAAATGCCGAGTCTGGAAAATTTGAAAAAGATCTTAATTTCCAAAACTGTTTCTGCTCAGAAAGAAGTAAGAGGAATATCATTTGGTGATATAAAACTTGGCCCTTTTGAGAGTGTGGGAGAAAATGGGTGGAGAACTATTGATTCTGACATAATCACTGCAAATTTTCTACACTGTCATTGATTAATTTCTTCAATAAACATCGATTTAGGATCTACTGTGTTCTAGGGCTGTGCTGCTCTGTCTAACACAGGAGCCACTGGCTGTAGGTAGCTACCGAGCAATTGAAATCAGGCTAGTGAGACGGAGAGACTGAAGTTTAACAAATTTTTATTCCATTTTATTAAATTTAAATATAAATTTAAAAATTGACTCTTGGTTCAGTTATTGAAAAACTTTTGTGTATGTTTGGAACAACTTAGGAATGTGAATCTTCTTTTTTCAACTATAAAGTTTATGAAATGTAAATAGAGACCAAATATTTTCTTTTTTTTTTATTATACTTTAAGTTCTAGGGCACATGTGCACAACGTGCGGGTTTGTTACATATGTATACATGTGCCATGTTGGTGTGCTGCACCCATTAACTCGTCATTTACATTAGGTATATCTCCTAACGCTATCCCTCCCCCCTCCCCCCACCCCACGACAGGCCCTGGTGTGTGATGTTCCCCACCCTGTGTCCAAGTGTTCTCATTGCTCAATTCCCGCCTGTGAGTAAGAACATGTGGTGTTTGGTTTTCTGTCCTTGTGATAGTTTGCTCAGAATGATGGTTTCCAGCTTCATCCACGTCCCTACAAAGGACTTGAACTCATCCTCTTTATGGCTGCATAGTATTCCATGATATATATGTGCCACATTTTCTTAATCCGGTCTATCATTGATGGACATTTGGGTTGGTTCCAAGTCTTTGCTACTGTAAATAGTGCCGCAATAAACATACGTGTGCAGGTGAGACCAAATATTTTCAATGAAAATACGGTGTCCAAATTGAGATGGGATGCAATTGAAAGACACATGCCAGATTTCAAAGACTTAGAATGGAAAAAGCAAATTTTATTAATACTTTTTATTGATTACATATTGAAATAATAATATGTTGGATATATCAGGGTCAATAAAATATTAGTTTCACTTCTACTTTTAAAGAACGTGGCTACTAGAATACTTAAGATTACATAGGTGGCTCTCATTTCTATGGGACAACACTGTTCTGGACATTGTGCTGGCATTGGGAACATAAAACTAAACATTCCCTTAAGGATTTTACGGAATGGTGGTACATTTACTGCTATAGCAGAGAGATATAGAGGAATGCAAAGGACGCTATGGGGACATAGATGAGTAGCAATTAAATTAGGCTGATGTCAACCATGGCTACCTAAAATAAGGCATGCTTAAATTGATCCTTAAAGTTTGAGTGGAAGTTAGATGAAGAAAGACGAAGGGTATTCCAGGAAGACGGAATGGCATGTACGATAACATTGGGAGAAGTAGTACAATACAGTGATTAAGAATCTAGAACCTCTACCCTTTGAGTCATATGCACTCAAGCTGTACCACTTACTATCTGTGAGATCATATGTAAATTACTTATCTGTATCTCTTTCCTTCTCTGTGAAATAGGGATACTACTACTGTCAACCTTATAAAGTTATCGTAAGAAATGCATGAGTTAATATACTGCTCAGAACTGTGTCTGGTCCACATTGTATTTCCTGCTATTATTGTGAATTAGAAAATACTCCCACAGGTTGGAGTAAAGGGAATACTGTCTGTGAAAGTGTCAGGGAAGATGGGGCTACAGAGGTGACCAGGCATCATGCATTCACCAGAGCAGTTTGACCTTTTATCCTTCAAGCTGTGAGAGGATTAGTCACATCTTGAAAACATATTCCAGGCATAAGAGTAGCAGAGCATTTAGATGGATCTAAGGCAATAGATAAGAGATAAGAGGCCAATGCAGCAAGCTAGTTGAGCAGTGCTGCGGGGCCACTGCGAATAGAGGGCAGGGCATGAATAAGGTGGATATGGTTGCTAAATGCTCTTGAAACCTTTCTCTGCTTCTTTTTAGGTATCTAGCTAGACTTCATTTTCCAGCCCCTCTGCTGTTACATGTGGCCACAGGGCAGAGTTCTAGCCAGTAGAAGGTTGAGTCAAAGGACATGGGACGCCTCCGTGTGCAGTCCTCTAGCTCATTCCCCTTTGGGCTGGCTGAATATCTTCAGGAGGGCAACCTCGGCAATTGGCTATTGCAGATGGAAGACCCTTGCTGGCCTGTTTTTTTTTTAATTTATTTTTTATTTTTTATTTTTATTTTATTTTATTTTTTTTAGATAGAGTCTTGCTCTGTCGCCAGGCTGGAGTGCAGTGGCATGATCTTGTCTCACTGCAACCTCCGCCTCCCGGCTTCAAGTGATTCTCCTGCTTCAGCCTCCCAAGTAGCTGGGATTACAGGTGCCCACCACCACTCCTAGCTATTTTTTGTATTTTTAGTAGAGATGGGGTTTCATCATGTTGGCCAGGATGGTCTCGAGCTCCTGACCTCAGGTGATCCGCCCACCTTGGCCTCCCAAAGTGCTGGGATTACAGGTGTGAGCCACTGCACCTGGCCTGGCCTGTATTCTTGAATAATTATGTGGGTGTCACCCCTCCCTTCCCACACACACATCCAACACCAACTAACATGAATTCACCTTAGACTGTTTACATGAGAAAGAAATACATTTCTATTTTGTTTAAGTCATTTTAATAGTCCATTTGGTGGATGTTTAATATATTATAGCTGTTAGCCTATCTTAGCTATTATAGATATGAAACATACTTAAAGAGCTAAAAGCATTTTTACGAGGAAAAAAAGACTTGATGACAGATAAGATATGAGAGTGATGAAGAAAGTTGTCACTAAATTCTTTGAGTAGCAGGGCCTCAAGTGTTATCTTGAGTGCAAATATAAACAGTGAACCGATAAGTATGTTCTTGGTGAACTCGCCAAAGTAAATTTTCAGCCAGCAATGAACAACAGTAAGAAGTAGGAATTTGGTGAGGTTAAAGAAATCAGGTATCTTCCTCAATTCAGCAGAAAAGAGGTCAAGTTTCAAAAGACATTGGGAAGTGTGGGTGACCCTCAAGAATTTAGATAAGAAGAGGAAAACTGTCAGAGTCATTTGGTTAAGGTATTGATAAGATTCAAGCTATGCGGCTGGGTGCGGTGGCTCAGCACTTTGGGAGGCCGAAGTGGGCGGACCACGAGGTCAGGAGTTCAAGACCAGTCCGGCTAACATGGTGAAACCCCATCTCTACTAAAGATACAAAAAATTTGCCAGGCATGGTGGCATGTGCCTGTAATCCCAGTTACTCGGGAGGCTGAGGCAGGAGAATCACTTGAACTTGGGAGGTGGAGGTTGTAGTGAGCCGAGATTGTGCCATTGCACTCCAGCCTGGGTTACAGGGTGAGACTCCGTCTCAAAAAAAAAAAAAAAAAAGGATTCAAGTTACGCTACTCCAAAATCCACAATATGGCAGCTTGGTATTTGAGAAGACAGCAGAAGCAGGATGGTCACTCTCACCTTCCCCTTCCCCCTTCTCCCCTGAAGCAGGTCATGAGACTATCATACCAGAGGTGCCCTTACTATACTGGAAGGAAAGGAAAATTTTTACCTCTGAAAACACAGGGACACAGGAGGTTCTGCAGAAACAGGCCTTGCTGTGGTCACCCCAGTTTATTACCATTCCCCTTTGTCCAGTCATACTGGACATCTACTTTTCCTCAAATCAGAGCATAAAAATACACACTTTTCCCTGATTCTTTGGGTCATTTCTGAAGGCTCCTGTGTCATGTGAAACTTATATTAAATAAATTCGCATGCTTTTATGTTGTTGATTTGTCCTTCATTATAGGTGCCTCAGCCATGAACCTAGCGATGGGTGAGAAAAGAGATCTTTTCTCCCCTGTAAGAGTCAAGTAGATTCTAAAATTCTAAACAAGCAGGTTTCGGGTTCTCAGAAAACAGGGGGTTGACAAGAATGGTTCTGACATAGCCCAAACTGTGAAAACTGAATTATGATTCCAAGGCAATAGCATTTAATACTCATGCTTGTTGAATAGGCAAGGGCTTCCAGAAGGAAGATCAGAGCCTGGTCTTTTCATCTCTGGAAACCTAGATGTGGTTTACTCTTAGAATGAAAAAGGGCTAAGTCTTCCTGGGGCTCTAAGGACTCTCCCTGTGTTGAATAGAAAAAGGGATAAACCTTCAACTGGGTTTGTAAAATATCGTTGTTCCATGGAATCAAATTCAAGACCAAGGTCAAAAGTGATGGTCACATCTTGCTTTCTCTGACCCTACCCAGGATCAGAACCAGAGCCTTCAGCTGGCAGCCCATTCCTTCTGCTGCTGAAACCAATCCTCACCAGCCAGGCAATTCAGCAGAAGCTCACTCAGGGACAGCATGGAAGAGGCGTGAGATGAATATCGCTGCTGCCATTCTGTTAACCGGTGTGAGCTCTAGACTTCATCATGATTACTATATTTCCTTCTGCCTTCTGGGATTCCTTCTGACACTTGTTTCAGTTTAAGAACCATGTTTCTTTCTCAAATCATTTTCCTTATGCTGTTTCTTCACAGGAATGATACACTTTTCTCATCATAATTTTTGAAAATATGTTGCAAAAAAATACTGTGTGCTATCTGCAGTGATTATTCTTTCCTTTGCCTTAAAAAGAAAGTATTCTAGGGAAAGGATGGAAAACACCACAGAAGTTGTGAGAATGGGCATTTGTGATTTCTAACAAGGATTTGTCAGCCTTTGACTGCTCTGGACTTTACCAGCCACAGTTGCTGAAGACATGCAGGGTGAAAGATCAGCCCTTACAGCTCTAAATCAATGAACTCCTTAAACCTGCCCCCAAATGTATCAGGAGCTGGACCCTCCACTAGCAGGCAGGGTCTGAGATTTCCTTGAGCACTCACTATGTGCGAGTTACTGTCCTAAATAAGTCCAGTGTAGTAATTCACTTCATTCTAATAACAACCCTATGAGGTCATTAATCTTCACTGCGGATACAAAGAAACTGAGGTATATAGAGGTGACTCAGCTAGAATGTGGCAGTCAAGTTACAGGAAATTTATACCATTCTTTACAACTGCCTTTCCTGAAGTAATGGCTGTGTATAATATTGTTAAGATTGGGTCGACAAAAATCAACCAGTCAAATATTAGAAGCCCAAGCCCCGCCAACAGATGGATTCCTGTATTAGATGATTTTCCCGAGTCTTCTAACGACAAAAACAGCAATGGCAGCAGCATTATCTGCAAATATTTATGAGTACTTAATTGTGTTGTGCCACATACCATATTAAGTGGTTTCCATGTGTTAAATCAATGTAATCCCAGTATCCAGTGGGCGTCAGCAGAGCTGCCTTGAGCTGCAACCTCTTTCATTAGCAACCAGCTTAGATCCCTTAGTCATTTTGGCTGGGCTACTCTGGTGGTGATTCATACCCCAGGGCCTTGCCTGAGCTGAAGCTAGAACGTGGCTTTGCACCCTGGAAACCTGCCTATATTTTGCCAGTTTTCTCCCCTTAAGGAACTGAAACCTAGCTGGTACCTAAGAATTGCTTCTTTCTAAATAAAGCCTACTATGGCCACACCACCTTCCCAAACTAAGGTGCTGACCGATGCTCTCCTCTCCTTCTACCAGATTCCAACCTTTAGTTATTCATATTTTAGTCATTTCACTTAACTTTACAACTTCCTCTTGCCCACTGATTTTGGAATAGCTGGTTTCCTTTCTTGAAGACTTGAATACCAATTACCAGGGCAGCCCTCTAGCCTCCTGTCTCCAGCAGTTAGCTGCTACAGACATTATGCTTCTTGTCAGAGGCAATGTGGGTCATGCTTTACCTCTAAACAGAATAGCCCCCTATCTATGACATAGAATAGGAAATGCCTGCAGGCAGGGATCTGGTCTTATTAATCTTCATATCTCTAACACTCTTTCTGTTCTTAGCACATAGACTATTCTTAATACGTGAATGAATGAAGGAATGAAGAATGAATGAACGGCTATTGAAAGATATCAATCTTCATTTTCCTTTCCCACTGTTAAAAATCAAAGCGATAACTCAAATTTCCAATTAGAATGAAACATACCAGTTCTAGTTGGTATTCTGACAGAAAAAATTATACTGCAGGTTATATTTTTACACTAAAATTTTCCATCACGTAACTGGAATTAATTTATTCCAAGATAGTAGAAATGTATTGGTGCAGTATGAAATGAAGGGGATTTAAATAACATAATAAAAAGAAGAACATTACAATCTGTTTAACATAACCTAACCCTGGGAAGATTAATAGCTTTCAATTCATACAAAGACTGAAGTCTACAATTTCATATACACATGGTCTTATTAAAAATGAAAGCTGGTTATAATGAAATGCTAGCACCACGCTAAGATTGGCATGGTGTATGAAATAGACAAACTAACAGTGTGGCAATAGTTGGAGGTGGAATTTCATAGGATAACTTTTTAGTTCCAAAATGGTCAAATCACACAATGGCTGGAGATATAATTAAGAATTAGGCTCTAAAAACAAATTCTGAAACAGAAGGTAATTAATATATCTTCGGGGAAAGCTGGATTTTTAATGAATCAGACATGACCGCAGAGAAAGGCTCGATGTTGCCCTGTACTCTCTTAGTCTGGTTAGCTAAAACCACCCCACACTAGGGACCTCCTAGTGCATGGGGTTAAATTTCACATTTGTGAGCAGTAAGCATGTGTTTGCTGGCACTCTTGCAGCATACTGGGCATGCTGTGGAAGGATCAGAGAATTTTTGGAATTGTGCACTAAATGTCTTTGTTCTATACAGTTTTAAATAAATGAGTCATTTTCAGACTTGGAGTTTTTCTTTAAATCTGTTGGTATAAAATCCTATTTTCTAAATGAAACCATACTCAAAAGTGGAATATATGAAAGAGATAAAAGATGAAAGTATTCAAGTGGGTTAGGGAACCTTGGAAAGAGCCCATTCAATCCCTCTTCCCATCTCTCCCTTTGGCCTCTGAGGCACCTTGCAGAACTTTCTAGAATGACTTGAATGGTTTGCATGGTTTGAATTCGATTTGCATGGTCTGAAAGCCTCCAGATCTGGAGCAACACTCATACTTTTCAGGTGAGGTAACTGGGATTTAAGAAGTTCAGGGATTTTTGCAAAATCACACCGACAAGTAAATCAGTTGAGAGGGAAGGAACCAGAGTATTTTCGTAGCACCAGGTCTTGGGGCTTTTGACTTCAATTTCTCATTGCCCTGCCCCCTGGAACAGTGCCACTCAATGGTTCATAGGTTGCCAGCATGAGTGTCATCACCTGGGAGCTGGTTAGCAATGCAGAATCGCAGGCCTTGCCACAGACCTGCTAAATCAGAATCTCTGTGGTGGGATCCAGACAACTGCATTTTCATAAGCTTGCCAGGTCATTCTTAAGCATCCTCACCCTTGAACATCTTTCCCGTCTTTCCTTTTCTTCTGGTCATGATTCCTCAACTCCCAAGCTCAAAAGTAGTGAAAATGTTGTTATAAAGGAACAGAAAAAAAATTAGGAGAGGAATAGAGAGTGAAATTACTCCAGAGCCTTTATTCCCTCACCTCAGGTCCCACTGAAGTCATTTTGGAAATTATGTAGCTTTTTCTTTTTCTTTTTTTTTTTTTTTTGAGACAGGGTTTCACCATATTGGCAAAGCTGGTCTCGAACTCCTGACCTCAAGTGATCTGCCCTCCTCAGCCTCCCAAAGTACTGGGATTACAGGCTGCGCCACTGCACCAGGCCTGGAAATTAAGTATCTTTGTTTAATGATGGCATTATGAAAAAGACTAATATGTTCTGCCACTCCTCTTCCCGGTTACTTCAGCTTTTTTTAAATGAGTAAACTAGAAAATCATTTTTTTTCAAACTAAATGTCTTCATGTTTATCATGTAACATTTGTTATGTAAACTCATTGTTTAAATAGAAGGACTAGGGCGTGCAACATTTGGCCACAAAAGAAAATATGCACACACACAAACATAACTGATTTTTTTTAAAAAAAAAACATGTATTACTTTAAAAATATGCCAGTTAAATGTTAAAACTTATGTATGAATGTGCTAAACAAAGAGACTAACACAAAATAATTTCTGGTAACATTTTTAGTATCATGAAGGCCCATAAAAATGAGGAGGGTATGGATTATTGAAATTGTGTGAAATTAGAAAACTACATAGAAACATTCCCGTGAATGCAAGGAGACAAAGAGAGCAAATAGTTAAGTACATTGGACCCCTCCATATCTGCTCCTTTAAAAAATGTATATTTCAGTCATTTACATTTTATGTTAAATTATTATCTGACTCTTCTAAAAGTTTTTGGTGTAAATTAAAGATGATCTGAATTATCAGAAAATCAGGACTGAGAACAACTACCCTGAAAAAAAAAAATGGATTACTTTAGAATGTGAAAGAATGGCCAAGGTCTATGCAAAGTTATTTTTGCTTTGAATAGAAACCCTGAGTGCAATGTTTAAGAATATAAACCTATTCCCAACATGCAAAAATTCTATAGAATTCTTCAAATGAACCCTCCAAGTCAGTATTTTAACTCTGCTACTGTGTATGTGCTAGGTTTCCCAAATGGAATTCTCTATTCCCAGAACAATCTTTTCTAAAGCCACAAAAAACACAAATAGAATTCAAAGTTCTTATGCTTGATATACTTTATGCCTTCTTTCATAAAACACATCACCTAGTTTTCACGTTTCTCTGAATATCCTATGTTGTCACAAAAGATATATTTCTCCTAAGTTAAGCTAAAACGCATGATTTTAAGACAACCTAAATGAAAATTGCAAACACAAAACACATTCATAAATTCATGCTTATGAAATTATGACTTACAGCATAAGTTATTCTTGATATTTAAAAGAATCGTTTATGAGTTTTTGTCATCATGAATGTTTGACAACAAGATTATCTGTGAACAAGAGATTGTGTGGGCTTACACAGTATTTTCAACTAAAAGTTACGGTATTTTGTTTAACACAGAAACCACACCATAGGTTAAGTTTGAGATTATTTTGAAATATCTGAACTACTCAGCAGGTAAAAACAAATAATACAGCCCATTTATAGCTCATCAGTTTTTTGTTTTGAGTCATCTAAGCAATAACTCAAGGAAGGTGAGAGAGAGCATTTGCCACCCTCCAGGGTGGCAACTGAACTTCAGGAATTCCCTGGAGATACAGCCAATTGATGCTTCACATCTCTCACCATGCTCTGCCATCAATTCTCCATTGCCATGGAATCCACAATGGAAATGTGCCACACTTAGGCCACTTTTCATTTCAGTTCTTTTATATATTACCCTCCCTTTTCATATTCTCCTTGGAACTGAATGAGTTACTGTTTCAAAGAATGGGGGCCCTGTACTAGGGAAGGGTGGGGTATAATGACAAGCAAGTTCATTTGTTTGGAATAAAATAGTCAGCAACAGAACAATAAACACAGAAGTCTGCTAGAAGAGGCCTTCAGTTTATCAACACAAAGAGTTTTCTTCATGACTTCCTTGGATGTCAGTTGCATTTAAATATAGAGTTGCTAATAATTTCCTTTCCTCTTTACTCGTTTAATTATGCAATCGGATATTAAAGCATTGGGTCAGGTATTTTGCCCAATTTTAGCTATTTTATTTGTATTTTAACTATTTCCAATTTTAACTGTTCTTGATTTATATCCAATTTATTTCCAATTTATATTGGAAATCTTGGCCAGTAAATAATTTGAGTATAGCATGGTTTAATATTATAAAGGTTATATATACATACACAGTCTCTCTCTCCCATGTAACTATATCCACTAAAGTCCTAAAGTAACAATGCCTCTGTCTGTTATGGTGACTCAGTCTGGGTTTCCCATACAGCAGACTGAGGTGATCCTAGGAAACACTGTAGGGAACAGGAAAGGAGGAGAGGAAAAGGAAGAAACAATCCAGAGTTCTTTATTGGGCTGGGCGTGGTGGCTCATGCCTGTAATCCCAGGACTTTGGGAGGCCAAGGCGGGCGGATCACTTGAGATCAGGAGTTCTAGACCAGCCTGGCCAAATGGTGAAACCCCATCTCTACTAAAAATACAAAAATTAGTTGGGTGTGGTGGCGCATGCCTGTAGTCCCAGCTACTCAAGAGGCTGAGGCAGGAGAATCACTTGAACTCGGGAGGTGGAGGTTGCAGTGAGCTGAGATTGTGCCACTGCACTCCAGCCAGGGTGCAGAGTGAGACTCCATCTCGGGAAAAAAAAAAAAAAAAGAGGTATTTATTGAGTAGATTACTAATCTGGGGAACTGGGGCTCAATGCTGTTGGGGATGCTCTGAGGATCTTTGGAATATATCTCAAAATTATCCCAGTGAGGGGAGAGAAAGCTGAGATTTGTACCCATCTACTCTCCCTTATTGGTTGAGTCTTGCTCCTGTTAATACCCTGTCACTTTGGGCTTGGTCCATGTGCCCATCTACCACCCCAAAGCTAAGAGGACATGGAAAGGATACCTGCAGCATCTGTTCTACATGGTATTTGATATTACCCTCAATATGTGCCCACAAAACAGTATACAGGATCATGGACTCAAAATGACAGCAAAATAAACAGATGCACACACTGTTCACAAAGGATTTGATTGGGTTTGCAAAGCTCCCTACATTTCTTTGCATATAAACTAGACTCATCCCTTAAATTTCAAAGTAAAATCTCACCAACTGAGCGAAAGCTGTGGCACAGAAGTTCCTCAGAGTTTTAAAAGATGTGCTTTGGGTTTAATTCCAACCACATACATATAAAACCATGTCAGTTTCAAAGTCTAGGTCAGGGCTCTTAAAGCTGAAACAGCTAGACTCAAATCTCAGAGCATTTTCATAACTGGATGATCTGTACTCACTTGCATTTGCAGGCAAAATTGTAAATGAGGAATTACAATATATACATTCAGAACAGAGAAGAAATTTCCCTAAAGACAAGTACCAAAAATGTTAATGTAAAGATTTGCCACTTAAGAACAAATGGAAAAAAAAATCATTGGTGCCTAACTTTCGACACATAATCTAAGGTCTGAAGTCTTTTTGTGTTTCACAATATGAAGGTGCCCTGGCCACAATATTTATACTATTCCTAGAAGATTGTAAATAGTATCTGAATGTGCACTGTGAGTTTCTCAGATTCAACCCCAGGAACAATTGCGCAAATGCTCTCCTGCATATAGAAACTGCTAGATCCTCTTTTCAGAGCTGCTGCTTTTTGTTTTTCTGGAGACAGGGTCTCACCCTGCTGCCCAAGCTGGAGTGCAGTGGTGAGACCACGGCTCACTGCAGCTTCGACTTCCCAAGCTCAAGCAATCCTCCCACCTCAGCCTCCTGAGTAGTTGGGATTATAGGTGTGTGCCACCACACCCAGCTAAGTTTTTTATTTTTATTAGAGATGAAGTCCCACTAGATTGCTAGGGTTGGTCTTAATTTCCTGGGCTCAAGAGATCCTCCCGCCTCAGCCTCCCAAAGCACTGGGATTACAAGTGTGAGCCACCACACATGGCCCAGAGCTGCTTCTTACCAGGCAGACAGAGAAATGGGAGGCAGCACGACCTTGGAGAAGGAGGAAATAGTCATTGTCCCCTTCTTTTATTAGGGAGTGCAGGCCCCACCATACTACTATTCTACCAGCACAGTGCCTGCTCCTCTGGGCTGCTCCTTCCAACCTCACTGCTGCCCTCAGCCTCATATTCAGAACATTTCAGTGGTGAAGATCAGAGCACATAATGAGCTTGTCTGGAACAAATTAAGATTCCGGGCTTTAAAGTCAAACAGACATGGGTTACATGGGTTTGAGTCTCATTTGGCTCTGCGATCTTCAGCAAATTTCTTATCTATTTCCTTATCCGCAGAATGGAGATGATAATACCACCTTCCTCAAGGGACTTTTGTGATGTATATATAGTGCTGGGTATTTAGTACTGAAAATATGCTAGAGGTTGCTATTTGTAGTAGTAGTAGTGGTAGTAGTAGTAGTATGGAAAGAAGGAAGCAAGCTACCGCACAGAAGTCTCCTGAAAATCTGAAAAAGGCTTGGGGAAATCCAGCAGAGAGAGCTTTCCCTTTCTTCAGAGCAGAGGTTTTTAAGTTGTGATTCAAGGGCCGGCAACATCCCCTGAGAACTTGTTAGAGATGCAAATTCTCAGGCCCCATCCCAGACCAACTGACACAGAAACTCTGGGGATGGGGCCCAGCCAGCTACGTTTTAAAAAGGCATTCAGAAGATTCCATTACAGGTCAACTTTTGAGAAGCACTGCTCTAGCGGAATAGCAGGAAGGGTAAATGCTAAGCTGAGCTTAGTTCATATGGGACGTTAACATTTCCTCTCTCATTAGTGGTCCCCTCCTGGGCAGATCTAGCATTTGAGATTTTCATTTACATTTCTTACTTATATACCATGCAGTCTTGGGTAGGGCCCGTTAAAGATGGAAGTAGATAACTATTAGGTTGGTGCAAAAGTAATTGCGTTTTTTTTACCATTAAAAGCAATGGCAAAGACCACAATTACTTTTGCACCAACCTAACAGCTGTAAGGGATTATTTGTTCTCTGTCCAAAACCAGAAAGACTGACTAGAAAGACTTTTACAGGCCATTTTAAGTCCTTGTTTGTTTTAAATATGTACATATAAAAATCAGTATCTATGTCTATATAAGCACTTCAGTGTGTTAACAATCATATAATCACGCCCATGAGAGTATCATGTAATTGACATTGCACCATCATTACCATTATGTTGAAAAGGTGAGCAATAGCTACTCTTTAAATCTACTTAGAAATCATACAGGATTGTGTGGTAAATTCTGTGTATTAACATAAAGTCAGATTTCAAATCTTAAAGGCTTGTAGAATAACATTTTCACAGCCATATGGTTAATAGTTGTAAAGAAAAGACAATGTTTTTTTACTGCTGAGAAATTTGACTACAGAGGACTCTTAAGTATTGTCCTTCATTTAGAATCTTAAACAATATCATTACATATGTCCTTTTGATTTTCAATGAATACATATTTACATAAAATGTAGTCATTTCTCCCACTTCTTCATTGTTGAAATTGCCTTCGCCAACAGCTATGCAGTGTCAAGATGGGATCAGAATGTGTGGGAGCAGATATTTTTTTCAGTCATGCTTTGCTGACATATGCACTGTTAACGAATTACCACTGAAACAATATATGTGTCTAAGAAACATGTAGAAGAGCTGGCTGTTAATTCTTATCTATGCGAGAAGAAGAGAATATGAGAGTAAGAAGAACTTGGTTTGTTGAGACTCAACTTTGGCTAAATTGGAATCATTAAAGATTAAAAACAATGATATCTGGGTTCCCCACAAAAGTCTGATATCATTGGCTTGGGGTACAGCTGGGGCATTTTTTTAAGCTTCCAAGATGATGCTAATGATCATTAGCGTCATTTCCTTATAGGTCACCTCTAACCTAACCACTTCACAGTAGTTAAATCTGGCTATGATCTGTACTAGCTGGTATCTGGTTGGGAGAATCACTAGTACTGGGTTTTTGTATTTCTGCCCAGCCAGGCGTTGATCATATTTTACATTAGGATTTGCATAAAAGAAGCAGGCCAGGCAGTGGCCCTATGTTCCTTTCCCCACACAAGGTCATACATAAAATATATTATTATTTTTTATTTTTTCCCCCTCTGGCCTTTTCCCTGTAAGTATATGTTATCACTTTGATACAAATGAATCATAATTGAATACTCATTCACTCACTCCATTCACTTACTTATTCATTAATGCTTTCATTAAATATTTATTATGTGGTAGGTATACGGAAGTACAAAAAAGTACAAAAAGACCTCACAAAGCTTAAGATCTAAACAGGAATACAAATTCATGGGCAATTGAAATACCATATGGCAAAGGGTAAGACAAATGTACTGAAGTAGCACATTGAAGGTGCAGGAGATCCGGTTTGGGATGTTCAGGAATCTATTTATGAGGTGCTGTCTGAAAAGGGATTATTAACTAGCTAAACAAAGGTGATAGAGGAGAGACAGATTGTTCCTAGGAGAGGGAGCCATTTGATGGAGGGCCAGAAGCAAGAAACAAAGATATTTTATTTGATTGTAGAGTTCAGTAAAGAGGGATAAGGCTTGAGTGGTCACACGGAGTGAGAGCATGAAGGGCCATGTAAGTAGTGGAATGCTAGTAAATGTCAAATAACTGGCTCTAGGGGAGGGCAGTGGCGCTAATTGTAGCATTTGCCAATTTCTGTGGTGTAAGTGCTCTCACAATAGCTGATTTCAAGCAACTAACTTGATGTCATTGAATGAAGAACTCAGTGGAAAGAGATACACATAATTGGCTCTTGGAATGTGTTAATTAGAAGATAAGTAGTTAGCAAGCAGAGCATGTGTGTACTAAACATAGATAGTGAGGGATAGAAGGACCAAAAGATACCCAATATTCATGAGGCACCTGGGTACTAAATATTCATAATATGCTAAATACACATGAGACCAAATATACAAGAGGCACTAAATATTCAAGATCAAATAAATACACATGAGCACTTAATGTTCACAAGGTCTTAATTCAGGCATCCATAGGTGATACCTATTCCAGCACCGTAAGTCTTCTGCCTGAGAATTACATGGCTAGTCATCAGGCTATTTTGGCAAGTTACAGCTGTGGCCATGCATTCTTGTCTCTGTGTCTCTGATAAACCACATGCCACTGAATCAGGCACCACCCATTTTGGACTCCCTTGTTGGGAAGTCAACTTTGGTCCTTGTAAGCACACCATAATTGGGAAGGCTGATGCAATACAGAGACAGACAAGACATATAATGTTGTGTACTGCAGAATTCAAGTACTCTAATCTTCACAGTCTGCTTACACTCTATTCTAAGCGTGTTAACTTAGCACATATCTTTCCCGTTTGCTTCTCACTGTGATTTTAATAAACTCTGTGATTCAAGTATTTTAATTTGGTCTATGAGCCTTTCTGTTTCATGATTTGGATAGGCTGCCTGGTAGTATACTTGAAGGCCATCATTGCATTTAAGTAATTCCCCAGATGACAGAGGAAGTTTATCATAGGTGAAATTTTAAAAGATTTATGATAGGTGAAGTTTAAAAAAAATAATAATAATTGGCCGGGCGCAGTGGCTCACGCCTGTAATCCCAGCACTTTGGGAGGCCGAGGTGGGTGGATCACGAGGTCAGGAGATCGAGACCATCCTGGCTAACAAGGAGAAACCCCATCTCTACTAAAAATGCACAAAATTAGCCAGACATGGTGGCAGGCGCCTGTGGTACCAGCTGCTCGGGAGGCTGAGGCAGGAGAATGGCGTGAACCCAGGAGGTGGAGCTTGCAGTGAGCCGAGATCACACCACTGCACTCTAGCCTGGGTAACAGAGTGAGACTCTGTATCAAAAAAAAAAAAAAAGAAAAAAAAATAATAGTAACTTAAATTTTTCAAGGGGGAAAAACACCTCGGAGTTGATGAAGATCATTCGTTGAATTTGCTTAATCATTTGCTACATTTTAAAGAATGAACTTGACTTCCTGTGAAGTGAAAAAAGCAAAAAAAAAAAAAAAAATCTTGAAATGGATTGACTTCTGAAATGATTTGTGAGGCCACATCCAGAAAGGAATTGAGAAAAAGTCTTTAAATATATGATCAAAGAAATGTTGAATTAAAAAAACCCAAGCATCATATTCTGATGACACTTGCTCATTTTCACACGTTCGTTCCAAAAATATTAAAAAACACAAGAGATGAATCATTTGATGACATTTAAAACAATGCAAAAATAAATTTAGATCTAAAGTGTCATTGAAAGACCTAATTGGATTAGAAAGTTAATATTTAAATAAATAATATTCAGAAACAGAGAGGATTATGCTCTGGCCTTTATTTCAATGTATGTTATCAGTAAATGCCACTATAAAATTAAATATGCAATTTGGAGAAATTTAATTTAAGTTTGTTGGGATTTATTTACTGCCCATTTGTTTAAAGGCATTCTGCTAGATACTGCAGGGGGCTACGAAGATGAAAAATACATTCTCAGGACTTTACAGTCTAATTACAACTATGAAGAATGTTCTCCAAAGCTCTAAATACAATTTAGTACAAATAAAGTACAAATAAAAAGCTAAAGAGGTTTGAAGAAAGGAGAAACATAGCTGCTGGGAGGATCGGGAACAGCTCATGGTTGAGGAGCTGCGGGAGACAGTACTTCAATAATTAGGGTATTGGCAGGCAAAGAGCACAGAGAAAGCCAAGAAGGCCAAGGCCATTATATGACACGGAACTTAGATGTGATCCTATAAAAGGCAAGACAGTGGCTCATGTGGCCTGTAAACTCTTTTGAATAAAGACCCCAAACTTCTATGGGTAATTACTATGCTAGAAGCAAACTGTCTCAGTATCCTCTCACCCCAAACATCATTATTAAACTGATCATGAGGTTTCCCAGGGCAACATTGGAAACAGAGTCATCTCCAGTCTGGGTATACAGACTTATGCACAACTGTCTGTTTTAACAAGGAATATGTTGTCGTGTGACTAATTTGCCCATTTGTCTCCCCAACTACACTCTAGGCTCTAGAGGCCAAGGGTTTTATCATTTTCATCCTTAAATCTAGCAATTAGTACATTGTTTAACACTTAGCAAGTGCTCAATTAATGCTTATTGAATGAACCAACAAATCTATCAAACAATAGTGCATCAAAATGTTTGCTCCAATCTGCTTATTAATAACTCAGTGTCTTGGTTGCCAAAGGAGGGGAAAGAGAAAGGGTAGAGTGTAGTAGAAGAGGGGGAAATAAGATTCTAACTAGCACAATGAACAGATTTGAGTTACATATGTACACATAAAATCGGCATAGACGTGATACTCACATACAAATACAGATTGGAAAAAAAAAAAACCCCACTGGGCTACGAGGAGTGGAGTTGCCACCATTCCCTGCTATATATCCCCTCTAGCTGGCCTTAGGTGACTTCTCCTCTCTTTCAAGGCTCCTTTAGACATTCTAGAATGAAAATATTGCAGAATTGGAATGAGAGAGGCATACTGTTTGATTTACTCTCTTAGATAAAGCCTGAATAATTTCGCTTATAACAATGACAGAAATTATTGGAAGATAACAAAGTGTCATGTGAATTATCTAAGAAAGATAACATTAGGGTGGAATGAAGAGCTCTGAAGAGTGCCAATATATGAATAATACACATTATATGGAGAAAGCCTTTTCTTTTTTGGTGAATACATGATTGAGTAGAATTTTACGTTGCTGGAAGGTAGAGTTTGTTCTTCTCTCTATGCATATATACATGGAACTAGTCTCCACCTGAGAGCTTATGACCTCTTTCTCTCTCTTTGGTGTTGAATATGTGTGTATATGTGTGATACTGCAGTGCTTCTCAAGCTGCAACGTGCGTGCAGATCCCTTGGGGATTGTCTTACAATGGCGGATTCTGATTCAACAGTTCTGAAGTGGGGCCTGGGATTTCAAAATTCTAAAAAAACTCCCAAGAGATGTTGAGGCTTCAATCACACTTTGCACAGCAAGGTGATGCTCTTTTAAGAAACTGAAGCAATTACTAACAAATAGGTCACATAAGTATGTAATTATAACAGAAGTGAATCTGTGCACAAAAGAAAGAACTATGAAAGAATTATGTCTGAGTTATATGTGTATATATATATACTATATATATGTGTGCGTATATATATATATGGACATATAATTGGCATTATTATTACTGTGATAGAAAGACCTCTCTTCTGCAAGCCAAATTATCTTTCACTTTGTTGCTTCTTGAATTCTTTTCTTCTTTTTTCCCCTACAATTGCATCTCCAGATCTCCTTGAAAGGGTCAAGTAGAATGCCTATGGGCTATCTAACTATGTTGGTAAGGAGTTTGAATTCAATGACATTCAATGCATATCTAAGCCAAGCTGTCACAACACACTCAAGCCTGCCAAAGGAGTTCGTACAAATCTTTAAAATAATTTACAGGAGAGACAAAATTACCACATCATTCCCATTATCAGAAGAAATAATTCAAATTAAGAAAAATTAGAAATAAAAATGAAGAGATGACACTGAAGAATATCTCACCACTGGAAGATGACTTTCATCTACAGTGATCTCTCTATAAAGCAAAGATACTTTTCAGCTATTATTCAGTAAGTGAGTCCAACAGTTTCCTCTGATATTGTGAATTTAATTAGTAGGCAATTTGCTCATGAAATCAGAATCTAGCCCTTCCCTTGCTGGGTTGCTGGATCTGTGTATTCCTATATTCTTCTCTAGCTATTGCCTCATTTCTCAAATTCCTTTCATGTCTTCATCTCCATTCCTTATTTCCACCTCCCTACTTCTCAACTCACCACCATAAGACTTCTTGGCTGCCGGGCGCGGTGGCTCACGCCTGTAATCCCAGCACTTTGGGAGGCCGAGACGGGCGGATCACGAGGTCAGGAGATCGAGACCATCCTGGCTAACACGGTGAAACCCCGTCTCTACTAAAAATACAAAAATTAGCTGGGCATGGTGGCGCGCGCCTGTAGTCCCAGCTACACGGGAGGCTGAGGCAGGAGAATGGCGTGAACCCGGGAGGCGGAGCTTGCAGTGAGTCGAGATCGCGCCACTGCACTCCAGCCTGGGCGACAGAGCGAAACTCCGTCTCAAAAAAAAAAAAAAAAAAAAAAAAAGACTTCTTGGCTCTGGTTCCAGTGTAAATTCTTTGATTGCATCATCATGAACCTCTTACTTGAGGTTAGGGCTCAGCGCCCCGAACCCTCACACTGTTTGAGGGTCAACTGTATAACACTTTCCCTAATTCCCAACTCACCACAATAAGACTTCTTGGCTCTGGTTCCACTGTAAATTCTTTGAGGCATCATCATGAACCTCTTACTTGCTGAAAACTCCAAGAAATAGTGTTCACACCTAGCTTTTTCAGCTGCCTGGTAGTCCCTGACACTGCCAGCCACTTCCTTGTCTTTGAGACTTTCTCCTTGCTCAGGTTCCTAGTCATTCTTCTCCTTTGTAGCCTGCCATTTTCTGGCCACCTGCTTAGCTCCTACAGGAAACACTTCATAAGTGTTGTTTTCTGTTAGATATCCTGCCTGAGAAATCACACCCCTACTCTTGCATAAGTGGGAAATTCTTCAAATCTTAGGTGAGGAATGTTAGATGGCTTCTCTTCTCTTTCAAGGCTTGTGCATGCAGATCTTTTGGGGATCTTCTTACAATGCAGATTCTGATTCAACAGTTTTGAAGTGGGGCCTGGGATTTCAAAATGCCAACAAACCCCCAAGTTATGTCAAGGCTTCAATCACACTGTATAGCAAGGTTGACACTGTCTTTAAAGAATGATGCAATTACTAATAGGACACATAAATCTCTAATTATTACAGAACTGAATCTATGATCACTAAAAAAGGAACCATGAAAGAAAAGACATTATGTCTGAGTTATCATACCTTGGCTAAGGTAGTACCAAGATAAGCTCTTCACAAAGCTGAATGGGCTTCACAATGATCAGGGTGGTAGAATTCAGTGGGCCCACAAACTCCTTTGCAACTTATATTACGGATAGGGACATTTCAAAATAGACACTCGAACAGACAGTGCCGTGATCTGTAAGGGTTCACCAATATGTGCACACTTAAAACTTATACCCATTGGCTGGGCCCAGCATTTAGATTGGCAGCAAGACCAACCCCTCCTCTCCCTCCACCTCCTCAGCCTACTTAACGTGAAGATAATGAGAATGAAGACCTATATGATGATCCACTTCCACTTAATTAATAGTAAATATATTTTTCTCTTCCTTATGATTTTCTTAGTAACATCGTATTTTCTCTAACTTACTTTATTGCAAGAATACAGTATATATTACATATAACAATGCAAAGTATACGCTAATCACTCTTTATGTTATCAGTATGGCTTCTGTCAACAGTAGCCTATTAGTAGTTACGTTTTGGGGGAGTGAAAAGTTCTACTTAGATTTTTCAATGTGTTGGGCTCAGCGCCCCTAACCCTCACATTGTTTGAGGGTCAACTGTATAACACTTTCCAAAGGCTCCCTTTGCCCTGTTCTTAGACACGGCCCAGCATGAATTTGTGGCAATCTTGTAATGAGCCACATACTGTCTAACAAGTTGGATGCTAATTATACAAAACTTTTGAAAAAAGGGATCAAAGTTCCTACTTCACAAGCTTGAACAGCTGTAGCCTCAGGAACTTTCTCCAGATTGAGGGCAAAAATCCTATCTCCAGGAAGCCAAATTTGCAGCTGCCACACTCTCCCAAAATCCCAGTTCACCTCAGGGACTGATGGGGAGTCAGTCATCATACTTCCTTCCCCTTTGGGCTGAAACTGAAAAAGCAAAAAACGGGGTGGGAGGGTAGAAAGAACAGGAAGGGAGGTATCCTGTTCATTGGAGAGGTCCTAAGGAAACCTGGCTGGAGTGAAAATCTGCTGTGCCTTAAGCACCACCCTTCCATCCCCAGGCCAATACACATCATATTACTCTGTTGTCCTCCTTCAACAGTGCTAGTTACAGACTCAAGTTTACCATTAGTATATAATAGCTATAACACTTGTCCTTAAAATGCGGGTTAACTCAATGCTGCTGGGCATCAATCTAAATATATTAAGGTAGGCACTACTGTACTACAACTCTAATAATAATAATCAATAACTATCATTTATTGAATGGCCACATGGCAGGTACTATGCTTATCAGGGCTTCCCTGTCTGCTCAGCCCATGTTTCTTTGTAAAACACAACATATTAAAACAACAGTATTTGGAGACAAAAATATCTTCAATCCAACCACCTCATAATAAAACCAACATATTCAGTTTTCTATATTATCTTATCGTCCTTGTCCATATACATATTCAATGGTTATATATTTGCAGTAATATTTATATTCCACCTTTTCACTTTTTGTGAAACTTGATACATTATTTGTTCCTCTTTCATTCTCCTTTGAAAATCCAAGGTAACAAATACTGATAACCTAGTATATATCTCTCCATTCCTCCTTCATGGTTATGTAATCCCATAAGATTAATTTTATCTTTTTTATTTTAAAAATGGAATATGTTAATTGAAACTTGTTTTGATTTTTGAAAGATATCATCACCATTCTTTCAGGACAGTAGACACAGCTCTAACTAGACTAAATAATAATTCATTCTGGGATGCCCAAATAATTCCATAACATATTCAATAATTTCCACACTGAAGGGTATTTGCTTGATTTCTACTTTTTGACCATCATAGACAATGCCAAAATACACATCCTCTACATACAGCCTTTCATACTGGTACTTTTATTTCTGTAGTATTGATTCTCAGAAATGGAGTGACTGATCAAAAGGTAAGTGCATTTAAAATTTTTGTAGATCATACCACATTTCTTTCCTCAAAGACCACAGCAATTTGCGTTTCATCTGCAATATCTGAGAGTGCTCTCTTCCATTAAAAATTATCATTCTTAATTTCTGTCTATTTGTTAGATAGACATGGTGTCTTATTTCTTTATTTTCCTATCCCTTACTACTATGAGGAAGCATATTATCATAGTTTTATTTTTCCAGCTATCTGGATATCCTCTTCTGGGAATTGCATATTCCTATACTTCGGCCAGTTTTGTACTGGGTTGTTTGAATTTTAAAAAATATTAATTTAATTAACAAATTTGTAGGAGAAATTTGTATATTAGGTATATGCATCTCTTTATGTCACATGTTGCGAATACATCTACTCTATTTGCTGTTTTTCTTTTGACTTTGTCTTCTGTTATTTTAAGCAGTAACAAGGTATATTTTTTCCTTATAGCTTTTGAGTTTTGTGTCTTGTTTAGAAAACGTCTTCCTCATTCCAAGAATTTTTGTTTTTACATTTAAAACTTTAATGCATTTGAAATGTATTCTTACATTGCATAAGCTAGGAGGCAATCTGTGTTTTCTAAGAGGAATTGCAAAGAGTGCTGGCACCATTTATTGAATAAAACACCTTTATTCCTTGAATTAAAATAACACATTTGCCATATAATGTTTCCAAAAACAATTTGTATCTATTTATTTATTTATTTATTTATTTTTTGAGATGGAGTTTCGCTCTTGTTGCCCAGGCTGGAGTACAATGGTGCGATCTTGGCTCACTGCAACCTCCGCCTCCTGGGTTCAAGCGATTCTCCTGCCTCAGCCTCCCAAGTAGCTGGGACTACAGGCGCCCACCACCACGCCCAGCTAATTTTTGTATTTTTAGTAGAGACGGGGTTTCACCAAGTTGGCTAGGCTGGTCTTGAACTCCTCAGGTAATCCACCCACCTCAGACTCCCAAAGTGCTGGGATTACAGGCGTAAGCCACCATGCCCGGCCTCCAAAAACAATCTGATCTGCTTCTGGACTCTCAATTTTGCTTCAGTGATCTACTTGTCTTGTTTTGTGCTAATACTATACTATTTGGATTACAGTAGCTTTACAGCAAGTTTAATATTGGATAAGGCAAGCCCCCTCCCTTATTATTGATGCAGAGACATTTATTATTTTTCATGCATTCCTGAGATACTTGCGATTATTTATTATTTCATATGAACTTTAAAAGTCTCCCCTCCTCAATATATCTTGCCTTCAAGGCACTTGAAATTTACAGGGAATTTAAATTCCAAGATTTAAATAAAATCTTGATAAGCCTAAAATACTATAAATCTATTCTATGAAACAGACACCAATATTAAGGCAAAACAATGAAAGTGAAAACCAATAAAATGTTCAGAGCACTGCTTAAATAGATTATGATACATCCACAAAATGGAACAATATGTAGTCATTAAACTAACGGTTAAGTTCTTTGCTATGGGTTGAATTCTGTCCAAATTTTCTCCAAATTTAAATGTTGAAGTCCTAACCCCTGGTACCTCAGAATGTGACCCTATTTGGAGATAGGGTCATTACAGAGATAATCAACTTAAAATGAGGTCATTTGGTTGGGCCTGAGTCCAATATGACTCTGTCCTTAAAAGGGGAAGTTGGAGACAGACACGTACACAGGGGGCATGCCATGTGAAAATGAAGGCAGACATCTACAGGACAAGGAGCACCAAAGATTGCCAACAAACCATCAGAAACTAGGGGAATGGAATGGAACAGATTCTCCTTCCGAGCCCTCAGAAGGAACCAACCCTCCTGACACCTTGATCTCAGACTTCTATCCTCCAGAACTGTAAGACAACAGACTTCTTTTGGTTAAGTCATCCAGTTTGTGGTATTTCACTATTGCAGTCATAGGAAACAAATACATTCTTTATGTACTGATACAGGAAAATGTCCAAGAAACATTGTTGAGAGAGAAGCATAATTCAGAAGAAAATGTGTATCGTATGCTACCATTAATGTAAAGATGCATATATATAGAAAACAGACACACACATATACATAACATAAACTTATGCATATTCGCTTGAAATTCGTACATATCTCCTGAAGGATATACAAACAGCTGACAATACTGATTGGTGGTGGGTAGGGGAATTGATTCGACAGTGCATAGAGGTAGGAGAAATAATTTTTATTTTATACCTTTTTGTAAATTTTCATTTTTGAATCATCAAAATGATCACCTAGTGGAAAATAAGTAAAATTAAAAACAATCAAATAAGACCCCCTAAATTATCAGCTTTCTTTTTACTATCTTAATTAAATCAGATAACTTGAACAGATCTTCTTTTGTACTTTCTGTGTGGAAAGTTATATCAGACTGAAACATGTTAATACAAAGTATTTGCATATAGACATAGACCTCTATCTTTCCCATTTACTCAGACAACAACTTTTACAATGTTAACATGTGTTCAACATTGCTTGAAGTAATATGGGAGTTAAAAGAATACAAGACATACTTTCTGTATTACAGAAGCTCTTAACTGAGTGATGGAGAAAAGAAAAAAAGACTTAGGTGAAGCATGAAAGTAAGTCACTTCAGTTTCTTTGTGCCTGTTTTCTCAACAGTAAAATAACAAATGAGATAAATGACTGTTGAAGTCTTAAAATTTCTGAATTGTTTTATTTGTTTTTTGAAATTACACTTTTAGTTTTGAGATAATTGTATGTTCACATGTAGTTGTGAGAAATAATACAGAGAAAACCAGTATACCCCTGACCCCGTCTCCCTGAAGGTAAAACCTTGCAAAAATATAGTACAATATCATAACCAGGATATTGACATTGACACAATCAAGGTAAAGAACAGTTCCAACACTACAAGGATGCCTCCTGTGTTGCCCTTTTGGAGTCACATCCATCTCTCTCTCTCTCTTTCCCCTGTTGTCCCGGACTCCTTGCAATCACCAATCTGTTCTTCATTCTTTAATTCTGTCACTTCAAGACGGCTATATAAACAGAATCATTCATTATGTAACCTTTTCAGATGAGCTGTTTTTACTCAGCATAATTCTGTGGAGATTGATCTAAAAGTTGTTGCATGTATAAATATTTCATTCCATTTTATTGCTGAATAGTATTGCCTGGTATGTATGGATGTACCGTAGTTTGTACAACCATTCATTGTTGACCGTCTGGGTTCTTTCCAGTTTTTGGCTATAATGAATAATGGTGGTATGAATATTTTTGTACAGGTTGTAAGATAAATGTCCAAGAGTGCAATTGCTGGGTTGTATGGTAGCTGCATGTTTAGTTTTACAGAAAATTGATAAACAGTTTGCTACAGTGGCTGTACCATTTTACATTTCCACCAGCAATATGTGAATGATCCATTTTCTCCACATCCTTGCTAGCATCTGGTGTTGTAACTACTTTGTTTTAGCCATTCTGATAGATGTGTAGGAATATATAATAATTTTAATTTGCATTTCTCTAATGGCTAATGTTTTTGATAATCTTTTCATGCACCTATTTGCTATCTGTATATCCTTTTTGGTGAAACGTTTCTTGATGTGTCTTGCCCATTTCCTAATTGCATTGTTTGTTTCTTGTTTTACCTTGCAGTTTTGAGAGTTCTTTATATATTCTAGACATCCATCTTTTGGCTATATGGCTTGAAAATATTTTCTATCAGTCTGTAGCTTGTCTTTTCATCCTCCCTCACAGGTCTTTTGCAGTGCAAAGGTTTTAAATCTTGATGCAGTCCAACTGATTTTTTTCTGTGTGTGGATCATGCTTTCAATGCCAATTCTAGCCCTAGAGCCTGAAGATTTTCTCATTTTTCCCTAAATTTTGATAGTTTTATGTTTTACATTTAAGTCCATGATCTATTTTGAATTAAGTTTTTACAAGGTGTGAGATTTAGGTTGAAGTTCTTTTTTTTTCCCACTCTAGGGATGTCCAATTTCTGCAGGACCATTTGTTGAAAAGGTGAGCTTTCTCTATTGAATTGCTTTTGCAACTTTATCAAAAATCTGTTGGGCACATTTGCATGGGTCTGTTTTTGGGTTCTCTATTCTGTTTCATTTGGTCTATGAGTCTATCCCTCCAGCAACATCATACTGTATTGATAGCCTTACTATATTGTTAGCCATAATATTGGGTAGAGAGGTTACTCCCACTTTATTTACCTTTTTAAAAGACTGTTTTAGTTATTCTGTGGCCTGTGACTTTTCTTATAGATTTTAGAGTATGCTTGTCTATGTGTACAGAAATCCTTGATAAGATTTTGATAGAAACTAAATTAAACCTTTAGATTGATTTGAGAAGAACTGACATATTTGCTATGCTGACTCTTCCAGTCTATAAACATGCCATATAATCCACTTATTTAGGTTGTTTTTAATGCCTTTCATCAGCATTTTATAATTTTCTACATACCGATCCTGTACATGTATGATAGATTTATACCTACGTATTTCATTTTTGGATAAGCAATTATAAATGGTGTTGTGTTTTTAATTTCACTTTTCACATCTTCATTTCCAACATAGATAATCCGTAAGTTGTGATGGCTTGCCTTATGATTTTTTGACTTTATGATGGGTTTATCTAAATGTAAGCCCATCATAAGATGAGGAGCATCTGTATATAAAAATGTGACTAGCTTTGGTGTGTTGATCTTGTATTTTTGGATCTTGTTAACCTCTCTTCTCAGCTCCATGAGCATTTTTGGTTATTTTTGCTTTTGTTTTTGTAGAATATTTGATATTTTCTACGTACACAGTCATGCCATCCACAAATAGAAATAATTTTATTTTATACTTTTCAATATGCATGCTTTATTGTTTTTCCTTGCTTTATTGTAGTGTCTGGAACTTCCAGAACTATGTTAAAAAAGAGTAGTGAAATTGGGCATCCTTCCCTAATTAGCAATCATGGGTGGAAACATTAAGCCTTCCATTATTAAAATTATGCTATTAACTGTAGTTTTCTGTAGATACCCTTTATTAAGATGTGGAAGTTATCCTCTATTCCCAGTTTTCTCATAGTTTTTATCATGAATGGATGCTGGGTGTTGTCAGATGCTTCTGCATCAATCAATATAATCATATGATTTTTTCTTCTTTAGTTTGTTGATATGGTAGATTACACTAATTAACTTTCAAATGTTGAGCCAGCCTTCAATACTAAATCCCAGTTAGTTATGGTATGACACTCTTTTTTTAAACTTTGACGCATGTTATTTAATATTTTGTTGATGGTTTTTGTCTCTAGGCTCATTTATTTATTTTAGACCTTTCCTGTCTTCTAACTAAATAATCTAATGCTATACATTTTATTCTCAATACTGCTTTTATGACATCTCACTTTATTTTTTTTTGCCAGAGAAAAAGACTAGATTACTCACAGCAAAGCAGTAGTCAAAGAACCAACATTTTATTGAGCCAGTTCCCACAGAGTAATCCCAAAGAAGTTCAGGAGACACCTGTACACACAGTGGATTGCATCACAGGAGAGAAACCCTGAGCTTAAGGAAGCTTAATCTTTAAAAATAGACAGTAGATATGCTTGCCCTTTGCTTCAGAATCTCACTCATGTTGATGTTTTATTTTCATTTTATTTAGTTCTTTGTGTTTAAAAAATTTTTCTTTGCAACCTCCTCCTTGACCTGGGGAAAATGATTTAAAGGTGTGCTGCTTCATTTCCAAGTGTTTTGAGGTTTTTCTTTTGTCTTTCTCTTATTGATTTCTAGCTTGGTTTCATTATGTTCTGGGAACATATAAGTTGAATTCTCTAAATTTGCTGAAGTTGCTTGGAGTCCAGAATATGGCTTATATCAGTGAATGTTTCATGAGAGCTTTAAAGTAATGTGTATTCTGCTACTGTTGGGAGGAGTGCTTCAATTAGATCCTATTGGTTGATGGTGTTGTTCAGTTCTCTTTACCCTTGCTTATTTTCCATTTAGTAGTTCTATCAACTGAAGAGAGAGGAGTGTTGAAGTCCCTAACTAGAAATATGGATTTGTCTGTTTCTTTTTTCAGCTCTATTCATTTTTGCTTCATGTATTTGGAAGCTCTGTTGTTAGGTGCAAACACATTTAGGATTATTATGTCTTCCCAGTGAATTAACACTTAATCTTTATGTAATGTCCCTGTTTGTCACTAGTAATTTTCTTTGCAATGAAGCCTACTTTATCTGATATTAACATTACTGCTGCTGCTTTCTTTTGATTAATTGTTGCATAATGTAACTTTTTCGATTCTTTTAATTTTAACCTACCTAGGTTGTATTTGAAATAAACTTCTTTTAGACGGCATATTGTGTGCTCAGCTTTTATCAATCCACTCAGCTAAATCTCTTTTAATTGGTATATTTAGACCATTTGCATTTAAGGTAATTATGGATATATTAGGGCTTCAATCTGCCACCTTATTTGGTTTCTGTTTGTTTTCTTTATTTCTCATTCTTCTCTTTCTTTTTTCTTACCTTCTTGTGGGTTATTTGAACATTTCTTAAGATTCCATCAAAATTTATTTGTTGTATTTTCTTAACGTATCACTTTGTATAGTTTTTTAGTGGTCTTTCCAGGCATTACGATACGCATTAACATTGCAATCTACTGGAATTGACTTCAGGTGACGTGTAGAAGGACTCTTACTTCCACTTAGGTATGTCTTCTTTTAAAATATAACTCTTAAGTATTTTCTCTACATACATTGAGAACCACATCAGGTGGTGTTAAAGTTTTCACTTCAAACTTATGGTAAATAGGATAGTCTATTATTTTACTCTCATTTTTACCCATTCTACTATTTTCTTTCTGAAATGTCAAGACTTCGTTATAATTTCCTTTCTGTTTAGAGAATGTCTTTTTGTCATTCTTTAAGAGCAGATTTGCTAGCAAGAAATTCTTTGTTTTCCTTAATCTGAGAATGTCTCTTTCCCTTTAATTCCTTAGGAAAACCTTAGGAGTTATCTGATTATCTAAGAGTCTGTACCTTAGACTTTGGTTATGCTATTTTGCAATTCTGTACGTTTAAAAGTCAATTTGTGGAGGGCTGATGGTGACACAAATGATTCTTGTTCACTAGATGCCAGTAAAATTTTCTCATGGAACGCAATAGATTCCTGCCCTACAGTTAGTGATCAGTATTGTATCTGTTATAAAATTCCTATCAGCATTCTAGAGTGTTTTTTATATATATATGTGTATATATATAAAATATATATATACACATATATGTATATACGTATATATACGTATATACGTATATATATGTATATACGTATATATACGTATATATACGTATATATATATGCCAATTCTTCAGACTCTCCTTTGAACCAACTGTAACTAACATCTTACTAATTCCTTCATCAGTTAATGATCTAATAAAATGTTTTACACATATTCATTTTATATTTTTATGGGACTCACAATTTTGTCTCTTTAGAAATGTAGCCTTATATAAAATACAGACATAAAATGACCCATTAATTCATTATTTTACTTACAAAAGGTACCTATGTATCTGAAAGTTTTCTAAGTGCCTGACACACAGCTTCCCCTAATGATAACTCTTCTGTACGCATGAGAGATTTATCTAAACATTTAAACAAACACTGATACAACACTATTAACAAAACTACAGACTTTATTCAGATTTCACCAGTTTTTCCACTCATGTCATTTTTCTGTTTCAGGATCCAATCCAGAATCTCCTACTGCATTTGGTCCTTGGGTCTTTTTGGTCTCCTCTAGTCTGTGACAGTCTCTCAGTTTCTTCTTGTTCTTCATGACCTTGAAACTTTTGAATAGGACTAGTCAGGTATATTCTAGAAGTCTCTTAAGATTTGACTGAAGTATTTTCCCTATTAGAAGAAGTTACAGGTTTTGGGGAAGAATACCAGAGAGATAACATGTCCTTTTCATGACATCATATCACAGGAGACATGATATCAATATTATTATCACTGGCGATGTTATACTTGACTACTTAGTTAACTTGGTGCCTGCCTGGTTTCTTCTCCATTGTTATTCCTACTTTTCCATATTCTATTATCTGGAAGTAAGTTACCAAGTTCATGGAGGGGCTTAGGGGAGGATTAAACTCTACATCCCAGGAAAGGAGTATCTATGTATATTATTAAGAATTGTTCTATAAGGGAAAATTTTCTCTCAAATATGCTTTTTTACTAAACAGAGAAAACACATTATTATCTGAGTGGTTGCTATATGGCTAATCTCATTTACCTTCTTTTGTCAATTCATAAACTGGTCTTTTTTCCCTTTTCGGGCCAGTATAACTTAATAGGATTGTTTATCTTATGTTATTAATTTATTTGTAGATGACAAAGATTCCTTTTGGTAGGTTCTGGCACTCAAGACTAATAGGTTTTTCCATATATTTCTATGGATACAAATTGTACCAGCATGCTGGGAAGGAAAATGAGCTGACAGTATATGTGTCACTTTGAATCACTGGGTATCCTACAGGGAATATCGAGTTACTTAAGCTTCAAAGAAAGATGTGACAATGGTTAACCATAATTTAGATTTGGATTTTAATATTCTCACAGCCTGGCTGGCCCATCAATTTTTTATGATGTTTTTCTCTTAAGTTTCTCAACAATTTCTCTGGGCAAGTTTGTTTCAAATG
Organism: Homo sapiens; assembly: GCF_000001405.40. Taxonomy (NCBI): domain Eukaryota; kingdom Metazoa; phylum Chordata; class Mammalia; order Primates; family Hominidae; genus Homo; species Homo sapiens. Next base: position 31,571,024 of record NC_000023.11, read on the forward strand.
CAAGACTAATTTTAAGCTTGATTAAAATGTTAAACAGACTCATGCCATTTGTATTATCCTTTATGAAAAAATCAATACTTTAATAGACTTTCTTAGGAAACTATTTTGAGAAACTCAATAGCATTGTTAAATAAAGTAGAATGTCCCATCAGATTCCAGTATTTTATATGTATTCTCTGACAAAAGGGTAAAATAAGAAGCAATGAGTTACATGATAAAAGATTTAAAGGGGTGTGTGTGTGTGTGTGTGTGTGTGTGTGTGTGTGTGTGTATAGAAAACAGCTTTTAAACATTACAGTATTCTGAGCTAAGGGTGGAAATTCACCTCAGAGAATTTTTAATTGTCTGTCTGAGTCCTGATGCCTCAAATTTAGCATGTTATTAATCTTCTAACATTACCATGTTCTATTGCAATATTTTTAAAATATTGTAATTTTTAAAAATCTGTCTCCGCTACTAGATTGTGAGCTCTGACTTCAAAGACTATATCTTATTTCTACTTCTTTCCTCGGTATGGAACATCACACCTGGTGTACAGTCACACTAGCTATATTTCAATTGCTCAGTAGCCATATGCTACAGTACTGCACATCACGGATATAAAATATCTTCATCATCGCAGAGAATTCACATCACAGTCCTGATTTAGAGCAGGATGTCTGAAACTTGGCACTACTGACATATTGGACCAAATAATTCTTTGTTGTGGGGGGCTGTCTTGTGCATTACAACATGTTGAGCAGCATCCCTGGCCTCTGCCCACTTGATGACAGCAGTATCCCCGCCCCCAATGTGACAACCAAGAATTTCTTGAGATACTGTCAAATGTTCTCTGGGGATGAAATTATATCAGGTTAAGAACTACTGACTTAGATAAATACTCCCTGAACTAGAGTCCTGGAAACCTTTAGGTGGCCAAGACTTATTCTAAAGAATTGCTAAAAATTATTTTCTTTTAAAAGAGATGCCGGGAGGAGAGAGAGGAGCAGAAAAGATAACTACTGAGTAGTTGGCTTAATACCTCGGTGGTGAAATAAAATGTAAAACGGACCCCTGTGACACCGGTTTGCCTATGTAATAAACCTTCACATGTACCCCACAAACCTAAAATAAAAGTTAAAAAAATGAAAAGAATAGGAATAGATTAAAAAATAAAAATAAAAGTGATTTCACATATAACAAATGTTTCCTATCATTGCATAAGGCAATGCTGCTTAATAAAAGAAAAATTTAGTATAGTAGAATCGTGCCGCAGTCATGAGAAGCAACCCTTCCCCATTTCTCTTAACCAACACACCTTGAATCCATCAAATTAAATTCTTGCATAAGAGGTAACCACCTTCAGATTTCTTTCTTAGACCTGTATCTCTAAAAGAAAACATCCTTACCACTTTAGTGCAGACTGGCCTGGCTTTCAACTATGAGGATCCACATTTTTTTTCCCTAATGGCTTTAGACATACTCTGGACACAAAATAATTTTTCTTGCCAAGGTGGTATGCCAGAAATGCTAGGAAAATAATTCCCCCGTTGGAAGCAGTCCTAAACCAATGACTAGCAGGATTTTGTGTATAAATACCCCAGCTCCCTTGCCCCTTTGAAAGAATAACTAACTCTTAAACACATGTCTTCAATCCATTTAGAATTTCCCCAGTGGGATTAAACTCCACTAGACCAGTGGCAGTTGGCTTGATAATGCATTTTTTACTGAATGATTTCTCTTCACAGTCTCACTATCTTACCTCACATTCATCTCTGCCTTCTGCAGTAGCTGGTGCTTCACATTTCTAGGACTTCCCAAGTTCTAAGTACTTGGAATTCAGGTTTCCAAGATATGCTAACTCCTCCATTCTCTGCATATTCCTAAATTTTTTATCTTTTTTATTTTATTGTTTTTCCTCCCAGATTTTTTTCTCTTTGTGGTAAATATCATTTTAATTCCCCTATTCTCATTTTAGTGAAGGTTAAAGAGACATCATTTTTAACCAGAACTCCCTATAAGTGATCTATGGAAAGAAAAAATTAGCAAGAAAAAGACATTTGACTAGTTGCATGAGTCAAGGGTTAAGTAAAGGAGAGGATGAAATTTGTGATAATTTAAATTTAGCTAGTGGGAGGTTGCAAACAAAGACTCCTCTCTCTGTAAGCTAGAATTCTTTATAGCCTTAAATTTCCCAGGTCTAGTTTAGTATTTATATTTATTTTCCTCACTACTTTTTTACTGCAAAATATTCGGAAACCATTTGTAACTTTAAGTCACACAATTCTAATTTAATGATTAGGTTAAAGCAACAAAATTTCCTACTAATTTTGTAGCTCTATAACACTCAGATATTGGCAATCCTATATGGCTCAAACTAATACTTTAACATATTGTTTATGGACATACTAGAAATTGTACTGTGTATGCTAACTTCTACACTGGGATCTAGATTTTGTACCTCTGGATCTTTTCTAAGCTGAATAAATATGTTCATACAAGGTTGTACTCTGGTTAACATTCTGTTTATCAAAAGACATGATAATCATGTATATGAAACATGAGAAAATTTGAATCAGTTAAACTGAAAGATCTACTTAGAAAAACATCTACTTCTTCTCCGAGTCACATTCTTGTGAATTCTGGCTTTTTAAAATTATTTTTGAAATTTTAGTAAGATTACATAAAACAGCGCCATGTAAACTATAAAGGATCATATACAAATGAAGCACATTACTATTAGTAATTATAATGCACCACCAGAAATAAGAGATAGAAGGCCCTTTAACCTATTTTGACTATGAGACAGGAGGATAGAACCAATTCCCCCAACAGCCAGGGTTCAGTATTATTAATAATGATAATAAAATGAATCTACTAACAACATACCAAGCCTTCACAATATGCAGGGCACCGTACTAAGTGCTTTATATAAGTTTTCTCATTTAATCTTCACAATATTAATCTCTACTCCTATTCCTCTATTTAGAAACCAGACCTGGAGTGATTGAGAAACTTGAAGGAAAATCACACAGTTTGAAAGTGACATAGCTAGTGTTCAGAAACAGAGTCTACACTTTCATTACTATCCTCCACTGCAGGATAATTCCAGTGCAAAGGATGATCTGTTTGTTTTTTTTTTTGTTTTTTTTTTTTTTTGAGGCAGAGTCTGGCTCTGTTGCCCGGGCTGGAGTGCAGTGACTCGATCTCGGCTCACCGCAAGCTCCACCTCCCGGATTCATGCCATCCTCCTGCCTCAGCCTCCTGAGTAGCTGGGACCACAGGCGCCCACCACAACACCCGGCTGATTTTTTGTATTTTCAGTAGAGATGGGGTTTCACCATGTTAGCCAGGATGGTCTCGATCTCCTGACCTCGTGATCCGCCTGCCTCGGCCTCCCAAAGTGCTGGGATTACAGGTGTGAGCCACTGTGCCCGGCTGCAAAGGATTATCTTTAAGTTAAACATAGAAATAAGGATGTAAAATGGAATTTAGAATTCTGAAGTCTATCAACAAGGAAACTAGTGCTATGAAAAGCTAGGTAATTTGTCCACAAATACCCAGTGCTACCTGCGGACAGAGCTAGAAAAGTGCCCATATGGTCATTTACTTCACCACCAAAGTGAAATGCACCAAACCAAGGGGAAATGACTTCTCTGGGAGTTTAACAACTCTACTTTTTTTTCCCTCATTTAATTATAACATGGTCTGTTAACTTGCAACCCTCTATTTGATGTCTCTTCTTTTTTCAGTCTTTAGCAAATTCCACATCGTATTTGGCCAAATCAGACATAAAATTAACATCAATTCATTCTCAAGAGACAAAATAAAACTACGATTTTCTAATCGTAGTTACTTTTCTCCTAATCTTTTGCAAATGTCACCTTCTCTATGAAAATGCTATGTTCAAATGACCTGTGTAATATTTCATGGCTCTAATGCAATCACAAAATATATATTCGGTATCAAGATATATAAGATACATGTTAATAAGTCCCTCTAAAGTTGTCAAATTTACACTATCAGAATGAAAGATTCCTGAGGGCTAAATAAATTTTGTCTCTACCTTTCCTCCTCTTTTACAATGCCTGGTCTTGTTGTATAAACACGGTGTTTCAGTATCTTCTTGATGATAATGAGGTGGATTTGGCCAATCTAGCTATTTAAAAAGTCTGCTCTGTTCTTTTAACTTAGTTTTGTAGATGTATAACAAAACTAGTTATGGAAATTCTCTGAGATTTAGATAAATCATTTTTTCACATAAAATTGGTGCTACAGAAATAATATGTGGACTATAAGCTTTCACTATTATTGAACATTTGGCCATATCTATGAACTATTGAGACAGTTGAAAAAAAAGCCACAGCTGGAACTATATCGAGCTCAACTCTGCAACTTAATTGTGAAATAAATACAATAATAATAATTGTAACAGCAGGACCTAAATCATGCTGGTGTAACTGCTGGGTTTGTCCTCAGATATTAACTCTAAAGGTTATATTCATTGTGGTGCCACCTGTTTGGAAAGAAGGGCACATCAGGATTTTGAGTACATATTTTAGAGTTTTCCTTTGGTACTGTACCATATAATATGGAACACTAAAATCACAATAAAATGTGTCTGCTTTGTGTGAAGGTAAGTAAGTGCCAAGCTTATTGTAAGGCATTTCAAATCTTGGACACAACGCCTTTTATATTTCAACTAATATACTGGGCTGTTGGGCTGTGCTCATTTTTATAATTACAGTAGTTTCCTACATAAACAGTTTTAAATGGACCCACTGCAACATGCCAAGAAATAATTAGCTCCTATCATTTAATCTTATATATTTATATGTATCATAGCATATGTTGGCACATAACATTCACTTACTAATTCAAGCATCATCAAGTAAGTCTAGATCAGAAATATATTTAGCAGTTCCACCTCTACATACTCTTTCAGACTGAGCTAATTAGCCACTAGTTACAGAGAAAAAGATAATACTTTCTAAAATATATATTTAGATATTTTCTAAAATAACTTTACTTTGAAATGGTTTAAGACCACAAAACTTGCAAATATAGTACAGAGACTTCTCACGCACCTTTTACCCAGCTTCTCCCAATGATAGCATTTTAAATACCCATAGTACATTATCATCAAAGCTAGGAAACTGACATTGGCACAATACTATTAACTCAAATACAGACCTCATTTATATTTCACCAGTTCTTACATACATCCTTCTAAATAAATATTTATTTTAATCTGGCTTAAATCCTAAGTCTTATGGTAGGCAAGTATGTTTTATAGCGGTTTTAATATCATTCAAAATTTTCTAAATAATGTTCAGTGTAGTAAAATTATAAGAATGATATTCTGATCACTTAATTCAAAACTCTTTGCTTTCTGCTATGGGACTGTTGCCACAGAAAATTTCAAAAATTACTTTTTTTTTTTTTTAAAGACAGAAAGCATCTTGAATGAGAGGGCCTGACTTTGTATCCCTGTTAATATGTACGTTCTCAATTACTCCATAGAAACCATATATGAAAAGTTTAGTTCTGCTTCTTTGCTCCCAAGTCTCATTTCTTACTAGCATTTTTCTTAACATCTGGTTCAATGTTCACAGCAGATCAGCTTTCAAATACTTTTTTTTAAAACCCAGAAATTAGTCAATTTTACATTTACAATTATAGGTCCTTTAGGATATTCTAACAAGTAAAAATCCTAAAGGCAAAATGTATGTTTTCAAGTAAAAATATATGAGGTTGTTTTTTTTTGACAGAGTCTCACTCTGTCACCCAGGCTGGAGTGCAGTGGTGCAATCTTGGCTCACTGCAAGCTCTGCCTCCTGAGTAGTGGGACTACAGGCGCCCACCACCACGCCCGGCTAATTTTTTGTGTTTTTAGTAGAGACAGGGTTTCACCGTGTTAGCCAGGATGGTGTCGATCTCCTGACCTCGTGATCCGCCCGCCTCGGCCTCCCAAAGTGCTGGGATTACAGGCGTGAGCCACCGCGCCCGGCCGATGAGTTATTATATATAGTGCTTCATATTATCCATCACTGTTCCTATGCTAGAAGTCACTCACAAAAGCTAAAGAGTTGGCATAGCTATTTAGCAAATATAAACAAATATCTGCTTCCTAAATATTTTAAAGGGTTAGTCATTATTAATTTTTACAAAATGTATTGCAATCACATTAATCGCAACCATATAATATCTTTGTAATGTGGATATAAGTTATTCAATAGGCATTCGTTGTGATATTACTTTAATTAATACTTGTTTTTTGTAAAGTATTACCCGCCTTTTGATGGCATGTCCTTAATGACTACCCCTCTTTTGGTGAGTGCCAGATCACTATTAATTCCTTTTGTATTCATTATAACAACATCAATCAGGGAAAGCTCATTTGCTATTAATGTGAATATAACAGGTAATTCCATTCTAATCTAGTAGTGATTAATGTTCACTTGGTAGTAATTACAATATCACATTTCAGAGTGTTAGCACTGGACAATACTTATTTTGTGTGGCCTTTTAAAGAACCACAGCAGCTTGTCTGGACTTAGAATTGAAAAGGTTAAAGAAAGGCAATTAATCTAAGGACAAAGAGAAAGGATTCTTATGTGGCTGGGAAAGGTGAATAATGGTTAAGTGAAGGGTTTACAAAATTTGTTACTATTTTTTGGTCAATCAGTATGCTTCATATGTACCCAGTAATATCACTACTTGACTTGTAAAACAAAGAAAACTGAAATCGACATGTTTAAAAAGCCACTGTTTTAGCTCCATGATGCCAATGAATTTTCAAACTACATGGATTCCCTGTCCTAAATGACAGATTACTATCAATGTGAGAGTTACAACTTATCTTTAAAAGAAGGGGCCCTTTTGATGTTATCATTTTATTTGTAAATTAGTAAAAATTAAATGTTCTACCTAATTTTGAACCAAAATTGCCTTTATATTGAAAAAAATCACCTAAAACACATCGATGATATATATTAATATTATAGCTTTATTCTATTTTAGGTAAACTATACAAACTTCCATTAACATCAACCAGAGAGACTCCCACACATATTGACACAATATGTTATGTTAGATCAGAGCAGTGCTAGTCATTGAGTTTTAAAATCCTGGAAATATTAAACTTACTGGAGAACATTATAGGTTATCTGTAGGCATCAGAGATTTATAGGCTATATGGGGTGGAAAATGCATGTGAACCTCAAAACAACCTTGAAGTATAGGCAAGACAGGTGTCATTAATCTTATTTCACAGATGCGGAGATTGATGCTGAGAGAAGTTAAGAGACTTGCCCTAAATCCCACTACAGAGCATTTACTGGAACCCAGGGCTTTTAACTTATTTTCTTGGTCTTTCCACTGCAGCCCATGCCATCCTGCCTCCACTCACTTGTGACAGCCTGTAGAGAACAGATGTAAGAAAAATTGCCAAGAGTTTAGGAGTATCCAAATAACAAAAACTATCAGACTATTAGGGTGGCCAGGGGAGAAAGAGAAGAGAGGAAATCAGGAAGGCTGGGATTTTTCAAACCATTTGGGCACACCCCAGGTTTATTCCTGACATATTGAATACCAAGTCTGTAAGTCACAGAATTCAAATTACAAAGACCATCAGAAAGCAAGATTTTTGATGCGCTACCAGAGCCACTTAGACTAATTCAGAAACTAAGATGAGGCTGGCCTATAAATGAAGCTTATTGGTAGATACAACTGGTACTCCAGGGCAGCAAAGGGAAGATAAATAAATCTGTGCAATGCGTCACCTTGGAAAAGTCAATTGCTATTTATTTAACTTCATTTCAACCAACAATTATTATTAACAACAACCACGTATCTTGTTGAAAATTATGAATAGAATGATTAACAGGACAAAATCATTGCCTTCAATAAGTTCACAGCTGATAAAGGCTCTAAAACAGGGCTTTCCAATGGGTATGCTAAGGCACATGCCCTGATTGGGTTATAGGTACTTCAGATATCGATCCCTCTCAGCCCTGGGATGGTTAGGCAGCTTAGAGTCTTCGGCCAGCTTACCTGATATCATGATGAACACATCAACTTAATCTGTTCATCATGATATCAAAAAGACTGAGGAACACTGCAGAGAAGTTTGGGCTTTCTTACAGAACAGACTGACTGTATAGCTTAGCTGAGGGAGATCTGGAGACCAGAAGATGTTTCCAAGAAGTGTGATAAATCTCAGCTTAAGCCAGAAGACAGGTGAGAGTCTTTGTGAACATTTCAGCCAGTTTAATGAGCAATCCAACAACATTAAGACATGTCAAGATTAGCAAGCTTCAGATTGTGTGATAAAAGTGCAAAGAGTTCGCTAGAGCCATACTGAATAATTTGTCTTTCTCTTCTACCTTTGTCTGCCAACAATTCTACCCATTGGCCAAATGCTTCTTTCTCTAATAAATTCTTGTTCTTGCACAATCACTTGCTCCTTTGAACCACCTAAATCGCTGTTTCCCAAAATGTGGTTTGCTGAACAGTAGTGGTAGGGAGCCAATTTACCATGTTACACAGATAAACAGCTTATAGTTTAAATTTTAATATTCATTTAGTTTTATCTGTATTAAGGAAAAAAACACTGCAACATCAGACTACAGTTTTGTGGGAATTATCACTTAAGGCTAAAAGCAGAAAACAAAATGAGCTGATTTTAAGAAAAACATTAAGTAAATAATAGTATATGTGTTATTCAAAAGATTGAACAATGGAGCGTATATTTGTTTCCTATTGCTTCTGTGACAATTTTCCATAAACTTACTGGCCTAAAACAACACAAATTGATTATCTTATAGTTTTGGAAGTCAGAAGTTTGAAATGGGTTTCATGGATTAAAATGAAAGTGTTGGCAGGGCTATACTCCTTCTGAAGAAGCTTAGAGGACAATCTATTTCCCTGCCTTTTCCAGCATTAGATGCTACCAACATTGTTTGGCTAATGGCCCCTTTCTCTATCTTCAAAGCCAGCAGGGGCTATCTTCATCTCTCTGACTCCCACTCTCCTGCTTCCATTTTCACTTATATGAACCCTGTGGTTAGATTAGGCCCATCTGAATAGTCCATAAAATCTCCCCATCTCAAAGTCACCTGCTTAGCAACCTTAATTCCGTCTGGAATATTAATTCCCTACTGCCAGGGAGCACAGCATATTCACAGGTTCTGGGGATTAACATCTTCGAGGGGCCCATGATTCTGCCTACCACAGGGGGAAATAAAACTTGCTTTAGCCAATCGGATATTGCAGGCTTAATGGAAGCAGGGGCTCAACAAATTGTTTACATGTTTGCACTTCCACTCTTCACCTCAGCCTTCACAAAAAGGACTTGCTCGGGCTGGTTAGCCTGCTGGAGGGATGTTCAAGATGTGAGCGATAGAGCTGTGTTGACCCAGCCACTTTCAGACACTTAAGCTCTCAGCTACCCTCCAGATTCCCAAGGGAGCCCAGTCAGAGCAGATAAACTACCCAATGTAAACCATCAGCCCACAAATTAGTGAACTCAAGAAGTACCTACTGTTTTAAGCTACTGAGTTTTGAGGCGGTTTGGTAATGGACTGATATACTATTATATATAACTGATACAGACATAAAATGATACTTTTGCCAGGTAAACTATTAAAACAAAACAAGATTTACCATCCACTGTTACCATCATATTGTTAAGGAAGGGGTATTTCAACCACAAGAAATAATCAGAAAGACATAGTCTCAGCCTAAATGGTAGGCTGTCCTAAGAAAGGAGGATGACAAGCTACAAGCTTAAATAATTTCTCTTTCTCTCTCTCTCTCTTTCTGTCCTTATAGTTCTCATTTCTCTGCTTATTGAGGAAATCTTCTTCACAGATCATCTGCATTTGAGAACCTCTGCCACACACGACTTAATGTAATGCTTTGCACATTGTAAACCCTCAAGAATGTTGTTAAATGAGTAATCACAATGTGAATTAAGTCATTCACAATGGAATGCTGCTAATTCTGGAACTGAGTAATGTGGTCATTGCAGTATACTAAGCTGCGTGAAAACTTCTAGAAAAAAATTATAGAGAAAAGTTGCCTTCTCCTTTATTTTAGCAATACTATTGCAGCATATAAAATCAAGCTGGGACTTTATGGGAAGCTGCGCCTTGCTAATTTAAAAGGACACACTGACTACATGCTGATTGGCTTGGGGGGAAGGATTGCTTACCATGTTGTTTTGTTTCTATTTTAATTTTCACCTGCCTGTCTGCGAATTTTCCTTACCATGGTAATGGATTTAAATTAATCAATAAGGTGTTATGAAGATTTAATGTCAAATACACTTTAAAAACCTAGTTTGAAAACTTCCAGGTCTATTTAGCACATGTCGTAGTGTGGCTTAACCCATGGTGCATTAACAAAATAAAGGTCAAAGTTAAATTTTAGAAAAAGGGGAACAATATTCCTCACAAGACATTCCAGTGGGATAAAAAACACAGGTTTTTTTCTATATTGACAAACCTAGATTCTTAATTATAATAACTCTTCCTAATGGTCTATATCTAATCAGGTACAGTGGAATATTAATAAACATGTTTTATATTCTCTGGTTATATTGTTAATGGATACTTCAATGCACTGAATTAGAAGGCACTACAGTGCATATTGTTTTATCAAGGGCAAGTTTATTTTGCTTCATCTATGTAAAAACACATTATTTTTTGAAAAGATAACTTATTATTTAAGGGTAAGAGTATTAGAATATTAAAAATTGATCACAGAAAGAGGGATGGATAGATGAATATGTAATAAATCAAGTATAGTAAAATTTCAATGGCAAAGTATAGGTGCTGGGTATACAGATGTTGACCGTAAATTTCTTTCGACTTTGCTGTATGATTAGCCATTTTAATATTAAAACATCGACAACAATAATCCTAAATTGTAAGCACTGTATCTTTACATACTTGTATACCAGTGCCACCATTTTGTAGCTAATTCCTTTTCTGTAAATGTGATTATTAAACCTTTAACACTGAAATATCTGGCACATGTATACATATGTAACTAACCTGCACATTGTGCACATGTACCCTAAAACTTAAAGTATAATAATAATAAAATAAAATAAAAATTGAAATATCTGAAACAAAGTTTTAGGGGGCGTGTTCATCCTGTACAACTTACTGAGAGATTTGTAATGCCCTATGGACCAGAGGTCTAGTCTGAAGTTTGAGGTTATTTTTAAAGAAAGAATAAGAATTCGTTGAGGATGGGAAGTTGGGTAGAAGGTCTTTGCGGCAGATGGAAGTATTGGGACGTAAGGTGGATAATATCCAGGCAGCCTTAAATTTTCTGCCACATATATCACTCAAGGAGAGTGGAAGAAATGGGGCCTTGGAGAGATTATGTCATGTGTGACCTTGCATGCTACACCAAGGAGGTGGGAATTTATCTTAAAGGTATTGAAGAATTTCAAACATGAGTATGGGGGTGACGGCATCAGCCTTCATGTCAGAAGATAACTCTGGCTGAGGAAGTGATGCTAGATGCAGAAAGACCAGTGAACAAGTTACCGGAGTTTTCTAGGATACGAATAGTAATAGCATCATCATCAGCAGTTATAGTGACTATTCTTTATTAATTGCATTTTATGTACCTTACTCTCTGTATGGTAATCTCATTTAAGCCCTTTAGTCACCCTAAGAAACAGAAAACTTTATGAGGAAACTGAGGCTAGAAGAGATTTAAAAATTTGCCAACGGTGACAAGATTCGAATCAGGTATGCTTGACTTCACAGTGATAAGGGCCTGAAACCATAGAGAATCATAGAGAAAAATCTGCTTTAAGACAGACTTAGGAGGTAAAATTTGCAGTCTTTTGTGTCAGTGTAGACATATGCATAAAAGAGAGAAGTCTCACCAGAATCAGAAGTTTCTAGCTTAAATAATTGGGTAGATGGTGGTGCCATCTTCTGAAATAGAGAATAGAGGCAGTAGGGGATTTCAGTTTGGGACATGCTAATGTTAAAATGTCTGTGGCCATGAGTAAGACTCAAAATATTTGACAACTGCTTTAGCAAAAGCCCAACCAAATAGAGAAAACACTACTCAGTACACCCTACCTGTGCTTATCAGCAGGTACCAGTCCTGTGGTCTAAATATAGAAGTTCACTGGGGAGTTGCAGATGTCAATGTAGAATGGCCAAGAGGGGTACATAGGCAGCATATGCTTTGAGAGTCATCTGCTTATAGATACTAATTAGAGCCGTGGATGAAGATGAGATCACAGAAGAGATGTGGCATGGAAAGTGAAGAAGTGCTGAGGGTAGGATCTGGGGAGCAGCCATACTTATTATGGAAGAGGCTGAGGATGAATCATCAGGAAAGAGACTCAAATGTCCTATGGAGACAGGTCAGGTGAAAACCTGGGGAAGAGGGTGTTAGAGAACTAAAGGAGAAAATTACAAGGAGAAGCTGAGTCAGGCAATTTGGCAGGGGGTAGGCTATTGATTTTCTTAGTGAGAGCAGTTTGCCTGGCACGGTAGGAGTAATAGCCAGATAAATGGACTGAAAAGTGAGCTGTGGGTAAAGAAGGTGAGCTAGGCAGCTCTGCTACATTTTCTTTTCTTTTTTTAAAGTTCTATGATTAATTTTTATTTTAAGTTCCGTGGTACATGTGCAGGATGTGCAGGTTTGTTACATAGGTAAACATGTGCCATGGTGGTTTGCTGCACCTATTAACCCATCACCTAGAGATATATATATATATATTTTATTATTATACTTTAAGTTTTAGGGTCCATATGCACAACGTGAAGGTTAGTTACATATGTATACATGTGCCATGTTGGTGTGCTGCACCCAGTAACTCGTCAGTTAACATTAGGTGTATCTCCAAATGCTATCCCTCCCCCCTCCCCCGACCCCACAACAGGCCCTGGTGTGTGATGTTCCCCTTCCTGTGTCCATGTGTTCTCATTGTTCAATTCCCACCTGTGAGTGAGAACATGTGGTGTTTGGTTTTTTGTCCTTGCCATAGTTTGCTGAGAATGATGGTTTCCAGCTTCATCCATGTCCCTACAAAGGACATGAACTCATCCTTTTTTATGGCTGCATAGTATTCCATGGTGTATATGTGCCACATTTTCTCAATCCAGTCTATCATTGTTGGACATTTGGGTTGGTTCCAAGTCTTTGCTATTGCCCATCACCTAGATATTAAGCCCAGCATGCATTAGCTATTTTTCCCAATGCTCTCCCTCCCCTCGCCCCACCCCCCGACAGGCCTCAGTGTGTGTTGTTCCCCTCCATGAGTCCATGTGTTCTCATTGTTCAGCTCCCACTTTTAAGTGAGAACATGTGATATTTGCTTTTCTGTTCCTGTGTTAGTTTGCTGAGGATAATGGCTTCCAGCTCCTCAAAGATCTAGAACCAGAAATACCATTTGACCCAGCAATCCCATTATTGGTTATATACCCAAAGGAATATAAACCATTCTATTTTAAAGATACATGCACACGTATGTTCACTGCAGCACTATTCACAATAGCAAAGACATGGAATCAACCCAAATGCCCATCAGTGATAGACTGGATAAAGAAAATGTGGTACATATACACTGTGGAATACTCTGCAGCCATAAAAAGGAATGAGATCATGTCCTTTGCAGGAACACATATGGAGCTGTGCTACAGTTTCACAAAGTTTGGCCATCAGAAGAGGGAGAGAATTGACACTAGGTACAGGTGGAGGGGTGAAGGAGCAGCACCGGTAAGCTTGGACAATTGTTTGTTTGTTAAAATGAAGGGTACCAGAGTGGTAAGCTGACAGCAAAGGATCAGTAGGAAGGTGACTTAAAAAGTATAGAAGGAGGAGATTCTTGACAGAACAAGGCTCAGAGGAGACGGAATTTAGAACAGGGTGTTAGCCTCATACTCTTGCACCTTCCATATCCTATAGTCACACAATAGCCAGAATAAGTTTTTTTTTTAAAGGAAAATAAGTCACAAATTTATTGGCTATTTTCCCAACTAGAATGCAAACTCCAATGAGGCGCGGTGGCTCACACCTGTAATCCCAGCACTTTGGGAGGCTGAGGTGGGCAGATCACTTGAGCCTAGGAGATTGAGACCAGCCTAGGCAACTGGTGAAACCCCATCTCTGCAAAAAAATACAAAAAATTAGCTGGACATGGTGGCACTTGCCTGTAGTCTCTGCTACTTGGGAGGCTGAGGTTGGGGGGATCACCCGAGCCCAGGAGGTGGAGGTTGCAGTGAGCTGTGATCATACCATTGCACTCCAGCCTAGGCAACAGAGTGAGACCCTGTCTCAAAAAAAAAAAAAAAAAAAAAAAGAATGTAAACATATAAACTCCAGAGGGTGGGACCACTGTTAGCTGCGAGGGACCCGACTTGCCGAACCAGTCTAAGATATTTCTAGTTACTCCTTTTCTCTTTTTTCGCCCTGTGAACAATTTAATATTTGGCTTCTTCCTTTTTTTTTTTTTTTTAAATTTCTTCCTCCCTACTCATTCCCACTCCCAAACCAACCACAAAGCTAACCTCAGCTTTTTTTCCAAATTATCCCTTTTGCTTGCTATGAACACAAGTTTGAACCTCAGCTCTGTTGGTGATAATTTTGCCCATAAGAAGCTTCTGGCAAAAATAAAACAAAATAAGTCTTTAGGCCTCATTCTTTAGGAGGTTTTGCTGGCCTAAATTGTTTTTGCTTTTTAATGGTATTTTAATTAGTGTTTCACCAAGTGTGGTTCTCAATCAGCAACAATAGTATCCCCTGGGAATTTGATAGAAATGCAAATTATCAGGCCCCTCTCATAACTAAATGATTACACTTTGTGGAGTCTCTTCATCTAAATGTCTTCAGTGGCAAAAGCCAATGAAGAAAATCTCTGTATATAGTTTTTTTTTTGGTTTGTTTGTTTTTGTTTGTTTGTTTTTTAATGGTTCTCAGGGTTTGGTCTCTAGACCAATGCCATCAAAATCAACTGGAAATTTGTGAGCAATGTGAATTCTCAGGTCCTACCCTATCTGTAACTGAATGTAAAACTCTAGGCATGGGACCATTCAATCTGTATTTCTACAAGTCCTCTAGTAGCTTTGATGCATGTTCAAGTCGGCCCTAAAGTGTTGGATTTATAACCTATAACTGTTTCTTTCTAGAAAACAACTATGTCGGGGGAAAAATAAAAAGAAAGTTTTCTATTAATTAAAAACGTAGAATTCAAGAGCTAAAGGAATCTCAGGACAATGATTAGCAAAGATAAATATACAAAGGAATATAAAGTAAAAATGCAACTGAAAATGGCTGAAGAGAACGTGGACTAACACATAATGTTTGAAACAGAGTATACTATTTAAAAGCTACATATGTGCTAAATCTCAGAATTCTTCTTTCCATGTGCTAGTTTGAGAGGCAATTTATTTCTGGCACAACTGCCATATGCATTTATACTAATGTGAAAGACTTCTTGTAATGAGAAGGTAATACACTGCATTTAGTAAACTAGTTTTCAATGTGAGAAAAATGCCTACATGAAAATGTTGCCCTTTAAAAAGCTTCCCTTGACTATTCCTGTTTATATTCTTGATAGCAGAATAGCTTTGGGAAATGTTCTGAATAGAATCCAAAGCTACTCTAAAGATAGGCTGACAAGGTTGTCACCATACAGTTCCTATGTACCATGAATCTTAGAATCAAGAACGTTTGAATCAAGACATTTCTCAGAGCCAATCTGAGATATGTGTATATTTATATGTATCTATTTGAGACAACTCTCAGGGAACAAGACATCAAAAACAAATTGATCAAAAGGTTATACGCTCAAATGAATGTTGCATTTTAACGCAGTGAGTAATGGTACAATTTAGGAACTAAACTCTTTTTGAAACTGCCTTTCAAGACAGTTTGCAATTACAAAAGAAATGTTCATGGGTATCTACTTTTTTTATTTGAAAAATTGATTGCATCTAGGTTTACCATTCATGCATTTTGTTCAACATAAAAATATTTTAGACTGACAAAAAATAAATTCTACTTTCAAAATATAAAAATTTGATACCTTTAAAGATGTTAAAAAAGAAAAAGACACAGAATAGTAACAACAACGTAGGAATAATTGTATAGGCTCCTAAGGTGACCATTAAGAATTCTAACTTACAGGTATTAAGTTTTTTATTTAAAAAAATCAGTTGTTCGAAGGAAACACAATTTCAATTAGACAGGAGGAGTATGTTCAAGAGACCTATTGTACAACATGGATACTATAGTTAACAGCAATGTATTATATACTTGATACTTGCTAAGAGTATACTCTAAGTGTTCTCACCACAAATAAAGTGTATGTGAGGTAATGCATACGATAATTGGCTTGATTTAGCCATTCCACAATGTATGGGTATATCAAAACATCATGTTGTACACCATGAATATATACAACCTTTATCAATTTAAACAAGATAATTAAAAATCAGTTGTATTACTTAAGTTGCTTGTTAAAATATGTATCTGTTACTGTAATCAATACAAATAATTATGAAGCAGTTCATGCATGCTGGCAAAGCCAGTCAAGCCATTCGTAAGTGCCTCTCGTTGGCAGTGAATGTATTTTTTTTCCTTGGCCTCCTAAGGCCCTTATGACTTTTTCTGGGTCAGCTTTGTTAACTCCTCTCACTTAGCTCCATTCTCAATGGTCAGCGAGGCTTGGGATTAGTCATTTTCACTTTTCTTGGTACATGGACCTCTCTCCCCCCGTACTCTCAGTATTTCAATTATCATTTGACTGTAGATAAGCTCCCAAATCTTTATTTCAGCTTAATATTCTATCCTGAATTTCAGACTCACACAGCCAACTGCCCAAGAATATTCCCTGAACTTGTCCGCCTTTTGGATATTCCCTAAACAGGACACGTCCTAAATCAGTGTTCTCAAAGCCTGGTCCCTCACCAGCGGCATCAAAATCATGGAAGAACTTTGTAGAAATGCAAATTATCTGTGCCCTCCCCAGACCTCCCCAATTAGAAGCTTAAGGGTAAAACGGTCATCTGCATATTAACAAGTTTTCCAGGAGATTCCAGTGGAGCTAAAGTTTGAGAACCACTGTCCTATATCATGCCCAGCGTTTACTCTGTGTATTTATAATGTTTTTAAAAAATTTCCATATTTTATGGATGCTTGAACATCTTGAGGTCCTTGGAAGGCCAGGGAGAGACTGCCCCTCCCAGGGCTAGCTAATTCCTAAAGATAGCAAATAACTTGTAAACTTGCTCCCTTGTGGATTTGTTGGATTGCTTTTCGTTATACAAACCAACTAATCCAAAGTCCGTATCCCCAACTACCTTCTTCATCTAACTGTTGTTACACCAAACCAATATTTCCCCCACCCTAACTTTTTCCCCTCACCCTAGGGCTTGGTACCAGACAACCAGAGACCACTTTTACAGCCAGGAAATTTTGGAAATTATTTGAACTATCCAGTCCTAAACTTGCTCAGACTTGCCTATTCTACCTCACTCATTTCTTTTCCTTGGAAACCACAATAAAGGGTTTGGGCTGTGCTTTCCTTTTCTGCCTGCTGACCGACTCTGGAACTTTTTTCCTGCATGGCTTTGCATGGCGTAGTATGTACTCTTCCCTTGAGAACTGTGAGTAATCAAACTTCTTTTAATGGAATTGATCTCTCTATATTGTCATTCAGTCATTTCTGTAAAGCAAATCCCTGTGCAACTAAAATACCCTGCCCCTCCCAACATAATCTAAGTCTTGGGTTCCCTACTTCGGTGAAGGTTTCTAGCTGTCCAAAAAGTAGAAACTTTACTTTTTCCTTTTGTATATTAATCCATTACTAGATAGCAAAGTCTATGTTTTTTTTTTTTTTTTTCAACTTGGAATCTATTAACCTCTTTCCCCCACTTATACCAATACTCCAGTTTAAGCCACCAGTGTGTTCAACTGGGCTTCAATAACTTAACGAAGGATATTTTTGCCTCAGTTTATGCCCTTCATTTCAATCCAATTTACCTTTTTAAATGAAGTCACTCCTCTGCTTAACACAGAACCTTTAGTGGTTTTTACCATTGTCATGCAAGTAAAAAAAAAAAAAATCTGACCCTTACTAACTTTCTAGCTTCATCTCTCCCAATTCAAACTCTAGGTTTACCAAGCAGCAATCCTCTCAAAATCACTTTCCCATGACTTCAGACTTGTGCACAGTATGTTGCCTGGCTTAGAGAATACTCCTCATGTTTCCTTCCCCCTACCTGACCAACCCATCTCTTAGGTCTCCATTTAGATGTCAGGAGGAGCCTTTCTTCATGCCTTCAGGCTCAGCTATTCTATCATTCCGGGTTCTATCCTATCCCATTTCCTGCTATCTCCCTGACTTATTGGGGGTCCTATTTCTGTCAAAATCAGCAAAGGAAAGCGGGTAGGGGTTAGGGGAAGAAGGAACTGGGGGTGAGAAGGAAGACAATATGCATCAGGATAAAGGAATGAGCTGTTGGCATTCTTAGTTGAAACTCTGAAGGCATTTTCCATGAGTGTAAACGCTATAATCACTTTCACAGATCACCTTCAAAAATACTGCCATGTTTGACCTCTTATTTAGTTGACATTGTTATCTAGATTGACATTTATTGACCCATTTTGTTTTACTTAGTCTCAATGTAAGCAATGATATCTTAAAATCAACTGTTTATAGTACCGGCTATATTTGCCTAAAACACATTAAATAGATTAAATTAAATTCACATAATTAGAATTTTATGAGAGTGAGAAATTACTTAATGGGTACAATGCATCTTATTAAGGTGATGGATACCCTAAAAGGCCTGACGTGACCATTACACAATCTATGCATGTAACAAAATTATACTTGTACCTCATAAATTTATATAAATAAAACAAATAAACTCAATGCCTCCCAAAATAAATACATAATTGTCAGAGTTTGTAAAAGTATCAAGCCATGTGCCATGTAATAATATTCCATTTTCATTCTTCCAGTGGGAAGTAAACAATAAGGGAAAAATTATAGATGACAGATAATGTATATAGGTATGTCATAAATTGAATTAGCCTAGGAAATTAATTATAATTTATATTTCTCCCTGTGGCAAATGTATTTCAAATACCACACATCTTAATTGTAAACTAAGTAAAAAAAAAAGACTACTTATAATCTAGAAGGCCCTTGATAATTGAAATACACTTAGCAATGAACAATCGAGTTTATTTTGCTGATTCACAATTCACAAGTAATCTTAAGGTCAGGTTTCTGATTGCTCATTCGTAGTTGTTTTCCAAAGTGTTGATAATCTAATTTTGTTTGTGCTCCAAATGATTCTTCCAATGCAAAAAGGTCCCAGCTGCTTTGCAAAGGTAGGTAGGTTTGCCTAAAAATCAAGAACGACATCACCCACAAGACATTTTCTTGTTAAGTTGCGAAGTAACTTTTAGTATATTTTCAGACTAGTGTTTTCCTAGACTAGTGTACCCCATGCATGATCTGAATCAGACTTGCTCTTAATCTTCCATTAAAAACAAGACTTTCATTCTAGATATGAATTTTAGTCTGATATCTTATTCTTAAAGACTACTTTCTTATCACAAAGTTCTCACATCACCAATATCCAAACCAAGACATTTAAGACAACATTCTCAGGGGTGATAAATGACTACAGTTTTTGCGCTTTTAAAATAGGCTTGGGAAATGACCTGTATTTTGCATTACGTGCATCATAAACTTCTAATTGCTCTTACAGAGTGTTCTGTAAAAAAGAATATCCACCATTCTTTAAAAATACTATGGCATTAAGACTGAAGCCCTGAGAGATGTTAAGATAGACTATTTAAACTCTGTAGACTACATTTGGGAATGCTTCCAAGGTTAGCAGTGAAGAGTGACTCATCAGTGAAGGGCCGGAAGTTCTTTTCCTTTTGGTTTAATGTGGATCTCTCAAACTACTTTCTAATATGGTAACCACTAGACACATATGGCTACTGAGCACTTGAAATGTGGCTGATCTGAACTGAGTTGCGCTGTAAGAGTAAAACTTACCAGATTTTAAATACTTAACGGAAAAAATCTAATTAATAACTTTTGTAACAATTACATGTTAAAATGACAATGTTTTGGGTATATTGGGTTATATACAACATACTGTTGAAATTAATTTCACTTCTTTATTTTTATTTTTTCAGTGTGCCTACTAGAGAAATTTAAATTACATATGTGGCTCACATTTTATTTCTACTGGGCAGAGCTGCTGTAGTAAAATGAAGAGAACAAGAATAGCCCCACAGATATCTTAGTTTTCATTGTTACAAGCCAACAATTTATTAGACAATTTTCTCTGACTTGAAATGACACAAAAATCTCAGAGAGATCCTGTGGTGTGAGCGTTTGGAGTCAGAGGCCTATTTTTCATGGACCATTGTTCTGGTTTAGTTTAACAAATCTACTATAGTGTAATATAGTATAAACTATTTTTGCATTTTTGTTCATTTAGAAGTTTATGAAAGTCAGCAAGATGAGCATTTTTGTGATTGATGTATGATGCAATAAATTGCATTGCCAATTTAGAAATGTAATAATCTGAATTTTTGATCATCAAGTTTATGCATAATGTATTTTTGAGAGAAAATAAACACAAGCAAAGAATCAATAGCATTTCCCCAGCCCCCAATCCTCGGGGGAGATTCTCTCTCATTATATTTAATTTCCTCTTTGAATTAACTCATTTTAAAAGACAGTAAAATAGGCTCAAATGTTTTAATTGTATTTCTGATTTTTTTCTGAAGTTAAGAGCAAAGTAGACTGAGTGAATTGACAGATGGTAATGATTTTGCACACCATTTATTTCAGGACTAACGGCAAGTTCTATTAAAGTAGTTCCTCCTAAGGAGTTTATCTCAACCAGTGAATTTCCATTCAGCCTTTAACACTTGACTCAAATGCCACCTCCTCCTCTAAAAAGCCTTGCCTGGTCCTATTGGGCAGTTATCCACTGCATATTCTCCTAGAGCATTATGCCTTATATATATTTCTCTTATTGAATTTCTCCTCGCTGTCCCAAACTAGAGTGTGTGCTTCCTGACAACATGGCTGAAGTCAACCTGAGTCTTACTAATCTCTGTATTATCAATGACTAGTCCAGTGCCCAACATATAATAGACATCCAAAATGTGCATATATTCCAGGTTTCTCAATGAGATGGTATTAATATTGCCAAATATTAGGTATAGTGTACTTAACAGTATGTCTAGTTAAAACATACATATATTCTACATATATGTAGTTTAAATTTCTCTAGTAGGCACAGTAAAAAAAAAGTAAAAATAAATGTATACATATATTCTACATATATATTCTATATATATATATATATATATATGGCACATAGAAATATTTTAATGAGGAATTTGATGATGGCCAATTTTCAATGATTTAATAACCAAGTCAATTTTTAATTAGAGACAATTTATAAGTAAAAATTGACCTTGAAAAGTGTCTCACACACACACACACACAAAGACATAATGGAATAATAAAAGACCTTCTAGTCACCAAATTAAATATTTGTCTTCTAAATGCAATCACTTCGATTACGTTTGCTGAAAGGATTACCCAAGGCTCTTTTTTTGCTACAATTATTTAATTATACTCATGGTTTTGACTCATTTGTAAATGCCCATCTGAGGTTTTATTAATCCTGCTCATTACTATATGTTGACCCAGTCTATTGTGATCTCATCTCTAAGGTTTTATGAGCACAGCCTGATATTCATGAAATTTTCCAGGGGTTTGTAAAAATTTCTGGGTGATCATATTATTAAAGGTAGTTATGTCTATTCTCGAAAATAAACATATCTTTTCATTACAATGCCAAATACATGATCGTGGGAGGGATCAAAGAAGTGTGTACATGATTTAGCTGCTCAACTGGTTTAATTACTCAACACTTTTAGCTATGAAGAGAGTTTAGACCATTATAATAGTCCTAGATTTTTTATTCTTATAATTTATATCCATATTTAGAGCATTGGTTACTCATGTTGAAATATATAAAGGGTTGAAGAAGTTATAAGGGATCATATTTCTCCAGATTTTACTCCAGATGATCTTCAGAGTAAGTCAATTTGTAAACCGCATATAGAAAATCTAAAAGTGGAAATTTTTATTGCCTCCGTATTACAGAGGAGAAAATGGTGGCACACAGTTTAAGTAATTTGCCAGGGTCATAAAGGTAGCTGGTAAAGACTTGGAGGGGGTTTAAACCCAAGCTCTGTAGCTATAGAATCTTCCAACTGGATACTAGACAAAACAAAAGTTCCCAGAGCTTCGCTGCACATTAGATTGAGCTGAGTAGTTTGTAAGAATTATGATGCCCAAGTCCCACAGAACACCAATAAAATAAAACTCTCAGGAAATCTTGTGAAAACCAAAGTTTCAAAAGAATGAAACTTTACTCAATTGATGCTCAAAGTGTATTTTGTTAAGATGTACTTGAAAATGTCATTTGAGCCTCTCTTATCTGATTGTTTACAGAGCAAAAAGAAAAAAAATAGCTAACTTCTGATAAAACCCAAAAACTATGAAGAATTCCCCATGCCTCGTCATAAAAGTAGCTTTTTCCTCGACTTTATAGATTTTATTTGATTTTAAATTTTAGTCCACATTTTCATGTGTATTTGGCCCTCAAACCAAGCATGTAATTTAAAAAATTGTTAACTCATACTTTTTCTTATGTAATTAGAGTTAAAAATCATTGTTAAAGTGAAAAAAATAAAACGTTTGTCTATATAATGAATATTATTGTAAAGCATATTAAATGTTAAATAAAATCCTAATTAATATACTAATATAAGCTCTTATAAAGTTCAAATAATTAAACAATATTTATATTATCAACATTTCATAAGATAAAACACACTAAATAATTAAAAGCTCTTCCACCATGCAAAAATGACTAAACGATTTTTTAATTTCTAAAGCTTTTTGAGATTACTGTGAAAGGGGACATAGTTTCAGGAAAGGTGAGTAAACACTATATTAGACTAGCATTTCTCAATTTTTATACTACTGACATTTTGGCCTAAATAATTCCTTGTGGAGGGCTATCCTATGCATTGTAGGATATTTTATACCATATCTGGCCTCTACCCACTAGACTTCAGTTGTATCTCCAATCCAGTAATAATAATTAAAAATGCCTCCAGATATTGCTAAATGTCCACTTGGTGGAGGTAAAAATATCCCCCGCCCCCCATTTTGAGAACCATTGCAATAGACAAATTAGCTCAGAGTTATGTCATCTCTAAACAACTTAGCATAAACAAACTAGAGAAGCCCTTTCGACTTCTGGTCTGAAGAATTCTGCGTGTCTATAATACAAGTTTAATTGATATGTACCTAAGTTATTATCAGCTGATATAACAATTTGTGATGCTTTCTGAATCATCAAAAAAATGTTGTTTGAATGCTTAAGATGCTTAATGTGTTTTGTAATACAGTATACTAAAAACCTTGGAAATCATTAATTAACTGAAGCCATATAATTTTGATAGTTTGGTTACTGGGCACTTTAATCTAATCTGTAAATCTTCCAATAGATTTCCAAACTCAGAATTTTCATCCTGCTCTGATTGGTTAATCTTTGGTGGGATTTACCATTTATCCATTGCATTATAATTATTTGCTGTGCCTTATCATATAAAGACAAAATTGGGTGTGGAGTAGTTGCCCATACTTTCCAGGGCATATCATTGAGACCCACACTCAGTAGGTTATTATGTTCTTTAATGGTTTACACATTGAAGGGAAGTTTCACCTTTCCTGAAACTATACCCCCTTTCACAGTAATCTCAAAAAGCCTTAGAAATTAACAATTTATTTAGTCATTTTTGCACGGTGGAAGAGTTTTTAATTATTTAATGTGTTTATCGTATTATAAAACATTGATCATATAAATATTGTTTAATTATTTGTACTTTATAATAGCTTACATTAGTATATTAGGATTTTTATAACATTTAATATGCTTTATAGTAGTATTTGTTATGTAGACAAATGATTCAAATATTTGCCTCATTGTTAAAAGCTCACTTAAATGTTTTGACATAAGCTCACATAATTTGAAAATATTAAGAATTTGAAGCTATAGAATTTGAAAACATTAATGCATTGAATTCCATATGGAAGAAAGTCTGTTTAGTTGAGGGACTTCAATATGCTTCCATTTTCCACTTCTGAAGATCTGTTTCGGCTCATGGTAAATATTACATCTTTACCCTCGCTCCCCAAATGCTTCAGATGGATTAAGCACCATTCTTTTTGTGTGGGGGAGCTGGAGAGAGAAATAGATGAATATCTTCCACACCCTTGATTCCATCCTAACAAGTACCAATAAATAGCAACTTCTCACCTCCTCTATAGAGGTTGTCTTCAATTAAAAATACACTAGAGAGATTATAACCATAGAAAGGACATTGAGTAGTGCTTTCGGCTAATTGGCAGTACATTCCTTCCAAAATTTCAGAGGTACCTCAATTTAATGACTCCCCTGAATAAAGTAATTGGTTGAAATTTACTTTGCAGTTCTTAATATAACTTTGGGCCCATCATTAGCAAGAACTCTAAAAAGGAAAAACAAAAACAAAACTGGGGTCAGTATATATTTAAATGAAGCACAAGGAAAAAAGGTATTTCACTTTCAAAGGACCTATGCTGTTTTTTTTTTTTGAAGATTGCAACTCATCTATTTTATAATATAATGACAATAATATTGCCTCTGAGTTAACTGTGTAATAATTCACTTTGGGTACTGCAATAATTGAGCAAACAGAAGCTGGTACCAGAGGCATTCCTTTCTTTTATTTAGTGTAATATTTTTTCATAATTTAATGAGAAACATTTCAAAAGCAACGTTTTTATCCTTTCATGTTAAATTAATTTACAATGCTATAAGCTATAATAAAATGAGAGAAACCATCAGCAAAAAGCAAAAGTTAATAAAGACAGATATTCTTAAAGTTTCAAGGACTGAAAAAAGCTCAAATCACAAAAGTATTTGGTTTCTCCTTTTTTTGTGGCTTGGTTCAATTTGTCATAATTTGTTCTCAATTATTTTGTACTTACAGCTAGCATAACATAATATTGATGAAGGAGAAAAGATGCATTACTGAAAGTAAACATACATAATTAAAATCACCTAAGAAACAACAAAACTTTGCGATGTACTTCAGTAAACTACTCTAAGATTTATACAAAGAAGGCTATGATGTAATTTAACATGTACTGGTATAAACTTCTTTGGGCAAAATTCAAAATTTCAAGCGATGATGAATAAAGCATAAGGAAAGTTCATGTTATTGGAATGGAGTTCTCTGTTTAAGCATATTATGGACACTCCAATTTGACAGATACTACTCTGATACAGCTTAATAAATTTGTATTCAGCTGCTGAAACACTAACGAGAATTGAGAAGACCTGGGCTGTTGGACCTTTGAAGTCCAGAGATTTCAACTCTCAGAACCTGGTTTTCATCTTTAATTGATAGAATTGGACAACCTCAAGAAGAGAGTAGTTTCACTTGGAGTGATGGTGCTGGGCTGCTCATGAGGATTCTGCAGGTTAAATGCAGTCAAGCACTATAGCACGGTATCAGGTTATTTGCTATCCATAGACTAGATAATAGCAAAAGTCCTTGCAAATTTCAAAGTTCTATGACTCAGTGAGAACATTTATTATTTAGCCAGCAAGTAAGCACATAGCCCACTATTCAGCATGTGTCTGTACATATAACATCCTAGAGCCCTACTACTCAAAGTGTGCGCCAGAGACTGACAGCAGCAGCATCACCTGGGACCTACTGAATCAGCATCTCTGGGGTTGGGGCTAAGTAATCTATGTTTTAACAAGCTCTCCAGGCAATTGCTATGCATATTAAGAGAAGCACTGATTCAGAGCATTGTGAGAACATAGAAGATATTCTAGGCTTTGCCTCAAGAACTTTAGTTTTGGATAAAATAGATGTAAAACAACTTAGCAAAATCTTTCATAATGAAGTAATATCTGTAGGTCATTCATTCAACAAATATTGAGAACCTACTATTTGTTAGGCATTGTGTTAGTGGCTGGGGTTATAATAGTTCTGCTTTTGTGACGCTTACAATCTAGTGAAGTATACCCAAATAAACAAATATATAAATTTTAAAAATACGGTTTTTAAAAAATACTATGCAGGAAATAATAATGGTGCTATGAAAACAAAGAACAGAAATGGCTTTGAGGGGTGGAGAGTGATACATTTAACTTTATTTTAAATTGTTAATAATAATATGTTAAGATTTAGTTAGTTGATAAATCAGCAAATACCAACTGCATGCATGCTCTGCACCCAGATAAGCATCTTGTGGAATATAAGAGTATGCCCTGGAGGAGTTTATAATCAGTTGGAAAGATAAGATTTAATCACCAACTATAATCAGTATGGTGTCCGCAGTAGACCACTTTAGAATGGCCCTTTGTTGAAACTCTCTCCTCTCTGCTTCTTACTTAATAAGCTTTTCTGGTTTTCCAATTCCTGGTTTTCTAATTCACTGTGCAAGACAAATTTTAAAAAGAGAAATCAATGTTGGCTGAAATTAATGCAGAATGTTCTGTGGAAGAAGAATTCAAGATGGGTCTTGAAGCAGTAGTAGAATGTATAAAGGTGAAGATAAATAAGGAAGTCATTTTAAGAATACCACTATTGTTAGTATTAATAATAACTCCAATCATTTTATTTCTAATAACTGGTACTGTCATGAAAGATGATCTGTTAATACCACATATCAGAAGGGTTTTAGTTCAGCCCCAGACATGATACATTGTGTTTATAAGTTTTCTTTCATTACTTTGGCAAACAACGTCTTTTGATTTTAACCTTCCTTTCAATGACTAAGGGGGACTCTAATAAGTATCTAGGTAGAATTGTCAAAGAAGATGAGTCAGTATTTACATATTGACTGTTACAAGCACTACACAAATGGTTGTTACATAACATACTTGAAATGAAATTAGAGTTACCTACGCAAATATATGTGTGTGTATCTTGTTTTTTTTTTTTTAATTGAGAGAGAGAGGGTCTCATTCTGTCACCTAGACTGGAGTACAGTAGCATAGTCACAGCTCCCTGCAGCCTTGCAGCCTTGACCTCCCAGGCTCAAGCAATCCTCCTGCCTCAGCGTCCTGAGTAGCTGGGATTACAGAGGTGTTCCACCACATCCAACTATTTTTTAAAAAATTTTTTTGGTAGAGACGGAGTCTTGCTATGGTTCCCAGACTGGTCTCGAACTCCTGGGCTCAAGCGATTCTCCTGCCTTAGCCTCCCAAATTGCTGGGATTACAGTCGTGAGCCACCTTGCCTGGCTGTGTGTATATCTTTTAATGTTAAACTTTTACAGTAGAAATACTCACTATTTGCTTTTCAATTGCTTGCTCTGAAGAGCACAATGCTTTACTGAACAGAGATCAAAAACCCACCTAGTTAAACAGGAAATAAGACTAATAAAAATATTTAATGGTCTTATTTAACAACTATAGAATAAAACTGAAAACAGTACAGTGAAATAAAGAAAATTCCTTTGTACCAATGTCACTGCATGATATCGGTACTAAACAAATTGTTCTCAGGAGCTACAAGTCATATTCAGGTGGTCAGAAACTTTACCTTACACAATGAGAAATGTAGTATCTGAAATATCTGCAACTAGTTAGGTTTAAGAAAAGAAAACTCTTACCATTGGGGGAAAATAAATCCTTTTAGAAATAGGATTGAACTGTCAATAAAGCTGTTTATAATAAATTCTTATAAAGTTTAACATGAAAGGACTGTAAAAACAGATGTTATTCAAAAGAAAATCACATCTGATTTTTATTGCTACAGCCTCTCACTGACTTTTGTCTCATTTTTCATGGAGGCTTTTAAGTTTTAACAAAATACAAAATTGAAGAGCTTTTTAAAAGAAGAGATTTATGCGATGTATAGAAAGATTTTCTGGAGTTATAAAATCCTGATCACCAGATATACTTAGGAAATGATTAAGAAGGCTGAATGGTAAACATAGACTCTAGAAATGTAATTATCATTTTCTCTCTTCTTTTAATTATTAAAAATCTTGCATTTAAGGTCTGAAGTTTGCCAGACTAATCCAAATTTACTAGTGAGAGGCATCCTTGAATTCTCCTTAATCTGTTTAGTTACTTAAAATGTTTAAGACTTTCTAATCAAGAGAAGCCTACAGTCTCGAAGGCATAATGTTCTCTCCGAAACCAATTTAACTTTAGGTTATTTAATTGGAACTCCAAAGAATTAGAAGTTCATTCTATTTCCTTGGCATTCTTCACAGCACCTGGCACAGTGTTAAGTACATATTAGATGCTCAATAAATATTTTTGAAGGAGTGAACATTGCTTAAGAGGGAAATAAGAGGAACTATTAAGATAGAAGATATTTAAATTCCTAAAATTATTTCTTCCCTATTCATGGAGAGGATATGATTAGAAAGACAATTGTATATAGTTTTAATAAAATCTATTTATTTTGGTTTTGTTTAATGCAATTCCACAAGCTTTTACTGAGTTTGCACTATCTTGACACTGAAATGCTGAAGACATTTTAAAAATTACAGAATCACTCAAGAAGCTTAAAGTTTAGTGGTGTGTTAATTTGCAGATGATTTGATTCTGCTTTTAACTTGTTTAAGGACAGTGATCTCTGTTTAATGCCACACTGAAAGTACTATGTGTTCATAATAAACAATTTCTGAATGATCTTATGAGCTCATTAGTATGTCTCATGTGGTTTATTGCTTTAAAATCTCATAATCAACTATGGTCATTTTTTTCTGCACTAGAATGTAGGTCACTGAGCTCAAATTTATTTCTTATTTTTTTTTGATAGGGTCTCACTCTGTCATCCAGGCTGGAGTGCAGTTGTGCCATTATGGCTCACTGCAGCCTCGACTTCCTGGGTTCACGTGATCCTTCTACCTCAGGCTCCCGAGTAGCTGGGACTACAGGCACATGCCACCATGCGCAGGTACTCTTTTTGCATTTTTTGTAGAGATGGGGTTTCACCATGTTGCCCAGGCTGATCTCAAACTCCTGGACTCAAGTGATCTGCCTGCCTCAGCTTCCCAAATCCTTGGGATTACAGGCATGAGCCATCGCACCCCAAGTGTATTTCTATACCTTACAAAGTACCTTACACAGTAACTAACCAGCAAATGGCAGATACTCCAGTCATAGATGAATGGATATGAATCTACTGTTGAATACTAATAGAAATTGTAACGGCACAGTTACATTTCTGAACCAATTCTAGAGGTTATACATTCAAAGAAGGAGTATTATTATTAGGTGCCTAAAATTGTTAGTAAAATAGACCTCTTACTATATTTATCTGGATTCTTATATCATGCAAGAAAATATCAATAAACAAGCATGCCAACTATGGTTTTTTTTTTTTTTTTTTTTTTTTGGTATCCCTCCAGATCCAGATCCATTTTCCCTTCTTTTTCCACCTTCCAGGGGGCTGACTTGGATTACATCATTAGACTCCTATGCCCTATGGTTTTCTGTTTGGGTTTGACCAAGGAGAGGACTAGCAAACCACTGCAGAGAAGGGAGAGTCTTGGGTCAGAGTATTGATTCCCTTCATCTCTTTTTCCCTGAGTATCATTTCGAGGCAAATTCTGTCCTTAAGAGAAAGCCACTGCTCCTCCCAAGGCATTAAAATCTGCATGATGTTTTTTTTTTTTTTCTTTTTTTCTGGGCTCTGAGAAACCTCTCTCCCCAACAACGGCTTCAGGTCTAGGAGAGGTGACAGCTCTGCTGCTGCTAGTCCTAGAGTCTTGTGCTATCTTGTGAGATTTCCCTACACCCTGCCCAATCCTGAGTATGTAGTGCCTTGTAAATAAAGACTCCTCAACTTACCCTAATCTGAATGTGCCATCTGTTTCTTGTTGGGACTCTGACTGACTGAGATATCAACACAAATACAATCATGAAACAGGACACAAATTCAGCACTTCACAGAGTTATTGCGGTACTATGTTAATGGGCATGAAAGTTATCAGTAAACTGTAAGTGCCATACCGATGTTGATTGCTATCATTTAGCACAAACTATGAAAAGTTCAGACTATGTCCATACACAGGTGTCTCAACACAAAACCAGTTGACATGGTCTAACTTGATATAGGATTGATGTGGCTGTACTGTAACAGTTGTCCAATAATCATGTTGTAAATAAGTTTTTAATATATTAACAGCATACTATATTGATACATATGTAATCACAGTGTTATCAGACTTATCCAGTGTTAATATGGCTGACCATAGACAAGGTCTCAATATTCCATTATCCGCCAGTCTGTTCCAGATCGTGGGCCACTTGTACATGTTCCTAGTTCGGAATCAATTAAGAGACTAGCTCTGTGAAGAGACGGGAAGCATAACCTTTTTCTGAGTTATAAGTATAAAGTCAGCCCTGCATTCTTTTACCCTGATTGGGGCTGAGCTACATTACAAATCTCCTTTGTCTCTTCAAGCTTAGGGGAGCTTGCAGGAAATTTTCTGTTAAGAATTTATGTTTTTATGAAAAACAATGATACTGAGACACAGAGTGTATGCTACGAAAAAAATAAATACTTTTAGGGTAAAAAAGGAAAAAGGTGGTATTAAAATAAATTTTCCCAAATACTGCTCTTTATATATTTCGTTAGTGACATCTACACAATAACCATATTTTGGGAAGCAATTAAACACCTCACATGGACAAAAATCATATCGGTTTCTTACTATTTGGGCTGGCAGTACCTTATAAAAAGAAAAAAGCATCAAGGCACTGTAGTATGATATTTTTGAGGATGTTTTTCCTATAAAAATCTTCAAATGAGCTGCAAATGGACCCAAACAGACTTATTTTAATATACTCTAGGACCATATATAATAAAAGGTCCTATACTATTTTATAGAAATGGCTTCTGTTGCCTTAGATGAGGTTTACACATAAATCTTTTAACTTTTAGTGCTGCTTGTTTCACTTCTGGTGGATTCTTTTTACAACAATGCCCTGCCAAGCAGTTAATACTACTTCATAAAGGAAGACGCCACCCCTTGACCTTCACGTTTGTGACCCATAATGCAAGGTGCTTCCATCATCTCTATCTTTTCTAGATATCACCCTTCCTTGGAAGTGCAGACAAGTGTTTTGTTTATTTGTTCTTGTTTTGTTTGAGGTCAATTCACTGGCTCCTTTCTCCAGTTTTTTTTTTTTTTTTTAAACACCTTGAAAGCTTCTAATACATCTGCTAGCCAAAACAGTCATTTTCATTACATGCTTGTGGCTGGTCAAAAAGAACAGTTGTATAATTTTTATTTTCTTACCCAGACCACAAACAGGTTATAAAAAGTACATGGCCCTTAAATTTTGGCGGTTCCTTTAAAATTTAGTTCAAAAGCCAACATGAAGAGTCAGATGGAATGACTGTCACATGGAAGAGCTACCAAGCAGATAATAAGTTTAGAACTCTTAATTGAAAATTAACACACCTACATTGTATTCCCAAATTGAAGAAAACGGCTGTTTTGGCTACTGCTATAATAAGATGCTGCATACTTCACATGCTGAATCTGGAAGGGGGAGCAATTCAGTCCTATCTGACGGTTGTTCCTAAGCTTTAGTATAACTTCAAAGATGAGGGTATGAAATTCCGTCATCGTCAGAGAGATCCTGCTTTCTCTTCCTTGGGTTGCAAAGTTAGTAAATATTAGCCTTCCATTTTAACTAACTCGTTGAGCTTGTCTCCAATAGAAGATTGAATTATTGGCCTCAATCCTTTCACATCCCTAGTAGTATCATACATTCACGCTCCAGCCATGGCCTCACATAGGTGGAAAGTATTTTCCTACCCCTTGACTTTGGGCTTGGCCACAAGACATGTTTTGTCTAATGGGCTATAAACAAATGTGACAAGAGGAGAGATTTTGAAAAGTGTTGTTTGTGCTTCTGTCATTGCCTTGTGCTACTCTGTCATACCCCGAGTAGCTGATGTCCCTTCAGCTTGAGTCTCAGAAGAAAATATGTGGTATAGACCCGAACAGAACCGACGGCCTAGAGATAAGCATAGCTAAACCATTTCCAGCCATGATTGGCCAAACCCTACCAAACTGCAGCTCCATGAATAAATCAATATTGTTGTTATTAGCCACTGAATTAAATTTTTTTGGTTGTTTATTGTGCAGCAAAATGGACTGATATGAACTGAAATGTGGTTTATAATCAATACAATCCAGTAAAGTTCTACTAAATGTATGTCTATCAAGCAAAAGAAAAAAAACAGATGATTAGAAAGTTGTCAAATTCTTCTAACAAAGTCCATATACATACCAGGTACCAGAATGAGTTATCAATAATTGCCTAGGGGTAAGGGTTAGAAATAAAAAAAGTCAAGTTGAACCCACTAGGTCGTATTTCCAGGTTTTCAAGCAGACTGTTCTGGTTTGCAATATTTGAAAAGAGTCTGCTGTGGTATGCTAATGACTGTGAATTCTGTGGTCTTTGGAATAGTTCCAAAATGCTAAGCTCAAGTTTAAAACAAAATTGGATTCTCAAATATCTTTCTTGCTCAGAAAGGATTTAAGTCCTTTTGTACAGAAAGGAACAAACAAGTGATAAGGTACCTTTTGGGCTTTCTATTACCTATGTTTCCAGAGTGGTAAAACTGGATCTCTCTTGTTTTCAGTCATATCTACAGGTTCCCTCCTAAGGATGATCCTTCCTGGTGGCTTCTGTTTACAACAATGCCACGCCAAGCAGTTAACACTACTTCGTAAAGGAAGACTCCACTCCTTGACCTTCGCATTCTTGACCCATAATGCAATGTGCTTCCACAATCTCTATCATTTCCAGACATCACCCTTCCTGGGAAATGCTGACAAGTACGGACTGTGCTAAAGGGTGGAGGCTGTCTTTCACCTCCTGCCACCAACAGCTTATTTGAGGAGAGTTTAAGAAAGAAGATTTTACCAGAAAAGTTCCAATTTCATGTGCCTCTTTATATGCTTTTTCTGCTTCTTATGTAGTCTCCAAATTTGAATGACAGTCTTCCTAACTAGTAACCTTGGAGGAATATAGGAGACCAAGTGAGGAAGCTATCAAATAATTTCTTAACATCAACATTATTGAAACATAGTAACTCATTGTTTTACATTGGAGGCTAAATAGAATGATATGTTTTAAAATGGCTATCTCCATGGGCTTATTTTTTTTTTCTCATCTGATAAGTGGATTCAATGATTTCCAAGATTTTGTTTTCAACTCTGTGATTCTATGGTCTCTGGATACTGTAGTTCCAACCTTCAAGAGAAGAGCACATCTAATTAAAGTTCGAGACAGCGCCAAAAGATTAGCAGCTACGGTCACATTTAATGAGCAAGTCGAGTGAAGGCATTTTTCCCATTGTCTAGGAGTCACCTCAATAGGATGGAAGATGCACGTTCTATACAGTCTTATGACCAGCCTGTTCCTCAGCATATTTTTCCTTTAAGTACCAAACAGGTATATGAATTTAGAATATAAAAAGAGGGTTGTGATAAGTTGATATTTTCTTCTCCAAAGTTTAAATATTTGAATAGTTCACCAGCTGTAGCTTTAAATAGTGGGAAATAATGCAGCTAGAAGAACCATACAGGGAAAAAGAGTGAGTTGAAAATTCTCAGCTCAGTGGTTATCATCAAGTTTGGTTCCTGTCAGCCTCCAGCGACTGTAGGTGGTGCTTATAGGTATTCATCAATAAAAGGTGCATTTGAGGGGATTTCCAGCATTTTGCTTCGGAGGAAATCATTTATGTCAAAAGATTAAAACTGCTGTTTTCAATTGCTTAATTGAGTATATATTGAGGTTAAGGTTAGTGAAAGTGGTAAAGCAGAATGAATACATTGCTTATTACAGTCAAGAAATGTTATACAGAAATGAGAAAATGTACAAACCCCACCAGCCATAAATAAGGAAGTGGTTAGAATGTCGCTCTCAGCCAAGGGCCCTAAGTCCCTTTGTGTAGGTTTGGAAAAATTTATGCCTGTCTAGCAGCTTGTAGCTGTGGAGCAGAGTTGGCTGACCAAACTTTGATTCCTTCTCTGACCATGTTCTGCTAGCCTTATGTCCTTCAGTAAATGACAGTTGCCATAAAAAACAATGAGGTTGTTGTATACTCCATCATTCCCACTACTTTGAGATCTTAACAAGATCACATAACCATCTGAACTTGAAGACACAGACTGAATTCAAATAATTCAGGCTAAGACATGTGCTGATAACCTAAGAAAAATTATTGCTAGACTCCTAAAATAAATACTATGAGAAAGAGGCCACTTTCACACATATTTTTAGCTTGAAAATGTGTATCTGCATCAATTGTTAAAAAAAACCTTTTTTTTGGATAAATGGGAAAGTATAATAAATTCAATTTTATTTTTAGGACATGAATGGATGATAATTTGTGGGCACAAAAAAGAATAATTTGCTAAGCTTTAGTAGCAGTGTAATACATTAAAATGCCTGTATCTCTTGCTCTAAATGAATCAATTTTAAATATATATGAATTGAATGTATCAATTGAGATCTTAAAATGAGCAATGAATGTGGTAATACCAGGTACAGATAATTTATGTGTTCTAATATTATTTAGAAAAGCATGCCATAAGCTGTTCTTAGCTAAAACCACCATAATTGAGAAAGAAATACTTGAGAAGAGATTAGATATTCTCTACTAGTTGAATGGAGCAGTGAAAAGTAGATTTTGGTGTCGTGGTTTTATGAAAAAGAAACATCAGAAAATAAAGTTCTAAATCATTTCCATTAAACAAAAACAAAAAACAGAGTTTTTGGTATGGCTTGGCTGTGTCCCCACCCCACAATCTCATCTTAAATTGTAATCCCCATAACCTCCATAATCCCCACGTGTCAAGGGAGAGACCAGGTGGAGGTAATGGAATCATAAGGGCAGTTTCTCCCATGCTGTTCTC
The DNA here is from genome assembly GCF_000001405.40 of Homo sapiens. Taxonomy (NCBI): domain Eukaryota; kingdom Metazoa; phylum Chordata; class Mammalia; order Primates; family Hominidae; genus Homo; species Homo sapiens. The sequence goes on from NC_000023.11 coordinate 31,606,083, forward strand.
ATGATAGCGGGATCTGATGGTTTTATAAGGGGCTCTTCCTACTTCGCTGGGCGCTTCTCCTTCCTGCGGCCTTGTGAAGAAGATGCTTGCTTCCCCTTCACCTTCTGCCATGATTGTAAGTTTCCTGAGGCCTACCCAGCCATGTGGAACTGTGAGTCAATTAAACCTCTTTCCTTTAGAAATTACCCAGTCTCGGGCAGTTCTTTATAGCAGTATGAAAATGGACTAATACAGTAGCTTTGTTTAAGCAACATAAGTACTGAAATGAATATTCAAATATAAATCATATAGGTGGATAAACTGATCTTATGAAATGGGGTTCTGTCATAGTTTTTGGTTACAATAACACACAACGTACAATGTTATTGATTACTGAGTTAGCTAAGAGGACTTCTCCTGTTATAATATTATACATAATATCACAACACAGTTGCTTTCGTTATAAAATAAAGTAACATGTACATTCTATCTGAGATTAAGAGACCAATGGTGAATATATTCCTCTTCATGGGATCACTGCACTAAAACCCACGGCTTTTATTTATTTTACAAAAATTTCTAGTTAATGATCTAAGGATTTAGCTTTTTATTTTTTCACCAAACCAAGGTATATATTGACTGGAAGTATTCTGAAACTATTATATAAAACAAAACAGCTTTTGACTTTTTTGTATCAGTTGTTTGTTTGAAAGTTGTTCTTCAAGTGGGAACATGTTTTCTTCCATTTTAAATTGCAGTCTTACAGATCTGTAGTTTTCTTTTCATGGGGACAAAATTCGTTTTAAGAACTCTGGTATATAAATCTCTGGAAGAGAGCATTCACAAATAAATTCCGATCAACAGATTGCATACATTTCTCAATCAGCTGTGCAGACTGAGCATTTTCACGGCTCCAGTCATTTCATAAAGATGATTCAGAATTAATCAGTCCTACTGCTACTTTTATTATTTATATATTCACAGTATTGACAGATTTCATTTTCTTCCCACTCTTTACTCCTCCTCTATAGGAATAACACTCATGATGTGGTGCGGGCAGCAGGAAGACCTATCATCTGACTTTCTTTCTTTAAGGCATCACTCAACTAATCCTGAGAACCTATGAACAATAATGGTGGATATGCAGATTCACATCAAACTTCTGTTTGGTTCTTCAAGTGTTCTCTCCAGAATATGAAGTCCACTAATTCTTTAGACCTCAGTAGAGGTATGTGAAGCATGTAGTAATAACAATGGCTACAATGACACATAAATAGTTATGGCTGCAATCGCTATAGGTACTGGAACAACATTCCTCTAGGAACAATGACATCAAGAAGCCTTGCAGAGAGCCAATCTCCCAGAATTTTGAGCAATCAAACTCCTTGTGACATTTTAGAATGCACTGCATCTTCTCTTAGGGTTACTAAAAACTACAACTATACCTAACTCACCTAGCAACAGTTCATGCCGCTAATTCATTTTAAAGATACATTAACAGTAGTCTTTTCATATGTCTCTTTGAATTGACTTGGCTGTGTCTCTTGAAAGGCTCAAATTTGATTAGGCCAAAATGCAGAGGAAATTAATGTTATTCTCTTGTGCCATTTCCCTAAATTCAGAAATGTAAAGAAATACCAATTTCAAATACAGACAAGTCTAATGTTAAATGAAGTCTGAACATATAAAAAGATTGTCGTCAAGACAAATCCATTGCCTGGTTTTCTTCAGCTGACATCTATTTTTATGTAGACGGTATGACTTAGATTCAGGGACTAAACATGAAGAAATTCAGAATAATCCAATTATTCAAAAGGCATGCAAAAACTATTATTTAAAAAATCTCTTTTCACAGTGTTTTTGTTTTGAGTACTATAGCTTTGTAAACATTTAATTATCTAGCTTTATGGGTTTCGTTTTAATGATTGTGCCAACAAATGATAACAATAAATCCATGCCAATTTTGGAAGTATTTCTAATATTATATAACAAATTGGAAAGGAATTTTGTACATGATTATCTCTAGGAAGACAAACCACAAGAGTAATTAACAGAGCTATGATTCCATTATCATCACAAGGGTTAAACCAGAAGTTCATGTTCACTATTTTCATATATCTCACAAACCCAAGTATCAGTTCAGTTCTCCTGGAAATTCATGAAGGATTAAAACAAAACACATTATTAGGCAATATTTTGATATAAGGAGTGGGTAGCTAATATGTTTTCCAAAATTTAGTACAGAAGTGTGTGTATCATCTCAAGATTGGCGGTAACACATGTTACTTACAAAAAAATGAGCAGAAATAAACAGTGTGTTTATGATGTATAAATAAAATATAATGACATCACTAGACAAGGGAACATCTACTTTTTGGAAATTTATTTAGGGCAGTGAACCATTAAAAAATAAAACATAGGCTTTATATTTTTATCATACAGATGGCTAATATTATTAATTTTCAATATGCATTTAGGAAAAACCAAAGTATATTTACTATTTCAATTAGCTATTGTCACAGTAATGTAGAATAAAGCTCAATGGCTTTATGCAACAATCATTTCTTTTCCTGGATGTGAATGGCTAGTGCAGCCCTGCTGTTCATGTCTTTTATCGTTTTCCTGAGACCAGCAGCCTAGATGGACGTGTTCTCAGAATGATAGCAGAAGCACAAACAGGAATGTATAGATCTCTTAAGGCCTAGGCTGAAAACTGTCACCTCTCACTCCTGCTCATTTACCATTTGCTAAAGCAAATCACATGGCCAACCCCTAAGACTAGGGGTTGGGAAGTACATTCCACTCATAAGGAGGCATTGTTAAGGTTGTGATTGCAGAAGGTGGAGAAGAAATGGGATTAATGATTAAATCTACTACAGCTACATAACAGTTTCTTTAAAGCAGATGATATATTGTGGAACATGACAATGATGTGTACTTACTTATATCTTTGACTGAATTCTTCAGGGTGTAATTTTTGCCACAATATTTACCCGTGCTAGATGATTGTTATGTATTTTTATTGTTATCAGTGATTAACCTGCTGCTAAATTTAAGAAATAGAGAATCTTACTTTTTTTTTCCAGATTCTTGTATAAGGAATTAAAAGACATATTTTACTGGAGGCAATCCTTTAACAGCGGATGTGAGTATAGGCAGACTGATGCAATGTCTAGTCTAGGGAGCAGAGCATGCCATCTGAGTCACGAGTCTTGTCTTACTCAACTCTGGAGTTACTTACTTGAAGAGCATATACTATATGGGAATTATAAGACAACACTGCCCCTAAGGAGTTTGGGAAAATTATTTTCTTTTCCAATACAATATGCAAGAAAATATTTCACATCATGAGATTTAGTCACTTCCTGTAAGACAACCAGAGCAAAAAGTCTTCTTAGTCAGATACACCATGTAGGCAAACTACTCTCTCATCACCTGTGCATGCACGTGTGTGTGCGTGTGTGTGTGTGTTTGTGTACACATTCTGTCTGTTTCCAATTACAACTTACTTTTCTCATCTCGTCTTTCAAATTCTTGTTTTTCTGGTGGTGTTCCATTTTTGTAAATAGAAAAGTAAAAGAAGAGTGTGCTTAAAAACCTGCTCAGAGGGTGAATTTCAAATTGGCGTCTCTATTAGAGGACTAATTTGCTTTCTATGTGCAATCCTGGTGTGATCACTGTTGCATATGTTACTGGATTTCAACTCCTCTGCCCCTACCTAAACTCATTTTGAGACTCTCACATGGTAGGTCGATAGCCTGAGTTTTATGGAGCTCAAATGCTGACATGACTTCTGTCAGACTTCTGGTGTCACATTTGGTGAAGCACCAGGAGAATATTCTACCATATTTCTCTTTCCTTTGTTTCACTAGGCCAGAGTAGTCCTCTCTCCCTTGGGTTATCAGACTTTACACACTAGCAAAGCATATGATTGGCATTTTTCTCTTGCTTATTACCCACTCCATTCCTCTCTCTCTGTCTCTCTCTCTCCCTCTCCTTCCCATTCTCCCTCTGTCCTTCCTGTTCTCCCTCTCTCCTTTCTATCCTCCCTCTCTCCTTCACACTTCTCTTCTCCTCTCTCTGTCTCTCTAAAATCAACTAATTATTTTCCATTTTAATCACATTCATAAGTCAATATATTTTATGTGCAAAGAAATACATATTCAAGAAAAAAGTTCAAATAAGTAAAACGACAACAAAAACCTGTTTCAGAATAAAATAATCTTCTTTGCTAGAACTAACCAAGTTCTAGCTGGTGTCTTTAAGACACAAATTTGGCTAGAAAGTTACTAATTAATTTGTAAAATATACCTGAAGGAGTTGTGCCTTTTACGGGATACTTAGATAATCTATTCACCATCAGTCAGGGGTGGGTAATAACTCTCTGACTACTCTTCTGTACTTTTTATCTTATATACAGTCTTTCAGACAGAATCTATTTCAATACAGTAAACACACATACACATTCCAAATCAAATCAAAACAAAACCTTTTTTCCTTCTCTTGATTAACTTTACTTTTGAGAAATTGATTATAATGAAACATGTTTAACAAAATGCATTTTTATGATAAAGAGAAGATTCCCTAAATCAAGACTGAGACATAATTGTGAAAAATTCAGCCAGTATTATAATTGGATTAAGTTATGGGATTCAACCTGAAAAAAGAAATTTTTATTCTGATATTGTAATTTGGTCATATTAGGCTAAGATATAATTTAATGTCATGAGTCATTAGAGTGTAACATTGTACTAGTGATCATGGCTCTGATGGAGGCATGGACAGTTTTTATGCAAAGGGAAAAACATGAAAATGGTAATGGAAGCCTTTAGGTGTCATCTGGCTTAGCTTTTCCTTTTGTATCTTCAAAACAGTGGGAAGAATAAACAATACTATTCTTGATTGGCTAGCCACTGGAGATGGGGATACCAAATGAAAAAAATGCTCCAACACAAGCAGGAAGTATTATTTTCTTCATTTCTTTATCCTGCAAAAGCACAGAGACTCTGTCTTGCAGAATCATTTTTTTTTTTTTCAAATTTCAGAGCTGAAAGGGCCATAAGCAAAACATCTGGTCTAGTGGTTCTCAAATTTAAGTGGGCACAAGAACTACCTAGGGGCTCTTTACATATGCAGATTCCACGACCCATCCCCAGAGAGCTTCTGACACAATGCATTTTTAATAAAGTTTCCAAGTAAAGATGGTGTCCGTGGTATGTAAACCTGGAGAAACATATCTTTTACCTAGATCCATCATTTTTCAGAAGATCAACCTGAGATCTCCAACAGCACTGACTTCCCCAGGATTACAGAGGCTAGTGTTTAGGAACAGGACCCTAACTTCTTGACTTAAAATAAGATATTTTGCACTCTCTAAATACCTTAATACTTCTATTAAAAAAAGTTTTAGAGTCTGTTAGCTGAAGAAGCTGTGCCTTTTTAAGGATACTTAAAAGCGAATAGGCTTTTCCCCATTTTTGTATTGTGGCAAAATATACACAACATAAAATTGATCATTTTAATCATTTCTTTTTGATTTGGGATCTTGACCATGCTGGGGTACAGTGTCATTCACTGCTTCCTCCAGTTCCTGGGTTCAAGGAATCCTCCTGCCTCAGCCTCCAGTGTGTCTGGGACTACAAGCATGAGCTCCCACACCCAGTTAATTTTTGAATTCTTTGTAGAGATGGGGCCTTGCCATGTTGCCCAGGCTGGTCTTGAACTCCTGAGCTCAAGTGATCCTCCTGCTTTAGCCTCCCACAGTTCTGGGATTACAGAAGTGACCCACAATGCCTGGCCATTTAGCCTTTAAATTTTTTTTATGGGTACATAGTAGGTGCATATATTTACGGGGTACATGAGATATTTTGATATAGGCCTACAATGTGTAATAATCACATCAGGATAACGGGGTACCATTTTCTTGACCATTTTTAAGTATACAGTTGAGTACTATTAAGTACATTAATATTATATTATTATTATCGTTGAACCATCACCACTATCCATCTCTAGAATGTTTTCATCATCCCAAACTGAAACTCAGGTACTCATTAAACAATAAGCCCTCATTCTCTTCTTCCTCCAGCTCCTGGTAACATCCTTCAACTTTACGTCTGTATAAATTTGACTGTTGTAGGTAGCTCATACCAGTGGAATCATACAATATTTTTCATTTTGTGTCTGGTTTATTTCACTTAGCATAATGCCTCTAAGATTCACCCATATTAGCTCATCTTTTGATTTGCTGAATTCTTTTAACTTCTTGTTCAAGATGATGTTCTGGCTCTTTAAGAAATGAATTTCTATCATTTGTCCAACTTCAATAGATAGCTGCTAAATGAGAGAAAGCATTCAGAAAGGGCATTCCTGGGTGAATGAAATAGACAGAGCCTGGAGGCCGGCATAGTGATGTGAAATGCATTTTCTACTTAGTTGAAAGTCACTTGAAAAGAAAAAGAAATAGGAAATAAGAGAGACAGGAGGAGAAGAGAAGAGAGATGAACTAAACTGAGAAAAACTAAGACTTTCTTAAGGCTGCGCTGTGCTCAGATTAGTAGGGCTATGCAAATGAGGTTATTAACAGGTATATTCTAAATATTAATTGGTACACACTGGTATACATGGAACCCGATATTATTAAAATACCTTTGGGGCAAACTATAGACAAAGAAAAGCAAATAAAGAAGTGAAATAAAGAAGTAAGCATCTATGTTGCTATTCGAGAGGTATTTATCGTGCTTAAGATTTAATTTTAATTTATATAGTTACTGTCATGAGCATTTTGCAGCTTTTAAGTCAGAAGGGAAGTTATTTAATTTATGTTTTATTGTAGAAAAAAGTTTAAAGTTTTAAAAACATCAGTATACTGGTGTATCTCCAATTGTACACTTAGAGGCAAGGCCTGGTAATGCTTTCGAGAAGAGGTAGGGCTTTGGCCAAGAGTTGAATTTTCCAGGTAGACAAGGAGAGAAAGGGTATTCTGAGCAAAGATAACTTCTCTTGACTGGGATAATGACTACTTGCTGTTTAGTATTCATTCAGCTCAGTGTCATTTATAAGAAACTTTGTATGGCAGCTTTAATTAAATGGCATCAAAACTTTTTGATACTTCTCCATGGAAAGGTGGAGTTTATGTTCTCATCCCCTTGAATCAGAGCTCTGTCACTGATTGACAAATAGAATATGGGAGAAGCAAAACCATTCTTGCTTTTAGGGCAGGCCTTGAGAAGCTTGCAGCTTTAATTTCTTGTCCCTTAGGATAATTGCTCTTGGGACCCAACTCTTACACTGTGAAAAAGCCCAAACTGCTCCATGGAGAGGTCCACATGAAGAAAAACTGACAGTCAGCACCTATTTTCCAGGCATGTGAGTGAGCCCTCTTGGAAGTGAATCCTCCAGCATCAGGCAATCTACCCCAACTGATATCAACTGAAACAGGGATAAGCAAGCCCCATTGAACCTTGAGCAAACTGTAGATTCATGAACAAAACAAGTAATTTTTACTGAAGCCATGAAGTTTTGGGCTGGCTTGTTATGTAGCAAAAGTTAACTAGAATACCTTCTCTGATCTTACTCATAAGGGATGCAGAAGGTGCCCCTTCTCTTGGATGACTAAAGGACTTTGTACTCTATTATAATATAGCCCTTCCTTCCTTGGCTAGGTCTCTCTGTCCTCCTGCCCCAAGCCCCACCACTATTAATTCCTCTTTTGGGGTAGTTCCATATCTTATCAACTTGTATATTTTCATGCCTGTTTACTGTTCTGTAGAAGATCCCACTTCTTAATAGCTCTTCTTAAAAGTCACATTCAGGAATCCATTCAAAAAGTACATTTTCCACTACGGGTATATATTGCATGAATTTCAAAATTTCTTTCAGGTCATGGATGAAAGATGAATTTAGGGTTGTCTAATCAATGCAATGGTTGCATCCAAATAAGAACACTTGTTTTCCACTCCAAAAGAGAATCAACAATTTACCATACCAGGTGAAGAAGCTACCTCTACTCATTGCACTTTTTAAAACTGCATTGCACAGCCATTTTCCAAATATTTGTAAAGCTACTGCAAAAACTAAAAAGGATTTATGGAGTAAATCATGGGAAGAATGCCTGGTCAAGTGGTTCATAAATATCCAGGTCTCATTCTATTTGGGGTCACAGCCTTGAATTTAATCCAATATTGAATTGTTGAATTGGGAGCAAAGAATTGAGGTGAAATGTGGTTGGCTCCTGAGAGCAACTGAAATGCTGCTTCCTGCAGAGAATAACTTTCTTTGTAACTCCCAGAGAATAATATATTTGCAAAGGTGTTGGAGGTGAATAGATATTAGAGAGGAAAAAGTAAAATCTTTAGAGAACTGAAAGATTATATTTATGTGACTCAGATCATTGTAAGTTATTATAATGCTAATATTGAATAGTCAATAGTCAACATGCTAACAGACCTCTCAAGGACAACCACAGACTCAGGAGCAAACAAAAGTAATTTGTTGCTTTCTCACTATCAAGAAACAGACATTCTTCCATCTAGACTAATATGATCTCCAGTGGGAAATGATTTATGTCTCTTACATTCATGAAACTCTCTCTCATAACCAGGCGTAATGACTTCTTTTACCTCTTCGGAGAATGGCTGATTTATGCACAGACCTTTGTGCAATAACTTTTCTTTAAAGATTGATGCTGTTAAACATGAAAAAAATGTGAACTTTCTGACATTTTATTTTAATATAATTTAGAAAACCATGTAAACTGCAAAAGGACCTCATGTGGAATGAAAATCACATGCTGATAACCTAAATTATTTTCAATACCATTAATCTTTGACTAATACCTGGAATGTTTTATTATCAGAATTATGAAAGGCACAAGAGAGGCACTAATGTAGTTCATCTTAAAAATAATTTAAAGGACTTAAGATTCTTTTTTTATCCCCTCAATTTACACTTTGAGAATTTTCCAGTAGGATGGGTAGTGATTGTTACCTATCACATAGAGGAATATCATTTTTTTTGTTTTGGTCTAGAAAGTCTGCTCCCAAAGACCAATAACCCTAAAAAATTATTCAAGGTTAGAGGAAGGGAGGAGGAGAAAGTGACACAAAATTCTTTGACATTTTTCTGTGGTCAAACTTTTCCTGACCTTTTCAATTCTTGTTTGGAGAAGAAGTTCTGAAATTATGTGGATCTTGTCCAGGTTCTAATGGAGATCAAAGAAAGTTGGCAAATAGTCCCAGCCTTCTCAATGTTTTCATTGCCACTGCCCCATGGTATGCATTTAAAACAACTTTATTAATTTTATTAACGTTATCTATCAGTCATTGGTGTGATTTCCTGTGTTACTCAGGATGTTTGGGAAAAAGAAACTCCTTTTACCAAACTGTGTTTCAGGCAATCTCAACTTTGGTGTCTGATTGAAAGAGAAGGGCCAAGTCAATGTATTTTCCCAAGGAGGGCATTATGAAAGATAAAATATCTCTCTTACAATTTTCAGTATAATATGTTTGTTATCATGAATGAGGGTATTCAGCCTTGTTTATATCCCAAGACTTTAAAGAGCTTTTCCAAAACGAGTCAATATGAACGCTTAAGAACTAAAATTTATGGAAGATTAACAATTGAAGCTTTCTTTAAACAAAATGGATTTTCAACACTCACAGTAACCAATATTTCAAGCATAGTTTCATTCACACGTCTATTTCTTTCTAAGTAGTTTCTCACACAAATCAAATGAGAATTGTGCTCTCAAGGTGATAGTGAAATAAACAATACCAAAGTCTATTTATACATATTGACATAAAATTACATACTATATGTATACATAAAAATAAGCCTGAAAATAGTAATAACATAATATTAGCTATGTTTATTGGGTGCTTACCGTGTGCCAGAAACTGTTCCATGCACTTCAGTACATTAATTCGCATCACCCTCACAACAACCTGAAGAGGTAGCTGTCATTACTTTTGATTTATGCTCCATAATCTGAGAGCAATTCAGAAATGCGTCTATGGTCAGTAAGCCCCAGAATCACGATTTAAACTCAGGCAGTCGGGCTTCAAAGTTCACACTATGAAACACTATCCACCCCAGCCTCTCTCTAATGCAATGTCAGAAGTACTAAACGTCATTTAAAGTGCAGAGAAATGCCTATAGGAATTGAGATGGAGACAAGATGTCTTCCAGCTTGGGGGCTCAGGGAAAAAGGGAAGATTCGAAAATGGCTTTCCTTGAAAAGTAGGTAATGTTTGGGTAAGCTTAGATGAAAAAAAGGAATCTCAAGACAAAAAACAAGATCATCGAAAGACACAGAAGTAAGCTGGCTAGCTGTTCATTTTAGTAGGAGTTGAAGGTGCATTGAGAGGTAAAATAAGAAATAAGATTGGAAACGAGACTCAGGGGCAATTGTGGAGAGCCAGGTGAAGGAGTCTGTAGAATATTCTGAAGGGCTTTGAAGTCAAAAAAGGTGTTTGAAGAGGGGAGTCATATATTATTTTCGTTCACTGACAAATACTTATTGAACACTTTTCATGTGACACACACAGTCTTGGACAATGGATATATACAAGTGAATAAAGCAGATGAAATCTTTGCTCTCATGGAATTTGCATTGTAGTTACAACCTAAGCTATGTTTTAGGAAGCTTAATTTAAATGGAAATCTGCAAGTTGGATTGGAGCCACTGGTGGGCAGGAATGAGTGGAGGAGGGTAAAAAATAGTAAGAGTGTGAATGAGAGTGGAGGTAAGGGGCTAGTGAGAAAGGAATGGTCATAAAGAATTAGGGAGGCAGAATCTACAGACCTTAAAAATGAACTTGAAAGTGAGGCAAGTAAGTGGGAGATTTAGAAATGACTATATGATCTGAACTCTCTGACTGAAAAGATGGTACCGGGATGAACAGCAGGATAGGAAATAAGACTTGGTATAAAAAATGGCCTATTTGGGTCATACTGAATTTATGTCATTTGTGAGACATTTGAGTAAGAAATGTCCTACATACAGTAAGAAATGTGGGACAGACATTGGAAAGGAATAAAAATGTTCAAATCATTGGATTAAAGGAGATGGAGAAAAGACTGTTTCTAGTATAATAACTAACACATAACTGACAGTAACTATTGACTAAATATCAAATGAAGATAATGAGATTAATGAAATCAGAAAAGAATGCATAGAATTGATACTGTGGGCTTGGTGTGGTGGCTCACACCTGTAATCTCAGCGTTTTGGGAGGCCGGGGCGGGCGCATCACCTGAGGTCAGGAGTTTGCGACCAGCCTGGCCAACCTGGTGAAACCCTGTCTGTACTAAAAATAAAAAATTAGCCAGGCATGGTGGAAGGCGCCTCTAATCCCAGCTACTTGGGAGGCTGAGGCAGGAGAATCACTTGAACCCGGGAGGTGGAGGTTGCAGTGAGCCAAGATTGCGCCATTGCACTCCAGCCTGGGGGACAAGAGCGAGACTTCGTCTCAAAAAAAAAAAAAAAAAAAAAAAAAAAGTCAAAAAATACCAGATGCTGGTGAGGTTGTGAAGAAAGGGGAATGCTTATACCCTGTTGGTGGGAATGTAAATTAGTTCAGCCACTGTGGAAAGCAGTTTGGAAATACCTCTAAGAACTCAAAACTGAACTACCGTTCAACCCAGCAATGCCATTACTGGGTATATACCCAAAGGAATATAAATCATTCTACCATAAAGACACATGCAGCTGTATGTTCATTGCTGCACTATTCCCAATACCAAAGACATGGAATCAACCTAAATGCCCATCAATGGTAGATCAGATATAGAAAATGTGGTACATATACACCAGGGAATACTGTGCAGCCAGAAAAAAGAATGAGATTATGTTCTTTGCAGCAACATGGATGGAGCTGGAGGCCATTATCCTAGGTGAAATAACATAGGAACAGAAAACCAAATACCATATATTCTCACTTATAAGTGGAGCTAAACACTGAGTACATATGAACACAAAGAAGGGAACAACAGAAACCAGGATCTACTCTAGGGTGGAGGGTGGGAGGATGGTGAAGACTGAGAAACTACCTATCAGGTACCATGCTTATTATCTGGGTGACAAAATAATCTGTTCACCAAACTCCCATGACATGCAATTTACCCATGTAACAAACCTGCACATGTGCCCCTAGAGCTTAAAATAAAAGTGAAAAAAAAAAAAAGAAGAAAGAAAGAGGAAGGAATGAGTGCTTAGAGAGACAAGGAGACAATTAGTATAATATATCACCCTGGCAAGTCAAAAGGTGAGACATTTTTCAGTAGGCTGTAGTGAGCAGTAATAACAAAATATGAGTAGATTTCTAGGGCAATGAGGACTTGATAAAAATATTTGCATTTGGTAGTTATGGTGATTTCATAGAGAAGTGTTTCAGTTGGGAGGCAGATGTAGAAACTTGACTTTAAAATGTAAAGGAAAGATGGATGTTTAGGAAGTAGAAATATTTCCACTAATTTCTATTAGATGAGTGATTTGAAGCTTGCTTTTGGTGATCTTGGGTCTTTCCCTGTAATGCTGAGTCAATGTAGAGTAATGGGTAGGACAGTAGAGTTGGTAGAAGATCAGAAAGTCAAACTTAGGTTCAAATGCTGACTTTTCTATATATTCGGGTTGAGCATCCCAAATCTGAAAATCCAAAATCCAAAAAACTCTAAAAGCTGAAAATTTTTGAGCGCCGACATGATTCTCAAAGTAAATGCTCATTGGAGTATTTCCAATTTTGAATTTTGGGGTTTGGGATGCTTAACCCATAATTATAAAGCAAGTAATCCAAAATCTGAAAAAATCTGAAATCCAAAAAAAGAATCAGAAAAAAATTGATATCCATAACACTTGTGGTCCCAAGTGTTTTGGATAAGGGATACTCAACCAGTACTTGTGTGTTACCTTAGTAGAAGTTACCCAGCCTCTCAGTTTTTCCTCTGTACTAAATATACGATGGTATTACATCATGCAAGCAAAGCACTTAGTACACACCTTGGCACATAGTAACTATTTTAAAAAGGTAGCTATTATTATTATTACCCCCCTTAATAATTGAAAAATACATGATGACTTTAATCCCAGAAAAGTAAACATTTATTGTGACAAGCTTTTAGTTTATATAATTGCCCTCCTAACTGGGAGTAATAAAATTTAGTAGTTATTTTAACAAGTAGCAATAGATAAATTACTTAACCTCTCCAATTTTATTCTTCTCAAATGAAAATGGAAATAATAGGAGTACCAACATCACAGGTTTTCACTAAGGATCAAATTAGAAAATGACAGTAAAGATACTTTGCCAATTATGAAACATAAAATATTTAGTTATTATTCTTTATTAATTAATATAACTTTGATCCATTGACTTTTAAGAGCATCCTATTAGATTTACATCTTCAGTTTGACTTTTGTTTAATGGTAATTCATAAAATTAATAAGGACCTTTCACTTGAAAGCTTTTTCAAAGTGCTTTCATATTTATTCCCTTATAAGATCCTCACAAAAGCTCTGCGAGGAATAAAACACAATGGTTATTGGAGGCTAACAAAATTGACTTTTCAGTATGCACAGTGTCTTCTTACCAATGTGGGCTTTTCTTTTGGTTTATAGATATAAAATTACAAAATCCAATAGTTAATTTACAAAGTTATTCAATTTAGTCATTACTTTGTATCATTCTAGATAATTGTTTAATGTAATGGCAACATCCAGAAGTAGGTTTTAAAGGTTTTAATACAATTAACATGTTTACGTATGAATGAGACATGGTTCATGTTACCATGGTAACATGGTCCAAAACGGTACAACACTTAAAATCAAATAGCTAAACTCATATTGCATTAAATTGGGGTGACTGGATGAAAAATGGATTCTAATTTTCTGCATTCAGTCTTTCTTCCTGCAGGAGATAAAAGACCAGTCCTGAACATTTGTCCCCATTGACTCCCTTTTCTAAACTTTTAATTATTTTCATTATTTCATTTCGGATTTTCTCTGAGATCTACAGGAATTCAGGGTCCCAAAATGGAAAATAATAAAGTAACTAAATATAGCAAGAAGACAATCATGTGAGTCTTGAGTATTCCTGAGCATTATAGTCAGAGGTTCTCACTGAACAATAGATTCATGGGTAGAACATGCTACGTTCAATTGAACTGGTATCTATCGAGGGTAGAGACAGTAGTATTGTGAATGAGGATGGGGTTTTTATAGTATCAATATGAGAATAAAAGGAAAAATGAAAATTTCCATGTTTATATAAGAAAAGGAACTAATTATCTTATTGAAAAGAGTTTTTCATGATCTTGGATACATTATGCAAAGACTTTTACTTTTTCCATGACATAATTTTTTTTTTTTTTTTTTGAGATGGAGTCTCACTGTGTCACCCAGGCTGGAGTGCAATGGCACGATCTCAGCTCACTGCATCCTCTGCCTCCTACGTTCAAGCGATTCTCCTGCCTCTGCCTCCCGAGTAGTTGGGATTACAGGCGTGTGCCACCACACCTGGCTAATTTTTGTATTTTTAGTAGAGACGGGGTTTCGCCATGTTGGTCAGGCTGGTCTCGAACTCCCGACCTCAGGTGATCTGCCCACCTCAGCCTCCCAAAGTGCTGGGATTATATGCATGAGCCACCACGCCTGGCCCATGATATGAATTTTATGCCAAAGCTTTGCTAATTCTTTGCCTTTTTCACAATTAGTTTATTAAGAGGGTCCCTATAACTGTCTTTTTGAATAACATGGACAATAGTATCACTTAATACCAATTCTGTACTACAGTAAGTAACATTTTGGTGACATTTAGATATATTTCTGAGTGGACCATGGAGAAATTCAAATAACGACATAAATTTGTGTGTAATATAATTTATTTCTATGGCTTCCATGTTGATGTCCTTCAATTTTAAATCTTTAACCCAGATCTTTTTCCAAACCTTAGATTTACATTCACAACTGCTTCAAGAGAGGTAAGGTTTTCACCTCTGATTTTTCACTTACAGATACCTCAAAATCAAACACGTTCTTGACTTTGCTCCTCACAACTGTTTGCCATCTTGAATTCTGCAACTCATGATTGAGTGAAGACACTACCTTCAGTCAATCATGCCAAGTGGTAAGCAGGCACTGATTTCTCATTTTACCTCACATTTTCTGCTCACCTCCACCTCCCACAAAACATATGACAGTGTTGATTTTATCTCCAAATAGCTCACGTATCTGTTTTGTTTGTTCAACCTCACCACTTTGATCATCAATTCTTGCTTGGCTTATTACAGAAATAATGTCCTAACTGTTGTCCCTGCATGGGTCTCATATCTTTCCAATTCATTCTCCTAACCACTACCAGAATGATCTTTTAAAAACATGTCTGATTAGTCCATTTCCTTGCTTAGAACTAGGCTATGACTTAAAGTGATAAAAGTCCAGAGTCTGAAAAATAGGTGGCAAGGGGCAGAGAGAGCCAGCTTACACTTACTGAGCCCTTCGAGTCCAATAGTCTGCCTCTCTGGTATGCATTTTACATATATCTTATCATTTAAACCTGATAAAATCCTGTGATGTACTCATTGTATAGAAGAGTAAAATTGGGACTCAGAGGTCAGACAATAAGCTAGTAAGTGCTAAATAAGGGGTCTTCCTGCTTACAAGGTCCATACTCTAGCTGCTACATCATGCTGTCTTTCCACATAATTTAGCCCCAGTTGATCTAATTTCATTTCTTGTAGCAACCATACCCCAGCCAAGTTCCTTCAGATTCTCACACTACCACACTGACTAAGCCTTTGGATATGGTGTTTCCTCTATCACGAATGCTCTTTTCAACCCCATGAACCTAAATAACTCCTAACAATTCTTCTAAGGTGACTTTCTCTAAACAGAGGTTCTCACTGGACAATAGATTCATGGGTAGGACATGCTATGCTCAATTCAGTTGGTATCTATTGTGGGCAGAGATATTTTTAAAATCTCCCCCAGTGCATAAGCAAGGTTAAAATCCACCGTTCTAGGTGAGTTTCCTGGCCTCTTTGGAAGGTTTAGCCTAGTCTTCTGTTTTTGCTAGACCCTGTCCAGCTCTCTACTGTAATTCTCATAATGCTATTATAATTTTGTCTTAGGATGTATGTCTTCACCTCTGGAATGTGAACCTCTCAAAGGCAGAAATAATGTTAAAATACAGAGGCTTTTGAATATATGTTACAAAGTGATCCAGTATTTCCACACCGACAGACACACACACACACACACACAAATACACACACACACAAACCACCGAACCAAAGTTTTACGAACAATATTGAAACTTACTTAAAAGTGATGGACTCCTTATTTCTATTCTATTTTACTAATTTCATTCATTTCTATCTTAAAAATATGGATTGATACTCATTAAAGTGATTATACAACCCAGTACTTTTACTGAACTGTTTTTGAAAAGCACCTTTCTTGGGGCCCTTATGATGGAATTAGTTCCCTTATAACAAGAGGAAGTGTCATCAGAGCTCTGTCTCTCTTTGCTATGTTAGGACACAGAGAGAAGGAAGCCATCTGCAAACCAGGAAGAGGGGCCCTCACCAGGCCCTGATCTTGGAATCCCAGCCTCCAGAACTGTGAGAAATAAGATTCTGTTGTATAAGCCTTCTTTCCCTTACCCACCCCCCAAAAAAGAAAGAAAATCATCTCTCTGAACATGTTTGTATCACCAGACCTAACACCACGACACATGGCAGGTGTTTAGCAAAGATACGCTGAATTAATAAAAGTTCTCAGAAAAATTTTATATATATATATATATATATATATATATATACACACACACACACACACACACACACACATATATGTGTATATAATTTTTAAATATCCAGAGCAGAAGGCATTCATCGCCAGGCAAAATAAAAATATCAAAATTCACTTTCACACTCTTTAGACAACAATCAAAATAGAAAGATTAAAAAATACATATAAAACTCAATTCAAACTAAAGCAACAGGAAGGAATACACTAAAGGTTTCTTCTCCTTAGAATTAGGGATCCTTAAATTGCCTCTGCATTCTCAGATAGTCCAAGAAATACGATACTCCAATTTATTCAAGGTACTAATTGTGCTACTAAGATTGCATTCTTTCTTCTTTCTTCAGAATTAATCCGTGCGCCAAAATTTTGGTGAGAAACTTCTCCAATTTTATTTTATTTTATTTTAATTTATTTTTTTGAGACAGAGTCTGCTCTTTCACCAGGCTGGAGTGCAGTGGCGCCATCTCGGCTCACTGCAACCTCCACCTCCTGGGTTCAAGCAATTCTCCTGCCTCAGCCTCCTGAGTAGCTGGGACTACAGGCGTACTCCACCACACCCGGCTAATTTTTGTATTTTTAGTAGAGACGGGGGTTTCACCTTGTGGCCAGGATGGTCTCGATCTCTTGACCTCGTGATCCGCCCGCCTCTGCCTCCCAAAGTGCTGGGATTACAGGCGTGAGCCACCACACCCAATTTTAATAACATATTAGAAATCAAAGATATCTTAATTCATAGGTGTACTCAGATGTACAATTCAAACTTTATGAAACTTGTCTCTCTGGAAATGTTTTATTCATCAGAAGACAATTTTTATAATGGGGGGATTGAGAGGAGACGTAGGTAAAACACGAGATTAGGGAAGGGAGTGATTTGAAAGATATGGCCTGAGACATGACCCAGATCACAGATGAAGGTATCTCATATATTTATTGCTCCTTAGTTTGTCTTGCTGAGAAAAATATGTTAATTACACCACCTTTATGAACATCATAAAGGTCACCACATACCCACACCCCCACATTGTCTTTACAAGCTAATATTACAATGATCTCTCAGGGGTACTTAGAGAACCACTTAATATTTGTGAAACTCTTGTGAAATATTCAGAAAGACAGAGTCTTTCCATTTTCAGTTAGTTACCCAGGGTTTTATGGTAGTACTTTGAACCATGAACAGCTTTGTCAACTCTTCTTAGGCCCAAAGCAGAAAATGTTTTGGATAGAGAAATAATCCGATTCAATTACGAATATAGTTTTTTTATTTAAAGGATAAATCTGCAATTTAAAAATCCTGAAACTTTCACCCCTAAAGGCTTTGTATGGCGTTCTATAAAAATACATTTGCTTAAAAATTCCAGTTAGCATATCAGAAATAACAATATTTATAAGAAACACCCCCTTATCCTGAAGTACAAGGACGACGGTAAAGTTCTTGATTTTAGTAAGGAAAGTGAGTTACACCTTTTTATAATACGGGAGGAAATTCTAATGTCTTTCAGAGAAGAATTAATCATGTTAATTCCATTCAGAATGTATATGCTTTATATTACATGTATGTTTAAAGAATCTATGAATTATGATTATTGCTGAGAGAATAAATATCTTACGAAGTGGCTGATAGACGAAAGTGATAGGTAGTCTAGCAAGAGCTGGAGTCTCCATATATAGAAAAACGGATTGACAGTCTTAGAGAAAAACACATTTTGTGAAGGTTTTCACCCTCTCTCTTCATTCACTAGCATTTGTATGAAGTAAATCATCACTACTTTTGGGGTAGACAGATATATCAAAATCTGTTGGCAGAGCTGTTGCTTTGGCTAGGCATTTCAAATTTCCTTTTTTTTTAATATATGAGAACTATGATTGCTATACAGCATGAATCTATGAATACAATGCTACCAGCTTCTTCAAATGAAGTGAAAAAGCATGCCATTTCACTTTTCTCCTACCTACATATTATAGAAAATTCCTTTTGTTCAAAATAAAAATTCATAGAGGAAAAAAAGCAAACACTTCCATTTAGCTGAAATACTGAAATTGCATGTAATCTCTTAAGGTATGCTGCTTTATTTATTTTCAAGCTCGGCATTTCCATTTGTTGCTCTTCAACACCAGTTTCTTGACTCAATTCAATCAGCTGAAATGTGCCATTAACAATAATCAATAGTTTCAGTAGTTCACCGTTTTACCATGACATCTCCGAGTCTTTCATCAAAAGATCATTATCCAACCATCTAACTAAAAATCAGGAGTTGGCTATAAATGTCATTTCAATCCATAAAATGTAGTTTAAACCTTGGGCAAGTGGATTTATAGAAAATACAATATTAGCTGCCAGGGAAGAGGGAAACTGTCTCTGTTTTAAAATAATTTTGGAATCTTAGTTAACCTTATTATAGTTAAGACGCAAATGTTGAGGTTTTCAGAGGCTCTATGGGAGTTTTATCTGGATTTTGAGAATAAATGTAGTTTATCACTTTGGGGTTGAGACAGTAAAAAGCCCCTGCCTTATTCCCAAGCTCTCTCTTTTTCTACCTCGGGTACACTGAAAGTTATGTGTAATATGTGCCTTAGCTCAAAGATGGAAAAGAGTAGCCTGATCGACACTGGACTTTATGTGAGCAACAAATAAACTGTGGTTTGGTTAAGCCACTGGACAAAAACGAATAAATACATTTTCTTGAGTAACATGGGATAAGCTAAGACATTTTCTCAGCATAATTTCCAACTGCTTTTGAAAGAGAGATCAGAAATCTAAACATAAAATATTTATTTTCCATGCTTCCATAGTAAATATAGTTAGGACACATGGTGAATCTTCCCTTTAATGATTCAGAAGCTTGCAGTTTCTTGAGATTAGAAATAGAGATAAATTTTCATTATATAATACAGCAGATATAAATACAAATTGTATAGTAGAAAATAGACGTATTTTTGCCCTCAACTAGATTTAAAGATATGTTTTATTAAATCCCTGACATAAAATAATTTTTTAGTCATTGGGTTATTCTTTATTTTTCAAAGTAATCTGCTAAAAATAGACTAAAATAGACTTAATCAAAGCTTATTATTTACCTACCATAGCTGATGGGTAAAATGTAAACCCATGTATTTTTATTTATTTATTTATTTGTTTTGAGATGAAGTCTCACTTTGTCACCCAGGCTGGAGTGCAGTGGCGCCACCTCGGCTCACTGCAACCTCTGCCTCCTGGGTTCAAGCGATTCTCCCACCTCAGCCTCCCAAGTAGCTAGGATTACAGGCGCAGGTCACCATACCCAGCTAATTTTTGTATTTTTAGTAGAGATGGGGTTTCGCCATGTTGGCCAGGCTGGTCTCGAACTCCTGACTTCAGGTGATCCACCCACCTCGGCCTCCCAAAGTGCTGGGGTTACAGGCATGAGCCACCGCATCTGGCCGGGAAACCCACATATCTATTAAAATTCTGGAGTAGCTTTATCAGCATTTATAATATTTTATAATAAAATTTTATTTATGAAATAGCCTAAGCCAAATATATTACAGTGGTACATTGTCTAACCATACATCGAAGAGTGAGCAAAAAACTCTACATTTGCATTGCCCTTATATTCTATCACAAGCCATGGGAGATATCTATAAAGTCTGATACTGTTCCAAACAAATTACCTCCAAATGATCAAACTAACTCAACACGCATTTTGGAGGAGAAAGTGGGGTCAAAGCAGGATGATGAAGCAAGAACGATAAATTCAGGAGCCATACATTGCCACTGTTACGTACTCTATGCAACAGAGCAGCAAAGTAGATCAACTATCATATCAAAAAAGAAAAACAGGAGAAGGAGAACGATAGGAGGGAGAGGAGAAGAACTTCTGCTTATTATGATTTGATTCTGGAATTATTCAAACTAGAATATACTTTTCATAATAGTTTAAAAATATCATAATAGTTTCATAATAGTTTTTCATAATAGTTTAAAAATATCAAAAAATAAAGTTAGTCTAAAAAATCAATCATCTTATTATAATGATTTATATCCAAATTGTATTTGAGAGACTAGTAAAGTTATTATATCAAGTCAGAAAAACCAACTATACATAACAAAACTCCATAATAGTTCAGGAAAATTATATCAGGTATTGAGAATAAACTTTAAGAGCCTCCTTGTACTACAGAATATGATTCTCACCAAGACTTCATTTAAACAAAACTACCCCACGTTCTGTTTTCACTGTTTATGCATATGGAACTTTATGGAAATAATTTTTGTTTCTAGGAAAAACAATTGTCTGAAAATTGTTTGATCATTAACTACGACAAATTCAGCCATCTCATTCTTATTTTCACAGATCATGTTAGGAAGAAAGCTACAAAATGCCAGATTAACATTTCAAAACATATTTGAAAGTAATGAAGGGAAACTGATTCAGTTAGCAACGCTAAATAAAACAGACAATTCATACAGATGCTTTCCCTGTAAAATATTAAATAAACACTCAAAAATGTCAACTTTTAAAATTTAATAAACCAATCCCTAAGTTATTTCTCTGAGCAAAGTTTCTCCTTGACCGAAGCTCTGGTTTTATATGCAAATGTTTTCCTGGTCAGAGCATGTACTTTTTCTAAGACGAGGGTGTTAAGTGGAATTATAAATGATGTTTCCTTCTCCCTCTGCCTCTCTCCTCCTTGTCCAAATACCGAAATACATCAGGCTGTATAAAAGCAACTATTTTGTTTTGTCCCTGGCTTGTCAGTTACAAGTACAAATGCTGAGAATTGTTCAATTGGATCCACAAGAGTGCTAAAGCGGAAATGCCTGACTTACTTGCCATTGTTTCATCAGCTCTTTTACTCCCTTGGAGTCTTCTAGGAGCCTTTCCTTACGGGTAGCATCCTGTAGGACATTGGCAGTTGTTTCAGCTTCTGTAAGCCAGGCAAGAAACTTTTCCAGGTCCAGGGGGAACTGTTGCAGTAATCTATGAGTTTCTTCCAAAGCAGCCTCTCGCTCACTCACCCTGCAAAGGACCAAATGTTCAGATGCAATTATTAAATATCAGAATGGTGCACCTAGTGAACTCCATAAAAAGAGAAAGATGGAGGAACTAAATTGTAATATACCAACAATGGGGTGAGTTGTTGCTACAGCTCTTCCTTTAAGCAACAACTATAATATTGTGCAGTCTATTTACTTTCATTTTTATTTAACTTAAAGGCGTTTGTATGGGGGAAGGCATGCAAGAATGACAATTACAGATTTCTATAAACCCCTCTCCACAGAGGAGGTTTCATATATATATGTGAAATATATATACATATATTTGAACATGTGAAAGTTCAAAGTACCTTTTTTTCAATTTTGTAGTTTTTGTTGGTCAATTTTGAAAGCTTATTTTTAATATACTGCCAAATTTGAGACAAACCTTTATAGTTAAAACCCTAAAATCCCTGTACCATGCTTGTCTTTGATGCTGCTCTGAGGCAGAAAACAAGGATTTGATATGCAAGGAGAAAAGTCAAGAAAATACAAACCTAGAATCAAAAGGAAAAGACTAGAGGAAAAGACAAAAAGAAGGGGATTGGAGGGCAAAGGAAGAAAGACTTAACAAGTAAAGAAATAACATTTCATAGAAACTATCATTTTGTGCAAACTATCATTTTGCATGACATCAGTTATAATTATTGTGTTAGTTTCATATTTAACTACTTGATCATACAACTGAGAACATTTTCCAAAATAAAAATGTTATGTGTAATGAAAAAGAGTAGAGTTTTAAAAACTAGGCAGATCTGAGTTCAATTCCCAGTGTTCTTTACCACTTACGTGATATGGCAAGTTCCCTCTCTGATTCTCAGTTTCTCATCTGCAATATCTATTGCTGTGATGAGAATTAAAATAAAAAATTCCTGTGAAGTTGAGTGCCCCACGTTATACAGTTATACATTACAGTTACTCAAAAACATTAGTTCCTTCTACCCATATCCCATTTCCCCATTCCTGTAATATTTTAAAAAGATGAAACAAACTCTTTCATGACAAAAACTCTAAAAATGTATTCATATTTTTGATCATATATATATATATATATATATATATAAAATGCATGTATTGTGGATACACACACATATGCCCTCAGCAAATATCTATATAATAATAGCTTAGAAAGGAAAATTGCCTTAGGCAGTAACAGTCCTATGGAAAAAGATTCAGGTAAACTTTGTCTGCAATGAGGAAATTAGTACTCTATTTAAATGTCTTATTTGCCTTCTATTACTACACAAACACTTTCTGGGATTAAACATAAGCTAAAAATGGATTTTAAAAAATTGAACACTTGAATATGATACACATTGCTTGTTAAGATGTGATTGTCAATAATTATGCAAAACTGCAATTTATTTCAGCAGCAACTTTATCATGGGATGTGCAAACCAGGCAATAAACAACTCCTGCCGAGCCAGCGGCAGCAAAGCCCCCGGAAGAGCTGTTTATTCATCATGGGTGAGGTTTTTGCTGAGCACACAGTCTTCCACAGTGGAGTTTCAGTGCTCATACTGGATAAAAATCTTCTGTCTGCATTAACTGGTGGAGGGTAGAATAGGTTTATGAGGATGTAGCTACTGGAAAAAAGGAAGCATTGCACTAAGCTATTTATCAACTCCTAAATAAACTTTAATACTGCACAGCTGAAAGGTAGTGTAGGGTTCTGGTTGGGCAAATAAATTAAACCTCATGTAGTTCAAGGGCTAACGTGGACTGCCGGCTCCCTGCTTATCTAGTTTTCAGGCAAACTATCAATGCAAGGAGAAATATCAAAAGAGTCATTTATCTTTTTATGTATCATGCTTGAAAAATTCAGAACCACTGCAACAACTCCACGAATCTCAATGCTACAATTGGGCATACACCTTACAGTTTGAACCATGTGTAACTGCTGACAATTGACTGGGTGTGACCTATAAAAGTGGCAGTTTCATGCAGTTTGCATTAAGACTTACTCCATCTCCAGTGCAAAATTTGGAACAGAAATAAGCTGTCACATTCCAGAATATAAATGCAGGGTTAGACATTTGACATATTTTCTAATGTAGTCCAATTTCAAACAAAATTTAAAAATATGAAATTCTCCCATGGCAGAGTGAAACTTAGAGAATGTAATATTGTGCATTTTATCAGCATCAGCTTCATGATGAGCTGCGCTTGATGCATCTTAGCTCCTCTATCCTTAAACTAGAAATGCCGCTTACCCTCTGCTTCCAGAGAAAGTAACTAGTAAATAACTTTCCAAGAGTTATTTGCAAAATGCAATGCACATAAATCAGATGAAAGAGTTCTACCGAGACAATGTGATTTTCAGCCAAATCCTACCAGCAAGTTTGCTGCTTTGTAAATTAGGCCCTTAGGGAAGAACAGTAACTCTTTCAGGACAGTAAGAAACCATTTTCCTAAATGATACCCTTGTGGTCTGAAATATTGACAACATCAGGCTGAATATTTTCTAATTTGGAAAATACGTTAAAAATTCGATGGCAATAACAGCAGAAAATCTCCTCAAATGAGCTCCTTTACGTGCCTCTTGAATAATAGGTAAGACTGTTGTTTCCTGCTTGTGTGGGGGTTTTACGGCTTCAACATTTCTCTCGGAATCTATGTGTGTGTACGTTGAATCCCTAAATTTTAATTGTGCCAGGTCTAGTCTAGAATGAGTCAAGAATACTTAATTTCCATATCTGTGCATTCAACATGCTCTAAATGTATCATATAGTTTTAAATTTTCCGGAACCATATGGGTTTAAGTGGCTTATATGATAAGTAAAATGTAAAAATAAGAATCATAAAGAAAAAAAAGATATGTTCAGAAAAAAAACCAAAGGTCTTGAATTAGATTTTTTTTTAAATTCCTTTGTCCAAGTTATCAAACTACAGGCCCTGGAGAAAATTTGGCTGAATTTTACAAGTAACAATGACCAGATATTAGAAACTGTAATAATGCTTTGCAAACAGAATCTACTGTATTGGTTAAGTACTTTTTTACATAACAAAGTTTTATAATCAGCTATTCCAGCTTTATGGTGCACAAAAATAGCTGAGAATTTGATGGAGTAAGGAATAATGTGATTTCAAAAGGTTTTCATTCTATTCATAAGAGCACTGTGTACCATTCTCAGTATGTAAATAAGGGCAGCATGAAACAGTGTTCTCATAGTCCATGGACCAGCAGCACCAGCAACGTCTGAGAAGTTATTAGAAATGCAAATTCCCAGGCCTCAGCCTAGCTCTACTGAATCAGAGACTCTGTGGGTAAAATCCGGCAAGCTGTGTTTTAACAAGCCTTCCAATATATGCTAAAGCTTGAGAATCACAGTTGCCAGGAACCAGATTTGAGAACGACTGGCATAGTAGATGCTAAGCTGGGCTGCCCGGACCCCTTTTCAGGACTGAAATACTTCTGACCCCAGCTGCTGGTAGTGCTACTGGCTGACAGTCCTCAGCTGTTATTCCTGTCTGAGAGCTGGACTCAGCTAAAGAGAGGTGCCTAGCCCAAAGTTACCCACTATGTCCCCGAGACGGGCTGCACGTATTGGTTGATGGGAGAGTTGTGGGGTATAAAATCCTGGGTCCCTTGCTGCAACTCAGGACAATTCTGAAGGGCTATTCTACCTTCAGACTTCAGAGATCCTCCTGGGGAAGGCTAGGAAGGAGAGGCGGAGGGTTGATTGTGTTGTAGTTGTGACTGTATGGTAGCCCAGCTTCTCCTTCTGCCCAATCCTGCTCCCTTTCCTTTCCTCCGCTCACAGGTGTTAATCCTGAGAGCACTCTCCAATAAAATTCCTTCATGCTAATCACTTTCTCAGAATCTGCTTTCTGGGAGAACTTGACCTCCTGAATTGTCATGCTGAACAAGGATTTTAAAAATATACTTGCCTAAGAAATATATGTGGTCTCCAAAGGGAACAAGATGGAGGATTCTCACATGCAGTAATTGTGCCTGAATTGCTACTGAACTTTTGGTTGCCCTTTAAGGAGACCTATAGATAATACAGGTTTGCATTATCATCAGTTACAAGCAAGAATCTACTGAAGGGGCGGAGTGTTGGAGCTATAAAGCTTAGTGCAACCCTATACGTGCCAAAGAAAGTGTTTATCCAGAGACAACTGCACATGAAGGTAAAGAATCACAGAAGGCATGTTTTCAGCATACCCATTTTCTTTTTAAGACCTGATTATCAATGAAGAAATCAAATAAGTAAGTTCTGACCTGTCATTAGAACCCTACTCCCGCCACACACACACACCATGGTATTTCTGAATAAATCTCTAAGACTGCATTGAGTTGAATATCATCAATTTCTTATGGCCAACATAATACATAAAAAGGAAAAAGGAAGGGAAACTTGTTGCTTTCCGGGGTAAGCCTAAAGAGCTTAATTATTGTATACACACCATTCTACTATTAGATATATGGATGAAAAATACTTTATCGGTGCATTATACTGTGGAATTGTAAGTGTGTAGGTATAATTACAGAAACATATTGAGTATTTTTAGAAAAAGGCTCAATCTGATATGAAAGGTTATTTTGCCCAGGTTATTTTTAAAATGTGATAAATTAGGAACATTCAAAGAACTCAGTCTTCTGCTAAATAACACTTTCACTATGGCCTGGCATTGTTATAGAGTAATCACATAAAATACTCTGAATCTTTCCTTCCTAGTTTATTTGCAATTTAGCCACTATCATTTCCTATGATATTTTAGGAGAAAGATTAAAGGATCATTATTTTGTTCCTTTTTTTGGTGAGATATAGGTCAGAGAGACCTTAGTAGCACCTGGATGTAAGATCAAAATGATTCTTGCCATATCAACCGCTACTCATAGAACCAGAGTTAATCTGAAATTCAAATTTCCTGTAACCATAACAGTTCCTACTAGTTTGCTAGTAAATTGCATTTTGATTTTAAAACATAACTTTATATTGTACTTGTGAGGGGAAGCTAGAATTTTGTCACCTATGGATATACAGCACTTTGTAGAAAGGATTCCTTTTAATCTCTAGCAATTCTATTAGTAACGTGCACTAATGAGAAGCAAAAGCTGTCAACATTGCCTGGATTAGTAGTCCATTCCTAGCAAAACCAACTCTGTGGTTTTATCTGTTTTTGGGCAACATCTACCTAGAAATATGACTGGAGAAGGGTGGTGGCAATGAGAGAATGTTTCTCTTTTCTCCTCTGTTATGAAACTGTAAGGCGAGGAATATATGACATCATTTTAATTTAACTTCTGATGCTTGCTTTTCATCCACAGCATGAAGAATGGCAGATCTAATGTACAGCATGGAAGATAATTTTTAAAGCTAACATCCACATAACTCTTTATATGTTTTCAAACATATTCAGAGTTATTCTATCATCACTTCATAAGATATTTTCCATTTTTCTACCTACCTTCTTTTTCTATGTATACTCAGCTGGATATTTCATTCTCTGCCAATGGCTTTACACTCGATACAGATTATCTTTAATTCTGAACCTCATTCTTATTTCCACATGCCTACCAACATCTAATTCAATAATTCATCCATGCATCCATTCCGTACCTATTGTGTACCAGGATCTGTGCCTGATGATGGTGACAGAAAATCCAATAATACATGGACTTTGGTATTTAACATATTCAAGTTTAACAGAGGGTACAGATAGGTAAACATTTAACTAGAGTTACAATGTAATTAAGGCTATAAACCATCTGGAGTCCTTCCCAGTAGCTCAAATGTAACATATATCAATCTGCTTTCATAAACTTCTATCTCAATTTGCCAAACAAGTGATAAATGTATCTTAAACATGTTTTACTCTTTCCATCAAAAGAGGTGGAGATCATCCAGCAAGGCTTTATCTCAAAATAGAGTGATGGATGCTTAACAAAAGTTTGCCTAACTAATTTTCATAAAAATAAAAAACCTTTTAGATATACAGTACAGGCTTTTGCTGGTTTCATTTTAGGGCTGGAGAGATTGATTCTGAGAGAATTGTAATGATGTTCCCAAGGTTGTATACAAGTTAAGTGGCAGAGCTGGGGGTATAGCCCAAGTCTTGCATTCTAGAAAAGAAGTTTTTGTAACTCTGAAGACAGATATTGGAATACACTCCTCTCTGATATATTCATTGTACTAAAAGAAAGAAAGGCACAAGGAAGATTATGTCACTGAATCCTGGTCTTCATTTTAGAGCACAAATTTAATTTTCTGTTATTGCCATATGCAGGGTCGTTGAAACATACAAATACCTACACATAAGGGAACACATACATACAAAGATATTCTCCTACCCAAACTATTGCAGAAAAGATCTGGCTGCTCTTTGCTTTAAAATAAAAATCCATTTTTAATGCAAATTTGCTGGTTTGCCGTTCACCAACATATGAATTAACGAGGTTTTCATCCCCTCTCTCTTGAGGTCTGGTACTAAATTACTCAAACTCTCCAGAGTTAATTGGAAACCATGACCTAAATGTTCCCAAAGTATTGCTGATTAGTTCTCAGAAAACTCATTCCCATCTTTTGTCACCCCAGACACCACAGGATGACTTTTTAACATGTGCAGTAGCAACACACTGGCATGAGAAATAGATTAATCCTCCAAAGATAAACCACAGCTTTGAAGCTATCTGTGTAAACTTCCTTCACTGATACAGACATTTTATTTTTTAAAAAAAATATACATATCACCTAGACTTTAGATAGTAAGAGAGTATAGGCATTATCAATCACGTAAGGAATTTTGAAAGACACATTTCATCTCTCATTTTTTTAACCTTATGAATGTTTTTAAAATAGAGATTTGCGAATTTATCATTAGGGAAACAACCATAATTATACACTTTCCCTAAAACCATTAGTACTTTCCTGAAAAGACCTGCATTAGGAGACAGCAGTAGAAAATGTGTTTTCTACTTTACTTTGCATTACCCGTTTCATTTGATTTGTATTTCAACTCATAAATCACTGAAAAAAATTAGTTGATAAAGAAATGTACACAGTGTTATGAGCAGATGAAATACACGTCTCTATACACACATATTTTTTTCTTTCTTGAATTTTTAAAGAGATTGATACTCTTTAAGATCTGCATTTTATATTTTTCTGCTGATACAATACGAAAAGGTACTATTTGGAGAGGTTGAAATATAATGTTGGGAGTAATGAATTACATTTGGTTTGGTTAATATACAGAGACTCAAAATATCCTTTTGGGCATTTATACAACTGTAAGGGATCTTTAGAAAAAAATGCAGTTAACACTACTTCCCAGATAATTACACACTTAAAATTGGTGTTGACCTATAGTTGGACACATTTCTGTTCTAAATAAATTCTCAATGATTTGTATAATGCGAATTTTTAAGTTGGCTTTGGTTACTTGCAGTGATAAACTCTTTAAAGATATATTTCCTAATGTTGATAGACTAAGCAGCTTTTCTTCTCTCCTAAAAGGATTTGTTTAAAATAGTATAAAAACCAATTTAAAAGATGAGCCTAAGATCATCTCTTACAAACCTGATAAGACTGTGCAGTTATATATATCCTCATCCACAATAACTTAGAGAAAAACAGAACAAAACAACTAACTGTAGCTTGTTAGTTGTTGATACATAATATTCAGAAGACAGCAAAGCAGGCAGGTTCAGTTTTCTAATATCAAATGGCAAACACACAACAGATTCACTTTAAAAGAAAGAAGTGGCTAAAAACATATCAACAGATGAAATAAACTTATAGTAGAGTCCTGTCAGTGGAATTTGGAAATACGAACAATTTCATAACCGCTGATCTAAATTCTGAATTATGATATCGAAATATTTGTGACTTTTATTACCTAGTCTCTTACTCAGTACTCTCTTGTGGTTAATAATACACATTTGAAAGGGCCCTTTTAGCAAAGCACATGAACAGACACTTTTTAAAAGAAAACATACATGCGACCAACAAGCATATGAAAAAAAGCTCAACATCACTGATCATTGGAGAAATGCAAATCAAAACCACAAGGAGATACCATCACATACCAGTCAGAATGGCTATCACTAAATAGTCAAAAATAACAGGTTCTGGAGAAAAAGCATTGCTTATAAACTGTTGGTTATAGTGTATGTTATTTCAGTCATTGTGAAAACCAGTGTGGAGATTCTTCAGAGATCATGGATGGAGCTGCAGGCCATTGTCCTTAGCAAACTAATGCAGGAACAGAAAACCAAATACTGCATGTTCTCACTTATTAGTGGGAGCTAAATGATGAGAACACATGGACACAGAGAGGAACAACAGACGTGGAAGCCTACTGGAGTGGGGAGGGTGGGAGGAGGGAGAGGATCAAGAAAAATATCTAATGTGTACTACGCTTAATACCTGGGTAACAAAATAATCGGTACAACAAACCCCCATGACATGAGTTTACCTATATAACAAACCTGCACACGTGCTCCTGAACTTAAAATAAAAGTTAAGAAAAAGCCATTTTATATTCAACATGTATTGTTATAGTATTTTACACTAAAATAATGTTCTGCAGTTTTCAAGCTCCTTTGACAGGATCCACAGATAGCACCTCCTTTCATATTTTAAATAGCTTGATGAGGCTAATGAGGCAGGTTGTAATTATCATGAACAGTTTATAGATGAGGAACTTAACTTTCAGGGAAGCTGGGTGAGTTGCCAAAATAAATGACAAATCTTGAAACAATCTAGTCCACTGTACTATAAGACATTACCTCTCAAGGTAGACTTGCCAGTCTCCCTGTGAAGTAAATATAATGGATATTAATATGTCACTATTCTCAAAAGCCCTTTGTTTTCTGTTATTATTATATGAATTAGGATTATGGGGTATGTGTGTATATATGTGTGAAAAGAGAAAAGAAATTATTATTCCTTTGCTTACCATCTTCATCCGTCATCTATGAGATGTGTTACAATAAATACTGAACTTTGAACTCGAGGTAAGCTTGAGGATTTGATTTAGAAAGAAGGCATTACAGGCATTAATCGAATATTTTAATTCTTATGAAATTATACAAAGTTATAGTACATACAATTTTGGCCTTCTCTAAATGATAAGTTAGTAAATGTTGGTTAATGATACAGAGAGTATCTGAATGTCTATGTATTTTGGGATATCTTTTACATAAAATTTCTAACATGAAAATAAAATACTTCATACATTGCTTTACTAGACATTTTACAGTGAAATAAATACATTTTAATAAAACCAACTGAACGATGAATTAATTTGTCGAAGTGACTTAGTTTAAGTAGATTCTAAAAGAATTGCCCTTCTAATTGTAAACCTATTTTAATGGCTCAGATATGATTTACAAGACAAGATGTGGGATTACAAGTAGCTTGAGCTAATTAAAACTTATCAAAATAAAGATTTAAAGTTTCTTGCTTTCGTACTTTTAATTACCAGGGTGAAAAATTGCATTTAAAAGACCTAGATACTTTGAAATGTATTGATGGCCTTTTATAAGATCAATTAAAATTTATAAAGAACAGTCATAATTTAGGATTTATTTTTTTCAATTAGAAGTACAACATGAAAGGAATGAATCTGAGGGTGCATCTGGTTTTAAGAATCCTCTGACTTATGAATATACCACTTACTATAGTCTGGATATTCATCATCGTCATCACCATTCATCAACCACAACTTACTGTAAATTATTTGAGGGCAAAGATTCACACCACAGTTCCTGGCAATTTAATAGAT
Source organism: Homo sapiens (assembly GCF_000001405.40). NCBI lineage: Eukaryota > Metazoa > Chordata > Mammalia > Primates > Hominidae > Homo > Homo sapiens. Next base: position 31,637,615 of record NC_000023.11, read on the forward strand.
ACTCAATAAATTTAATTAAAGTCAATAAACCTACTACCGATAAGGTATACAGCTTCTAAAAACAAGGCCATAGGCTCTTGTTCTTAAAAAACTTAAAATTTTCTTGATGTGAATTTATTGAATAATAATTTATATTTATATAGAATTTTAGAGTTTAGACATTGCTTTCACATAAATTATTTCAGTTGAACCTCATAATAATTTGAAAATATTATCTTTGTTATAAAAAACTATTGTTCAGTTATAACCAAGATGTTTAAAAATGAGAATGAGCAATTCTGTGCCCAAAATTGTGTTTTGCTTTGCAAATGTACAGATATTCAATCTTTGGAATTTGTATCTTTCATCAAATTTTATATTAGCCATGAAAGTGAAGGGGTGGACTATTTTACTGGGCAACACATTGTATTTAGCTGTCAATGACTGAGTTTCTGTTACTCTTCCACGAAAGTTAACAATTTTTTTTCTGAATTTTCAAAATGAGTGTCTGCAAAAAATGTTATTTCAATACTTTCTAGGTGTATTAAAGAAATAGACAGCATACAAATAATAACTTCTGTCAAAATTAACCTGTTATTTTGGCAAATGTTCAGATTGCCTATAAGTTTGATCCTGGTCTTCAGACATCAAGTACCAAAAGTGCCTTAAAACGCATCCTGTCCAGACACCCATTTGGCTTCTGTCACCCAAAATACTCCTGCCCTCCCTGCTTTTTATCACCCATAAGTTTGATGGGCCTCCTCTCTGTAGTTCTACTCATGTTCTGTCAAAAACATCCAGTGTGTCAGGGTTGAGAACAGAAGCTTGTGACATAGCACCAGAGATCTTCCATCACCACCTGACACTGGTCTATTAATCGACATCCTTTGCGTAAAATCATGAAGTGGCTTCTAAGCCATCCAATTTATCTTGCATCTAGCCAGTATTTCTCCAACTTATTCACAAGAGTATAACGAAAGACTTTGTCAAATGCCCAGATGAAATGCAAATAGACTGCTGCATTTTACTTACCTACTTGTCTAAAAGTTTTTCATTGTAAAACATTATTTTATCTCAATAATTTAGACAATAGGGATTTATCCCTGTATGCAGGTATATCTGTGTTGTTTTACTAAATTAGCTAATCTCTTCAATAAATGGGTTCATATTTCTCTTATAGCCTCCACGTAAGTTGCATTTAGCATTTTAAATGTCTTGGACAGCTACAATAATATCTCTTATAATTTTTACATAAAATTCAACTGCATTTATCAACAACTGGTTAGGGGGCGATTGATATAGCTATGTGAGGGGAAGGAGAATAGATGAGTGTTATCACCACCCTTTTATAGAGATCATGCCATTCAAGTGGTGAAAATAGATTATAATTGCAGTGATAATCACAGAATTGTAAAAGACTGGGCTAGACAATCTGGCAGGTCTGAAATGGTAATTTCATTTAGTCTTGTAAAAATGGCAACTGTATCACTCAGAAATAGGTTAGGTGCTCCGAAAATACTGCTATTTCATTAATTCACAAATCAGTATTTGTCTGGAAAGATATTTAACCAAATTATACAGACCACAAAAAAAAGAGGCATCCTAGAAATTGAGGGAGGACATTTGACTATCACAGTGATTGAAGAGTGTTACTATAATAGCATTCTGTGGAGAGGGAATGAAGATGGTAGACTTCTTATACAACAAAGAACTCTCCCAAGTCTGACAGCACTTTGGAATATCCCACTGGACATGCATGTATGTGGAAACCCTGTTTATAAACACCTAAACCTGGAACGTAACTCAATTTTACACGTAAACATAAGATATTTTCCTCATGATTTTAAGACATTGAATTTTTCAGCCATGCAACTAACTGCCATAACGATCCAAGAAAAAATTTATTTCATGGTGTTAGGAATTTTGCCAAGAGTTGTTCAGCATTTTGGAAAATTACGCTATGGATGACCAATGCCCCTCATGGTATTTGAGTCTCCATACAACACAATGGTGTCATTCTGCATTTGTTTATACTGCATTGATAGTCTCGTGATCTAAAAACTTCACTTGTGTTCCAGTGTGATCCTGCCTGAATAACTGCATACTACAACACATATTATTTTATTATAAATGACTCTTATTTCTCTTTAAAATAGAGTTACGGCATCATTTAAACTATTGCCTGTATAAGTAGGGTATGTTGTCTACATATTTTGGCTTATAATCGTAAAGAAGGTATTACAAAGTATTTGTTATTTAAAAAAGAAAAGAGGGGTGGCATTGGGTCTGAGAAGTTTGAAAACCACCGATACAGAGCCACTGGGGAATCTCAAGAGAAAGTTTATTATACTGAAAATTAATAGAATTTTTCAGGAGAGAATGAGGATGTGTCCCCTCCCTGTGCATCCAATCTCTGATCCCTAGAGCTCCATAGAGAATGAAATAGCATTTTAAAAATTGCTCTCTTCTACAACCAGCTGTGACTATCGGTGAACCGGAGGTCTACTTCATATACGAACCTGAATTAAAAACAGCCAGCCCTTGAGTCAGTTCAGAGCCCACGTTCTTGATTACATTTGACACAATAATCATCATCATATCTTAAGACTCAAATCAGCCTGACAGTGCTCAACTCAGGGCTGCTTCTCCCAATTAGCTGAAAATTGCAGCCCAGCTCATCTCCTAGGGAATACGTTTACATTTACAATTTTGCTGTGGCAAAAAGGCAACAAACACGCTGGAAGGAGCAAATCAGCTTTTTAACTTTTACACTAACTATTTTAAGTTTACCTAAGTCTGGTAAACCTGTTTTGACAAGAATGACAACGAGGAAGCTTTTTTTGTTATGATTTTTTATAACTGCGCAAAGTTTAAGATAACTAGAGTTTGGACTAGAAGGGGAAAACAGATACACAATGTGAATATTTTTACAAGTTACTTGTCAAATGAAAGCTTTCAGAAGAAACAGCCTTTCTTTGGTAAACGGTGCATTAAAATAATTTGCAACTAATAGATAGGGACATGTAATTTGAAAACAAAAAGTGAGTAAATGTCAAGGTCCTAGGAAATATTTTCCAATTATATGCTAACCCGATAACTCCATGTCCATGTGACATAGCGTTATTCTGTGTAATTCTGTAAATTACTTCTCTCCTATATTTCTGAGGGGTGGAATAACCAAGGACATTTTTGTGCATTTTGTTTCCTCAATTATGATACCTTTCTATGCAGATCAGGGCAGTTTGCACACACTATGGGAAAAATGGAAAGTGACAAGGTAACCATGCTTCATGGTGGCTGTGCTGAAGATTTGCTCAGATAACAGTGTCCTTATGCGCTGTCTTCTAAGCGGATGACAGTGCAGACATGGAAGAGAAATATGCAGATGGGAAAACATGAATCTAGAAAAGTGGGAAAAATACTGAGGAGCAGGAGACCTGGAAAAGTAAGACAATTCTAGAGTGGGCTGAGATAGAAGACATGTTGTAACCACTGGGGACAGGAAAACATGTGAACAGGAACATGTATATAAGCTGACAGTGTGCAAGAGCTCACAGAAAGCAAATGCTAACAGTAATAGAGAAATACCATTGAGGCAGAGGTAGAGATAAAAAGAAATAAGGAGGGATCGGCCATGGTGGCTCACGCCTGTAATCCCAGCACTTTGGGAGGCCAAGGTGGGTGGATCACGAGGTCAGGAGTTCAAGACCAGCCTGGCCAAGATGGTGAAACCCTGTCTCTACTAAAAATACAAAAAAAATTAGCAGGGCGTGGTGGTGGGTGCCTGTAATCCCAGCCACTCGGGAGGCTGAGACAGAGAATTGCTTGAACCCAGGAGGGAGAGGTTGCAGTGAGCCAAGATCGCACCACTGCACTACAGCCTGGGCAAGAGAGCGAGACTCCGTCTCAAAAAAAAAAAAAAAAAAAAAGGAATAAGGAGAGAGGCAAAGTTGAGGACAGGCGCACTGGGGAAATGACAGAAATAACAACTCAGAGAAAAGTGAGTAAGTGCAACATCTCTTTGAGTCTTGTTATTCCCAAACATCCCTATTCACCCAAAGATTAACATTTCCTACAAGACACCATGTTATGAATATCCTTAACTAATGGATATCCCTCAAGAAGAAATATTTATTTTTCTTATAGTACAGTTACATACATTTGGGAATTAGAATGGATTTTTAATTGGTTTCTGATCCAAGTTTTAATCATTTTGCAGGAAAGAAGCCAGGACTCTTACAACATATGAATACTCATCTATTATGTATAATATCATTTAAGTGGATTTTGCCCCAAATCTTTGTGGATGTGCATAATTGAAGAAAAAGATAATGTTATTACTTCTCGGTAAATTAATTGACGGTTTCTCCTTTAAGATTGGTCAACAATCTGAGTACTATGAGCAACACTTCTTCTATAGATTCTGTTCTCCTTTAGAAAACAAAATTCACGTCTTCTGTTGTAGAATTAAATCTTTGACAGTTCTTAATGTTGAGAAAAATAAAAATATCCTCACGAAAGTCAACATTCTTTAATATTATTGAGAAAAGAGTATACATTCACATTTTATTAAAACTACGGTCCACTGCTATAAGTGTCATGAAGTTAACATATACCTAGTAAAGTTTGTAAAAAATAATCAGAAATAAGCTTTAGTGAAAAAATCCACATGTTGAATTTTGCTGTTTCTCACATTACCTTAAAGTGTTTTTCCAAATTCTAGCTTAGCCAAATCATAAGGAAACTGAAATAGAAATCCTTTGAGTGACTACTACATACTTTAAATTATGGATATCATGTTGTAAAACATCTGGCTCATTCTTGTGCTGTCATGATTTTCCAAAATAAAACATTTGCTGTTTAGATGTTGTCATTTAAAAAGACCCTTAATGATTAGTCAACTGATTTGCTTTAGTTGATTTCAAAGTATATGCTAATTGACAACATTGATGATGACACAATACTTAAAAATCCCATACAAGTTGTCCACTGAACAATTTGGTCATTTCCTTATTCATTTCCTTATTAATGCTCACAGAAGCATAGTTATCATTTTTTTTTTAGTGAGTCACAGAATGGGAATTAATTTATTTTAATCCAATGTTCCGTTTTCCTTATTTTGCTCTATCAGTTTTGTGAGCCCAAAGAAATAAAGTTGACCACAGCAAAAGCAGTGCTGGGGAAGAGGCCAGTTTATAGGATAACTGCAATACCTTTTACTTGGAAATATGTTTGAAGATCACCTGAAAGTTTAATTGACACAGGATGGGACAGCACATCTAGGAAAAATGGATGCCATTCAGACAATCGTTCTTCCGATTTTGATCTGACTATCTGTTCGCTTTGCGGTGTATATCAAATTGTTGAATTAAATTTCAAAAACATCACAGGTCTACAGGGAATCATTAGTTCCCCCAAGTACTTTCGAGAGTTGACTGTAGCTCTTTTACTTCCCTGCTGTAATGACAGGAAACGTGGTCTGAATTTATTGCTATCTCCCACCTCTCTTAGAGACCATTGTTCATTTCACTCATCCATTTTCCTTCCTGAATAAATGTCAATAGGAAAAATTGGTTTTGATAAACTATATTTTATAGTTTGATAAACTATATATGCTTTCTTTTTCACCTTCTTATTGACAACATTTGTCCGATTATATTAGCAGGTTCCAGGACTAAGTTTAACAATTATTGTTAAGAGTTTTTGTAGGGAAAAATGGTATTTCTTGTAGATATATTAGTAGTTGATAATTTATGTAAAAATTTAGTGTTTGTGATAGGCACTTTTTTAAAACTTTTCATTTGAAAATATGAACATCATCCATTTCCCCATCTAATCATGTCTTTCCTGAAGCATATATTTTTAAAGTAGCTCTTAAAACTTGCAACATGTGATGTAGCTATAATTATTTTAATCTGCATGAAAAATAATAGGATAAAAATTAAAGTATCAGTGTAATTTTGATGTTAGAACTAATAACATTGCACATTTGTTTTGTTAGTGAAATATGTGCTCAAATGATATAAGAATAATATTAGGTAAATATGGAAAAGTAGTTCTATGAAGAATACATTTTTTAAAAATCTTAGTTCATCAATGCAGTGAAAGCAAATACAGAATTCTCTAGATTCTCCCATTAAATTATAACAGTATTCAGAATTCTTTCAATATATGGTGGAAGAAGCAAAAGCTGATATTAATAGAATATTATGCCTTTTCTCAGAAAAACATTATACTTTCATAGAATGTGGACTCATATATATGTATATGGAGAATTTTGTTCAATGTGCTCAATATCTATTGCAGTATCTGGCAAAGAGTGAGTGCTTAATTTTTACTGAAGCACTTAATTAGAAAATGGCAAATATATGTCAGTATCAGTATTTTCACCATAGATACTTTCATTATATAGTAATCACAGTAGTGCATATATAACTGCCACTGTCTGATTCTGACTTGTACTTTCAAAGTTAGAATAATAAAGCTCTGCCAGGTAACCCATTTTCAAAAGCAAACTTTGGCAAAACTTTGGAATACAAAAAAGAAGATGGAGAGAAACTTGCCTTTCCAGGAAGAATGGCAAAGATGTGGTGAGATGCCCTCTTAGAGCCAGTATGTTAATACGCTAATAAAAGTAGAAAAGACTTACTAGAACTATTTGAAATATCAAAAAGTAACACATCACTGTATGTGAGAAAATTCTCAAAAAGTTACAGAACCTAACATCATATAGGTGATGCTGCAATGTAAAAACACACACACACACAGAAAAAGGAGACTGATAGCAAATACAAGAATTTCTGTGTCAGAATTAACACAAACTGGTGTTTTGAGCTTAGGAAAGTCACAGACTCTCTGTGCCTCAGTATCCTTTTCTCTGTCATAAATATTTTGATATTGAAATTGGTGACTTCATAGGTTAACTCAGACCTATAGAATGTCACGTTCATTTAGAATATGGGACAGCAAATTGTAAAGATGTCTGTCCACCTGCTACTCATTTGGCAAACAGTGCATATCCCAGGGAGCAGAACCCAGCGCAAGCAAGCTGTCCTACCATTATCAATTAAGGGCTTGAAGTCAAGAATGAGTCCCAAGCCACTGGTTTGCCAAGGAGTCTGCAAAATCTTGCTAGAACTTTGACTTTCAATTCTGGTTCTTGCAACTGCACTATTAAAGAACCTTGGCCTCTTCTTAGAGTAGACCAGGTCCGTCCACCAGGAATAGTTGCTAAGAGTTATGGGTTGGCCAGGGTTACTCTACATGAGAAGTGTATGGGGGTTTACTCACACACACCAAGTGCTTGGCTGGGCTTCTGGAATTGCCTACCTGTCAGGATAAGTTTTACTGTTACCAGCAGCAACCTAGCAACTAGGCTAAAAGTAATCACTAGCGTGGTGTGGTTTATAGGTTTTGTGTGGGAAAAAAATCCTCAAAATTATGAGTTACTTCCATTCTATTAGAATGTTGATGAAGACAGAGTGTCAAGGAGGGTTAATGGCATTTGTTTCAGGGAAAAGAAAAACGTTATTAGCAGATCCCAGCAATTTTAATAGACTCTATTGTCTATTGCCTCTATTGTTGATTGCCATCTGCTAAAATAGAGACTTTATTAAGTATAGCTTCTTTTACTGAAGATATCCCTGATTACTTCGGTGGATTTCTAAAAAATTTCTCCTCCATCCTCCTTGTGGGAAGTCTCAGGAAAAAAAAAGATTCAATATGATTCAAATAGGCTCTGCCAGAGAATCAATCTCTATCCTCTCTCTGTCTCTAGCTAGCTAGCTAATTAATCAATATTCCCAGAAAAAAGTCCTTAAACTTCTACCAGAATATGAGGTAAGAATAACAGCCTTGGAGGAGTCATAGAAAAAAATGTCTGAATAGAGTCAAAATTCACGTAACACAAATTCCCTTGGTTAGCATGGCAAATGTATAGGCTTATGCCTACGTGAAGAATTGAGCTAATGGCACTAGAGAATACTATTCAGGTAACTCACGGTGAGATGATTTCCCTTCAGTGGCCTGGCCTATATGCTATGCTATCTATCTTACAAACACTTACTGAGTGCATGTTCTATGCATAGTATTGGACCAGATACTGTAGTGTTGTATAAGATTCTTGAGAAATTGTTTTCATGGTCAAACTTTTAGAAGGGATGCATACTGTATAGATTATCCCTTCCCCCCATACTTTCATAAATACACATACTTTGTTGATTCACCAAGCATGCACTGTAATAAGGGTCTGATTACTCCTATGGGAAAGAAGTCTGTTCGCTTTGATTTAACTTGATATTACCTAATCATTTTTTCATCCATAGAACCCTTTCTTGAGTTATTACTTATTAAGATACAGTGGAACTAGTTCTGCCAAAACCCCATTTGGAAAAAGAAAACTCCCACTCTAGATGATGAGTATGTGAAGATCAGGATGTTATACCATACAACCACCAAGGTATCACCAACCTGTTCCTGAATACTTCTACAACTTTACAAGGCAGCCTGTTCCATCTTTGGACAGCTTTATAACAATATTCCTCTCTCTATTAAGCTGAAATATACGTTCTTAGGACTAGGTTATATGCTTAAATTTATTCGGCCTAAGATCCCCTTTGGCTTTCCTTTCCCACTGTTCTATCACATTGTGTGTTGTGTGTTGTGTGTGTGTGTGTGTGTGTGTGTGTGTAAAGAGAGAAGTGAAACAGAAGGAGATTATTGTTGCTAAAAACTCTATGTTATCTCCATATTTGGAATGTTTTTGGTTGGTGTAGGCAGTGGTTCTCAAATTTTAATATGCATAGAAATAACTTGGAGGCCTGAAAGCTTGTTAAAAGTTCCCCAAGTCCCATCCCCAGAGATTCTGATTTAGTTGGATGGGGTAGGACCTACAAATTTAAATTTCTAGTGAGCTCATAGGTGATACCAATGCTGCCAGTCAGAGGACCATACTTTGGGTAACACTGCGGTCTTGGGTACACTGTTGCTCTGCCAAGACCTCATGCCCTAGCTGGTTGGAATATTGACTACTAACAGCTCACAGCTGCCTCCCTCCCTGGAAATTGCCTTCAGCTGTAGGTAACAATCTTACTCCAGTCTGCTCTTTCCCATGGGGTGACCCAGGACCATTAACTCTCTAGTATTGGGTTCAAAGGTCCAGATCCCTTGCTTCAATTCAGCGTGTCTCTAAAGGGCCATGCAATTTCCAGAACTCCCCTGAAAATCTGATGAGGCCGCAACGCACTGCAGGCTTCACTGCACTTCTTCGTCTGTGCAATCTTGCCTATCTTACAACCTTACACATGTATCTCATGGGAACACTCCTCAACAAACCTTATGCACACAACTCTCTATCTTAGTCTATTTCCAGGGAGCCCAGTCTAAGTTAGATGGGTTTTTTGTTTCATGTTTCTTTTGAACCCACATGTAGCACCTTGCATTTACATTACATCTTTCAGTATTCAGCCTACCAGTCCAACTTGTTGAAAACTTTTTGGCTCCTGATACTCTTGTCTGCTATATTTGCTATTTCTCCCTGCTTTGTGGCATTGATTTGATAAGAATGTTATCTATGTCTTCATCCAAGCCACTGATGAAAATATTGAAAAGGACAGAGCTGAGATTAGATTACCGGGAATAGCTGCCTGAAACCTCCTTCCAAATTGATAGGTATCCATTAGACAGCAGTGAAGGGAGCATAGGCCTCAGAGTTGCAGATTTGGGATGGAACAACAGTTCCGTTTAAGCAGAGGTCAAAAGCTAGACTCACAGCTAAAGAGAACAATGCCATTTTAGCATTTCTATTTTAATAGGAAACTTAAGTATCACTTATATAACACATTTCAACAAAACATATCTCACTATAAAAACATAAAATCATAAATAATCATTATGAATTTATGATTATTATTCATCTAATTTGTCCCAGCATGAAAACTGTATTTGGTCATTTCATGGAGGGTTTTTTCGTTTACACATTTTAAAAAAGAGGTTGTGATAAAGTTGAAGTTCAACAGCTACCCCAACTTCACTAGGACATTTAAAATACTGGCAATATAAAAGAAAAAGGCAATCCATCAGTAATTGTATGAGCGGCCATAAGTTTAAGCAACGTAGGTTATTATCTACAAAGGTGATTGAATTTGGTTCACCTGATTTGCTTTAATTGCTCTGTGGCATAAACACACTGACTGGACACAGAGTGATGTAATGAGTATCATAATTAGGAATTTGATAAAGCTAAGTGTGAAACTGACTATTAGAAGATATTTGAAACACACAACTACTGCTTTGAATGGGGAATTGATTTCCTAGTTAATTTAAATAATTTTCATCTCTTTCTATGAATACTGATGACAGACGGAATGACCACAGCATAAAACATTGGCTGGAAGAATGTCACTATGTACTTCAAGAAATTATTTCCCCCATGTTTTTTATTGAAAAGATAAACACCTGTCCATTTCCTTCCTAATAAAAATGTGGTAAGATTTTTTTAAATGAAAAAATAAAACTATCTGAAAATGCTTTTAACTGTTAATAAACAGGGAGTAAGTAAAATAAAAATAGGCAAAAATATATTTGCAAAAATATGATAGAAGGAATTGCTAAGAATGTTGAGAATGATTCTTTATTTGTAAATTTTTGATAGTTTCTACAATAAGAATCACTTGTACTAAAGGAAAGAAGTTATTTCAAAATATAGAAGAAACATCCAAACACAGAAAAATGGTAGATAAAATACCAAAATAGAAAATCAAAAAGGCACAATCTGGGCTTAGAAACAAGTTAAGTAGCTCTGTGTTTCAGAAATGCCACAAAAACACACAGTGGTGCACGGGGCTGCAGACATAGGGCTTTTGGGGCCTGGGCTGGGAAGTAGGTAGCAGTAGCCAGGAGTTCAGATTCTGCTGGGCTCAAGAATCTATAAACACTCGGTATAAGACAAAGGACCTGAGCCAGGCTCTTTGCTGCAATTAGTCAAGGATGATATCAGGTTTCCCTACGGGGTGAAAGGGAGCTGCAAAAAAAAAAAAAAAAAAAAAAAAAAAAAAAAAAAAAAAAAAAAAAATCTGCTATTGATCACAACCTAGAACTGATTAAATGACATCCCTTTTTAGGGGGAAATTGGAAAGATTAGATTTCATAAAACTCATTAATACCTATATGTCCAAACATTTTTAATATAAGAAATCATTTGAATTAATGATTTAGAGAAAGGAAACAGATCCCTGTTACATACTGAATAAAGCCAAAGGATCCCAAAACTATAAGATTTCTAGAATTGTGCAGAAAAAAATTAAGTCAAGTGATGATTATATTCATTTATTAAAAAAACTCAACTTTCTAAAAATAAATCTACCTAAATTCTATTTTTATTGAATGTTTTAAAGAAGTCTTTCTGAGAATGATACAGATAGAAATAAAATGAAAATATAAATATAATTGAAAAGTAACATGATGGGTATTGTAGCTAACATTAATGGTTCAATTAAACCAAATAAGAAAAACTTTCTCCCATTTGCTTTAATATTTGATACTGTAATATTAAATTTATGAACAAAAAACAGTCTGTTGGTATCCTATAATTTTTTATTAGGAAACAATGGTAAGTTTTCGATAATACTATTGTTTTTCCTGGGAAAACTGATACATAGGAGCATTTCTAAGCATATATTTTGGTGCGTTGGTTCAGCCCAGTTCAGGACTGTAGGACTGGGTTAGAATGAAAATGGCTACTTGGCTACATCACCAGGTAATTTTCCACACCAGTAAATCACCAATGACATGGTTCCAAATGTCTCCCTTTGTGTGCAATCCCTGCAAGCTAGAAACATTCTAATTACTTGAAAGGAGATGACATAAAATGAAGCAGGCTGTTACCACTATGAACCTTTTAGATCCATATGGATCATGACACTCTCTGGCCCGGAGCCCCAAGATTTCACATCATAGATGTTATATTACCCTACTGTAGAATGCAGAGAATTTTTTTTTTTTTTTGAGACAAAGTCTTGCTCTGTCGCCCAGGCTGTAGTGCAGTGGCACAATCTCAGCTCACTTAAACCTCCGAAGAGTTCTTATGCTTCATAATCAGTTGGGAAGATTTGGGTCTCAGCAATATAAAAATGGGATTGTCTTGTAACTATACATATGACTCTCTCCTGAAGAGCCGAAAGACACATTTTCATACTGCTAAGTGTACCTAAAGGAGTTGATAATGGATTGAATTTTTTAACATACCAAATCCTCTCAGTCCTTAAAATGGACTACAAGGTACATTTCGCATAAGAGGAATTTAAAATAGGGTATTCAAAATTGAGAGGGTTGAACTGGTGGCTTTGGGGTCATTTGTAGCTTTAAATTTAATTTAATTTTAAGAGATGGAGTCTCACTACGTCACCCAGGCTGGAGTACACTGGCATGATCATAGCTCACTGCAGCCTTGAACTGAACTCCTAGGTTCAAGAAATCCTCTTGCCTCAGCTTCCCAAGTAGCTGGGACTACAAACTTGGCTTTTTTTTTTTTTTTTTTATGTTTTGTAGAAATGGTATCTCACTATGTTGCCCAGGCTGGTCTCAAACTCTTGGCCTCTAGTGATCCTCCCACCCCCACCTCGGCCTCCCAAAGTGCTGGGATTATGGGGACATGTCCCACCAGGAACTTTAATATTTTAAATAAAATGTGCCACATATATATTATGAGCAGGCCCCAATGTAATAAAGGTTGTATTTTAAACAAATATCCCGCTAGCATTCTATCATATTTTTGTACATAGCTTTGAAGGCAGCAAATCTTTATCCTTTAAATTTTTGGAAATAATCCAAAGCCATTCAGTGCCCAACATCTGATGAATTGTTTCATTCAATTACAAACAATTATTGAGTACAATTACTCAGCAAATAAAAGGTATGGCTATAAAATAATATAACAGTCTGCTGAGGATCATAAAACAGTCCTTAAGTAGTTCCAGAAAAGGAACTCTAAAATTATATTGCCAAGGGACGGTATTTGTAGATACAGCATATAAGACTCTTATGAAGTTCTAATGCTTGTCCCTCTCCTAAATAAACAAACAAATGAACAAGCAAAAATGTATAACACTATTTGCTTTTCTTCCCAGGAAAATGTTTTACTTTTTCATTTGTTTTTACTTTCAGAAAAATTTGAGAATGCTTTTGGAAACATGTCATACATGTAAATATCATGCATCAAGTCTCAGGAGGGTAAAAAAAAAGCACTGGAATCAAAGGGAAGCAAGAAGATTCATTTCAAGGAAGACAGATCCAAGGCTGTTGTGAATGTCAAATGAGCGTAAAGACTTGATAACTGGCAGAATAGAGAAAAGTTGGTTACAATCTCCCAGAAATCTACAAAGGATGAAGAGGCTTTAGGATGAGGTGACAATAGGGATAAAGAGAGGGAATTGTTTCTAGAGCAATTTTTGAAGTAGAATTCACAGAATTTGGAAGCCAGTTTAATACATGTGTCAGTAGATTGGGAAAGAGAGATCAAGAGAAAGGTAGAAGGTAATTCTTAGGTTTCCAGTTTTAGAGACAATTAAGTTAGACAATTACACTACACTGAAAACACAGAAAATTTAACTTTCTTTTAGGGGCAAGATAATGCATTCTACTTGACACATTTTGCAGCCTGTAGCATATCCAGGTGGTAATGTAGGTTAGGTGGCAGAAAGTACAGTTCTGGAGATCAGGAGAAGAGTGTAAGATGGAAGTTGACACTGAGGAGTCTTAATGTTAACTGAAGCCAACAGACAAAGCTACTCAAAATGTGCAGAGAGAAAGAAGAGAGACAATTAAGAATGGAACATCAACATTTAAAATTGCATTGAAGACAGAGAACTTGCACTGATCATTGTTACAACTCCCAACTTTGTATCTTGAGCTACTCCCCATAACTTAAGATTCATATATCCAGCTATCTACTCCACACATCTCCTAGATGTATAATAGGCATTTCAAATGTAACATATCCACATCTTCCTCCCAAAATATGTTACTCCTGGAGCCTTCCCCATCTCAGTAAATGATGACCCCATCTTTCCGTTGCTCAGGCTAAAAATTCTTGAGTCTTCTTGACTCTTTCTCTCACACCTAAATTTATTCCATTATAAAATCTGTTGTGCTCTGTACCCAAAATATAGTAGAATCCAACCACTCCTCACCACATTCACCTCTCCCATTCTGATCCCAGCCACAGTCATCTCTTGACTGAATTATGACAACAGTTTCCTAATGGTCTCACTACTTCTGTTTAGTCTATTGTAACAGAGGAGCCAGATAAGACAAAACATGTCACTCCTCCATTCAAAACCCTCCAATAACTCCCATCTCATTCAGATTAAAAGCTAAAGTCCACAGGCCTAAAAGGCCAATATAATCAGATGCCAGTTACCCCTCTAAATTTATTGTCAACTACCTTCCTGCTCGCTTGATCCTTTTCTGCCTAACTGATCTCCCTTTTAAGGTTCCTTCAACATGCCAAGAATATTCCTGCTTTGGGGCATTTTAACTTATTAGGACTCTCCTGGACTACTTTTTCCCCCCCAATTATACATATGGCCCACATCCTCAGGTCTTTTAGAATTTGCTTAAATGCCACCTTTTCAGTAAGACCTTTTTTGATTACCACATTTTCATGGCAGCACTCCTCTTCCACCTCCCTCTCTCTCTCCACTTGTTTTCCTCTTTGTTCTTCCACACTGTGTGTATGACCATCTGACACATCATGTATTTAATTTTTATTTGTCAATGTCTGTCTTCCAACTTCTGCTTCCAAGAATATAAGCTTTATGAGGGTAGGGCTTTTCATTGCTCTATACCAAGTACCAATTACTGGGCCTACCTAGCACAAACTTCATACAAAAGTATTTGTTGAGTAAGTAAATTAATTTTTATGGTGTCGATGGCAGATGATATTTTACTGAGTTCTTACTACGCACTAGGCATTGTGCCAAGCACCTCACAATTATTATATGATTAGAGAAATGAGATATTCAAGATAATATTGTTCTGGGAACCAAGGAGGATAAAGTTTTGATTAGCAGAGTTGACCAACAGGATCAATGTTAAAATATAGTCAAGAAGATGGACGAATTAAAATACACTAATTAGCTATTACAAAGTCACTGATGATCTTAGTAAGTCCTTGTTTTCATAAAGTGGTGGTGCTGGGGAAGTGAGACTGGAGTGGGTCAAAGTACAACTAGTAGCTAAAGAACAGGAAACAGTAATGCCAACTACTGCTTAAAAATGATATAGTAAGCAGAAGCAAGTACAGCTGGATAGAAAAAAAATGATATACTAAAAAAGTTCTCTTAGGATGAGGGAGACTTGAGTATGTTGGCCTGCTAAAGGGGAGGAGCAAAAAGAAAGAAGAAATTGAATATCCCAAAAAAAGGAAAGTAGAATAATTACTAAAACAACATGTTGGAGAATGTAAAAGAGATCTAGTGTTTAACTAGAGTAGCTCCTTGCTACACACAAAATAGGGCTCAATTGTTTTCTCTTTTCTTGTTGCAATGAAGATGAGAAAGGACCTAGGAATAGAGAAGCAAAGAGTGACTTACAAGTGCCTTCAAGGTTGTCAAAGACGGAGAAAACAGGTCAAAATGTTTTCAGATGATCAACTATTAATTTTGATCATTAAAATACAAAACAGTATTATAAAGAACAGAGAATACTGAGATGTTATGGAAGAAAATGTGTTTGTATGTATATGCATGCATATGCATATACACGTATATGTATATATGTACACACATACATGTACACACATGTACATGCTGAATCTTTCTTAGAACCTAGAGGGATTTTTTAGTATCTGGGAGCTTAGCTAAGGAACTTCTAGGCATGTTTAACCCTCTGATGCAAGGACCATCTCCTCTGCTTGATGAGTTTGTACCTGGCTAGTTGGCAGTTGTGGAAGCCCTCATACAGCTACAAGCAGACAATTCAGAGTTAATGCTTATTTCTTGTTTAAAGAGTGATCCTGGAACAGAAATAAGGAAATGAAATCTCATGACAGTGTCATCATAAAGTCATCAGCCAGATGGCAGTCCTTGAAATCTAATCCTTAGAGGCTTCTCACAATAATTTGTAATATCACATCTAATATTATCTTATTCACAAACTCATATCTATTCACAGAGATTGAAGACAAAGAAATGAACTTGCAGAGGCTCACATTTCTGGCTTTATATGTTATCATGGACTCTGTAAGGAC
Source organism: Homo sapiens (assembly GCF_000001405.40). Lineage (NCBI taxonomy): Eukaryota > Metazoa > Chordata > Mammalia > Primates > Hominidae > Homo > Homo sapiens. The sequence goes on from NC_000023.11 coordinate 31,653,840, forward strand.
TACGATAAGGAAAACAACATATTTTCCTACATAGGTCACAACAATAATCTATGTTCAGATCTGGGTTTCTAAACTGTACAATTTAGTTGAGAAGCAGCCTTCTCTTTTTTCCATAGATAGATTAGTTCCTTTTAAGCATAAATGCCTATTTATATTTATTCTATATAAAATGGCAAGTAAAAATGATCATATCAAAAGCCACTGTAGAATTTGAAGACTCATCTGATGTATTAATAAACTTAAACAGCAAAATATAAACATTAGTTTACTTTTTTATTATGTCTTGAAACTGCAACATGGCAGTGTCTGATATCAAAGCAAATTTCTTTCAAGTACATTTTATATCTTATTTAACATTCAACAGTTTAAAACTAAAGATTTTATTACTAATTTAAATATTCTTCCAAGTGTACAAAAATTTTGCCTAGGTTTCTCCATGTGACTGAAAGTCTCAGTGCAGGCAATGCATTAGTGTTTCATAGTAAAATGGTGTCTAACCTGAACTGTGAGAAATGATGTAATCAGAAAACTTTCCACAGAATCCCTCCTACCTAAAAAGCTATAGTTACAGAACTTTTTCAAAGATATGAGATACTTTTTCTCCATAACCCAAATATTGACATTATTAATCTTTCCTTTTTAAGATGAGTTTAATATAACAACAAAAGTGAAAATGCCATCCTGTCATAGTTGTAGTTTTTGAGACCAACACAAATACCATGGAATACTACGTAGCCATAAAAAAAGAATGAGATCATGTCCTTTGCAGGGACATAGATGGATCTGGAGGCCATTGTCCTTATCAAACTAATACAGGAACAAAAAACCAAATACCCCATGTTCTCATTTATAAGTGGGAGCTAAATGATGAGAACACATGGACACGTAGAGGGGAACAACACATGCTAGGGACTATTAGAGTGTGGAGGGTGGGAGGAGCGAGAGGATCAGGAAAGTCAACTAACGGGTACCAGGATTAATACCTAGGTGATGAAATAATCTGTACAACAGACCCCCATGACACAAGTTTACCTATGTAACAAACCTGCACATGTACCCCTGAACTTAAAAGTGAAAAAATAAAAATAAAAATAAAAAAGAAAATGTATAAATAGAAAAAATCAGGCAGAAACAAGTAAATGCATTACAACAAGCCACTGTGTAGAGACAACACTTTTTATTTATAAATAGAGGCAATAAGATTTTTGAAGTAGCACAGTAAATAATTATTATAAATGTACCCTAAACTGCTTAACCCATTTATGCCTAAGGTTGCAATTTTTTGAATTTTTGCAATCAGACCTTGGTGAGGACCTTGAACAGTAGAATATAAATAATTCCCACATGCTTAGTATTCCAATAATGGAACACTAGGATAAATAGCTAAAGTGAACATAGACAAAGATGATCTAGAGCAGGACTATCAGTAAAACTTTCTGTGATTGGTGGTTACCTGATGCTGGGAAGGGTAGGGGGTGAGGGGATGAACTTGATTCGATTTTGCAGGCTCAGAGATGGAAGGGAATTTGCCTCACGATGAATTGTGCCTTGAGTCTCACCCATATCTAATTTATATTAGATTGCACTTTTGAGTTTATGCTGAAATAAGATTTTTGGGGCTTTGGGGATGAAATGAATGTATTTTGTCTTTGAGAAGAACAAGAATTTTGGGGAAAAGGGGGCAGAATGCTATGGTTTAATGTTTTTCCCTTCCCAAACTTATGGTAAAATTTAATTGCCATTGCAACAGTAGTAAATGTGACCTTGAAGAGGTGATTAGGACATGAAGGCTCTGCCTTCATGAACGGATTAGCATCATTATTGTGGGAGTGAGTTTCATATAAGGACAAGTTTGGCCCCATTTTTTCTCTCTTTTGGTCTTCCACCTTCCATCATGGAATCATGACACAACAAGAAGGCCCTTACCAGATTCCAGCCCCTTGATCTTGGACTTCGCAGCCTCCAGAACTATGAGCCAACAAATCCCTGTTCATTATAAATTACCCAGTCTGTGGTATTTTGTTACGGAAGCACGAAAAGGACTAAGACAAGGACAACAGAAGTAGGTTGCATTTGGAGAAAGAGATTGGAAGAAGGCAAAGATGAGTTTAGCTTTGGACCTCTTCAATGTGAAGTTCCTGTGGGACATTAACATCGAAAGAAAGCAGCAGGATCTACATGTCTAAAACTCAAAAGATCATTCTCAGCTGGAATTATAGATGGGTAGTCATCAACAGACTGAAACTACACAAGTGGATGAATTCTTGCAAAGAGTACATGTGAAGTGAGAAAAGAACAGGGAAGAACTTTATAGACATGAGTCAGAAGTAGCTTGGTGAATTGCAGATTCTGTACAGGCTAAAAATGTGAGTTGGCTTCTAAAATTCTCATTTACTTTACCCATAGGGGAAGTAAGTATATGCATTCCTTAGCTGATAGCTTTTTGGAACCAAGCCAAAAAATATAAACTGGAAGTCATTCCCATGAAGAATCCAGAGACCTTGATAAAACAATTTTTTAAAAAACTGAGAGAGTGGCTTGGGCCATCAAGGAGCATGAGAATGAAGAGAGGGGTCTGTCAGAAAGAGTAGTATAGATAGACTAGATCAGTGTCCTCAAGCTCTAGTTTCATACCATGAGCAAGCTTTTTTCTTGGCCCCTTAGTTTATATTACCTAAACTCATCAAATTAATCTCTGACTTTAATTTGCTTTCCCCAAAAGACTTCTCTTTGAGAAGCAGATATTTCCCACTAAGATCTAATGGTTGACTCTCTGATACCAATTGATTCCATGTGAATAATTCTTCCTGAACCTAATCTGTCCCTGTTTAATTGAACACATATAAGATCTGTATTTTGAGAAGAAAGTCCAAGCCTTGCCATTGAGAAAAAGTAGTTACTATGAGAATTTTTCCAAATATCAGCTCCATATTCAAGTTTGCCCTTTCTCCACCAGGGTCTTTTTCATAGGGCTCCAATTAAAACTTCCCAACTTTAGGTTGAATCTTCTTTTCCATGGTCTTTTCCATCTATACACCTACTGTCTGGAATTCAGGATTAGAGTTGCTCTATTCCCCAGGGTGACCAGCTTAAATTCAGCTTCACAGGAGTTTTTACTCTCTAATGTCTAGCTCAGTTTCAAAATTTAGTTGGCCGCTTAATTTCCATATATCATTATCTCATTTCTCCTAAGACTTCCTACTCTTAGTTCAAAATCTGTTTTGGCCCCAGTGGTGACTTTTACTTCTTGTTAAAAATCACCGAGCTTATTTTTTCAGTAATTGATGTCATATTTTGGAACTCAATTATTTTTCACCGTGGTCTTCCTCATATTGTACAGGTGCTATTTTTTCAGCTTGCACAAGGTAATTGTACATTCTGCAAAGGGAGTCATCATTCAAAAAACATTTACTAGCTCCCTATTATATCACGTGGTTCAGGACCTGGGGATGTATCAAATGAGAAAGACAAAATCTCTGCCCTCATGGCATTTAGATTAATTTAAAGGACAAATATTTAACAATTAGTTACATAATTTATATTTTTATTTATGATTGGAATAAATGCTAGTGAAAAAAGCACTAGAGATCAAGAGAGGTATAATAAGGATACAAGGCTTAGTTTGAGGAGATACTGTCTATAAGCGCTGTTAATTTCCATTCATATATAATGGGAAATGAAGTGACGAGTCATATTGCCCTCCACAAATTTTCCCATTGGGTGTGTGGAGTGAGATACTAGGATGAGACCATGTACAGCTATAACTCTATCATGAATCCCAAAGTGACTTATTTATCAGATAACAGGTAAGGCAGTGTGCGCCATGATGAGATAGAAAGATATTCCTTTGGATAGAGTTATCAAAGTAGACTGATAAATGGCTCTTCTAGCTATAAATCAGTATTTTGCTTTTTGTTTAATCTCTTGGTTATGTCACTACTTTTGTGACAGCGGGCAAATGAGATCTTATGTTCCTCGTTTTTAAAATAGAAGTCTGAGCCAAGTCCGTGAGTTTAGTTGGTATTTATCGTCTTGAACCCTCCCAAGCTCCAGTTTAGCTGGATTGGAAAAACAAATCCTCATGGTCCATCCAGTTTCACCACCCCATTATTACAGCCAACAGTAGTTTTAGAAATAATGTAATTCATACCTTTTATGAATGCTTCTCCAAGAGGCATTGATATTCTCTGTTATCATGTGGACTTTTCTGGTATCATCTGCAGAATAATCCCGGAGAAGTTTCAGGGCCAAGTCATTTGCCACATCTACATTTGTCTGCCACTGGCGGAGGTCTTTGGCCAACTGCTATAGATTTTTATGAGAAAGAGAATGAATGTCAGTTTTTTTTATGAAATCTCTAGTTGGAGTGTCTTAAAATACTTCGTAAACAGCTTCTGAATCCTCAGGTCAGAATACATATATTAGATTGCTTTTAACCTACCATATGATTTAGTCAATCATGACAGTATAAGGTAACCCACCTTTCAGGACAAACTTTTCAAATGCAGCATCTTGAGCAATAACCAGTATCAAGTATTTCAACTTAGTAGCAATTAATTGGCAATAAAGTGGGCTTAATTGTTTTTATCACAAGAGAAAAAAACTACAAAAATAAGCTCATATATAATTGTTGAATATGTGACATATAACAACATTTGAACGAAAAAAACCTCATACATTTCTTTCCCTCTTCATTAACTTGTTGAATTGTTTATGTAATTAGTGCCATCTACTGGCGTTCAACTAAACCTGCATACAGAAAATATTGAACAACAAAAGAATAGTACTGTTATTCTAGTCACGAATTTTTTGAAGGATCAAAATACTTTTAGAATACCTTACTTTAAAATTAGAAAAAAAGTCAAAATATAAGAATCTTACTAAACCAAATCACCTACATTTTCTTCGTTGTTTGTCTTTGGCAATTCAGTGTTTTCAAACTTGCTATCTCATCACTTGAAACATATTTCAAAGAAAGAAGTCAATTAATGGTAGGTTTTATCTCGAAGCATATCAACCTGAAATTTCTATTAAACATTTCTGCAAGTGCAGAGAGGAGGCTTCTAAGCATTAAGATAATACTAATTGTTAAGATAGTTATATCAAATTCAATAGGATGGGTTAAGTCATTGATAAATGGACACAGGAATAGGAACAGGTAGTTCAAACAAGAGAAAGAGTGGGATGATTTTATTTAAAAAGAAAAAAGTTAACTTTCAAGTAATAAAAAATAGAGTATTAAATTGAAAAGGTACAATTGGACACCAATTAAATTAACAAAAAATAAAATCCAAAGCTGAAAAGACCAGTAAAACTAGCACATTCACGTATTACTGCTGGGGACCGTTATCTATTAGGACAATTTGGCAATAGATACCAAGTGACATACAAATGCTTATTCCCATTGACTCAATAATCTCACTTTTGGTACTTTATCCTGATAAAATCTTCAAAAGAAGATCAATATACTATATGACTTAAAATCTTCATTAACCAAAGCAGTAAAAAAATGAGAAACAGGCCGGGTGCGGTGGCTCATGCCTGTAATCCCAGCACTTAGGGAGGCCAAGGCGGGTGGATCACGAGGTCAGGAGTTCAAGACCAGTCTGGCCAAGATGGTGAAACACCGTCTCTACTAAAAATATAAAAATTAGCCGGGTGTGCTGGTAGGCTCCTGTAATCCCAGCTACTCGGGAGGCTGAGGCAGAGAATTGCTTGAACCCAGGAGATGGAAGTTGCAGTGAGCCAAGATCACGCCACTGCACTCCAGCCTGGGCGACAGAGTGAGACTCCATCTCGGAAAAAAAAAAAAAAAAAAAAAAAAAAAAAGAGAAACAATGTCGATGTTTAATGCAGGGACATTAAAAGAACATAATACATCATTCCAATGGTCCAATATGTAGCAAATGTGCACAGTAATCACTGTAAAAAGAGCACAATTTTCTTGTGTAAAAAACAGAACACAATTTTTAACTACACTGTGTTTATCTCTAAGAATACATAATCATGAGCTGAACACGAAATGGAAGAAATTGAAAATAATGCTTCTGAGGAGAAAAATCATTTTTGTTTTAATATTTGTTCTTTTGCGTTAGTATGATATTTACAGAATAAAAATCAAACAGTGTTCTTAGCATAATTTCAGCGTGTTTGGTGAACTCCTATTGAACATATACAATCTATATATAATGTAATTTCTCAGTTAACTAAAACATCCTAGAATCAAACCAAGTAATAGTATTTACTGCATATAGCAAATAGACCCAGATTACCAAACTATTATCAAGAAGCTAATGCCAATATCACTGACTTTTGCTATGAAAGCAGAGGACAGTGTCTAAAGGCACAGAGCATAGTTGCTGCTATTACAAAACAATTAACATTTATCCGCGTGGAATGCCTGCCTTTTCTTCCATACTCCTTTTATCAAGCATTACAGTTTCTATTCTCCACTTTTCAGATCCTCGCACTATTTGAAAGCCCTTCTGAGGGAACTTCTGCCAAAGGCTTGCCTTTTCTAGAAATATCCTAGGGTACAAAATTACCACTTCTTTCTTTCTCCTCCTCACTTAAGCCAAACCTAAAGTGATAAAAGAAATGTATTCCAAGATACGAAAGAACATGTAATTGGCCCTTAGTATCCAGAGGGTGCTATTTGCATTTTAAAAGAAGAGCTTATTATCTCTCATCTATTAAATTGCTAATTAATAGCATGAACATCCACAAAACTGAGACCAATAACTTGGTTACCTTTTTTTCAAATGAATTCCTTTTATAAAACACTGAATTGTTAATAAAATACTTATGATGGACCAGTATCAGAGCATATATGTAAAAGCTCAGGAATACAAAATAAAAACAAAATTTTTAGTAAATATATAATTAAAATCATTTATTTTACTCAAGCAAGTTAAATAACCTTGGAAGCCACCCATCACTCATAGGTTCCTGTTTGAAAAGTCTAGATATAAGAGGTTATACCATTTGGATGGTTTCATGGGTATATGCACATGTTCTAGCCCATATAATTTTATGCAGTTTTTGTATATCAATTACACTTCAATAAAGCTGTTAAAATTAAAAAACATAAAATGCAGAAGGTGCCAATGAATCTAAAAACATAATCAATAGATCATAAAAATGCCTAAAATTATAAATTATAACATATCCTAGAATTTTCCAAAATCTCTGAAAGAAATAGTAAGCTAGAGTTAAATGACAGATTTCCTACTAAACAAGGTAGTAAAGAGTGAGGCTTGACGTCAAACCAGAACTTTTTGATGTACTTTAATGCTTGAAAGGTAGAAATACGCGTGCCATATATTTTTCTGCAAAATTGTATTCACAGCGAAAGTTAGGACTGTTATACCTAAGGAAATCTTGACTGAGTGCTAACCCTCACTGAATACTGCCCAGGTTTTGTGAGGATGTAGGATTAAAAAGTAAAACTCCCACTGACCTTGACTGACATTGAGGGGGCTCAGGCCCTTATATAAACACAAAGGTTCTCAAAGGTAGCCTTTTTTTTTTTTCTCCCTTCTTAAAGACATTCCCCACACAGAATGTTTTCCCTTTCTCCTACGGTAATATTCTGCCCGCCCACCTTGGGTTTTACCCAAGTGTCATTCACACTAGGAACCATGACCTTGACCAGCTTTGCCTACTGCTGTGAAATTTACTACTGGGATAACTCCAGACCTCAGAAGGAGTGTAAATTCAAAAATACAACAGACTTCACACACACCCTTTTCTCTTTCTGAATTCCATTGACAATGGTGTACACCACAGGGAATTGCTTGTGTGGTGATCATGGTGTGTGAAGAAATTTAAAATACTGTGAGCACTAGCTTATAAAAAAAGATTGCCTTTGTATATGTGTGTGTGTGTATGTGTGTGTGTGTGTATGTGTGTGTGTTTTCTATGAAGAATATAAAATGCTAAATCCCCAAAAGATTGTTTCCCCAACCAGGAAAGAAATGTTTCACATTCAAACCCATTATGCTGCTACTGCACTATGTGCTTGATATATATTCACAGTATCTTAGGTAGAAAAAGTGATTGTGGACTATGAGACAACCTGAATTAATTTCAAGAATTTTGAGTATTTTTTTCTACTTTAATTGTTTGTCTTCTCTCATTTCTTTTATGTGTAAGAACTTATTTTAGTGATATTGACCCTACATGGTAGAAAAGAGAGGAGGAAGAGAAAGAGTAGCTAAAAGCCTGAGCAATACAATGAGCCTGCTGGGTTTGAATCCTGGCGTGATCGCTTAGTGGCAAATGGGAGAGTTAATTATCTTTTCTGTGCCTCAGTTTCCTCCTTTGCTAAATGGGAATATTAACAGTATTTATGTGGAAATATGATTAGGTGGGTTAACTTAGAGAATTCAGGGAGAACATTTACAAAGGTGCCTGGCGTGCCCGAAGGATTAAATAAATATTAATCATCATCAGCATCAGCATCATCATCATCATTACTACTGCTAGCACATCTACTACTAATTTTAATGAGTCAAACTATATTCCCCACAGTGTGAGCCCCTTCTGAATGCAAAGCAAGTAGCTCGCTGTTTTATGGACATTGTCTAGAAATGCTGCAACTCTAAAATTCTCCCTTTAACTTGGAAGATAAAAGCAAGTGCATAGCTCTATCATTAAAATTTTAAGGTTGAATATTGGTTAAATTTCCTTTTAAAATGTGTTTTGTGATATTCACCTACAAGTAAAATAAATGTTTGTTCCGGGTGAACTATTACTTAAATTTTTAATGACTGTGTCTCAAAGGAACTTCAAGAAAGGCAGTGCAGAGTAACGAAAGGACATCTTCCCAGGAAGTTTTGCTTGTCCATTGTTCTGCAGTTTGATCTTAAGGAAGTCATTAACCTTGTAAGTCCCAGTTTTGTCATCTGTAAACTAGGATGGGGTTACTTGCTCTGACCATGCCTCCGGCTTGTCCTGAAGTGTCAAAATCAAGCAATTGCTCGGAAAATTGTAAAACAGGATCCTAATATGCTTATGAACAAAAAGTTCTACATGTTGGATTTGTTATTTTTCCTTGGATCCTGTATTTACATTCATGAACCAAGGGATTCATGGAAAAATTTAACTCTGTTAGCTAACCACCAAGAGGTCGTTTGCTCTTAGATCCATTCTCTACCCATTTCCTACTCCACTCAGTATTGAGATGTACTAACTCCCATAGGAGGTCAGAATTTCCTGGGATTTCTTGCTAGCTGGCTTCTAACTAGGTTAAGTCATGAGACACACTAGTGGGAGACAGAAGAGCATGAGAAAGGGTGAAACAAGATAATTATCCCCCTTCTCTCTCTGTCTTGGCAGTATCTCCTTTGTCTCCGTTTCCCACTGGACGGCTGCTCCCTCTGTAATTCCATTACCTGCTGTGCAGACCTTACATTGGGTGAATTAGCACCCGATGGTTCTGGTTTCTGGGCTTTGGTAAAACTTGTCGGTTCCCCAGCCCTTGAGGTGGTAATAGTTTCCTGAAGTTGCTAAACTCTGGGTTGCCTCACTGTCCTCTGTTGGGTTTGTCAGCTCCTTCATTCCTATGGAGGAGCCAGTCCTCTGTATTGAATTTCCTCTGTTTGAAATATCGAATGTGGTTTACAGACTAATTCCTGACAACACGAACTGAAAGAAATCTCACAGTAAATGATCCTACCTACAATTCCACAGGGGGAAATTTAATATATCAAACATACATTTCATGAAATATCAGACTTTACATCTTGCATCCTTCTCTCTAGTCTCAGAGGAAGAGGCGACTTTTCTGCTATTGGAAGTTGATTTCACCATCTGGGCACCCATCTATTCTGGGATCCTCCTCCACATACTCCCTCTCTCTTTGTGTGTTCCAACTTCTTGCCTCTCTGCGGGGACCTTCTCTAGAGACTTCAAACATGAGTGTCTCTCTCATCTTTAAACAACAACAACAACAATAATCTGCACTCTATCATTTTCTTTCCTTTCACAGTCACACTCTTTAGAAGGCAGATATTCACTCATTATCTCAACTTGACTACATTCGTGCCACTCTCCAATTCATGAAAATCAGGCTTCTGCCATCATCGTTCCACTAAAACTATTCTGACAGAAGTCACTATGGCAAATTGAATTACTGGCCCCAATTCTTTACCTCTCCCTGTATCCATGCCCTTTGCTAAGTAACTCTGAAATTCTTCCTACGAAAGACAGCATGCCCTTGACATTGAGCTTGGTCATGCGCCTTGCTTTGCCTAATCCCAGTGGGATATTACTAGAAGTAACACAAGCAGAGGCTTGAAATGTATTTATGCAGTGTGGCTATCCCTTTTGCACTTCACCATTACCTTAAGACAAACATGCTCTGGACTAGCCTACTCATCTCAGGAGGAGAATGAGTGACATATGGAGCAGAGCGACCCCAATCAACCTGCAACATGAAGAAGTGCCACCCCACCCAAGCTGAAAATTCATGAAAGGCAATATGGGCTTATTGCTATATGCCACTCACATTTGTGAAAATAGTTAACTGATTCAGTTACCAAAAGCCAATGCCTATGGAAAGATTTAAGTTCTTATTTACTTGATTTATTTGCAGCAACTGGTGCTGCTGACTATTCTCTTCTCGAAGTTCTCTGCTTTCTTGGCTTCCACTCTTTTGGTCGCCTCTGTATTCTCTGAGTGTTCAAGCTTTTTTTTTTTTTTTTTTGCCTGTCCTTTAAATATTAATGTTCTCCAAAATTCTGTCTCTGGATCAATCTGATATGTTGGTCCTCAACTGGAGCAGGAGGCAGGGAACATACTCCCTGGGTAGTTGTATCATAAGTTTTTTTTTTTTTTTTTTTAACTTTTATCCAAATCTTCTACTTCCATTGACACTACCTTAATTTACGTCCCTATCATCTCTTGCTCAGGTACTAAAATAATCTTTTTTATTGGCTCCCTCCCTCCACTCTCAAACCACCCTTCCACCTACATACAACTGCGTAAATGATCTTTTTGTAATGCAAATAGAACCTCATTTCTCCTCTGTGTAAAACCTTTCAATGGTTTGCTATTACCTGCAAGACAAAGTCCTAACCTCTCTCTTTGGATTACAAGGCCCTCGAATATATGACCCCTACCTACATATTCACTTTCATCTTTTGATATCTTCTTCCTTTTTGAGCAATTCCATAATTGTCCACATGAGAATATAAATGCTCTGAAAGGTTAAGTGACTTGTTCAAGGTGACATAGCTAGTCAGTGAAAGAGTCATCATAAAAATGCAGGTTTCTGGACTCTCAATTCAGGTTTCATTTCAATTCAGTTAAAGAAGTTATGCATCCATATAAAGAAATTTAAGGAAAAGGACTGGGTTTATTTTAACTGAGCTTTGAAGAATATAAAACAATCTTGATGATTATAGCATGACTGGAAAATTATTATGTATAATAAAGTAAGGCATTTCTGAAAAAAAGACAGCAGAAAAATACATAGTTTATTTTTGAAAATCACTAAACAATTTGGTCCCAAGAATGAATTAATGTTCTATAAATCCTTATTGGGAAAAGAGAAGCACAATTTCTTCCCTCCTTGTGTGAATTAAAACGACCTATAAAACCTCTTTATGGATTTATAATAGAAATGTTAAAATAGCTGTAAGAAAGCCATTTCAAAAGTAAAGCCTCTCACCATTAACTTCAAGACTCATCTATTAAACCTCTGACATTACCAAACAACTCTGTTTCAGAAGGTAACACTCTATACAGGGCATACTATTTAAGAAAATGGCCCTCATTTTCCGGCTTACTGAAAATGATTAATCTTTACAATAGCTTTGAAGACTACATACCAACGTCGTTACTTTTCTGTCCTTTCAACAATGACTACAAGCTGAGAGCAGACTAGTAAATGTGTTATCGGCCAACCCATTAGAGTTCCATTATTTTCTGTCTTACATGGCTTCATGTAATGAATTTTTATAATTAAACTAATGGCATACAATATATTTTTCCCCTCTTTACTTTCAGGCCCCATTTCTCTTCCAGCTGCTTTGGAATAAGTTTCATACAAAAAGAAGGGAGGAGAGGTCTCCAAGTGCTTCGTTACCTTAATTTCATTATGACATTTTTGAAAGCATTCTCTTTATCTGGGCTCTCTCTTTAATTTGCTGACTTTATTAAAAGGCTTAAGCAATACTGTAATTAACAAATCACCCAGCTACCCCAGGCATCTGAGAAAAGTCAGTTGAGAGGGTGTAGAAATGGATGGGTGGAAACGATTCCAGAAACAATGCCAGAGGACAGAACCCCAGAAAATGGCGTTTTTTCAGCTCCTTTTCAGACCCCATGAGCATATTGTGGTAGACTGCATTATTGTTCTCAAATATCCAGTGCCTTTTCACGCCAGAAGATTATACATCGGCATTCCCATTGAACTCAGGAATGGCCATGTGACTGGTTTTGTCTACTGGTCACTTCCAGGCAGAAGGCTCAAGAACCATGTTCCTTGCCTCTATGATCATGAAAGAATGTACCAAGATGGAGATACCATCAGCCATGGTCCCCGAGTGACTAAGCTAAGTAGAATGCTCTCATCAGTCTACAACGAACATGTAACATGAGTAAAATATAGACTATTAAGCCTCTAGATTTGAGGTTGCTTATTACTGTAGCTTAGCCTATGCTGACTGACATACCTATTCAGATATGACCTTATTTCACATAGAGTAGGGCAATTCTAATACCTCCAGACAGTCCTGGACCAGGACCAGGGCTAGAATAAACTAGTATAATGACACATAAAGAACAGGTTCTCTTATTAATAAATAGGAAGCCACATAAATGTTGAGGAAATGTTTAGAACAACAATATCCCTGTTTTTCTGAACTACAGGTAACATCTCAGAATATATTCTATAGGACAGAACCTGCCTATCTTGACCATAAAAGAAAATAGCTCCCTATCCATTGTGTGATGGAGGCTCCCATCTAGGTAGCAGTTATGTTCCACAGACATGGCTATTTTTTCATTTCTATAGCTGGCAAGCAGCTTCATGAAAGAGAAAAATGGAGACTATGTTTCTAAAACTGTGTTCATAAAACTTGAAAAAATAAGAAAAGATCTGTAGTCAATGACATGCAGATATACTTTTTAACATACCATAAAATTCTCCCACTTAAAGTGCATAATTTTCTGGTTCTTAATGTATTCAGGGTTGTGCAACCATTATTATGATCTAATTTGAGAACATTTTATTTGCCCCCAATGAAACCCATACCAATTAACAGTCCCTTTCTATTGTCTATTCTCCTCCTCCTTCAGTCTTTACTGGATGTTTTATATGAATGTATTGATACAATTTGGGGTCTTTTGTGACTGGATTCCATCACTTAGCATATTTTTGAGGTTCACTCATGTTACAGTGCATATCAGTATTTCATTTCTTTTTATTGCTAAATAATATTCCATTTTTGGATGTAGAGGACATTTTAAAATTTATTCATTAGCTGATGGACATTTGGGTTGGTTCTACTTTTTGGCTATTATAAATAATGCTGCTATGAACATCTGTATAAAGGTTTTCTGTGTACATATGTATTTTTATTTCTGTTCAGCATACACCTGGGAGTAGAATGGTTTTGTCATATGGTAGCTTCATGTTTAATATTTCCAGGAGACTGGGAAGGGTAGTGGTAGGGGGAAAGGGGGGGATGGCTAATGGGTAGTGAAATTTATAATACAAAAATATAGTTTGATAGAATGAATAAGATCTAGTATTTGATAGCACAAGAGGATGACTACAGTCAAAAAATTTATTGTGAATTTAAAAATAACTGATTATTATTAGATTGTCGTTTGTAACAGAAAAGATAATTGCTTGAGGTGAGGGATAGGCCAGGTACCCCAATGTGACTGTTACACATTGTATGCCTATATCAAAATATTTCCTGTATCCCATAAATATATATACCTACTGTGTACCCACAAAAATTAAAAATTAAAAAAATATTTCCAGGAACTTCCAAACTGTTTTCAAAGTTGTTTCACCATTTTACATTTCCACCAGTAATGTGAAAATTCCAAGCATTCTTCATCTTCTCAACACTTGTTATTGTCTGTATTTTTTGTATTAGCCATCCTAGTGGGTAAAAAGTACTATCTCCTTGTGGTTTTCATTTGCATTTTTTAAACAATCAATGATGTTAACCATCTTTTCATGTGCTTATGGAGATCTATACATCTACTTTGGAGAAATGCCTATTCAAACTGTTTCTTCACTTGTAATTAAGTCATTTATCCTTTTTGTTGTTGAATTATGAGTTTTTATATATTCTTGATACAAGTATCTTATCAAATATATGATTTACAAATATTTTTACCCATTCTGAGGATTGTCTTTTCCCTTTCTTTACAATATTGCTTGCAGTACAAAAGTTTTAATTTTGTTAAAGTCCAAATTGTGTATTTTTCGGTTACTTTTGCTTTTGGTGTCATATCTAAGAAAACACTGCATAATCCATTGTATTCCTACATTTTCTTAGAAGAGTTTTAAAGTTTTAGTTCTTATTAATATATTTAGCTCTATGATTCATTAAAAATATATTATTATTATAAAGTTTATTTTACAAAAGTTTTAAAACATTTTATTTTTAATTTTATTTTGCTTTGACAAATAATTATATACATTTATGGGGTACATGTATGTTCTGATATATGTATACACTGTGGAATGATTATATCGAGCAATTTAACGTATCTATCACTGCATATATTTATCATATTTTATAGCAAGAACATTTAAAATCTGTTATTTTAGCAATTTTGAAATATACAATATAATATTATTAACTATGGTCACCAGGTTGTGTCATAAAGTCTCAAAAACTTATTCCTCCTGACTAAAGTTTTTAACCCCTTTTGATCAACATCTCCCCATTTTCCACCCCTAAATCCACAGCCTCTGGTAACCACCATTCTACTCTCTACTTCAATGAGTTTGACTTTTTTAGATTCCACACATAAGTGAGATCACGCAGTATTTGACTTTCTGTGCCTGGCTTATTTCATTTAGTATAATGTCCTCCAGGTTCATCCACGCTGTCATAAACAAAAGGATATTCTTTATTTAAGGCTGAATAATACTCCATTGTGTATATGTACCACATTTTCTTTATCCATTCATCCACTGATGGAAACTTAGGTTGATTCCATATCATGGCTTTTGTGACTAATGCTGCAATAAACACAGGAGTGAAGATATCTCTTTGACATACTGGTTTAAATTCTTTTGGATATATACCCGGAAGTGGGATTGCTGGATCCTATGGTAATTCTGTTTTCAGTTTTTTGAGGAGCTACCATACTGTTCTCCATAATGGTTGTACTAATATACATTCCCACCAATGATATACAAGTGTTACCTTTTTTCCATATCCTTGATCAACACTTGTTATCATTCTTCTCTTTTTATAACAGCCATTCTAACAGGTGTAAGGTGACATCTCACTGCGATTGTAATATGCATTTCCCCAATGATTAGTGATGTTGAGCATTTTTCACAAACCCGTTAGCTATTTGTACATCTTCTTTTGAGAAATGTTTAAGTGTTTTGCCCATTTTAATCAGATTATTTGTTTTCTTTTATGATACATTTAAGCTAATTTTTGTGTATGGTGTGAGGTGGGGCCAAATTTCATTATTTTTCATGTGTATATCCAGTTATTCTAGCACCAGGTTGTGAAAGACTATTCTTTTTCCATTGAATTCTCTTGGTACCCTTGTCAAAAATCAGTTGACCATAAATGCAAAGGTTTACTTTTGAACTTTCAATTCTATTTCATTGATCTATATGTCTATTCACATTCTAGTACCACATTGACTTAATAATTGTAGCTTTGTAGTAGTTTTTGAAATTGGAAAGTTAACTCCTCCAATGTTGTTCTTTTTTCAAGGTTGTTTTGACTATTCTACATCCCTTGCATTTCAATAGAAATGGTAGGATCCACTTGTCAATTTCTGAAAAAAAAAAAAAAGCCAGTTGTGATTTTGATAATGATTCCATAGAGTCTGTAGATCAATTGGGGGGATATTGATATCTTAATAATATTAAGTCTTTTGATCTGAGAACATGTGATATTTTTCTATTTTTTTATCTTTAATTTCTTTCAACACTGCTTTGTATTCTTCAGTATACAAGCCTTGCATCTCTTTTATTCCTAAGTTTTTAACATTTTTTGATGCCATTGTAAATATTTTCTTAATTTCACTTTTAGATTATTCATTTTTAATGTATAAAATAATTCATTTTGTATATTGATCTTGTATCCTACAAATTTGCTGAATTATTTTATTATTTCTAATATTTTTTCATAGATTCTTCAAAATTTTCTAATTACAAGGTCATGTTGTCTGCAAGTAGAGATAATTTTACTTATTCCTTTCTAATCTGGATGTCTTTTATTTATTTTTCTTGCCTAATTTCCCTGGCCTGAACTTCCAGTACAATACTGAATAGAAGTGGTGAGACCAGGCATCCTTCACTATTTCCTGATCTTAGGGGAAAGCATTCAGTGTTTCACAATAACATTAGCTGTGGAATTTTTGTAGCTGCCTTTTATCAGGTTGAGGAAATCCTCTTCTGTATTCGTTTCCTCGGGCTTCTGTAATTAAGTGTCACAATTTGCGTAGCTGGGTAGACAAAACTCATTGTCTCAGACTTCTGGAGGCTAGATCCAAAATCAAGATTCCAGCAGGCCCATACTCCTGCTGAAACCTGTAGGGGAGAATTTTTCCTTGCCTCTTCCTTGCTTCTAATGATGGCCGTTAATCATTAGTTTTACTTGTCTTGCAACTGTAGCACTTTAATCTCTAACTGTAACATCACATGGTGTTTTTCCCGTGGTCAGTGCCTTTATGTGGCATTCTTCTCTCTGTGTATGCCTCTTTTCCTCTTCTTATAAAAATACCATCTTAACTTGACTGCATCTGCAAAGACTCTATTTCTACATAAGGTCACATTTGCAGATACCTGGGCTCAGGCTTTTAGTATGTCTTTTGGGAGCGGGGGACACTATTCAATCCACAAAACCTTCTTTTTTTTTTTTTTTTTAGACGGAGTCTCGCTCTTTCGCCCAGGCCGGACTGCAGTGCTGCTGTCTCGGCTCACTGCAAACTCTGCCTCCAGGGTTCGCGCCATTCTCCTGCCTCAGCCTCCTGAGTAGCTGGGACTACAGGCGCCCGCCACCGTGCCCAGCTAATTTTTTGTATTTTTAGCAGAGACGGGGTTTTACCGTGTTAGCCAGGATGGTCTCAATCTCCTGACCTCGTGATCCAACTGCCTCGGCCTCCCAAAGTGCTGGGATTACAGGCGTGAGCCACCACACCTGGCCAATACCTTCTATTCTTCATTTGTTAAGTGTTCTTTATTTTTCAAGCTTGAAAGGGTTTTGTACTTTGTCACATGAATTTTCTATATTTATTGTGATGACCATACGATTTTTGTCCTTTATTCTATTGATATGGTATAATACATTGATTAAATTTTGGATGTTAAACCAACCTTACATTCCTGTGATAAATCTTACCTGGTTATGGTAGCAATCATGTTAATATGTTGTTGTATTAGGTTTGATAATTTTTTGAGGCGTTTCAAGTCTATATTCATAAGGCATATTGCTCTGTAGCTTGTTTTCTTGTGATATCTTTGTCTGGTTAGGAAGTGTTCCTTTCTCTTCTATTTTTTGGAAGAGTTGTTTATATGTTTGGTAGAATTCATCGGGGGAAGACTTCTGGGCCTGAGCCTTTCATTGGGAGAAGTTTTTAATACCAATTCAATTTCTTGTTATAGGTCTATCCAGGTTATCTATTTGTTTAGTTGTTCATAATATCCTCTTTTACTTCTTTTTATTTCTGTAATGTTGGTAGTAATGCACCCTCTTTTTCTCTAATATTAGTAATTTGACCATTTCTTTCCTAACCAATCAGCTAAAACTTTGTCAATTTTGTTGACCTTTTCAAATAACTAAATTTCTAGATTTTGGTTTTGTTGATTTTTTCTATTATATTTTCTTCCTCTATCTGATTTTTTTCACACTAATTGTTATTACTTCCTGCTGCTTACTGTAGATTTACTTTTCTCTTCTTTTTCTAGTTTCTTAAGGTAGAAGCTTAGGCTACTGATTTCAGATCTTTTTCCTTTTTAAATATAGGTATTTATAGTTATACATTTTACTCTAAGCACTGCTTCAGCCTCCTCCCATAAGTTTTGGTATATTGTATTTTTATTTCCATTTATCTCAAGATATTTTTGTATTTTCTTATTTCTTCTTTGTCCCATTGGCTATTTAAGAGTGTGTTGTATAATTTTCTCATATTTATGAACTCCCAAATTTACATCTGTTACTGATTTTTAATTGTACTCCATTATGGTCATAAAATCTGCATTGTATGATTTTAATCCCTTTGAATGTAGTGAGACTTATTTTATGACCTAGCATATGGCCTACCCTAGAGAATATTTCGTGTACAGTTGAAAAGAATGAGTATTCTGCTATTATTGGATGAAACGCTGTATAGATATCTGTTAGGTCTTGTAAGTTTATAGTCTTTATAGTCTTTTTCAAGTGTCTATTTCCTTGTTAATTTGCCTAGTTCTTTTACCTGTTATTAAAAGTGAGATGTTGAAGTCTCCAACTATTTTTGTTGAATTACCTAATTCTTCTTTCAGTTCAGTCAGTTTTTGCTTTCTGTATTTCCTTAATATTTTTTCTTTCTTTTCTTTGGATTGGATTATCCCATTTACCTATTTTCAAGTTTGCTGATTCTTTCTTTTGCAGCTTGAATCTGACGTCAAGTGAAAATTTAATTTTAGTTATTGTGCTTTCCAACTCCAGATATTCCACTGAGTTCTTATTTACAATTTCTATCTCTTTATTGATACTCTCTATTTGTTAAGACAAGCACATGGGCTTCTAGATCCCGCAAGAACATGTCAGAGGTTGCCAAAATCCCCTATGGACACCTCATTCTCCAGAGCTTCACTGGAAGTTTTTCTCCAGACCTATGTTTATCTCAACTAGCATCACAGCCTTAGGAACCTGTTATGTTAAAGAATTGCTGCTAATTGGTTTGGACCAACACCCTGGAGCTAGGGCTTTTCCTAGAAAGTTATCTCTAAGTCGGGCCAAATAAAGGCAAGGCCATGTATATAGGTTTATTCCAGGGAGCTGCAAGATAGGTCAAACAGTGGCAAGGTTCTTGGAATAAAATTGGCCTTTTTGAAGAATTCCAATCCTGGTCTACACTCTCTGGTGGCTAAAAGGCTGCTAGTTTTCACAGCTATTATGGTTGCAAGGCTACTGATTTTCAAGGCTACTGTGGAGCTGGGAGAAAGTGACGGGAAAGGCCAACTTAAAAAACCTCAAACTTTGCCATTTTTATTGAGAGTCAGCATTTCAAAAATTGTTGCCAGCCTTTGGTTAATTCCCAGGGTTCAGAAAAGGCGATGTGGGGCCAGGCATGTTGGCTCACGCCTGTATCCCAGCACTTTGGGAGGCTGAAGTGGGCGGAACACTCGAGGTCAGGAGTTTGAGACCAGCCTGGCCAACATAGTGAAACCCTGTCTCTACTAAAAACACGAGAAATAGTTGGGCGTGGTGGAATGTGCCTGTAGTTCCATCTACTTGGGATGCTGAGAGACTCACTTGATCACAGGAGGTGGAGGTTGCACTAAGCCAAGATCATGCCACTGCACTCCAGCCTGGGTGACAGAGTGAGACTCCATCTCAAAAAAAGGAAAAAAAGAAAGAAAAGAAAAAAGAAAAGATGATTTCGAAAATTTTTTGAGGAGCAGATTTACACAGTTACCACATTATATTTTCAAGCACGGGATAAGTTAAATTGTGAAAAGCAAACTAGAGAAAATATGGTACAATCAAAGCATAAAGTTATTCAAGGCTTGGTGACTCTGCATTAAATATTTATATAATATAATAGTTACCTGGGGAAACTAGCCCATTACTACCTGTGTTCTATCAGCAATGTAGAGAGCACTCTGTTTGTATGCTTTGAGAACTTTAAGAGTTTCATGCATACTTTAGAAGGAAAAGTACTATTGGGTTATTGATCTTTTCTCTTTAATCACATAGAAGCTTTAGGGGAGAACAAAAGGGAATAAAGAAAATACATGAAGAAATGGTAGGTCCTGGCAAGAAGATTTCTAATAATGCTTTTCATTATTGTACCAGAAACCCAAACCTCAAACTACTAGTGTGGGTCAATTTGCTGATTTAATTTTGTACAACTCCAAAAAATACACAAAATATATAAAAGAAAAATTCAGTTTCCACTACCGTACATATTTTTATGGTGGATGAGATATATGATGCCATCGATCCTTCCACAGATAACTAAAAATGTAAGGCACTACTTCCATATTTGAAAAATGTCTCCCTTTTTAGTAAAATAATTTGAGACACTCAAATAGCTGCCTTAGTTACTACATACAATAAGTTCAACTTTTAAAATTAATTATGTGATTATAGAATGTCTGTGTTTCAAGTTTCCTAAAGAATGCCTTCAAAAACACAGAGATTTTGCAGCCTTAGAAATGTTTATTCAATAATTTGAAAAGTATTGAATTTCTTGCTTCAGATAGTTTTCAATATTATATAGCCAAATCAGCCAGGCTCAAACAAGATTTCACTTCTCTATTGAATTCATGTACTCTTAGCTCAGCCAAGCACAAAACAGCTAATGCTGTCACGTTTGAAAAGCTTTTACGCTGAATTTGACACAAAAGCAATCACAAAGCCGACAAAAAGGGGATTTCTCTTTCAAAAACTGACAGGGGAAAAAATAAATGAAAACTCGGAGCCTGGGAAAATCTCTCTTGACACTGGAAAAGAAAGTTTAAAACGATCAAGAAATAATTTTTCCAAAGAATCCATTGCCAAGTTTGGACCAATCTTAAAAGCCTAGGGAACAGGTTATGAACTCAACCAAGAATCCGCCAAATGAAATAAATCCTATGATGATCACTGTTGGCAGTTTTAGGTGCCAATGGCATACTATTTTTGCCTCTTGTGAAAGTTCTAAATGGCATCATCTCTCATAGGATTCTGTCATAGCCTATTGGCAAAGATTTTGATTAGAATGAAAATCTTGTATGTTTTTGCCTAACATCTGTCTTTCTATCTCAAAAGAACTTTATTGTTGTACCAGGCCCATAGAGAAGATAAAATTAAACCATGAAGCCATGTGGCTAACAAAATTAACTACTTTCTAACTTCATGTTTTTGTTTTAGAAAAAATTAAGGGTGAAAGAAAACAATTACCAATATGTTATGGCCGTCTCTTGATGGCCTGCTAATTAATTGTTGATACTCTATGCCATCTGCATTCTGTTTTTTCACCAAATCAAGACTCTCCTGTTGCTGTTTCTTTCCACTCTGACCACGCTTTCAAGATAAGCTTTTTCCACATGACATCTCCGGTTTTATTTCTGTTCTGTGAATAGGTTGTTATTGTCCCCATTTATTCTCCTTATTTATGTATTTTTGAGACAGAGTCTTGCTCTGTCACCCAGGCTGGAGTGCAGTGGCGTGATCTTGGCTCACTGCAACCTCCGCCTCCCGGGTTCAAGCGATTCCCCTGCCTCAGCCTCCCAAGTAGCTGGGACTACAGGCATGCAGCACCACGCCAGGCTAGTTTTTGTATTTTTAGTAGAGACAGGGTTTCACCATGTTGGTCAGGCCGGTCTCAAACTCCTGATCTCGTGATCTGCCTGCCTCGGCCTCCCAAAGTGCTGGGATTACAGGTATGAGCCACCGCGCCCGGCCTCACCATTCTTTTTTTCTAAATAAAAGGAGGAGTTTTTTCTAAATGTCAGACCAGCAAGGACATAAAGATGGAAATTAATGAAATAATATAAAGAAGTTAAAATAATTATTAAAAGATGTTTAACAACATTGATAAATATTTATGCAATATTAAGTTTACAAATCAGAATTTAAAATTTAATTTACATTATGTAGACAATTAAAATATATGTAGATAAGAACTAGAAGAGACTGTCAATAAAGATTAGCAATTATGAATCATTAATTGCTTTTTGGTATCAAGCATTTTTGGTAATTTTCTTTTTACGTTCAGGTATGGTGACTGGCTCAAATTTTAAGAGTTATAACAGTGTTGGTGGTTGGGTTTGAAACATTTCATTGTTGCTCAGTAGTGAGAGTTAGTGTAGTCATCACTGAGGTGCTGCAAAGGAGGCTGGCTGCTGTAATCACAGCTCTCCAAGGCTGTAGACATAGCTTTGTGATTGCCTTGTGAGGCTCACAGGCTCTCTTGTTAATCTTAGGCACACAGACTCAGAAAGAACTTACGGAGCAAGGGGGTGTTGCTTTAGCCATTTAATGTCTCCTCCTGTCTATTTTCACACTTTTTTCCTAAAAGAAAATTTTAAGTAATAAGCCAGCTAATATCACTTAGTAGTGATGACACATTCGATGTAAAGACCAGATAACCATTTTATTTGCTCCCTACCTTTTAGAAGAATTAAACATTGTCGTTTCATTAAAAATGAAATGCAGTTTGCAATTATTGTTTTATTTTTTCATCAAAGAATATAATATGAAATTTTTTTTCGCAGTATACTATTTCATTGCTTTCATTTTCTACCTGTTGGTTTATCAGTAATGTAATATAATCTTATTTGTCAATTAATAATTACATGAGTCTTTTTCAGATTCTTATGGGGTTTTCTTGCTTTGTTTTAGCCACGTAGACAATTGGAAGAGGAAGCCTGTGAGGTCATCTACAAGAGTAATTGCTATGCATTCGCATCACAACTCTACTACTTTCAAAAGAAGATTCTGAACTTCTCTAGCCTTCAGTTTTCTTCTCTGCAAACTAAGAATAATAAGAGTACTTTTCAAAGAGTGTTTTTGAAAGGATGAAATAAACCAATATATATAAAGTGACTAGCATACTTTTTGACACACAGCAAGCATTCACTAAAAGTTATTATTAACATTAGGATTACTTTAATTTTAGCATACATCATTCAAGAAATGGATGAAAAAATTACAGCTTTGGCCATCTTTATCTGTATCGGGAACTTACATTGAATCTGCAGCAATACACATCATTAAATTCCTAAACACAGAGCACAAACAAAAAATGTCAATCTCTATAGATAGTGGCTGAGCCATTTTTATGATGTAGTTTTAGACCATTCCAAAGCGTTTTTTTTTTTTAATTTCAAAAGTTTGACAAAGGATAGCAATTATAATACAATTCTGGTTTTATTTTAGGTGATTAAAACATCTTACATGTTTTGACAATGCAATTGTTTTGTTTTCTACTTTCATATTTCCTTCTGCAGATATTTTTGTCTCTTATTTAAAGCTACTTGCTCTTCTAAGAGCAATTAAACCCTAACCATTCTTACCATCACTTTAGGATTTTCTTAGGTTAAATTTATTTCTCATTTGCTAACTACCAGAGTCCTCTTGCCCTAGTCAAATCTATCACTGTATGCCTCTCATCTCTCCTTCTTCTCATCTAACTCAAGGATCCAGTCCAAACTTCGTATTTTCTGCTTATACCTTCTTACCAGTTAACTACTTTGGTTTGTGATCCAATAGATTCATAGTATCCGAAACTTATAGAGAAGAAAAAGAAGTAGCATAACATGCTGACTACCTCACGAATATGACTAGAGCTTTCAAGAATAACCACATGATTCTATATATTACATAGTCAGACCAGGAATTAGGAAAATGACCATTGGAGATTCCTAATTCATCTATGCTCATCCATTGAAAAAACCATTAGTGGTAACATGTGTCTCTTGAAAGAATTTTTATTCACCTAGATTTTGACTCCAACAGAGCTAATGATAAGACTGTAAAATTCTATGTGGCTTTCTAACATCCTCATCATATAAACTAAAACCTTGTCCTCATAGCAGCTCAGGTCCCTTCGATAAAATGGCTATGACAGAGATTGGCTAAAAGCTCACTAATTCCATTAACTCTTCCTGAAATTCAATCGAGAACAAGTTCTGTGTGATGGGATGTGGTGGAAGTGATATACATAATTTCCAGGCCTGGCCATAAAACACCATGGATTGACTGACCACATTCTGTCTTCCTTTTCTGCAGTGGCTTTTGGCAGTGTGTTGAAAATGACAAGTGTCACAAAATTGGAAAAGTCTGGGTTTCCAAGTGACCATGTTGGGGGACAGCTCCTAAGAATGGCTTGTCAACCTCTACTGGACTATGATATAACCAAGAAAGCAGTCTTTATTGTGTTAAGCTATTGAGATTTCAGAGTTCATTTCTTACTATAGCTTAGCATAGCCTAACCTGACTAATTTGGAAATGGAAGCCATTTCATCCAAGAAAATGATACGGTTTCCTTCTTAGATGACATAACCAATTTGAGAATCAGATACTGGTTTAGCAAAAGGCCTTTTCTGTCAGATAAAATATCTATAGAGGGTTTTGATCAAGTGCCCAATCTGATCAACCTCCTACCATGTTACTTCCCTGCTCAAAATACCCTAAAGCTTAACCATTGTTTAACATTTAAGGGCTTTTCAAACTGACTAGTAAATACTAAGTTTGAAGGGATTAAACGCATGCAAAGCACTATGCATGCTGCTTGATAAAACATAGTTATTAAGCAATTTTCTTCCTTTTCCTTTTTCTTTTATCCTGAGGAATTATAGACTACTAAGCAGACAGATATTTGAGGAAATTTCAGAGGAAAGAGAAAGAAGAGAAGAATGAGCTGGGCTGGAGGTAAGAGAATGGGGGGAGAAAGTGAGAGTACTCCTTATTCCTCCCCAATCCTGATACCCACTCACCCCCATTTCTTGATCCAGGGCCTCCAAATAAGATATGAAAGAGTAGACCTGTTACTTTTTCTAGGAAGGAATTAAGCCCGAATGGTTGACTTCATGCAACTACATAAATACGTATACCAATTTTGAAGTGATCTTAAAGATGGTGCAACAGAAAACCAGCCAACTATATCCAGATTACTAAACAAAATTAACTTTAACATTGACATTAGCTGTCAATTTTCCTCTATTCTCTACCTTGACTCAAAAGTCTACTGGCTAGGCATGCTAACTCATGCCTGTAATCCTAGTGCTTTGGGAGGCCAAGGAAGGAGAATTGCTTGAGGCCAAGAGTTCAAGAACCCATCTCTACAGAAAACAAAAATTTTTAAAAAATTAGCCAGGCGTGGTGGTACACGCCTGGCTAGTAGTCCCAGCTACTAGGGAGGCTGAGGCAGGAGGACTGCTTGAGCCCCAGAGTTCAAGGCTCAGTGAGCTATGATTGTGCCACTGCACTTTAGCCTGGGTGACAGTGAGACTCTGTCTCTAAGAAAATAAATATACAAAGTCTACTGTTCATTTCAGCTTTAACGTGATTTTCTGTTAATAACTTTACATTAAACATCATTAAATTACAATCTATGGTATAATTTTATCAAATGTAACCAGTATTTTATTTTAAAAAGGTATCTTTGATACTAACCTTGGTTTCTGTGATTTTCTTTTGGATTGCATCTACTGTATAGGGACCCTCCTTCCATGACTCAAGCTTGGCTCTGGCCTGTCCTAAGACCTGCTCAGCTTCTTCCTTAGCTTCCAGCCATTGTGTTGAATCCTTTAACATTTCATTCAACTGTTGCCTCCGGTTCTGAAGGTGTTCTTGTACTTCATCCCACTGATTCTGAATTCTTTCAACTAGAATAAAAGGAAAAATAAATATATAGTAGTAAATGCTAGTCTGGAGGAGACATTTTAAATGTAACTTCCAAACGTTATCTCACATTTATGTTGCTTATTTAAAAAATTATTCATTGTGTTATGGCTAGGATGATGAACAACAGGATTCTTTGCTTTTTTGATGGCAAATATTAGTTTCTGTTAAATTATTTTCCTGAAGGTGACATAGAACATCAACATATATATAAAATTTTAACTCAATTCTTGATCCCTAGAACCAAATATGAATCATCTGTTAGAAAAGCACTACAGCAGAATATCCATATCCCCTCATCCTTGCCACTTCAGCACCCATCAGCCTGATTTCCCAGTGCCAGCATTTCATTGCCTGAAGGCTTTCTGTTGCCACAGGAGTTTGCTTTGCCATCCATGTGACAGGCTAGACATACCAGGCAACTGATGCCTCCCCTCCAGCTCCCAGAGGCAGCCTGTATATAATGACTAATTGTAGGAATTGGGATATTGTTACACTAGCTCCCTTGATGCTAGGGGAAATAACTCTGAGGCATGTATTTTACAAGGGTTCCAGAGTTTCCCAAGGGATAAAGCTCCAGTGACCCACAACAGCAGCTGGCTTGATAATGCACCACTCTTTACTGGCTGCCTTGCCTCACCTGTCTCATTTTTCCACTCTTCTACTGATTAATTTACCCCCCAAATAAATCACTTGCTCTTAAAACCTTTTCCAAGGGTCTTCTGAGTGAACCCAAGGGAAGATAAGTGTATTAGAAACTTCTTCTTTTTCTTTCTTTTTTTTTTTTGATGGAGTTTTGCTCTTGTAACCCAGGCTGGAGTGCAATGGTGCAATCTCCGCTCACTGCAACCTCCGCCTCCCGGGTTCAAGCTATCCTCCTGTCTCAGCCTCCCGAGTAGCAGGAACTACAGGCACGTGCCATCATGCCCAGCTAATTTTTTTTTTTTGTATTTTTAATAGAGACAGGGTTTCACCATGTTGGCCGGGCTGGTCTCAAACTCCTGACCTCAGGTGATCCACCTGCCTCGGCCTCCCAAAGTGCTGGGATTACAGGCGTGAGCCACCGCGCCTGGCCAACTTCTTTTAACAATACCTAAGAATTCACGCTGGGTGCATTTTGTAAGACTGGCTTATATTGAGGCTATCACTGGTATCATTGGAAGTCCAAGAGGGAGGTACTATATAGATTCTACTCTGAAATATGTTCTTTTCAAATATTAAAATAAACAGGACTACATTATTTTTTCTATGCAACTTCTCTAAGCTGGTTTTATGAAATAAAAATAATACAGAAAACAAGTAATAAAACTGCCATCTACTTTATCCCTTAAGCATGAAACCTGATAGACATTCTAGATTCTTTCCTAAGCGTCACCCAACACCTCATATAATTAGTTACAAATTTCTCTCATATATAACTTCTTTCCTCTTTCTATTGGCACTGCAAACCTCTATCATTTTTTGCCCTCACATCCATAAGAGGCTCTATATCATCCTCCCAGACCCAAATCTCTGTTTTAGAATGTAAATTCTACCCCAATTAAAGATTAAAACTAACATAAATCTGATCACTGCACTCCCTCTTATAAAACCCTTCAATGTTTCCCTACTGTCTTCTGGAATATCTTAGCTGGACATACGTGTTCTTCTATGATCTTGCCTAGATAATCTGAGAGGTTTATCTACAAAGCAACAAATCACAAGATAAGCAGGGTATAAGAAACCATCACAGATAATACAAGAACCTTGCAACAGTAGAGCTGTTACTACATCTAGGCCCAAGGGATGAGGGGAGGGAAAAGTGGCCAAAAGCAGAGAATTGGAATGAGAAACCACCCTGAGAAGAGCAATAACCTTTTGTCAAAGGACATAGTCAGCCTGTGGCAACCTCAAAGGGAGGGAATTAGGAGAATAAATATCTTGACCTCACTTTACCTCCTGTCTTCAATTTCCTTCTAGGGCTCTTGGGTGCCTAAACCAACTGGAAGCCAAAGGGCATGGGAGCCCAATGATGACAGAGGTCAGCCTCCCAGAATAAAGAGCAAGGGAGAGAAGGTCAAAGAATGGCTACAGATGGACAAACAAAATGTATATGGCACAGGAATATAAAACTATGCTTCTTATTTTGTTATGTAAGTAAAGTCCTTTTTAATTAACCCTGTTGCCTCCACAAAGTTATGTGAAGTTATAAGTTAAAGAAATACTTGAGATGGCCAGGTGCGGTGGCTCACGCCTGTAATCCCAGGTCTCTGGGAGGCCAAAGCGGGTGGATCATGAGGTCAGGAGTTCGAGACCAGCCTGACCGACATGCTGAAACCCAGTCTCTACTAAAAATACAAAAATTAGCACACGCCTGTAATCCCAGCTACTCAGGAGGCTGAGGCAGGAGAATCACTTGAACCCGGGAGGCAGAGGTTGCAGTGAGCCGAGATCATGCCGCTGCACTCCAGCCTGGGTGACAGAGCAAAACTCCATCTCAAAAATAAATACATAGAAAGAAATACTTCAGATATTTTGTAAATAAGCATCAGGACTAGAAAGACCCCACAAAACTAGTGATTGTAACATGAAATCAAAAATATAGTCCCCAGAATAATTAAAACTCAGTAAGTGGCACACATTATAGACTACTGTTTTTTTATCAGGTTTATTTCTGTTTGGGTGTTTGCTATGTATTGCAAAACTAGTCGACATATTATATTGCAACTTCAGTTAACATGTCAACCTCTGTTTAACCGTAAGTCTCTCTCTAATCTTTGAACGCCATTGTTTTGTGTGTCTCATTGTTGTTGTTCCACTAGGTAGTGGAACAGCTTTCGTAGTTGAGGCCTTGTAATTGTTTAGTCTTCTAATTAATCTTTGGTTTATAAAATAAATGGTGTAAATGCTCTTATAAGAAAGCTGTATAAAGTGTAAATGAAAATGTCTTTAAGTGTTCTGAAATATTCTGTGGATATTCCAATTACAAACCCTTTTTCAACTTATCATAGCAGGCTACTTTAGTACACATACTTGGGACTTTTTCTCATATCCTACTGTTATGTACCATGTGTATTTGAAAATAATACAGTTGACATTCCTTAAAAATAGTCTCTGATTCCAATTTGCCTTCGCTTTCGTTAGTCTTAATTACTAACATTTTACTATGCTAGCAATATTTTTTAGAATGCCTAGTGGTTTTCACATAAACATAGCAAGCTCTTTTGATTCATGCCAGTAAATATTTTGTACATCCTACAGTTCATTTCAATAGGGAAAACAGTCTATATTTTTAAAAGGCCATCTCTAGATATTAGGAAAAGATAAAGCAGTTCTTCCTATTATGTAGGAAGATAATTTTAATCCTGGAAAAAGAAGGAAACTTTTATAACCTGAACCATTATTTCAGGCAAACATGGGATTTGAATGCTTGCTCAATAATAGAAGGCTTTCAGCAAAAAAGTGGTCATATGTGTGTTATGTAGCAAGTTAAAATGGCTCCTTGGGGTGTGCATCCCACTGAGGGTATGCTTTTTCACCCTTGACCTTCAACTGTACATTATCATAATTTATTAGTTAATTAAAAATATTTATAGGCTAGAGACTCACTCAATAATCCATCTATCCCTCTGTGCATCCCCACACATCCATCCATGTAGCCAGCTAGTCTCTATTTTATTTACCATCTGTTAGACACCAGCCATTATGATAAGAACTTGGAAAACAAAAGGGTTTAAGACAGATTACCTGGCTTCTGGTTTAGGTGCCTGTTAGATAGTGGTGCTATTCACTGCCTATCCAAAGAATGCAGAGTGAGCATGGAGAAGATAATGAGTTCAGTTTTGGACCTATTCACTGGGAGGTTGTGAGGAACACACACATAAAACTAACATTTTAGTCAGGAGGACTGAAGGATCTATAGCATAGCTGTGTATTTTGGGAGAGACAGAAATCTGGGATTGGCCGTCACTACAGAGAAATAAAAAGCAAAGCCTCAAATGCAAGTGCATTCTCATTTATATGGCACATAGACTGAGCCCAACACCGGGCTGGGAATGGACTCCTGGAAAATACAACGTAAAAAGAATAAATAAAACACAAAGAGCAAATAAGATGAATGAAAGACTAGAGAAGGAGGAGGAATATCAAGAAAGTGTACTTTTATAGAACATGGAAAAGAAAGATTTTCAAAAACACAAGAGTGATTAACACTTTCAAATCTCATAGATGTCACAAGACATAATAAAAATCATAACTAACATTTATTTGAATATCTACACTGTCTGAAGCTCTGTGTTGTTCTTTCCTTGCATTAATCACTTAATCATCATACAATCCTATAAGTATAATTGTTTACGTTCTTTTTCTATTGCTGCAATTATCCTCATTTAACAAATGAGGAAATAAAGACAGCGTTAAATAACTGGTCTAAGGTCACATAGATAGTGATTGTTAGAGCCGACACTTGGATTCAAGAAGTTAGACCTCCAAAGCCCATGCCAAAAGTATCCATTGGCTTTGGCCACATGGAATTCCCTGAAGACCATACACAAAATGATTTCAGTGCAGTGGTAGAAATCTTACTGTAGGAGATTAAAAAATACCTATGAAAAAGTAAGGACAGTAAATTGTAGACTATCCAACCATAGATCATTATAAGAAGGAAGTCAGAGGGGAGTTTGGTGTCAAGAGAAGTTTTTTCCCAAATATGGAAAACTTGAGTATGAATATAGGTATTGATTGGGGAAAATGGTCAAAAGACAAAGATGATGCCAGATGGAAGAAAAGTCCCTGAGAAGGTGCGTGTATTGAACATTAACTAACTACCTCCTTCTCCTGTGTTTCCCCTGTTATTTTTCCATTTGTGCAGTTTTCCCACAATAGACCTCTCTTTGCTCTGTGGATGGTGTGTACTTAGTTTTAACTCATCTCCCTGGCTTTAGTGGTTAATTCAAAGATGGACTTATGGTTCCAAGTAAGGTCAATCAGAACCAATGAAACAACTCTAGGATTTTTGTTGTTGTTGTTGTTGTTCGTGATTCTAAAAGAGAAAACCCATTGCTTCTTGTTTAAGATGGATGAGAAAGCACGTAGTTCTGCAGTATCCTGATATCCATCTTAGAACAATTAAGAGGAATTAAACGGAACAAATACTGGGGAGCAGAGCCATGCAATGGAGAAGGAAAACTAGAATCTGGTCATGCTATTTAATTCCTGAATCAAGCCTCGTCTATCTTTCAACTGTTTAATGACACTGATCAATACATTTTGTCTGAGTAAGTCTAAGCTACTTTGAAATGGATTTTCCATTACTACAATGTACAAGTTCTAACTTATAGAGAGAGACAAACTCTTTTGATGTAAACAAAGGTCTCCTAGGAATTGTACAAGAATCATGGGAATTGTACATGGGAATAGCTTTCAAATACAAAAGTTTAAAAGAGGACTTTGATCCTGCTTAAAGTAGCTTTAACTAGGGTATCTAGATAAATACACTGAATGCTTATATCACCTTGGAGGAGTTCCTACATAAAAAATTTCCAAAGCCCATAGAACCAAAACTTACCAAAAATGTTATGGCATTTAGACAACATTATTCTGTGAGCCTTATGGGTAGGAAGGGATTTTTGCCACCAATGTTTACCTCTTTCTATTCAATTTCTTTATATTATGAATACATAAATGAAAATGACACTCAAAAAGAGAGACATCTGGGGACAAAATTATCCCAGGACATTCACATATAGGGTGGCCACGCCTGGTTACATCCATGGTTTAAAATAATTCTACTCTTTTTCCCTTTTAAGTAGATCTTTGATAACGGAACACCCACTCAAATGTCATCATCACATATAAAGACTTCCCCTGCTCTCATATGTGCAGTCATTTTCTCTCACCGTGGTTCTCCCATAACACTTTGTTAAGATTTTAAAACTTGTACTGTGTGCTACTATGATTTACATTTTTACATTTTACATTTCTGTCTCTGACTCTAGACAGTGTCCTTGCCTCAAAGGCAAGGACAGAATCTGTAGAAGATGCTGTCAGGGCCCATCTATCTGCCGTTGGCACTCATCCTTCAAGTATATGCCAGCAGTGTCCTAGTACAAGCATTTGCCCTACTGCAAACCTGAGAGATTTTCCTCAGCTTGCTAGGTGCGCTGGCCAGAAGTGCTGGAAAGTTTATGTACCAGGAAGCATTTAGCCAATGATGGATAAGAGTTGGAATAGTTAGCCCTGGTTCCTTGCCTTTACCCCCTTGTGGTTGACAACTTTGAGGCATGTTTTTTGTTTGTTTGTTTGTTTACTATCTCCCAGAGCTCCTTCATCAGGATCAAACCCCAGTGGCCCAAAGCAATAACTAGTTCCATAACTGGCTTAATTATTGGCTTCTTTCATTTATTATCTCATTGTCCCACTCTCCTACTGGTACTTCCTGGGATCACATTACAACCAAACCACTTTCACCATTAATCATTGTTTAAAGGTCTGTTTCTGAAAGAAGCTAGCCTAAGTTAGTATTTTATCCATTTAAAAAAATCCTTCTCTGGCAAAGCGGAAGAAGCTAGAAAATAAAAATAAAGTAAAAAGTAAAAATTAAAAACATCCTTAGTGCACAAACTAGTGTTTGGCATTTGGAATACCTTCAATAAATGTCTGTCAAATGAGTTGTACATGTAGATTATTTCCATTATCCCCACTTTCTCTTTATAATGATATAAAAATGCCATTTCTAAAGTTAACCTTTGCCCAGCATCTTCAGTCTTTCTTCTTAAGTAACCACTATTTGTTTGTTGCATTTCAAGTTTTCATAATTTGAAAATGGACTCAAGACTTTCCCATTTCCTTCCTTATTTTCCTCTTATGCTTATGCTAATGATCTCTATTCCAGGCGAACAAATGTCCTCTGAATTTCCTTTGTTTCTTATTTAATGCCTTTGTATCAACCACATTCATTTGTATAAAACATCTTTAATGTCATGTTTACTAGTAGAATATCTGTGCCTTATATAAAATCCATAAATTAAAAGATATGGGAGGGTCAAATAATTCAGTAAGCCAAAACTAATCAATGACCTCTCTTTCCCTAACTTTCTTAAAATAACTATAGGTTAGAGAGAATCTGTTGGCATATCCTATTGCCTGTGTCTATCTTCTTAATCAAATTACAGATAAATAATTTAGAAACGTCCCTCTATATATTGAAGCCAGTGGATTAGGGTCTCCCACATGACCTAGGGAGACACCAGCTGGCATGGCTAAGGGAGTGGTTGCACCATACCTCCCCTACTCCCAGCAGTGAAGCTTGCAGCAACAGAAGTGACTCCTTACTTCTCGTTAAGGAGAAGAGAGCGAAAAGTAAAGAAGACTTTGTCTTGCATCTTGGATACCAGCTCAGCCACAGTAGGATGGGGCATGGGCAGAGTCATGAGGCCCCCATTCCAGGCCCTAGTTCCTGGATAGCATTTCTAGACACACCCTGGGCCAAAAGGGAATCTGCTACCTTAAAGGGAAGGACTCAGTCCTATCAGGATTCATCAGCTACTAACTAAAGAGGCCTTGAACGTTGAATAACCAGTTGCAATACCCAGGGAGTACACTGTGGGACTTGGCCTCTGAGATGTGCTGGCTTCATAGGTCACCCAGCAAATTCCCAGCTGTGGTGGTTATGGTGAAAGACCCCTTCTGTTTGAGAAAAGTAGACAGAAAAGTAAAGGGGACTTTGTCTTGCCCCTTAGGTACCAGCTCAGCCACAGAAAGGCAGAGAAGCAGGCAGGCTTCTGGGATTTCTGAGTCCTGGCCTAGGTTCTTGGACAGCATTTTTGGTCCTGCCTTGGGCCAGAGGGGAGCCCAAGGCCCTAAAATATGGGTCCCAGTTCTCTCAGCATTCACCACAAGCTGATGGAAGAGCCCTTGGGCTTTAAGTGAACACCAGTGGAGGCCAAGCAGAACCCTCATGGTGGTGAGGGCCACAGGGAGAGGATCCTCTGCCTTTTAAAAGGGCAAGGAAGAGCAGGGAGCACTTTATATTGTGGTGTGAGTGCTAGCTTAGCCACAATAGAATAGAACATGAGGTAAACTGCTAAGGTTTTTGACTCCAATGACTGGCCCTCAGACAGCATCTCTGGATATGCCCGGGGCCTAAGATTTCCACCGAAAAATCTGCTGCCAGATGTATTGAAGCTCCACTGCATGTTATTTGTTTCCTTTCTCTTGCTGCTTTTAGGATTCTTTCTTTATCCTTGACCTGTGGGAGTTTGATTATTGCATGCCTTGAGGTAGTCTCTGAGATAATTCTGCTTGGTGTTCTATAACTTTGTCGTACTTGAATGTTGGTATCTTTCTCTGTTTCTGAAGTTCTCTGATATTGTCCCTTTGTATCAACTTTCTATCCCTATCTCTTTCTCTACCTCCTGTTTAAGGCCAATAACTCTTAGATTGACCCTTTTGAGGCTATTTTCTGGATCTTGTAGGCAGACAGCCTATTTGAAAATACACAGCCAGAGAAGACAAAAGAAAAAAATAATAAGAAACAATGAAGCATACCTACAAGATCCAGACACAAAAAACCCTTCAAAAAAATCAATGAATCCAGGAGCCAGTTTTTTGAAAAGATCAACAGAATTGATAGACCGCTAGTAAGACTAATAAAGAAGAAAAGAGAGAAGAATCAAATAGATGCAATAAAAAATGATAAAGGGGATATCACCACCGACACCACAGAAATACAAACTACCATCAGAGAATACTATAAACACCTCTACGCAAATAAACTAGAAAATCTAGAAGAAATGGATAAATTCCTGCACACATACACCTTCCCAAGACTAAACCAGGAAGAAGTTGAATCCCTGAATAGACCAATAACAGGCTCTGAAATTGAGGCAATAATTAATAGCCTACAAACCAAAAAAAGTCCAGGACCAGACGGATTCACAGCCGAATTCTACCAGAGGTGCAAAGAGGAACTGGTATCATTCCTTCTAAAACTATTCCAATCAATAGAAAAAGAGGGAATCCTCCCTAACTCATTTTATGAGGCCAGCATCATCCTGATACCAAAGCCTGGCAGAGACACAACAAAAAAAGAGAATTTTAGACAAATATCCCTGATGAACATCGATGCAAAAATCCTCAATAAAATACTGGCAAACCGAATCCAGCAGCACATCAAAAAGCTTATCCACCATGATCAAGTGGGCTTCATCCCTGGGATGCAAGGCTGGTTCAACATACGCAAATCAATAAATGTAATCCAGCATATAAACAGAACCAACGACAAAAACCACATGGTTATCTCAATAGATGCAGAAAAGGCCCTTGACCAAATTCAACAGCCCTTCATGCTAAAAACTCTCGATAAATTAGGTATTGATGGGACGTATCTCAAAATAGTAAGAGCTATTTATGACAAACCCACAGCCAATATCATACTGAATGGGCAAAACTGGAAGCATTCCCTTTGAAAACTGGCACAAGACAGGGATGCCCTCTCTCACCACTCCTATTCAACATAGTGTTGGAAGTTCTGGCCAGGGCGATCAGGCAGGAAAAAGAAATAAAGGGTATTCAATTAGGAAAAGAGGAAGTCAAATTGTCCCTGTTTGCAGACGACATGATTGTATATTTAGAAAACCCCATCGTCTCAGCCCAAAATCTCCTTAAGCTGATAAGCAACTTCAGCAAAGTCTCAGGATATAAAATCAATGTGCAAAAATCACAAGCATTCTTATACACCAATAACAGACAAACAGAGAGCCAAATCATGAGTGAACTCTCATTCACAATTGCTTCAAAGAGAATAAAATACCTACAAATACAACTTACAAGGGATGTGAAGGACCTCTTCAAGGAGAACTACAAACCACTGCTCAAGGAAATAAAAGAGGACACAAACAAATGGAAGAACATTCCATGCTCATGGATAGGAAGAATCAATATCGTGAAAATGGCCATACTGCCCAAGGAAATTTATAGATTCAATGCCATCCCCATCAAGCTACCAATGACTTTCTTCACAGAATTGGAAAAAACTACTTTAAAGTTCATATGGAACCAAAAAAGAGCCCACATTGCCAAGACAATCCTGAGCCAAAAGAACAAAGCTGGAGGCATCACGCTACCTGACTTCAAACTATACTACAAGGCTACGGTAACCAAAACAGCATGGTACTGGTACCAAAACAGAG
The DNA here is from genome assembly GCF_000001405.40 of Homo sapiens. Taxonomy (NCBI): domain Eukaryota; kingdom Metazoa; phylum Chordata; class Mammalia; order Primates; family Hominidae; genus Homo; species Homo sapiens. The sequence continues at coordinate 31,689,772 of NC_000023.11, forward strand.
ATATACACCAATGGAACAGAACAGAGCTCTCAGAAATAATACCACACATCTACAACCATCTGATCTTTGACAAACCTGACAAAAACAAGAAATGGGGAAAGGATTCCCTATTTAATAAATGGTGCTGGGAAAACTGGCTAGCCATATGTAGAGAGCTGAAACTGGATCCCTTCCTTATACCATATACAAAAATTAATTCAAGATGGATTGAAGACTTAATGTTAGACCTAAAACCATAAAAACCCTAGAAGAAAACCTAGGCAATACCATTCAGGACGTAGGCATGGGCAAGGACTTCATGTCTAAAACACCAAAAGCAATGGCAACAAAAGCCAAAACGGACAAATGGGATCTAATGAAACTAAAGAGCTTCTGCACAGCAAAAGAAACTACCATCAGAGTGAACAGGCAGCCTACAGAATGGGAGAAAATTTTTGCAATCTACTCATCTGACAAAGGGCTAATATCCAGAATCTACAAAGAACTCAAACAAACTTACAAGAAAAAACAAACAACCCCATCAAAAAGTGGGCGAAGGATATGAACAGACACTTCTCAAAAGAAGACATTTATGCAGCCAAAAGACACATGAAAAAATGCTCATCATCACTGGCCATCAGAGAAACGCAAATCAAAACCACAATGAGATACCATCTCACACCAGTTAGAATGGCAATCATTAAAAAGTCAGGAAACAACAGGTGCTGGAGAGGATGTGGAGAAATAGGAACACTTTACACTGTTAGTGAGACTGTAAACTAGTTCAACCATTGTGGAAGTCAGTGTGGCGATTCCTCAGGGATCTAGAACTAGAAATACCATTTGACCCAGCTATCCCATTACTGGGTATATACCCAAAGGATTATAAATCCTGCTGCTGTAAAGATACATGCACAGGTATGTTTATTGCTGCACTATTCACAATAGCAAAGACCTGGAACCAATCCAAATGTCCATCAATGATAGACTGGATTAAGAAAATGTGGCACATATACACCATGGAATACTATGCAACCATAAAAAAGGATGAGTTCACATCCTTTGTAGGGACATGGATGAAGCTGGAAATCATCTTTCTCAGCAAACTATCACAAGGACAGAAAACCAAACACCGCATGTTCTCACTCATAGGTGGGAATTGAACAATGAGAACACCTGGACGCAGGAAGGGGAACATCACACACCGGGGCCTGTCGTGGGGTGAGGGGACGGGGGAGGGATAGCATTGGGAGATATACCTAATGTAAATGACAAGTTAATGGGTGGAGCATACCAACACGGCACATGTATAGATATGTAACAAACCTGCAAGTTGTGCACATGTACCCTAGAACTTAAAGTATAATTAAAAAAAAAAGTAAGTTGTGATGTTAGAAACATAAAATGTGGGAGGAGGGAGAGTCAAAGTGTTGAGTATATGCACACAATCAAATTTAAGTTATTATCAGCTTATAAAATGTTTTATGTAAGCCTCGGAGTATCCACAAAGCACAAACTTATAATACATACATGAATGATAAAAACAAAAGACCCAAAGTATACTACTACACAAAACCATCAAAACACAAAGGAAGACAGCAATAGAGGAAGAAAGGAACAAAGAATCTGTAAGACAACCAGGAAACAATGAACAAAATGACACTAGTAAGTCCTTACCCATCCATCATTATTTTGAATGTAAATAGATTAAACTCTCCAATCAAAAGGCATAGAGTGGTTGAGTGGATTAACGACAACAACAAAAAACAAGACCCAAATATGTGCTGCCTACAAGTGGCTCATTTCACCTTAAAGGACATGCATAGACTGAAAGTAAAGGGATGAAAAAAGATACTCCATGTACATGAGAACAAAAAGAGAGCAGGGTAGTTACACTTACTTCAGACAAAATAATCTTTAGGTCAAATCTGTTCAAAGTGACAAAGAACATCATTATATATTGATAAAGGTTATTTCATCAAGAGGACATAACAAGTATATAAGCATCCCAAATCAGAGCACCTAAATATATAAAGCAAACATTAAGGGATCTGAAGGGAAACATAGCCTATAACATAATAATAGCAGGCAATTTCAATATTCCACTTTAAGCAATAGACAGAAAAATTCATAAGAAAACATTGGACTTGAATGACATTTTAGACCAAATGGACCTAACAGACATATACAGAACATTGTGCCCTGAACAGTAGGAAAATACAGATTCTTCTCAAGTACACATGTAACATTCTCCAGGATAGATCATATGTTAGGCCACAGACAAGTCTCAACAAATTTAAGAAAACCCATCGTGTATCTTTTCTGACCACAATATAAAATTAGAAATCAATTACATGAGAAATCATATAAAATTAAGAAATATGTGGAAACTAAACAATATGCTCCTAAACAATTATTGGGTCAAAAGAAGAAATTCAAGAGGAAATTTTTTAAAAGTCTTGAGACAAACAGAAATGAAAACACAACATAGAAAAACTTCTGGGGGTAGCAAAAGCAGTGCTAAGAGGGAAGTTTATATCAATAAATTCCTACATCAAAAAAGAAGAAATATCTCAAATGAAATACCTAACATTATACCTCAGGAAACTACAAAAAGAAGAATGAATTAAGCCCAAAGTTAGCAGAAAGAAGAAAATAACAAAGATCAGAGCAGAAATAAATGAAATAGAGACTAGAGAAACAATAGAAAAAAAGTCAATAAAACTAAAAGTTGGTTTTTTGAAAAGCTAAACACAATTGACAAATCCTTAGCTAGACTAAGAATGAAGAGAGCAGGCTCAAATAAATCAAATCAGAAATCAAAGAGAAGACATTATGACTGATAACACAGAAATACAAAGGATCCTAAGAGACTACGATGAACAATTATATACCAAGAAATTGGACATCCTAACAGAAATGGATGAATTCTTAGAAATACATAATCTACCAAAACTGAATAATGAAAATTGGAAATCTGAAAAGACCAGTAACAGCTAAGGAAAGAGTTAAGGAGATTGCATCAGTATTTAAAAGTTCTCACATCAAAGGAAAGCTCAAGACCAGATGGCTTCATGGGAGAATTCTACAAACATTTAAAGAAGACCTAACACAAATCTTTCTCAAACTCTTTTGGAAAACTAAAGAGGAAGGGATTCGTCCAAATTTATTTTACAAGGCCAGCAATACCCTGATCCCAAAGCCAGGCAAAGACACTACAAGGAAAGAAAACTATAGGCCAATATCACGAATGAAATTAGATGCAAAAATTCTCAATGAAATACTAGTGAACCATATTTAATAGTTTATTAGAAGGATTATTCACCATGACCAAGAGGGATTTATCCCTGGGATAGAAGGTTGTTTCAATATATGCAAATTAATAAATGTGATTCAACATATAACAGAATGAAGTACAAAAACCGTATGATCATTTTAATAAACTCAGAAAGAGCATTTGACAAAATTCAACATCCTTTTATGAGAAAAACTCTTAGCAAATTAGGTATAGAAGAAATGTTCTCCAAAAGAATAAAAGCCATAAATTACAAGCCCACAGCTAACATCATGCACAACAGTAAAACGTAGAAGGCTTTTCTCTAAGATCAGGAGCAAGACAAAGATGCCCACTCTCCCCACCCTTGTTTAACTTAGTACTGGGAGTCCTAGCCAGAGCAATTAGGCAGGAGAAAGAAATAAAAGGCAACCAAACTGAAAAGGATGAAGTAAAATTGCCCCTTCTTGCTGATGACATAATCTTATACAGCAAATCCTAAGGACTCCACTGAAAACTGTTAGAATTCATACACAAGTTTAGTAAAGTTGCAGGGTACAAAATCAACTTACAAAAATCAGTAGCGATAACAATTGTTATTGTTTGTACAATAACAACAAACTGTCTAAAATAGAAATTAAGGAAACAATCTCACTTATAATAGCATGAAAAAATATTTGGAGTGAATTTAACCAAGAAAGTGAAAGATCTGCGTGTTGAAACTATAAGACACTGACGAAAGAAATTGAAGATGACACAAATAAATGGAAAGATTTCTGTGTTCATAAATTGGAAAAATTAATATTGTTAAACATAAAGCAATCTAAAGATTCGACACAATACTAACAAAATCTGCATATTGTTCTTTATAGAATTTTTTTTAAAAAATCCTAAAATTTGCATGGAACCACAAAAGACCCTGGATAGCCAAAGCTGTCTTTACTAAAAAGAATAAAATTGGAAGTATGTCACTACTGGATTTCAAAATGTATTACAAAGCTATAATAATCAAAACAGCATGGCAAGTACATAAAAACAGACCAATGGAATAAGACAAAGAGGACTAAAATAAACCTACACACCTTTGATCAATTGATTTTTGACAAAGGTAGCAAGAACACACAATAGGGAGAGGACAGTCTCTTCAATAAATGGTATTGGGAAAACTGAATGTTCACATACAGAATAAAACTGGACCCTTATCTCACCCCTTATACAAGAATCAACTCAAAATGGATTAAAGCCTTAAATGTAATACCTGAAACTAAAAACTACAAAAACATAAGAGAAGAGCTCCATGACATTGGTCTGGGCAGTGGTTTCTTGCATATGACCCCCAAACACAATCAACACAAAAATAGGTAAGTAAGATTGCATCAAACTAAAAAGCTTTGCACAGCAAAGGAAACAATTAATGGAATAAAGAGACAACCCACAGATTGGGAGAAGATATTTGCAAATCATACATTAGATAAGGTGCTAATATCCAAAATATACAAGGAACTCAAGCTACTCAATAACAAGAAAACAAATAACCCTAATAAAAAAATGGGCAAATATATGAATAGACATTCTCAAAAGATGACAAACAGCATATATATATATATATATATATATATATATATACACACACATATATGTATAATACTCAACATCTCTAATCATCAAAAAATGCAAATTAAAATCACAATGAGATATCACCTCATATCTTTTGGATTGGCTATTATCAAAAAGTTGAAAGATAACAAGTGTTCATGAGGATACAGAGAATAAGGAAACCTTATCCACTATTGGTAGTATTGTGAATTAGTAACGGCCTCCATAAAGACAGTATGAATGTTTCTCAAAATAATAAAAAGAGAATGACCATATGTTCCAGAAATCCCACTTCTGGGTACATACTCAAAAGAAAAGGAGGGAGTGTATTGAAGAGCTATCTGCACTCTCACATTGTTGTAGCACTGTTCACAACAGGCAAGATTTGGAAGCAAGCTAACTGTCCATCAACATGCGAATGGATACAGAAAATGTGGCTCATATAAATGATGCGGTACTATTTAGCAATAAAAAAGAATTATATCCTGTCATTTGCAACATCTTGGATGGAACTGGAGGTCATTACATTAAATGAAATAAGCCAGTCACAGAACGAAAATCACTGCATGTTCTCACTTATTTGTGGGATCTAAAAATTAAAACTATTGAACTCATGGAGACAGAATAAAAGGATGGTTACCAGAGGCTACAAAGGGTAGTGTGGAGGTAGGGGATAGGTGGGGATTGTTAGCGGCTACAAAAAATAGTTAGAAAGAATGAGTAAGACCTAGTATTTGATAGTGCAACAGGGGGACTATAGTCAATAATAATTTAATTGTACATTAAAAAATAACTAAAAGTACAATTACATTGTTTGTAGCACAAAGGATAAATGCTTGACAGGATGGATGCCTCATTCTCCATGATGTGCTTGTTTCACATTACATGCCTATATCAAAACACCTCATGTACCCCGTAAATATATATACCTACTATGTACCCCAAAAAATTAAAAATAAAAAAAAAATTTTAAAAACCTAGGAAATTCTGTCATTTGGAATAATAAGGATGAGCCTGGAGGACATTAGGTTAAGTGAAATAAACTTGGCACAGAGAGACACATATCATATAATCTCATTTGTATGTGCAGTTTAAAAAAAGTTGAACTCATAGAAATGGAGAGTATTATGGTGGTGATCAAAAGCTGCAGTGGTGGGTGGATGGAAAAATGAGAGACGTTTATCAATGGGTACAAAGTTCCAGTTAGACAGGAGGAATAAGTTCTGGTGTTCTTTTGCACAGCACAGGAACTATAGCTAATATTGTCATATTGTATATTTCCAAATAGCTAAAAAGGAGGATTTTAAATATTCTCACCACAAAAATGAGAAGTATTTGAGGTGATAGATATGCTATTAGCCTGATTTGATTATTCCACAATGTATATATATGGATTGAAACATCACAATGTACCCCATAATATAGTTGTCGACTAAAAACGAAATAAAATTTTTAAAATGAATATTATTTGAGTTGTAATTCCACTCCCAGGTGTATATCCAACAGAAATGCATAGTTATTAATATATTCACCAAAAACCATGTACTAGACTGTTGATAGCATGGCTATGGATTGCAGAATTGTTGACAGCAATTTCCTCATGTTGGAAACTACTCAATTTCTCATCTATATCAACATGTGTAAATACACTGTGGTATCAATAGAATATTATTCAGTAAGAAAAGTGAACAATCCACAACTACATACAATAATATGGATGAATCTCACAAACATATTGTTGGGGGGAAAAATACAGCCACAGACAAGTAGATATGACTGTTCGATTCCTTCATATAATACACAAAAACAGGAAAAAGTAATAGAAAACTTTTGAAGTAAGGATAGTAGTCACCCTTGTGAAATGTTCATGACTGGAGAAGACATGAAGGGGGATCCTGAGCTTCTGGCTATATTATATTATGTTTCTTGATTTGGATGCTATTTACACAGTTGCATTCTATTTATAGAAATTCACTCTTCTGCATATGGCTAGCCAGTTCTCCCAGCACCATTTATTAAATAGGGAATTTGATTTGTGAAATATATTCTACATACAACTTTGGACAATTCATCTTTTTTAAAAAAGGTGTCACGTGTGAAATATGTGTCATTTTGGCTGCTGTGAATAATAAAAGATGCAATCATTCTGCTACAAACACAATACGATTTTGACTGTACATTGATGTGACAAAGAACATTTCAGAAATTCTTATTGGACAGTGAACTGGACTAGATTCACAGACACACATCAGCACATACAGACGAATCAAGCAGCTATTCTGCTATTTAATAAAAGAAACAAAGCAGTACAATTGATTGTTATAGTAGTCCCAAGAGTAGACCCTGCAGAAATATATACAAAAGACAATTTTAGAAGTTTTAAATGTATTTCATTTTGTCAAGGAATGAAAGCAAATCTAAAATCTGAAGATCATCAGAGCGAAGCTGTTATCCTAAAAGTGGATCAGTGTGGTAGTCTGACATCATATAGACCTGGTAATTGTCCATAACTGAGCATCAATTTATACTACAGAATTTTACCACACTTGCGACACTTCACCCAGGAGACTGACAGATCAAAAACATATTATGGCAATGTATTTGGCCACTAGAGCCCATATTGTTAGATTTACATTTACACCAAATTCATCTGACATACAAAAGTGAAATAATAATAAAGTATATGCACATAAACCCAGACAATCTGTGCATGTTTGTAATTGAAGAGCTACCCAATGTACACATTTTTTTTTTCTCACAAAGGTCCGTCATGGAAAGCTTCTCGACTAATTTGTGCAGTAAATAGATGTTGGGTAATAAAGGGAAATAAATAACCAATGCTAAGACTCAGGATGACAGACTGAGACCCAGCATGTGTCCTGATTTACGAACCTCCAGAAGTGTCAAATTGGAAACTCAGCAATCATGTCAAGAACCACAATATTGCAGAGAAAGAAACAGTTCAGTTGATTGAATACGAACCAATCTTTCACTTCAAGTTTTTTAGACTAGCTATGTTTAATTATCGATATACATTCTTGACTGATATAAATTCCCACAACATCTCTCTTAGGGAGGAATGTTATTTATACACAAGAAATGATTACCTTTTGAATACACATTGCTACAGAACAAAGAACAGTTCTGTTGCAATTTCTGCACTGACTGTACAGCACGAGAATTAGAAGTCTGTGTAACTGATTTTTAGAAAGCAACTTTGACTAGCAGTTAGTCTTGGGTTATAACCCTGGATTAGCGATGAAATAGTGGATTTAAATGGGAAAAGTTGATTTGCCACGATCTCAGTTTCCTCAACTCCCAAACTGAAATAATGACAACTGCAGAACCACAGAATTATTGTGAAGATAAAATTCAATAATGAATAAAAGCATAAAGGATCCTACTAAAGCAAGGTGCTACTGCTTCTCTGTATAGACAAGACTAAACAATGAATTATAGTTATCAACAAACATTCACGATCTGCTAGGGAGTGCACACTATGGATCTCACTGATCCCACAGAGTACGCCAGAGTTCCAGGTAGAAAATGCCAAGGTGAAAGGCTTAAATTGCAGGTAAATCTTTTGAGGTCATTTGAGTGAGTGAAGAGTGACGGACATGACTAACTGTGGGCAACTCTAAAGGAAAAATGATCCCAATTGCAGTTAAGACAAAGATTTCTAAACTATTTGTTGGGATCAGGAAAAAGGGAGAAATAGCAGTAGACTGTTCTCCGAGGCTAAAACCATCAAAAAATGTTAGGCATGATCAAGAATGAAGCTGAAAACAAGGAAACCACCATTATTGTAACCTTGTACAAAGCTAGGACACAACTATACCTAGAGTAATGTAAGCATAACTCAATGTTTGACATACAAAGACATATAAGGAACTGAGGAAAGTCCAAATAATAACACAGATTATAAGGAATATTAAGATATGTCCCTTCTACTTCCACAAGGCATTTAAACAGGGTTCTGTGGAAGACCTATCTATAGTTAAGCTTTGCAAAAGAAGTTTCAACTCAAACCCACAAAGAGGAAGAAACATATATGCTAACCATGTAGCTAGTATGAACGGGCATTTTTTTTCACTTAGATATAGAAAAGGAGGAATGTGGTTGTTTTACAAATAGAGAATAAAGTATCTGAGATGTAACAGATCAAAAAGCTAAAAACAGAGGGGAGTTATTGGCACATAAATAAATCCTGGCCACTATGATGACCAAGTTGCTTTTTCTCTAAATCCCAAAAAGCTAGAATGCAGAAACAGCCAAGCATTTTGGTTAAGTTCATGGAAGCCAGACCCAGAACAAATGACTAAATTTTAAAATTTTATAATATTAGCCTAACATTTAAGGTTAGTTTGGAACATGGAAAAGATCAACAGTTTAGTGCTATTTTCACACTGTTTACTCCTCTATTATATGGGGATAATAACAAGAAAATTAATAATCTAGAAAGATAAAAGGAAATAATGTACACAAGGCACTGAGAAAAGTACCTGACCCCTAGACAGCTCTCAATTATAGGGGCGTAAATAGGCAATCGTGTACTTTGGTAACACTGTTGGACTTTTCTGGGGCTTCTTAAATCCTGAGTCATAAAGCAAAGGAGGATAGATTGGATGATCCCTGGAGATGTTTTCAGCTCTAACAGTTTGTGAAATACGTTTCTTGATGCCTCTGTCAGAGCTGAAAGCTCACCTTACAAGGTTTTTGTGAAGAACTCACCCAGCCCAGTGCCTAGATGAACAAATGACGTATCAATAGCCATACTGTTCCCCTGGATGGACCTTTGGTAAATTTCAACTTGGCAATCTTATGGTCATATATTCAGTCATGCTACATGTCAGTTAAAGGAAACTCAAGCCAACCTAAAAAATGTTCCCTCCTGTCTGGGCCAAGGCTATTTTTTTGTATCTTAAGAGAGGCATGTGTCACACAGGTATACCCATTCATCAAAACTCATTTCATAATACACATGAGATTTACACATTCTAGTCTATACAAATTTTGCCACAAACAAACAAACAAAAGAAATGTGAACAAATATTGAGCTCTGGTTAATGACATGCATGTTGAAGAACTTAGGGGTAAAGGGAACCGATGTCACCAACTTACTTTGAAGGGCATCAGAAAATAATAGGGGTTGGCGGGTAGAGAAAGAAGTAAAGTGATACAACAAAATCTAGAGAGTGGGTTCATGAGCACTCACTGTACAATTCTTTCAGCTTTCTGTGTATTTGAAAAATTTTAAAATAGAATGTTAGATAAAATGTTCTCTCGGCTGGGCACGGTGGCTCACACCTGTAATCCCAGCACTTTGGGAGGCCGAGGTGAACGGATCATGAGATCAGGAGCTTAAGATCAACCTGGCCAAGATGGTGAAACCCTGTCTGTACTAAAAATACAAAAATTAGCCAGGCGCAGTGGCAGGCACCTGTAATCCCAGCTACTCGGGAGGCTGAGGCAGGAGAATCGCTTGAACCCGGGCGGCAGAGGTTGCAGTGAGCCGAGATTGCGCCACTGCACTCCAGCCTAGGCAACATAGTGAGACTCTGTCTCAAAAAAAAAAAAAAATTCTCTCACAGAAAACACAAAGCAGTGTATTATTTAAGCAGTTTTCTGAATCACTAACACCACTTTCCAATGAAGAAAAAAATACCATCTGTGGGATATGGAAGTTTAAAGATACTAAACAGAACTTATACGAGTGGAAATGGCAAAACGTTTTGCTCAAAGTCACAATGTGTATGGAGAGGAGTTGGAAATGGAATTTAGGCAGGTCTCTTAATTTTCTAATCAACAGACTGTCAAAGACCAGATTACCTCCTTAAAAGTATGCTGAATATTCTAATAGAGAAAATGAGTTAACCTTCTAAAGAAAGCTCATTCTCCTGTTTTGGTAATAAAACATAGGGAAGTATGTATTGCTTCCCATACGGAAAGATGAGCTGGGTGAGAGGAGGATTGGGTTTTTACCACTGGTTGGAGGATAATAGATTATGAAAAAATATCAACATCCAGTCATAATGAAACATGTAAGTTGTTTTATTAATTAAATAGGTGAATGCTGAAATGTGATATTATTTGATCACATTAAAATGAATAATTTTTTTAAAAACATAATGACTTCTCTTTTGGGGGTGTTGGAAACTATTGCTTAAGATGAAAGCCTGAAGTTAGGAGAAAAGCTTGATGTATATCTATGCAAAAATATTTCAGTTTATCATCTTAGGTCACTTACAAGTCACAGAAAAGAAACTATCTAGATGTGATAATAGGCCTAACATATCATTAGATGATCCATCGGTCCAGCATCTCAGTCATTAACTAATTAAGTGCCAAATGTAGCAAATAAAGTACTAACAACTCAAAAGTGTTCAGCAAGAGTTCATTAAAGCGAAGCTAAAGGGGACCATTATAATTCTAGCACCACAGATTTATTACCATGTCACCAGCATGCAATGCACACAATAAAACTCATTCATCACTGTAAATTTGCACATCAAATTTGATGCATTTGTTGGAATATAAATATTTTTAAAATCATGTAGAATAAAAAGCATTTTTTTCTCCCTTAGCACACACTGAATTTCATATCTACACCTTGCCACTTCAACTTTTACTTGATGAGTGCAGAAAACGGAAATTAACCCCGAAAAACAAAGTGGCCTCACTCTTATTTTTACAAGCATACTCCACCATCCAACTATTCAAGTTAAGAAATAAAAATAAATGGAAAACAATTTCTTGAACAGAAACTATGGCTAAAAAGCACAATTCCATACATTGCTTACTGACAGAACTTTTCTGTATTTCAATTCTTCCTTACCTCCTTCTCTTCAGATTTAGGTGTCCCTCCTACCCATGCCTAATTCCCTCGCTGTACTCAATGTTCCAGTCTCTTCCATCTTCTATGAGAAGTGATTCCATCTTTTACCCCTCCTATGTCTTCAATCTCCGTCTACAACCATGTTTATTTTAAGAAGAAAACAACCAAAACCAACCAAACAAAAGACAAAAGAGTATTATTTCCTTTGGTCCTACACCCCACCTGCGTCCCCTGATGGAAACCCTATGTCTTCCTCCTTTGTGGGAGAGTGGCTTACACCAGTGCTACTTAAAGGATGGTTTGTGTATGAGCAGCATCAGCATCACCTGATAACTTGTTAGAAATGCAGAATCTCAGGCTCCACTCTAGAGCTAATGAATCAAAATCTGCATTTTAAAATAAGATTTTTCAGGTGATTACATTTTGAGAAGCAATAGTCTATACCCACTATTTCCACATCCACACCTCACATACCCTTCTAAACCATTACGTTTTGGCTTTTGCCACTGAAATTACTTTTGTAGGTGATAGCAGTGACCTTAAAGTTGCTACAGTATTAGAGAGTCTAAAGTCTTTATGTTTTCAGATATCCCTTCAGTACCTGCCAATTGACGAACCCTCTTTGAAACCTTCTCTTTTGATTAATATGGAAGATTCCTTCTTGGATTTTATTCTGCCTATTTGGCCACTCCTCACTCTCTTAGGCCCATTCCTTAAATGTTGCTATTCCCTAGGGGTCTCCCTTTGATCTTTTTGTTTTCACTTTACATATTCTCTCTGGTGAGTTCATGTATGTATATTGCTTCATTTACTATCTCTAAAATAATCAGAGTAAAATCTGTGTTTTAAGCTAAGAATTGTCTCTTGAACTCTGTATCCATAGAGCCAAACGCCTACTAAATCTCTATGAAATAGCCAACATATCCAAACTGGATTACATCATCTTCATTCTTCCTCTCCCCTAATCACTGATACACATCTGTTCCTCTACTTAGTCACTGAAGGAGAAACATGCAAATTATCCTTCATTCTTCTTTCTTCCTTATACTTTAACCAAGAAGATGCCGAGTCACTTCTCCTTAATAGCTCTTCTGGCCTCTATATCATTCATCTCTCTCTTCCCTAGATTGCTTTAGTTAAAAGCCTCCTGATGGTCTCTCTAGTTCAGCGGAACACAACCTTGTCTGTGCATTTGAATCAAGAGGGCTGCTTTAAAAACTACGAATGTCTGGGCCCTATTAAGGCTCTGATTTAACTGGTTTGGGGTGGAGTCCAAGTATTGGCATTTTTTTTAAACTCCCCCTAGTGATTCTAACGTGCAGCCAGGGATGAGAACCACTGATTTAATGTTAGCCTTTTGCACTCCCCATCCTTCTTTAAAACTCTAGTCAGAGAAGTCTTTTTTTTTTTTTTTTTTAATAGGGAGTCTCCCTCTGTCATCCAGGCTGAAGTGCAGTGGCACCATCTTGGCTCACTGCCACCTCTGCCTCTTGGGTTCAAGCTATTCTCCTGCCTCAGCCTCCTGAGTAGCTGGGATTACAGGCATGCACCACCATGCCCAGCTATTTTTTTGTATTTTTAGTAGAGATGGGGTTTCATCAAGTTGACCAGGCTGGTCTTGAACTCCTGACATCAAGTGGTCCACCCACCTCCAGAGAAGTCTTCTGAAGATGAAAATCTTGGTCTTTCATCACTTATTAAATTTCCTTAATGTCATGCCTCCCACCCCACACTGCTTTCAGGATAGTATTAAAACTCTTTACCTATCCTACAAGATCTTTTATAACGTGGCCTTTGTCTACTTTTCTAGTTTCTTGGCTTCTGCTGCCTGTTGTGATGCCTATACTCCAGCTTTACAGCTACACAGGAAGGAGCCCTAGGTATGTACAATGTTACCACACACCTCACATTTGTCTAAGTATTTCACATGTATCTCACATGTGTCTATGCTTTCTCTCTGCCTACAATGCTCTCTGCCTTTTCAGTTTGCAGCACTCTGCTCAAAAGTCACTGCCACTAGTCAGTTTTGTCCTGATAATTCCCTTTCACCCTATCAAAGCCTTGTTTACGTGCCATTCCATGCTACCTTGTGAGTTTCTCAAGTCATAACCAAGAACTTAAGTACTCATGTAAGTGTCCTTCCTACCCATGCCTAAACTGTAAAAGTGAAAATCATCACAAATATGCAATATATAAACAAAATAAACACATACATTTAGTCAATGCTATGAAAATTAAGTATGTGATCAAATGTTTTGAAGAGTGAAAATGGGGCTTTTGTATTAAGGGGAAGATGAGGAAATGAATTGATGAAGTGTAGCCTGAACTGATTTCTTCAAATGCTTCTCCAGAAAAGCAAAAAGAGGAATAATAAAAAAAAAGATCAATGAATTCTGGTTCATTTAACATACATACTATATTATTAAGACAAACACAGGATCAGTGAAAATAAAATATATTTTAGACTAAAATGCTGGTAGAAAAACCAAAAAGGAAGGAGTATGAAAGACATAAGTTACCCTTCCTAGGCTCCATTTTCAGATATTTTTGATTGTTTAAACTTCAGCAATTCATGAATGTTATAGTAAATGATTTGAAAAATGGGGAGATAAAAGTAATTCTTTCCTCGTTCCAATAATCCCCATTCAAGTAACAAAACAGCTTAATACAAAATATGTAAATTTATTTTTAATTTTTTTCTGATGACTTATCCTAAAAATCTACAAAATATGTAAATGAACTTTTAAAATTAGTATAGGAACTCTTACAATAGTACAGCAGCTCCTTAAATGCAATGCTTGGGTTTATGGGAAACAAAAAACACTCTGTCAATTGCTCCCACTGTTTTCATTTACCTCCTGGAAAATCATAACTATACATCCAGAGAAGAAAGACCTGGAGAGAGACAATACCTTGGTGAAACATATGGCTACGAAATACAGGAACAGAATAGTATAATCACCTTAATTTTAAAGGGAAATTCTCCTGAAACAGAATTCCCATAGTAAAAGGAAAAAAAATTGAGGAATTTAAAATAAGGTAATCCATGTGAACAGTGCTTTGTAAACTGCAAAACTGTCAGCAAATAATAAGGTATGATTGTTATTTTCTTTAAAATAAGATACAGAATAGCATTTTGCCTATACTATTTGCAGCCAAGGGAAGATCCTATCCTTTTAAAACATATAAAACTAATGCTTTTTAACCCAAACAAAAAGACACACATACGTTGCCAGAACTTGGTCTCAAGCAAGACTATATTTTTCTAAGTTCTTTAATAAATAAAGAGCCATTTGGTCATTCAATACTGATTTGTCTTTATATATTTGTTAATTATTTGTTCCTTTATGTATGCATTCATCACAAACTTTTTTATAATCTCTTATATAACTGAGATTGAGTTAGGATGTATACAAAATCAAAGCTAAAAAAGAAGTAATAAACATTCTGTAAGTAAATTACATAATTGAGTATTCACATGCCTTTGGAATCTATGCTTTCACGATAGACTCCACTTATTGAATGCATCACTAATTAAAAGGAAAAACTAAAAAAGAAAATTTTCATAGCTCCCAGTGGCCTTGTGAGTTATGGTAAAGATTTTGGTCTTCAACCTCAGTGCAATGGGAATCCACTGAAAGGTTTAAAGCAGGGAAGTGACACCGTCTAATCTGGGCTTGAAAACATTAGTCATGTTGCTAATTGGAGAGTAGATTGGAGGGGAGGGCAAAAAAGATGCAGAAAAACAGAGTAAGATGTTAGCATAGGAGTCCAGGCACAGCCTGATGGTGGGTGGTAGATGGAAAGATAAGAAAAGATTAGTAAGATTTAGAAGATAAAATGTACAGGACTTTGCCCAAGTTCTTCCCTCTGCCTAGAATGCATCATCTGGTACATGGCAGGTGCTTCATGAATGCTTTTGATGGGAAATGAACAGGGTTATAAAAACCTCACAATTTTTTAAGGGGTCTTAGGAGTCTTGGCCCTGCCATACTTTTCTCTCTTGCAGGAAAAAGATGAAACTAATGGACTGTGACCACTGCTTTTCAGCAAAGTACACCTAGGTCACTGTGCTTCTTCCACAATACAGGCTGCATGTCGTGTCTGAAAATCATTTTGCTTAAAGCTGCTTTGTTGGGAAATATTACTTGCTTGGCTTTTCTAGCTTGACTTTGAGTTATTTGAGATAAATAAGTAAGAGAGAAAGTTGACCCTTTCTCTATCATAGTCTAAAAAATAAAGGTTGCTGTTGGAAATCAACACGGACCCACAATTTCTTGTTGAATGTGGAATTATAATTATCCCTCATGATGAAATGTAATATAGACAGTTTGCCATATGGAATAGATGAAATAGGTGAGAGGCCAGAGCTGTCAGTTTGAGAGCTGTCATTCATATAGTGATGAATAACTGAAGCCATGAGGGTAAAGAACAAGGGCAAAGCCTTGGGAATGGTCTGAAGAGGCAGATCAAATGCATGAAATTGAAATAAGACATTCAGGAAAGGTTATATTATTCTTACTTTCAAGGCAGAAGCTCTGGAGATAAAGCATGACAGGTGGTCCTTTGACGAAGCAAAGTGAACCTCTTGGGTGGTCACTGATACTTTACCAAAGTGATTAGGACATGGCTGACAAGAGATTGGATGTAAAGAAAATGATAGAAATGCTTGTAGAGTTTATTTTAGCTGTTAAAAAAAAAAAAAAAAGCAAAACCAGACAGGAAACTTAAGGAATATGAGCTACCTCATTGTGGAAGCAAAGACTCAGAAGAAGTAGAGAACAAGAAAGTAGGAGGTTGAGTAAAATATCAGGTAGCCAAGTTAGTCAACAAAAGTGGAAGATTTCCACTTAAAATTTACAAAAAAAAAATGCTAAAAGTTAGAATTTTGGAAAACGACTGAACTTGAAGATTGTACATATTAGCCAGGCAGTTACTCTAAACTCATACTCTTATATAATTATTAAAAGGAGCTCCTTTACTAATTAAATCTCTAACCTGATTTTCTTTTTTCCAAATCCTGCCATCTTTTTTTGCTTTTCTATCATTTCCACAAAAACCACTCCTCTCCTCTCTTTCATAATCTCTGAGTTTATCAACATTTTTTTTTGGTTACGTCAGACTCTAGTTTTCCTATATTCCACGGTCCATTTGAAAGCACTAACTTATTACATGTAACTAGTGCCAATGGAAAATTCCAGCTAGCAATAAACGCATCTATGTTAGTCACTGTAGGCAGAACTAATGTTGGCTCCAATGATAAGAATGCTCCTATGGTTTTCTCTTGGCTGGCAAGCAGTTGCTATATTGCTCCTGAAAATTAGAAAGAGTTGTGCTGTGAAGCAGTAGAAATTACATACACTGACTAATACGTTAGCTGCAAATTTCTATATGGATTCTTTCAATCTGAATACAGTTTGGGTAATAGCTTTGTCCTTAGGTATTTTTGTACACACAGATAAAGTATGTTAAATTTTCTTGAGACAGGCATTAGCAAGAGGTTCAGAACAGAATTAGCATAGTTGTGTTCCAAAACAAAAGATAGCTGATATAAACTTGCCATGCTGCCAGTTCCAATGGTATTACTGACCTTTTAATCTCGTTGTTTTTTTTTAAATCTTTTTATTTTTTCTCTGCTAAATCTCTGCCTCTTGCTGTTTAATAAGCTAACCGTTATTTGGAACCTAATGAAAGGATTTTTTTCCCTCAGTCTAAACCTTCCTAAATAGCCTCTTCATTATTCTATTTACTTTGAACATTAAAAAAACCAAAGCTGAAATAGCTAATATGAGATGTTCATGAAAATCTCCATTCAGGGCGTCATCATCCTAATTGGTTTATAACCTGCTGTGCTGAATAGTTCTTCCACTCATCCTCATTTTGTTTTGTTTTTTAACTTAAAAATGAAAAGTTCTACCAAATATCACATGTTCTCACTTACTTATAAGTGGGAGCTAAGCACTGAGCACACATGGACATAAATACGGGAACAATAGACCCTGGGGACTACTAGAGGGAGGAGGGAGGGGAGTGGGTTAAAAAAACGACCTATCAGTTACTATGCTCACTAACATGGCGATGGGATCCGTACTCCAAACCTCAGCATCATGCAATACTCCCACGTGACAAATCTGCACATGCACCTTCTGTATCTAAAAGTTGAAATTAAAAAAAAGAAAACTTCTGTGTTGTGAAAAGGAACCAACAATGAGAGAAGGATATAGGATTTTAAAACATAGCTTCAACAATGACCCCAGAAACCTCAGAGGCCTTTATCTAACTGTCTGACTGGAGAAAATTATCTACAAGGTACCACGTGTTTGCAAGCTTTCAGTTCACCTTTTAATAGCCACAATGGAACTATGAATTAAGGACACTAAGCCCGAATCTCCCTTTAATTCTATGTGGAAGGAAAAGTAAAGAAATAAACAATGATTGAAAAAAAAGACTTACATAAAAGTAGATGGTAAAAATAAAATAAAGGTCAAGAAGGTAATAAATAAATCATATTTCCTGAATGTTGTTCTAAATTGTGTTCAAATTTATATGTTCCAGACAGTAGAAACAAAAAGCAAATCCTTAATGATTTATAAATATGTAAAAGCATTCCATCATTTGTGTTATTACTAAAAATAGATGTTTATATTTCAGCTATCCTGAAAAAATTAGAATAATATTAAGTAGGTATATTTGCACATTGCCTTTGAAACACCAGAGCTCTATTTTAAAAATGTACTTAATTTTTTTCTACCCTAAACTTACTGAATCAGAGTCTTTTGGCTCTTGAACTATTGCATGCATTCTCAACAGATAATGACACCCCAAGGGAGTGAAAATTTGTTCTTGAGAGATAAAAATTCTTAGCTATTTCTGAGTCACAATGGTTTATTACCCTCTGAAAGCCACAATATACGGGCAGATCTAAAGCATGTCTGTGGTATTAAAACACGGATGGATATAAAAGGAAAAAAATCAAGTTCACCTCAATTTCATGAGTGATAACTGCAAACCACTTTGATGTATTTCCTTCCAGTTATAATTTCTTTTGCTGGTTTTCTCTGTTTTTTACAAAATTAGGATCCTATGGCATAAATAATTCCATATCCTACTTTTTTTCCTGAGCATTAATGTTGTAATAATTCCCTATATCATTAAATACTATTTGAAACTACTTCCATTAAACATTTTAATATTCAGTGGTAAGTATAAATCAATCTATAATAAACTTTCTCCAAAAATTAATGTTTTAATAGTATTAGTATTATAAAATGCATTTTAGATTATTAATCACTTTCCAGTGATAAATAACCAAATTACAATCTTAAATGATAGACACTAAAGTGTTTAGTGACCAAATTTCTTACTCAGTTTCCATCCCTGTTCAAACAATGCCATTTTATCTTCTGCTTTCTCTCTCTGCTTTCTTTCTTGCTCTTGCTCTCTTTCTTTTGAGAAGACTTTTGAAATCAAACTTTCTAGAATGTCTGCATATGAGCTAGATTCCTACTTTTGCAGTTCTAAAGAGAGTAAAATCGGCTGGGCGTGGTGGCTCACACCTGTAATCCCAGCTCTTTGGGGGAACAAGGCAGACAGATCACTTGAATTCAGGAGTTCAGGACCAGCCTGACCAACATGGTGAAGTCCCATCTCTACTAAAAATACAAAAATTAGCTGGGCATGGTGGTACATGTCTGTAGTCTCAGCTACTCAGGAGGCTGAGGCAGGAGAATCACTCGAAACAGGAGGTGGAGGTTGCAGTGAGCCGAGATTGAGCCACTACACTCTAGCCTGGGTGACAGAGTGAGACTCTGACTCAATCAATCAATCAATCAATCAATCGAGTCAAATCAAGAAAAGAGTGCAGAGTACAAAGAGTTTGAGACTAAGCTCTAAGAACTGGGTCTTTAACGAAGCTGTACCTTTTATTTTCACTTAATTTTCAATTGATTCCTTTGTTGCATTGTTTATATGGCAATAATGCTTGTTCTTACACATAATTACCATTTTAATTTAATCTAGAAAAAATAATAATAGAATGAGAAAGAAGATAAATAAAAATTTTTTCTTTATCTGGGTCAGGAATTGGTTGTTATTGTACAGCTCTCTCTCTCTCTCTCTCTCTCTCTGTCTGTGTGTGTGTGTGTGTGTGTGTGTGTGTGTGGTGTGTCAGAGAGAAATATTTGCGTTTGGGGTCCTTATTTCATTTAAGTTTATTATGCTATTTTCAATTAATAGCAAGTTCTTTACATTTTTAAACTATATTTTAAGAGTGCACATATTTCTTAAGAGTTCTAAATGGCATATTTCTATTTCTATGTATACATATATGTTTCTATTATATATGTCTACTTCTATGTCTATGCACTTATCTGTATCTATCTCTATCTCTACTTTGATATCTCTTTAAGTCTCTCTTTTTATGTACAAGTTCCTAGAGGCTCTAAGTCCTAACATTCCAGAAATTTCAAAGAAACTAGAAAGAAAGATTTTCTTCTGCAATTACAATAGGATAAAAGAGATTGTGGATAGTAATAGCTATCTGCAAAAATAAACTGGCTGAGCCTCAGATAGCCTGGGGAGCTTGTTATAAATACAGATTCCCAAGGCCTTCTTATATCCCTATTATGTCAGAATTTCTTATGTTGGAAGCAAGATGTCCGGGAATGGCCAGTAATACTAGAAATCTTTGTGGGAAATGTCGTTTTGAAAGGGTTTTGGGGATGAAGTAACCCAGATGAATCTGGGGGTAACAGGTAGCAATGTCATTAACATAAAGCTACCAACTATTAACTTATACTAACATATCTGAGTTTTATATTGTTCTGTGACAGATAATAGGAGAGTGAAGGTAAAGCTGTATATCTGTATATGGTGGTGGTTGGGGGAAAACCTCTTGCAGGGAATCTAAAAGGAAGCCAGGGAGCAAACATGTGCTATTATGTTTTTTGTACCATCTGAGATGAATTGTCTGTTTCTCTGTTTCTATTAATATTTTTAAGGTCATCTAGAATAGTAAAGATGGGTAGTTTATGTAGCTTTTCTCACTTAAGGAAGCATCCTTTCATAATGCTTTATTACCCTTCTCCCAATTCTATCACTTTGAACAATAATCTATCATTTGGTCTTCTGGATAGTCCTCACTGGGGAGGACACCCCGAACACATTACCATTATTGATTTTCCTGCCAGTCTTGTTGTAAAATAATAGTTTGAATTATTATTTCTTCTTTCAAATGGTTTATAAACCAGTGCCTTGTGAGTTTGTGTAGCATGAATCAGTCTCCCAGAGCCTGATCATCTCTAGGTAAACTACTAAAATTTAGTTGTTGGCTATGCAAAACTGAGGATTGGACATTAAATCTACGACAACTCTGCTATATGATATGAACTCTATCAATGACCTCTTTATGCAGTCCTTCCTGAAATGATTTATATCATCATTTTTTAAAAATAATCATTAACCTGAAGAAAGAGTATATTAAGATATTCCAAATCCATGAGATACATAGCACTTTTTCCTTGATTTTACCCATATTCTAAACATTCAATATTAACAGGCATTAAGAATCAAGAACTCTTTGACTATTGATAGGTCATACTCAATATAAAATACTGTTTGATTGGCTCCAGACCAAAAAAAAAAAGGTTTTGTAAAATTGTGCCCTTTTCATGTCTTTATAAAGTTCCTAGAGTTTATTTCTGTTATTCTCAAAATGTTTCCTCAGGAGAATTTAGTAATATTTAGATCCACTTAAAACAATCACTAGTTAAGTACAAATTAGCTTCCAAAATCAATCTGAAAACATGCTGAAAACATACATCTGCTAAAAGATGGTTTTCTCTTTTATGTACCCCCTCCCATCTAAAAGTTATTAAGGAAGAGTCTGTTGCTATGGAAACACTCGATTTGACACCATCTGTATTCAAAATTCAATTGCTGCAAGCCTTCAGCCAATCTCCGGTTTTTAATTGGCAAGACCTTCCCAGTATGCTCTACAAATCTTTTTTTTTATTTTTTATTTTTAGGAAGTCAATCTATACAGCATATTGCAATGTAAAGCATCAAGAAAGTTCACAATGCAAGCCTCATTCCATTATCTTAAAATCAGACTTGTGAAGTTTCAAAGCATTACAGCCTTCTGATAATTACTTGGCATGAGGTTAATGCCTAAAATTTATTGCCAAGTTTTTTTTTTTGCCTATTGGATTTCACACGTAAAGAAAATACTCATTGTAAGAGTGACTTTAGTATTAGGAAGACCCTGAAAAAGAGCCTTAGTGAGGAACTTATATCACAATACACAGTTTAGAATGGAAAACAAATATAGAAATCAGAGTTAAGAATGCAATTTTGGAATAGTCAGACTGAAGTTCAATATTATTTGGAATACTTGTTAGCTACTTTATGTAACCTTTCTACATCTTCTTTTCCTCATCTGTAAGAGATCTATTATGAGGATTTTAAAGTACGCATTTTGGGGACTACACATACTTATACATATATAGTATATACATATACTATAACGGCATTTGAAAATCTGTTAATCCACATGGTCTTGAAGCATATTTCTCCAGAATATCAAGTATCTGTATATAAGTGTTGCTAAAATTCATAGAAGAGAGGATTACAAAAAACTGGAATTCTCTGAATAATTATTTTTAAATAAGGGAAGGATATGACTGGATATTAAAGAAATGTAAATATGCTTCTGGCAGGAAAATGCCAAAAAAATGTATGCACAGTTGTGGGTCCAATCACGACATTTTGATGGGATAGAGAAGTAATTCGCCACAATTGAGCACTGCTGTGGTTTCTTGGGAGGCTCTGTCAACCTACTAAGTTATAGTTATCCTATGGGAACAGACCCCATAGCTAAAGATAATTAGAATGTTGCCCTCTGGAGTTCTGCAATGTAGCAAGCTTGCTTTACCATACCACTGTCCTACTGAACAGCCAGCCTCTTTGATAATCCTTAAGAGGTAACATTCCAACTACACTGCTTATTGCTCCAGGTTACCACACACTTTGAAAAGCTCATGTCTTTGTTAATTTTATTTAATATATTTTTAATTTATTCACTTAATCTAGTGAATGATGTAATGATTGTAATATTTTCGTTCAGTGATGACTGTAATATTTTGGTTCCACTAAAAAACTGACTACATTACCTTCATGTGTATCCTGATATGAATCCCTTTATAGTCTTCCTTTCCTTTTTTCTTAAATTCATAAAATGTATAAATTGATGAATAATCAGGACTTATGCTGTGTAAGAATAAAGACAACTTTATCTGCCTTTGGTTCTCCCTTTAAATCTGTTCAAGTAGGTTGTTCTGTTCTGTTCTTGGGTGAAAATATGGGTAAGTTTCATGTCTTTTCTGGTCATCATTAAGGAAACAAAGTCCTGCTCCATATCGAGACATTAAAATTAGAATATCCAGCTCAATATATTAATCAATACTTCAATCTGAACTCACATATATGATTTCTTCCTCAATTAGAAGAGGATGGAAGTGGACAGGTCCTTTACTACCTGGGGTAGTGGGCATGGTGGGCTTCCTCTTTCTGTCTTGCTAGTCTTCTCTACCATTCACCAGCTGCTATTTCTCACCCTAACAAGGGTTAATGGGAGTGGAAGAAGAAGAAGGGGTGCAGAAAATTCTTACTTCACTCAGTACTGTCACTGTTAGAGTGTGACTTTGTGCTTTCTAATGTCAAATATCACTTCTGGGGTTTCACGGAGCTGAAATGTATTTCTCCCAGTTTTAAGATCCAGCCTCTGATCTACTTCTTCTATGATATGTTCCACAATTACTTCAGTAGACAGTCAGTCAACACAAACTCATCTGAACCTACTTTGTGCCAAACACTGATCTAGGTTCTGGAAAATCTATGATGAAACAAGACACAGTCCCTGCTCTCATGCAGCCAAATATTTTTCTCCTTTGTACTTTCATTTTTCTTTGCTTGTACCTCTAATTTATGCTTTATATCCAAGTTATTGTTGGTACACATTTGTCTTTCCCTAGATTATCAACTTCTTTAGAAAATGATTAACATTTTACTCACTTTTATAAATCCCTTTTCCAATGGTCACTAAAGTATTATTAAATGAAGTAATGAACAATGAATAAACGGATGGATGTACAGAGCGATAAATGGATAAATGAACAAAATTATACCTTCATACATTGTTCATAAAATATTGTTTATATTACTCCTATGACACATATATCCTATCTAATATTATACTAATTTTACTTTTTCTACCTAATAATAAACACTGTAATGAAAGAGGCTGTATCATGGTTTCCTTGGAACACCACATAATTCCTAGCCCCAATACCTTGCACACTGTAAGCACATAATCAACATTTGATGAATGTGTGAATATACTTTTCAGTATTTTAAACTTATATTTTTCCTTCACATAATTTAAATACTAATGCAAATTATTAAGTATAAAAATTAGGGCAAGTTGCAAATATAATTCAGTCACAGCCTCCGGGAAATGAATAAAATAATCTCACTCTAGGTTGATTTCTTTGTGTAAATTAGATCCTTACTAAATATTTGCAGACTTACACATTTATAAAAAAAAGTCATCAGTCTCATCTATTCTGTCTCTATTAGAAAAGGGTCAATCTATGTTTAATTTGCTGCCATAAGCTTGAAGGTGAAAATTTATTTAGGAAGCATTTGATGACTGTTTTCTAGGTACTGTTCTTAATCTAGGTATGTTAAGGGATGGTGCCTATCCTTAAGTTGCTCACAACTTATATGAGAGATAAATTTGGAATATTCACTGCTGTACATATTGAAGGATTTATTATATTTATAATTAAATTCTACCAAATCACATATGGACATAATTTAATCTTCTTGTGTTATTAGCACAGTGCACTGATATACTGAAGAATCTAATTTTTCAATGAAATAAGGATCTGTCCAATTTAGCATACTAAAATAGAATAACAATTTTATTAATTTTCATTTCAAATCAGCATTATTATATTATCTTAAGATTCCCTTTATTTGTATTCCTTAAGGATGCCAATTCTGGTTTTACAAAATCAACTTTATATTCAATACTTTTTTGTCTGAACTAGACAACTGTATACATATGCCAAGTATTTTAGAGGATGAAATTTTCAATTGGAAATCTGACTCCTATACTCATGATGAAGACTGTTACATAATTTCTATGTCAAAAACATATTTAAAGTTTACCTGTTTTGAATGGCCATATAGCTTGTTGACGTATATATTTAGAATCAGGACACAAAAATAATGAAATGATACAATTAAATCAAAATGTAAACAAAATATTATCAATATTATTAAATTAAGGAACTCCGAAGTGCCCTATCGTAGATTTTGGTACTTACTGATGCAAAGTATTATGGACAGCCTGGTTAAGTCCTAAAATTTGTAAAATTCGTTACCTACTTAATGAAGTGTAAAGTCAATGAATGTGCTGCTTTAGTGATCACAACACATTCTGTTAGTTGCCACATGTTGATATTTATTCTACTTCTCCTAGGGACAACAGGTTACTTAGTCAAACACTTTATATGTAACAGGTTACTTAGTCATACACTTTGTTTATATAATGCAAATTCTCATTCCCATTTTGTCTTAAGTTATAACATAACATTTTAATGAGTTCTCTGTACCCTCTCAAAAAACATCATGGTAATAAGAAAAAGAAAGTTTTATTAAAAAACCCTAATCCAAATTCCTGCTTTCAAGATTGGGGGTTGGTGGGGGGGGAGCTGCGAAACTGAACTTCTTAAGATTAAGAGCTGGCCGGGCGCGGTGGCTCACGCCTGTAATCCCAGCACTTTGGGAGGCCGAGACGGGCGGATCACGAGGTCAGGAGATCGAGACCATCCTGGCTAACACGGTGAAACCCCGTCTCTACTAAAAATACAAAAATTAGCCGGGCATGGTGGCGCGCGCCTGTAGTCCCAGCTACACGGGAGGCTGAGGCAGGAGAATGGCGTGAACCCGGGAGGCGGAGCTTGCAGTGAGCCGAGATCCCGCCACTGCACTCCAGCCTGGGCGACAGAGCGAAACTCCGTCTCAAAAAAAAAAAAAAAAAAAAATTAAGAGCTTTCTATATACATTTCATTTCCATTTTGCTCAAATCAGCAGATCCTCCAAAAGTAAACTGAGGAACATTTCAAATGGCCTAGTATGTTGTATTCTGCAAGGATGAGGTATGTGAACTGGAATCAGACCAAGGTGCTTTTAAAATCTGTTATATGTTTATGAGAGATTGTACTAAAAGGACTCTCAATCCCTTAAGACTGAAAATTCACTACCCATTGCAAAGTCTGGGTCTGTTTGCTTTGGGTTTCTTCTGGCTTTTTGTTTGCTTTTCAAACAAGGCGTTTTATTAACCTCTTTAGGGTAATTCCAGTGATGACTCATGGTCATGGAGATGATGATGGCAGCTTGTAGCCTACACTAGCTGCCAGCTCCCCTGCGAGACAGTCCAATCAATCAGTAAGTATTTATGGCATTCCCGTTATTTTCAGAACAAGATGTTAGAATTAAAATAATTCAAATATAAAGGAGTAACCGTTTGATGCTTACTGTCCATCAGGGAGGCGAAACATATACTACATGGAGAATGTCCTCAGAGAGACACAACAACGTTGAAATTCCTAATCTATGGCATTTGTAACTTACAGATGTGGCAACATGAGAAAGCAACTTGCCCTCCCATCTCCGTATCTCTAGCTGAACCACCAGTTCTCCCACTTTTCCTACTCGAATGGTGTTTATTTTTTAAAAACATGTGTTAGCGGCCAGGAGCCGTGGCTCACGCCTGTAATCCCAGCACTTTGGGAGGCCGAGGCGGGTGGATCACCTGAGGTTGGGAGCTCGAGACCAGCCTGACCAACATGGAGAAACTCTGTCTCTACTAAAAATACAAAATTAGCCGGGCATGGTGGCACGTGTCTGTAATCCCAGCTACTCAGATGGCTGAGGCAGGAGAATCGCTTGAACCCAGGAGGCGGAGGTTGCTGTGAGCCAAGATCGCACCATTGCACTCCAGCCTGGGCAACAAGAGCAAAACTCCATCTCAACAAAACAAAACAAAACAAAACAAAACAAACAAAAACAAAACATATGTTAGCCTTTTATCTTTCTAAAACGGGCTAAACATTATTTTGCTTAAAGGCATAGAAATTAATGCCTCTGAGAAATTTTAAGTCCCATGAGTCAATAAATACCCAATATGTTTGAACTTAATTGAAATAAACTATCACAAATTGATAGTTTATATATCAGTCGTATATATAAAATTGACATATAAGCATGTACTTTATAACTATCTACATGCATGAGTATATAAGAATACACACACACACACACACACACACACACACATATATATATATATATACACATATATTTAAACTTTCAATAACTGACTCCAAATGTAGCCTCCTTTCAGCATAGGTTTGGGGAAAGAATACCCATCTAACACCTATTTTTAGAATCAGAGGAGTTGGATTAAATCCTGGTTCCGCTATCTGTGTGATCTTATGCAAAATATTAATATCTTTGATAGTTGGTTCTCTCATTTACTTAATAAGGACAATATCTACCATAGGGACTGTTGTGAAAATAAAATCCACTTATATATGTATAAGAGTTCCTCATCCAATTCGTATAAAGCACAGCACAAATCTAAAGTATTACTCTTTTATGAGATACTTTAAAATCTGAATAAAGTTAGATTTTATTTGTCCCATAAAGAAGTGAAAATTTTGACAGTTTCAAATTGTCTGAAATGTTTCATATTCTGGAGTTCCCTGGAACATGTTTTTAGTTACCAAAATACCAAGCTACTGAAGGGAAACGTGGGCATTTTGGTTGCCCTGCCAGACATTAAGAAAAAAATGAATCCCATTCTATTTATTGCTATGTCTCTTAAAGTACGTTTGGCATGGTACCCAACATTGAGAGACACATAACCTGCTGTCCTAAAACTCTGAGCAATTTACAAATTCTTGTAATCATAGAAAGAATTCCCCATTTTACATCCCAAAAGGACTGTGCCTTCTCCTCTTAGTGGCTCCTACAAGGGATTAGACTAAACCAAATCCTTCATGAGGAACAGGTAAAGTGCCATTGCTTTAAAATGCCAACGTGAGCCTATATATTCCTGTGCTGTTCATATTACCTTATCGTTCTGCACAATTACACTTGATGTTCACATTTTCAGGTTGACTGGGTTTTATCACTTCATGGCACACTTTTCTGTTTAATTACAGAGAAAGGTGTTTTCCCCTCATTCTTATTCTGTGCATTTGAGACTTGATTTTATCTTTTCAAACATTCTGTTGTTTGAACAGACAATTTTCTGATAACAAGTGAATCAAGGACTCCCTGCCTTTCCTTTCCTCGACCAGTTCTACGTTTTTCTGAGAGCCAGCTGTGGCCCAGGGCAACAGTTCCATGGTTCCTGTATGAAAGAGAAAAATCTGACTCCAATTGTCAGGCTTATTGTATCTACCACTGCCTTGTATCCTTTGTAGGGGACCCCCAATGGCTTTACTCCTATGACCCAGGGTTAGACTTAGAGATGGTAATAAGCCAAACCATGCAGTAATTGGAAACACTGAAAATAGAAAATTCTGTATACATTTTGCTTTATCTTAATATTGAAAGAAAATATCAGAGCATTTCATTTATTCATTCAGAGAATCTTGATGGAAAACCTATTTTTTTCAAGGCCCTCGACTGGAATTTAAGAGAAGCAACACTGTCAGGAAAGACAAATTTCTCGAGCAAGTTCTAAAAATTCTGTGCATAGACATTAGAACAGTTACCAATATTCGTGCACCCATTTTCTAGATGTGAAAATTTTTTTACTCTTATAGCTAGCAGGGCACTATCATTGTCAACCCTTGAGAAGGCCTAGTGGAACTCTCAATAATGAGGATAGTTGATTGTTATGGACTGAATGCTGGCATCCCCCCCGCCGGCTAAAATTTGTATGTTGAAGTGCTAACCCCCAATGGATATTTGGAGGTGGGGCCTTTGAGAAATAATAAGGGTTAGATGAGGTCATAGGTTGAGGCCTCCATAATTGGATTAGTGTCCTTTTAAGAAGAGCAAGAAGAGAGACTAGAGTACCTCTCTGCACCACCTCTCTCCCCAACATACGAGGATACAGCAAGAAGAAGGTTCTCACCAGGAACCACATCTGTCAGCACCATGATCTTGTACTTCTCAACCTCCAGAACCGTGAAAAACAACTGCCTGTTGTTTAAGCCACCCAGTCTATGGCATTATTTTATAGCAGCCTGAGCTTACTAAGACATTAATATTTGTATAGTGAGTAGCCATTTGAAAAGGACTTTTCCATGCGTCATTTCATTGAATCCTAACACCAAACTAGTATGGAAGTTATCAGGATCCCAGTTTTACAGATGAGAAAATTAACTGTTGGAGAGATTAAATAATTTGCCATGGGTCCCACTGTCACTAAGGGGGCAGAGCCAGTGCTTGGACCAAGTGCTCTTATTTTAGATTCAGTGCTGTTACTACTATATTACTAAAGAAATAAAGGCCAAAGAATCTCCAGGATAAAGGTAGAACCTGTCAAACGGATAAACCAACATCAGCAACCATTTGTTTCCTGACTTCTAGTTTTATATGAGAAAAAAGCTCCTGTTTGTTTTAGCCACTGAAGTAATATAGTTTATTACCTTCAACTAACAAGAGTCCTAATGGTTACCCCTCAGTCCAGTCTTTTTGTGTAATCAGGTAGATAGTATAGCTTTCCTCTAATCCAGAAATCAAGAATGGGGATTAAGGAAATTAAGGAATGAAATTAAAGAAGGACATTCTTATGTATTTATCTCACTAACATAAAAGTAATAATCGCAATTGCTTTCATCACCATTGTTATAATTATCTCATAACCAACTATTAGCTTCCTAGGTCTTTTTGTTAGGCCTCCAAAATTCAAAAGCTTTCTTTACAATACCCATATTTTCCATGTGGAGCCAGGCTGAGTGGACCTGAGATAATTATCATCATGTCCCGGAGCTATAAAGTTTTGGTGGGTTCTTGTTTCTTTCAAGAAACAAAAACACATGTTATTCTGCACGTGTTTCCTGTACACATGTAGGATAAAGGACATGTACAAGTAGTCTGCAACTTTTAGGGCAAAGAGTATGATTGACATTTGTGGGAGTGTCTAATGGGGATATTCAAAGCAACATGGGATCATGTTTCAGAAAACTCAGGGCAAAACTCATAGGTTGCTTGTCCTGGGGTAAGCCAGCCACCACATCATAAGAACACTCAAGTAGTCCCATGGAGGAACTCGTTTAGAGGGAAACCAACTAGACAGCACCAACTCACAAGCTATACAAGTAACTCACTGTGAAAGTGAATCCTTCAGCCCCAGTCAAGCCATCATATGACTGCAGCCTAATTGACATCTGAGTGCAACATCATGAGTGATCGTGAGACAGAACCCCTCAACCAAGCAATGCATGAATCCTGACCTACAGAACCTATGAGTGATAATAAATGATTATTGCTACTTTAGGACACTAAGTTTGGGGTGATTGTTTTACAGTAACAGGTAACTATTCAAACTCTTTCCTGACAAAAGTAGAACAAGCTCGGCTTTCCCCTTTTCATGTAGAAAGGTCACAATCTATTAATCCTTCCTACTTACTTTATAAATGTTTTACTTAAGACAAGTACAACAGAATAAAGACAGGTGGCAAGCAATTTTCAAATCATGTATAAGTAAATTTTGGTAAAGAAAGAAGTAGTAGGTACAAAATAATAATCCCTACAATTTTCTATAACTTGAGAGCTGAGAGCATTTTTTAGGAACAGTCCATGGCACGTGTTTAACCCTTGGCTTAGTTTTATCTAAAATGCATGATGCCATCAGGGAGTAATATTCCTATTTATGCCCACAGGTACCAAAATATAACAGAAATTCAAGACTTTAGTTA
This sequence comes from Homo sapiens, assembly GCF_000001405.40. Classification (NCBI taxonomy): domain Eukaryota; kingdom Metazoa; phylum Chordata; class Mammalia; order Primates; family Hominidae; genus Homo; species Homo sapiens. The sequence goes on from NC_000023.11 coordinate 31,720,460, forward strand.
CAATGACCCTGTAGGTCATAAGATAAAAATGCTAGCCTATAAACATGTAGAGTATCTCTTTCTGGGCTCATCTCTGTTTGTATTTGTCTTATTAGCTCACTTTGTCTGAGTATAAAATTCTTTAATATATTTACTCATAATCATCTTTATCACAAAAAAGGAAGAAAAACTATTTTCTTTAATTGGTTTATTTATTTAATAGTTTTGTTTATTATGTTTAATTTTCAAGGTGGATGAATAAAACATTTGTTAACCCAGATCTTTCCCCTTAAAAAGAAACATAATGAAGACAAAAACAATTAGTAGAAAACACTATTTATGTTCATAATTATGGTACATCACTTTAATAAAAAATATTTTTCCTATTATAAACTCACTTGAAAGATTTATAATTAAATATAATCGCAACAGGTAATTTGGATTTTAAATCCTATTCAAATATGTTTTGATATTAATCCTCTTAATTTAAAAATGAAATACATTTATGAAAAATGGAAAACATTCATTTCATGATAGGTAATTAGTATTAATTTAACACAACGTATAGGAAGAAAAAACATACTTGTTTTTTATATATCAGTTTTTATATACAAGTTACAATTACTCTGATAGAACTCTGAAATTCATTAAGATATTAAAGACCATTTCTATTATTTAACGTATATTTCCAGGTACCTTATTAACTAGGTACTACTAAAAAAATAAAAGAACCACGAGATTTATATGTGAAGAAACACATGACATTATGAACCTCATGATGATGGCTGATGATGGTAAATTTTATGTGTTAACTTGGCTGGGCTATGGTTCCCAGTTGTTTGGTCAAACACCAATCTAGATGTTGCTGTGAAGGTATTTTTTAGATGTGATTAACATTTCAATCAGCAGACTTTGAGTAAAGCAGATTACCCTCCACAATGTGGGTGGGCCTTCTCCAATCAATTTTGAAGTCCTTAAGAGAAAAGACTGAAGTCCCCAGAAAAGGAAGGAATTCTGCTATCGGATTACCTTTGGACTCAAGATTGCAACATCAACTCTTCCCTTGGTCTCCATCCTGCCAGGCTTTTGGATTTTACAGATTTTTGACTTTTCAGCTCCCACAATCATATGAGTTAATGGCTTAAAATCAATCTCTCTCTCTCTCTCTCTCTCTCTCTCTGTATGTGTGTATATATATAATATTATTATATATATTAGTATTATTACCAATCTCTCTCTCTCTCTCACTCTCTCTCTCTCTCTCTCTCTCTCTCTCTCTCTATATATATATATATATATATATATATCTCCTAATTATTAGATACAACAGAAGATAGATGGAAAGAGACAGCAGCATTCTAAACTCTAATGATAATGGTGAATTGATAATACAGGTGAAATATTGGACTGTGAGTTTTCAGATGATGAAAACCTAGATAAATGTTCTCAGGCCCAAGGACTGATTAATGCACAATATATTTCTAATGACAGAAAGGAAATATGATATTTTAATCCACTTAATTATTCAACAGGAAGAACTTCACCACATAATATTAGCTGTAAGAATTTTAACAATCCTGTTTTGCTAAAGGATGTGTGACAGATATTATGTCATTTATGATGTTTGTGCACCAAAATTTATTTGATACAAAAAGTAAGTTGTATTTCTTTTTTATTATTTATTTATTTATTTATTTACGATGGAGTTTCACTCTTGTTGCCCAGGTTAGAGTGCAATGGCGTGATCTCGGCTCAGTGCAACCTCCGCCTCCCGGGTTCAAGCAATTCTCCTGCCTCAGCCTCCCGAGTAGCTGGGATTACAGGTGCCCGCCACCATGCCTGGCTAATTTTTTTGTATTTTTAGTAGAGATGGGGCTTCACCATGTTAGCCAGGCTGGTTTCGAACTCCTGACCTCAGGTGATCCATCGCTTCAGCCTCCCAAAGTGCTGGAATTACAGGAGTGAGCCACTGTGCCCAGCCTGTATTTCAATTCTTATTAAAATTTCTCATAAGATTGTCTTTCACTATCTCTTTATACTTCCATAAGAATTTGTAGAGTAACTTAGACATATACAAAATAAAAAGCTAAAGGGTTCATTAGACCTACAAGGCAAACAGTAATGGCTAATTTCCCTGGTATACTGAGGGCTGCATCAGAAACCTGGTCTACCTAAACACAACAATCTTTAATCCTCAGCTAAAGAGTTTCTATACTTTATTCATGGTATCATTAAGAACCAGGATGAAACTTATGTTACTTGAATGGTTGTACAGCAGCAGAAAAAGGAAACCATACAGTGTAGCATCTATAAATTCATTATTTAGGCTGGGCGCGGTGGCTCAGGTCTGTAATCCCAGCACTTTGGGAGGCCGAGGCGGGTGGATCACCTGAAGTCAAGAGTTTGAGACCAGCCTGGCCAACATGACGAAACCCCGTCCCTACTAAAAATACAAAAAAATTAGCTGGGCATGATGGTGGGAGCCTGTAATGCCAGCTACTCGGTAGGCTGAGGCAAGAGAATAGCTTGAATCTGGGAGGCGGAGTTGCAGTGAGCAAAGATGGCACCACTGCACTCCAGCCTGGGCAATGGAGCAGGACTCTGTCTCAAAAAAAAAATTATTATTCAGTGTGTGTCTAAATGCTTCTATATTGTAAGTTGGCAGGGTTGGGGGTTGTGTGGGGGGTGGGTGGTGCTACCTCTTCTCAAATTCCTTAAATGTAAACCAACTTCTAGGCTTTTTCCTAGGTTCACTTTTCTTTGCACCAGGTACCCTCTCTCTGTGCAAGCTCAGACATTCCAGGTAACTTTTGAATTCTTGTCCAAAAGTAACATCACTCCTGCAATCTCTATGTTTTCAACCATTTCTTTAAAATCTCAGTATGGTCATCTAGCTTCATGTTAAGCACATTACTTTGTCTCCCATAATCAACTCCTTATCCTGAGTTTGTCTCTGGTTATGACATTAATCTTCCAAAGAATTCAATCTCCAACTCTTAGAGGCAGGCCTTCTCTTAGATTGACAGTTTTATATATGCAATCAATGTCAAAATCCTGTTAATTCTAGCTCCACCTTATGTCTCAATTTCACTTCTTTCTTTTTACTCCATGGTCACTGCTCCAGCTTGGGCTCTCTTGCCTTCTAACTGGTCTTACTGACTTCATTTACTCCCTTATCCTCCACAACACACACACACACACACACACACACACACACACACACACACACACTCCCATGCTGATATTCGTCTTCCACCCCACTGTTAACAGGTCTAATTATGTATTCTCCTGTCATCAATTCCTGAAATACCCTTCCCTCTCCAGCTTCCTTCTGCTTTTCAAAGTCTTATTCATGACCAGGTCAAATTCAGCCTCCTCCTGGAAGCATTCCACTAAGCCCTCATTTAAAACTCCTCCTCTAGTTTTCTCTCAACATTTTGTAATACTGCTCTACTGAAGCACCTATCCTAAACTGCCTTGCCTAAATATACTTGTCCAAATACCCACATTTGATTGTGAGCTCTTTAAAGACAAAGGCTGAATCTTACTTTTTTCCTGTATCCCCTCTACCATCTCTGATATTAGATAGCACAGAGTAGGCATTCAAACGTTCGCTGAACTGAACTGAACTCTTTGGTTGCCAGCGGCATCCTAGTGGATGTGAATTTTGAGAGCTGCTTGTAGCTATAACAGGTTGACAGCAGGTGCTAGATGTCAAAAGAAGGAAATTTATATGGTTGACTCCACTTCTTCTAAAATAAGCAACCATCTAATAGACAATACCTGAGAGGAAGATACTGGCTGGCATTTCATTAGCAACAGAGATTTCATACAAATGTGGAGAACAACAGAGCCTTTTTATTTCGCCATGAAGGATTTCATAGATTTGGTTGCAGCAATGAATGATGGGTTGACAAAGCTGCTATAAAACTGTCAGTTAATTCAAAAATCGTGTGAGAGATGTTTTTTTTTATTCTCATACAGAAGAACATTCTCCCCTTCTATGGCCCTGTATACCAGTTCTTTATGCAATATAATGTGAATTCCTTTTCTTAAAATTTATAAGCTATCACTAAATTTCTCTAAGAATTCTGGACTGGGTTGAAAAATCCTTAGCTGAAAAAATAATTCCAAAATAAACGACTCCCTCTTAAAACTTGGAATTCTGTTTCAGAAGTCCTTCCCTTGGTTTAGCTAATAAAAGGCCACATTATACACCCTTCATATTCTCCCATCTCCAGTTCTCTCTGTACCAAATCCATCTCACCATAACAATATGTACCATTTAATGAGCATCTAATATGTGCCACATATTTACTTTAGAAACACCAATTATTTTACTTTCTTAATCACCCTACCAGCATAAGTACTATTATTAGCCCCACATGACAGATGAGAGAACCACAGTTTAGGAAAGAGAATTAACTTGGCTAAGGTTACACAGCTAATAGATCATTGGGGTCCACTAGTCTGTACATCTCCAACACATGTAAAAGACAATCCTTTGATTAGACACTCAAATACACAGAAGTCAAAAGTATAAACAGGAGCAGCAAAAATGTATATCCAGACTATAATTACCTGAGGTTAGTCCTAATATTTTAAGTTGTCAGATAAATATACCTTCCTATTTTTCTGACTAACCAGCCTTTTCCATTTGATGTGCCTCGGGCTTTAAAATCATATAGACGTGGGCTTGAATTCTACTTCCTCACTTGTCATCTTCCTAAGACCCTAGACAAGTTACGTTAGCTCTCCGAGTCTCGGTTTTCTGTCTCTAAAATGGGAGTAGTAATTTTATCTACCTATTAAATTTATAGATAATAAAAATTTTGCAGTATTTCCCACAAAAGGCTTTCCTGAATATTTGTTTAATTCTATTTATAGATCTTATTCCATCTTTTCCAAGCAACCTTCTCCTGTCGGTCTTTTAAATCTCTCCTTTTGGGGTGGTGGTGGGGGGCGAAATAACTAAACAGCTACCAAAAAGCTCATTAAGTATTTTGCATTAAGCCTTCAAAGCACCCCAATAGATTATAATTAAAATAACAAATGCTAACATTCATTCAGCTTTTACTATGGCCCTGATCTAAGGGCTCTACATTAATTATTTCATCTAATCCTCCCAACCCATGAGATAGTTATAAGTGAGCCTATTTTACAGAGAAGGAAACTAAGAGCAGATAGTTTACTGAGATTAGTCATTTGCTCAAGGCCACAAAGCTAACAAGTGGCCAGTCTAGGCAGCCTGCCTTTTAAAGTAATGCATGCTATTGCTGTATAGCCCCGAAATGGTAGTGGTGGGGGTTACGGAGGGAGAAGCTACAGAAACAAGGCTCTTAAATCCAAATGTTACAGGAACGACATTCACCAATATTGTTTGTGAAATAAACAGAATGATAAAAGGAAGCAGTTTTATCTTTCCAAATCCTCTTCACTGCTATGCAAGGTATTATGGTATTATGCCTTGCAGTATTAACAGACACGAACAAGAGTTTCATGTAATTCAGACGCCTCCAAGGAAGAAAATTTAAATTCTTCTAATCTTATCTGCTTTTGGTCCCCTGACCCAGCCCTTTTGCAGAAGAAAATGGCCAGGAATGATTGACAAATTCAGACACCAAAGAGTTAAAGAAAAATGAGCAATTCGAATATTAGAAAGAGGGAGAATTTTTCATTTGATCTGATTTAGACAAAATTTACTCTCTTACCTAGATTATTACTGCATGATTTCCATCAATATAATTACCTGAATACAACAGATACCACGGTAATAGTTTCATATAGTAAAACATGGTGGTGGCTTGCACACCCAATTACTTGAAGTTTAACATGAATATTTCTAGTAGACATAAATAGCTTTGTACTGAACTTTTCTCTTGATAGACTGCAATAACTATGTATAGATTTTCCCAACTGTTCAAAGTTATGAAATGGGATTTACCAGAGAAAGAAAAATGTTTCAATATAGTATTACATACATATATTAACTATTTTTTCTTTATTTAGCTGATTTCTTTTTGAGCATTTCTAGAAGTTTCATGGCAATAAAAAGGAAGACCAAAATCATCAAATGAGAAAATACAATTTTATGAGCAAGTATTTTATTTCTGTCCTTTTCCTGAAAACCAAATCTTTACTAAGAAAAATTCTATTTTGAACACGATCGAAAAGTTTATGAGTATTGAATTTCCATCCCATTTTATAGATTTCAAAGGGAGAGATAAACTGAAGTGTAGCAGGGCTGCAAATGACATTGTTTAGATAAACATATCTTGTCAGAATTATCCTGGTACCATTTAGAGGCTCCAGGCATATTTGGAACTAAGATTCCAGCTTAGACTCTTAATAAGCGCTATGACACATCTCGACAGACACTTGCTTTTAAGAAAATGCTTTCTTGGACCATTTGGATTACAGCCTTTCCACTAGGCTGCAAATATTCATAAAGGTATTCATTCCTAAAAGACAAAAGCTTAGAAAAGAAGAACTATTCAAATCACTGAATATTGGCAGAGAGATACAAACTTGCCCTCCGGTCATTCAATTTTAATCTCTATCATGAAAAAGTCAATGCAATATGAAAAAAAAATGCAGGGGATAATGGAAAATGTTCAGACAATGTTGAACAAATACTGTATAATACATTCATATTGTCTTCCTCTTAGGGAAAAAATTGAAGTGATTTTTCATTAGTAAAATAACAAATGACTCTCTGTATAGTATGTTCAGATTTGCATAAACCTCACTGCCAAATTTCCATATTTCTCAGGCAAGAAACTGATCACTTACCTGTGTAATGGGAATTCAGTCTCATATTGAGTAAATCACTCACTAAGATTCACTCTTTTGGGTCAGTGTGTTGCAACTTGTTGGAGAACCCTCAAGGTTCCAGTATGGTGGAGGAATGCTCTGCTAAATCAATTGTATGGCTATCTTACCAAATCTGTTCCTCTTCCTAGGCTCAACAGTGTACACTATTTCCCTAATTCCCTCGCAGTTAGGTGTGACCATGTGACAAGATCCATCCAACAGAATATGAACAAAATTAACACACACCATTTCCAGGCGTGGCTCATGACAAATTTTCATGAGTAATACTCATTCTTCATCTGCCCATTAAATGCATATGAGTCTTATGCTCTGGACACAAAAGATGGAAGGAGCTTGGGTTCCTGAATGACTTCATAGAGGGCTGCTTATTTTGGACTGCACTAAAATAAGAAGTAAATTTCTGCTGTAGTAAGCCTCCAAGATTTGGGAGATTACCTGTTATAGTGGCTAGTGTTACTGAAATAATACATTAGCATACATCCACATTCATTGTTTAAGCAACAATAAAGAGTTAAACTTTCAAAACCAAGAACAGCCTATTTTAATTAGCAATCACTACAACTGAAAGAAGACATGTCTTTAGGAAGTGAATCAAAACATACATAATTTCAGACAAAAGAAGTATTTAGTCTTAGTACAATGATTAAGGTCATTAACAAAAGCAACAAAACAAGATGGGAAATGGTAAACATACTAGAAAGAGCGCAGATTTTCAAGTCAGAAAGAGACATTTACAAATTCCAAGCTCTGTTCTTTGCTTGTTTGTAAACGACGCAGTCTCGCTCTGTCGCCCAGGCTGGAGTGCAGTGGCGCAATCTCGGCTCACTGCAAGCTCCGCCTCCCGGGTTCACGCCATTCTCCTGCCTCAGCCTCCCAAGTAGCTGGGACTACAGGCGCCCGCCACCACGCCCGGCTAATTTTTTTTTGTATTTTTAGTAGAGACGGGGTTTCACCGTGTTAGCCAGGATGGTCTCGATCTCCTGACCTCGTGATCCGCCCGCCTCGGCCTCCCCAAGTGCTGGGATTACAGGCGTGAGCCACCGCGCCCGGCCGAGTAACTGTTCTTGGAACCTGTTTTCTCGTCTATAAAATGGGGATTATAAAATATAGCTCACAAGATTCTGTAAAGATTTTGTACACACACACAGAAACACACAGAAACACACACATGTGCACACACCATCTAATGCTTATGAGGTACTGAATAAATACTAGCTATTATCAATAAGTACTTACCCAATATGTGGAAGTATGACTAATAATATTTTAAAATATTAACCTTTTACTCTGGTTACTCTTTCACTTTCCCCAACATATTGACAACTAGTCATTTCCTTAGGGAAGGGTTAACATAGCAGAATATAAATTATGAAGATATAGACTCTCATGGTTTCCGAGTTTGAAAAGTCTAAGCCTGGTAAAAGACAAAAGATTTCAAAGAGAAAAAAAAAGATGGCTGAAAGGTTTTCCTCCTTCCTGCACTACAAAGGATTCTTCGGGTTGTGGGAAGGAAAATGAGGGGATATTGCAGAGGAAGCAAGAAAATTCAATACCAGTGTGTGTCCCTGGAGGGAAGGAAGGTAGAGAGAAGTGAAGAAACCGAGAGAGATCTGAGAGAACCTGAAAGCAGAGCTGACTTGGACCTCATTTCTGAGGAGAATCTCTGAGGGAAACCGGGTGGCGAGTTTCCCCTACTCCTTCGTCTGTCACTCTTCCTGACCCCATGGAAACTCACTGACACAACACACAATCACTGCGAATCACTCTCCCCATTAAATGGATAGGAGTGTATGTCAGAAGAAAAGAATATGCACAGCGTCTAGTCAGATGGGTCTTACCAAAGTTCCTGCCCACCCTACTACGGCATAAGGTACAGTACGATGATTTTTGATATTACAAAATGGGGGCATCAAAGTAGCGGAGAGATATCCAGATCTGAAAGTCACTGCACATGGGAATGAAAGATGGCCCAGGAAGAAGCCACTGCCTGCTTGGACCAACAGCCAAGGATATGAGGGAGAGACTGGCATCTCCATGGATGCCAGCCCAGATGACAACTAAAGAACAAATGTTCTGCCACAAATGTTCTGCCACACTGTGGTCACCACACCCATCAATGCATGCTTTGCAACTATATAAGCCCTGAATTGATTTAAAAATGTATTTCTTCTATTCAATGGAATTACATTCATTTATTAAAAGGTAACATTATGGACTGAAAATCTCAGCACAATTGTTATCATTTACAATTATTTCACATTATTTTTATAAATGTGAGGGGGATATATGAACTTAAGTTTTTATTGAAACTTGTCATGCATCTTGCTTTGTGTGTCCCATGCTTGTTAAAAAACTTACTTCGATCCGTAATGATTGTTCTAGCCTCTTGATTGCTGGTCTTGTTTTTCAAATTTTGGGCAGCGGTAATGAGTTCTTCCAACTGGGGACGCCTCTGTTCCAAATCCTGCATTGTTGCCTGTAAGAACAAATATCCCTTAGTATCAGGGTTCTTCAGCGTTGTGTATTCCTTTTACATAATACAAAGTAAAGTACAATTGTGAGACCAGCCAAAACACTTTTAGAAATAAAAAAGATGTTACTGTATAAGGGTTTATAGAAAACAATTTAACAGGAAATATGTTTCATTCTTAGATATCAAAAATATTTCAAATGAAAATCTTGACTATAGATTTTCTTCATTTAAAGGCTCAAATGGAGACATTCCGGAGTACCTCGGATTACTTAAACCACTGTCTGAATGCCTTGAGTAAGAAATGTTATTCTGAATTACGACAATGTATTTAAAAGATAGATAACTATTTATACTTATAATATCATTCTGTGTGACGTCAAAATTAAGGTATATTTATTTTAAAAACAGAAAAAGCACAGAACCGATTTAAGAGATATTACTTATTTAACTTCATTGTACCCCTGAGATTTCTCACCTGTCAAATGAAAAGGTGAAGTAGACGAGCTAAATCAGCTTTTCTCCTAAGCTGCCTGTCCGTAAGAATCACCAAACCTTTTTGCCTCCCTCCAGAACTAATGAATATGTAGTGGAAAGGGCTGCAAATCTTGCATTTTAAATAAATTATCTAATTAACTTTTATGATTTAGGCAAGTTTGGAGAGCATCAGATTACAGGTTAGTATTCCTATTCCCCTGTATTATAAATGACTTTAATATAGCACTATTTTAAATAAAAATACAAATATAATAAAGTTAACAATTTTTAATTTATAGGTAGTAATGTAAATCATTAAGATATTCTTCCCTTTCTTCAGTGTCTATTTTCTCTGTCATCTTAGTCTCTCTAGATTTAAGGACCACAATCTCAGAGGTATTTATGAAGAAATTTATGAAAAAAAGGCATCTGACTAGCTCTGGTTCTAAAACTCAGTAAATTTTATTTTAATTGGGGAAAATACAAGTAATATTTACTGTTAGTTTATAAGCAATATGTGACAGATGTTTTATCTATATTTTCTCATTTTTTTCTTATAATAACCACACTAGTAAACAAGCCAGCAAGTTTGTATAATTTTAAATATGATGTTCTACCACATGAGGCCAATGAAGATGAAGAGATGAAAGTGGTAGATAGTAATGTATCTGAAACTTATATGAAACTTAGTTATTTACTCTGTACTTTGACTCCTGCTGATTTTCTAACGAATTTTGGTTTTGGAAAGGCCAAATTTTGATCATTCTGTAGTGTTTCTTCTGTGAAGAGGTAGGGAGACAGGCTTTGTGATTTAAACTCAATTGCTTTTGGTAATAGTAAAATAATGCAAAAAACTTTTCCAAACATTGTACATCTACTTTAGGCACTTTCTCCTCTCTGTATTGAAAAATTGGAGGGGCTAACTTTTAACAAATTTTCCACATTTGTAAGCTGTGATTGCTCAGAAAAAAAATCCAATTTTCAGGTTTCTAACTTTTATGGTTTCTTTACACAACAGAGTGTTTGAAATATGGAACAAATTGCCAAAGACAGCTATTGAAGTAAGTGGCATAAGTCAGCTGGAGAGTACTGAACAAATTTTAAAGTAGGAACCATATAGTAGCAGGTAGATTTTATGAAATAAGATGTTTTCCAGTGTTAGAATGTGAAACTCTGGTCATCTGTGACATGGGAAGCTGAAAGGTTGCTTTGGAATTGCCTACCCTAAAATGTTTGAATATGTTCAATAGAATTTTTAAAACGGACTTACCCAGAAACCTCAGATGAAGTCAAATTTTCACCTCAAAGTTAACAGAGAACTTTAAATACACAGGGCTGGCAAAATACATAAATTCATTTACTCATCCATTCATTTTAATAAATATTTTTCAGCACTAGGCACTATTCTAGGGACTATGCATGTGGCAGTGGACAAATATATTCGGTATAGTGTGTAACTCACATGAAAAATCGTGCTTTTCGATACTTGGAAATTTTTATATAACAAAGATTATCTTTATTGGGTTGTTCTTCTTTTAATTCACTCTCACATAACCAGATTTTTTTTGCTTCTCAGTTTTAGATACATTATTCACTGTTTGCTATACTTTTTTCCTTCTTTTAAGATTTCAAAGTTCATTTAAGAAGTATGTTGTAAAAGTAAGTTGATCAACTTTAATCTGAACCTTACCAGGCTCTAAATTAAACCTGACCACAATGAACAGCTTTTATTGCTGAAATTAGCAAGCATGTCAACTTAGACTCAAAACAAGCCATTTTCCTCTCTAATGAACAAAATAGGTCTCAGGGTATTGTGAAACCTGTTCTCTAGTTGGGTGATTCTCTAATTCTGCTGACAGACACATGCTTTGTAAGCACCTGAGAAGATTATTAATGAGATCCTTTGAAGCAGCCTCCTTAAAAATCTAAGGAGGTTCACAACTGCAGTACAACTATGCATTTCTAAAATATTTCAAAACAAAATTTCAACTTTTTATCCCACTCTATGGTCAACACATACAAACATTCATTTCAACAAAGAAGCTGTAAAATGATAATGTATATTGCTATGGGATTTATCATACACTAATAGGCTCTTTACTTAGTGGTCTTTTAGTATAGCAGAATGGGAATTTTCTCCTTTGATTCCCTTTCTAGAAATAAAGAGAGGGATTTAATATGGCATACGCTTCAGTATTTTTTCATTAAGATATTATAAAAACAGTGGTTAAAAGAATTTCTTGCTAATAAGAACACAAGCATATGGTGAGAGTAACGATTATTTTTCATTTGGTTTCCTTTTAAGGGTATTCTATTTATTTGCTACTATACTTTCTTTGACTTCAACTTAGTTTTATAATTCCAGAACTTCTCAAATAAACTGACCTTCACCTCTATTCCTTCGAGCCACCCACAGATGAGAAAACACCTTAGATCTAATCATTACTCAAACTACTTGCCTCCAAAATATCCATCTATAAAATTCTGTTCTCTGCCCCCAATCTGCTACCCCTACCAGATGTTACTCTCCCAAACATGCTGTTCCTAGTATTATCTTCATCCTCATATGACCTCTGGTCCTTTTCTGTTTCCTCAACCTAGCTTTAGTCATAACAAACAAGTAGAATGCTAATTGTGCTTATTTATTTCTCTGATATGATCCCAGATATTTGTGACACAAATAACTTAAAGCGAACAAAACTAAAATCATTACATGCTTACCAGTACCTAAGCATGATAATGGATCGTGTCTACATGGATTCTATCATTCTAGAGGAAACAAAACACAGGAGAAGGAAGGAATCAATGCTATTTCTAAGGAGTCATAAGTCAGCTACTGGGCTTTACTAAAAACTGCTTACCCCTTGGAGATGAGAATTCATCATGGATTCCACTAGCTGAGCAAAGATGGAGGAAAAAAAATTCTTCAAATACAAAGTGAATCAGAAGTCTTTAATCTCACTAAGTCCCCCCAGAGTTGAGTGAAGTGGTTATAAATAGCAACCCTATGAAATAGGAAGTTAAACAGTGAAATCATACATATTATAACTAGGGCATTTTAGGCTTTTAGACAAAATTACAATTTTTTATTGTATTCATTAAAATAGAATTCCACCTAAATAATACTCAAATAAAAACTCTATATGTTGAGTTGAATGCTTAGTATTTACATGTCTAAGAAAAGACTTTGAAAATCAAACTGGTCATATTTTTATATTTTTCTATAAAAATCAACAATCTACATAGCATAAATGCCCATGATGATTTTTCAAATGTTCCCATTTTCAGTAAATGAATATGAATTAAGCTGAAATGTAACAATGTAGAACTGATGCTATTTTATTTACAACTTCAAAAAATTAATATAAAGAATTCAGAAGGTAAAAGAGTTTACGGAACCATTTTATGTATTGAAGAAAATAAGCATAGAAGTCAGGAAGGTACTAAATTGTAGCCTTTCTAGTTACCGAAAGGGTTTTACTGGTGAGGATGCTGTAATCTATCTAGCTTTCAACCATCTCACTGAGCATCTTCTTCTGGCTTCTATTCTTGCATTCGGCTGCCTCTCCAAATAGAGTGGCCAAATCGAAAACCATCCTCATTGTCTTCCACTTACTTCCTCACTTCTCATTTCCATTTTATACTGGCTTGGATATTGATATTTTCCTACTTGGTCAACCTTCCCTACTTCTTTTTTGAATGTTCTACTAGCACCTCCATCGGTAACTTCTTAAGAATCTTCATAACCAACTTCATAAATATCTTCCAACTGCAGTTAGCCTTTTTTGTTCTTTATTCACTGAATAAATACTTTATAAGATGCATTTTATTTTTATATAATTTCAAGCTTGCAGAATATTTGCAAGATAAAGAACTCCCAGGTAACCCTTGCCCGGATTCACCATTTGTTAACATTTTGCCACATTATTTTTAATTATTTATCATTTTATCATTCTCTCTGTGTGTATAGATATATAACTGTATATGTAATGTTTTATATATATATATTTTTTTTCTGAATCATTTGAGAATAATTTGCAGATATCATGCCCCTTTACCCTTAAATACTTTAGGTTTTATTTCTTAATAGCAAAGACATTCTCTTAAATAACCTCAGCTCAGTTTCAAAGTCAGGAAATTTAGCGTGGCTTTAGTACCATAATCTTATCCATACTCTATATTCAGAGTATGACAATTACCCCATTAATGAACTTTATAGCTATATTTTTATTTCCTGGTCTGGTCCAGACTCACGCATTGCTTTTAGTTGTCGTATCTCCTTAGTCTTTTTTAAGTTGAAATAGTTATTTGCCTTTCTTTGAACTTTATAACACTTACAGTTTTGACCAACAGAGGCCAGGTATTTTGTAGAATATCCCCCAAATTTGAGTTATAGCAATTTTTTAAGTGCTTCTGTTGTGTCACTCATTGAGCTAGGTGCAGGGGCTGTAGCAGTGAAGGAGAAAATAATTCCTGTTCTCAAAGAGAAAACAAACGAGTAGTGATGACAGGCAATAAAAAAGCAATTGCAACAACCTGAGGTATTATGGTAGGGGAAACATGGAGAGTTATCAGAGCATATGGCAAAGATATCACATGAAATATAAAGGCCAAAGACTGTCTTCTGAAGGAATCAAGCTTAAGTAGTCCTCAGCTTTTCTTTATTTAAATTATACAAAACAGTTTTAAACACCACTGCTCCTCATACCCAAGTGGCCACCATGAGAATATGCAGGCCTTCTATTATTGGGTCTTAACTGACTGAGGACTCCTGTTACTGCATTTTGAAATCCATGATTGCACTGCACCAAAGCCAAGCTTCTCACAGACTTCTCCTCACCCAATGATTGGGTGTGGTGGGAATACTAAGGCAGAGAGCCTTCCTTGGGAGACATGGGACTTCTTTGCCTGGCTCTGCCTCAATGACTTCCCAACAGCTTTGCCAAAATTTCCTTCCACTAGACCGCACACTGGGATGCTTCTGCCTAGCCTTCTCTCCCTCTCTCTTCCTTGCAGAGTCAGAATTGCATCTTGATCTAACATCTCTTGCACCTTCCTTGGCTTCCTCCTTCTTTTCTTTCACATAGATATTTCCACTAATAAAATATTGTCCCATTTTATCCTGTCTGGGTACATATAACCTCAGGCCCTGACTAATACACTCACTTTTGTCCTCCTAGACCCTAAACCTCTCATCAGCTCTTCAGTTCCATGTAACGTGATGGTTCCATGACACTACTACCTGAATGTGTAACTGTCAATTATTGAATATTAATTAGTAACATAGGTTTCTTCATGCCTCCCATGGGCTGGCCTCTTAAGATGCAATTCAAGTAAATATGTATTTTTACATACTACCTCTATTTAGAAATCACTAAGGTAGGGTGCATGACCATTATTTCCAAGGAGCGCAGAATTTAACTGGAGGAAAATAAGAGTATTCAGATGTGTTACATGGTAATGGTGGAGTTCCATTCAACACATGCAGCTCAAGAACTGTAGGAAACTAAAGCAAGCCACCAGGAATCCTTAACAGATAACAACCACTAGGTTTGCTGCAAGAGATGGCAAAAGGAACTTTGGGGCAAGTTTTCAGATGACGGAAGACAGAAAGTTAAGATTATTCCACCTCTCTGAGTGAGAAGTGCCCTAGGTAGACAAAGACCTCAACCAGGACCAGCTTCTTGAACGTATAACTTGTGCAGTTAGTTACACAAGGATCTGCATTAGAAGGGATTCATACTTGGTTTCATGCTCTACTGTTGCCATCTTGAAATTCTTAATTTTTTTTTAACCAAGGGCCCTGCGTTTTCATTTTTCACTGGGCTCTACAGATTACGTACCTGATTGTGACCTCAACCCTAAGGTTAGTGGAGAATAAAAGTTATGTATCTTGGCTGAAGCACTGGTTAATCGTTGATGGGAAGAACACATTTAAACACAAATTAAATGACGTCAATCAAATGCCTCTTGCTTAATTCCTGAGAATGCGTTTCAAATTTCTGGAAGGAGCAGTTATGAAGCTAAAAAATGTATTTTGGGGGAAATCTGGCCTCAGGAAAAGCTGAACAGGACAGTTAGAAGTGGTTCCAAGGTGGGACTGTCATCACTATCAATGGTTATTGGAGAACAAAAGTCACTATAGGAAAAATGAAGTAGGGAAACGACAAAGAAAGTGGTGAATCATCTGAGGAAGAAATTGGAGATAAAAAGGAGAACCTGTGGCTTCAGCAACAATGATGGCTGCTGAAATCTCAAATGACATTTCTAGGTTTAGCTAAGTGTTAGCTGTTTCCAAGGCTAGGATAGACTTGGGAAATACATAAGAAACAACTAATAATTTGTTTTAGAAACATTTACTAAACTGCAACTATTTGCCAAGCACTCAGCTAGTACACATAGACAAATAAAACTTGTCTTCTTTTTTCAAGGAACTTATAATCTAGCAAACAAATACTCATAAACAATTATTTTTTGTGTAATAATACAATGGGAAGTAATGCTAACGACAACAACAATAGTTGTTTATTGAGTGCATACCATATGCCAAAAGAGTCTATCACAGCATACTAGTTAAAAGAATGAACTCTGGAGTCAGGCTTTCCCAATTTGCATACTGGCTGCCACCTATTCGGTTTACTATTTTCAGTATGTTACTTAAATGCTGTCTGTATCATTTCCAGCACTGTGAAATGGAGATACTGAGTCTCTACCTCTCAGATTCATTATGAGAATTAATAGAGTTAATATTTGTAAGGTGTTTAGAACATTTCCCATTTCATAGTAAGAACAATAAAAGTTTTAAATAAAAACTATCAGTCAATGTAATTATCATATTACTCTGTGAGGTGGGTACTAATATTGCCCCTATTTTACTAGTAAAGAAAATGAATGAAAAAGAAGTTAAACAATTTGTCTAGGATCACATGGTAATAAGTGGCAGAACTTCTAACATAGGTAAGTTGGCCCCAAAGCCCACACACTTAAGAACTATAATATAGCATGATATACTTACAAGGTACTCATGTCATAGTATAATATAAGGTAGCTATATGATAGTATGATATAATATAGGAATGGATAAAGGGACAGGGATATGAAACGAGAATACAAAAGGGGAAATTAACTATTTCATTCAAGGACAGATTATATTCTGAATCAGTCATGGTTCTTGCAATAAATAGTTCATTCAAAGTGGGATGAGGAGGCTTTCCTCCTCAAGGCCTGAAAGGCTAAGGGGAGGGTATAGTTAGTAGAATCTGAGAAGTGGCTGCAGGGACAAGACCTCTTGACAGGAGCTGGGGCTGTGAGTAAAGGAACCTAGCCATCCCTCGACTCACTCTCCTCTCATCCATTGATCTGCTGATGCCTCCCAACACAAGGACCAAGCCAATAGACAAGCAAGCCCAATGCTACTGCCATATTGGTCAACCTCCTAGGGTAGAACAACAGGTTAGAGATTGGATCTGCGAAAGTATCCAGCAACAGTATAAAAAAAATAATAATAATGGCAACAACTATTGAAACAAATCAGTGAAGGAAATGACCACATATGGGAATTCTCAGCAAAGACTTCATATCAAGTATGGCACTACAGCTGAACTTTGGCAGATTTGGCTAGAGAATGAGAAGAGCATTATAAGGGAAAGACAGACATGAACAAAGGCATGAACGTAAAATAAAGCCTCAAATGGGCTGGTTAGAGCCTGGAATTCTTTACAAATAATGGCAAATAAGTTTAGGTAGACATAGTAGAAGCAGTATATAGTTGGCTTTTTAAAAATCAGTTTGAGGTTTTGAATTTTATCACAAGGACAACTGGGAAGCAGCGAACTTGCAGAAAAAAACTGAGGCTATAGGAGCAAAGCTTTCAGTAATCCTGTGCCTCCATAGATTTTGTTCTTTCTGGTTGGGATAAATTTCTCAATTCTTGGTCCATTCCTAGAAATACAGTTAACAGATACCCATACGTAAAAAGTGTTGATTGACCAAATCACTGACTACAATGAAGGGAAACAGTGGTACAAGAAACAAGTAATTAGAGACTTGTGGCAGATCAAGAATACATACAAATGGCAAACAAGCATATGAAAAGGTGCTCAACATCACTGAATCATTGATAACCAGAGAAATGAAAATCAAAATTACAATGACATATTACCTCACTCCCGTTAAAATGGCTTATATCCAAAAGACAGGCAATAACCAATGTTGACAAGTATGTGAAGAAAAAGGAACCCTTGTATACTGTTGGTGGAAATGTAAATTAGCACAACCACTATGGAGAACCGTTTGGAGGTTCCTCAAAAAACTAAAAATAGAGCTACCATATAATATAGCATTCCCGCTGCTGGGTATATACCCAAAAGAAAATAAATCAGTATATTGAAGAGATATCTGCACTCCCATGTTTATTGCAGCGCTATTCACAATAGCCAAGATTTGGAAGCAACCTAAGTGTCCATCAGTAGATGAATGGACAAAGAACATGTGGTACCTATGCACAATGGAATACTACTCAGCCACAAAAAAGAATGAGATTCTGTCATCTGCAACAACATTGTTGGAAATGGAGGTCAGTATGCTAGGTGAAATAAATCAGACACAGAAAGACAAACATTGCATGTTCTCACTTATTTGTGGGATTTAAAATTCAAAACAATTGAACTCATGGACATAGAGAGTAGAAGGATGGTTACCTGAGGATGGGAAGGGTCGTGGGGAGGTGGGGGTGGTGTAGGTATAGTTACTGGGTACAAAAAATTAGTTAGAAAGAATGAGTAAGACCTACTATTTGATAGCACAACAGGGGGACTATAACCAATAATGATTTAATTGTACATTTTACATTAATTAAAAGAGTATAATTGGATTGTTTGGAACATAAAGAATAAATGCTTGAGGGGTTGAATACCCCATTTTACATGATGTGCTTACTACACATTGCATGCCTGTATCAAAACATCTCAAGTACCAAATAAATATATACACCTGCTAGGTACTCACAAAACTTAAAAATATAAAAATAAAACAAAAAGAAACAAGTAATTAGAATCAGAAATGTGTGGAAATTGCTAGAACACATGTTCCTTTTCTAAGCAGTATTTATCAGTATTATAAAAATCACTGATCATTTGGCTAGCTTTAAAAATAAAAAATATGATAGCTGTTTAAGAAATCATTATTAGCTATTCAAACTTAAAAAACAATAAGACAGTCAGTGAAATTTATTTCTCTATTTCTTTGTAGTAATGTTTCAATTTGTTGATATTTTGGGGAGTTAAAAAAACTCTTAAGCCTAGCACTGCATGTTCTCACTCGTAAGTGGGAATTGAACAATGAGAACACATGGACACAGGGAGGGGAACATCACACACCGGGGCCTGTCAAGGGGTGAGGGGCAAGGGGACAGAGAGCATTAGGACAAATACCTAATGCATTGGGGGCTTAAAACCTGGATGTTGGGTTGATGAGTATAGCAAACCACCATGATACATGTATACCTAGGTAACAAACCTGCACGTTCTGCACATGTATCCCAGAACTTAAAGTAAAATTAAAAAACTAAAAAATAAATAAATAAATATAAAATAAATAAAATAAAAAAAGAGCATAGTAATCTCAAAAAAAAAAAAAAAACCTCTTAAGCCTACCAAATTTGGTGACTTCTTTGAAATGGTAATAATATTAATCTACTATTAGTGTGTTATTTTTAAAATAAATTATCTCCCTGTGTTGAAAAAAAGATTAAGATGGTCCTTTCCAAGCTATTATACCACACGGAACTTAAAGGATTGATTTACTTGTCATTTACTAAAACCCTTAACATCCAAAAATGAAAATGCCTTTCACTTTCACAAGCCAGTAAGTAAATAATGTGGTGTAAATTGCGGATCTTGAAATACAATTTCAAAGTCAAGAAAAAAAAAGAATTTTATGCTACAATTTGTTGATAATGATTTGCAAACGCATTTCTAAAGTGATATAAAGGGCGTTGATAATTTTAGCTATTCAACGTTAGATCTTTTAGTTATTCTACATTGTTCACATTTCTTGAAACTCTATTGTTCTATAAATTTGGCATATTAACAAAGGATAATCAAGACAGGTTTAAGACCAGTTTTTATCATGTGCATCAGATTCGCAGGCTTTTGATATTATGGCCCAGTAACATAAGTGATATAATTTTTTCTCCTACACACATTTTAGAAGAAAGAGAGACATGAAACAATATATAGGACTGCCTTGGAATATTGTGTGTTTGGTTCCAGACTGCTGCAATAAAGTAAATATCACAATAAAATGAGGCACACGAATATTTTTGGTTCCCCAGTGCATTAAATGTTATGTTTACACTCTACTATCATCTGTCAAGTGTGCAATAGCATTGTATCTAAAAAATGTACATACCTTAATTTGAAAATACATTACTCCTAAAAAAAATGGTAACAATCATCTGAGCCTGCAGGGAGTCATAATCTTTTTGCTGGTACAGGCTCTTGCCTCAGTGAGGATGGCTGCTGATTGATCAGGGTGGCGGTTGCTGAAGGTCGGGATGGCTGTAGCAATTTCTTAAAATAAGACAACAACGAAGTTTGCTGCATCGATTGGCTCTCCTTTATAGCCAATGATTTCTTTGTAGCATGTGATGCTGTTTGATAGCATTTTACTCAGTAGAACTTCTTTCAAAATTTGAGTCAATCTTCTCAAACCCTGATGCTAATTTATCAACTAAGTTTATGGAATATTCTAAATCCTTTGTTGTCATTTCAACAATGTTCACAGCATCATCACCAAGAGTAGAGTGCATCTCATGAAACCACAATCTTTGCTCATCCATAAGCAGCAACTCTGGATCCGCTGAAGTTTTACCTTGAGATTACAGCTATTCAGTCACACCTTCTGACTCCACTTCTCATTCTGGTTCTCATGCTATTTCTACCACATCTGCAGTGACTTCTTCTACTGAAGTCTTGGACCCTCAAAGTCATTGATGAGTGTTGGAATTAACTACTTCCAAACTCCTGATAATGTTGATATTTTGACCTCCTCCCCTCAATCATGAATTTTCTTCATGGCATCTGGAATGGTGAGGACTTTCCGTTTTCAGTTTACTTTATCCAGATCCATCAGTGGACTCACCACAATATAGCAGCTATACCTTTATGAAATGTATGATTTAAGTAATAAGACTTGAAAGTTGAAGTGACTTCTTGATCCAAGGACTGCAGAATGGATGTTGTGTTAGCAGGTATGAAAATAAAATCATTCTCTTTGGACATATTCCTCAGGGCTCTTGGGTGACCAGGGACATTGTCAAAGAGCAGTAATATTTTGAAAGACACATTTTTTTGAGAAGTAGGTCTCAACAGAGGGCTCAAAATGTTCATCAAACCATGCTGTAAAGAGATGTGCAGTCATCTAGTCTTTGTTGTTTGATTTACAGAGCATAGGCAGACTAGATCTAGCATAACCTGAAGGGCCCTAGGATTTTTGGAATGGTAAACGAGCACTGGCTTCAACTGAAAGTCACCAGTTGCATTAGCCCCTCACAAGACAGTCAGCCTGTCCTTTGAACTTTTGAAGCCAGGCATTGACTTCTCTCTAGCTATGAAAGTCCTAGATGGCATCCTTTTCCAATAGAAGGCTGTTTCGTCTATATTGAAAATGTGTTGTTTAGTATTGCCACCTTTATTAACTTAGATGTTAGTTTGATCTTCTGGATAGTTTGCTGCAGCTTCTCCATCAGCACTTGTTGCTCTGCCTTGCACTTTTATGTTATAGAGAGGGCTTATTCATTAAGGCTCATGAACATACTTCTGCTAGCTTCCAACTTTTCTGCTGCAGCTTCCTCACCTCTCTCGGCATTCACAGAATTGCAGAGAATTAGTCCTTTGCTTTAGATTAGCCTTTTGCTTAAGATAATGGTGTGGCTGTTTTGATCCTCTATCCAGACCACTAAGACATTCTCCATATTAAAAATAAGGCCGTTCCACTTTCTTATTCCTGTGTTCAACAGAGTAGCACTTTTAATTTTCTTCAAGAACGTTTCCTTTGCATTCACAACTTGGCCAACTGGCACAAGAGGTCTGGCTTTCAGCCTGTCTTGGCTTTTGACATGCCTTCCTCACCAATCTTAATCATTTCTGACTTTTGATTTAAAGTGACAAACATGTGACTCTTTTTTTTCCCATGAACACTTAGAGGACATTGTAGGGTTACTGACTGGCATAATTTCAATATTGTTGTGTCTCAGGGAATAGGGAGGCCCAAGGAGAGGAAGAGAGATGAGGGAATGGCTGATCAGTGGAGTAGCCAGAACACACAAAACATTGATTGATTAAGTTTGCCATCTTATGAAAATAAGTAATGGGAAAAGGACTCTGTATTTAAGACATGATGCTGGGATGGCTGGTTAGCCATATGCAGAAGAATGCAACTGGACCCCCTCCTTACACCATATACAAAAATTAACTCAAGATGGAATAAAGGTTTAAACATTAGATCTCAAATTATAAGAATCCTATAAGAAAGCCTAGGAAACACCACTCTGGACATCAGACTTGGGAAAGAATTTATAACTAAGTCCTCAAAAGCAATTATAACAAAACCAAAAATTGACAAGTGGAACTTAATTAAACTAAAGAGCTCTTCACAGTGAAAGAATTTATCAACAGAGTAAACAGACAGTCTACAGAATAAGAGAATATATTTGCAAACTATGCATCTGACAAAGGTCTAATATTCAGAATCTATAGGGAACTTAAACAATTCAACAAGTCAAAAACAAATAACCCCATCAAAAAAAATGGGCAAAAGACATAAACAGACACTACTCAAAAGAAGACATACAAGTGGCCAACAAACATGAAAAAATGCTCCACATCACTCAACATCAGAGAAATGCAAATCAAAACCACAACGAGATACCGTCTCACACCATTCATACTGGCTATTATTAAAAAGTCAAAAAAATGACAGATGCTGCTGACGCTGTAGAGAAGAGGGAACTCTGATACACTGTTGCTGGGAATGCAAATTAGTTCAGCCACAGTGAAACAGTTTGAAGATTTCTCAAAGGACTTAAAACACAACTATCGTTCAACCTAGTGATCCCATTACTGGGCATATAGCCCAAATAAAACAAATTGCTTTACTAAAAAACCACATGTATTCTCATCCTCATTTCAGCACTATTCACAATAGCAAAGGTATGAAGTCAGCCTAGGTGCCCATCAGTGGCAGACTGGAGAAAGAAAATACGGTGCATATACACCATGGAATACTATGCAGCCATAAAAAAGAACAAAATCATGTCCTTTGCAGCAACATGGATGCAGCTGGAGGCCATTATTCTAAGTGAATTAATGCAGAAACACAATACCAAATACCACGTGTTCTCATGTGGAGCTAAACAGTGCGTTGTCATGGACATAATGATGGCAACAATAGAAACGGAGGACTACTAGAGTGGGGAGGGAGGGAAACAAGGGTTGAAAAACTAACTATCGGTTACTATGCTCAGTACCTGGGTGACAGTATCATTTGTACTCCAAACCTCGGCATCATGTAATATATCAAGGTAATAAACCTACACATGTACTCCCTGAATCTAAAATCAAAGTTGAAAAAATGTTTGTCTTTTTTTTTTTTTCCACACAGGGTCTTGCTCTGTCATTCTGGCTGGAGGGCACTGGAGTGAACATGGCTTACTGCCGCCTTGACCTCCTGGGCTCAAGTGATCCTCCTGTGTCAGCCTCCCATGCAGCTGGCAGGGCTCCTTACAGCCATGTGCCACCATGCCCAGTTAATTTTTCTACATATATATTTTAAAGACAGGGTCTCACTTTGTTTCCCAGACTGGTCTCAAACTTCTGGGCTAACACGATCCTCCTGCCTTGGCCTCCCAAAGTGTTAGGATTACAGGTGTGAGCCACTGCACCCCACAAAGTTTGCCATCTCATATGAGTGCAGTTCATGACATCTCAAAACAATTACAATAGTAACATCAAAGGTCACTGATCACAGATCATAACAAATATAATAATAATAATAATGTTTGAAATATTGAGCAAATTACCAAAACGTGACACAGAGACGTAAAGCGAGCACATGCTGTTGGAAAAATTGTGCCCGACGGACTTGCTCAATGCAGCCTTGCCACAAACTTTCAATTTACAAAAAGTGAAATATCTGCAAAGTGCAATAAAGTGAAACCCAATAAAACGAGATACGCATGTACATATTTGGGGATTATTACTCCTCAATTTTTTCAGTATTAATTTCTTGTTCTACCTTGAATAACATCATTTTGGAATCCTTCGAACTTCCACTTATCAAGACGAATTCTCTTGTCCCTATTCAGAGGAATCTATACAGCAAATTGAATCATAAGTGTACTAAAATACCAAAGCAGAAGATAAATTACAAGACATGAATAGTGAAATGTAACTATTTGAGGGCATTATTTGTAATAGTTTGCCTGGTACATACTCCTCCTAATTTTGCATCCTAAAGATACTATCCAAAGACTGTAGAAATTCCAGATACAAGAGGCTAGAGTTGACAGGTAATTAAGCTTTGGTCAATCAAAGAGCTAGAAAATATTTATTGAAATAATTGTATGCATAACACATCACAGTAGGGAATGTGCCTCATGGATGACATGAAAGAGACTCTCTAGTGAAATAATTGAACTTGTGATGAACTTTCAATGCAGTTGGGGAGGTGACCTTCAGGCCAGCCCATGCATGCTCGCACACGCAGTTACCCAATAATAGAAGACAATATGTAAATGACAAACGTAATAGTCTACAGACCACATATCCTACCCTAATGGGATTCTGAGAGATGGGATTTTATATGGGACCAGGTTCAGGGAAGGTGCCATAGAGGAACAGCAACATGAACTGTAACTTAGAGGATGAACTCAATTAATAATGACCTAATGGGAGAAGGAATTTCAGGACAAGGAGTAGCTTTAAAACTAAAGTGTAGAAGTCAGAATACAGCAGAGTGGTTGAGAAAGAGTGGGAAGGGCAGCTGTGTAATTAGTTAGCAGAATTACGATGGCTGTGATCAAGTTGAGAAGGGAAGCTGGGGCCAGAATGTGAGGGCTCAGAACACTAGATGCCCAAATAAGGACATCATGTTGAAGGCCATGGGAAATCATCAGAGGTTTGAGAGCAGAAGAATGCCACAATAAAAGTGGCATGTTAGAAATATTAACCTCGTACAACTGCATCCAATGTCCCTTCCAAGAAAGAAATGGAAAATTAAATTGCAGTAACCCAAGAAAAGCCTCTTGTATCTCCTCTTTGATTAAATGTCCTGTCATGAAAACATGTAAAACATTTCTAATTTACCTTCATGCATCTTTTTAAGAAGAATATAATAACTCCACTGCACACAAGGAACATAAATTCAACCCCATTGCTTGTAAAAACTGTCCCAAAGAATTATTAAACAAATTTGCTGATTCTACTTGTAATATTATATTTTACTATATAGGGGTAAAAAGGGATTGTAGTTTCAGTTTAGAAAAAAGGTAAACATTCAGAATGTTTTGTTAAATTCTTACATTCCTACTCTAAAGGATAAACAGAGACTTTCAGAGTGTGAGAAGAAATTGAGATCTCTCTGGAAATACAACTTCAAGGATTATTATCAGTGATAAGAAGTATTAACATATGTTATGATGTCACATTTTGTGAATATAACTTTTCAATGCCCTTAATACGTATTGCTGCACTAGACCTGATATTTTTCTTTGGGAAATAAGTCTTCAGGTAGTACTCCTATTTCTAGGAAAGGAGTACTGGGGTATTGTGCTCATCTGTTCAAAAATAAAAGTCAAAGCTAACAAAACATTTGTTAAAAATGCATTCAACCTTTTCACGTTTTAAAAACATTTTGAAGATATTATTCATTTAAGTACTGAAACAAAACCATGCTTTTTATTTCTAACGGCAGCCATCAATAAACTGAGGCAAAGCAAGAGATGTTACCATTCGCTGATACTACCTGTAGATGGGAAGTGAAGTGAAGAAATGAGTGATTATCTAGAGGCGATTACACTCATGAACACAGTTAATCAGAATAATTCAAGCCCCCTAACCCTCTTCTGCTGTCTTCACATGGTAGATGTGAAATTTGAATTATCAAAATAATTGGCACAGCTGTTCAATTCATGTTTCCCATATAGGGATAGAATCAGGCTCAGTTTATTCAGCTATAAAGTGGAGATAATTACATTCATATAAACCACTCTTGTGTGATTAAAGCAATGAATCTATTTATAAGAATTCAAATACCTTAGGTAGAAATTAGTCAAATATGGCTAGTCCAGGTTTCTTTACAGTAACAGCAATTAAGACATATGTTATATAGAATATATTTAATCCATGAGGTTTCAGCCTTCTGATTTTGCCAAATTCTGAGTGCTACAAAGTGAAGATACATATGGATGGTGAACAACCATGTGTTCACCTTAAACAATGCTATATTAATGGCTTGGAAATCCTTGTGAGTTTTACAAATAAGTGTGAAACAGGAGTGCATGTGTGTATGTGTGCATGTGTCTGTGAGCACTCACACAGACAACATCCGAATGGAGAAGAGAGGTATGAATAAATATATATCCTAAATTTGCATCAAAATGGTGTAATGGTTACCTTTGGACGTACATATAAGGGGAAAAAGTGCTTAACAACTAGGTCTCATTCTTCAAAATAAACAACATCCTTTGTACATTTTCTCAGCAGTTGTCTGGGAGATCAACATTAATCTATTTCTTCTCAGAACTTATATGACTGGGAAAAAGATAAAAATCTGCCCTTGATTGGGTGCTATGTGTTTAAGCTCTGGTTTAGCTGTAAATCATTTGTGAAGATCATTTCTTGGTAGGTGAGTGGAATTGCTATTATAGAGTGTTAATATACTTGCAGTGAAGTGTTGCTGGGGGTAGGAGGTGTTAGACATTGATCAGGAGCTTAAGAGATGAGCTATTTATTTTTGCTGTTGTAAGAGCAAATTTCTATAATAAAACAATGATTCTGCTTCTCTGTCAAAAAACACCATTTTATGACATGAAAGCTCTCTTCAGTAAACAAAGAACAGACTGTTATTGGAGAACGTAAAAATTACAATAGAATATATTTCCCTATAGGAGCACAGTGGCCTTTAACTCAGCTGGAACTTACAGTATGACAGCTTTTAAAGGAAGGGACATATTCTATGGGGAGGATTTTAGACATACTTGTCTATTCCCTAGGCCGTACTAATTCTTATCATATAAAAATGGGTCTACATTAGCACATGGTGCCAGTATATCACACACTTGCACTGCGGCATGAAAGGAGCCCAGCTTGAGGGGGAGAACTGCTTTCTGTGGCATAGTTCCAAGCAAACACATGGCACAAATGAAGCCGATTCTGAGGAATATGGAAACTTTATGTACTGTTTGATAGGGAAATGTGCACAGCTTCTAAACGGTGAGCTTCTAGTTCTGCTCCAAGAACAAGTACAATCAATTCTTAAGTGGTTTCTGTAATGTTGTGTTCCTAACCGAGCTGTTTACATTATAGGGAAGTGTTAAGTTTAATTTTCTGTTTTATTAGGCAGGTTTCTCATTATGAACAATAATTTCAATACCTTTTAAGTAATTTAAAAATAAGCAGTAATCCCTGCAGAAAGGCTGCAGTACCATTTCTCTAGTGATTCCTTTTTCTGTGTTTTATTTGTATAAGGTGAGCAAAATTGCTTATTCTTTGTTGCCTCAGAGACTTTAGTGGCATGAGGCTAGGCAGAGACAAAAACTGATAATCATAAATAAATCAACACTATTGGGTGGTTCCAATATCCAGTATCTCAATGTTCTCTGCCCTTTGTCTCTTTCTGCTATATTAATGATCTGTCTTAATTTTACAAGTTTTCTGTAAGATAGTAGACAGAATAGGTGTTACTGAGGTGAAGGCTTCAATCCAAACTACAAAACTAGGTAGCCTAGAGGCAACAGCTAATTCCATGCTTTTGGTTCACAAAGGAATGCTAATACACACAAGTAATAACAAAACAAACTCACAGTACATGTGCTACTGAAGAGGTGTTGGGAGCATTAAATATTCGTACAAAGGGCAGCACAAAATGGGAGGTTAAAAAATTAAGCAACATTAGGAACCTGAGAGATGCAACTAATTAACCAGTTTGGCCTTAATAAATATCCATGCTGTAATATTTTAATAGTAATATCTGCCCCTAATATCTATCCATTTATGTAATATTCCCCATTACTATCTACTCAAATGTTCTGCTACACTTTCTCGTAAAGGTCAGTGACTCTCCACTGCCTTACAATTCAAACTCCTACAGCGTAGCAATTACTACAACAAGAGTAATAACTAGTTATTGTGCTTTTCCTATGTGCTAGATATTGCACATGGGATGGATTTGATTTGTAATTATGTGCTAGATATTGTACATAGGAAAAGCACAATATATATTAACTTACAGACACCATTTGAGGTAGGTTAATAATGACCACCCCTCAATGGTTCTGTACTTACACCCTTTTATAGACAAGGAAAATGAAGCACGGAATGAAGCATAATTTGCCCAAGGTCACCAAGCTAAAAGGTGGTGAAGGTGGAATAAAATGGCCCATATCCTCCTTTTCCAGTGTTTTTCTCTTTTACATCGTAACTACAATTTCGTAAGCAGCTATAATGTAGCCGAAGCTGGGCTAGATGCTTTATAGTCATCATTTAATCCCAACAACAACTCTACCTAGCTGGGTACTATATTCATTTTTTTACACATGAGGAAATAAGCACAGAAAAGATTACCAACTTCCCCAAAGACAGCCAGCCAGTTAGGATCAGGATAGCATTTGTTTGTTTCTTTTTTTAATTATTTTGAGATTTTATTATTATTATTATTATTATACTTTAAGTTTTAGGGTACATGTGCACAATGTGCAGGTTAGTTACATATGTATACATGTGCCATGCTGGCACGCTGCACCCACTAACCCGTCATCTAGCATTAGGTATATCTCCCAATGCCATCCCTCCCCCCTCCCCCCACCCCACAACAGTCCCCAGAGTGTGATGTTCCCCTTCCTGTGTCCATGTGTTCTCATTGTTCAATTCCCACCTATGAATGAGAATATGCGGTGTTTGGTTTTTTGTTCTTGCAATAGTTTACTGAGAATGATGATTTCCAATTTCATCCATGTCCCTACAAAGGACATGAACTCATCCTTTTTTATGGCTGCATAGTATTCCATGGTGTATATGTGCCACATTTTCTTAATCCAGTCTATCATTGTTGGACATTTGGGTTGGTTCCAAGTCTTTGCTATTGTAAATAGTGCCTCAATAAACATACATGTGCATGTGTCTTTATAGCAGCATGATTTATAGTCCTTTGGGTATATACCCAGTAATGGGATGGCTGGGTCAAATGGTATTTCTAGTTCTAGATCCCTGAGGAATCGCCACACTGACTTCCACAATGGTTGAACTAGTTTACAGTCCCACCAACAGTGTAAGAGTGTTCCTATTTCTCCACATCCTCTCCAGCACCTGTTGTTTCCTGACTTTTTAATGATTGCCATTCTAACTGGTGTGAGATGGTATCTCATTGTGGTTTTGATTTGCATTTCTCTGATGGCCAGTGATGGTGAGCATTTTTTCATGTGTCTTTTGGCTGCATAAATGTCTTCTTTTGAGAAGTGTCTGTTCATGTCCTTCGCCCACTTTTGGATGGGGTTGTTTGTTTTTTTCTTGTAAATTTGTTGGAGTTCATTGTAGATTCTGGATATTAGCTCTTTGTCAGATAAGCAGGTTGCGAAAATTTTCTCCCATGTTGTAGGTTGCCTGTTCACTCTGATGGTAGTTTCTTTTGCTGTGCAGAAGCTCTTTAGTTTAGTTAGATCCCATTTGTCAATTTTGGCTTTTGTTGCCCTTGCTTTTGGTGTTTTAGACATGAAGTCCTTGCCCATGCCTATGTCCTGAATGGTAATGCCTAGGTTTTCTTCTAGGGTTTTTATGGTTTTAGGTCTAACGTTTAAGTCTTTAATCCATCTTGAATTGATTTTTGTATAAGGTGTAAGGAAGGGATCCAGTTTCAGCTTTCTACATATGGCTAGCCAGTTTTCCCAGCACCATTTATTAAATAGGGAATCCTTTCCCCATTGCTTGTTTTTCTCAGGTTTGTCAAAGATCAGATAGTGGTAGATATGCGGCGTTACTTCTGAGGGCTCTGTTCTGTTCCATTGATCTATATGTCTGTTTTGGTACCAGTACCATGCTGTTTTGGTTACTGTAGCCTTGTACTATAGAAGCATTCCCTTTGAAAACTGGCACAAGACAGGGATGCCCTCTCTCACCACTCCTATTCAACATAGTGTTGGAAGTTCTGGCCAGGGCAATCAGGCAGGAGAAGGAAATAAAGGGTATTCAATTAGGAGAAGAGGAAGTCAAATTGTCCCTGTTTGCAGACGACATGATTGTATATCTAGAAAACCCCATTGTCTCAGCCCAAAATCTCCTTAAGCTGATAAGCAACTTCAGCAAAGTCTCAGGATACAAAATCAATGTACAAAAATCACAAGCATTCTTATACACCAACGACAGACAAACAGAGAGCCAAATCATGAGTGAACTCCCATTCACAATTGCTTCAAAGAGAATAAAATACCTAGGAATCCAACTTACAAGCGATGTGAAGGACCTCTTCAAGGAGAACTACAAACCACTGCTCAAGGAAATAAAAGAGGACACAAACAAATGGAAGAACATTCCGTGCTCATGGGTAGGAAGAATCAATATCGTGTAAATGGCCATACTGCCCAAGGTAATTTACAGATTCAATGCCATCCCCATCAAGCTACCAATGACTTTCTTCACAGAATTGGAAAAAACTACTTTAAAGTTCATATGGAACCAAAAAAGAGCCCGCATCGCCAAGTCAATCCTAAGCCAAAAGAACAAAGCTGGAGGCATCACGCTACCTGACTTCAAACTATACTAAAGGATAGCATTTGAACTCAGGTCTTTCTGACTCCTAAGTCTAGCCCTGTCCACATGTCATAAGGTCTCTTCCCAAGCAACTCTGCTTCCTATTCTAACACTTATTCCTTACTTTCCTGCCTCTGTGACTCTGGTTCTCATGCCACCAAATCCATCAACACTTCCTTGCAGTCCTGTTTCTAAAATAGAATTCAGTGGGTTAAACAAATCATGATTTTAAAAAGCAGAAGGGAAAACTACACAATTGGCTTGCTTCTCCTCATCTTTCTCTAACTTCATTTCCAGCTGGACACTTTTCCCTTTTTGTTCTGCTTTATTATTATTTCACACAAATACATTCAGATTTGTCACCTTTTGTTCTAATGCTGGAAATACAAATTCATATGGCTAAAACGGAGTGGACCATGACATTGCCCCCAGACCCCACTTTTATTCCTTGTAATTAAGAAAAAATAAACCTTAATAAGAAGCTTGTATTAAAATTGTGCAAAGTTAGTCATTACTAAATGTTCATGGCTGTATTAGCTGCCTGTGGCTGTTGTAACAAATGATTACAGACTTAATGGCTTAAAACAACCCAAATTTATTATCTTACAATTTTGGAGGTCCAAAGTCCAAAAAATGGGTCTCACAAGCTAGAAACAATGTGTTGGCAGAGCTTGCATTCCCTCTAAGGGATGTAGGGGAGGATTCTTTTCCATGCCTTTTCCAGCTTTTAGAGCCTGCCTGCATTTCTTGGCTCTTGGCCCTGTCCTTCATCTTCAATGCCAGTAGTGTAGCATCTTCCAATCTCTCTTTTACTCTGCTTGTATCATCACCTCCTTCTCTCTTAGGAGGACTCTTGTGATTACATTGGGCGCACTGGGGTAACCCAGGCTATCTCTCCGTGTCAAGATTTTTAACTTAACCACATCTGTTAATACAAAGCCTTTTGCCATGTAAGGTAACATATTCACAGGTTCCTGGGATTAGGATATGGACATCTTTGGCGGGGGAGGAGTGGGCATTATTAAACCTTTCACAATGGTTCTGCATTTACTTAGCATGAGAAGCTGTTTGTCACAATGTGACATACTGACATACTTCTTCGGGTGGGTTCGGTACTATGTGTCATCGACAAGAGTTACAGTATCTCACAATCTAGAAAGCACAGGAGGCAAAAAAGCAAACAAAAAACAACCAGTCATACCAGGCTCCTGTGTCCTTGTGGCAGACATGGTTTAACCAAAGGCCTCCGGAAGTGGGAAAGGTGTATTGTTGGGTCTCTTTCACCCTGTAACCAAAAGACCATTTGAATTGAGGTGGAAACTGGAGTTCACAAAAGCGTTACATTAAAAAAATAATAATAAACTGTGACTCCCTGAGGAAATCACAGTGTTTCTGTTTGGTGACAAGCTGCTCTTCAGGAATGAATCCTATAAGAATTTCAGATAAAGCTCTTATCTTTTGGGGAGTGAAGGCTGCAGGAAAGGCTAGGGTATTGCCTTCTGGGATGCAGAAAAACCATCTTCCCCTTAGCTCAGCTTTGTTCATTCAACTTAGTTCTTCCCCTCCACACCCACTCATAAACATTAAGCCTTCTTCCCAGCTGTCTTCCTCTCTCTTTTTCATTTTTAAACTTCATCTACTTTTTGAATTCTTTTCTCTGCAACAACTACTACTAAAATCTGAAAGCTTCTTCTATTGTTACCATGGAGAGGGCAATTTTCTCAACAAGTAAAGGAGGTGGTGCAGAGGGAGAGGGAAGAACTACATATGAAAATTGAAAGTTAGCCTCTGTGTCTTTTCAACAACATCAAATTAAATCTTTTCACTTCCATACACAAAACAACAGGAACACACAGTGGGTGGCAAATTCAGCCCAGGGATGTGAATGAATCAGTAGGCTTTGTGATAATATGCTGGGGGTGTGAGGGAGGTGGCGAGGCAGCCCCTCAATCCTAAAACAGAAAAGTAATGAACAATGATAACTGATATAGACAATTACTCTGCAGTTGTTTGAATATATGCTGCTTTCTATCATTTTCAGGTAAATGACCTTCAGAATGGCAGTAGATGGATTTCTAAGAAATCATGAAATACAAACATGTAGACAAACAAAGCAGGCAGAAGGAAGTAATAAGTTTAAAAAATGAAGTGCTATAAGAACTGAGAGAGAAAGATTATCAATCCTCCCTTTTTCTTTCTTCTATTCTTCTCTATACAAGTTATGAAGTGGAAGAAAATACAAATATAAAATCATCTGATGGTGAAACATCAGTGAGATTTTAATTATATCTAGATTTTTTAAATCTCAAACTAGGAAAAATCTGCTGATTCACAAACATGAAAATATTTTAAAAGATCAGAGATATATTAATTCTCATGTTCTAATTCTCCTGACATGAACCATATATATGCTTTATTCTTTCTGATGATTCTGAGAAAAATCAAATTCTGAATTTTTAAAATGATGATGTTGCCCAAATTGTAATAAATCACCATATTTTCCAAAGAAAAATTCTACACAATTCCTGTACATAAATTTTGTGTGGAAAGGCTTGTATCATAAGAATAATCAAAGGAAAAGAACTGCAAACTAGTAGAAGCATAAATTTAAAATGTTGCTGATGATGACATCGAGTAAAGATTTGAAGTGTTAAGTAGCATGTTAACCAACTTTTTCTATGATCCTCTTCCCCTTCTCAATACCCACTCTAGCTTTTAAAAACACAATGAGATTGTTTTCTACAGCACAATGATGAACATTTCAGGTGTATAAAAAATATAAAGAAAAGATTACAAGTGAAGTCTATGGCATGGCTGTACTAATCCACACACACGTACGCTCGGCAGTGTAAAAGTTACCTCACTGATTTGCTTGAATTAACAATTTAAAATAAAATTTTATACTGAATTAATGTTTATTTTTATAAAATAGCAGTGTTATTAGAAAGATTTCTGACAAGTAGTGTACGATTACAAATATCATCTACCTTGGAGTTACCATGAAATTAGGAGGGTAAAAATAGTAAATAAAGATCCTATTCTAGACATCTGGCCTATATGCAGACAACCAGGCAGCACAAACTCAAGAGTCCGCTTGTAATTGCTTTTGAATTCAGAGAAAATTAATGGTAAGTTGGTTGGTTTACAACACACAATTCTCTTATTTGCAAAGCAAAACTGAAAAATACAGATAGATAGCCAGGCAGGGAAAAAGAGAGAGAGACAGACTGACTCATTAAAAGAGAGAGAGAGAGACACTGACTCTGATTTATAGGATACTTGCTTATCTATTCCTGTTAGAATTTTCTGCTTGCCACTTCACATAGTATCAACAAAACGAATGTATTACCCCCAAATTACAGACTATTAAATAAAGATAAAAACTAAGATGATTTTCATGAGAAGTAAACAATAAGCTTTTTACACAGCACAAACTGAGGATTTCATTACACAAAGTTATGGGAAAAGCTACATATTGATATCTTTGTTATTGTGAATATCTCAGTTATTGTGAATCTGTAAATTCCATGCCCTATTACCCCCATACAAGCCAGGGAGATGTACTCGTATAATAGCATTTCACTCATGATTGAATTGACACCAAATGGTTGCCTCTTTGCAATATATACAAAGAAATTTTTAGTTGTGGGCTTTGTGTTTTGTTTTGTAGTTAGACCGCTAAAAATAATCAAATGTCTGATATAGTTAAGCCATAAAGATGAAAGAAGTGTCTCACTTAAAATATTTATTAATTACATATGTTTTTATATCTATAATATACTTATATTCTGATGTGCAGGAACTCAGTTACTTAAGTCAGGAATTCACGTGGGGATAGAGTTAGAATTTAATCAGAAAGGCCAGTCTCCTGGGGTGGGTTCTACCAGCATTTGAACTATTTTTTATCACAGTCAACACTAGAGGCCTTGCTAATGAGCAAAATGAATATTAGAAATGAGTTTTCACTTATGAGATTAGTGTTACTTAAGATACATGCTTTGGTTAAAATATTTGAGAGCAATTCCTCATCTCTAGCTTGCTAGGTATAAAAATATAGTAAGTTATGGAACCTGTATTCTTTGGAATGGTGCCCAAGATTTAATGCCTAAACTATGCTTTGTTTCCACATTGAATCCGAAGATTCTAGTTGTCTGATGCCTTCTCTAAGGTTAACTGCATCCTGCCTCTAGATTCTGGAATATTCTCATGTCTCCCTTGATTGAACCTTTTATACGGAGTATGACAACACCTGAGAGTGAGGGTATGGGAGTGTAGCTAACCTTTACCTATTATACTAAAGTTTTGCTGTGGTTATCTACCAAAAATAACCTAATAGTTGGCCTTGCATAATAGTGTTGATCTAGGGCAATTCATAACACCACGTAAGCCACAAATTTTAAAATAACCTCCACTATAAGGAAGTGTAACCAACTCCTTACATTCAACAATACATTTGACTTTATTCTTGGAGTATATTATTACATTTTTCTTTTTATTTCCTCATGGTTATATTTGTTATAAAGCATGGTTTTATAACTAGGTCGTTAAAGATCTTTAAAGATTGTGTTATTTTTTGCATACTATTACTATCATATGAATAATTTCACAATCTTGCCTTGTCTTTCATCTTGAGGCACCTATTCACATAATTATTTTTTCACAGTCCAAACAATAACCAGGCCTTGTAATTTAGTTATGAAATAAAAAGGCTGGTATTTACATAATCGTCTTATGAGTTATGCATGTGCAAGAAATGTTCTGCATGTTTGTGTGCGTGAGAGAGACACAGAGAGAGAGCGAGAGATTGAGAGTAAGCCCGATCATTATTGAGGGGTGTAAGAAATTACTTTATGGAGATGCAAAAACCTGGGGTTCAGATACGAGACTGCGGTGAGATCATTGCCTCCCACCCTCTGGGGGCTCATCTGAGCTGCCAAAATATTCTCCTCTCTGACATTTTTATCTTGGCTCTTCGACAAGTTCTCAGTTGCCTGCTCAAGATTCATATTCTCTATTATTTCTTCCCTGGGTATCTATTTTCACAGAATAGTTGAAGACTCATAATAAAGCCTATTTTAATGTATCATTTTTCCTAAGCAAATCCATTTCAATCTCCACTGTTTTTATTTGCCAAACATGTCCTAAATACTAATTATAAACGCAGCTCAATGCAGTTTATTATGTTTCCACGTATTTATACCATATATGTTATTCGTGTATGTGTACACACACACACACACACACACACACGCGCATGCACGCGCACATATGGTTTGTTGCCAATAAACCTGTGATAGAATCTGGCACTTATCAATGGCATTGCCTTGGGCAAGTCACTTAACCTCTCTGAGTTTCTCCCTTTCAAAACAAGAAAAACGCCAGTTAGCTTGTACCACTTTTGAGAGGATTAGAAATATTGAATATGATATGCATAGCACAATGCCTGGTATATACTAGAAATTAATGCATGGTAAGCATCATGAATTTTATGGTAGTATATATGACCTAACATTTTGGGCCAAAAGGAAGTGTTTGAAGGCAATTTGGTCAAAGCCAAACACTGTATGTTTAAATAATGATGGTTGGGCAACAATGCTATGTCTTTAAGCATTTCTTTCCATTTTTCAAAATCTGCTCTTTCTTATTCACAATTATTTCTACTATTTAATATTTTAATGGGAAGAGTTGGATAAACCTAAATGTGCAGCATTGGGATTCTTTTCATAGTGATCACTTAAAGTTTGTTTTGCTTTTTTTTTTTACCTTATATCAAGAAATAATATATAACCAATACATAATTATATGAAAACATCGATCTTTAAAATAGCATAAATAACATCAACAATCCTTCCCTATGTGTATATAAAATATTCATAGATATATATGTGGTGTGTGTTTCTAAAAGTAATATATGTGTGTTTGGGTATATAATAAATATTGCAACAAAAACAATATCATGTAGTACATACTGGTTTGAAGGTGCTCTCCTCACTATACTCCAATTTACACACCACAATCTATTTCAGCATCCCACTAAATTTTGGGCAATTTAATTTTTTCCTGCTAGTCCCTATTTGAAATAATGAGCTTATCTGTAGTGAAAAGCTGTAAATATGCTGCCTAGATTCCCCTTTGGAAATGAAGGACTTAGTTCCCCAGCTGCTAGGAGTGCTGCTGGTAGACAGCCTTCAGCTGTCAGCCCTTGTCTTAGTCTGGGCCGCTATAGCTAAATACCTTAGACTGGGTAATTTATAAACAACAGAATTTATTGCTTATAGTTCTGGAGGCTGGGAATTCCAAGATCAAGACATCAGCAGATTCATTGTCTGGTGAGGGCCCACTCCTGTTAAATGGCATCTTCGGTGTGTCCTTACATGGTGGGAGGGCAAGGAAGCTTTCTGGAGCCGCTTTTATAAGGGCACTGATCCTGTTTCTGAAGGCAGAGCCCGCATGACCTAATCACCCCCCCAAACCCCCACCTTCTAATACCATCACCTTGAGTGTTAGGTTTCAACATACACATTTTGGAGGGACAAAAACATTCAGACCATAGCAGCCCCCTTATGGAAATTCCCGTGGCTAAAGAGAATCATCTTGCTAAAGTTCGTTGCCTTCCTGGAGTAGCCCACATCCAGTGCATGACTTGACACGGGGTTATAAAGATCCAGTCCCCTTTCTTCGTTTCCTAGCACTTCTGAAGGGTCATTCCAGCTTAAGAACTCCCTGAACGGTCAGCTGAGGCCCTTACTAAGACTGCGTCAGAGCTCAACTTCTCCCTCTGCCCCTACACGTTGACCCCAAGAACACTCCTAAATAGACATACTGCATGCTCACCTCAATCTCAGGGTATGCTTCCCAGTCACCCAAACTATGATATTATCTTTAAGTAAGTAAACCCTAGGCATTTGGGACTGATTTCTAGAATGCTCTTAATCTAAAACTCTCCAAAGTGTAGGTCAAAACTTTTCCATAATAGTGTGCATATTTTCTCCCCATTGCTCCTTTATCAAGTACTTGGGAATTAAGGTAAAGAATATTTGGAAGAATTAAAGTGGGGTAGACTTCCTGCATATCTCTCAGGGGTCAAACACACCTGTTTGTGGCCACTGACTTTCGCAAAACCATCTCATCTTTGGCCTTGGGCACACTCTGTCGTCTGAACACCTCTCAACAGAAGGTGCCCTCCTCACTACACTCCAAGACTTCCCTTTCAATCCAACTGAAAAATTTGAATCTATTAAGAAAATACGCTTTTTTGGAAGCTCTTAGAAAACAATTACAGTGAAACATGTTTCTCTCTCTCTCTCTCTTTTTAAATTTGTACCATCAATTGGAAAGGGGCTTTGAGACACTATACTACCATTGCCCTTTTGATTCCCTCTCAAATTTGAAAGCTTTATTTATGATGCAAAAATAGCCATCATGATTAATTGGTTTTTTCAAGTGTCTATCATTTTTCACCAAGGATAACTGCTATGATTAGCAAGAAGAACCTCCATACAAATCTATTTAATCATCTAAAATTCATATTTGTTTTAAGGATGACTGTTATTTTGACTGATAACGTAAAATACTACTATGATTTCAGCGCAAAGTTAAAGTGTGAAGAAAAGTAATACAGAGGTTGGCATAACCATCAAAGGGAATTTCTTAAAGAATATAGAACAAATTCAACTACAGAGTAGAGATTTATTATTTACTAAGATCTTAAAACATGCTTTTTAAATTCTGATAACGAAAATATGACATAGAGTTTGCTATCCTAGTTTTACAGTTGAACAAACTGTAATAGAATAGATCCTAAAATTTGTGCAGGTTGTCAATAACATACAGGGCAAGGTTTTAGATGCCTGACTTTAAACAAAGCTCATGCTATTTCTACAAATACAAGAAAACCAGAAAAAAATATTCACATAGTCTTAAAGCTTCTCTATATTTCAGGAGGGGGTGAAGTAACTGAATTATATTAACAGTGTTCTTTACCATGATACCCAATTCTTGTCATGAATAAAAGGTGATGTTCAGAGATGTCATCAAATAATTGACAAAAAAAAAAAAAAGGATAAGAAAAAAGGAATGAAATAAGGTAGTGACCAAACCTTCCCTTTTTATCAGTGATCAAAATCCTTGCTTTTACATATTTATAAAATCCATTCTATTTCTCTGGATGTGTAATGAAAGAAAATGAATATGTATGTTCATTTCTAATCCATTTGAAATAACAAAAGAGATGGCATTCTGAGTCCACATTCTCTTTCCAGATTTTAAGTTTTATAATTACTTACGTAACACTATCAACGAATAGGACAATAGAATACAAACAAAAAGTGAATCCTTTTTAGAAGACAGTTTGAGTACAAACTGCTATATATTATGTACTACTCTTTAAAGCTCTCATGCAGATTTTAATAATTAATCAATATTCTAAATATAAATTACTATATGTAAAGCAGTAATCTATTTTTATAAATAAAATGATTTCGTAGAATGCTGTGTTAAATTCTTTCCCTCAGACAGTTGCTCTAGAGAAGGAATGGCTGCTTGGACCCTGGTAGGTACATCATGGTGAGAGGCACAAATGTTATCCTGGTAACAACTTCACAAATTATAGACATAGTGCGAAGAGAAAAGATTTCTAAAAGATTAATTTGGTAAAAGCATATGTAGAGAAATCAAGTGACTCAGAGGGACATACAC
The DNA here is from genome assembly GCF_000001405.40 of Homo sapiens. Taxonomy (NCBI): domain Eukaryota; kingdom Metazoa; phylum Chordata; class Mammalia; order Primates; family Hominidae; genus Homo; species Homo sapiens. The sequence goes on from NC_000023.11 coordinate 31,759,937, forward strand.
ATCCAACTAAGATAATGTTCTCTCAGCTGTGCTCCTCAAGATGCTCTACACAAATGGTTTCCATGGAGAAATCACTGAGAAATACTGAGCTAACAATACTAACATTCCTAAAAGACTTTTCAGTGACCTTACTATGGAGATGTACATCATAGATTGCTAGGATAGGCAACGTCTATGCATGTTTTTCAGCTTATTTGACCTTTTCATGAGGATCATGTATGAACACCTGATGAACCTGGTTTTCTGTAGGACAATTTTGGAAATGTTGAGATCTTTTATCAACTAGAAATGATAGTATATTTCCTAGTCAAAATATTTTTTAACCACTTTATTGATTTCTTAACCACTTTATTGACATAAAAAGCTATACACATTTAATGAACACAGCTTGATGAGTTTCGAGATAATTACAGTTATGTGCTGCATAAGGACATTTTGATCAATGGACCACTATCATGTGCACAGTCTGTATACATGTAGGACAGTGGTCCTATAAGATTATAATATTTTTCTGTAACTTTTCTATGTTTAGATGTGATTAGATACACAAATACTTGCCATCGTGTTCCAATTGCCTGAAGTATTCAGTACAGTCACATGCTGTACTGGTTTATAGCCTAGGAGCAATAGGCTATACCATACAACCTAGATGTATAGTAGGATGTACCATCTAGGTTTGTGTAAGTACACTGTATGATGTTTGCACAACAAGATCAATCAGCTAACCATGCATTTCTCCGAATGTATATCTGTTGTTGAGCAATGCATGACTGTATACCCCTGTGAAATCATGTCCAGAATCTATGCCATAAACCTATGCATCACCTCCAAAATTTTTCTCTTACCTTCCTTATTTACTATTATTTTTGCATGTACGATAATAACAGGTAAAAAAAGATTTACTCTCTTAGCAAAGTTTTAAATATAAAACATTGTTAACTACAAGCCCTAGGCTGTACAGATTTGTAGGACTTATTCATCTCATATGACTGAAACCTAGTTAGTATTTTTTTTTTTTTTTTTTTTGAGATGGAGTCTTGCTCTGTCGCCCAGGCTGGAGTGCAGTAGCCTCCCGAGTAGCTGGGACCACAGGCACCCACCACCACGCCTGGCTAATTTTTTGTATTTTTAGTAGAGACGTGGTTTCACCGTGTTAGCCAGGATGGTCTCAATCTTCTGACCTCGTGATCCGCCCGCCTCATCCTCCCAAAGTGCTGGGATTACAGGCGTGAGCCACCGCGCCTGGCCCCTAGTTAGTATCTTAATACTCATTATTTTCCATTTTAACGGCACAAAACAGCTGAGATTATGAGAGACAAGAGTGGTTATTCTTATTAGAACAACCATAGAAGGAGGGCAATATCTACAAGTTTGGGCCATGGGGTGGTGCTGCTATGAATAGACTACGAATGGCCATGTAAATATTGGGGTTTGTGACAAAAGATAGGAAAGCCTATCTCAAGAAGGAAAAAAAAGTGTTACAAGAAAGGCAACATTGGTAAGGAAGAAAAACTTGATCTTTAAAACATGTTATTCTAAACAGACTATATTACTTGTTTTCTTGTTTGATTATCATTGCTAGAACTGGTAATGTTTTTATTGCTCAGTGTATACTTTCTCTTGAACTCAGTGGGTTTATTTGGGTCTTAATAATTCAGAATATAAAAACTGATGACCTAATACCACGTATATTGATGCTAACGGACATGTTTAGAATTTGTCAGACTATGTAAGCTATTATGAAAGTTACTGCTTTCTCTTTCTCCAACATAAAAATATTCAGAGGCAGAAAGATAGACATGAATAATAGAGTTTTTTCTCCATTTTATTTCCTTGATTTCTGAAACAAATTTAAACAGAACTAAGAAGACAGGAAAACAATCACATCATATTTAGCTAAGTTAAAACTGCTTATGTCCAAAGAAGAAAAATGTGCATTATTAAGAGTATCTTGGCTAGCATAGCCAGCTGCCTATCCGATACCCTTTCTTTCCTTCTTAGCTAAAAAAATCCAAATTCTGTTCAGACTAGCAAGGTTTTATAACTAAGTTACCAATTTTCACATTTTGAATTATGAAGAAAGAAACACACCTATTCAGTTAAAACACTCAATCCTCCCAAGATCCTTAGAAGTTAGGAATGGTCACGTGACACATTTCTGGTTAATGCACTGTTCAAGTAGAAACTCTTCTGTGTGGGGCTGCCAGAAAAGCACTGGTTTTCCTTACAAACAGGAGCTGACACAGCTGGAATATGCTTTTACTTTCCCCATTTTCCCTTCTTCCATTTTAAAGTACAGACATAGTGCCTGGAGGCAGAGTAGCCATGTTGAGACCACAGGAAAAAAAGTCTTGCTGGGCACGGTGGCTCACGCCTGTAATCCCACCACTTTGGGAGGCTGAGGCAGGCAGATCATGAGGTCAGGAGATCGAGACCATCCTGGCCAACATGGTGAAACCCCGTCTCTACTAAAAATACAAAAATTAGCTGGGCGTGGTGGTGCGTTCCCGTAATCCCAGCTACTCAGGAGGCTGAGGCAGGAGAATCCCTTGAACCAGGGAGTCAGAGGTTGCAGTGAGTCGAGATCGCGCCACTGCACTCCAGCCTGGCGACAGAGACTCCATCTCAAAACAAAAACAAAAACAAAAACAACAAAACAAAACAAAAAGAAAGTCTCATGTTGGAGATGACTGGGGTTGGAGGAAAAAGTTGGGACATACGGTTTTGGAGGTGCTGCACTGACCCTGGAACACATAATTCTGGAAGTCTTGCTCTATGAGAAAAAGAAACTATCTGGATAAGCCACTGTAGTGAGAATGCTGTCACGCATAGCTAAACACAATCTTAACAGAGTAAACTGGAAAAAAAAAATCCTTTAATTTCTAAAATTCTTAGAGTGTCTAAAATTATGATTGTTTTTGCATCGATGCAGTAAATTTAATTCTCAGGAGACTTTCATTCATCATTGACCAAAACAAGACATGAATCATATTGCATTTAACAGTTAAGATAAACATATATATGAATATAGCTCTATAAAATGTTGTCATATTCCAAATACTAAGTAAAACTAGTAATCTGTGAAGATAAAGTAAATCAACAATATTTATAAAGCACCTAGTACATCTTTAGCGGCTATGTCAAATAGAATATTACACCTTCCTTTACAGGAAATTTAAATTTATTTCGAGGACCAGAAAATAACAATCTAAAAAGTCAAATGACAACATACATTTGAAAAGAAAAGTTCAAGACAACAGAAGCAGCTTTACAAGAAAATATATAGTTAAAGGACAAAATGATTTTGGACTGAATCATTGATGAAAAAGACCAATACATATTGGCAGCCGGGCACGGTGGCTCACGCCTGTAATCCCCGCACTTTGGGAGGCCAAGGCAGGTGGATCATGAGGTCAGGTATTTGAGACCAGCCTGGCCACCATAGTGAAACCCCATCTCTACTAAAAATAAAAAAAATTAGCCGGGTGTGGTGGTGAGTGCCTGTAATCCCAGCTACTCAGGAGGCTGAAGCAGGAGAATCGCTTGAACCTAGGTGGCGGAGGTTGCAGTGAGCCGAGATCGTGCCACTGCACTCCAGCCCGGGCAACAGTGCGAGACTCCATCTCAAAAAAACAAAACAAAAACAAAAACAAAACAAAACAAAAACGACCAGTACATACTGGAATTAACAAAACAACCTTTACAGAAAAGGCAGGAATAAATCTCAAAGGCTTCAAGCTGTGACATACCAGTCAACTATATAATCATTATATTAATCAACTTTAAGGAGTGTGAAGAAACCTTAAGTCATTGGTATGGTTAATAATTGGATTTGGTCAGAACTCACACCTTGAATGTTTGCATGGTCCTCACCTACAAAGTTTCCAAATGTTAAAATAAAATATATCCTCATTTTTATTTATTTATTATTTTAGTTTTATATTTTATTCTTTTTTAGAAATGGAGTTTTGTTCCATTGCCCAGGTTGGAATCCAGTGGCGCTATCATAGCTCACTGCAGCCTCGAACTCCTGGGCCCAAGAGATCATGTCACCTCAGCCTCCTGAGTAGCTAAGGCTACAAGCCCACACCATCACAGCCAGCTAACTTTTTATTTCATTTTTTTGTAGAGATGAAGTCTCACTCTGTTGCCCAGGTTGCTCTTGAACTTCTGGCCTCAAGGGATCCTCCATCCTGGCACTGATATTACAAGTGTGAGCCATTGTGTCTGGACCCGTCCTCATTTTCATTTAGAAAACAATTGTACTGTAAAATCTCATTATATATAGCTTCTTGCCTGCTTGCATTCTTTCCAACTACTGATCTTTGCCCCCAGTAAATGTCCTCTTCTAGTGCCTAACATCTATTACATAACTTAAAAAAATCAAACTTGAGTAAGTGTGGTAAAGTGGCAGGCTAATTTTTATGTAGAATTTCTCAGAGGGGACTTCTGATTCTATCTGTGGAAGCATTTCATTACTTTCGTATAATATAACATGACAGAAAGCTTAGCCTCAATGAAGTTGCTACAGGTTATTTTCCCTCTCACTACAATCTACTTCTTTCACATTTAGGGAAAAAATATGGGATTAAGAGTAAATTACTCTCTCCAAATTACTCTCTCCTCTCCACTTTCTTAAGTATAGAATCAACTCAATTTATCTATATGCTTTTGGCAAAAATCGTCTTCATGGATTTAATTTTTTTTAATTTCTAGTTTGAGTGTTCAAAAATAATTCTGGAGTTGAACATAGATTAACTTGATATGGGGGAGGGGTTACATTGGTCATTACAGTTTATTTTGCTTCCATAATTGAAGAGAGAAGATGACAGTTAAATCAAAGCATTTCTGTTCTTGAAATAAATAATACAGTATATATTCTTTTCTTGAATAAATCATAGGAGATATATAATTCTTAAATATTATGTCACTTGTTTACACAGAATATAAAATATAAAGGTAAGGGAACTGAAAGCATTTGTGAATTACTAAAATTGTATTCAAAGTTATTTTTATAAATCGAATAAGAAATTGACTCAAATCATTTTAGAAACCGTGGCATTATTTTTAATGAATTCTTTAAAAATCATAAAAGCACAATCAAATCCTGTTGCTTTTTTTTTTTCAAAAACAATGCAGCCATTACTACCTTGGAAATTACTGATCAATTCATTTATGAAATTTAAAAACATTAAAACATATGCAAAAATCAACTTTCACTCCCAAGTTATTGAATAAAAATCAACAAGATCCCTGGAAAGATAAACATAGCTTAATTTTCATCTATATGAAAAAGGCAGGCACATATTTAGAATAAGAAATCACAATTGATCAGTTGATTTATTCATTCTAATACATATATGATTGAAACCACCATAACACTTTTTTCTTTTGTGGCCATGACTGCCCTATCTTTTATGTTTTTCTTATAGAGGATACACTCTAAAATTAGGGCCTATCCCTTTTTAATTTTTGTTCCCTAAGAGCAGATAACACTGATGCCTTTCACCAGCAAGTGTTCAATAAATAACAGATGAATGTAAACTCAGTATTGTATCAAAAGCTCTTAAAAGACAGTCAATATATTTCTAAAGAATCTTTATGACACTGTAACTCGAGGTATCAAAAGTAAGCACTTGAAGGAGGAAAGAAAATACTAGTAGTATTTAATTACAGACTATTAAAATATCTACTTAATGTATACGTTAATTTTATATAATATGTATCACTTTAACATAAGTAACCATATACATAAAAGTGTGGATACAGGTACAGAAACACTTTTACTAATAGTGATGTGTGATCACTGCCTCATCTTATTCACACTTATTCACTATCATACACAAGGAAATCAAATTTAAATCCAAATTATTACTCTAGTGTCTCTTTCTATTCTCCTTTCTTAATAGTCTTCAACCTGACTCTAGAGTGCTTTGTAACATGGGTTTCAAAGACAATTTGTTGAACGAAGGAATGAAAAAAACAACCATATACCTAACATTAACATTAGTTAACATTACCCTAACATTAAAGGTAATAATAAGAAAAATTTACATCATAACACACTGTAACTTCAATTACAGACTTTAAGGACCAAAAGTTATGGTGAAATGGAAAGCCTAAAAGGCAGGTCCTAAACTTTAGGGAACAATAACATTATATAACTTTCAGAAAATTAAAAAAAAACCTTATTACATTGCTTTCCTGTAAGAAAGTTAGAGAAGACCCAGATTCTACGTATTTCTATGAAAACAATAAAAATCACTCCATATAAAGGAGCCCTAACTAGATCCAAGAAAGGAAATTTGTAAATAGAATTCTCTAATTATTTATTTATTTGAGACGGAGTTTCGCTCTTGTTGCCCAGGCTGGAGTGCAATGGTGTGATCTCGGCTCACTGCAACATCTGCCTCCCGGGTTCAAGCGATTCTCCTGCCTCAGCCTCAGGAGTAGCTGGGGCTACAGGCATGCGCCACCACGCCCGGCTAATTTTGTATTTTTAGTAGAGACGGGGTTTCTCCATGTTGGTCAGGCTGGTCTCAAACTCCTGACCTCAGGTGATACACCCGCCTCAGCCTCCCAAAGTGCTGGGATTACAGGCGTGAGCTACCATGCCCGGCCCAGAATTCTCTATTTAAACACAATGGCAAACATAAACTTCCTTATCAGAATCCCACTGGTATTTTATGGAAAACACAGTACAGTGACTTCCATCAGAATTCATGTAAATATCCTGGATCAGTTTTGCTTGATAAGATTTTGACAGAAAAGTTTACAGTGAATTGAATTAAAATATAATAAGATACACATTTCCATTCATAGACTTTGAAATGTGTAGTTTAGTATAGTTTATAAGTTTATGTAGTTTCTTTAAGAAAAAAGCATATGGTATCATTTTCCATAAAAAGGTAATTAGGAGACTTAGAAAATATGATTTTGTGTGTGTGTGTGTGTGTGTGTGTGTGTTTGCAACTCTATGACCTTTTTATTTAAGGGGCGGTTTATTTTTGTTATGACCAGAGAATATAAAATAAGTCACATTACTGACACTGACATATCTTTACATCCTTCGTTGAAGATAATAGTGGATTTGGTCTCATTAGGTAAAGAAAGAAAATTATATAAATATGGATCAGTCATCCAGATGGTCGCAAGCTGTCTACCAGAGACATGTACATTTGTTGGAAGATAATTAAAGCACAAAATTTGTAAATATCTTCAGCCAAACAGATTACAACATTAATTTCTTAATTAATTTCTTAATTGGTATTTCTTAAACAAGTTTGTGCAGAAATGAAATGATGAGATGAGAAGGGCTGGATTGTTGATCGATGAAAGAGAAAAACAGAATAATCAATCTCCTCACCCTAAGATGACTGTCACCCAACCTCGTGAAATCCATTTGATGCCCATGGAAATAAACCATGTTTGCTTTGTTTTGTTATAATTTGGATGGAGAAATGAGATGTGTAAGAAGTTGAGGGGGGTGGCTGAGGAAATAGAAAAGAAGTAAGAAACATTATCTATTCCCAAGAGGTCTGGGGGTCTGGGTTTATGTTAGGACAATTACATTTACTAAGTGACTTTAGATCAATTAACTAAATTGTCTATAACTTCTCTCATTTGTTGAATAAGGGAAACTATTGTAATAGCCACTTTCTGCTGGGTTTGTGACAACAGAATAAAACCAAGAAACATTCTGTTTTGTATTGCTTTTAGTTTAAATAGCCAATGCCACTTTACCCACACATTGTCCCATCAATTCTTCCAGGGCTATACTACACAAGTTGTTTAGTAATCAGATTTTGACTGAATCTATTCACCAAAAGTTATAATCAGAATTATTCTGTAGCTAATTCAAATGCTTTTTGTGTATAGACAGAGTTTTAAAAAATCATAATTTTTAAGTACTTTGACCTTAACAACAACAACAAAAATTAAACTCATTCAAGTAATTATGTCCCATTTAAATATACACTATACCCACTAAAACTGCTCATTCAATTTTTAGATAATGAAATCTCCCAGGTAACAGTGCAATGTGTGGTTAAAAATTAATCTTGAACAATGCTATTATCATCTTGTCCAGATTGGCCAATTTGTCTCAACCCCAATCTGGAAAGGTCTTACTGGAGGATAAAATGCCTTTGCCAACTCAATTCTTTATTCAATACAAGTGCAGTGGTTGAGATTTTGTGGTGAATTATCCTGAACACCTGGCCAAACGGAATTGAAAAAAAAGACTACAATTAACTCAGCACAGGCAATCAGACACCAGTATTATGAAAAATAATATCATATGGCCATCTAAATTCTATTTGTTGATAGCAACACTAGTCTCCACTGCTGGGAACCTCTCTTCATATTTCCCCCTCCACCTTTCTCCCTCCTGTCTCCCACCATCCCTCTTCCATTTCCTCCTTTCCTCACTCCTCTTTTGTCCTCTTTAATATTCCTTTCTTGTCTTTTTTTCTTTCCTTGCTACCTTTCTTTTGTCTTTTCTCTCTCCTTCCCCTTTTTCCTGCTTTCCTTCCTCTCTTCCTTCTTTTTTTCCCTTTCCTCCTCCTTCCTTCCCTTTCTTTCCTCCCTTCTTTGTTCTCTCCTTCCTTTCCTTAAGGGTCAGATTTAGTAATCACTCTCAAAGCAAAACCCAGGACATATTTTTCCCTTCATTTGATAGATTATGTCAAAAAAGAAAACTGCTAATTCTTGTCAAATATTGTTGTTTCAGAGCAATTTTACTTATGTTTATGTGATGAAACAGAAAAAGCATTTTTTAATCAGATTTCTCCGACACTAAGCTATAAAGTACAAATCATCCACTGCTATTGATTCACAATTCTAGAAATTAAACTTTGAACTTCATGTGTGCTTTACTTCTAAAGGCTTAATTTGCATATTTCACATCTCTATTCTTCTAAAAGATAATGGTATATTTTCTACTGTCTAAAATGAAGCAGATTTGCTTAATTTTTTTAAATGGCTGTATTCTTAAAACTTAAAAAAATTAAAGTTGTAATTGTAGCTTCCATTTTTTTCACTGAATATAATTCACTTAGTAAAAATTATTTTTATTTCAAAATGGAAGCAGCTCACCATTTTCTAAAATAATACTTTAATCAAGCAATACATACTAAAGGGGACCATAAGCTTTTCACCAAATATGTTTTCTGAGTTCAAAGTCTAAAGCTAGTGAAAGGTTAGCTTACTTGAATGTCATGTCCTTATACCCCTTCTGTGGCAAATATTTCAATTACTGCACGTCTAAGGTTTGGTCTGAATCTCATAACTAACTTTGCCTTGAGTCATAAAATGTCTCATTGCATTATCTTATCTATCTTCTGGTGCTTTGGAATTATAATCCTCACATTCCAGTCTTTGTTGAATATGAAGTTTCCTTATCACATTGCATTCACATTATCCATCAAGCTATCCACATTTATTGAGAACCAATTACTGTACGTGTCATGGTCAAACAAATTTATATTTCAGGTATTGGTATATGAATGGTCTTTATTTCAGGTCTACACGTTGTGAAGTTGAGTAGATGAACCTGTTGCTTTAGATCAGCTGTATCCAATCTTTTGGCTTCCCTGGGCCACACTGGAAGAAGAATTGTCCTGGGCCACACATAAAATACACTAACACTAATGATAGCTGATGAGCAAAAAAAAGTCACAAAAAGTATCTCATGTTTTAAGAAAGTTTACAAATTTGTGTTGGGCCACATTCAAAGCCATCCTGGGACGCATGTGGCTCACAGGCCATGAGTTGAACAAGCTTGCTTTAGATCATAATAATTACCTCCTACAAATCTCCTTTATTTGCTCTATCCTCCAACTTATTCTACATGTTCTTGACTGAGTTCAGTGGACAATTATTGTTTAGTGGTTGGTCAGAATCATTTCCTTCTTCTATTGTCAATAGAACCCAGTTTCTATTCAGGAGAATTGCCTTTCCCTAATTTTGAGACTTTGGGAGGAGAGGGATTTAAATCAAAGTTTTCTGCTCCCTTCTAGCTCATGTATTAACATGTGACCCAAACAAGGTGAACTGGACTCTCTTTTAAGACTTTAAAATTTGAACAGAGTTACACACAGGATGGAGAAAAGAGAGTATCACAAACAGACTGGAATACTTCTTGCTAGCCACATGCCCAGAAAGGCATGCTCAGATTCTTTTTCCTTTTGTAAGTTTTGTTCCAATGCCTTTGTGCTAATTACAGCACATTTACTTTCTGCCTGATTTAATCAGAGAATGATTTCTGTTGCTTGCATCCAGAGAGCTCTAATTGATAGGCAACTAAACTATATGTGATGATTTTATTTTCCTGTTTACAATCCTTTCAGAGTTGCCACTGCCTGTAGGCCATCATCAAAATTCCTCAGTCTGGCAACAAAGGATTCCCATTATTTAGCCCCAGTCCTCTCTATTCAACCTCATCAATTTCTTCCTCATCATATACCCTTAACTTCAGCCATATGGAATCACAATTCCTCTGATATACTCTGTTTTTTTTCCACCTCAGTGAAAAGCACAGTCTGTTCCCTCTGCCTGGATTGCCCTTCTCGTTTTATCTAGCTAGGTAATTCCAACTCATTCTTTAATGCCTGGCTTAAGTTTTTCCTTCTTCAGGAATATCTCACTAGCATCCATTCTCTCTCCTGGCTTAGTTTTCCCTGAAGAAAGCCCCAACAGCATCACCCACACAATATCAGAGAAGTTGAAAACTATGAGGTTTAAGGGAGAGGACTCTGGAACCAAACTGCCTGAGTTCACATCTCATCATTGTCTTTCTTCCTCGATCTCAGGCAGGTTATTATCCTTACTGTGCCTCTCTATCTACCTCACAGTAATGTTGTAAGCATTAAAGAATTCACGTGAAGTACTTAGATCAATGACTGGCATATCATATGTGTTAGCTATTATCCTAAAATTTATCTCTATCATAGTGTTATTATTTTCTTCCTTCAACCTCTTTTACCTGCACATTCTATGTTGTACAACTTTATGTTTCCCAGGTACTTAGTGGCAGCTCAATAGAAGTTGGTTAAAATAATAAAAATGGATAGGTGTTAGTAAAGTTTTTTTCAGTTTATAAAGCCCTTTTGGAATTTTGCCTAATTTTTCACACATCAAACATTAAAGTTGGGATTGCTTTATTTAAAACTTTACATAAAATTGATATTGATTTCCTGAAATTATAACAAAATCCTCCCCATACTTACTTATCCTTCTTATTTCCCCTCTCACACACATTTGTTTAATGATTATTTAGGGCCATTTTACCGACAATTTGGTGATTGAGGCTATAAAAGCCAAGAACTGACAATGTCTTTAAGAATTATTTTTTAATATAAGAGGAAGAGGCAGGCAAAGCATCCCCCTATTCAGCAAGCAAGAGAAGGGAGATTAGATTTTTTTATAAATATGTAATATATGAACATTACATATCATTATATATAATATGCTATATATACTATTTTAAAAATATTTTTATATATACCATATATAATTTATAAATCCTGTATTTTTGTGTCTCAGAAATGGCTTTTGATTTTTCCCCCTAAATTTTTTTTTTTCTGAGATGGAGTCTCACTCTGTCACTCAGTCTGGAGTGCAATGGTGTGATCTCAGCTCAATGGAACCTCTGGTCCAGGATTCAAGTGATTCTCCTGCCTCAGCCTCCCTAGTAGCTGGGATTATAGGCATGGGCCACCACACCAGCTAATTTTTTTATTTTCAGTAGAGATGGGGTTTGGCCATGTTGACCAGGCTGGTCTCAAACTCCTGACCTCAAGTGATCCACCTGCCTCAGCCTCCCAAAGCGCTGGGAGTGCAGGCGTGAAACATTGCACCTGGCCCTCTACATTAGTTTTTGACCTATATTTAAAGACGATCTCTGTGAGGGGGCATCAAATCAGTAGTCCTTTCTGAAAAGGACACATTTATTTAGAGAACTCTGGAGACTACTGAGCACATCAATGGCTTCCCTAAATGCTGGACTCACAAACCCGTCACAAGGAAGTGTGGACTTTCTCTCCCAATCTATTATCTGGTAACTTCTGCAGGAAGCTATGTCAATGGTAGACTAGGCTACAGAAGCGGAAACAAGCTCTCATTTCCATATAATATTATGATGTGATATACAGTTTGCATAATACAAATGCCATCATTGGTTAGATTTCTAGAGTTCGTGGTGGAACCAAATATAATTACTAACATTTGTTCAATACTAGCAGTAAGCAGTAAGCAAGGCAAAGTGGGAAGCATTTTTCATGTACCAACCAACTTAATCCTGATGACAAACTGCAAGGCAGATAGTACAACTATCCCCATTTTATAGCTAGATAAACTTGGGCTCAGGTAGGCAGAATAACTTACTCAAGGTCACACAGCTTGGGAGCCAAGCTTTGAACCCAGACAATGTAACTTCAAAACCTGGGCTTTAAACATTATAAAATATTGTTTCCTTTGGTAAATAAAAGTCCTGGGAGTATTATATAACTCAATATGGTATTGTAAAAGAACGTACCTCTTGTTTCTGTATGTATCAGTACATAGCAACCATAAAATGCTCAGCATAGTGTCTGACATAGACTACATCTACATCTACATACAAATCACTAAATAGTAACTGCAGTTACAGTTATTACCGCAGCAATAGTATGTATTGCTTGCAGTACATATATTACTTGCTACGTATACTCTCTGCAGTAGCAAGTAATAACACAAGCTTAGGAATCAAATGGACTTGGATTTGAATCCTTGTTCTGCTACTTACTGGGAATTTGACATCTATGAGCCTCAGTTACTTTTTCTGAAAAATGTGGCTATAATTACTTTTTTTAAAGCAGAAGTAAAACAAATTTTAGGTACATATATGTAGTATTTACATATATTTATATACATCCATATCCATAACTATATTGTGAATGTGAATGTGTACTCTGTATGCTCTGTACTCAGAATAGGAAACGAAGATCCAGAGATGGCTTGACCACAATCATCATTTGCAAATGGCACTGAATTCAGGTCTTCTGTATTCAAGCTCAAGGCCTTTAAATGCAGGTTGTTTACTATCAAATTACTTTTATTCCTATGGAATTGGTGAAGTTTATTTTACAAAGAAATTCCCCTTACTCTGTCTGCCTCACTTCTTGTTTTTTCAAAAGGTAGTACTTTAATACCTAAATACCTTCAGCACAACTTTGTATTTCTTTAGAAAGGCTTGAAAGCTGTTACAAGTGAAAAAACTTTAATGTATAACAATTCCAACATTATTTTTCTTAATCATTCACAAATATAAAAGATATATAGTATATTTGATCTAGCTAGGTAAACCATATTTACATCAATGTATTCTAATGTTTCTAGTTGATGTCATAATTTTACCAAATGGATTACACTGAGGCTGAAAAATGCACTATTTGTATTAAAAACATGTTCATTTGAACATGGCATTGCATAAATGCCAACTTTAAGATCTAGGGTAATTTTAAATATCTTATGTTTTGTTACTTTTCTCTTTTTAAGTTATAGCTCTCTTTCAATTATCCTTATCATTGGAGAAGGCAAATTGGCACAGACAACTTAGAAGAGTGGATAATAATCAATTCCCAGACTATTATATTTGATTCTGCAATATGTTGGGCTGCGTAGTGCCAAAACAAACAGTTTAAATGTAAATAGCTCAGTTGAGTGACTTATTTGGTATAAAATAGATTTTTAAAATACCAGGTTGTTTAGTAAATTTAACTGAGACAACTATTCTTGTAAGGTTTCTGCTTTTTTTTTTTTTTTTTTTTGTATATTTCCTTTTTAATGTATGGCTACTTTTGTTATTTGCATTAATTTATATCCTTGATTATACTTAGGCTGAATAGTGAGAGTAATGTGTTTGCTGAGAGAGAAACAGTTGCCTAAGAACTGGTGGGAAATGGTCTAGGAGAGTAAAGTGATTGGTGGAAAATCTTCATTTTAAAGAAAAACTTCTGCCAACTTTTATCATTTTTTCTCATACCTTCTGCTTGATGATCATCTCGTTGATATCCTCAAGGTCACCCACCATCACCCTCTGTGATTTTATAACTTGATCAAGCAGAGAAAGCCAGTCGGTAAGTTCTGTCCAAGCCCGGTTGAAATCTGCCAGAGCAGGTACCTCCAACATCAAGGAAGATGGCATTTCTAGTTTGGAGATGGCAGTTTCCTTAGTAACCACAGGTTGTGTCACCAGAGTAACAGTCTGAGTAGGAGCTAAAATATTTTGGGTTTTTGCAAAAAGGAAAAAAGAAGAAAAAGAAAAATTAGAAACACAAGCTAAAGAGCCAATTTCAATAACAATAAGTCAAATTTAATTGAAGAGTAACAATTTGAGCCAAACTCTTATTCATGACATTATATATCTTTTTCTAACAATGTGGATACTTTGTTTAGCAATACATGGTAGAAAATGAAAAGATTCAACCTTTTCATTAATATACATTTAACAATTTTTTAAAAAACGATTTTGCTCATTCTCATGCCTGGACAAGTAACTTAAGTTAAATAAGCCTTCTCAGTAACAATCATATACATTGTGGAAGTGGTAAAGAAAACAAAAGTTTTCAGACCTTGCCAGGGAAATAAATTTTACTTATTTTTTTTTTATTCAAGAAAAAACAAAGGCAAAACAAGATGGGATAAGATCTTCTTTCTGATTTAAAATTCCCTTGAATAGGAAGTAAATTAATTTGAAGCTGGACCCTAGGGAAATCAAAGCCAATGAAACGTTCTTGTCTTAGCTCTGTATTTTATACTGGGAGCAGTTTATCATATTTTTTTCTTTTTATTTCAGATTGTTAGTAAACTGGCCAGCAGTGAAGAAAAACCAAGATACAATATTTTCTTAAAAATGCGAGTTAGTAGTTTTTCTATTTAGACATGAAATACTGTTTCAAAGTCATTAAATAAATCTTAATATGAATAGTGTTGGACACTGTAGAGTAAGTCAGCCTATGGTAATGGTTAAGATGCATAGTACTAGAATTAAAATGTCTGGTAGACAATCCTGTTCTCTGCCCTAGGAACTCTGGGACCTTGGTAAAGCCACATAACCTCTCTAAGTTTCAGTTCTAACATTTGTTCAGTACTAGCAATAAGCAGTAAGCAAGGCAAAGTGGGAAGCATTTTTCATGTATTTACCTTAAAAGAGGAATAATAACAGGGTAAATGTCATAAGGGCAGTTGTGTAGATTCAGTGAGTAGTACAAGCAATACACGTATGACAATGCCAGAAAGAGCAGCATAATCATCATCATCACAATAATATTATTACAGCGCCTGACACTATAGTAGGTGATCAATAGTGTTAGGTATTACTGTTTTTATAAACGCCTGGCTAGTAAGAAACACAGTGATGAACAACTGTGGTGAGAAACTGGAGATAAGGCCCCAAAATGTGAAATACTTGGGGAGTAGTCAGTCAAAAGTCCGTGTGTGGCCCTATATTGATTGAAGAGGGCTGAACTTGCTGGTGTGAATTGATACTAAATACCAACACACAGCTGGGTTATCAGAGGTGAGTGGTGAGGGGAAGGAATGCCTAATCAAGTTTATAGACAACAGACTCAAGAGCATAATATAACCAGAAGATTGGTGGCAAAATTATTGGACTATGTAGTTTGGAATGAAAGGTTTCAAGGAAAGCTGCAAAAGACATCTCAACAGGAGACTCACACTGGACAACCAGTGAACGATTCTAAGAATATTAAAAAAAAATGAGACATTGAATTTTCATTCTGAGGTAGCCAATCATTAATTTTTATGGCTATGTAACTGTGCTTTTAAGGTTGTCTCCTCATTAGAGAAGAAGATGAGTAGAATGGAAGAATGTTTCTTGTCTCTCAAGCTTCTCAGGGACACCAAGAGTTTTCTATGAATGAAGGAACTAATTTTGATCAATGCAGACAGAAAAAAATAGTGTTTTAATTGTCAGAGAGAATAAAAAAATTTGTGTCACGAAACAATGATTGAAAGGCAGTAACAGTGAGGCAATAAAGAAAAAGTTTTGTTTCTCAAAGCTATCTGACTACTCTGAGGCTCTTTCTAGAAAGAATTAAATGTAATGTAAAGAAGAAATAGCATTTTGTGTCACAGTCCAGGAGAAGAAATCATGGAAGCAAAAAGATCTAGAAATCTTAAAAGGGATTCCAGGAAAGGAGCTAAATATCCAGAGAGGATGCATGTGTGAGGATGAAAAGAGAGCTAAATTAAAATATCACTGTAGGAACTAACTGCAGAACACCAGGCTGACTGGCAAATGTGGATGGAGTGTTCCTAAAATAGATACACAAGGTATACTGAGGCAATATACAGCAATTTAGGAGGATTTCAAGCTTATGGGAAGTGTCAGAAAATGCTTTTTTAAAAAGTGACTTATTGAAAATTTGACCCTCAAATAAGAGCAGAGACAAGAGATTTTTTTTTTTTCTCCAGACTTACTTCTGACCATGAAAGAAGTACCTAATGAGGTGGAAATGATCATGTCACACTAAATTTCAATAAAGTGAAGGATGAGGAACTAGAGAATTATCAGACTTCAACAAGCAGACCACTGTTTCCTGAAAAGCACGTTTGGAAAAAGACAGAAAGGAAGAAGGAAAGAAGAAAGTCAGGGAGGGAGGGAGGGAGGAAGGAGGGAGGGAGGGAGGGAGGGAATCTATTGAAAAGCAAGGCAAGACAAGGCAGGAAGGCAGGAAGGAAGGAAGTCAGGAAGCCAGGCAGTAAGGGAAGGAAGGAGGAAGGAATCTATTGGAAGTCTATTGAAAAGCAAGGCCAGGGCCTGAGACTCAAAAAGAGAGAATGGTTCATGATGACTAAATATGCCATTGGGATGATAAATTAGCTGAAGCATATTCAGAGGATGATGGAGAGGTCTAGCAATGCGGCCATCCCTGCGCCAGTCATGGGCAGATAATCTCATCTATAGACCCGTCAGGCCAGTATTTCTGGTCTTCTCTTCTCCAGCATGCACCACCTGAAGAACATCTATCTGTACACTGCTGGGAAAGGGAGGGGAAACCTTATCAGACTTTCTCACTGCTCTATCTCTTGCATCTTGCACATGTCCTGGAGTATAGGAGGTGCTCAATTGATTCCCTTTGAATCTAAAGAAAAGTCAATGTGCAGTAAGCTCTTTAGTGAACTTAGAGGTCTTCTACATACAATGAGTACTAAAATTTAACAGCCACCCATTAGAATGGAAGAATGGAGGCTAGAACACAAAACATGCCTAGGTTTTTACTAGTTAGGTGATTTTAGCTATTTTCACGAGAAGATAATGGAGGAAGACCCACTGCTTGGAGCAGACAATGAAAGATCAAATATTAAAGAGAGAAAATACAGCCAGTCAATTTATTTGCCCCCAACCCCACACACATACATTTTTTTTCCTATCGAAGGGAGAAAAGCAGGAAATAGCTCTGAATCAGAAAGCAGGGTGTAGAATATTTAGGCTTTCTAGGACCAGATTGTTGTATTTGAATCCTTGCTCTATAATTTTTTTTTTTTTTAGCTGTGTAACTATAGTCAGATGACTTAACCTCTCTGAATCTCCATTTACTCCTCTGTAAAGTGGCGATTATAATAGTACTTCCTTCATAGACAACTGGCCTTACTTTTTCCTAAATAGACAATCTTGGAAAAGTAATGTTCACTGACATTGGAGGCATCTTGAGGTAAGGAATTATACTATGCCTGCTACAATGAACATCTTGACCCTCAAAAGTTTTCACCTGTGTAACTATGAAAACAGTACCAATCTAATGGAATTGTGTTACGGATTTTATGACATCATACATGTAAGTCACCTCCTAGGATTGTTCTGACTGTAAGTACACTATGTGGATTTTTTTCTTCCTCTTTTTCCTGCATTTCTCACACAATGGTTATTGGCTCCTCATGTTCTACATTCGTATGGGATTTTATGCTCTGTACTCTGAACCAGATTTGACCCTCCAGACTTACCTCTCTCCATTCTTTCCAGGCTCCTCCACACCCATGTCTATTGTGCATTCTCTCATGAGCACAGGCCATTTCAAACCTGTGTCCTTTCATACGCTTTCTATACTTCTTGAAAACTTTTTCTCTCCTGTTTCCAGACAAAAATCTCATTTTCTCTTTAAATGTCAACTCTAGATTTCTGTGTTTTGGGGAGGACCAGAATAAGAAGTGTGTAACTAAAATATCTCCATGAGGAACAGAATTACACCTTTCTTGTGGGTCCTAAACACTTTTTAGTCTTTAACGTTTTCTTACTTAAATCTAGTTATCACTAGGAAGGACAAAATCTTGCACCACTATTAGGTTTTGGAGGATTTTGAAAGTGTCTAGAGGATAGCTGATAGTAGTTGAGAGTTGGATTCTAAAGTCAGAAACTTTGGGTCTCAAGGAATATACTTTAAAACATAAAGAAGCAAGAGGCTAATCTTCATCGACCTCTCACATTAGAGCCATTTCTGTTCAGAAAAACATTACTTAAAATATTTTATGTTTTCTAAAAAGACTTGCCTCTGGATTCAGGCATGTATATATTTTTTTCATTTTTTAATCAAAGTGTTTCAAAGGACAGAAGTTTTGAAGTCCTGAAATTTTTTTTTTTTTTTTTTTTTTTTGAGACAGAGTGTTGCTCTGTTGCCAGGCTGGAGTGCAGTGGCGTGATCTCAGCTCACTGCAATCTCTGCCTCGCGGGTTCAAGCGATTCCCCTGCCTCAGCCTCCTGAGTATCTGGGACTACAGGCATTTGCCACCATGCCCAACTAATTTTTTGTACTTTAGTGGAGACGGGGTTTCACCATGTTGGCCAGGATGGTCTCGATCTCCTGACCTCGTGATCTGCCTGCCTCGGCCTCCCAAAGTGCTGGGATTACAGGCATGAGCCACCATGCCCGGCCTATTTATCTTATTTTATTGTATATATCACATTGATTCTTACTGCACTTTCAGATGCGTTTACCTTTATCTAACACATATGCGGTTCTTTCTTTTCCACCATGTCATAGTACTAGAAATATATGCAAATCACCTTTTTCAGTGAAGTGTAGGCTGGTCAGATTTGTTAGTGGTTTTGTACAGTCTGAGCAACCTGTTCACAGTTCTAAGGGTCAGGCAGGGTCGTATTGTTGTGCCAAGGATATTTCCTGTTAAGTCAATATTTTAAAAGACTGAAAGAGGATTTGTTTTGCTAAGAGTGCCTGAATCCATAATCTAGAACGAACGGGTAAAGAGTTAGGATATATAAATTATTACATAGAATTTTCAATGATGTTCTGGGCTGGGTCTCCTGTTGTCATCCCTAAGGAGCATGGGAAATGGCTTCCCCTCCAGCTGGCGGAAATCCTTTCCCGTGTACCCTATTTAATCTTAACCCCAAGTCTGTTCATGCCTGGGCATTCACCCCGTTTCTTATGCCCCTATCTTGGGTTACAAGAAGCTGGCTCTGGTATTAGCTGGTTCAGATCTCAGCCTCTCTAACCACCTCAGAGACTAAGGGTATTCTTCTCAAGTCCATTGGAGGAATTGTCTTTTCCTGCCTAGGGTCCTTACTGAAAATAGTCTTTCTGATGTTATGCTATTAAAGGTTCCTCCAGTAACAGATTTGGGTGGGTTTTGTTTGTTTGTTTTTTGCTCAATCACCTTATGCCAGAACCAGATGTATTACAATGTACAAAATTAAACTGTATATCTAGGTAGACAGATAGATACACACATTGTGTGTGTGTGTGTGTGTGTGTGTGTGTGTGTAAAGAGAGACAGACAGAGACAGAGCAAGAGAGAGAGAGGGCATCTGAATAGTCTGAGGACATACTATGTAGCATAATACCTTTCTCATGCATTCATTAGAAAATTAAAATGACTCTACTAAAATTGTGGTTTTCCCTCCATAGTTAAGCAGACAGAAAATCAAGCTCAAAATAGTTGAAATGAATTGAGTTTGGCACACCAGAATGGTAGCATGAATAACAGTAGGTGTAATATACTATTGCAAACCACAGCTTTGCTCTGAGTATTTTGTTAATTAAAAGGTGTTGGCTTTAGGAAGGAACTCTTATTTTTTTCAAGTGTTTGAAGAACACTTCTCTAGTCTGAAAATTTAATTGGTTTCAGGGGTACATGATTAGTCAGACTAACAGCTTTACTTAGAGCTTTAAAGGAGCTACTAAATCTTTTAAAACACACACACAATGTGTTTGGCATATTTCCTTTGAAGTATTCACACATGGTTTTCCTGTAATTCACAGGTCTCCTTTGGTTGATAAGAAAGCAAGAAGCACATACTCTATTTCTAGCTTTGTTGAATGAATGTGGGTAACTTTTTTTGTTTGCTTCACTTTTATATTTGAAAAATCACTCAACTTACAAAATAAGTTATTGGGCTCACATTAACAATTCTATGAGAGAATATCTAAAAAGTGCTGTTAGATATTCCCTTCCTCCTTATCATTCCATGTCAACAGGAGAGCAATGTTATATGTGATCAAATTGCATTACTATTTAATACTATGGGGTATAAGAAAGATTGTTAGCGACTTCCATCTCACTAGTAGATAAAATAACTCTCCTCCATGTAAGCAACATTGGAGAATATTTTCTTTTTGAATATTTGAAAGGATGGCATTTGGATTAATGAATTCCGTAAGAATTCAAGAGAACTTCTGAAGAAAATTTGAAATCATGTCTAGATTCTAAGAAAGACAATCTATTGTGTAGGTAAGGAAGAATTTCATGTCTTCCCTCTAAATATTTACAGTCTGCACATACAAGTTGGAAAATTAGAAACAAACACTATGAACACATAAACACTTATTTTTGTCTGCTTTCTTTTCTGTCACTCTAAAGAGTAAATAAAATATATGACACACCTAACATCAATAATTCTCATTTTAGAAAAATAAATGCTTGTACTCTACATAGGCAAGGCCGGAGTACTGGAACTCAAGGATTCATGATAACCATTTGTATTTCTGGATTTAAGAAAAAAAAATGTTAAGTTTGGGAGCTATGGATTTTTAAAGCTTAATGGTGCTATTTGCTTACATTTTAATAGATTCTTTCTTGCTATTAAAAATATAATCCAAATAAATATTTGCTACTACTTACAAGTAAGATAATTGCCACCAACACTGCCATCACCCCCATCATTTACTCAGTGATTCTTATGTGCTAGGCAAGGTTCTTCATAAACCCTCTTTTATTTCACCTTTACCAAACCATCTTCAGGGTAGATGTTATCATCCCCCTTTTACCAAGGTAACGAAACTTGTTCAGGATCTCACATTAACAAGTGATGTTTCCAAGACAATGTGCTTAACCACTGCACATATTTCTAAGAATCATAGGACATCAGGTATCTTTCTTACATGTCTCATTCAATATGCAAGAATTATTAATCACTCAAATACTTCTAAGAGCTATAGCTTATAATATATGGTATCCATGAAATATATCTAATATCCATTTTAATTTGGGAGAGAAGATCATTTGATATAGCTATAAAAATATGGATTGTAACAATCAAGCGCATCTGGCATCCACTCACAACTTAAATATTACCCTTGAGAAATATCTCCAACCTGACTTTAAACATATCCTTCCTTCACTAACTTGAATAGAGAAATAATCATTGCCTTTTCCTGTTTTAGTTGGCATCATCTAAGTGCCCTTCTATAACTAACATTATATGAATTCATCTACATGCGCTCAGTGAAAAGCAGGGTTTCTCAATCTCAGCACTATTGACATTTTTGTCCCAGATAATTTTTTGTCGTGAGTGGCTGTCCTGTGCATTGTAGGATCAGAATTGCTTGTCAGTATCTCTGGCCAGAGCTCCCTCCTAGATGTACAACCAAAAATGTCTCCTGACATTACCAAATGTCTCCTGAGGAAAGAAAAATTGCTTATGGTTGAGCATGTCTCAATTAAAAGGATTTTCCATCTCTCCCTACCCACCC
The DNA here is from genome assembly GCF_000001405.40 of Homo sapiens. Taxonomy (NCBI): domain Eukaryota; kingdom Metazoa; phylum Chordata; class Mammalia; order Primates; family Hominidae; genus Homo; species Homo sapiens. The sequence goes on from NC_000023.11 coordinate 31,781,926, forward strand.
ACCTCTCAAATAGCTGCTTAGAATTTGTGCTGGAAATCATTTATGCCTATCCAATTTTTTTTTTCTCATTCCTCAGAAGTAGAAATTAAGAGAAATTGTTAAGGGCTTCTCTTTCCAACATGATATTGGGCAGGCACTGAAGTATCCATAAGTAAACCACAAACTTATGGCTGCCAAGGAATAATAAATAATATTACACAGGAACTGTCTTAGTGACAAAAATGACAACATCTCTGCTGGAGAGTAAATGTCCACAGATTCTCCTCTTGCATCTACACTTTTGTCAAGAGATATTCCAGATTCTCCCATTAAGAGCCATAGTCTGTTTCTCCACTCCTTGAATATGGATTGGTCAAGTCACTTGTTTCGGCTAATGAGGTATCAGCAAACATGACATAAGCAGAGGCTTAACAATGCTTGGGTGTTGGGCTATGCTTGGAACTCTTCCACCGCTATGGAACTATGCTAGCCTGATGAATAATTACAGGCAAGTGATCCTGTCACCCACACCGTCTCAACTTATAACCAAAAAGTTATACCAGACATATGAATGCCACATGTGGTCATCAACTACCAGCTGACCACGAGTGCATGAATGAGCACAGCTGAGTCTAGCAAAAGAATCGCCTCGATGAACCAAGCCCCAAGCAGAATCAAGAATCATGAGCTAAAAAAAAAAAATGATTCTTATTTTAAGTCTCTACATTTGGGGTAGCTTGTTACACAGCAATAGATAGCTGACACAGCATCCATTTTTACCTGTTAAACACTTGTACGCAAAACAGGATTTAAAATTCCCTTCCCATTACCACAGAAATTAAAAGAAAAATGCTTATCCAGCAGAGAGAACACAGCTGGAAAAGACGGAGTCTTTAAGTTAAAATGTGGAATGGAATTCCACAGAGAATGGAAGATTCACATAGTCACTCTATGAGGTCAATAAATCAGGCAGCCAGCATTTGACAGGATATTTGAAGAAAGTAACACTTTTAGCAGAAACTCACTATTAATGCACTAAGACCTTTGTATATGAAAAAAGTAGAGTATGTAATAATAAGAGCCAAGAAGTAGGCAGCCCAGTGCAGAAGACAAGGGAAGAAAAAGCCAGATGAAACCATAATAAAGACCACGCTATTGATGAAGGGTGGTCATCAATTGCAAAACTGATATCAGAATAAAATCCATATAACCATTTGAGTATAACCAGCTAGAGAACATTGTGTAGTTCTTATTACAGAAAATACACTGCTATTCTACCAAAATTCTGAGCACCTTAAAAAACTCCTGAATTAAATAATTTATTCTGATTTGGGTTTGTTTATTCAATTTTTTAAAATAGAGTTCCTCCTACCTGAATGTTAGAGACAAGACTCTGCAGTGAAAACTAAGCAAAATGAGGTAAGCAGTGTTTTCTACAGAATTCAGTCTAAATCTCTTATTTGTTTGGGAGAGCTACGTTTTCACCTTAAGCAGAAAAATAATTAGTGATGTGTTTTGAAAGTTGTTATATAATGAATAAGATCCTCTACCATGTGTCAGGCCCTCACAAGCCTCATCCACCAGAGGAGATGATAAGCTATTTGAGATAAGTATCAGAATCATCTTTTCCTTCCTCACAAGACCAAAGGTCTGAAAAATAACAGGGTCTCAATCAAAATTTGTTGTTGTTTTCACAATTAGAATGAGGTGCAAGTTGCAATGTACTAAGCAGAGTCCTTAAGTGTAATCTCGTTCTCTCTCTAAATATATATATGCATATGTATATATAGTCTAAATATATATATTTAGAGAGAGACAGAGAAGTTATATAAATTAATATAACAGAGTTATGTAACTGTGATTTACAGTTTCCTCAGAGTTTCAATCTAGAACTTCATCAGTGAGAAAAAAGAGGAACCATTAGTGCAATGTAAATGCGACAATATTAAATAGTCTTAAAATGTAGATTCTTTTGGTTCAAATCAATTATAATATATTTGCACAAGATCTGGACAGCATAAAAATGCCTTTTTAGTCATTTTCTGCATTGGTTCCTCATCATACCACTCTGGTGTGGATAGGGAAAACATGATTACTATCAATTTATAGAACGGGAAACTAAATTCAGATAAATTAAAATACTTCTTCAAGATCAACATTTAGTAAATTAGATGAAAGGTTCTGAGAAATCTGTATTTTAAGAAGAAAGGCTCTGAGGTGAGTAATTAATAAGGAATTCACCAAAAACAATTAACCTGATTTTAAAATGGGCAAGGATTTAAATAGACATTTCTCCAAAGAAAATATATACACAGCCAACAAGCATCTGAAAACATACTCAACATCGTCAATCATCGGGGAAATGCAAATGAAGAACGAAAACCACAATGAGATATTACCTCACAACCATGAGGATGACCACGATCATAAACAGAAAATAACATGTGCTGGCAAGGATGTGGAGAAACTGAAACACTTCTGCATTGTTGGTGGGAATGTGAAAAGGTGTAGCCACTATGGAAAACCGTATGGAAGTTCCTCAAAACATAAAAATAGAATTATCATATAATCCAGTCCTCAAAAAATAAAAATAGAATTATCATATAATCCAGCAATCCCATTTCTGGGTGTACGGTTAGTCCCCAACTTACTAAGGTCTAACTTGTAATTTTTGGACTTTACAATGGTGTGAAAGCGATATGCATTCATTAAGAAACCATACTTCAAATTTTGAATTTTGATCTTTTCTAGGGCTAGTAAATATGCAGTATGATACTCTCTTCTGACATATTGGGTTGCAGCATGATATTTATCATGAGGATAAATAATTGATACTCTACTATGTACTGTGTTGCAAGATGATTTTGCCCAGATGTACTGTAATCTACATGTTCTGATAACATTTAAAGTATGCTAGACTAAGCAATGATGTTTGGTAGCTTAGGCATATTAAATTAATTTTTGACATGATATTTTCAACTTATGATGGGCTGATTGGGATGTAATCCCAGTGTAAATCAATGAGCATCTGTATATCCAAAAGAATTAAAAACAGGATCTTAAAGAGATATTTGCACACTCATATTAACTGCGGCATAATTCACAATAGCCAAAAATTGAAGTAACTAAAATGTCCATTGATTGATAAACGGATTAAAAAATGTGGTATAGGACACAACGGAATATTATTACTCGGCCACAAAAAAAGAAGGAAATCCTTTCCTATGCTACAACATGGGTGTACCTTGAAGACATTATGCTAAGTGAAATAAGCCAGTCATAAAATGACAAATACTGCATGCTTCCTTTTATATGATGTATCTAAAGTAGTTAAACTCTTTAGAGACAGAAAGTAGAGTGGTCATATTGCCAGTGCTGGGGTACAGGGAGCAATGGGAGCTCTTCAGTGGGTTTGGAGTTTCGGATTTGAGAGATGAAAACATTCTAGAGATCTGTTGAATAACAATGTATGTATAGTTAACACTACTGGTTTGTACACATAAAACAGTTAAGCTGGCAAAGTTTGTATTATGTGGGTTTTGTTTTTCAACCACATTTTTTAAATTATACTTTAAGTTCTGGGATACATGTGCAGAATGTACAGGTTTGCTACGTAGGTATACACGTGCCATGGTGGTTTGCTGTACCCATCAACCCTTCATCTACATTAGGTATTTCTCCTAACGTTATCCCTCCCTCTGCCCCCCAATCCCCCAACTGGTGTGTGATGTTCCCCTCCCCCATCTCCATGTGTTCTCATCGTTCAACTCCCACTTATGAGTGAGAACATGCGGTGTTTGGTTTTCTGTTCCTGTGTTAGTTTGCTGAGAATGATGGTTTCCAGCTTCATCCATGTCCTTACAAAGGACACGAACGCATCCTTTTTTATGGCTGCATAGTATTCTATGGTGTATATGTGCCACATTTTCTGTATCCAGTCTATTATTGATGGACATTTGGGTTGGTTCCAAGTCTTTGCTATTGTAAACAGTGCTGCAACAAACGTACGTGTGCATGTGTCTTTACAGTAGAATGATTTATAATCCTTTGGGTATATACCCAGTAATGGGATGGCTGAGTTAAATGGTATTTCTGGTTGTAGATCCTTGAGGAATCGCCACACGGTCTTCCACAATGGTTGAAGTAATTCACACTCCCACCAACAGTGTAAAAGCGTTCCTATTTCTCCACATCCTCTCCAGCATCTGTTGTTTCCTGACTTTTTAATGATCGCCTTTCTAACTGATGTGAGATGGTATCTCATTGCGGTTTTGATTTGCATTTCTCTAATGACCAGTGATGATGAGCTTTTTTTCATGTGTCTTTTGGCCACATAAATGTCTTCTTTTGAGAAGAGTCTGTTTATATCCTTCCCCCACTTTTTGATGGGGTTGTTTGTTTTTTTCTTGTAAATTTGATTAAACCACATTTTATTTTAAAAGGGAATTCATAGACCAGGTGAATTGTGGACTTTTTAAAATTCCCTTCTGAGTTAAGGAGATTTAAAAGAGATTTTTTTGAGTACTATAATAAATATCATCCTGTAAATTCCAATGGTTCTGATATATTAAGGCCCAGTGGAAAATAATCGATTTATTTTATGTCCTCACTACTCCTACTTGCATCCTCATTGCAATATTTGTGGGGTAAGCAGAATATGCCAGTGCCTCTCTGTAGTGGATACTGTAATGCTTCATCAAGATCCTCTTCTGGAGTCGATGCACCCACACTACCAATATTATTCCTAGTATTTGTGGTGTGGTTGCATTGACTCCAGAATAATAATATCTACAAAAGGATCACAGCTGCATTTCTCCCTGGTGCCTGCTCTTGGCTAGTGCAAAGATACAAAAGTCTCGCCCATTTGCCTCAATTTGGTAGAACTCTGAAAGACCATCCCAGCTCCAGTGTCCCTGTCACATGGGCTGAAGCCTCAGTAGCAACTGCAGTGTGGATGAGCTTTTCTCTCTGCCCAATACTGCCTCCTTCACTTCCTTATAAATAGCAACAATACTTCTCAAAATACTTTCTGTGTGCAACTTTTTGTCTCAGAGACTGTTGCCAAGGAATCTCATCTCTGACACCGTATCTCTGGTCTATTTACGTAATAGTTTGTTTTTAATACATAGAAGTAATATGATTTTTTCAGGCATTCGATAGTAGAATATTTTTTAAAGTTAATTATAAGCCAGGCGCTGTGGCTCATGCCTGTAATACCAGCACTTTGGGAGGCTGAGGTGGTAGAACACCTGAGGTCCGGAGTTCAAGGCCAGCCTGATCATTATGGTGAAACCCTGTCTCTACTAAAAGTACAAAATTAGCCAGGCGTGGTGGTGCATGGCTGTAATCCCAGCTACTTGGGAGGCTGAGGCAGGAGAATCACTTGAAACTAAGAGGTGGAGGTTGCAGTGAGCTGAGATCATGCCATTGCACTCCAGCCTGGGAGACAAAGCAAGAATCATTCTCTAAATAAATAAATAAAAAGTTAATTATTTATTGGTATCACATGTTATATAATTCAATTGAATGCTCTAAAAAATGACAAAAAGTATGCAGAGGATTGTTGGCATATTTATTGTTTAAGGGCTTATAAAGTAGTTTTACACTCCTTGGGTATATTTGAGTTTCAATGTATCATCAGAGTTGCTGTTTCTTATGTGAAATATGCACACTTCCTGTAACTAAAAGACCCATGAGCTTGACAAATTCAACTGCTGAAGTCTTGAACTCCGTCTTCATAATGACCTTGGAAATGTAACTGCTATCTTAAGTTGGTTTGAAGTGACTGTATTGAACTAAACTTGAGTTTTAACGTTCTGGGTCAGTAAACATGTTATGAATTGCAGGTATGGAAAACACACTAACTGAAATAGTGGAACTAGCTACATCAAAATCAATTTATGTTTTTATTTAACTTGTAGAAAACCATACTATGCCCAGAAGTGCGACAACTACCAACCATACAAAAGAGATCAAAATCAAGGGGAGAAAACAGGTAACACTTACGTAGGAAAAATTGCTTGTTAGAAGCACAACAAATAAAAATTTGGTGTTTGTTTCTTTAAGACATCCCTGCCAAACCATCTCAAATTCTTTTTGAACGTATGAAAGGTAATCATAAATAAAACATGGTTTCAGTGGTTTTAAATTATGCTATTGAAATAACAATGTTCCTCAGAGCATTAGCATGACAGTTTTGATGCACATACTTCCTATTGTCTTGGACTTGAATCTCATTGTCTTAATCCTTTTGATGAATGGGTTTAAAATTAAGAGTGTAAAGAGTGTATGGAAAAGCTGTGAGCCCACAGTAAATGGTTTCTGAAGTAGAAACATATCCAACTCTGTTTATTCAGAAAGATCTGTGAAGCTGTATTATTACAGTTGCTTCATTATGAACTTATTTTTGCTGCTTACAAAGGGGAAATCCCATCAGATCAGGGCTAAGATAATTCCTTTTTAAACAATCAGTAAATCATATTTAAACCTTGTTTACACTAGTACTTTTTCCATGATGGCGTTGTTTTACATAAAATACATGCTTTCAATCTTGTTAAATTTGTTAGGACTCATTTTGTGGCCTAACATATGATCTACCCTGAAGAATTGTTTCTTGTGCACTTGATAAGAATGTATATTCTCCTGCTGTTAGATGAGATGTACTGTATATGTCTGCTAGGTCTATTTGATCTAAAGCATAAAGTCCAATGCATTCTTATTGATTTTTTAATGTGGATTTTCTGTCTATTGTTGAATTTGGGGTAGAAGTCCCCTACTATTATTGTACTGTAGTTTGTCTCTTTCTTTTTATCACTTTATATTTGCTTTATATATTTAGGTACTCCAATGTTGGGTGCATATATATTTACAATTGTTATACCTTCTTGATGAATTGATCCTTTTATCATTATTTAATGACCTTCTTTGTGTCTTTTTAGTTTTTGATTTTTAAAGCCTATTTTGTCTAATAGAAGTATGGCTATCCCCATTCTCTTTTGGTTTCCATTTGCATGGAAACCAAAATATCTTTTTCTATCTCTTCTATTTCAGTCAACATGTGTCCTAAAAGATGACGTGAGTCTCTTATGGGCAGCATGTAGTTGAGTCTTGTTGTTTTAATCCATTTGGCCACTCTATCTTTAGACTGGTGAATTTAATCCATTTACATTCAAAGTAAATATTGATAGGTAGGAATTTACTACTGCCATTTAAAAAGTTGTTTTCTAATTGTTTTGTAGATCCTTTGTTCTATATGCCTTTTTTTGTTGTCTTCTTTTATGGTTTGACTGTTTTGCTCAGTAGTATACTTTGATTCCTTACTTTTTACCTTTTGTATATCTACTATAGGTTTTTGCTTTTGCTACTATAGGTTTTTGCTTTTCTTTACATCTTACGTAAGGGTTTTTTAAGCTGGTAATAACTTAACTTTGATTGCATACAAAACTCTACACGCTTACTTCCCTAATCCACATTTTGTAATTTCAATGTCACAACCTATATCTTCTTTATAATTTGTCTCTTTTAACCAATTATTGTAGCTATAAGCACATTGGGATGTGAGAGTTCTTTTTAGTAGAGATCACACAAATTTTGCATTTTAAAATGTTACTTGAAAATAAAATTTTCAATGAAGTTATATTTAAGATTCAATTATTCCAAGGTAAAGTTAATTACAAAGTCCAGAATGGAAAATCATGCTATTTTTTTCATTAGTAGAAAAATAATAATCCTTAAAAATGATGTTTCTTTTTTCCTAAGATATCTAGATAAGAACTAAAAGTAAAATGTATTTCCTCTACTGTAAAATTACAATCTATATTAATCCATTATTTTAAAACAAAAAGATACGAAGGGAGAAAATTTTTATCAAGTTATGTTACAAAATCTCTAGCTTATTGCATGAAATTAAACCACATAAAAGAAATAATAAACCTAACTGAAACAACATTAACTCCTATCTAGGGTTTATCAAACTACAGAAAACAGAAAGGAAAGGAATTATACATCTTGAGAAACATAACTACTAAATACTGGTGGAAACTATACATGTGCATAGTTTTGAATTGGTAAAATTCTTCATTTTTGCCCTGTAAATGGTGGAAAGAATGAAAAAAGTCACTAAAGCTCTGTTTCCTACTTTTGTACTAATTCAAAGGCATGATTATGCTATACTTAATAACTATTTCTACTTAAAAATTGTTAATCATTGTGATTTTAACACCTAATGTATATATTTTCTGTGGAATACAAGAACGTGAACAGAGGCAAAGAGCTAGGTAGAAAGACCAATTTCCAAAGAGAAAGTAGGGTTAGTTTACTACTGGGGGCCTCACATTCCCATTCAATCTGACGTAAAAGTGGAATTGAAGGGCATATGGGCTGAAGTTATCAGAGACTGTATTGCTAAAATGGATAATCTTCCCCTATTGACAATGGGGGCCTGTGGCTACCAAAATTAGGTGACTTGAACAGATAAAACCATAACAAGTTCGGATCCTTTCATGCATCTATTTTCAAAAATGATATTTTGGTGATTAGTGAATCAGATTTATTATTATGATAAAAATGAGTAAGTAAATTATTTATAAAAACGTAAGCTATCAAAAACTTAGTTTTCAGTGCCATGAAAATATAGGTTATAGTAACTTGTGAAGATCTTCAGGAAGGTTAATTTATACTGTACATTCTAAACCATAGATGCTACATCTGGTAATATTAAGTTGGGAAGGGATTTATCTGGGAAAACACCATCATTTATCAATTAAACCAAGGCAGAAAAGGTTGAATAGTTTGCCCAAAACCCCCAAACCATAGCCAACAAGAGATCAAATGAGGACTAGATCCCAGGTTTATTAATTCCCAATCCAGTGATCTTTTAACAGTGCCTGGTTTACAATATCATGAGCATGCTTCTGAAATATTAAAAATGTTACGTCTCTATATAATAACTTTATATCTAGCATGCGTAGATTGAGAAAAATAGTGACAAAATCAACTTATTCTGAATTCAGTAATATTGTAATATAATTTTGCATTTATTAATTGCAGTAGCATCTACATCACTTAAAAAATGTCTACTACATGTTTGTGGGTAATGCATCACTCCTTTGATTCACAGACAACACTTGAGGTGGTTGTGGATTTGAGAATTTCTTTCAATGGTCCTGGGAAATTTTAGCTATATCCAGCACACAGGTTGAGAACTTCTATAATGTTGGTCTCTGCCTTGCAACATTACTCTTAACCAAATATCTTTAAAAGTCGTACTCTTTACTCTTAGAGTTGATTTCAGTTTCATTGTTGCCAAACAATGATATCTCAATCATTTGACAATGGGTTGTGGCATAGATATAAAATATCCAAATTGTCTAAATATTTTTATATTTTTTTATAAATTAGAACCAACTAAAGGTTGTCAATATAAGAGTACTCTCGCATTCCAAAGTGCTTTTCTGAGTGAGAGAGGGTGCACAGTCAGAACTAGTGTGCTTGAATTTTGCTATTTAACTTCATTCACCTTTACATATCTGTAGCCCCTGACATGAATATCTATCTTCAGGCAAGTGAGTGAATATTGCCAACATCTGTGATGATACTGGTAGGATAGGGATGGGGGCAAAACAAAGGTTGAAAAATCCTATATGACCATATCCAATACCTGAATTCTCTTCCACTTTACTTACAGAAAGTGATTTCCCACTGCTTACCCCAAAAGTACACATTGTGTCAAACTAGCCAGTCTCTTTATGTAATACCCAATATGCTTTCACTCTTTACAAAATAAATTTATCCTTGTTGTTTCTTAGACTTTTTTTTGCACCCATTTTATTCCTTACTAATGTCTACGATCACAATCTTCTGTGAAGTCTTTGTTGACAACTCTAGTTAACCCATACAGTCTTCTTTCCAAACTCCTATGTTGATTTCAGTCTTACATATTTATTTATATTATTATTTGCTATCTCAATTGTAAAATTCTACAATTGGAAGGAAATTATGGAAATTCCAATGCTGAACTTTAAAATCTTTCTCCTTTGAGCATTGTAAATCTTAGACTGAAATGCTTTACATATAATTTAGTAGATGTTTAATATTCTCAAGAGGTATGCCTAAGAGTCTTTGCAAATCAAAAAGCAGATTTATATGATCTGATAGTCTTACTTAGGAGTTAAGGGATTCATCCCTGCCCAGTAGTTTCCCAGTACATGAAATTAGTACTGGAGGCCTTCCTTACATGTTAGAACCACCCAATTACCCAATAGGATCAATGCTATTAAACACATTAGAAATCACTACATATCATGGACCTTTAGAAAGCAATATTTTATCACTTCATATGAGTTATTTAGCTTAGGACAATGTTTTGCCATTTCTTATTTAGATTATGAGAAATGTCACATCTCATTTTAAAAATTATTTCTTAGTATATCACATCATTCTGATTATCTGCACTAAAGCAAAATCTTCCAAACATAAAGGAGTTTTCAAAATATGTTCTACCATTAGAAATTAGCATGACGGCTGTATTTTCATTTAACATATTTTACAAAAGGAAATAATAGGTTCATGAATGAGAAAGCTGTTTTCTGTCGTGTCTTTGATAATCTGAATTTAGTCTAACAGAATAGCTTTCATTTAAGTATTATTACTGAATAATTACTAACTTAGTAAAGGGTTTATACCTACTTAGTAACGAAGCAGGATATTTCCCTGACCCCTTTGTGGAACTCGCAACAGGGGTGCCTTATTTACTTAGCCCACTGCTCTCAACTCCTCACTGGAGGGAGTGTGCAAGCAAACGAGGTGGGAACTGGAGTGCATGAGCACTGGAGCAGCATCTAGGTGGAGGCGTCTGCGACCCCTGAAGCCCCAGAGGGTGTGTTACAGTGCTCTGTTAGCTCTGCCATCCACGGACAGCTTAGGCGTTAACAGCTCAGTGGGCCATTTGTCTTTTCACAGGAGGCAGCTGCCCTCCACCAGCAAGGGCAAAGGGCCTTTTGTATTCACACTTGTGGCTCCTGAGCTCTTGTCCAGCATCTAGGGAAAATGAGGTCACATGAACAAATTGAAGGATTGTAAATGTGAGGGATTGTACTGCCGATGAAAGTGGCTCTCAGTGGGAAGGGGAGCTGAAAAGGGGATGGGGGTGGCAAGTAATCTTCCCCTGAAGTCCAGCCGGATTCTTCTCTAAAGTTATGCCATCAAGTTGTCCCTCTGAAGTCAAGCTGCTTCTCTCTGATGTCCAGCTGTAGTCCTGTCTACCAGCTGAGTCTGGGGTTTTTATAGGCACAGGATGGGGTGGGGTGGGGCCATGGGTGGTTTAGAAAAAGGCAACATTCGAGCAGGAAAACTGGGATATAAGTTCCCACTTTGAGCTGCGGTTTCAGGCTTTTTGGCTTGAGGGTGGGGTTTTCGCTGGGGACCATCCCTTTTCTGCCTAGAGCTTCTCTGCCTCCTGCCGCTATCAGTACGAGAGTTGTGTAAATGCCTATATTGATACAGGTGCTCCTCAACGTACAATGGGATTATTTCCTGATAAACCCATCATACGTTGAAAACATCATAAATTGAAAAACCCATCATAAGTTGAAAACATCATAAATTGAAAAATGCATTTAATAAACCTAACCTACTGAACATCATTGCTTAGCCTAGCCTACCTTCAACATGGTCAGAACACTTACATTAGCCTACAGTTGGGCAAAATCATCTAACACAAAGCCTATTTTATTAAAGGTGTTGAACATCTCATGTAATTTATTGAATACTGTATTGAACATGAAAAGCAGAACAGTTGTATGAGTACTTGAAGTATGATTTCTACTGAGTGCATATTACTTTCACACCATTGTAAAATAAAAATATCCTAAGCCGAACCATTGTAAATCAAAACATTTTTAGATTGGGACCCTCTGTATATTTCTTTATTTCTCAGGCCCTTGACAAAAGGAGATAATTGAAGCATTCTTATTTTTATTAAACAGTGAACATATGTGCTAACAAAGGAAAATTATATTCAGAGAAATCAGCACTTGCCCTTGTATTACACAGGAAGTGCTAAAAGCTTTACTCTTTAGAGTTAAATGCTAAGAAATTTAGATTGGTATAGGTTACATACAAGTTTTCCCGACAATTCTATATCTTGAAAAAAAAAATCTAACATTGTATTATCTGAGACTACAGCACAGTTGGACTGGTTTAGACTAAAACTAGGGTAAGGGAAGTGGTGTTAAAATTGATTGAAGATTATAGTATACGTCTAAAATCTTGGGCATCATTAATAAAGCCCACTCTACTTGGACTTATTGCTCTATTCATATCCTTTCTGAAAGATAAACTACCTCAAAATTCAGGACCCAATAGTAATATACTATTATTGCGGAGATGCCATGAAACATTCCTGGGGCTGTGATCGGGATGATTGAGAGGAGCGCTAAATGCTGAAAAGTGGATGTGACCAGGGAATGGCTTAGCTGTTTGCCAGTGTAAAAAATAACTTGATATCAACATTAAGCAGCAGCTGAAGAATCTTTTAATAGTTTAGGCACTTTTTCTAAATCCTTCAGTTATGCTTCACCGATTAAATTATTAAGAACCTCTGATCTAGCTATTTCATATTTTAGATGTGAGTGAAGATGTTTTGAAATCATTTTCATTGTTCATGGTTTCTTGTTTTTTAAAATTAAACCTAGAGGACGCTGAGATAATCTCTTTTTATTAGGTCTGCAGAAACCAAGAATACACCAAATGCTGAATAGCTGCATGGAAGTATCACTTGCCTTGACAATATTGTATTATGATAAGCTAGTTCCTCTTTTTTTTTTTTTTAAGTTGAGCTATATAGATTCCAATTAATGTTGTTAAACCAATTGTTTAAAAAATGGCCAGAGGCTTCTACTGGCTTTTAGATGGAGGCCAAGATATGATTGCGTCAAAGATCAAGATAAGGATCAGAAACGAAATTTAGGAAGAGCCTCCCAATGTGAATGACTAAATTGTATATGATTAACTTTTCTAAAAATACTTCTCGTTGTCATTTAGTTTATAAATAGCTTGCAGATAATATTGTCTTCCTATAGGTTCGTTGAACAAATATTAACTGGGTACCTTTGGGCCCAGTGTCACCCCAATGGAGTGAATATTGTTGGTGGCTTAAACAACTTCCATTCAAAGATATCCCTACACCCACTCTGAAATTCTGCTTTCTAGGAGAATTCCAATTGTCTTCAAGTTTCTACGGAATCCATCCTCAGTTCTGGAGATGGATTTAGATTCACCTAAATCTTCGATTCTAAGCCAGTCAAGATAATCTCATCCTCTTGGTTCAGGAAGAAAAGTTTAAATCAACCAGCTTATGAAACCATTCTGAATCATCTTTAGTACAATAGTAGATATATATGAATACCTAATACATATACTAATGATACAGTAGATACACAATTAAAATTTTGATTGTTCTTATCTGAGGGTGAAATCTCTGAATCTGTGAGGTAAGTGTTTATGTCTCTCACTGTAACAAGAAATTATGTTACCCATTTGTTGCTGGCAGTCATCTTGGAACCTGGAGGGCAACTAGTGAGGAGGTCAAAGCTGACGCAGAGAAAAAAATCAGGACAAAGAAAGTCATAGAGAAAGAGTGACAGAGCTCTGCTTGTACTTCATCTGGAGCCAGCTTTAACCTCTGAACTTCCAGTTATGTGAGTTGAATTATTCTTATTTTTGAAGCCACTTTGAAAGTGCATTCTCTTTCTTGCAGCCCAAAGCATCTTAACTATTAAATATGTCACCAGGGTAACATAAATATGCCAACAATTAATCTCAGTAAAATATTATGATACTTGCTGAAATAGGAGTAAATTTTAAAATGATAATATGGAGAGAGAAGCACATGCATTCCCCTGGAGGACTAAGTAGGAAAAAAGGTACTTACACAAATAATATTATAAACTGAGAATGTAATGGTAAGTTTACCAAAGAGCCTATTATGACAAATGTATTTCTAGCAAAAGGAAGAATATATGTTAAAGTATAAAGGCAGCAATTGGTGATTAGGGAGTTACAAATAGTTTAGTATTACTTGATTTTTCAAGAGAGAGGAGGGAAGATGTAGGAAATACCCTAGATAGACTAGTAGGTACCAAATCCATGAACGGCCTTGTGTACCAAGCTGAAAAATTTAGCTTTTATCCTAGAAGAGAAAGAGAACTATTATACAACCTTTACTAATACATTATGATTGGCATGTTAAAAAGTGTAGTTTTAATGGATTTGCAGTGTACAAGATGAGCTGAGAGACAGAAAAACTAGTGAAGAGGTTTTGTAGAAGATGCTATCTGAATGAATGAGAAAACAAAATTGCAGTGCTAAATAAGAGATAAGAAATTTCAAGCTTATTTGTCTTAACAAGATCGAAAGGATTGGTAATTTATCGTGGGGCTTAATATTAAGGAATAAAGAAAGTGCCAGAAAAACTTCCTGATTTTTAACATGGCCAGTCCATTAGATTGTGTCATTCACAAAAATAGGGAATATAGTAAGAGGAATAGATTTTCAGAAAATAATGATAACATCAATTTTACATATCCTGAGTTAGAAATACCTGTGGAACATCTACGTGGTAGCTTGTCAGCAGGTGAAAATATGAGTTTGGAATTGAAGAGAGAAGCCTGAACTAGAGATAATCATTGGCATAGTTTCAGTAGTCTTAATCTTAGATTCTCTAATAAATGGAATTGGTAGTAAAATTATTTGAATTAAGATAATGCTATAGTTCAGATGTTGTCCCCTCCAAATCTCATGTTGAAATTTGATCCTCAATATTGGAGGTGGGGCTTAACGGGAAGTGTGGGGTCATGGGGGTGGATCCTTCTTGAATGGCTTAATGCCCTTCCTGGGGGCAGGTTGAGTGACTGCTCATTCTGTTAGGTTCTGCAAGAGCTAGTTGCCAAATAACAGCCTGGCACTTCCCCTCTCTCTCTTGTTTATGCTCTCTAACCATGTGATCTCTACACACCAGCTCCCCTTTGCCCTTCACCATGAATGGAAGAAGCCTGAGGCCCTCATGAGAAGTTGGTAGTGGTGCCATGCTTTTTTGTACAGCCTGCAGAACCATGAGCCAAATAAACCTTCCATTCTTTATAAATTGCCCAGTCTCTGGCATTCCTTTATAGCAACATACATGAACAAAGACAGATGGTAAATTTTCCGTTATGTGCTGTTTGCCACAATAAAAAATTTAAAAAAATTGACAATAAGTACAGGATAGGTGATGGCCAATCAGCCAAGATGCTGGCCATAGAGCAATGCAGACTAGGAATGGGTTAACTTCCAGGTGATATTAACACTGAAGAGG
The DNA here is from genome assembly GCF_000001405.40 of Homo sapiens. Taxonomy (NCBI): domain Eukaryota; kingdom Metazoa; phylum Chordata; class Mammalia; order Primates; family Hominidae; genus Homo; species Homo sapiens. The sequence goes on from NC_000023.11 coordinate 31,797,257, forward strand.
GCTAACAGGGAAAAAAGTAAACTAAGTAGAAATGGTTGGAAGTGACCACAGAGATCACTGAAAAACCAAACCAAACCAGAGAATGTGCAATCTCAGAAACTAACACAATAGAGAATTTAAATTGAAGAGGGATAGGTGATCCTTGGGTAAGACTATTTAAAGGCACTGAGGGTGAGATTACAGAACCCTAGCAAAGGGCAAAACAGTTAATAAATAAAATCTTGTCCAGTAGATTAATACTAATTACGTCTTAAATTAATACTCACCATGTGATGCAATTTAAAAAACAATTATATTTACCAAGAATGTTAGGTAAAATGTGCATAAAAATAGAATTACTTGACCTAATATATTAATAATTTGAACTCAAGAAGCAAACTATAGTAAGAAAGACAGAGTAGAAAGTTTTCAAGTCAATGGATTACTGAAGAGTACATGTGACAGGCAAATAAACACTGGTAGATAAATATATTAAGGAATTTGGAGTGGCAGATTCTTTCTGACATATAGGATGACAAAGAATGTAAAAAATGAAAGACTGGAACAAAAATCAGAGGAGATAAGGGACATATAAAGTGAAATATAAAGAACCAGGAAGATTTATAGGTGGTAAGAATTGGAAGTGACCAACTGGTTTCAAGAAAACAAAGAATCTTCAGTGAGAGGAGCTGAAGACAGGCGTGATGTGGCAACCTCCAAAAAAAGACTTAAAGTGAATTTTTCCGCTACTGCAATATTTTTTTGTTCTCAAACAATATTTTTGCTTTTCTTTTATAGGTGGAAATAGTGAGGATGATAGTACACTGAAAAGACATTTCATGGTTCTGACATTCAAATTGTAAAATATATCGGGTTGAATGACAAAATTACTTCATCCCCCTTTTAAAATTTCTATGGTACTTTTGAGTCTCAAAATCAAGGGAAAACTAATACTTTTGAAGCTCATACAGTTTTTGTTCTAGAAGTTTTGTCTTTTTTGTGAGCATAAATTTACCCAGTGGGTTCAGGAAGAAGATGAGTATTTTTTTTTTTCAAAGCAAACAACGAGACAGCAGGAGGTTGAAAGTTCTCCACATGGAGTTGTCACTCAAGCACTGACATCAAAATCAATGAAAAGTGGCTCCAGTCTTGTGCTAAGTATAATTTGTAGCAGAGAGGAAGTTGGAGGCAAAGTGTGAGGAGAAGAGAGCTGAGAAAAATAGATAGTCAGATATTCAGCAAACACAGGGGAAATAAAGAGGAATAAACCCTAAAGTTGGCAAAATGATCCAAATTCCAAATGGAATGAAGTAAAAAAAAAAAAAAAAGTGGCAGCACCATGTAGTGCAAACATCACTGGACTGAGAATCATTTGACAACAGACACTCTGGGAGTCTACTTGATCTGGGCACCATTCTAGGCACTGGGAGTACAGTGGTAAATGTGGCACAGGCAATGGCCTCATGGAATTTATATTGTGATATAGAAAAGAGACAGGAAATATACATTTAACATCATTTTAGATTATATGAAAGGCAGTAAAGCAAAACAGAGCCAGGAAAAAAGTAAGAGAGTGAGAGGGTTGCAAGTTGGGCTAGGGTCTATGAAAAACTAGCCCTTAGCTCATTATGAAGGTTTGGATGAGACTTTTTATCCCTCTAAATTTCCTTAGCTCCCCTAGCTAGCTTTGTCTCTGGAACAAGATGACAGTTTATTTCATCTTTATTTCCATTTCTTTACATACTTCCTCTTTTACTGCTACTACTCATTCTCCACTTCTCTTTTTCACTCCCCTTTGGTACTCCTTGTTTCCAGAAGACTCTGATCCCCAGCTCAAGGGTTCCTTCTCTGTACTGAGTCTTGCTCGTAATTATCTTGTGTAACTTCAGGATTTCTATATTGAACAATACGCTGATTTCTATTTCTGCCTTCCTCATTCATTCCCAGGTAATGGGGATTCAATGAAAATCGACAAGAGGGGATGTTGGTTGTATTAGTCTGTTCTCATGCTGCTATGAAGAAATACCCGAGACTGGGTAATTTATGAAGAAAACAGTTTTAATTGATTCACCATTCTGCATGGCTGGGGAGGCCTCAGGAAACTTACAATCATGGCAGAAGGCACCTCTTCACAGGGTGGCAGGAGGGAGAATGAGTGCCAGCAGGGGAAACGCCAGACACTTATAAAACCATCAGATCTCATGTGAAATCACCCACTATCATGAGAATAGCATGGGGGAAACTGCCTCCATGATTCAATTACCTCTCACTGGGTCCCTCCCATGACACCTGGGGATTTTGGAGATTACAATTCAAGGTGAGATTTGGGTGGGGACACAGCCAAAACATATCATTCTGCTCCTGGCCCCTCCCAAATCTCATGTCATCACATTTCAAAACACAATAATGCCTTCCCAACAGTCACCCAAAGTCTTAACTCATTCCAACATTAACCCAAAAGTCCAAGTCCAAAGTTTCATCTAAGGCAAAGCAAGTCCCATCCGCCTATGAGCCTGAAAATCCAAAACAAGTTAGTTACTTCCAGGATACAATGGGGGGTACAGGCATTGGGTAAATACACCTGTTCCGAATGGGAGAAATTGGCCAAAATAAAGGGGTTACAGGCCACATGCAAGTCTTAAATCCAATAGGGCAGTCATTACACTTTGAACTGCCCAAATGATCTCCTTTGACTACATGTCTCACATCCAGGTCATGCTGATGCAAGAGGTGGGCTCCCATGGCCTTGGGCAGCTCTGCCCTTGTGGCTTTGCAGGGTACAGCCCCCTCCCAGCTGCTATCATGGCTAGCACTGAGTATCTGCAGCTTTTCTAGATGCATGGTTCAAACTATCAGCATTTCTGACTATTCTGGGGTTTGGATGATGGTGGTCCTCTTCTCACAGCTCCACTAGGCAGTGCCCCAGTGGGGACTCTGTGTGGAGCTCCGACCCCACATTTTCCTTCTGCACTGTCCCAGCAGAGAGGTTTTCCATGAGGGCCCTGCCCCTGCAGCAAACTTCTGCCTGGACACCTAGGCTTTTCCATACATCCTCTGAATTCTAGGCAGAGGTTGCAAACCTCAATTCTTGACTTCTGTCCAACCCCAGGCCCAACACCACATGTAAGCCACTAAGGCCTGCACCCTCTGAAGCAACAGCCTGAGCTGTACTTTGGCTTCTTTGAGCCACAGCTGGTATGCAGGGCACGAAGTCCTGAGACTCCACAAAGCAGCACGGCCCTGTGCCTGGCCCGTGAAACCATGTTTTCCTTTTAGGCCTCTGGGCTTGTGATGGGAGGGGCTGCCATTAAGACCTCTGACATGCCCTGGAGACATCTTCCCCATTGTCTTGGCGCTTAACATTTGGCTCCTTTACTTAAGCAAAGTTCTGCAGCCAGCTTGTATTTCTCAGAAAATGGGTTTTTCTTTTCTATCACATTGTTAGGCTGCAGATTTTCCAAACTTTGATGCTCTGCTTCCCTTTAAAACAAAGTTCCAATTTCAGATCATCTCTCTCAAGTTCAAATTTCCACAGATCTCTAGGCCAGGGGAAAATGCTGCCAGTCTCTTTGCTAAAGCTTAGCAACAGTGTCCTTTGCTCCAGTTCCCAAGAAGTTCCTAATCTCCATCTGAGACCACCTCAGCCTGGACTTCATCGTCCACATCACCATCGGCATTTTGGTCAAAACCATTCAACAAGTCTCTAGGAAGTTTCAAATTTTCCCACATTTTCCTGTCATCTTCTAGCCCTCCAAACTGTTCCAACCTGTGCCTCTTACCCAGTTCCAAGTCACTTCCACATTTTCAGGTATATTTACAGCAATACCCCACTCTCTGCAGTACCAATTTACTGTATTAGTCCGTTCTCATGCTGCTATGAAGAAATACCCAAGACCGGGTAATTTATAAAGAAAAGAGGTTTAATAGACTCACAGTTCCGCATGGCTTCAGAGGCCTCCGGAAACTTACAATCATGGAGGAAGGCACCTTTTCACAGGGTGATAGGAGAGAGAATGAGTGCCAGCAAGGGAAATGCCAGATGCTTATAAAACCATCAGATCTCATGAGAACTCATTCACTATCACGACAACAGCATGGGGGGAAACAAACCCATGATTCAATTACTTCCCCCTGGGTCCCTCCCACAACACATGGGAATTACAGGGATTACAATTCAAGGTGAGATTTGGGTGGGGACACAGCCAAACCATATCATTGGTCAAAGGGCACAAACTTTCAGTTATAAGATGTCTGGGGATCTAATGTACATTATGGTTACTATAGTTAATAATACTTTACTGTTTACTTGAAATTTGCTACAAGACTGGATCTTAAGTGTCCTCATCCCCCCCCCCCAACACACACACAATAGTAACTATTTCTTGTGCTAGATGTATTAATTAATTTGATTGTGGTAATCATCTCACAATATAGTCATATAAAATCATCATGTTGTATACCTTGAATACATACAGTTTTTATTTCTCAATTATACTTCAATAAAGCTAGGTAAGGAGGAGGCAGAGTATGTCCTCAAGAAGCTCACAATTGAGTAGGGGGAACAACATGAATTCAAATTGTCCCACAAATAAATATAAGATTTGGTGTGTGCTCTGGAAGAGGAGTATAAATAGTGCCATTTACACTAACCTAGTTTGGGAGGTAAGGAGCGTCTTTCCTGAGTATAACATTTGAGCTGAGACCTGAAAAGTGAGTAGGTATGAGGTCAAAAATTCAAAAGGATAGTGTCTCAATCAGAGAGACCAATATGTGCAATGGCTTTAAAAAACAGAAAATAAGCACTTTCATAAGCAAAACAAAACTAGGAGGGAGGTCAATGTGGAGATAAGAGAGTAAGTAGTTCACAGTATCTGGTATAAGGATGATGAAATGGAAAGGGTCACACTATACAAGATCCTGTGGGATATCATTTCTTTTTTTGAAATTTTTATTTTGAGATAAATGGTAAGGTACTGGAGCATTTTAAACAGAGTTCTGTCTGTCATCAAATTTATATTTTGAATTTTCACACAGCTAAGATGCATAGGAGAGAAGAAATGAATGAGGAGAGATTAGGTTTGGATGACAGTATTATTTAACCCAATAACCTGCATAGTGTTACAAGTGAAAGGTGGGACTATTAGTCACTCTGAGGCAATGACATAAAGCATGTTTTCTCTAGGCAAATCAAGACTATGATCATCCTAATATAAGACTACTGTAACAGTCCAGGAAAGAGATGATGAGATTGTACAGGGGTATGCAGGATAAATCTAAAAATGAAAGCTGAACCAAGAAATATTTAGGAGCAAAAAAATCAACTGAACTTAGTGGTGGATGTCCAGCAGGGGTGAGGTGGGAAGGTTTTAAGAATGACCCCCAAGATTTTGTTACTGGATAGCTAAGTGGTGCTACAAAACCTGAAGAAAGGAATATATCAGGGGAAGGTCATGCATTTCATAGCAGTAAAAGATCATGAGATTATTTTTGAGACATCTAAGTGGAACTGTTGAGTAGGCAGTTAAATATGCAGTATGGAATACAGAGGAACTTTTTTCATGCCTTAAAGTCTTCTCCTCTTTCAGTTCCATTTTTCTTATTGTTGTCTTTGGGTCCCCTGAAAACAGGGCCTGGATGAGGACTTGGGTACAGATAGCTCATTTGGAAGCTGATCCCTAGGAAGCAAGAATGAAAAACCAAAAGAGTGAGACAGAGGGGGAGGAAATGCCAATCAAATGTATTATCATCAAGGTAATGCTTATGGACCATGGGGACTGTATTTTGACAGAACTTTTGTATGTTCCTGAGAATCACAGAGAATTCCCCTTGCCCCCGGAAGGAATAGTGGTTAAAAATATATCCATGGGCTCCCATCTCCATTGGTTGAAGGTTGCTCACTCACTAAAACTTCAAGGGTGAGAAAGCTCACAAAATCTGTGGGCTCCTGGGATGTCAGAGAAGTCCCTTAGATAGAAAGTAGAAAAATGGGAGCCATTCCCTTGACATGGGATGCTGTCAGCTAAAGGCAAGTCTGAACTCACACAGGGCTGTCCACTGCAGCTGCAACTGCAGTGCAGGAAAATGGCGTGTGACTCCAGGCACCAGGGGAATCTGTTACAATTGTGATGATAATCTTTTGGAAGCTTTTATTTTCTTTTACAGTGAAATCTGTCTTATCTATAGATGATTACATAGAACGTACACATAAAGTGTGAAGAATAATTATAAAGCAACACTTTATGTAAATACAACCCCAATCAAGAAATAGAATACTGCTAATACCTTGACCCCACCCTTGTGTTCCCCACAGCACAATCGCCTCCATCTCCCTGGAAGTAACCATTCTCCTGAATTTTTCTCCTTTTCTTTTCTTTCCCTCCCTCCCTCCCTCCCTCCCTCCCTTCCTTCCTTTCTTTGTCTTCCTCTCTCTCTTTCTCTGTTTCTCTCTCTCTCTCTCTCTCTCTCTTTCTTTTTATTTTTTGAGACGGAGTTTCACTCTTGTTGCCCAGGCTGGAGCGCAATGGCACAATCTTGGCTCACCGCAACCTCCACCTCCTGGGTTCAAGCGATTCTCCTGCCTCAGCCTCCCGAGTAGCTGGGATTACAGGCATGCGCCACCATGCCTGGCTGATTTTGTATTTTTAGTAGAGACACGGTTTCTCCATGTTGGTCAGGCTGGTCTCAAACTCCCGACCTCAGGTGATCCACCCACCTCGGCCCCCCAAAGTGTTGGGATTACAGGCGTGAGCCACCGTGCCTGGCCTCTCCTTTTACTTTTTACCTGCTGCCTTCTCCAGCCTAGATGTTTAGGTGTTCTTACCCTCGAGACTTCAGCTTTGTTTTATCATAACGCTGGTTAACTCTGGCATCCATATTTTTAGCCTAAACTTCTCTCCTGACTCATATGCTCAGTTACCTCAGTGGCCTTGCAAAACTAGATGTCTAAAATTGAACTCACAGTTCCCCTGAACCCTAAAATACTCCATAGTTTAGTAATTTCTACCACGGTCTACTCGGTTTATCAAGCCAAATGCCTGGGTGTTCTATTCGCGTTCTCTGTATCTCTCCATTTTATGTCCAATCAGTTACCAGGGCCTGTTGTTTCCACGTGCCAAGTATCACTTGAATCTGTCTACTTTGTCTCCATTCCCTTTATTACTTCTTTAGTTTAGGTCATTATTATCTATCACCTGAACCACTGGAATAGCCTCCAAAGTTGCTCTTATCCAATCAGTTACCTATTCTTCAGCCAGAGTAATCCCTCTAAAACCCAAATATGCTCATGTCACTAGTCTCTCTACAATGCTTCAGTGGCTTTCAATTACCCTTCAAATAAAATGTGTTTGATTTCTCTAACATGTCTTAAAATGCAGTTTGCGAACATGCATGCATTTCCAGCATCATCTGGAATGTCCTCCCTGACACATCGCTCCTCACCCATTCCCAACCCCAACTCAGTGCTTCAGCCATACTGATATTTTTAAAACGTGCTAGGCTCCATTTTGCCTCCAACTGTTACTTGTTTCTCTTGCCTGGAACACTCTCCCCTACTTGTTTGCCTAGGTACACCTACTTATCCTTCAAGTCTCATCTTCAAATTTCCTTTTTTTTTTTTTTTTCCAGAATTTTTCCTCTGACATCGCTCTGTTGCAATACTCCAGACTGGGTGAGGTGATTCTTCCTGATTCTTCCCTAGTATTCTACATCCTAGTATTTGTCACGTACAGTTATTTAGTTTTCTTACTTTCTAGGAGTCTAGGAATCACGCTTATCTTGATCCATATTGTATCCCTAGAATCTAACACACAGGAGGGCACACAGTAATCCTTAATAAATTATTTGTCAGATTAGTATATTGATAAATTAAGGATACAAATGAGTAACCTACAGTTAAAGAAGGAACTGCACCAGTTAAGTCAAATAGTGTACTGGAAAATGGCTTCTTATCCCCCTGATGGTGACATCTCCTGCTGCCTGTAACTATATAATTTAACTCTTCCTAACTAATTCATTATTTAAATGATAGTCAGTTGAAGTGGCATTATCATAGCTCTTTTCTGCTAATCTATGACGCTGCTTTGGGAGACCATTCTACCTTTGTACAAGTATGCCATTTCAAGTTTCAAAGAAAGCTGAGATGTGGTGTATAACATTTTAATCTCGAGAACTATGAGCAGTAATTAGATTTCCCATAATATCGAAATTATTACTTCTACTTAGGTATATTTAAGGGTACTTCAATATCTAAATATATGGGACTTATAGTCATGAGAATTTAGAAAATCTAAGACCTAGTTATCCCCTTTCTTTGTATTTTTTGATGCTGAGATAGGAAAACGTTATCCAAAGTGAGAACAAATGTTTTAGGCTCGAGTCCTTTTATATAACTACTACTCATCATTTTTTCAAATGATAGTGGAACACTCTTAAGAGTTGTACCAGGTATTTCACATCTCTTTATTCTTTCCATGAGTGGCTTTATAAATGTCCATTCTATGCTAAGTAAGTGGTATTCTTTGTTCTGAGTAAGCATTAATAACACTGCTGATGATAAGAAATATTTTTTCCCCTGGAGGAAGCCTTAAGAAGATTAGGGAAACACATTAAACAATCTATATTCCCTTTATTAGCTACAAGGAATCTATTGACTAGTATTTATCTAAAACAGGGGTCAGTGAACTACGGCTTGTGGGCCAAATCCAACCAACTGCCTGTTCTTGCAAACACACTTTTATTGGAACACAGCCACACTTATGCATTTACAAACTGCCTATGGCTGCTTTGCACCTCATTAGCAGAGTTGAGTAACTTCAACAAAGATCTTCTGGCTTGTAAAACCCAAAATATTTACTATCTGGCTTTTTACAGAAAAAATTGGCAAAACTTCGACCAAAACCTTCTTGAAGTGACTTACATTACTAACCTATACCTCCCGCTGAAACAGTAAATTATATAAACCAATAATTGACTTTATAAATATGGATTTTTTATTTGCCTCAAATCGTGTCTTCCAAGATTCAAATGGCATCCCCTAATTGCAATGTATTATGATTTGGTGAATAAATTCTTGTTCTCACTACTGTAGTTAGAAGAAAAATGGACTAGGAATACGAAGAGAAAAGATTCTGTCCTGATTCTCCTCTTATTCAGTTTCCTCAACTGCGGGAATTTATAATCTTCATTCTTAAGGGAAATTTTAGATAATATATACATGTAAACAATTTTATTATTTTTTGATCAGATGGATTTCAATATTTTGTTTTCTTCACTCTAGGGTTCACTAACTACAGTCATAACTTGTTTCAGTTGATATTCATGTGACAGTCTGATCAAATGTATCATTTGTTCAGTTATTCTGCTACCTCCAATTTATTCCTTGAGTGTGCATCCCTTGGTATGGCTTATTGCTGACCTCATTATTTCTGCCCACGCAGGTCTATCCACTCATTCATCTCAATCCACTTGCATCCATGGCCTTGCTCACACTGGGTTTTACTATAATGCTTCAGATTTATCCAGATGAGAAAAATAAATTCCAGCCAAGAAGCATGCTTAAGTGGGACACTGGCTAGAGGAAAGGTCAACAATATCCATTATGATAAGTGGTAACACCTCTGTTAACTCCCTTTTTATTTTACAGAAATTTTATTATCATCTAGTCCAGTGACTTTTAGTATTTTTAAAGCATACAACCCTTTTTTCAAGTGAGCTCCTAAGAAGAAATCCGGTATGTGAAGCCTAAAAAGGGCGAGAGCAACAGACTGGTTGAAATTGCAGATGGGAGGCAAAGGGAAGTATGAACATATGTTGGAGGAAACTCTACCCTTTTGACGGCCGAAGGGGACGCTTTCCAGAAGAGGTGATGAACTCTATGTTTCTGGTTTGTGTGATTGATTGAAGTTCCAGCCCATATTCATTTCTACGATTTCATGCTGTAGGCAATTGGGTCCACTTATTCACCACAGCCACCGAACAAAGAAAACACTAGAAAATACTTTCAGAGAATCAGGTCTGAACACAAAAAAGAATTTTCCAAGGGAGTCGTGGTGCCCTTAAGATTAAATGAAGTGCTGTTTAAACATATTTATTTAATTGATTTTGACTTGCAGCAGGGTGCTGGACTATGGTACCCTATAGATTTTCCAGATCTACTTTTTGTAATTCTGCTGCTGTACTGGCTTTTTGACCTTGAATTGACAGTTACAGATGTGGGAGAATAAATAAAGCTAAGTAGTAACACTGTGGGAGAATCAAGCCTATCATCTTAATGTCTTTTTCTCTCCTGATTGCCTTCTATTCTAGAGGAGCCAAAAAAAGAAAAGAAAAGAAAAGAAAAGAACGTATATATTTCTTCATATTGAAACCACTTCCGTAACTCTGAGGTTATAGTATTAAGCTTCAAAGGTACTACTACTTAAGGCCCAATTCCACCCACGGAGATTTAATAAAAGATTTAGATGTCATGCAAAACGGAAAAGAAAGGGGAAGAGAGAGTATTGTTGTTTAATTTCATTTGGAAAATATGTACAAAAGCATGCACAATATGGTAGAATTGGTCCTAGAGTATATGGAGTCTTCATTCATAGACTGCATGACCAAGATTCAGTATGTTTAACATAAAGGTAAAAGACAGGCATGAACTTTATAAAGACTCAGGTTCAAGGCCATGCTGTGCCCACTTAGTAGCTGGGTGTTTTTGGATAACCATTCTCTCTAGGCTTTCATTTCCTCTCATGGTGAAAAATAATAATAATGTAGTACCTATTTCATAAGGCTGCTGTAAGATTAAACAGAAAAATGCACAAAGAATACTTGGCAAAATGCCTGGTACAGAGCAAGGCATTAATGCGTGTTAGCCCTAAGATAAATATTAGGTATGTTCGGGTCAATGCAAAAGCTAGGGGGAATAATCGAAATGAAAGCAGGTATTATTTTTGAAAATGGCTATGATAGGCCTATATATTACTGGAATAGAACCAAACTGTGAGACCTTAGAGACCCTCCAGGAGAGTTAAACATGAAGTGACAATGTTGTTTTGCCTGATTTACATCAGACTTATGTTGTTAAAGCACCCCTTTTTTCAATATGAAGCATTTATTCACCCAGATAATGGATACAAATCCATGCATTCAAATGTTCCTTGGAGTCAGAGATCAAGATGGAAATCCCCAGAATCATAGAGATTTGCGTCTGTAAACTGGCTTATTATATTCACATTCAAAGAGGTTGGAAGGGGCAGTGTCAGCTTTTTAACTAGAATCTTTTCATTACTTCTCCCTGTTGGGGTTGCAACACATGCTGTGAGTGACCTCCAGAGATTCCTCAAGCTGTATGCAGGCAGCAAATTGAATCTGAAAGCTTTATTAGACAAGTTTTTCTTGTCTTTCAGCTGGTGGGAGTGGATGTCAGTTGTATTGGAAAAAATAAAACTTCTTGTGAAACTGGGTCCTGACCTTGAAAAAAAAGCTCAAATCGAAGTGTACAATTCAATCCTGAGTTATGTGCTTATTTGTTAAACAGTGTGCAGGTTCAAAGGAAAAGGGCATATTTTACCTTAAAGAAATAAGAATCAACAATAAAAATAATAGGAGTTCTGTTTTGATCATGCTGAACTTAGTAAGCAAAAGTGCCTATCACCAAATCACATAGTTATGAAAAGTATGCTAATAATCGAAGAAACAATTCCCATTCACTTCAGTATGACAAGAAAACTATTATAATCCATAATGAACATTATAGAACATTTATTTATATTGTGTATTCATACATTTCTTTGAGAATAAAGAAGAGTCCTGGGAAAATGAAGGGACATTGGAGATTGGCTAGTTTGTTTTATTTCAATATTGTCTCTCATATATACATATAAAATCTCTTATATATATATGAGTTTATATATAAATATATATGAGTTTATATATAAATATATATGAGTTTATATATATATGAGTTTATATATAAATATATATGAGTTTATATATATAGTTTCCTATATAAAAACTATATAGAGATATAGCTATCTGTATATATAACCATATATAGTGACATGTAATATATATATAAACTATATACAGTTATATGTCTATATAGCTATATATATATAGTGATGTAATTTAGTTCCTGGTTTTTAATATTGGAGAACAATTATGAGTTTTTTTGAAGGTGTGATAATTATTCCAGAAGTAGGAATTGAAAGTAGTATAATTTTGACTTTTTTTTTCCTATTGTAGGTTTATATTGCAATTTAAGTGGGTACTGGTATAGTTAGTGCTGCTAGCAATTTTACCTAAATATTAGGATACCTAGATTGTTTGTCTAATGAACTCAGCATGGGCTGGCAAGCACTTTGGAAATAAGAGTAAAACATATTTTCATAAAAATACTGAAGATGAGAGAAGGAATAAACCTTATGAATTTTAAGAGGAAGGTAGCATGTAAAGCAGAGGTTCTCAAATTTGATTTCAAGACACAGTCAAGAATGAGGGTTTAAGGAGATAGGGGTTATATCTGGCCTGGAAGATTTGCATCAATGCCATAGAATATCCCTCTTTGATCAGCACTGTAATCTTAAAAAAATAGGGCTTACTACTGAGATTGTGAAGATATATATATATATCTGTCAGCTGTGTCTCAGCAGGGAACAAAGTTGAGATATATAAGAATGCTGAAGAGCACTGAAATTAAACTCAGGAGATGTGGGGTTGGGTCCAGATTCTGCCACTAAACAGCTGGTCAAGCACGCGATCATTTAATCTTCTTGGTATTATTATTATTACATGGGAAGGTTGATGTATTTGATCTATCTGTAAAATATATGTTCACTTGACCAAAAAATATTAGTGCAATACCTACCATATGCTAGTCATTGAATTAAAGCTAGACACACCTGGTATTTGGCATGTAAACGTAGGAAAAGGGTATATATAGACTTTATGATGTGACAGAGTCATGGGAAGACCAGTAATTATGGAACAGCATCCAATTCTGAAGCCCACAACAGAAAAATAGTATGGAAAACACTTGGAAGGGTAGGAGGAGGGCCACAGAGACGTTAAAAATTTGAGAAACAGCTGTTTTGTTGCCAGACCATGGGGACTCATCTGATTTAAGATAGAAAAGAAAAGTGGGAAGGAGATTAAATAACAGACCTCAAAGAATGAACACTGTCGAAATGTACAGTAAGCATAAATGTATTTTTCCTATTCGAATAAAAATAATTTAGACAGTAACTGGAACTTAGGTTAGGTAGTTGAAAAACTGTCAAGTATAGCAGATTGGTAGAACTCCATCTGCTCTTCACTTTTTAAGAAGAGAGTTGGCAGTTACGCTTCTAAGATTGCTTCTAATAGAATGAGAGCCTTTCCTGAGATAGTGGAAAAGAAAGAATGACTGTTCAAATACTTTTCAGACCACAATCTTAAAATCGACAATTGAAGTACAAAACTGCTACAATTTCCTTTCGAAATCTTGTTTCTCTCTGAAGGTAAAGTTATATTCAATTTTAAAACTATTCAGTGAAGTTTTAGGAAATATTAGGAATACATGTTGAAGCCTTCCATTTTGAGCGGTAGGGTACTTACTCTCATAAATATGCCTAAATAGTTCTGGTTTCTTGGTCAGAGTATGACAGTCAAGATTATGGTATACTCTGTAGTGATTTCAAGCAAAAGTCCTTTCTTGAAGAGTGTTAAATAGCATAAGAAGGTTAAAGTAAGTTTACTGTAATTAACATTTTATTTCTGTTAAAATGCAGGACATAGGTAATCAAAAAATCTCTAATCATCAGAATTGATGTTAGCCTTCTCTTTTTCCTAGAAATGATGAACTAGAGTTTCTCTTCCTTCATCAGTTCAGACCCCAAAGCACAACCCTAACTGGAAATGGTAACCATGCAATAAAACTACCAAAAGGTTAAGAGAGGGAGAAGAAAGGGAACTTCATCACAAAATGGATAATTAACATCTAAATGCTGAATACTAAATACTAAACAGTAGAAGTTTCACATTCTATCACTGTCTTGGATGTTAACAATGATGCCACTGTAGTGCCTTTCCTGTTAACCAGTGAGCATTGTTGAAGGACCTGGCCTGGGACCAGGGACCCCCTACTGCCTTCATGGAAAGACTTCCTTCTGATGAGTGTGAGAAGTGCTGGGGCCTCACCAGCCAGGGCTTTCTGTTGTCACTCCCCTTTCTACAGTGTGACACATCTCATTATATTTCAAGCACTCTTACCTCACTGATACATACAAATATGAATTTTTAAATTAATTAATTAATGTCAAGAGTTAAGGAGTCTCTCCAGCTGCTCCAAGGCCTTGCAGTATCTTGGGATAGGGTTTAAAATGGATTTATTTTGTTATTGGAACTGATTAAGGGTCTTCACATTTTTTGTACAAAAGCTTGCTCCTGACGTATTAGACTTTGAGGAAGTTTTCAAGGTTTAGAGCCTGTAACTATAAAACCGGCAATAGTATAGCCATGTCGTAAGTGTTTTTAGCAGAGAAATCATCTGTTAATGAGGAAGAAAAAGATTTGGCCTCACGGAAATTTATTTGCCTAATCCTAAAGGTTCACCTGAAGCAGAATCAACAGTGGAAACATAACCACAACAGGAAAGGGTGTGGGTTATATACCCCTCCCCTGCCATGTTTCTATTAATGAGAAGGATCAGGACCCAAGAGAGGAATAAGAATGCAAGAACTAATTGCCATCCTCTTTTTCCTTTGCTGCAGATAAACGAAGGCCATTTTCACAAAAAAAATGATCACTGCAGATAAATGTAGGGTATTGTCACAATAAATTAACCATTTTTTTTTTTTGCAATTTAAGCCAACAAAAGTAGTATGACAAGAGTACATTTAAGTGCCAAGTAACCTCATGCTTTAACTGCCTAGATATTTAAAGTATTATTGAAATGGAAATGGAATGCTTTATTTAACTTTGTAGAGGTGAGTGAAGTTCAAATTAAAATGTATAAATCACCATGGAATACTATGCAGCCATAAAAAATGATGAGTTCATGTCCTTTGTAGGGATATGGATGAAGCTGTAAACCATCATTCTCAGCAAACTATCGCAAGGACAAAAAACCAAACACCGCATATTCTCACTCACAGGTGGGAATTGAACAATGAGAACACATGGTCACAGGAAGGGGAACATCACACACTGGGGCCTGCTGTGGGGTGGGGGGAGGGGGGAGGGATAGCATTAGGAGATATACCTAATGTTCAATGACGAGTTAATGGGTGCAGCACACCAACATGGCACATGTATATATATGTAACAGACCTGCACATTGTGCACATGTACCCTAAAACTTAAAGTATAATAAAAAAAAGTTAAGCAAAAATAAATAAATAAATAAAACAAATAAAAAGGTATAAATAACCTTATATGTGAGGATTTGATATTCAATTTAAATAGAGACTTCAAAAAATTCAAATGAAGATAACTAAATCACTGCTTGATACATGGTGCACTGATTAATAGCATAAGCTCTGGAATCATAGAGACTTATTTTTGAATACCCACTCTGTCACTGACTAGCTCTGTAACCTTGGACAAATTATTTAACCTTTCTGACCCTTGGTTATCTCATCTATAAAATGGGAATTGCAACATAACTTACTCAAAAGGTATAACTGTGGCACTAATTCTAAGACTTGTATTAATTTAGGTTTGCTCAGAAGTAGACCCTGAGACAAGGATTTAAATACAAATAATTCAATTGGGAGCTGATCCCAGAAAGCCATGGTAGAAGAGAAGATAGAGCTGCAGAGCTGAAGATACATATATATCTGTCAGTTGTATCTCAGCAGGGAACAAAGTTGAGATATATGAGAATACTGAAGAGGACTGAAATCAAACTCAGGAGATGTGGGGTTGGGTCCAGATTCTGCCAAAATGGGAAGAAAGCCTACACATCGGAAGGAAGCCTATACGAGGCATGCTAATAAGTATGCTTATCATTGTGGTCAACTGCCCAATTCACTGGAGATTTTTAGTGTGGAACATGCATTGGAGGTGTCCTACCCAAGGGGAGAAGAAGGTGGGATATTTATTGATATGGTTTGGCTGTGTTCTCACCCAAATCTCATCTTGAATTGTAACTCCAATAATCCCCACGTGTTGTGGGAGGGACCATGTGGGAGGTAACTGAATCATGGGGGTGGGGTTTTCCTGTGCTGTTCTCCTGATAGTGAATAAGTCTCATGAGATCTGATGGTTTTATAAAGAGCAGTTTCCCTGCACATGCTCTCTTGCCTGCTGTCATGTAAGAAGTGCCTCTGCTCTTCCTTCGCCTTCTGCCATGATTGTGAGGCCTCTCCAGCCATGTGGAACTGTGAGTCCATTAAACTTCTTTTTCCTGTATAAATTATCCAGTCTCGGGTATTTCTTCATAGCAGTATGAAAACTATGAAGACCAACACCTTTATCCCCCAGCTTTTGTCCATTGGTTAAGTGCTATTCCAGAGATAATCTCCTCCCCAGCTTCCAGCCTGCTCTGCAAGTGGGAGAGCTACTCCTACAGGCAGAGAAAGGACTCAGGAAGACTCACAGGTACTTGTAGTTAGACGCTTCATGGTTTATAGGAAGGCTGAGTGCTAAGGGGAAATGGGTAGCCCACTAAGGGTCAAATCTATCTTACCTGCCTCGTTTCTGTAAATAAAGTGTCACTGGAGCACAGCCATGTCCCTTTATTTAGGTATTGTCTGTGGCTTTTAGTATACAATGACAGAGTTGACCACATGACCCATAAAGCAGAAAATATCTAGTATCGGTCCTTTGCAGAAACAGTCTGTTGATCCCTTATATAGTTGGTAGCACAACTGAGATATCAGAATTTAGGCTTCTTGACCTCCAATACTGTGCTTTCCTAATTACACTTGAGACTTGCTCTCTCCAAACTTAATTACAGGAAGAGATGATTTTACCAGTGTTTAATCAACTAGAAAACTCTGGGCCGGGCGCGGTGGCTCACGCCTGTAATCCCAGCACTTTGGAAGGCCGAGGCGGGCGGATCACGAGGTCAGGAGATCGAGACCATCCTGGCTAACACAGTGAAACCCCGTCTCTACTAAAAAACACAAAAAAATTAGCCGGGCGTGGTGGCGGGCGCCTGTAGTCCCAGCTACGGGGGAGGCTGAGGCAGGAGAATGGCGTGAACCCGGGAGGCGGAGCTTGCAGTGAGCCGAGATCGCGCCACTGCACTCCAGCCTGGGCGACAGAGTGAGACTCCGTCTCAAAAAAAAAAAAAAAAAAAAAAAAAAAAAAAAAGAAAACTCTGTTAACTGGCTCTTCTATATGTCCATATACAATGGGTTATTCATTCCATAGTTATTACCAAGAGACATTTGAATCAAATATCCTGATTTGGAGTCTTCACATTAAGCATGTCTATATGCAATTTCTTTCAAAAATGCTAAATCGGGTATTGTAGAACATTAATGTTCTCAGGCCCAGCAGCTTGTGGATAAGAAAGGATTCACATTGACATTTACAACCAGATTTGCTGGCTCTTTGCCTCCATCTGCCATGCAAGCCTTCAGACCCATGCAAAGTCCTGTCTACCTAAATGATTGTGAAAGTCTCTAGAGGAACTTATGGCTTTTCTTCTCAGAGGTCTCATCCAGGAACACTGAACAGCTCTGCAGGGCAAATACTGCCTGGTTTAGTGTGTTGTCCATCTCCTTGAACTTCTAAGCTATAACATCCTCGGGGTGGGGAGATGGGGAGTAGAGGTGCTAAAATAAGATGGATTTCCCTTTAGCATTCACAGCACTGGATCTCATTGGAATCCCACTCCTTGCTGCACACAGCAGAAGGGATGAATTTATTCTTCCCCACTCACTGTATGTCTGTGGTAGTAGTTCTCAAAGCATAGGCCAGCATCAGCATAACCTAGGAACTTTTCAGAGATGCAAGTCTTGGCTGGGCACAGTGGCTCACGCCTGTAATCCCAGCACTATGGGAGGCTGAGGCAGGTGGATCACCTGAGGTCAGGAGTTCGAGACCAGCCTGACCAACATGGTGAAACCCTGTCTCTACTAAAAATACAAAAATTAGCCAGGCGTGGTGGCGGGTGCCTATAATCCTAGCTACTCAGGAGGCTGAGGCAGGAGAACCGCTTCAACCCAGGAGGCAGAGGTTGCTGTGAGCCGAGATTGCACCACTGCACTCCAGCCTGGGTGACAGAGCAAGACTCAGTCTCAAAAAAAAAGAGAGAGAGAGAGATGCAGGTCTCACCCCAGAGCTAGTAAATCAGAAACTCTGGGGTTGAAGCCCAGTAATCTATACTTTGCGAAGAACTGGGTGGTTCTAACGCATGGTAATTTTTGAGAATTAAGTTGGATTAAGACCAACACTTTTGATCTCCAGTTTCCCTCCTTTTCCCCAATGTAGTGATTTGTGTATAAATACGGTGACAATAAAACCTTCTATCCCCAATATGCATACCCCTTTGATATGCGATGTGGCATCTCCTCCTTTCACGAGATGAAGTAATTTCCTCATCTCTTGAATCTGGGCTGATCTTTTGAGGTGCTTTGACCAATATAACTTAGCAGAAGTAACCTACACGTTTCAAAGCCTAGGCATCAGAAGGTCTTGTAGCTTCCACCCGCCCTCTCTTGGAAAACTGCCCTGAGAATACCATGTAATGAAGCCTAATCTAGCCTACAGGATGATGAGTGGCCTTATGAAGAATCAAGGTTCTGCAACCAACAGCCAGCTGTCAGATATCTGAGAGAGTGCATTTTAGACCATCTAGCTCCTGTTCACTTGCTAGATAACTGCATCCACATAAGTAACACCAAGCAAGACCATCAGAATAACTATCCAGCTAATCACAGAGCAAACTTCAGACACACAGAATTATGAGCAATAAATCACTCGTTTTGAACTGTTAAGTTTTGGGGTGCTTCTATGCAACAATAGAAACTGATATGGACAGGTGTCTAAGCAACAACAATTGCAAGTTTTGCTTTTTTTTTCCAGTATGTTGATTTGTCCTGATAATTAAAACAATTTATACAGCTCAGGCAAGGCCACCCCATTATAATTTATAATTTAAGTAAGCAGCCACAAGGTAGTTTGGTTTAGTGTTCATAAAACAAAACAAGCAACTTTAGGCCTCAGCTTCTACATCTATAAAAGAAGAATACTCAACTAGATAATAATTGCAATAATTATTCCAAGTTTGGATTTCTATGGTTCTAAGAAATTCAAATAGAGTGAACCAATTTTTTCTACTTCTTAAGTAGAAAAAACACAGAAACAGGCCAGTCAAGGTGGCTCATGCCTGTAATCCCAGCACTTTGAGAGGCTGAGGCAGGCGGATCACTTGAGGTCAGGAGTTTAAGACCAGCCTGATCAACATGGAGCAACCCCGTCTTTACTAAAACTACAAAAATTAGCTGGGCATGGTGGTGCGCACCTGTATCCCAGCTACTTGGGAGGCTGAGGCAGGAGAATCGCTTGAACCTGAAAGGCAGAGGTTGTAGTAAACCGAGATCGCACCACTGCACTCCAGCCTGGGCAACAGAGCAAGATTCTGTCACACACACACACACACACACACACACAAAGAAAAAAGAAAGAAAGAAAAGAAAAAACACGGAAACTTGTATCACTTTTACTCCAGATAAATTTAAGATTGAGTTAAATTATATTAACTGCTGGCCAGCTGCATCTGTATCTGTAATTTTCCATTAGGTTCTTGGACAGAGAGATAGTGTAAAGCACAGCCACAAAACAAAACACAGGCTGTGGAGCTTGACATGTGGACTGAAACCCTTGCTTGCTTGCTTTCTAGCTGTGTGGCCTTAATCTAGCTATCTCCCCTCTAAACCTCAGGCTCCTTAATCTTTAAAAATTATCTATATGTTCTTTGCAGTTATTTTGAGGATAAAGACATATATGTTAAAGCTACAAGTATATGTGTAGCTTCTACATATTTAATAGTAGGAATGCAATGGAAACAATCTGCTATAATGAATTATAAATTCTATTACATTGTAATACAGTACATGAAATAATAAACATATACAAGAAGCATAATACAAATTAGATTTTCTTTTTTTATATTGCATTTATTTCTGATTAACTTCCTGCAAGTCAGGAAGTCGGGAATAGAAACAATTCTTTATTCTGATATTTGAACTACCACAGTAAAGAAAAAAGAAAATCTTATTTTAATAAAAGCAGCTCTGAATTTAAATGACTACCTTTTGTTTTTTTTTTCATTCAACATTTGTGTATTTAACATCTTGACTTAATGCTCAGATCTGTTTCGGTTTGCTAAAGAGGATGAAAAGCACCTGCTTTTGAGAAAATTCCTCTTTCCCTTAATTCTTTTTTAGCTACTACCACAACTCTGCCAGCTATCACCAAACAGCTTTGAGCTGAGGGCATTCCCAGACTCTCCATACTGGCAGCAATGTGGAGGACATAGGAGAAGACAAGAGTGGTGGGGGGTGATGAGACCCTCATGTTGGGGAGAAGGAAGTAGGGCAGTGCTATGAAAGATGAGTATCTCTCATGGCTTCCATCACACTTCCCCTGACCCACTCCTCTAGTCTCACTGATCTCCTTAATATTCCGTCATCTTGTTCCTACTTCAGTATCGTTGCTCAGTCTTTTCTCTCCCTGCCTGGAATAATTTTCCCAGAAATACACCAGGCTCACTTCCTCACTTACATCAGTTTTCTGATGTTCTCTTAACAGACAAGCTTCCCTGACCACACTATAGACAATAATACCCTCATCCCATCTCCCTGCTTAGTTGTTCTCTGTAATGGTGTTTCTCAAATGTCAGTGTGCACAGGATTCACCTGGGGATTCTATTAAAATGCAGATTGTGATTCAGTGGGTCTAGGATAGGGGCCTCAGATTCTGTGTGTCTAACAAATACCCATTGACATCAATCTGTAGACTACACTCTACAGCACTTATAATTATTGAGACAGTATATATTTTCTTCATTAGTTTATTGTCTTTCTCTTTCAATTACAATATATGTTTTATGAAAGGAGAGACTTTTATTCTATGCTGTACTCGCAGCACCAGTATGATGCTCAACACATGGAAGTTAATAAATAAAGTGGATGAATTATATATGTTGCTGGAAGTCAAAACTGGAACTTCCAATGTATTTTTCTTATAAACATTGTTACATTTAGGTAAGTTACACGTTAAATGGATTTCGGCGCCCTGGTTTTGGAGCCTTCCTACCATGTGTAACGTGGCTTATATGGGACATAAACTCATGAGTTCAGAGTTTAACAAACTTATAAAACATCATTGGAACATAATCTCTTCATGGAGTTACAGAGTCTGAGGCTGAACCTACCAGAGACAGCCAGAAAACAGACACCAATAAATGATAACATAGGAACAAACTATGCATATGCGCTGAGGGAACCAAAAATTACAGCTCATAAAAACAAATAAACCTGACACAGTTGAGTATAACCCTGATACAGCAATTTCAGTGTCCCAGATTGACAAAAAAAAAAAACCATAATGCTTAAGTCTCCAAAGTCGTTAAATCTAACTCTGATGACTGCCGAGTAATCCCAGAGGGCACATGAGATGCACTGTCCCCAGATTGTAGGGCTTCTTTTAATCCAAGCACTATTTATGCCTTCTAATGAATTATGATTGTGCTACCCCAGCTGTGATTCTTCCAGTTCAGTATTTTTCTACTTGACATAAAATAAAAATCAACTTTACCTGAAGAACCAGTCACCATGCTTTAATGCTTCAATCATTTGATCTTTGAAAAGCAGACAAGGCAAAAAAAAAAACAAAAACAAAAAACAACACCCAAAGATGTTTTTAGTTCTGCCTAATTATGGAATGGTACAGCAAAGAAGTTTTCTGGCCTCTTTCCCCTGAGAGTCAAAGCCAGCATTAACATTGCCATGAGAATTTATGAATACCTTCTATCAACAACTGAAGAGGAAAGAAAATAAAATAGACTGAAAATATGCAGTGAAAACAAAAGTTAAAACTACAGCTAAATGAGGAAATATTCCTCCCCCAAGTCAGCTTGTGGTCCTCCCAATCCATTTTTCTTTTTCTTGAACTAAAAATGGGAGAGCTCTTAAATTGTTTGCAAATGGGACAGGGAGAGGTGCTAGTAGGACTGTGTGTGTTTCTGTGGTTTCTGTGATTTTTGTAGACATACTTGTCCCTCTTCAGGAACAATGCACACATCCCTGGATGCTAGGAATATTGGTTGTTAATGGTGTTCCTTACTAAGAATTGCCTTCGGCCTCAGAAAACTTGTCCAAGTTGTCCTTCCACTCTCAGGCAGCAGCCAGCCCCTGGCCAATGGCTGGCTGGATCAGGAATACAAGGGCCAGGCCCACTGCCTGCAATTCAGGACAGC
Source organism: Homo sapiens (assembly GCF_000001405.40). Lineage (NCBI taxonomy): Eukaryota > Metazoa > Chordata > Mammalia > Primates > Hominidae > Homo > Homo sapiens. Next base: position 31,819,632 of record NC_000023.11, read on the forward strand.
TCTGCACAGCCAGCCCAGATGTAGGGCTCCTGCGAGACTGGCTTAGGCCTCTGCTGCAGACAAATCACATTTCAGACTCTCCCACAATCTCCCTTGTGCTCTTCTCTTCCTTGTGGGTGTATCTCCAGAGAACACTCCCCATATCCCGTTGTCATGCAACACTTTGAATCAGAGTCAATTTCCAAGGAATGTACTCTAAGACTTTTTGCACAGTCAATAACACAAAGGTTTATCTCTATCTTTAGAATTGAAACAAATTTTCTCTCTCACCCAGTCATCACTTCATAGTTGCACTTTTGAACAAATAGCTAGAGCCAAAGAGAATGGGATCCAGTATACTTACAGGCTCCAATAGTGGTCAGTCCAGGAGCTAGGTCAGGCTGCTTTGCCCTCAGCTCTTGAAGTAAACGGTTTACCGCCTTCCACTCAGAGCTCAGATCTTCTAACTTCCTCTTTAACAGAAAAGCATACACATTACTTATTCGATTAACACTTTGAAGATAATTCATGAACATCTTAATCCATTTGGTGAATATATTATTGGATTTCTATTATATTTTACTTCTAAATTAACTTTAGTGGGTAGAATTTCTTTTAAAGGAATTATAATTATTTTAGCCAACCACCCTACAAATATTTATCAATTGCTCCATACAAAAACCCTTTCTCCAGGCATAATTTTATTTAAAGGAAGTAGAGTGCAAACATTAGTGAAAACAAACCAACAAAAAACAGTTCCCTCTCAGCAACTAGCTTAATTCTTGAAGAGTATCTATTGTGGTTGCATACTAAAATTATCCAGATAACTTTAGGAAAATCCTAATGTACTGGCTCACCCCCAGTCAATTATATCAGAGTCTCTTAAAGGGAGGGGCTGCAGTGGACACGGGAATATGCTACTCAGAGCCCCCTTCAAAGAAAGACTCTTGTTCTAGATGATGGAAATGATGTCAGTAGACATTCTTCAACTGTCAGTCCCTTCAGGGACTGCCTGAGCTGCAGAGAGCTGCCTTGTCCAAGTTCATGCCTTTCCCCAGGCAGCCCTCATTCAGTGACTGATGAAGGTGAAAGTATAGAGGCCTAATTTGGCTCAAAGCAGGACAAGTTTGAAGGGCTACTTCAGCTGCAGAGCTCCCCGTGGCATAAGGCAAGCCTGTATATGGCCAGTGGTGTGCTGGTAGATGTATATCAACTGGATCTCTGATCTCAGGGTGTTTAAAAACACCTTGTTTTTAGTGTTTGCCAATTTCTGTGGTGTAAATATTCCTACCACGGTTAAATTTAAATTACCAAGAAGATAACATCAAGTGGCTCAAAAAATGCCTGGCAATATAACAGTAGGCCGTCCTGAGCTGGTTCCACTTCACTGGGCAGCTAGCTATACGATAATTTATAGCCAGCAGAATGTGAGCAGAAGTGTTGTTTGTCAGTTTGGGGCTGAGGCTTTGAAAAATTTAGTGAGGTTTCCACATTTTTTTTCCTTTCTATTGCTGGAAGCAGAAGACTCTTAGGTCCTACGGCAAATCTTTACAACTTACTGAGGAGAGAATTAAGTCCTAACGCCCTAGGGCAGTTGTTCTCATACTTTAGGATCAACAGAATCACCTGGAGACCTTGCTAATTGCTGCATGGTAGCCCCGGAGTTCTGGATTTAGTAGATACTGGGTGGAGCCCAATAATTTGCATTTTTAACAATTTTCCAGGTGGTGTTGATGCTGATTGTTCATGACAAAATCCTAAGATATCTATTACACCTAATCAGTTACCTGAGCATTTATCATAGACTAGATATGTACCATTCTTGAGAACATAATAGACCCTCAGATCATTTTCAATAGGATTTCATCCTCTTGCGAAACCCGAGCAGAGAAAAGCTACCAAGGGAATGGCAGGCAGAGGAAGAAGATGAACAGGACCTAGGTTTCTGCAATAACATATGTAAGAAAGCTGCTTGACTAGGAAAACATACGCTGGGTTGTCATGTGAGCAAGAAAAGAACTCCTATTGTGTTAAGCCACTGAAATATTTAGTTCATTACAAGCAGCAATACCTTACCAGTATAGTAGCACTAGTCACAAAAGCTTTACCAGTGCCTATAAGAGATAATAGCTGCGTTTTTGTATCACTGTAAATTCCTATGCTTACCTTATGAGGAATACAAATAACTTGATTGATGTCGGGTTTGGTTAAAATAAATACATTAGCAGAAATTGCATTTCTAGTCTGAAGAATCAGAGTTGGAAAAGAGCCAGAAACTACAAACTCTTTAAATAGGAATGGAATGAACCCAACCTAACTGGAATGTTTCATATACACGTTGTAGTTTAATGCTAATCATTAATTTAATGCGAATCATTTCAATGAAACCATTACTTTATTTATTCCAGAAAAATAATTGTTCAGGTGCTACTCTGTGCCAGACTTTGTGCCAGTTACTAAGCTTACAAAACTGAAGTTCGTAACCTCTAAGCATTCACAGACATGTAAGTAAATTAGAACAGAGATTTTAGGAAAAAATAATGATTTCAACAAGACACCTCGGGGGAACAGCTTAACTCAGCCTGGAGAGGTCAATAGGTTACCCACAAAAGCTAACATTTGAATTTATTTTGAAAGACGACTAGGAAGTTTTCAGAAGGGGCCATTCAAGCGCCAGGTGGAAAAAGGGCATTTCAGACAGAAGGAAAACTACGTGCAAAATGGCAAGAGGTATCGAGCCTTAAAAAAGAAATGCAGTGTGTCCTGGCTATCTAGACTACAGTGTTTACAAGTAATGATACAGAGCTGCAAGAATGCAATTTATTAAGACCTTGTAATGTGGGACTATTACATTCTCTTCTAAAACCACAGAGTAGATGGAAGTGTTTAGAGAAGAAGAGCCATATGATACGATTCGTGTTTTGCATTGTGGAGGCTTTATCAGAAGGGTGCAGAGATACAAGTTGGGAGGCTAACATGGTAACTGGAGTGGGAAGTGGTCAGCTGGACTGAAGGCTTTGGCCATACAGAAAAAGGCAGAGGGGTGTGTGTGTGTGTGTGTGTGTGTGTGTGTGTGTGTGTGTGTGTGTGTATTTTTCTTGCCTTTGATAGTTGAGATTTTGAGCTGGTAAACGACGAAGAGAAACTTGCCATCAAATTGTTTCTTCCAGTTGTGGGATATGATGAGGTTTCTCTTCAAATAATCTGATCAATCTTTTATTCTTTAATTCATAGTACCCCCTGATTTTTCTCCTTTTTCCTTTTTACCTTTGTTAGATGCCCAGGCACACCTCAGTACCAGCTCACATTCATTTCCTTATTTGGAAAGAGGACTAACTTTCTAGCTCATTACAGACGCCCCTTCCCCTTCCTCTCCACTTGATTTTACGTGCCCACCCTATCTAAAAAAATCAAATGTTTAGCCAACTGGGATTAGTTTAGATTGTACGACCCAACCCCAGCCAATGGGGGGAAAGGGTACAGGGGCAGGACTTGCGTCAGGAATAAAGGCTCTCATGCCCCTTTGTTCAGGTGTGCTCTCATGGCAACTGGCCAAGGAGGCACCCCTCTGTGCAGAAGTAAAATTGCTTTGCTAAGAATCCTTTGTTCGAGTGTTCAATGTCCTCAGGATTTTGAGCATTATTCCTAACACAGTCTACCCTGTCAGCATGTGTCTTTCCAGTCAGACTATGTGCCCTTCGCAAGGCAGGACTGAGTCCTCTATGCCTTGTACGATGTTTTCTTTATATCCAGTCTAGTGCTTCCTAATAAGAGGAGTTCAGTAAATATTTCTGAATTGAATAAAATTAAATGAAAATTGCTACTTGAATAAAGGAAAAGAGAAAGAGATAAATAAGTTTCTTTTCCCCCAACTTGACTTCAATGTGAACTACATACCATGGATGACTTTATATATATATGGGACTTGAAGGAGCCTATGTAGGTTTTCCAGGCGTGCAATCATTTTATTAGGCTTATTTTTTCTTTTGAGACAGGGTCTCACTCTGTCACCCAGGCGGGAGAGCAGTGGCAAGATCTCGGCTCACTGCAGCCTCGACTTCCTAGGCAATCCTCCCACCTCAGCCTCCTGAGTAGCTACTCAGTACTACTACTGAGTAGTACTACTGAGTACATACATTTTTATGTAGAGACGGGGTTTTGCCATGTTGCCCAGGCTGGTCTCAAACTCCTGGACTCCAGTGATCTGCCCATCCCAGCCTCCCAAAGCGCTGGAATTACAGGTGTGAGCCACCACACCCAGCCTTATTAGGCTTTTATAAATCCTGAACCAAACTGTATTTAAAAAGTAATCTCATAGACTAGGGTCACAAATTCAGGTCCCTATAGGGACTAGGTTGTAACAAAGGGAAGAATAAGCCTTGTCTAAATCAGAGAGCTATAACTTCAGATGTGGCTGCTGACTGCCAACAGAAAGGTGGGCATAAGTTAAAAAGCAAAACACAGAAAAACAAACAAAAAACCCTGCTGATCATATTCCCTCACCAGTGTATACCGGAGAAGTTTCTCTCACATTCTTAAGGTCATAAGGAAGTACAAGAAAGTTTGTTGCTGCATTGTGGGGAATTGAGGCCAACATGGGTATGTATGTGAAAGAAATGGATAAGGGTATATGTAGAGCAATGTGGATGGATTTTTTTCTTTTTTTTTTTTAGATGGAGTTTCACTGTTGTTGCCCTGGCTGGAATGCAGTGGTGAGATCTTGGCTCACTGCAACCTTTGCCTCCTGGGTTCAAGTGATTCTCCTGCCTCAGCCTCCCGGTAGCTGGGATTACAGGCTCGCACCACCACACCCGGGTAATTTTTGTATTTTGTATTTCACCATGTTGGCCAGGCTGCCTTGAACTCCTGACCTCAGATGATCTGCCCATCTTGGCCTCCCAATGTGCTGGGATTGCAGGCATGAGCCACTGCGCCCGGCCATGGGTGGATCTTTAAAACACAATTATGAATGTTAGAAAAGCTAAGAAACAAGATTTATAGCACAATGTAGCTTTTATAAATTTAAAATATACTTATAAATAATATATTTTAAAAGGATAAAGCAGGAAAGAAACAGGAATAGAGATATTATTGTCACATTTCAGTAATTTTGCTAATCGGTTATTAAACATAACCATTAATATAAATTAAATTTTATAAATATAAAATAAACTGTGCTAAGAACAAAAGATAATATATAGTAAGAATTCATCACTTCCTAATTTAACTATCATCAGTGCTCTTGAGACTATGTCTATTGTGTCTGACATCAAGTCAAATCAAGGCTTTCAATGTTTTTATCCAGAATGCATGATGTAAATATTTACTAGCATATCAATAAATGTAACTTTTTTATTTATTAAAAATCAGTCTTGAACCCAAAAGCAAACAAAAAATAATGCCTCTGATTAGTCAGGAAAACCACCCTTGGAAGTCATCACTCACGGAAGATATTTTCCTGTCCTGACATCAGAACCTAAACACTAAAAATTAAATATTCTAAGAGACTAGTGAGTAATATATTTGATCTTCTGGTTTCCCTGTGAAGTTTCTGTAACCCTACAAAGACAGAATACTAAAAGCAATGAGAAGTAATCATTCTGATAACAGAAAGTAGCAATAGGAGACAATGAACATGAAAAACTTAAAACTGAGAAATGTGGTAATCTTAGTCATTTATCAATGAAATGACCTTTCAACATGGGATGAAATCTCATCCTACACCATTTAATTTATAGGAAATCACCTATATGTGCTGAGATAGAGAGAAAAGGAGAGATAGTGATAGATTAGGGATTGATTTAAATACTGCTGGGGGTATGCCCATCTTTCCACTCAGTAAGCATATTGCCCCTCAGAATGAGGATAAAGAGAGATCAAAGTTTGCTGTTTCTATGTTTCTACCAGTTGACTTAGGTTCCACTCTCTTCTCATGGTGTAAGTATCTCAGTGATTTGAGTTAGCTTTAATACTTAAAGGTATGTATTTATCTTACAGTCTAGCTTCTAAAAGCAAATTAACCACTTCAACTGGGTCTCAACTGAAGAAAGGGTGCTTTGAATTTCATGTTCCTCATATAACACTGTATCACTAAACAGAGCAAAAATTGATGTGATAACGACACCCCTGAAAATTAAGAAAAGTTAATTTACATTGTGATTTAGAATCAGAAGTCTTAGGTTTCGTTCCTAATTCACTACTACTGGTTGTGTGATCCTTGGAAAATGAGATGGGTCACTAAGATTTATCATCCTTGAAACATGGATATAATAATACCACCTAACTCATAGCTTTGTTGGAGAAACTAAACGAGATATTTTATATGGTAAAAATGCTGTGAACTACAAAGCACTATAAATTTGTTGGTTAGATATTATGCGCTGCTCAATGAAGCAAAACAGAAGATATTCAAGAAAAGTTCTCATTAAAATAGTTACGATAAAATTTTTTTCAGTGCTTTATTAAAGGACTAGGTTTTAGTTACCTAGAAAATAACATGTTTGTACATGCAATTTCTCTTTTATTAATACATAAACTCTAAATAGTCTGTCCATTTACTCTAATATTATCTTTCCCACTCTTATTTCCAGATAGGTAAATGAGGGGTTACTATAATCTCTAATGTAGAGGTGGATTTTTAAAATTAAATGGCACTACCAATGTATCACAAATGTCTGAGGACACTGCAATGGGTCAAAGGTTCAATAAGCTCAGAACTGTATAATTTCCAATCTTTTATAATTATTAGCAAATACTTATGAAATGACTACAGTTTTTGATTTGGCTGTTCACAAAAACAATCTTGCTACTTTTTCAAGAGTTTGGTGTACTGTAGAGTTGAAATGGATTATTTATATATTATACAAGTTCTTTTTTGTTTTGCTTCATTTTGCTTTTCACTTCTCTGGCATTTGCCCATATTTTCAATTCTCTCATCATTCCAATTAAGCTGTAAAATTCATTTGCATAACAAAAAATGTTTGGCTGTAGCAACTAGTCAGGTGTTCATCATATAATAAAATTTAAGCAGTGCTCAATAGAAATCTGTAAAAGGTAACAATTTGCAATACATGTTAATCATCTATAAGCAAATTTAAGGAAATCAAATAAGTACTTAAATCCCAACTTATTTAAATAGCGTATCAGTGGGATAATAGTTATCAAGTCCTATTCTTGACTACATCTCCATAATTTTAAAACTTTGAATATGCTAACTAAATTGCAGGTCCAAGGTTTTCCGCACAAGAGCTCCAAACTCAACAGAGTGAATTCGTGTTCTACCAAAATGGATAAACTTTGGGAATTCTTTTGTTTGTAAATGGAAAAATCAGATTTATTATAGGTGACTTTTGCAGCTGAGCATTATTCTCCATTGTATATACTTTGCTTGAAAATATTCATTAAATGTTAAGACAACTATATCAAACTATGAAATTTCTGCTTTATGAAGAACAGGAATTAGTTACAAGAAAAAGTGATTTCTGAATATAGCTTTCCTTTTAAAATTTAAAATGGATAAATATTTAAGGTGATAGATACTGCAATCACTCTGATTTGATCATTATATATTATATGCTTGTATCAAAATATCACTTGTGGTAAAAGGACGGAAAAAGATACTCCATGCAAATGGGAACCAAAAGCAAGCAGGAGTAGCTATTCTTATATCAGACAAAATGGGCTTTAAAGCAATAACCGTAAATAAAAGATAAAGAAAGACATTGTATAATGATAAAAGGATTAGTCCAACAAGAAGATATTTACTACAGTACTCAATTTATATGCACCTAACACTGGTGCTCCTAGCTTTATAAAACAATAGTACTAGACCTAAGAAATGAGATAGACAGCAATGCAATAATAGTGGGGGACTTCAATACTCCATTTACAGCACTAGACAGGTCACTGAAACAAAAACTTAACAAAGAAACAATGGACTTAAATTACACCCTAGAACAAATGGACTTAACAGATATTTACAGAACATTCTTCCTAACAATTATAGAATATACATTCTTATCAGCAGATGGACCATTCTCCAAGACAGGTCATACAAGAGACCACAAAGTCTTAATAAATTTAGGAAAATCAAAATCATATCAAGTATCTTCTCAGACCACAGTGGAATAAAACTAAAAATCAACTCCAAAAGGAACCCTCAAAACTATACAAACACATGGAAATTAAGAAATCTGCTCTTGAATGATTTTGGGGTTAACAATGAAATTGAGATGGAAATTAAAATATTTTTTGAAATGATTAATAGTGACACAATTTATCAAAACCTCTGAGATACAGCAAAAACAGTGCTAAGAGGAAAGTTCATAGTGTTAAATACTACATCAAAAATTCTGAAAGAGCACAAATTGACAACCTAATGTCACATTTCAAGGAACTAGAGAAACAAGAACAAACTAAACTCAAATCCAGCAGAAGAAAAGAAATAACAAAGATCAAAGCAGAACTAAATGAAGTTGAAACAAAAAAATACAAAATATAAATGAAACAAATAGTTCTTTGAAAAGATAAACAAAATTGATAGACCATTAGCAAGATTAACCAAGGAAAGAAGAGAGAAGATTCAAATAAGCTCAAGTAGAAATGAAACTGGAAACACTACAACCTACATCACAAAAATACAAAAGATCATTCACTACTACTATGAACACCTTTATGCACACAAACTAGAAAATCTAGAGGAAATGGATACATTCCTGGAAACACACAACCCTCCTAGTTTAAATCAAGAAGAAATAGAAACCCTGAACGCTTTGGCTGGGCGCGGTGGCTCACGTCTGTGATTTTAGCACTTTGGGAGGCTGAGGCAGGTGGATCACTAGGTCAGGAGTTCGAGACCTGCCTGGCCAACACAGTGAAACTCCGACTCTACTAAAAATACAAAAATTAGCTGGGCGTGGTGGTGGGCACCTGTAATCTCAGCTACTTGGGAGGCTGAGGCAGGAGAATTACTTGAAACTGGAAGGTGGAGGTTGCAGTGAGCCAAGATCATGCCACAGCACTAAAGCCTAGGTGAAAGAGCAAAACTCCATCTCAAAAAAAAAAAAAAAAAAGAAAGAAACCCTGAACATACCAGTAACGAGCAGCAAGGTTGAATATCAGTAATTTAAAAATTGCCAAAAAAAAGTCCAGGACCAGATGGATTCACAGCTGAATTCTACCAGACATTCAAAGAAGAATTGGTACCAATTATAATGAAACTATTTCAAAAGATAAAGAGGGAATCCTCCCTAAATCATTCTATGAAGTCAGTATCACCCTAATACCAAAACCAGAAAAGGAAATAACAAAAAAGAAAGCAGCAGCACAAAAATAGCAGCACAATTTGCAATTGCAAGATATGGAACCAACCCAAGTGTCCATCGACCAATGAATGGATAAAGAAAATGTGGTATCTATATACCATGGAATATTACTCAGCCATAAAAAAGAATCTCTTTTGCAGCAACTTGAATGGAGCTGGCAGCCACTATTCCAAGTAAAGTAACTCAGGAACGGAAAACTAAATACCATATGTTCTCACTCGTAAGTGGGAGCTAAGCTATGAGGATACAAAGACATACGGAGTGATACAATGGACTTTGGGGACTCTAAGTGGGGAGCTTGGGAGTGAGGTAAGGGATAAAAGACTATTTATTGGGTACAGTATATAGTACTCAGGAAATGGATACATAAAAAATTTCAGAATTCGCCACTATAGAACTCATCCATGTAACCAAAAACCACCTATACCCCCAAAACTACTGAAATTATAAAAAATAAGCAAAATATAACTTGTACCGCACAAATAAATATGTACAATTATACACATATAAAATTAAAAATAAAAAAAAATTTTTTAATTAAGTTTCCTAAGGTAGCTACAATTGTGGCTGCTTTCTTGCCTCATATTTTTTGGATATTTAAAAAATATTAAATGATTTTTATGTTTTCTATCATTAAGACAAGGAAAAAAGCCTTCTAGAAATAGATATTATTTGATGTAGAATAAGTAAGGAAAAATAATGTATTTGTTTAATACAATCATAAAAAATCATTTGTTTAAAAAAGTAAACTAGAATATAGTTTTAAACTCTATTTGAGTTTGAGATTTTCAAAATTTAAAAATATATCTTGTGTCAATGGTTGGCATGCAATTAATATCTACTGAATAAATAAAGGACTCTACCTACGGCTGTATATATACAGGCATACATTCGAATATTGTAACTGAAACATCTATGTCTCTTTGTCTCTCTCTTTAAGTGTAACTAATACAACTGAGGACAAGAGGTGAAATTCAAATCTCTAAAATGCTTCCCTAATTTCAGCATGAGCTACTGAGTACATGAGACTTTTCACTCAAATATTCTCTCAGAAAAGAAAGTTGGCTCATATTCAAGACTTTATACTATCTCTTATGTCTCAATTATTTTATTCGGAACCACAATGTTGTATATTAGCCTGAAATAACCTCAAGAGATGTGATGCTTACATAAGTATTCTGACAGAATTTGCTTAATTAAAAAGGGAGGCAAAGAAAGTTGATAAATCTTTAGCAATCATTCCTAATGTATAGCTTCACAATCACTCGTGGCAGAGATCATTGTAAACGAGTCTTTCAAAGAATTTGTTAAAAAGCCAAACAACTTAAAAAGCAGAAAGAATATGTTAGTCTATTGGGAATTTTTAAAAGATCACATCTGGCTGGGTGCAGTGGCTCACGCCTGTAATCCCAGGACTTTGGGAGGCCGAGGCAGCCTGATCACCTGAGGTCGGGAGTTCGAGACCAGCTTGACCAACGTGGAGAAACCCCATCTCTACTAAAAATACAAAATTAGCTGGGCATGGTGGTGGGCGCCTGTAATCCCAGCTACTTGGAAGGCTGAGGCAGGAGAATCGCTTGAACCTGGGAGGTGTAGGTTGCGGTGAGCCGAGATCGCGCCACCGCACTCCAGCCTGGGCAACAAGAGCGAAACTCCGTCTCAAAAACAAACAAACAACCAAAATCATATCTAAGAAAAATGAAAAAAACAGTTTTCCTAATATTTTGTGAATGGGTATTGAAGTTTGGGATAAAAATTTCAGCGACAGCATTGAGAACGTGAAAAATAGCTCTGCTGATAGCTGGCAGCTGGCAGCTAGCTAGGCCATGATGGTCCCAGCTGGATGTTAAAAAACACTCATAGAAATAAACTAGGCAGACACAAGGCCACCCCATGGCCGTGTTTGAAACAAGACAGAGACAAGGCCTTTCTGCTATCACAGAAATGACTAATATGAGGCATTGCTGCTCCTTTACCAACGACGTGTCTAGCCCTACTTTAATCTCATCTTCTAGATAAACACTAAGATACCTAATCACTACATTGACTCTGTTTCTTGAAAGCATCTAATCCAGAAATGGCTTCTACTTTCTGAATTCCTCCTTAGAATCATGCAGCCAGCTGAACTCTGTAAGAAGCTTTTTCCAATGCCCTCTTACTGAGATGCCCACACTCTGAAGTGTTTTACGCTCTTGCTGCAATAAGGTAAATATTCTTAATTTTTTGATTACAGATATGTTGCTTGTAATCTTGGCCAGAGGGCTTTCAGAGTATTATGTAGGGATTCAAACAATGCCATATTACAAATAACTTAGCAAGGTGATGAGCTCTACAATTCTAGAATATACATACGAAGGGTTTGAATGAAATTGTTTCATAAAATATAAATGTGCCAGGTATTTCTAAATGAGTGTGTTATTTTATAAAATGTAAGACTGCAAATATGGAAATGCTACTCAATTAAGAAATTGAATATAATTAGACATTTGACAATCTCATCCATATTTCTAAATGTTTATGTTTACAAGTTGCCCAAAAATCTATTATAAATTTTTTCTCTTCTCATTGGGAAAGTGAAGCTCTCCTCAAGTTTATGCATTGGGATTAGCATTTATTCAACCTCTTATACTCCAAGACTTTTTTTTCAGTTGTAAAGCAAACTTGTATTTATTTATTTATTTATGAGATGGAGTCTCACTCTGTCACCCAGGCTGGAGTGCAGTGGCGTGATCTCAGCTCACTGCAAGCTCTGCCTCCCGGGTTCATGCCATTCTCCTGCCTCAGCCTCCCGAGTAGCTGGGACTACAGATGCCTGCCACCAAGCCCGGCTAATTTTGTTTTTGTATTTTTAGTAGAGATGGGGTTTCACCATGTTAGCCAGGATGGTCTCGATCTCCTGACTTTGTGATCCGCCCACCTTGGCCTCCCAAAGTGCTGGTATTACAGGCGCGAGCCACCGCGCCCAGTCGCAAACTTGTAATTTAAAAAAATAAAATGTTGCTATGCATTTACTTATAAATTATTAAATGCCTCTAATATTGTTATCTTCTTTCTAGAAGTCCTCTCCCAACTTATTCTGGTGTTATTGGCATGGAAATTGTGCTCAATAAATGAGTCAGTCAAAATAGACTTGTTCATTTCAGGGGACAATTTTTGTCTGTTATCTCTCTATTGATTTCTGTTGCTACAAGTGAAGTTACACCAGGTAAATGAGATTGTACGCATGGCAGATGATTTATGAAATCCAAGTATTGTTTTAAGTGTAATTATATTTATTTCGGCAACATTTCGACCAATGAAATACCATTTGACCTGCTATACCGTGGATAAATCTTGAGATGCACATCTTTTGTGAGTAATATATTAAAGATTGTTAGGCAAAAAATAAACCCTAAGGAAGTTTTTAAAAATGTTAAGATGTTGATGTTGGCAGTAGAACAAACTCATTGGGAGAAAAAAAAACAGCTTCATCTAGTTAATTAACAACAAAACAGCTGGGAAAATGAATCATCCCTGGTTGTGACTGACTGTAATTGAAAATGACTAATGATGCTGTCATTTTGCAGTTCATATCTGAGGAAATGATGCCTGGAAGATTATAATTGCCCTCTTGACCATTTGTCTACAGCAATTATTTTGTGTTAAAGGTTGGGATGGAACGCTTTGGCCAAATACAGAAAGTTCCTCACACCTTTTTCTGTTACATTGAAAAATAATTCAAGAGCAGTAAGTAAAACATATTACTAGGTTTGTGTAAGTAACATTTTTTGATAATATAAAAAGTTAGCAAAGCAAACCAGCTGGCTTCATTTTATCACTTTAGAAAGTAACCAAGACATTTAAAATTCCATTAATGCTCTCAGTTCTAATACATGGCAGGTGATGTAAGCATTGAAAGTACATAAACATATTTTTAAAAGTTAACTGAAAGTGTAGTTTTCCAACTTAAGTTAAAAATGAGTATGAATACAAGAAAATGGCACCTAAATGCTTAAGCTCAAGACAGTTAAAAATACAATTTTATAATAAAAATCAAATAACAAATGGCTTCTTTTGTAGTTTATATTGTTGTTACTGATAGCAGTTGTTTTTGCTGCTTTTAAACTGCTAAATGGGGTGCTATTGAGGACCTAGTTATTACTGTGTGGAAAAATGGAACACATTAAAGACTATTTCATCTATGGCATTAATGTAATATATTATACCAAAACTATAACTTTAGCAAAATTTTAAACAATTTATATAACTCATATAGTCAGTCTTCAGTAATTTCTGAAGTTAAGATGAAGAAATAACATACAAATAAATAAAAGTATGTGTGTAGATGGGGGAGGAAGGGGGAGAGAGAGAGAGAGAGAGGGAGAGAGGGAGAGAGGGAGAGAGGGAGAGAGGGAGAGAGGGAGAGAGTGGAGAGGGAGGGAGGGAAAGAGAGAGAGAGAGAGAGAGAGACAGAGAGAGAGAAAGAGAGTTGAAGTGCTAAACAAAGATGGAGAGGTATTTGATCATACGATCCTAAGATTTTTCCAGTTATTTTGCAGCAGAGATTAGTACTACCTATACGTCATTAGTATTATCATTTCATAATATGTATTTGACCTTTTACAGGAAGTCCTCAAAGAAAATAAAGAAGTTGGTTAGTCAGAGATTTTAAAAAAGAAACCAGAAATATACCATCTTTGAAAATAAAAGAAATCTTAAAGAAGTTGACGAAGTGAAGGAAAGAAGAAAGAGGAAAGAAACTGAGCAGGGATGAACCCAGCTTCCAATCAGAACTCAGCTTGGGAGGTGAGCGTAGGAGCTGGACAGACAGGCTGTCTGATGCAGAATGCGGAGGTGCCAATAGACAAGTCAATTTCCTAAGAAACAGAATTGCTCCCTGATGTGTCTTTAATTAGAATGTTTGTAAGCGGTGGACACACTAATTATGCATTTAAATACTAGATCTTGCATATACATCGTGAGAGATTTTCATTTTCTTTTTAAAGAATATCATTTTCTTCATAATTATTACAGTTTCCAAATGCACCTCCCCCAAAAAACAAAAACAGAAACACAATTCTCTCATGAAAATGTGCTGCAGGCTACTCAGACTCATTTCCTCTTCTATTAAGAGGTAACAAGACCCAGAGTGAAGAAGAGGCATTATAAATAGGACAAATTTTAAATTTTGATATATGGACTCAAAGTTTAAAAAGGCTTTGTTCACGTTCTATCAGAGCAATGGAGTGTCCTTCAGAAAAATCATCTCTAACCTTTAAAAATAAATTTTTGATCCATGCAGAGATTTAAACAGCCCTCACAGCTTTCTGCCTTGTATTGCTGGGTGTCATGTTCAAAACTGTGAGGTCATTTTTTGAGCCTCTAGGTGTTTCAGGCTACCGCAAACCCCAGCTAATCTTCAGATGTTTCCAAGGTCATGGTCCACAGCAAAAGTTGTGCGTGAGTCAACTATTTTTTTAAACCCCATAATTCTCAAATCATTCTTGCATTTTTGCCCCTATCAACTTGATATATATATATTTTGAGACGGAGTTTCGCTCGTGTCGCCCAGGCTGGAGTGCAACAGCGCGATCTCGGCTCACTGCAACTTCTGCCTCTCGGGTTCAAGTGATTCTCCTGCCTCAGCCTCCCAAGTAGCTGGGATTACAGGCGCCTGCCACCACAGCTGGCTCATTTTCATATTTTTAGTAGAGACAGGGTTTCACCATGTTGGCCAGGCAGGTCTCGAACTCCTGACCTCAGGTGATCCGCCTGCCTCGGCCTCGCAAAGTGCTGGGATTATAGGCATGAGCCACCATGCCCAGCCAACTTGATATGTTGATTTTTCTCCAAATCCAAGGGAGAAATGGGAAGACAGGAATAAATTTTCCCTTAAGTTCAGCTTCTCCCAATGTGTCAAATTGAGAGAAAATAGGGAAACAGGGAAGGAGAAAAAAAAAAAGGAAGGAAAAAAACAGTGCTGTCTGCTACAAAAATGGTTTTAAGGGTTGTGAAAGAGAAGGAAAGCAACAGCTCCTGGTTCTTTCTTTTTATTTCAGAAAAGTAATTCTCCTTTTACATCACTAATGCATCAGCAGGAAGCAGATATGCTCAGGCATGGCAGATCCCAGTTCTGATCTCCAAGTGGCCCAGTAGTTGAGTGTGTGGGTGGAGGTGCGATAAGTTAGCATCAAGCATTTGGATTGTTTTATACATAATGAAAGCAAAAATTTTCTCAGTGGCTTTTAATTAAGATCTCTCTCTCTCTCTTTTACAAAGGCACAAAAGTAAAAGCCAAATTACATGTACCTTTGTGATCTCTAACAATTAGTGACAAACCTTAATTCATAGTCATACACCATAAGGCATAAAGTCTTTGAGGATCAACAAAGAGTAGATAGAAACGTATGCAATTGTCCATTTGTGCACTGCATGGCTTGCTACAATGAAAGTCACCATATTAACTGCTCTGAGGGCTGGCTTTCTTCAGAACATCAACGGAAACTCTGAAATTTGCTGCTTTCAGGACTTTGCCTAGCTCTTCCAACTAAATACTGAGCACATTGTTAGCTTATGAAAAATGATTATACTGGGCTTGAACTGGATACAAACTACTTTTCTAGATTTTTGGAGTGGTTGCAATATATTTCTGAATAAAAGTATGTTGATATCTACAGAGAAACCTGTGATTTTCAGTGTCTGGTGTTTGGACATTAAGCTCAGGTGCAAACTTCAACTCTACCTAAGGAAAAGTCTCTTGTAAGCTGTAAGGAAAACAAACAATCTTCTAGAAATGAAGCTTGGGCCAAGCGCAAGGGAAACTAAGCAGCGACCTTAGAGACAGAATCTAAGTCATGGTAATGTTGTTTGCAAGGACAAACTGGTTCTGTATAATGAGGTTATTGACCTGAACTGTTTTCAAGCAGTTTTAAACATGAGGACGAGGTTCATTGTATCCAAGCCTGCAACATTAACTGAGAAACCAAGACTGATCAATAAACAGCCATGATTACAGGATCTCAGGAACCTTCATCATAATGGGAGCCATTATAATTCTGGTCAGGTACAGAGAATCAGGTAACCTACTGCTAACGTATATTTAGCACTGGACTCTCATTTGCAAATGGAAGCCATTGATTAGCTATTTTTTGAAAACTGACCTGGCTTTCCATCTCCCTCCTTATGTAATAGCCTGTGAATAAATGTGACCTAGACTTCAACATGGATATGGAGAAGAAAAAAAAGTAGAAAGGTTTATCCCAGGCCAGCTTTTTGCCAAAGAAATAAGCAATTACATGACATTTCACTAAAAATTCTTGACCCAATAAAATACTGAAGCCTCAATGCCGATTTTACTCTTTTATAAGAAAGAGCAACAAAGAAAAGAAAGGTCACGGACCATATTGTGATTCTTTACAGCTGTTGGAGACAGACACTATGATGCAGTAGCTTGATTTGAATTAAACCAAACAATATGAAAAGCATCAAGGCTGGCAAGCAAAGCAATAAAGCCCCAAAGAATTTAATCTACCTTGAAGGTGGGACTACTTTTGTATTGATGGCAGCACACCAGGACAGAAATGAGTCCTTTAAAGCAATGACTCGTTAATAGCCTTAAGATCACAATATATAAATAGGATATGCTGATCAAAAAGACAGCTTTGCCTCTGCTATTACAGTATGGCCAGTATTTCCTTACAAGTTATTTCACTGATTATAAATAGTCCACGTCAATGGCAAATGTACAACAGGGGAAGCATAACCCATTATGAGGTAATGGATATTGCTAGAGGTTGCTTCATTACCTTCACTGGCTGAGTGGCTGGTTTTTCCTTGTACAAATGCTGCCCTTTAGACAAAATCTCTTCCACATCCGGTTGTTTAGCTTGAACTGCTATTTCAGTTTCCTGGGGAAAAGAACCCATATAGTGCAGATTAACTTCACAGTTAGCAATAAAATTACTAAATTTAAATATACCCTTGGAGACTCCACATGTATTGCAGATCAATTTCTGCCTGGTACATAAGGGCACAAAAATGTAGCTTTTGGTGCAGAGAAAAGAAACAGAGATGTGAAACACATTAAACTTAAAAAAAATTCATCCAATATCTTCTTGAATTATATAATACTCATATAGAAACACAGGCATTAACTACTTTTCAAAAAAGTAAAATGCAATAATGACAATACAATTTATTAACATAATTTATATGAATAAACACTAGTTTTAGCTACAATAATCTCAATAATCCTAATGTTCATTTTACTTTATACACTTATTGTTTTACAAAATTCTGTGTTTAGTATTGGATATAAATTTTGTTTTGAAATAAATATCAAATAATTATTTCTACATCACTGTCAAAATTATTTTCTTTCCAAAGGGTAAACACTTAAAGCACAGTATCAAAGCTTATTATTTATTAATGAGTCAAACAGGCCTTCTGAAGAACGATTAATTTTGTTTATTATTTGCTTTTCTTCAGTCTGGAGAAGGCTGAAGCATGACAAAAAAAAATCCTTCAGGTATATGAATATAAGCATTTTGTTACTGTCTGCTGACTAGCTCTCTTGATGAGACGACAAAAGAATTGTGCAGAAATTGAAGCTGAAGGAAGTGAAGTTAAATATTACAGAAGACTTTTTGGATGGAACACTTGTTAAACACTAGGATAGAGTATCAATTAATCAATGTCAGGCATCAGTCAGGGCCTGGGCAATCTTCCCCAGAGAGCAGCTCCTGATTAACCCGTATCTCTCTTCCTCCCTCCCCTACCCCGGAGCCTCCCAGCACTGCTGTGTTTAAGTGTCTCCGTGCCACTGTTTCCTTCGTATACTGTGTTTGTACCTGTTCCCTCTCAGTTCATTAGTAGGAAATCCCAAATTACTATAATCTCATACTGCCCAGTACAGTCTCTTGCAATTTACGGGTGCTCAGCACATGCTCTTGAGATAGACTATTTTTTTCCAGTTCTTATTATAATAAATACCAGCAGCAAACAGGCACTTTGGTCAAAATTGTACATAACTAACCTCATGTGTTAATGGTTATGTATGCAAATTTCACTTCCTTTATAACAGTAGTTTAGCTACTTTACATGAAGAACTATTAATTGATGGTCTTACTGCCCCTTGCCAAGAAAACACATTGTTCCCTGAAAATGCAGCACCCGGAATGACTGTATGTCTTTGCTAGAGGTAGAAATAGCTCTGATCTCAGATGAGGAATAAGGAAAATCTAGTTTTACTTACTGAATTCCAAATAGGTCCCCAGCCACTATAAATTCACCCTTGAATACCGCATTTGCAAAAAAACATTTTGGTGTAGTAAATGGTGATATGGTCTCAAAATACTTTAAGAGAAAATAAAATATATTATTCTAAGGAAGTAGAGAAAAGAGCATATCTTCAGCAAGGTAAAAATGATTTAAGAAAAGGAAAAAAAGTAACTGAATTTTCAACCTATACATTTATCATTTATGTATACCATAAATTACCAGGCCAAATATACATGTACAATGTCTAAATTATACATTTGAAATTATATATGCATTACACATATAAACTGACAAGTTAACTTAAAGCACTGTCACCACCATTCATTTTGTATGTGTTTCTCTAAGACAAAGCACTATTTTCTATTTATTCACTGACAGCTGGGACTTTTCTTGTGATAGTTATTGATATAGCTAATTACTGGTAATAGACAATGTTTTCTGATTAGCTTCATCATAGCTGTAGACTATATTATTGATGATAGCATAGTTACCATTCGTATAATGACTACTATTTGCCTTCCCCAACCCTGATTCCAACAGATTGCCACTTTACAGATAAGAAAATGAAGCAAGGGTGGGTGGGATAGTAGTGACGGTAGTGACAATGATGTGAATAGCTTGCCCACAACCTCGTGGGATGTGGGAGAGTTAATATTCAAACACAGCTAGGTCTGAATCCAAAGTTTATACTATTGGCAGTAGTAACAGCTACGTCTTCATATCTTACAACAACTTAATAACATATCCAAATGATTTGATCAAATTATGTTATTTCTAAGCATTAAGAAATTTTACTTTCACCATCTGAATCTGTTTGATATTATCACATATGCTGAAAAACATGCCCTACCTCTCTGATAATAGAGAATCACTATGGGTCAGAGGGAGACAGGCAACTTAATGCAACAGTCGTCATTCCCATTCATTGGAATTTTTGAAAAATGATAGCAAAGACCATTGTTCCCACTGCCAACCTACAGTCTTATTTAAACTGTTCCAACTCCTTTGCTTCCTCCTTCAAAACACATCACAATTAATCACATTATGTGTATATGTATAGTTTTGACCATTCCTAAAGAATTATCCTCTATGAGAGTAAGACCCATAACTACCTTGTTCACTCATATCCCTGGAAGTGCCTAACACATAGTAAGTGCTAAACAAAAAACCGTTGAACGGGCAAATAAATACTGTTGCAACTTTGAGCCTATGGGAATTGAGTTAAGAGTGTGTATTACTAGAGACATTTGTTCACGCAGACAGTCGAAAGGTTCATGGCATAGACTATTTTCTTTCTAAATAATCTGCTAGAGTTAAATACAGAGTCTACTCTTCTGCTTTTGGATTTCCCGTAATGATTTTTTTTGCAAAATTTTACATCTTCACGTTATTGATTACAACAATGTCTCAGAAAACTCATTTCTATGACAAATTAAAATGGGATTATTTTATACTTAATTAATCCTTTCATTGACTTCCTTTAAACTAAAATTCCATTTATCCCACATTTTTCTTCTTAGCTGAATTTGTATAATTTAATCTCCATCTAGCAATCCAAGAGAACATCACAAATACAAATGTTTTAGCATTTATATGATTTAGCATGAATATTTTATATAACCAACATCTGAATGTGGGACCTCTAATCAGGTACTTTATAACTATTGCACTTGAAGCATAGTAAACATTTATTAGTTTTGATTTGTAATTCCAGTAGAAGAGTAAACTTGGAAAGGCTGGAGGATCATATTTCCTATACAAATCTAAAAACTTCTATGAGTATTAAAACCTGTGATGTACTAGCATGGAAAAGCTCATCTTTCCTTTCAAACACTCCCACTTCACTTTTCTTTTTCACTCATCGAGCATAGGAAGTCAATATTCTCCTCATATTCCCTTAAATTTAATGTGTCCCTCTGTCCCCCAATACAGATCATTTGTATTTGATACATTTGATCTAACTTTTGTTTTCATAGTATTTATACATTAAAACCTTTTGCACTGAACACCAAACTACTTATATTATTCCAACCTTTAAAAAAGATTTATATTTCTAAAATTGGAGTGCGTATTCAAAAGATACCTGCTGCATCATCTATTCAATATATTTATAAGCTAGAGATTGGGATACAGCACTAGAAAATTTTCAATTTACAATATGAATATATGTGTGTGATATACATGTATATACATATATGTGTATTAGATATGATAAATACACATATCAACATATATGTATAATATGCACATATAATACACATACACATATGTGTGAGTGGATATATAGACACATGTATGTATATGTACAGGTATACCTCATTTTACTGAGTTTTGCCTTATTGGCTCTGCAGATACTGCTTTTTTTTTTTTTTTTTTTTTACAAACTGAAGGTTTGTAGCAACCCTGCATCAAGCAAGTCTATCAGCAACATTTCCAACACCATGTGCTTACTTCATGTCTCTGTGTCACAATTTGATAATTCTCACAATATTTCAAGCTTTTTCAATATTTTTATAACTGTTATGGTGATGGGTAATCAGTAATCTTTGATGTTACTATTTTAATAGTTTCAGGGTGCCACAAACAGTGCCCATATAGGATGGCAAACTTAATCCATTAATGTATGTATTCTGAACGCTCCACTGACCAGTCATCCCCCTACCTCTCTTCCTCTCCTTGGGCCTCCCTATTCTGAGACACAACAATATTGAAATTATGCCAGTTAATAACCGTACTATGGCCTCTAAATGTTCAAGGGAAAACAAGAGTTGCATGTCTCTCACTTTAAATCAAAAGCTAG
Source organism: Homo sapiens (assembly GCF_000001405.40). Classification (NCBI taxonomy): domain Eukaryota; kingdom Metazoa; phylum Chordata; class Mammalia; order Primates; family Hominidae; genus Homo; species Homo sapiens. The sequence goes on from NC_000023.11 coordinate 31,840,992, forward strand.
AAATGATTAAGCTTGGTTAGGAAGGCATGTCGAAAGCCAAGAGAGGCTGGAAGCTAGGCCTCTTGTGCCCGTTAGCTAAGTTGTGAATGCAAAGGAAAAATTCTTGAAGAAAATTAAAAGTGCCAGTCTAGTGAACATGCAAATGATAACAAAGCAGAACAGCCTTATTGTTAATATGGAGAATGTCTTAGTGGTCTGGACAGAAGATCAAAACAGCCACAACATTCTCCTAAGCCAAAGCCTAATCCAGAGCAAGGCCCAATTCTGTTCAGTTGTATGAATGCTGAGAGAGGTGAGGAAATTGTAGAAGAAAAGTTGGAAGCCAGCAGAGGTTTGTTCATGAGGCTTTAGGACGAAGCCCTCTCCGTAACATAAAAGTGAAAGGTGGAGCAACAAGTGCTGATGGAGAAGCTGCAGCAAACTATCCAGAAGATCAAGCTAATATCTAAGATGATGAAGGTAGCTACACTAAACAACAGATTTTCAGTGTAGATGAAGCAGTCTTCTATTGGAAAAAGATGCCATCTAGGACTTTCATAGCTAGAGAGAAGTCAATGCCTGGCTTCGAAAGTTCAAAGGACAGGCTGACTCTCTTTTGAGGGGCTAATGCAATTGATGACTTTCAATTGAAGACAATGCTCATTTACTATTCCAAAAATCCTAGGGCCCTTAAGATTATGCTAATAGACTCTGCCTATGCTCTATAAAGGGAACAACAAAGCCTGGATGATAGCACATCTCTTTACAGCATGGTTTACTTACTGAATATTTTAGGCCCACTGGCCATACCTATTGCACAGAAGAAAAAATCTCTTTCAATATATTACTGCTTGTTGATAATGCACCTGGTCAGCCAAGAGGTCTGATGAAGATGTACCAAGAGATTTTGTTTTTATGCCTGCTAACACAACATCCATTCTGCAGTCCTTGGACAAAGGAGTCATTTCAGCTCTCAAGTCTTATTCTTTAAAAAGTACATTTTGTAAGGCTATAGCTGCCCTAGGTAGCGATTCCTCTGATGGATCTGGGTAAACTGAAAATCTTCTGGAAAGGACTCACCATTCCAGATGCCATTAAGAAAATTTGTGATTCATAGAAAGAGGTAAATATCAACATTACAAGGTGTTTGGAAGAAGTTTATTCCAACCCTCATGAATGCCTATGAGGGTCCAAGACTTTAGTAGGGGAAGTCACTGGATGTGGAGAAAATTGCAAGAGAACTAGAATAAAGTGGAGCCTGAAGGTGTAACTGAATGGCCGTCATCTCATAATGAAACTTCAATGGATGAAGAGTTGCTACTTATAGATGAGCAAAACAAAGTGTTTTCATGAGACAGAATCTACTCCTGGTGAAGACGCTGTAAACAATGTTGAAATGACAACAAAGGGTTTAGAATATTCTGTAAACTTAGTTGGTAAAGCAGCAGCAGGGTATGAGAGCCTTGACCTCATTTTTGAAAGATCTACTGTGGGTAAAATGTTATCAAATAACATCACACACTACATAAAAATCTTTTGTGAAAAAAATCAACCAACATAGCAAACCTCATGGTTGTTTTATTCTAAGAAATTGGCATAGTCACTCCAACCTTTCAACAGTTACTACTCTGATCGGTCAGCAGCTATCTCCGTCAAGGCAAGACCCTCCATCAGCAAAAAGATTAAGACTCATTGAAGGCTCAGATGACTGCTAGCAAGCTTTAGCAACAAAGTATTTTTTTAAATAATTTCAACTATTGTTTTAGATTTAAGGGGTACATGTGCAGGTTTGTTACATTTATATATTTATTGGGTGATACTGAGGTTTGGAGTATGATGGATCCTGTCACTGAGATAGTGCGCACCGTATCTAATAGTTAGTTTTTCAACTCTTGCCCCTTCCTTATCTCTTCCCCTACTAGTTTCCAGTATGTACTGTTGCCATCTTTATGTCCATGAGTGCCCAATGTTTAGGCCCACTTATAAGTGAGAACAAAGTGGTATTTGGTTTTCTGTTCCTACTAATTCATTTACGATAATGGCCTCCAGTTGCATGCATGTTGCTACAAAGGACATAATTTCATTCTTTTTAATGGTTGTGTAGTATTTCATATTGTATGTGTACCACATTTTCTTCATCCAGTCCACCATTGATGGTCATCTAGGTTGATTCCTTGGCTTTTCTATTGTGAATAGTGCTGCAGTGAACATACAAGTGCATGTGTCTTTTTGGTAGAATGATTTATTTACTTTTGGATATATACTCAGTAATGGGATTGCTGGGTTGAATGACAGTGCATTTTAAGTTGAGAAATCCCCAAACTGCTTTCCACAGTGGGTGAACTAATGTACACTCCCACCAACAGCGTATAATGTTCCCTTTTCTCTGCAGCCTCACCAACATCTATTGTGTTTTGAGTTTTTGATAATAGGCATTCTGACTGGTGTGAGATGGTATCTCATTGTGGTTTTGATTTGCATTTCTCTAATGATGAGTGATGTGGAGCATTTTTTCATATCTGTTAGCCACCCGTTTGTCTTCTTTTGAGAAGTATCTATATATTCATGTCTTTTGCCCACTTTTTACATGGGGTTATCTGCGTTTTGCTTGTTAAGTTCCCTATAGATTATGGATATTAGATCTTTGTCTGATGGATAGTTTGTGTATATTTTCTCTCATCTTGTGGGTTGTCTGTTTACTCTGTTGATAGTTTCTTTTGCTGTGTAGAAGCTCTTTAGTTTAATTAGATCCCACTTGTTAATTTTTGGTTTTGTTACATTTGCTTTTAAGGACTTAGTCATGAATTCTTTCTGAAGGCTGATGTCCAGAATAGTATTTCCTAGGTTTTCTTCTGCGATTCTTCTAGTTTGAGATTTTATTGTATTGTATTGTATTTATTTAGGGACGGAGTCTCGCTCTGTTGTCAGGCTGAAGTGCAGTGGCGCAGTGCAATCTGGGCTCACTGCAACCTCCGACTCCCTGGCTCAAGCGGTTCTCCTGCCTCAGCCTCCCAAGTAGCTGGGATTACAGGGATGCGCCAGCATGCCCAGCTAATTTTTTTGTATTTTTAGTAGAGACGGGGTTTCACCATGTTGGCCAGGATGGTGTCAATCTCCTGACCTCGTGATCCACCTGCTTCAGCCTCCCAAAGTGCTGGGATTACAGGCGTGAGCCACCGCACCTGGCTGAGATTTTATTTTTTTAAATCTTTAATCCATCTTGAGTTAATTTTTGTATATAGTGAAAGGTAGGAGTCCAGTTTCATTCCTCTGGATACGGTTAGCCAGCTATCCCAGCACCGTTTATTGAGTAGGGAGTCCTTTCCCCATTTTTTTTTTTTTTGTTTACTTTGTTAAAGATCAGATGGCTGTAGGTATGCGGCTTTATTTCTGAGTTCTCTATTCTGTTCTACTGGTCCAAGTTTCTGTTTTTGTAGAAGTCCCATTCTCTTTGGGTAACTGTAGCCTTATAGTATAGTTTGAAGTTGGTTAATATCATGCTTTATTCTTTTCACTTAGCATTGTTTTTACTCTTCAGACTGTTTTTTAGATTCATATGAATTTTAGGATAGTTTTTTATAATTCTGTGAAAAATGACATTGCTAGTTTGATAGGAATAGCATTGAATCTGTAGATTGCTTTAAGCAGTATGTCCATTTTAATGATATTGATTCTTCCTTTCCATTAACATGGAATGTTTCTCCATTTGTTTGTGTTATCTATGGTTTCTTTCAGCAGTGTTTTGTAGTTAGCCCTGTAGAGATCTTTCACTTCTTTGGTTAGATGTATTCCTAGATATTTTATTTTTTGTGGTTATTGTAAATAGTTTGCATTCTTGATTTGGCTCTCAGCTTGAACACTGCAATAACATATTTTTAAATTAAGGCATGTACATTAGTTTTTAGGCATACACTATTGTATACTTAATAGATTACAGTGTAGTGTACACCTGACTTCTATATGTACCAGGAAACCAAAAAGTTCATGTGACTCACTTTATTATGGTGGTCTGGAACTGAACCTTCAGTGTCTCAGAGGTATGCCTGTATATGTGTATACATATATATATATATATGTATATGTGTGTATATATATGTATATGTGTGTATATATATGTATATGTATGCTATGAAGAAAGATTAAAAAGAGTAAGTAGAGAGTGACAGTGGGCTCTATTTTAGGCAATGTGAGCACAGAAGACTGCTCCTCTCTTCAGGAAATGGAATGAAGTGAAGAAATGAGTCATGTCAACATACTGAAGACTATTTCAGGCAGAGGGAAAAGCAAGTTCCATTGCCAAAAGGCGGTGAGGAGTTTTGCTTGTATAAGGATTTGAAGTAGTACAATGCTCTGTTAACATAAATATGTACAGAATCATTCAGGTGTTATAGAGGACAGAATAAAGTCTCTCTCTCTCTCTCTCTCTCTCTCTCTCTCTCTCTCTCTCTCTCTCTCCCTCTCCTCCCGTCCCTCTCTTTCTCTCAAGTTGATTGTATATACCAAGAGCTTAGTACTTTGTAATATTTCTTGGATACCAACCCTGATTTGACTCTTTTAAGATGATAACTCTAGCGGCAGATTGGAGGCAAGATTTTAAGGATAAGGGGCTGGTGGAAGAAACATAGGAAATGCCTTTAGAGGTCCGAGTACTTATTGAACAAACAGGAGCAGCACGGATGTTCAGGAAGTATTATTCCTATGTTGTGGATAAAGGACTGGCAGGACTTGATGGGGAAAAAGAAAATTTTCAGAATCACCAAGATTTTATAACTTGGGAGAAACTGTCTAGGGGTACAGGGAAGACAGAGGAGCCTGTCCCTATATGGAAGGAATAATGTTTTCAGGTTGGAGACATGAGTCAAGATGCCTGTGATTAACACTGATGCAAATGTACAGAAAGTAATTGCAAAAAGAAGCGTAGTGTGCAGATTAGGGGTAAGGCTAAGAATACAGGTTTGGAGGTAAAAATAGTAGTTGGACAATATTGTCCCAGTGATACTTGTAGAGTGACTGAAGAGGATAGAGCCAGAATTAGGTATTCGCCTCCACAGGATAAGAGAAGAAAGTTGAACCAAGAAAAGATAGAAAGAGCAGAAGAGACTGAAACAAGAACATGTAAAAACCCAAAATAGAAGTGAGGAGAGAATTATATGAAAAGGGGTGCCACCATGTTACATATTACAGATAAGCAAGGAAGCTCAAGAAATAATACAAATAATAATACTGAATATATCCTTCATTGGAGGTTAAATGAAATAAGGTTTTATATCCAATGTTCTCGGTTTACTTTGTAAATACTAGCTCGTGGTCCCCCAAATTTACTACATGTTCCCATTTTTAAAATTCAGCAAACAGATTTAGGTAACAACAGTAAACTTACTAGATATATCTTACAATGGGAGCAACTATAACAAGGTGAGTAAAACAAATGAATGGGAACGTTTGCTCTGGAAAATCAAGAAATACACACACACACACACACACACACACACACACACACAATCTTTAAGGATAGTTATTAATTATGGAAGAAACAAACCTAAAATTATGAGAGTATTAATTCATCCTATATGATAAAAATTCTTAACATTTTAAAAAAGTCTTGCAACACTGTAACAAATTCAAAAGGCTGGATATTTCTTCCTTTAAAATTGCTTACAAGTACAATCCAGTGAAAATTCTGTACCTTTAGAAAATGAACAGAAATAGTCAAAAATTTCATCTGTGTTTCTTGTGTGCAGCCAAATGACTAGCATCCTTCTCTATCCACTCCATATTCTTCAATCACCCATAAATAGTTCCAAAAATCATGAAGAATAGATACCACTACTCAGAAGGCACTGGCAGATAGATAGGATCAGGAGTCTGCTTTGACAACTACAAGGAATTTCCTTAAGACATCCACATACAAATTTTAATTAATAAAATTGTTATTGGCGAATAAACAGAAATGGCAACAAGGCTGGCATTTGAGTAGTCCAAGTATTACTTAGAGCTCCAAAGTACTAAGTGGGTGCTTGCTACATGATGGACTGAAGAGCAGGTGGCATGCCAAATGAAATGTCCATATTTTTCACTTGCAGGAAGTAGAATATTCCCTGTTCAAGTCACCAAAATAGCCCTAGATTTAGTCCTCTGGTGAATGAACATTGCATACTCACATCATTTCCCTCTATTGAAATGTTTCCTATTACCGTGTCCTTCTATCATCACTATTGTCATCTTTTCATCCTTCAATGACATAGTACAGATTTTAAGTACCCATATGAGATTTATTCTCAGTTCTATAGAAACAGAGCAATGGGTGAAAGAATTCATTTCAGCTCTAAATTCTTTGTGGCTACTTTTCCTTGGCACATTTTTGGAGAACTGGACCTCTAATTAAATGCACCTTTGATAGATCACTTTAGAAAGACCATTTTGAAGATAAATTTCTACAATTTACCTCACTACATTTATTTGCAGGTTGAATTTATTAGTTCAAAGATAGGTCAGTTATTAAGGGCAAGATACTATTGCTTGAAGGGTCAACTGTAGTAAATCCAATTAACTTCACTGAAAATATTCTTTCGTACATATTTTCTTCAGTGAGTATAAGGAAAATAAACTGTAAGAAACTGACAATTATCCTAAAAATTAAAGAATATGTGAAATAAATTGTAAAATTTGTTATTTCTCCATGCAAATAAAATGTGACATAGAAAAGCTAAAAAACAAAGCAAGAAACAACTCCAAAGAAACCACATGAGATGGAAAGATCAGAAAATGCTACTAAAATTATTAGCTGTGCTGAAAATGGCAACTAACTGCTATAGTGATATTAACTGCTGTGATAATATTAACAAGCTACAGTTGCTAAAACATTTATTATATGTCAAACACTGTGCTTTTCATACACACATACACTCCTACAAAGAAAGTTTTATCTAATTTCACAGATGCTGCAATTGAGAGAGATTAGGTCAATTATCCAAGACCATGTGGCTTGCAAATGGCAGAGTTGAGATTATATCCAGGAAGTATGTGTCACCAAATCTCTATTTCCTTCTTTCTGAATCTGTTGTGTATACTGTGTGTGTGTGTGCATACACGCACATGTGCATATATGCTTATTATTTCTTTCCAAAATTGACGTTTCTTAATATTATGTTAATTATTTCTCCTCCTCTTGAACTCAAATACATTCTACAATATTCTTCCAGAATATAAATGAGAGAAAATCCTGTCCCTTCTCACAAAAAATGAAATAAAGTTTTACATAGCCTTGTAATAGCTCTGAGGGTTTCTCTTAGTGGGTTTATGATTGCCAAACCTCTGATATCCAGGTCAGAGAACTGGTTTGAGCAAACCTTTTATCTCGCAAATGGCCTCACATCTTTATATGATTTCAGATAAGGTGAAGAAGGCCACCACTAAAATGGAAACATAGCTAATTATAGTGGCCGGCTTGTGTAAGGAGAAAGTGTTCAACTTCAAAGAACATTCAGACAAGAAAGTCGTCATGGGATTTCCACCAAAAAGTCTCATTTCTAATAACAGAACATTTCCATTAAGGTTTTTTTTTCCTCCATGCCTTATTCTTAATGTCCCCTCCAATGCAAGATTGTGTACCAGGTGTTAAGATCCTTATGATACGAGGAGAGTTTGATTTTCTTCATAGTATTGATAGTTCACTACAATGTCAGGTATAATTTTAAGAAAATAACTTGTATTAATTAGGTAATAGGGAGTAATGGTTCAATAACAGTAGGAGAATTTCATGGTCTCTTCTGAAATCCAGCCCTGATAGGTTTTTGAAATGGAGTAACTCTAAGCACCTTTACTTTTATTTATCTCTTATTAAATGGCATTACTAATAATGGGCAGTTGCTGATCTGACAAGCAGTGAAGCAAAGATTAGTGATGAAAAGAGGTAGAAAAAAAAAACCCTTGAGGGTAAAAGTAGCAAGTCAGAGGCAAATTAATATATATTTACATTTTCTAATAATTGATTTATTCAACATATTTCTAATTCTACATCATGCCGATTGTGTGTGCGTGTGTTTAACTAGAAATTTGGTGTTCTTAGAAATAGTACAAAAAGGAAAAAATTCTTCCTTGTTTTCCTTTCTTGTACTCAATTTCTTTAAATTTTCATTTTACCTACTAATAACCTTAGAATATATGATTATATATATATTAAGAATATATATCTCAAAGCACATTATAAGGAGGACATAAACAACCTTTCCATGTATGTTCAAACATTTATTTATTTATTTATTTATTTATTTGCTCATTCGACAAACATTTATTCAGTGCTTACTATGTTTCACTGGGGTAGGAATGGGGAGTGCAGACACACAAATATATACTACATTTAGAGCAGGTCAGGTATAACAACTAGTAAAGTGCAATGTATAATGGAGCACAGAGCAGGAACTGATCACTTTTGTGTTTGATAGACAAGAAGGTCAGGACAGAAAGGCTGGGAGCAGAAACAGCTCATGCACCTCATTATAAGGGGATGGACGGCAGAGAGAATGTATTCCAAGAGGGAACATGGAACATGCAAAGACAGGAAGCAGAAGAAGTACGGAGCTATCACGTAGGGGAATGGGAAGTAATGGAGTAGAAATAGAAAGCAAAAGCCAGAGAAAAGAAGGATCTTGTATACCACCCTCAGAACTGTAGTGGAGAAGCTACAAGAGTTTTAAATAAGGGAATGGCACTTATGTTTTCCAATTGATCTTCTAAATATATATGAATATATATTTATAAATGAAGGTATATGAATATGTGAATAAATAGACATAAGATCTACTATTAATGCTTGGTTTTCTAATCAAATAAGCTGATCTGAATGAGATATAAATATTGCTACAGAAAAAAGAAATTCAAGATAAAAATGACAACTTTTTTGTAAACATTAAGTGTCCATTCACTTAATTTTTTTTAACTTTTATTTTAAGTACACGTGCAAGTTTGTTACATAGGTAAACTTGTGTCATGAGGGCCTGTTGTACAGATTATGTTGTCACCCAGATATTAAGCCTAGTACCCATTAGTTATTTTTTCTGGTTCTCTCCCTCCGCCCAACCTCCACCCTCTGATAGGCCCCATTGTGTGTTGTTCCCCTGTATGTGTCCATGTGTTCTCATCACTTAGCTCCCACTCATAACTTACTTACTTATAAGGAGTGCCTTCTACCATTTGGCTATTTTGTCAACCCCACAATTAACAGTTTTTCTATCTAATCTATCATTGATGATAAGGGCCACTATTGTTATGTAAACTAAGAAAGCCAAAAAACAAAAAAACCTACACTTTGTAAACATTATCTATTGTACGATATATCTCAAGTTCAGAGGTGTTGAAATACTAAAAAATGCATTTGGGAATCAATGAAATCCTAAGACATTTGTGGATACTATGGTTGATTTGTCAGTTCATTATTATTCATTTCCTCTCTTAATATGGCTGCCCTGCAGTGAATATACTTCCCTTCCCATTGACTTTGGGCTTGACTGTGTACCTTTGACCAATAGACCATGGACAGACAGAAGGGACTGTGTGGCAGCTCTTAGCTGGAACTTTAAAGGCAGTTCAAGATTTGCTGGTTCCCCTTGTTCTTATCTTCCATCATGAGAGAATAATATGCCATATAAAAGCTGCTCTTTCCGCTAGGGTCCTGGGATGAGAAGACATTTAGAGCAGATCCATATTCTAGAATGAAAAGACCTTAACTTGATTCATAGTGTGGAGTAAAGCTGCAGCTGATCTGCAGACACATGAGTGAGTAATAAATGTTTGTTGTTATATGTCACTGGAATTTTGTCATTGTTTGTTACTGCAGCAAGAGCTGACAATTACAATATTATAGTAAAACAAACAAACAATATGTGATTTCTGGGACAAAAAAACCAAAGTAAGCCTTTAATATAAATGTGCCCTGGTCGCATATATTGACTGCACTATCTCTCATTCCATACAGAAACTGTTTGCTAAAAAGTGTAGCAAGAAACAAAATATGAAATGGAATCAATATTGTGTTAGAGCCTGATTTCTGCAGTCCAGATTGTCAGTCAGACTCTGACAAATGAAGGCTGATGGATGGAAAAACACAACATTGTTCAGTTGAGTTTCTTTGTCTTTCCTCTCATGTTGGGTGACTGTTCTTTTACTTAACTACAATTAGGTTTGCTAGACCACTGCAACACAGCTCTCTTTCACTATAACTGCATGCTGTCAAGTACGTGCCAACCTGATTGACAAAGAATGACAGGTTCTCTCTTCCCATTTTGAACTAATCAAGGGCAGCTCACCAAAGGGAGACTTAAAAAAAAAAAACTTAGAGATTTATGGATTTCAAAAATAATCTGTCCAAATATACAAAGCATAATGCAGCATTGATTTTTAAACTGGAAAGTGTTGTGAAACTGTGAAGATATAATCTACTAAGCTGCATACTTGAAATGTTCAAGGCCAGTGAAAGAGTGGGCATAGGTGTGACCATCAAGTAACATCCAGAAGCCTCTATGGAAGCTCTCCACCTTAAAGTGGGGGTTTCAAAGTCTTTTTGGCAGAATTCTTTTGGCAAATGAAATATTACCAAAACTCTTCCAAAAAATCACTTGAGTCATTCCATAAATATTGACAGATTACTTATTGTCTGCTAAACATTGTTTGAGGTACTAGATATGTAACAGCGAATAAAACAGACAAACTTTTTGTGTCCTCATAAAACTTACATTCTAATGGTGATAATGTGTAGTAAAAGAGAAATTAAGGTGCTTTGGAGAGTGAAAAGTGCTAAAGAACAAAATGTAAAGCACTGGATAGGAATAAGAGACTTAGGTATGGGGCAAAGGGAGGTGGCATGTGGAGAGTTTAGAAAGTGCCTGCAGGGAAAGCCTCACTGAGTAGGTGGTATTTAAATAAAGATCTGAAGGAAGTGAGGGAACGATTCAAGTAGCTATCTCAGGAAAGAACAATCTGTGCAGAGACAGCAAGTGCAAAGGCCCTGGGGCAGGAGTGTATGTGTATGTTCAATTAAAAAAAAAAGGACACCAGGGTGAGTGGAATCTAGTGAGCAAGGGGAGAGTAGTAGGAATGATAGTCATAGAGTTGGGGATGGAGGAGGATAGGTCCTGCATCTTTGGAAGGATCTTGGCTGTTATCCTGAGTGAGATTAGGAAGCATAGGAGAGTTTTCAGCAGAGGAGTGATGTGATCTGACTTATTTTTAAACAGATCATTCTGGCTGCTGTATTAAGATTAGACTTTAAGAATGCAGAGAACAGATGGCAGTTAAGAACAGATTCTTAAGGGGGTACAATCTGCATTGTTTGGATGGAAGGACTTTGTGAAAACCTGAAGCCATTATTTTGGAAAACTTTATACATACAGTTCTTAACTAAGGGCCAAAGCTCTGGTCTGGTTTAATAGCAGCACAGGACACTGCTTAGAAGAACATTCATTTAAACTGGTACTCCCAGGTCTTGCTGCCTTCCTAAGTCCTTACTGGTGAAGAGTATGGGCTCTTGAGTCTGGTTATCTAGGTTCCAATCCTAGCATGAATTGACTATTTCCAACAGAGACCAAATGGCCCATGAAGCCTCAAAAACTGACTGAAATTTTTCTATTTGGCCTTTTAAAGAAAAAAGTTGGCCAACACTGATGTAGAGAAACGGTTAGGTTCAGGCTCTGTGGCTCTAAAATCCTTCAAGTATGCATAATTATTCCACAATGTAAACATATATCAAAACATCACATTGTACCTCATAAATATATGTACTTATTATTTGTCAATTAAAATAAAATAAAAAATACAGGGGTATTTTTAATAATCAAACATTAGAAACAAATGCTTTTCTATAAACTCCTTATATAGACTCATAGAAAGAGTTAAACAATTTATAATTAGAATTTATTTGTTTATTTATTTACTATTTTGACACAGTCTCGCTCTGTCGCCCAGGCTGGAGTGCAGTGGCATGATCTCGGCTCACTGCAACCTCTGCCTCCCCAGCTCAAGCGGTTCTTGTGCCTCAGCCTCCAGAGTAGCTGAGATTACAGGCATGCACCACCAAGCCTGGCTAATTTTTGTGTTTTTAGTACAGACGGGGTTTTGCCATGTTGGCCAGGCTCGTCTCGAACTCCTGGCCTCAAGTGATCCACCCATTTCGGCCTCTCAAAGTGCTGGGATTACAGGTGTGAGCCACTGCACCTGGCCAATTTGTAATTATACTTTAGAGCAGAGGTTAGCAAACATTTTCTATAAAACACCATATAGTAAATATTTTAGACTTTGTGGGCCAAACTCAAATTCTGCCAATGTGGCATGAAAGTAGTCAGGTCTAATACATGAACAAATAAATGTGGCTGTGTTCCAATAACTCTTTATTTCTGAAAATAGGTGGAGGACTAAATGTGGCCCTTGGACCATAGTTTGCTGACTCTTGCTTTAGGATATTACAGTGTTGTTGGAAATAATCAGTCTAGAAATAAGAACATCTGGGTTCTAGGCTTATTAGCCCATGAGTTGGGGCAAGTCATTTAACTGCTCTAAGTTTCAGGTTTCAGTATCTTTAAATATAAAATAAATGAAACTAACAGATATTACTGTGAGTAAAGGGTTAAAAACACCCTTTGTCCATCTGTATGAGAATTTGTACTTTGATCAACTTTCTAGCTCCCTTCTCCCTAGAAAACTGATAAAGTTGGAATGTCAAATGTGTGAGCAGGCAACATTGCTTCAGATTAAAAAAAAAAATGATGGGGACTGGTAAATTACACCTTGGTTAGGTGTTCTACATATGAACTATAAATACCTAATGGAAAACCATAATTGTGGGGCGTCCCCAAGTACAACAATTCTTGTAACTAAGCATGTCCTTTTTGAGGACCTTGGAAACTATGTTACAAGGCATTGGCCTCTGGGATGCATAAGGCTTCTAGGCCAGGGTTGACCCAGCATCTCGATTTGTTTCCTTCCTGTGCACCTGAGATGTCATGAGAGAGTGGACAGGTGCTGCAAAGTGAATAGCTCTTGGATGGCTCCCTGGGTGCTTCAGAGATTGCTACGCATACTCATCCTACTAAAGAGAGATACCCGATGCTACCTTCCTGCTAAGCTATATTCCTATATCCTTCTAAGTGCCTTTGCTACTGAATGTGGTCATAGTATTGTTCAGTTGCACCTAATCAAAGAAGACTTACTGTTGTGTTTTACAATAATCAATTATAAGACTCACATTTTATTTCAACAGGTTAGCTGCTCTGAAATTGGGACACGTTTTATAAATGATAGCGTGTCATAGTCTAAAACGGCAGCACATTTTTCTTGGTGAAAAATAAAATAACAATGCATACTCTAATCAATGGTATCTTAAAAACAGTAAAATATGGAAAGTGATCAGGCTTTTCATAGTAGGTCAGGATGAAATGATTTAGTACATGTAAAGGTAATACTGCTACCATTTGTTGGAAACTGACTAAGTGCAAACACTCTGCTATGCACTTAACATAAATCATCTTAATTAATCTCAATCTCCATTGCAGAGCCTCTCAGCAATACTATTACCATTTTTTCAGATTAAAAAACTAGAGTCACGAAAGGTCAGAAACTTGCCTAGGGCACAACCTAACATATGGTGAATCTGAGATTTGAACCCTAGTCTTTCTGAGGCAAATCCTGCATACATAATTACTATGCTACAGGGTCTCTGGATTTAAATATTGTACCAATAAAAAGTAGGTTTTATTTGATGAATCCTACGGCTCAGAACGGAACAAAGTAGTTTCGATTAGGATGTAATGTGAGTTTCAATCAGGGTTTCTCAGCTTCAGCCCTATTGCCATTTGGGACTGGATAATTATTTCTTGTCGGGAGCTACCCTGTGTACTGCAGGGTGTTTTGCAGCATGCCTGGTCACTATGCACAAGATGCCAGTAGCACTTTCTCCTCCCCCATGTGTGACAACCACAAATATCTCCAGCAATTGCCAAATTCCCCTGGAATCATCTGTGGTAGAGAAGCATTCTATTATTGAATACATGAAGGAACAAATGAAAGAATGTCTGTTCACGGTCTGTATTTTCAGTGTACATGAATTAATATGACATGATATGAATGTCTTTCCTTCCTTTCTCTTATATACAACATTGTATGTAATGTCATCTGTTCATATACTCTTTCAGATGCACTTTTATCACGCTATGTCTCTTAACATTCATTTGAGTGTGGTTCTGATGAATTCTAACCATCATGGCATGTTTCAGTTTCTGGCTGAATGGGTCCTAATATCTCTGGATTATATACCCCAAAAGGATTAGGGAATACAGTAGATCTAAGGACTAGAAAGGCACATATTAAACAAAAGTGATTTTGACATATCTCTGAATAGTGGCCAGTGATATTTGCATTATTTTAAACCAATATAGAGCATCTCTAAGTTATTATCCATATAGTAATTGGACATGGTTCTTTAAGTCTTAACAGAATATTTACTTAAATCTGTTATTATTAAACACTAGAAGTTGCTTTTTAAAGATAAAACAGCCATTAGGCTAATTTTCATTAAAAGCAAAGAAAAGAGCAATTCAATTCTGACTTCATGACTGACATGCACTTTAAATAAAATTAAAGATGTTTTGTTTTTACTATTAGGTTCTGTACCAAAATCATAGTCATTATCTAAAACAACTCTTTCTAAGTGCTACCATAACTAATAAACTCAAGCAATCAAATGGGTAATTGAATTAAACTCGTATTTTTTTAAAAAAAAACAGCAACAATATATCTGCATTCTCTCTTCTGAATACTCTTCCTAAACATGTACAGGAAACAGCAAATATATGGGTTTCTGAAATCAAGAAAAAGGACACATTATGTAATAAAGCCAATTCCTGGTTTACTCAATATGTCAGTCTTCATCTGTGATACCAGGTCTTTAGACTGTTGCACTTAGCCTTTATACACTTATAACTCATGATTTCCATATGTTCCACTAAGTAGCCATTTTCACTAGTCTCCTGAAAAGTCAACGATAAGATTTTGGATAAGGAATTGTAGACTTATATATTAGGTGCATATAATCCAGAACTCTACTAGAATCTAGAATATACAGACAACTCATATTAATCGGTAAGAGAAAGTAAACAATCCAACGGAAAATTGGGGTAAATATATGAAGAGTCAACTCACAGAAGGAAAAATCTGTCCAACAAACTTGAAAACTTGTTCAACCAGGGATATGCAAATTAAAATAATAAATTCCTGCCACTTCTTGCTGCTGGTGGAAAAGCAATTTGCAATATATGATAAAATTAAAAATGTGAATACTCTAATGAGGTAACAATTCCACTTCTAGGTGTTCTCATATGTCTATCTGAGGAGACCTACAGAGAATGTTGTTTCAGCATTGTTCATTAGTGAAGAGCTGGAACAATCTGATTATTCACTGTTAATCTAACGGGCACATTGATTGTTTGGTTTCTATTAAAATCAAGAATACTTTTACCAGATTACTTCTGTATTCTAAAGCCATTAAAAATCTTTGTTCGTATTTTTATGGAGTCCAAAGTTCTATTTAAGCTAGTCATAAGCAAAGTTAATGCTACTATTCATAATGGACTCATTGAAGATACTAAAGATAATAAAATAACAATACTATCTCTAACAAATTGGACTTTAGTTACAATGGCATACACAGTACAATGTCCAAATAACATCTGTTCAGTTTTGAGTGAAGCACAGGAACGTGTATGTATGTATGTGTGTGTGCATAATTTGTATTTGTGTTATCTCTCCAATTATGTAAATCACTAATACTTATTACTATGCTAATACCAGAAGACGTATTGTAATAAAGGTCACATGAATTATTAATTTTTGTGTTTCTTATCACCTATTTCATCA
This sequence comes from Homo sapiens, assembly GCF_000001405.40. Taxonomy (NCBI): domain Eukaryota; kingdom Metazoa; phylum Chordata; class Mammalia; order Primates; family Hominidae; genus Homo; species Homo sapiens. The sequence goes on from NC_000023.11 coordinate 31,856,871, forward strand.
AATAATTTTAAAGACAGAGATGCTATCTATCCACACTTTCTCTACTTGTCATTCACAAAAGTTCCTTCAAACAAATCTTAAAAATTAAAAGTATGCGCACATGGCTTTGTAGTTTCATGTTTCAGTAAGGAGAATTTTACTTGGATCCTATACATTATTGTGAGTGCTTCCATGTTTTGCCTTCTTAATGCTTACCAAAATTATTAATGTCAAGAATACCAATCTTGGCCAGGCATGGTGGCTCACGCCTGTAATCCCAGCACTTTCGGATGCTGAGGCTGACGGATCACTTGAGGTCAGGAGTTTGAGACCAGCCTGGTCAACATGGTGAAACCCTGTCTCTACTAAAAATACAAAAATTAGCCGGGTGTGGTGGTGGGCACCAGTAATCCTAGCTACTTGGCAGTCTGAGGCAGGAGAATCCCTTGAACCCAGGAGGCGGAGGCTGCAGTGAGCTGAGATCGCAGCACTGCACTCCAGCCTGGGTGATGGAGCAAGACTCCACCTCGGAAAAAAAAAAAAAAAAAAAAAAAAAAAAAGAGAATACCAATCTCATTTTAATGACCAGCATGTTACATAATCAATTATTATAAATGATTTTAAGCTGTTTAATGTTCAAATTAAAACTTTTCTTAAAATAGCCTAATTTAAATAATTATGGATGTTTTCATTAACTATATTATTTGTGCCCTGTTATGTTCGGTAACTGCCAAATATTCATTGTGTCAAGGGGGTCACCAAAGTGTTCAGAATTTGGAAACTGTAGCTTCAGATGTATTAAACATGCAAACTCTACTTTTTTATATGTATCATTTTGAAATTACAGAACAAACTGAATGCATTTACACTAAGTAATAATTGAAGCAGTTAACTTGGCCCTACGGTGTTTCCTTTTCAAAATATATGTCAGATATATACAGAGAAGTGTTTAATATCCCCTATATGCACAGATACATATATCATATATATGATATATGAAATATATAAGGAATTTAAATTTTCTATATCATGAATCACATACTGATTCATTCATTCAGTATGTGAATGCATGAGTCTAATCCCACTGACACTATTGCTCAAAGGAGGGTCAGGAAGAATAGGGGGGAAAATGATGTGAATAGGAAAACAGTAAGCATATGGCAATTTTGAAGTATTTGGAATACAAAGTTATTATAAGTTGAGTACAGCTGACAAAAAAATGCATAGTAACATCAGCTAACTTTGCCTAGTAGATGATAGGGGTACTTATATAAAATAGAATTGTATTTGTTAATTAGAATCATAATATACTCTTCAGTGATACAGAACTTAATATACTAAGTGAAATCTCAGTATATAGAATTGTATATTCAAGAGGACATATTGCTATGGCATTTCTAAGCCGTAAATTCAACGCATAAAGTTTGGATGATTACATCTTCATTGGAGAGAATCATGTTACTTTATGATATATTTTCATACTGATAACATCTAAGTTTATTCTGAATTAGGATATATGAAGTATTACTTAAAACCCTTCAGAATGTTACATAGTTTTGTTAGAGACATGCATCTTTAAATTATTTTTTAGATAATATATTATTATCATTTGGTAATTTTTCTCAACTCTCAAATATGAGTGGAAGTTTAAATTGGTATGAGTTCTTGAGATGGAAACTGAAGAGTGAAATAGCTTTATTTAAAATAGATACTTCTCCTAATGCTAAAACTTAAAGTATAATAAAAAAAATAAAATAGATAATTCTTAAAGTGTTCTTTTTAGTGTTCAATAATTTATATATATGTATTATATACATTATAGTTATAATGGCATATACAGTATAATGTTCAAATAACATCTGTTCAGTTTTGACAAATATATATATTTGTCTTTTTCTCCCCATTGGGAAATAAAGTAACAAAGATTATGGCCACAGTTTATCTTGCTTTTGTTTTTCCTCACAGCACCTGATAGAGAGTTCTACCTGTAAACACCAAGTTCACTCCCTCCTCCACTAAATGACAATGTAACAAGTGGCTTCAAGTTGCTCCAACTTTTTGGAAGGCATCCTTATACATAATGGATAATCACGCTTGTTTTTAGAGGTATCATAATTACAAATTTAGAATTCTAAGTGTTCTTCAGCAGTAACTCAGAGATTTAAGAATCCCTTTAGTAACTGATATAGTCAGCAGAGAACCGTATTTCCTGATGAAAATACAAGCTCAGAGCCACAAGGTCAGCAGGGTAGAGACTTATCAGGCAGACAAGAGGCACTGTTCCAGAGAGCAGAGGGTCAGAGGAGACTGCAAGTACCTGCATAGAGATCTCAGGTCATGTATAATGCTTCCTCATCTGTCAACCCAGCTGCCATTTTGGAGAGGAGCAGGAGGAGAGCAAGGAAATCTAAAAGACTGGTCATTATCCATGAGGTCCCAACCCATAAAAAGAGACTGGTGAAATCACTATTTCAGAGTGAGATGATAATTTTTTCTCACTGCCCAGTATGGGAAAGGGTTATGAAGATCACTGAGAAATAAATGAAGAAGTTTTCATTCTGAGAATCAATATTTGACTCCCGGACATACCCATTTAACTTCTCCTGCATATTTATTGTATGCATGAAAATGTATCTACTTAAGAATCTATGACAGTGCTTTTCAAACTGTGGTTCCACAGACCAGAAATAACAGTTTCACATTAAATTTTAAGAAGCATGGCTCTAGATAGGATATAGTAGAATAAGGAATGGATAAGTGTTAGCCTCCCAGATTTTAATTCATTTACATACTTATGGATATAACACTTATCTTTAAATGATACGACTTTGTGAATAAACAGCTTCATGAATATAGCTTTATGAGACAATGGAGAAAGGTGGCCAAATTTTTTAAAAAGTTATGATTAGAAGAATTGTGTTGTTTTAAGTATTGCAAATTGCAAGTGCAGAGCATGTCTGAATGTATCTGAAATCCCAACGTGTTATTTTCTACCAACAGTCAATGCCACCAAGGGAGGTAACTTGCAAGTTTAAAACCTTCCTCATTTAACTTCCATTGTTTCTGCACCGCGTTCTGTCTGCCAATCAAAGCCATCCCCTGGGCATTATAGTTAGTAAACCAGGTGGTCCATTCATCCACTTAAGCAGAAATTGTTTGAAAATGATTGGAAGTGTTCCCATTTTTCTCCTCCACACAGAATCAGAAAGAGATGACACCCATGGGCAGAGCAGAGTTTTCTTTAGAGTACATAAAAAAAAAAAACTGATAGCATGGCTTCTGACGTTCTCTCATAACTTCCTTCAAAGTATTATCTAAATTTCCTTCTAAAGGAGTAGTGAAGGACTGCTAAGTAAAAACTAAAATTCTAATATGCAGTAAAAGCATTATTTCAAGAAAGTATAAACATATTTAGGGTGACAAAATGACTTTTTAAGGTTTATTTCAAAAGCAAGAGAATGATCTAGGAGAGAGTAGAACTGCTTTAGGAGAAAATGGTATAATATTGGTGAATGGAAAATAGAAATTGGAACCTTTTAATTTCTATTGGGTTTGTTTCTTGTATGTCAAGAGGAATGGTATTCTAACTGCAAAGAATAAAACAAATAGCAGTGAGAGGGAACTGGTGTCCAAGATGGGTAAAGAGATTAGAAAGCCCCCAGCTGCTCAGAATTAACTCTCTTGATGCAGATAAATTACATCTCAGTATGCTAATACAACTGGCAAGTCAAATGGCAAACCATTGTGGTTACTCATGAAGACTGGGAAAGTGCAGTTTTGATTTTCACAAGGAAAAATAAGTGTGGGAATAAAATGTTAAGCTTCCAGATAGTTATTTCAGATTTGGCTAGAAAATGCAATGCAAAGAGAAGCCACAAACCTTCTTTAGGTAATGTATTTTGAAAGAATGGGAGTCAGTTGACACAGGCTCTTTGCAAAGACAAACCCTGTTCTAGCCATCAATGTATTGTTAGATAAATAAGAAAATGAAAGCAAATATTTACATATTAGTTAAAAATTTTTTAAATCTCTACTTGTGCTACAATTTGTCATCATGTTGAACTTCTGTCCAGGATTGATGGCTAAGAAGAGCAAAGACCATTCCTATGCAATTCAAAGGTTAGTTTTGATGTTTTCAGGTTATAACCTTAAGACTAGAATCTGTCTGTTGTAGAAAACATTCATTAAAACCTTTATCATAGAAAACCATGTTTTTACTTCAAGTTGTAAACTATATTTGCCTTAGTAAGAAAGAGACCAATAACCCAAAAGAGAACATTGGCAAAAAACAAAAAAGTAGCAAACAGTGCATAGAAAAGGAAATAAAAATGATTCTGCAACACATGAAAAAATTCAAATTCACTCACAAAATGAATAAAGAATTCAAATTAAAATGACAGATATCACCATTTTTCTTGTTTAGAAGATCAAAAAGGTTGATAACACACTGAGTGGGCACGGGTATGGGGAAAAGAAACCTTTCCTAATACTGACGAGATGTTCTATGAAGAGCAATTTGGCAAAATGTACTAACAAGACAAATGCCAGTTTGACGCAGCCATTCGACGGCTAGGAATTTATCACATAGATATATTTGCAACGTGTAAAATGATGTGCACAAAGTTATACATTTTCTTATCTTAGCCAAAAGTCGAAACAAACTAAAGGCTCACTAATTGGAGTGCTGCTTAAGTGAATTATGGTATATCCTTAGAACAGAATAGTATGCAACTGTAAAAAAAAAAAAAAAGAGACAGTTCTTTAACTACTAATACAGAAAATAATCACCTGTGTGTGTGTGTGTGTGTGTGTGTGTGTATATATATACACACACACACACAGCATTTTACTCTTCCCTTTCTTATAAGGGAGGGAGAAGAGTGCTATACACACACACACACACACACACACACACACACACAGGCATTTTAGTCTTTCCTTTCTTATGAAGGAGGAAGAAGAGTGCTTTTCCTTCTGCCCTCGCCAAGCCAAGGAAAAGGGCTTCAAAAGAACCATCTTTTGAAGGATGCAGAAACAGTATTTATAGTATTCTAACAGCTGGCTTTATTTTAAGAGGACAAGAGTAGAAAATAATATACACACACACACACACACACACACACACACCTACATCCTATTCTTGGAAGGCTACCCAGGAAACTGAAAACCTTGGCAGCACATGGGGAGAGAAACTGTGTGGCTGAAAGACAACAATGCAACAGAGGATTTCAATGCTTTTGAATTTTGTACTGGAAGAAAGTATCTATTCAATAAATAAACAAAATTATTATTATTATTATTAAAGATGGAGTCTTGCTCTGTCACCCAGGCTAGAGTGCAGTGGTGCAATCTCGGCTCACTGCAACCTCCGCCTCCAGGTTCAAGGGATTCTCCTGCCTCAGCCTCCCGAGTAGCTGGGATTAGAGGCACTCACCACCATGCCCAGCTAATTTTTGTATTTTTAGTGGAGACGGGGTTTCATCACCTTGGCCAGGCTGGTCTGGAACTCCTGACCTCGTGATCCACCTGCCTCAGCCTCCCAAAGTGCTGGGAGTACAGGTGTGAGCCATTGCGCCTGGCCTATTTATATTATCTTTAAAGTCTGTTATACAGGGATAAATTTACCCCCAACTTTGTAATAATTAACCCAGTATGACATCACTGATACAGTACTAATTAACTCATTTTCTATAAAACTGTGCAGATTATCTTAAAATTCGAAACAAAAATGAAGTACAATACAAATGATAACAACAGTTCCAGAAAACAACACTTAAGCATACCACACGTAACACAATGTAATAACCTGCGTTATATTCTTTGGTACCCTATGCTATCTTATTCTATTTTATTTTACCCATTAAATGGATTTCATAACTCATCAGTGGGTTGTAAGATTCTCTCCCGGGCCTGAAAGCTTAAGGAGATGAGTAACTCCTCCTTTCTCAGGCCCATTCCTAAGGCACAAGGCTACTTGCCTGAGCAGCATGCACCGGCGAAATAGCAGAAGCAGGAAGAGAGCCGGCCAGAAGACAAGTACCTCTGAAGATCGAGAAAGAGGCCATCCGGGTACAATGCAGCAGTTACGTCAGGCCAGGAGACTTCCTGTTTACAGGAGACTATAAAACCTTTGTCCAGTCCTCACTTGGGGCTAACGCCATTTTAGGCCTGAGGCTGCCCGCACCCAGGCGCTCATTAAAACAGCATGTTGCGGCCGGGTGAGGTGGCTCACGCCTGTAATCCCAGCACTCTGGGAGGCCGAGGCGGGCAGATCATGAGGTCAGGAGATCGAGACCATCCTGGCTAACATGGTGAAACCCCGCCTCTACTAAAAATACACAAAATTAGCCGGGCGTGGTGGCGGGCGCCTGTAGTCCCAGCTGCTCGGGAGGATGACGCAGGAGAATGGCGTGAACCCAGGAGGCGGAGCTTGCAGTGAGCTGAGATCACGCCACTGCACTCCAGCCTGGGCGACTGAGCAAGACTCCGTCTCAAACAAACAAACAAAAAAAAGATTTGACTGGATTTGTTCCTGTGGTAGGCACTTCATTCCAATTTTCTTGCCCACTTTTTGGTTAATGACAGACTTTCTTCCGCTTTACAAAATAAAAGCACACCTCTCTGACCTATCCCACTGGTGCATTGTAGTCAAGATACATTTATGCCAAATAAAAGTACAATTCAAAATATTAGCGACTGAAATCCTTCTTTACTCAAGGTACCATCAAATACCCATCCATCTCATAATAGATTCATTTTCAATAACTATCCACTGAGTATGTTTAATAATTATTTATCAAAAGGTACATATATTTAGGTTATTTGGTTATTACTAAGTGTATTTATTATTAATACTTTAAATACTACTCAATCTAGAGAATTTTAAAAATACTTAGAGCCTTGTAGTCACAGGAAATTGTTTTTAAAAATTGAATTTAAGTCCACATAAATATAATTTTATAAAGAATTATGATAGAGTGGCTAATAAAACTTTATAGCATAAATATGTATCACATATTTATCACATTAGAATACAATTCATTGGGGAAGTTGAAAAATATGATTTAAATAAAAAGGAATAATATAAAACTTCTATTTATTAAATATGAGCTTTTTCATGTATTTTTAAGTATATGATGGTAGACATTATATTGCAATGGTATTTGGATTCCACGGGATACATTCTAAACTGTACTATAAACCCTTTTAAAATGTCAATATTTACTGTATCCCAAGGGCAGAAAATAGATGTCATCTTTAAAATGTGCAAGCAGATATTCAATTTTCTAAAATATTTTTATTTTTTATAAATACAATGGTCTGAATGCCACTATAATAGAGGTTCTTTGAAGCCCTCTTCCTTGGCTTGGCAAAGAGGAAAAGCACTCTTCTCCCCTCCCTCATAAGAAAGGGAACAGTAAAAGTCATAGAAGTTTTCTCATGTCCAACAAATTGTTAGTCCTATTTGAATGATCTGTTCCAGGAATTCTCATTCAAGAAACTGTTCTCAAGTTTATCCTTTTCCTTATATGGGCAAGTTAGGTTGGTGAACGATGAAAATCTCATGACCATCTACTCCCTTTTTTGGAGTGTTTTTCTGGTACCAACTTGCTGCTGTAGGGGTATTTTGAAGGCCTTTTTTTTTTTTTTTTTTTTTTTTAAAGAAGTCTTGCTCTATTCCCCATGCCGGAGTGCAGTGGTGTGATCTTGGCTCACTGCAACCTCCGCCTCCTGGGTTCAAGCAATTCTCATGCCTCAGCCTCCCAGGTAGCTGGGACTACAGGTGCGTGCCACCATGCCTGGCTAATTTTTTCTATTTTTAGTAGAGATGGGGTTTTGCTATATTGCCCAGGCTGATCTCAAACTCCCAAGCTCAGGCAATCCACCTGCTTTGGCCTCCCAAAGTCCTAGGGTTACAGACGTGAGCTACCATGCCTGGCTGAAAGCCTAATTTTTATTGTTAGTACCTCTTACCATAACTCCTGATACAACAAGAAAGGTCCCATTCACTGTCTTTTTCTACGCCTTAGGAAATGTGTTCCCATCTTAGTTTTGCCTTATCTAACAGAGTCCCAGGGAAATTCACTCAATTTTTCATTTTTAGTGAAGAAGAAGGTCAGGTTAAAAAGGGTAAGTGAGTTAAACAATATCGTAAAGCCAGTAAGTGTCAGCACTGGGATTCAAACTTAGTCTTTTGTTTCTTTCCCCTTATTATTCTACTTCAACTCAGCAATGGTTTTTGGAGTTGAGTAGAAAAAACAAAAAGTAAGAGGAAGATTATGGTACCCAGTGTTCATAAAGAGAAGCAGATGCCTAATTCCACTAATAGATGAAACTATCCACAAACTTAAACAAACACGCTTCAAGGTGTTATCAAGCCAGAATTATACTCTTGCCCAGAGGCAACCTAAACTCAGGAGAAAAACATTCAATAAATCTGTGTTCAGTTGCATGGTAAAAGGGAATAATTTGTCTTTTTGTCCAGTAACTGTCATCCAGTGTTTTTCAGGACACATTCCACTGATATTTTCATATCCAATATAAAACACTGAAACTTTTTTCTAAAGGTCTCTTCCTTGTTCCTTACCTCCCGAACACCACTTTTAAAAAATTTTTTTTAAAAATGAAATCAGATAACAGGTGAACTTGAGCTAGTACACATCTATCTAAGGGAGTTACTATTTGAATTTGAATTATCCATTCTAAAGTGAATTTAATGACATTAACCTCTGCAAAGCTAATTTTGTGAATGTTGAGTACACTCCTGACTGATTAATTGGGAATCCATTGGTAAGTCTGACTCCTTACCCACGAAAGCGTGGAAGCATGGTAACATCAGATTTTGATTCTCAGTAATCTGAGTATATTCTTGAGTCTAGAGTCCCAGGCTTCTTTGTTTGAAAAGCATCATTGGTTTAGAACATGGAAAATTCTTATTGAAATCTCATTTGGTTCAACTTCAGATTTTCAGTATTTAGAGAAATCATTTTCTGTACAGATCACGTTTGTAGAGACCTCATTCATGTTTCCTTTTTTTGTTGTTGCTGTTCCTTCGGTGCCTCTTTCCTCCAGGAGACATTCTCACTATTCTGTTTCTCCTCCTCTGAAGACTACTGCTGATTAGATGCTTCACCTCTATGGCACAAACTAGGCTTCTCTTCTTGTTAGTTTGATTTTTACTAAAGATGAACTTCAATGGCCTCTTCCGAAAACATAAGCACTCCCTAAGCTGGCTCATCTAAGACCTCTCCCTTCCCATCACCACCATTCCTCCTTCTTCCTTTGACTACTTTTGATCTTCCCTTTAGCTCCCTTAAATCCTTCAGCATATTCCTCTTCAAACCCGTACCTGCTCCATCTCTTTGTCCATCCATGACAGACCTTTCTCTTCCTACTCCAGTCTCTCAACTCTCTATGGTCTCTAAAGCGTTATGCTCCCTGCCACTACTGGGGGCTCTGGAAAACTCAAACCCCAGAAGCAACCACCTGAGGTTGAAAAAGCTAATTGGAAACAGACTGGATACCGTGTACGTTCAGATGGGATTTGGAGATACCCAGATGGCCACTAGGTATCTCCTCAGTCATTTACTCAAATTTTAGAACACAGCCTCCATAAATTACATATCAGGGCAAAAGAAAATCTTAAAAGGCTCCTCCACAAATATTGATGTAAACTTTTAGCCCTCATATTGAGTAGGTGAATTTAACTTGTATTCATAAGCTTTGCTAGTTGGCTATGAAATACTGGTATATGACAAACAGTTCACACTTAGCTAATTCCTAGTTTTCTCTATAAAATAAGACTTACTAATGGTTAAAAATATAATCAATATATGTAAATAAAACTTCCAGAAACATTAGGGGTAAAGGGAAACAACTTTGTATGCAAAATATACAAGGTATGTTGGATGTGTTTTTGTTAAGGAAAAAGAGAATAACTTTGTCCTAAATTAAAATGACTGTGAAAATGAGGAAGAGGAAGGTATAGGACAAAATCTGAATGAACATTGGAAATGGCAGAAGATTTGTGGAAGGAGAGTCTTATGTTAATAGCCAATGCTGGCTAAAACGGAATGGATTTATGTGTATGTAAACTCTTACAAATGACCCTTAGTATCAACAGTGTATTGATCAAAAATGAGTTGTAGTTTCTTTTTGTTAAAAAATGATAAAATATTCTTGGATTATTGGTCTGCTCTTTTGAAATAAAATTGAATATACTTAAGTATGCAACATATTTTGATATATATATATATATATACGCACACACAAAATTGCAAAACAATTATTTCGGTCAAACTAATTAACATTTTCATCTTTTCTATTGGTCTTCTCTTAATAAGAGATTGCAAAATTTGTTTTTTTTTTTATATTTTGGGTAATCTGTATAGGAAACAAATATTGTTTCTTATCAGAATAAGTACCTGTGTTGATTTTGTATGTCCTTGAATTTTTTTAGAAAGTAGTGTTTTCTCTTTGGAAAGAACTAAAAACTTTTACCGTCATGTGGCCTTCTACATTTATTTTTGAAATCTTTTATTGTCATCTTGGTTACATAGGTAGCCATGCATTCTTTCATAGTGAGCAATGATCCTATTCAGCCAAGTATTCAAACCTTTTGTCATTTTACAACCTTTGATATTTTGCTTTTCCCAGGTCAATTCTTAAATAAAATTTTTTTTAATCTCAGATTGGTTTGAAAAATTTCAAAGGATTTGTTCCTGCACCCTTGTAAAATGAAGGATGTTAAAAATAACTAGGTTCATTTGGTATGTTGAGTTGCATAAAAAGCTTTGACAAGAAGAGATGCTGAACCTTGACTAGGTTATAGTTGTATGGGTCAACTATTATTAGTATAAATACTTGAAAAATTATAATAAATCCTTAGAACTTTGTTAGTGCTCTAGGTGCTCTAGGTGTCCATGACACATCCTGGTGCTACTTTATCCGATAATAATATTATGTCATCAGTCCTAACTCCAGTTGTTATTTTAAAATGTGGCATGGCACCAGGGAAAAAAAAAATTTCTTGTCGAATGAATCAGATCTTTAATTATGGCCATTTTAAGTCTTTTGTCGTTCACAGATAGTTTTTGGTTTATGCTGATGCTTCCCTGAGTGCTCTTACAATCAGTTAGAGGTCAGAATGCATCATCTTCAGTAAAACAGGACCATCTTTGAGACCCATAGGAAGTACTACGACAGGTACTCTGGGACACAGACTTCTGATGCCATTGCTTAAATAACTTCGAGATTATACCATTGGACAAAGTCAGGATTTATGAAACTCTGTGAAGAAGCTGATGAGTTCATGAAACTACTAACTCAAGATCAAGCAAGACAAGAATTAACTACATGGGCCTGAATGAACTGATAAAAGATTTGATTATGGCTTTTGTTTAAAATATTCCTCATGTTTTAATGTTCTGTTTGCTAAATACAAGAAACGCCTTTCCTTTTTCTCTTAAGTTATCTATAACTCATGAGAATTTAGAGTATGCTTTTGTAAACAGAATGAAACATTAATCTTTTTATCCCTGCCTGATCCCTGTAAAATTCAGAAATTCTTACCGAGTATTCTTATTTTCATGGCAATATAATTATTTGCATAGGCTCAATAAATATATTTAGGTAACAAGACATAATTGAAAAAAATATATAACCAAGGCTTTGACTGGAATGTCATATTTGAGAATTAAGTGCATAGAGTCAGATGTGACCAGTTTTAAGGAGCTACTCTTGACTATATGGAGCTAATATAAGCCCCTTTTGGGAAAACTGTCCCGGTACCTGGCTTACAGAATTCCCAATCTTACAACTGAGTAAGGAAGGTCTATTCTTAGGAGACCCAGGAAACCAAGGGTATTTTAGGAACCTGGAAAACAGAACACTTCAGCTGAATCTATAGGTATTTTACTTCAGGTAAAATCTGATGTCAAGTTCTTGACTTGCCTTCCTAAACTTTGGAGACTTTTAAAAAATCAAATCTGAGGTTTCATATTTTTTAAACTACTTTATTGAGGTATGATTGACAAACAGAAAGCTGTACATATTTAATGCATAGAACTTGATGAGTTTGGAGATAAAGTATATATACAAAACCAATACCACAATCTATGCCATAAACCTATGCGTTACCTCCAAAAGTTTCCTCTCACCTTATGTACCACTGCTCCTAAAAGAGAGTAGTAGTATTTTGTGGTAAGAACACTTAAACTCTGCCCTCAGCAAATTTCTAATTGTACAGTACAGTATCGTTAACTATAGGCACTATGCTGTACAGTATATCTCTGAAACTTATTCAGCTTGTGATTCTTCATGAAAACTTCCAGCTAATCACACTTAAAATAGCCTATTTGGTAAATTACCATTTTTGCTACCCCTATATAAATAAATAGGCCAGTCTTATTTTATAAACAAGGAAAGTCTTACTTTGATTAACACTGATCAAAAGGGTGATGGTAGAGATAGAGTTTCAGTAACCCTTGGGGTTATCAGATTCTAGTCCTGTTCATTGTCTTTGATCTATTTTGCATTTCTTTGTAAACGACATGATTTTTTTTTTTTTTTTTTTACCTACCTGTAAATTGATCTGGATCCTGCTGTCTTACACATTTTGTCCGTCCTTACCAATTTTCAGTTTATTTCCTTTACAATCTGGCTGCGATTCTCCAAATTAACATTTCAAATTTTTCTCCCACCATCCTGACTTGGTGACACTGAGAACTAAAACGTGACTGCCCATATTATTACTGAGATAAGGACTCTCTTCTCTAGGTTGTCTTATAGCTGCCATTTCCCCACAATATCTAAAGAAGCCCTGCAAGCAGAAGCTGGATGACTTGCTATAAACTACAAAGGACTCACCACCACAGCAAATTATGTATAGACAACTTTCATGCCTGGAGCTGCTGCTTTGTAGGCCATGCAAAAAGTTCAGTAAACTCCAACCTCTTCCGTGCCATGCTCCAAGAAATCCATCGGATTGCTACTGCCATCCTCACTCTACCATCTGAGAATGCCTACAGCCCAGCTTCTAGGAATCTTTTTGACTTGCTGCCCTCTGGACTCAAAAACTGAGTTTGCAGTCTGCTTCAACCATTAATCTTCGTCTTCCTTCTAACTTTCATGGAAATCTCCTTCATGAAATGTCTGATTACTACCAAGTGTCAGAGTTCGTTCAGCTAGTCCTTCAACAACAGAAACCTGCTGAAATGAACTAGATGAACTGGCGTTCCTAAGTTTTTCAATGGGAAAACTGGTTTCCCTTGAACAAAATGGAGGGTTGACAAAGAAAGCTTTAAAAATACCCTGAGTTTGACTACATTTGAGACAGATTTCTTCCTGACTTTAGACCTGACCTTCCTTTTCTTAGAGCATTTACTCTAGAAAACTTTATATATTATTTCTCTACTTTTTTGAGACAAAAATATTCTCCTAGCCTCTTGCCACTTTTATACCTCAGGAATAAACTTTCTCAAGGACTTGGGAGCTAGCACTTTGATATAGAATCATCAAAAAAGATAGTGCCCCAATCTGCTAGTCTTCTGTTGGGAGGATAGGAATCTAACTTTGATAAGTGCCAATCAGCAAACACAGATGGCCTAAATAAGCACATTGACTAACCTCCCTCCTGATATCTAGTACTTTCTCACTAACTCATCTCAGCACTTAGAGGCTCTCCTGCCTTTTATTTCAGCAGAATTGAGTTCAATCTGTCTCCTCTATTGCAAAAGTTTTGAACACAGTCTTTCTTGTCTGTTGTCTAGTGCTATTTTTCTTTGACAACACTCACAGCAATGTGAACACACACAGTGTTCAGTGACTTTAATGGTCAGTCACTACAATTGAGTCCTTTGGTAGTTTTTAGTGTGGATTTGACATTATGGGCAATTATGCTCCTTATACTGCAAGGAAGAGCCAGCAGAGCCACATGTCATGTTTATTTATAAACCACAGAAGGAAAGTGATTCTTGAGGGGAGGAAAAAACCCCCTCCCTGTGATTAAGATGAAAGTATTTCAGTCACTAAGCCTTAACATAAAATTATGTGTCCCGCCACACCTCATATTTTAATAAAAAGTTTGGAAAGCAGTAGTCAGTCTTATGTCAGATAAATAGTATACCTCTAGCTCATTATTGAAAGCATTCATTAAAGGTTAAAAACATAAGACCCTTTATAGAAATTCTAAACTGGTCCCGGGATCTTAGCATTCAATTATCATTTCTGAAATCTGAAATCAACATATTTTATGTCTAAATTGAGAGTATATTTGAAAATCAAAATTCAAAGGCATGCCTTCTAGTGGGCTGACTGATGGGAAAGGGCTGTGATTACGCCTAATTTTCACCCTCTACATCACGATCTCATTGATTATGTTTCTCAGCTTGCTAAGGGTTCTGTGAGGTGATTTTCAAGATGAATATTGCTATTTGCAGGATTTCCTGAATAGGAATATTTCGGGAGTAAATTGCACAAACCAAGCAATGTGCAGTCAATTTTCACTCCAGCATAAACAATGTATTAGAACACAGCCCTTAAAGCTTTTTTTTATCTGGGTTTCACTACACAGCTAGCTGCATTTCATCAATAAGAGTGAAGTACCAAGCAGACAAAACTGAGGCTCACAGAGAGAGGGTATTACATATTTTTCTAACAGGTGTGCTCAGAGTTTGACTAGAGAAAACAAACTACCCGAATGGCAAGGCCTCAGACCCTTTGTTTCCGAGGCAGCTATGGCCACCATGGCCAGACAAGGCAAGTTTCTTTACATTTAGGATTTGGAGCTAGGGGCGTGGCTGTTCGTATATCTACTTCCTTTGCATTAACTCTTTCTTAAGATTTTAGTAAAGGTGTTTTTTTTTTTTTACCTTGTGTTAAAAAAAAGGGCATGTGCTCAAAACTCCTTAAAAATTTTATTTTTGGTGTTCAGTAGTTTGAAACTAAGTAAAGCAAAGTCTAGTGTCCCATCTTTCTTTAATGGAAAAATAGTTTAATTCCTTTAAGCAGAGGAATACAGCAGGCTGTAAGGACTAATATCCTATATCTTAAATCAGAAAAACTGTGCAATCTTAATAAATCATTTATTAGTGAAAGGAATGGAAGCTAGACAAAGAGGGATAAAAAACAAGGTAAATTATTATTCACACAGGTCACCATTTCCTAATTATAAGCTGGGGGTTTGAGAATTTTTGGGAGAAACTCTCAAGTCATCAAATCTATGATTTTATGTTTCCCCTCCCCCCACCTTGAACACAGCCACAAGCAGAAGAAAAAGGCTAAAAGAGTATTTTTGAAGTCTGCACTCCAGAGATAAGAAACTCGGAATGTGCTCAGAGGACTGAAGCCAAGGAGTTTTCTGCCAGGAAAAAAGCAGCTCCCTCTCCCCTCAGTGATTTAAAACAAGCTGCAGGAGGCAAATATCATGACTCTCAGAAACTACACACAGCAGTGAGTGGTGACTTGTAGCTTTGATAAAGAAAAGTGATTAACACAGCCGAGTATGGCTTTCACTTCAAACTGCAGGGACCCATTTGGCAGAGCCCTATGGGCCATAGACAATCGAAGACACAATGCAGGTTTTCATTATTTGAAAACCATTCCGGGGGGCACAGACTGGGACAAAAGTCATTTTGATTGAGTAAACAGGATCTATTTGTACCAAGGGATTCAAAAAAAAATCTTTTCTTAAATGTGTTCCAGGAAGAGAGATAGCTAGCATTGAGTATTTTTTAAACTATTATAATAAAGAGGCACATTTTAACCAAAGATTGCATTTAAAAGAGTAGAATGTGCTTTTACCGTGAGCTACAAAAAGCTATTTCTGGTTGGGAGGAAAGACTTTATGACCTTTCCTCTTCGCAATATTACGCCAGTTACTTTTTAAGAATATACTGGATATAAGATAATTGAGAATTTGGCTAAGGTTATTGTGTATTGGGCCAAGTAACTGTACTTTCTTGTTGGGGTTGTTTATTGAGCAGTGAAAAATCAGTATTCATGAGATGTAATTGTACTGGTGAATAGGAGCTAGTCAAACACCTCTGAGTACAATATGTACTAGCTAAGTGGAGAAATGGTCAGGATCCTAGAACTGATGGCTTCCCTGAGACGATGATGTGTTTTGTACGCACCCAGTCTTGCCCCTTGTGATCATGTATGACTAAAATTCAGGGTGATGGGACATCAGAAGCCACGTCTTGGTATCAAGACTTCCACTGTGCCTTTAATGTGCAGGCTGTTGTTACCCATCCTGTATAATTTCTTAAAGCTAACTAAATTTGTTACTGGGTAAAGCCTATTATGTCTCGTAAATTTAATCATCAGACTGAACCCAAGACTGTGCCACTGGCTGAGCAGGCTGAGTTTTGTGCTAGTGAAATGATGTCTACTTGTGACTTCCACAGTGCCATCTGCTCTTGAGGAGTAGCTATCAGAATGGTAGACATAAGTGTCAGGAGGAAGTAAGGTAAACATAGTCGAGAACATTTTGCTAATCTAACTCATTTTAGTTGTAGCAAACTTCCCTCTATCTCCTTGTTACTCATGCCCATCTTCCCGAAACTTTTACTTCCTCTTCACTAGAATATTCTCAAACTTCCTTTTCCCTTTGCTCTCAGTTCCAGCAAAACAACAGCTAAATGGAGATTAAAATGTTAGGTTTTTACAATACTGGACAGTAAATAAATTTAACAATTAAAGTCAATTAAATAAAAGAAAAAACTACTCAAAAATGTTACTTATCCTTTTTACTCTGAAGTTGCCCAACAATACATTCATTAATAGATTGTAATTTCAACGATTCGGTTTATTTGATTGGCTACTTAAAGATTTTGGCAAATAAGGAGACGCAAAACGGGGCAGCATATTGAAAGAATCTTTGGAATAGATTCCTTGAAAGGGAGAAAAGAAGATCAATCAGCATTTACAAGGACACTAGAAGAAGGAGATAGTGGTGTTCAATTGGCAGGATTGTCTGAAGCCTTACGCTTACCTGCAGTATCTCATTCGTATTCTGGGTGTCTTGGTACTGTCTTTATTCATTGACTTAAAAACACTCACAAGTAAGCATCATTTACTGGATCCTAGGCTGAGTGTGTATGATATGAGTGGAGAAGCAGAGATAAATAAGAGAATGCCCTCTGCACTCAAAGAACAGTGCAGATGTGTAATGAAATACTCAGGTGTATAAAATTTAAGTGTAAATCAACATATGAACAATGGGAGATGAATAAAAAGGTTTATAAGAAATCCTAACAGGGATTCTAACTCTACTTGGGGTACGGAAGAAAACTTGGAAGACGCAATGACTTTGAATTCATTCTTAAAGAATGGAAGAAAATTCATTATATCAAAATAAACTGAAAGAAGTCATTTAAAGAAGAGAGAAAACCAAGATCACAGGTATGACATGAAATTACATGGATGGAAAGGTACCAGGTAATTTGATGTGGCCAGACTATACGGGGAGATTGCTGGCAGAATGAGAAGATAGAAAGGTAAAGTGTAGTCAGTCTGAGAGGGCTTTACAATGTCTACAAAAGAGCCCAGACATTATATTTTAGGAACCTAATCTCATAAACAACTTCAATTTTGGATAAGGAATCTATGAATATGTATTAAGCACAATTAAAACAGGGATAGAAAATGAATCACAGTAACAAATATGATGCAGGCATTCTAGTAACATAAGTTTAATGAAGACCTTATTTCTAGTAAATGCTGAGGAAAAAGCAACATATTCTAGTAAAATAATAATAATTATTATCATTATGACAACAATGATGATGATGACAAAGATTCCCTGCTTGACTAAACTTTAGTCAGGCTTCTGAACCTTCGCCTGGGCTCATCTTTGCACTCCCCTGTAAAATCCAGGTTCAGCAAAGAAGCCTGTCAGTTTTACAAGAACCCTTTATCCTTGGTACCTGATCACCCTCAGTATTCTCCACCATTCCCCAAGGGTTGTCTGATAAGATAACCCTGGCCTATCTTCAGCAAGAATCCTGTGAGGTTGGTTTAGCCAGAATCCCACTTACCCCTGATGTTTCCTCTTAATAATTTTCCATCTACTGACTCCTACACTGCTCCTTGGCTATAAATTCCTACTTCCACTGTGCTGTATTTAGAGTTGAGCCCAATCTCTCTCTATCCAACCTCCTGTAATACTCCATTGCAGTGGTCCCTGTGCCTATTGTGGTTATCCTGAATAAAGTCTTCCTTACCACACTTTAACAAGTAATATTTTGTCTTTAATAATGATACCAAATGAGAAAATTCAGTGATATTGCCATTTTTCTTAAAAAAGACAAAAATATTTAAAGCAAAAAGTTCCCTACCTTAACGTCAAATGGTCCTTCTTGGTTTGGTTGGTTATAAATTTCCAACTGATTCCTAATAGGAGATAACCACAGCAGCAGATGATTTAACTGCTCTTCAAGGTCTTCAAGCTTTTTTTCAAGCTGCCCAAGGTCTTTTATTTGAGCTTCAATTTCTCCTTGTTTCTCAGGTAAAGCTCTGGAAACCTGAAAGGAAAATACATTTTAAAAAGGTAAATAATTCTCAAGGCATAAGCCAAAATGTTTAAAAATATATTTTCAAAAGTTATTTATCATGAAATATTACAGAATCTTACTGATTTGTGTTATTTTAGCAGCATAATATTGATTATTTACATATATTACATGTTGGGATTTAACCAATGTATTCAAAATTATTCATTAACCTGCTACAAAAATTCTTTGCTTTAAAGAAACTAATACCTTTTTGGAATTTCAAAACACACACCTTACACAAAGGCATAGCCAACTGCAACTGATAAAGTAAAGAAATACATCTTTCATTTATTCACTCAGTTACTAAATATACTGGTGTGTTGTGTATTATATGCCATACGCGCTTCCTTTGCAGTTATAAAAATGAATAAGCCAAGTTATTCAGCATTAGCACCAGATATATAACACAGGTCTTCTAAATCCCAAATGAGTGATTTTTATTCAATGCGCATCCTAAAATTAAAACCAAACCAACTATAATTTTGTTTGTATAGCAATCATTTCTTCTACTATACTTGCTTCTAGCTTTCTTTTATGTCATGGAAGATTGTAAAAGGAAGTCCCTTCATGTACAAGGAAAATTGGTAAGTTATGCGTTTTTGTGAGCTATAGTTTGTGAGTCCTAGTAAACAGAAGCAGGTGGTTGAGATGAGAAGTAAAAAGAACATTTGGATTAGAGTAGACTGTAACAGAATGATTATAGGTTATTTTTATTAAGAGATCAGTATATGCCAACCATCATCCTTGGAAGTTTCACATTTGTAGACTTCCTTAATCCATCCAACAATGCTACGACATAGATATTATTATGATCCCACTATCACACATGGGTGATGACGTTGGGGTTGAAAAAAACATTAAATAGGTTAGGAAGCAGCATGACATGGTATTAAGCATTGTGAGGTCTAGAGTTAGGCCACTTGGATTTCAATTCTGGTTCTAGTTCTTGCCTAACATTTTAGCCAAGTTTTCTCTAACTCTCAATGCCTCCTCTGTAGATTGGGGACAATGATAGCACCTGCTTCATAGGATTACTGTTAGGACTCAGTAACGTCATCCCTGAACATACCTTAGAGCAATACTCTGCATGATAATGAATGACAATAAAGTTATTAAGTAGCAGTGATTATTGCTCAAGCTTACATGTAAATAAAGAGCCAGGATAGGCTGAGCACTGTAGCTCTTGCCTGTAATCCCAGCACTTTGGGAGGCTGAGGCAGGAGGATTGCTTGAGCCCAGGAGTTCGAGGCCAGCCTGGACAACATAGCAACACTCCCATCTCTACAAAAAAAAAACAAAAAAAACAAAAAACAAAACAAAACAAAACAAAAAAACAGAGCCAGAATAAACAAGAGTAAAGCTATTTTCTTCAGAATATCAAGAGTTAAAACTGGCATCCCAGAATAAAGAATTTAAACTTGTAATGATAGCTCTTTACGAGACTATTAACAATACCACTGTAATACAAAATATTACACTGCAATATGAATAAAATTTTATAATATACATCTGTTCCATAATAATATATTATGAATAATAATAGAGAAGATTTTAAAAATAAACTAGATAATATACCAGTGTGTCACATAAACAATGTCACATGCTTTGGAACAATTGTTTTAGATACTTTTAAAATAAGTCACTAATGAACAGTACATTGTTTAATTGGATGCAAGAGTTAGGAGATGAAAAAGAGAAAGTTGTCGAGAAAAAAATCAATTAATGTACAGAAAAATGAATTTTAAACAAGATTGTATACGTAAACAATATGTACAGTGAAACGTCTTGTAAATGCATGTATATATGTTGTGAAAAATTCATGAGACTGTATAAGCAAAGGATTAACATCCAGCCTGGGCTGTTGCAGGTCAGTCTGGGACTGACCCTAGGCTCCCACAGCACTGTTTCCTTGGAAACACTAACTTTAAGATGAATGGGAAATGTTGGGCCTGGCTTTGTCGTGTGGAACTGCACCTCATCGCAGGAGCTGTCAGTTGGAATACAGTCCTTGGATCCACGTGACTACAATGGTGTAAAAGACTGATGGGAAATACAGGTGGTGGCTCCTGTTGAAGGTGACCTGCACACTTCTTGCCTCTCATTCCTGGCAGCCTTTCCCTGTGTGGGTGAGAGTTGGGCAAAAGAAGCATTGTGTTTCAGATAGCACAGAATGTCCATGAATCATGAATTGAGATATTGTTCTCTTTGCTTGATTTGTGTTTTGTGAGTTCACATCCATAACTACACCTGTGGTGCTGAACTCTTGTGTGTGTGTGTGTGTGTGTGTGTGTGCACGCACGCGCGCACACAGGTATGTGTGATGTAGGTGATGTTACAAATATACTCCTACGTCTGTAATACATGATCTAATGATGTCCTCAACTTATTTTTCAAGCATTTTAAAGGAGGTAACTAAACATTTTATTTTTATTGGATCATTTTCTACTCACAAGTAGATGTAAAAAGCGTTTTACAGCTTCAACTAACAACATCTAAATGCCTCTAGACTCTGAAGCTACTGAGATAATAGCCATCATATTTTCCTAAAATCTCTAAAACTGAGCGATGAACTCCTTTTTATCTGATCATGAAATTGTTCACGTTTCATTTAGGCTTCATATATAAGCACAGAAATCTGTATAACATTTAACTAAGACTGCTGGTTTCCTTATCATCCTCCCATACTATCCCTTCCTTGTAATAGAGGTAAAACAATTCCTGACAGAAAACAGTGTAATGGGTCAGATTTGACTAATATCTGGAATAATGAAATGATAGCTTATCATGAGACGAAATTTTCAGCTTAATTATGATGTTGCTTTAGGTTTATCCTCTCAGATCTTGTCTTTCCCACCATCATAACATTTACCTCATGCTATTTAACTTTCTATTTACATTGCTCCTTCTCACTGACCTTTGATTTCTGGGTCAAACAAGCTCTGTTCCTAAATATGATGGACCTTCACCAAAAGTTTGTTAAAAACAATTTCCAAATTCAGGATTATTATTTTTTCAATGTAAGAAGCAGTATATGTCTATAGTAGTCAACCACAAAAAAATGTAAATTGTATCCTCAAGTTAAATAACTTTAATTAACAGACAAAAATATCAGTAAACTGGACTATATAAAAAATCAAAAGCTTCTGCACGACCAAAAGAGCCATAGGCAAAATCAAAAACAAATGAACAATTATGAAAAATAAATGCTTGTGACTCATGTCTAAGGGACTAATTTTCCTAACACATGAAAGACCTTCTGCAAAGTAATAAGAAAAAGGCCAACAACCCAAAAGAAAATTGGACAAAAGATAAGGACAGTTCACAGAAAAGAAAATACAAAGGATTTTAAAAGCATGAACAGAAGCTTAGCCTTGGTAATAATGAGAGAAATGAAAATTAGAGCTTCATCTATTGCACTGGCAAAAATTCAAGTCTGCAGGTACACTATGCTGCCAAGGCTGTGGGAAAATGCAGACTCTTCTACGTGGCTGGTGGGAAGTATACATTTGTGTACCTCTTGTGGAAGGCAGTTTGGCCATATCTATAAAAAGCATGTAAACTTTGACCTGGAAATTTTATTCCCAGGAATTTATTTTGTAGATTTGTTTCTAGAATTAAGGTTAATGTGCAGTGAGGGTAGAGCAGATGATGGGTAGGGTGAGATATTTTTTACTGTACCTTTTATATTTTGAACAATGTAAATGCATTACTGTATTAGTCTGCTCTCACACTGTTAACAAAGACATATCTGAGACTGGGTGATTTATAAAGGAAAGAGGTTTAATGGACTCACCATTCTACATGGCGGGGGGGGGCCTCACAATCATGGCAGAAGGCAAAGGAGAAGCAAAAACACATTCTACATGGCAGCAGGGAAGAGAGCTTGCTCAGGGGAACTCACATTTATAAAACTATCAGATCTTGTGAAACTTACTGATTATCAGGAGAACAGTATGGGGGATCCTCTTCCATGATTCAATTATCTGCACCTGGCTCCACCCTTGACATGTGGGGATTACCATAATTCAAGGTGAGATTTGGGTGGGGACACAGCCAAACCATGTCAATTACTTTTGTAAAAAATTATTTAATAAGGAAAACTACTGTACCAGCTCATCTTCCTACCACAAAATGTTGTTGAGAAATTACACTTTGCATATTTTAATAATGAATCATTATTATTCTGGTATAACATATCTAAAGCCATCAGTGAAAAATGCTCTGAAGAGTTTTCTTTGGCAATATCACTTAATGGTTGGGTGGAAATCAAGAACTTTTAACACATATTTTTTTTGTGCTCTTCTGCACTTTAAAACAGTTTCCAGGAATCGAGAGTATTCCAAATACTTCACGGAAAAATATAACAGGTGTGAGTAATGTATAACGTGGAAAAAGATTAAGGTTTGTATCAGATTCTATGTGTTTTAAATTAATTTACATTTATATTTACTATTTTGCATTCACATCAAAGTATAGACACAAACACCTGACCGGTAAAATACATCATTTTTCTAATAATCCTTTTATGTATTATAAAACCATGCTCTTCATATAACATGTTCCCTGTGGTGAAAGAAAACAAACACATTCAATTCCCTTATGTGTTAATTTAGTATCTAAGCACATCTTGACCTAATTTCACACAAGATTACTTTCCTTATTCTTTCAATCTCTGAATGTTAATTTCAAATGTATATGTTTTAATATTAAGATAAGCAAAAGTGTCTGTTTTAGAAATAAACATATTAAGATGGATTTCATAACACAAAACATTTTAGAAAAATTAAAGTGTTAAGCATAAAAATAGTAAGAAGAACTGGAATAAAATATTGGCGTGGGGAAGCCTTTTAGAAGCAAAAAAAGAATATAAAAAGATTGAATATAATATGCGTATTCACTTATAAATTAAAGCCACTAATCAAAATTAAAACAAATGACAACTGGGAATATTTGCAGCATATATCAGACACAGGGTAATAATTTTAGCATATAAAAAAATCTTTTAATGAGTAAAAAAAGGAAAAATCTACTGGAAAACTGGATAAAGAACATAAAAAGAAATTGACAAAAATGTAAACAGCCAATAAACAAGAAAAAATCCAGACAGTTAGTAATCAATGAAATGCAAAGGAAAACAGCAATGTTATACTATTATTTATCTATTATATTAGTTTCTGTAAAAGGTCTTTGTCAAAGTTCTGGAAAACAAGCAATTTTATGATCTTCCTTGGAGCCCTATTATACAGTCATTCACCACATTTCAGTCAACAGACTGACTGTGATCCTATGAGATTACAATGGAGCTGAAAAATTCCTATTACCTAGTGATGTCACAGTGCAATGAATTACTCTCACGTTTGTGGTGATGCTGGTGTAAGCAAACCTACTGCACTGCCAGTTATATAAAAATACAGCACAGACAAGTATGTACAGTATGCAATACTTGATAATGATAATAAACAACTGTTATTGGTTTATGTATTTACTATATTCTTAATTAGTTCAAAAGAAGGCATTGTTATCCTATGAGATGATAGTTTCATGAATGTTTCATTGCCCATGAAGACCTTCCAGTGGGGGACAGCATGTGGAAGTGGAAGACAGTGATATTGATGATCCTGACCCATGTAGGCCTAGGCTCATGTGCGTGTTTGTGTTTTACTTTTTAACAGAAAAGCTTAAACAGCAAAAATATTAAAAATAAGAAAGCTGCTACAATAAGGATATAAAATATTTTTGTACGGGTGTTCAACGTGTTCATGTTTTAAGCTAAGTGTTATTACAGAGTCAAAAACTTAAAAAAAAAGTTTATAAAGTAAAAAAGTTACTATAAGCTAAGGTTAACTTATCATTAATGAAAATAAATGGGCCAGGCGCGGTGGCTCACGCCTGTAATCCCAGCACTTTGGGAGGCCGAGGCGGGTGGATCACAAGGTCAGGAGATCGGGACCATCCTGGCTAACACGGTGAAACCCCATCTCTACTAAAAATACAAAAAAAAAAAAAAAAGATAAAAATGTGTCCTCATAAATTTAGTGCAGCCTAACTATACAGTGTTTGTAAACTGTATGGTACCGTACAATAATGTCTTAGATTTCACATTTGCTCACCACTACCACTCACTCACCGACTCACCCAGAGCAACTTTGAGTCCTGCAAGCTCCATTCATGGTAAATACCGTATGCAGCTGTACTATTTTTTATCATTTGTATACTGTATTTTTACGGTACATTTTCTGTGTCTAGATACACAAATATTGTTGTGTGACAATTGACTACAGTATTCAGTAAAGTCACATGCAGTACAGGTTTGTAGCCTAGGAGCAATATGCTGTACCATATAGCCTGGATGTGCAGTAGGCTATACCATCTATCTTTGTGTAAGTACACTCTATGATTATACAACAACAAAATCACCTAATGACACATTTTTCAGAACATATCTCATTTGTTAAGAAATGCATGACTATATATGTTGCTAGTAATTTGGTAATTCAGACCGAAAAGTTAAGCTTCTACCCTGGAAACTACAAACACTACTGAGACAGTGAAGAAAATGTAAACAAATAGAGGACTACCTTCTTCATGAATTAGAAAGTCCAATACTGTAAAGATATCTGCCCTCTCTTCAAATAATCTATAAATTCAATGCAATCTCAATCAAAATTGCAGCAACCATTTCTTAGTAGAAATTGACATGCCAATCCTAAGATTTATATGTAAGTGCAAAGGGCTAAGAATATCCAAGGCAACTTTGAAGAACGACGAAGTTTAAGAATGTTTGCCACCAGACATGAATATTTATTATAATTAAGCCTGTGTGGGATTGAAGTGAGAACAAATCATCTATATAGCGTTTCCTAATTTATACGATGGTGTCACTTAAGTTGGAAAAGGATGATCTTTTCAGTAAATAGCACCAAGTTAACTGATTAGTCATTTGAAAAACATGAACCTTGACTCTCCACATCATACACAAAACATAAATTCTAGATTGTTTGCAGACCTCAATGTAAAAGGCAAAAAAATAAAGTTTTCAAAAGAAAATATAGAAAAAAATCTCAACAATTTTAGGTTAATGTATTATTTTTTAAACAAGACATAAAAAGCATTAGCCATAAAGGAAAAGACTGATAAATCAAACTC
The DNA here is from genome assembly GCF_000001405.40 of Homo sapiens. NCBI lineage: Eukaryota > Metazoa > Chordata > Mammalia > Primates > Hominidae > Homo > Homo sapiens. The sequence goes on from NC_000023.11 coordinate 31,882,550, forward strand.
CATTTATCAGGAAAGATTGTTAAGAGAAAAAAATAAAGCAAAGTTTAGGTTGGAAAAAGATATTCGCAATGCATAGATCTGACAAAGGACTTGTATCCAAATAACTTCTACATCAGTAAGAAAAAGACAACTATTATTTTTAATGGGCAAAAGATTTGCATAATGACTTCACATAAGAGGATATAAAAATGGCACTAATCGTCAGGTGATTGCAAATTAAAACACAATGAAATACCATTTCACATTCACCTAAATGGTTAAAAGGATAAAGGTTGAAAATACATACTCTTGATGAATATGTGGATCAACTAGAAGTCTTATATACTGCTGGTGAAAATGAACTGAAATGACCACACTGAAAAACTGTTTTTTGGTGATTCCAAAGCCAAATGTACACATCTTATGACCTAGCCATTGTACTTCCACGTATATTAAAAATAAATATATACATATATGCAGCAAAGGACAGGAACATCACACCAGCATTTTTCCTAATAGCCCCATAATAGACACAGCCCAATGTCCATTGATTAGCAGAATGGATAAACTGTGGCATATTCACACAATAGAATACCATACATAGAAAAACTAAACTAACTATGGCACAGGCAATAGCATAGAATAATATCACAAAAATAATGTTGAGCAGGACATGTCAAATACAAGGGCATATACTGGATGATTCTGTTTATAGTAATTTCAAAGTCAAAACTAATCTAGGTGTTAGAAGTCAAAAGAGTGCTTATCTTTGGGAGAGGGTGGTGGCAGGGGAGAGGCTCATAACTGGGAGGGAACATGAGAGGGGCTCCTGAGGTAATGTTCTAATTCTTGAACTTGGTGGTAGTAGCATGGATACACTAAGTTTTTTTTAAAAATCCCTGAATTTCTATTCTTATGATTTGTGTACTTTTCTATGTGTCTTTATACTTCAGTTTAGAAAATTTGATAAAACTACTTTAAAAGCCTTAAGATTACTCATTCCCTTCAACTCCAAAATGCTACTTCTATGAATTTTCCTAGGGGAATATCAGAGATAAACACAGAGACCTATGACAAGAATGTTCAATTATGTCACTCTGGCGAAAAAGTGAAACGAAATCTCCCCAAATAGAATAAACTGCTTTTACATAATGAAATATGTTGCGTCCATTAAAGTAAATATTATGAAAAACATCCTATTACACTGAAAAATATTAATGACATATTAAAAATATATTAAAAATAAATTATGGTTTTGATTTTGTATGCATATTTTACATATCAGTATCGACACACAGCAAAGGACATGAATAGATATTTCTCTAAAGCAAACATACAAATGGCTAACAAGCATATGAAAAAAAAAAATGATCAACCTCACTAATCAGCAGGGAAATGCAAATCAAAGCCAAAATAAGATATCATCTTATACCTGTTAGAATGACTATTATCAAAAAGACAAAAGAAAAGTGTTGGCCAGAATGTGGAGAAAAGAGAACCCTTGTACAATGTTGATGGGAATGTAAATTAGTATAATTATTGTGGAAAACAGTATGGAAGATCCACAAAACATTAAAAATAGAACTACCATATGATTTAGCAATCTTATCTCTGGGCATATATCCAAAAGAACTGAAATCAGTATTTTGAAGAGATATCTGCCCTCTCATGTTTACTGCGGCACTATTTGCAATAGCCAAGATATGGAATCAACCTAAATGTCCATCAATAAATGAACGGTTAAAGAAATTGCGGTATATAAACACAATGGAACTCTATTCAGCCTTAGGAAAGAAAGAAATCCTGTCATTTGCAACAACACGGATTGAACTGGAAGACATGATGTCAAGTGAAATAAGCTAGGCAAAGAAAGGCAAATACTGTATGATTTCACTTATATGTGAAATCTAAAAATGTCAAACTCAGAGAAACAGAGAAAAATGGTGGTTATTAGATCCTGGGGGTGGGGTGATTTGGGAGATATTGATGAAAAGATACACAATTTCAGTTTGACAGGAGGAATAAATCCTAGTTATCTGTTGTAACTCAGGGTGACTACTGTTAGTAACAATAACGTATACTTGGAAATTACTAAAAGTAGATTTTAAGTGTTCTTACCACAAAAAATAATAAGTATGTAAGGTAATGAATATGTTCTATAGCTTGATTTAGTCATTCCGCAATGTTTATTTCACAATATGTGATATTTCACAATATCACATTGTACACCATGACAATAATACAATTTTTATTTGTCAATTTTTTAGAAAATTTAAAAATTTACACATAGATTTTCATATTTGTGAATGATTAGAAATACATGCACACTTTAGTAACCTTGAAAGGAGTATTATAAATTATACATGATTTTAATGTAATTTTTAATATTTTTGTCCCTTTTCAAAGTTACCACTCAGAAAGAATATTATATGTTTTATATGTTAAATAGAAATAAATAATAAGTAGTACTGGTTTGGTGGCTATTCCTCTGAAATATTAGCAACAATAAAATTACTATTATAACTTAGGTTTACAACATATTTCAGGTACTTCATGATGGATTTTACTTATATTCACTTTCTTATTCTACCCATGATCCTATGAAGTACATAACATTTTCTAAAATTATCAAGTGAGGATATTAAGGATCAACAATATAAATAATATTCATAAGGTTACTAGTAAGTAACAAAGATGGCACTAAATATCCAGGTTTTACTGACTTCATATTCTACTCTTTCCTTCCCTCTTCCCTCCCAAAACATACTTTCCAGTATCTTTCAAAATTGACATCATCTGGGCCGGGCGCGGTGGCTCACGCCTGTAATCCCAGCACTTTGGGGAGGCCGAGGCGGGCGGATCATAAGGTCAGGAGATCGAGACCATCCTGGCTAACACGGTGAAACCCCGTCTCTACTAAAAATACAAAAAATTAGCCGGGCATGGTGGTGGGCACCTGTAGTCCCAGCTACTCTGGAGGCTGAGGCAGGAGAATGGTGTGAACTTAGGAGGTGGAGTTTGCAGTGAGCCGAGATCGCGCCACTGCACTCCTGCCTGGGCGACAGAGCGAGACTCCGTCTCACAAAAAAAAAAAAAAAAAAAAAAAAAAGAAAAAAAAAGACATCATTTGATAAATGGATCTATTTAAACTTATGCTTTTCAATAGTTATTTGTGTGAGTACAATCTATACCCTTAATACTTAGTATCATTAAAGCAATATACATTGAGAAGTCAACTTCAATAAGAAATAATATAAATGAAATGCATGCAAGTAAACATATTTTGAAAATGAATATTAATATGAATATTTTGAAAATTAAAACATTACTGTTTGCCATTTGTTAATTTTATGGGGACTAGAAGAACAGTTAGAATGCTTATCAAATGCATTTTTGGATTATGATTAATCCAAAATCATGTTTAAATTATCATGATATAATTGTGATAAGCATCTTCTCTATTTTGGTTGGCTTGTCATTTATTTTATAATAGAAGCATAGATAACATAAGTTGTTATAAAGATTAAAAATAATAATAGGGAATTTTCAATTCCAATAAGTAATAATTTACATGATATTTTAGCATTATTTTCAAAAAATTTAATGTAAATGCTGAATTCGGAAACTTCTGTACTTAAAAAATAAAGACTTGATTGAATTTTAACTTAATTTTAAAATCCTATCTCACACAATTCCTAACTAAATACCAGATGAATGAAATGTTACATGTAAAAAAATTGAACTATAAAAGTAATGAAAATATGGGAGGCTATTCTTATAATTTTAATTTAAAAGCCATAAAGTAATGACTTACATTCATAGCAGTATAAAATTTCTTTACATAAAAAATCAAACAAGCCAAAGAAAAAGGCAAAAACAATTCATCTTTTTGACACTCTTAAGATAAAAACATTCTCACAAATCAGTAGAAAAAAAGACAAATACTCAATTAAAAAGGATAATGAGGAATAGACCATTTAGGAAAGAACTATAACTGACCTATGTATAGGCCTATTAAAATTGTTTGACTTCACTAGGAAAATTCAAACAGGGAGGTGTAATATTGCACCTATTGATTTAACAAAGATTTAAAACACTATCTTGCACTGCAATACAATAGTCTCATACAACAGAAATTGTGTGGTGAATTGGGTCTTCTCATTACTGATAGCAAGCAAATAAAATGAAATATCTCTGGGAGTGGGGTTGGGTGTCGATGAGGTAGGTTTTTGTAGTTCATATCTAAAGTCTAAAACATTTTAGTGCACTTAGACCAGAGATTTTACTTTTAAAATTTCAAAAAAATTTTCTGCAATGAATATGTGCTTCTTTTAAAAAAGAAAATCATTATTTTAAATATAGGTACACATGTATACTTCTATAGAAAGAGGTTTATGTATGTAGTGCCTAAAATGTGCCCAACATATCTATCAACAACATCTAATAACAACTCTATAATACAGGTAGTATTATTGTTCCCAGTGTACGCATGTGACTTGTACAAGGTCAGATAGCTGTGAAATGGTAACCAAGCTAGGATTTGAACCCAAGAAGTTAGGCTTTGAAGCCTATCCTGTTAACCACTGTACTATTTTACCTCTCATTCCCTTTAGCTATATGACTTTGAGAAAATATACTATATGAGTGCAAAAGAAGGTTTGCTTTTTGTTTACACAATTTCACAAAATAAATTCCTTTAGGTACTGACTGGAGCTTACTACAATTTCTTCATAACTTTGAAAGTAAGTGGGATGATAGAGCCCTATTTTCCTTGCCACTATCAAATTCAGTTTTCAAAACTGCCACTCATTGATTCTCTTGCTTAAAATTGTGTGACTGATTTCCAATAGCCTCCAACTTCTTTAGCCTGCCTTTATCTAAAAAATGGTTCTTAACAATCTGACGCTATCTTCCATTCTTCAAATCTTCCTAATAACAAAGCACTTCTTTTGGTCTGTTCCTCTGACATTGTGTACTCTGCCATTAAAATGTCTTCTTTTCCCTCAATAAAATATCTCTTTTCCTTATCGACACATATAAAACTCTTCCCAATCCTTCATGTTTTGGGTAATAAAAGTTCCACCTCCTCAGAGAAGATTGCTTAATCCCTCTGGAAGGAAATAATGATTCTATCTAATAAACTCTAGCATTAATTACCTGGGCTACTTCATTAGACACCGTCAGTTATTACTTTTTTCTTTATTTTACTGTTCTCTTCCAACTTATGTCTTCTTTCTTCTCTTGTCTCTCCCCAAAAGCTAGAATACTCACACATACACACAGCCACAATTGAATTTTACATCTTTATATACCGTTAGTAACTTTTCTTACATGATATAGCATTTGTTAAATGAACAATCATACAAAACAATCAATCATTCGCTAATAAAACAGAAAAGAGAAGGTAAATCTCCTAAAAACGCTTATGTTCTTGTACACTTTGAAAACGCTTATGTCCTTATACATGACATTTCCAACTCTGTTTCCCATTTTAGGCTATGTGTGAATATCCAAGTTCACTAGCACAGTCAGAACAGGTGTTACTTGGCGGCTGGACTAGTGAAATTTGATGTGAGGAATACAGAGTAGAAGAGGGTAGACCCTCTTGAGGGTCAGTCAAGAGGACTAAGGAATAAAATTCTTGATATGTTTTCTGTTAGTTAGCTTGATGTCATGGATTCTGGGGCTGGAGACAGGGCTAGGTATTAATTAATTGCAGGACTAGTGGTAATATCCGTGTAATTAATTCAATCAATATTTACCTAGTAGCTATTTTGTTCCAGCCGCTGCCCTGTATTGCTTCTGTAGTTGACTGAAGTTGGCCATTGTATGGCTACGTGTAAGTCTCCAATGCCAATATCCCTCTACCTTGAAAATAGCTAAATAACAGCGCACTCTGAATGCATTTTAGGCAAATATTCTGTTGCCCCCAACCAAAAATCACCTCCCCCAAATTAGTAATACCAATTAAATAATTCATGTAAACCATTATCTTCTTTTGGATAAAATGCACGTAGTATGAAATATTTGGAGAGTTCATTTTGCCTCACACATTTCTTAACAACAATAAATTAATGTCACTGGAGAACTAGACTTAGCAAAGATATCTTCCCAGGCACAAAACTCGATTATTTTTACAACTGGTCTCGTGGTAAAATATCCCTCACTAGGAGGTCATTTATTTTCTTTCCCTCTGGAAATTTAATAAAATAATGATGAATATATGACTGAAAAATACATTGTGGTTATATGCCACCAGATATTTTAAAACTATAAATCCATATACAATGTAAAAGTGACTAATTACAAATCATTTTTATGACATTCAGCCCCCAGTGGCATAGCTCTCGGAATATTACTTTAAAAGTAAGTGGATTTCCTTTTTAAAGCATGTGGATTTTACTTACGATGCTTATACATCTATATTTCCTACATTGTTTCCAGTTTTAAGTATCTGATAACAGTGAAGTCCCCTGTGTCAAATCACAGTGTATGTTAGTTTTATTGCATAACCACTTCATTACCACACATGGATTTTGTTATTTTTCTCAAGACCTCAAACATATAATACATTACGAGGTAAATGAACATTTCTAGCAAGATTTCAAAGTCAGTAAAATTTGATGTACAATAAATAGGTTGGCAGTCCTTGGAGAACTCTGCCCTTATTACCACACTAAAACCATATTGACTTTTCAGTAAACTTTGGTGTTCATGAGCAGCACTGTTATTCATTAATTTATTTGTTTGCAGTATAAGCATCTAACTCCATGGTCAAAGAATACTTAATAATATACGTGAGTACATGGATAATATTTTCTGACTGTTCACCTTGATCTAAACCTACCCTAAAGTTAGGTAACAAGCCCTTTAATGGCTCCTGGAGGCATTAGACAAATGAAGTGAATAGGTGACATTGATTTGCTCAAACCTCAATAGTTCTAAAATGGATTTTATAGGGATTTATACCCATCTAACTATCCACCTACCCACAAACTCTTCACTAAATAATGTGATTTTGGTCACATACTGTTTAAACCCTGAGGACAATAAAATTTAAAGAAGTTAAATGTAATTTAATCTCTCTCTCTGTCTCTCTCTCTCTCTCTCTCTCTCTCTCACACACACACACACACACACACACACACACACACGCACACCACAGAATGTGTTGTTACAAATTAACCCCGTATTTTTCTCCCTCTCTCCCTCCCTCCCAGCCGTACTCTAAACAAAGGCTCTACAAAGTAGCACTAAACAAGGGCTACTTTATTCCCACACTCTCCAATCAGAAATCTTTGATCTTATTTGCTTGAAGGACCTTAGCATCAGCCTGGCTGATACAGAAAAATGTCCCTTGGATTCGTAGGAAATATCATTTTTAATATTTTTGTTTGCTCATTTTGTTCATTTGTTTGATAAAAATTCAAGGAAAACTAAGTCATGATCTGTACAGTTTTACCCAAGCAACAAGAACCATAACAAATAACAATAACTTGATATTTATTTAGGCCCTGAGGTGTCTGTTAAAATTTGGTTTCTTAATAGAATTTAAAAAAAAAAAACAGTCTCCTTCTTTTTACTTTTATATAAATCACTGTACTTCAGAATATGGATTTCAGGGGGGGAAAGAAAGGGAAAACTACACCACATAATCACGTATCCTCAAATTCAGAAGTTTCATTTAAGAAACAATTTAGCTGGGGATGGTGGTGCCTGCCTATAATCCTAGCACTTTGGGAGGCCGAGGAAGGAGGACTGCTTGAGCCCAGGAGTTGGATACCAGCCTGGGAGGCAACATAGTGAGATTGTTGTTTCAAAAAAAACAAAACAAAAAAAAAAAGAAGAAGAAAGAAAGAAAGAAAAAAGAAAAACAAAGCAATTTATCAAAATGTAACTTTAAATTTAAATGTATTAAACTTAAATACAATTTAAATATCAGTTCCTTAGTTGCACTTACCACATTTCCAATGCTCAAAACCCACATTGTATTAGACAGGGCAGAGAAAGACCATACTCATTATAAAAAAGTTATCTTGAACAGTGTTACAAGCCGTACTACACTATTTGCTTATGCATCTAAAAAACTTGCCAATCTTCATGATTTTTTGAAAGCGTAACATTTTAGAAAATAATCAGTAGTGTTCAAATATATATACCAATTTGATAGTTTCAATAATATGACCATGAATTGCTGGTTTTAATTTCAATATTTTCTGTCTAGAAAGCTTGTTTTTCTCCAAAACTCATTCTCTAAAAAACAAAACAAAACAAAACAAAAATAGAAAACCACCACACTGAAAAGAAATCCTATTCCTTTGCCTTCATCTGAATGGAATCATTTTATTGTCATGTTTAAACATATAAATATAAAAAAAATTTTCTATCAAATGGCATGACCTACATAACTCACATTTATCTTTTCTATGTGTAATATTCATATTGTTGCAATTTGATGCATTATTGTTATTTATACTATGAAGCAAATGCATATTGCTTATCCACTCAATGAAACATGGCTAACAAAGAAGAAAATCAGTATCCCTGGAACTTTTAACCTTACCAACAAGTAAAATAATAATATCATATAGAATTGCTACTCCTGGGAATGGTGATGCTTAGAAAGGTTTTGAACACAACATCGGGAAGAGTTGGCATTGGCATATGTGAAGTTGTAGCTTTACTAGCTGTGTGACGGTATGAGGAAAGTGAATACAATTCAAAGATGGGTTGGTCTCTTCCTGCTGGCCAGAAGAGAAGAGAGCAAAGAAAAAAAGAGAATATGGATATAAATTTGAAAAAGAAAAATACTTGATTTCTCTGGAAACAATAAAAAAATCAGGGCAAAAGTCAGGTGCCAAAATAGTTTTATATTCTGCGAGGATTGTTGCCATAACCCCATTTCAACAGGAGACTTGGGCAGAGGGCAGCAAACTATGGCTTATGGGTCACATTCAGCCACCATATGTCTTTGTACAGTTTGAGAACTAACAATTGTTTTAACATTTGAAGAAACTGAAAATAATTAATAAATGGGTGAGACATGAATATTATATGAAATTCAAATTTGTGTCCCCAAGTAAATTGTCACGGGACACAGCCATGCCCATTCGTTTATGTGTAGTTACGTATTAGGGCTGCTTTTGATCCACAATAGCGGTGTTAAGTAGTCGTGGCAGAGACCTATTGGCCTGCAAAGCCTAAAACATTTACCATCTGGACCGTTATAGAAAGTTTGCTGACCTCTGCTCTAGGTGTTCAAGGAGTTGTGGCCCAACCTCCAGTCCATCTAAGTCTTGGTCCTGCCTGTATTTCAGAGCCGCTTTAACGGGTGAGTTGGTGAGTGCAGTACAGGGCTTCAATGTACGAGAAATAAAAAAACTTTTAAATGCAGTATCCATTAATTTACCCAAATTGGAAAATGGACAAGACAGCATCCTTTGGTGGAAATTTTTTTAAATCCACGACCCTCCTGGTCTGTTTTTGGGACACTTTGTAGCCAGTATGTACAAATGTCTGATTTAGCTGGGCCATCCATCTGGGACCAGCTAGCTGAAGCTTGCAATCGCAGTTAGCTGAAATTTGAAACTTGAATATTTCAAGTGGTAGACATTTAGCAATAACAAATTATCTACATCATTATTTGATATCTTTTAATTTGCATTCCAAGAAGTTGTGCGTTTCCAAAGCAGTGAAAGAAAATAAAACAAAAATTTAAAAAATGGAAACGATATGTCAACATAAAAGCCAGAAAAAAATTAATTTTTAAAATACTATTATACCCTGTAAATTACGTGTAGCCTTGATGGGCATAGAACTTCACCGGTTAATATGGTAGCCACTAACCACATGTAGCTATTGAGCACCCAGCCCAGAATATGCCTATTTGGAATAGACATATGCTGTAAAATACATATTGGATTCCGAAGGCATAGTACTGAAAAAAAAAAAGAATCCAAAATATTTTAATTCATCCATGCATCACTTAATGACAGGAATACATTCTGAGAGATGTGTCATTAGGTGATTTTATCCTTATGCAAACATCATAGTGTGTACCTACACAAACCTAGGTGGTACATATAGCCTACTACACACCTAGGCTACATGATATAGCCTAATGCTCCTGGGCTGCAAATTTGTGCAGCACGTGACTGTACTGAATACTACAGGAAATTCTAACATAGTGGCAAGTACTCGTGCATCTAAACATACCTAAACATAGAAAAAGGTATGGTAAACCTACTGTATTATAATCCTATTAGATCACCAGTGTATATATAGTTTATCATGGACCAAAACCTCATTACACATAGCATGACTGTATTTTTGCACTGATTGCAACGTCAAAATGATACAATTTTAGATACACTGGGTTAAATAAAACATATAATCCAAATAAATTTCACCTGTTTATTTTTACTATTTTAATGTGGCCATTAAGATTAAAATAACATATGTGGCTCACATTACGCTCTGTAATAATGCAATAGCAGCTTTTATTCTATAGTAGGAATAGCAGAAAAATATTAAATGAAAGATCATCCATAGATGTCAAAAGTCATGTGAGTTTTAGTATATCTTCTAAGTTGATTATTTTAATAAAAGGTAAGAGGTAAAGAGGTTTTCTTATTAACATAACATCAATTTTTCTTGCCCCCACTAAATAAATGCTGAACAAATATTTTAAGCAAGCGTATGAAGGAGCATCAAATAGTAGCTTGTCTTGAACAAGGTGTCCCCAGTGTGTTTCCTAGACTCATTGAAAAGAAGCAACCTTACGTATGTTAATCCCATGTGGTTAATTTCTGGCCTCCATGTTTAATTGATCTCTCATACTAGGGCCTCTAGCCACCGTCCTCCAAGGTTGTGCATGAAACCAGAACCCTACAGTTTTGTCTGAAGCACACTGCTTGTCCTACATTTTTGGCCCCCAGGCTGCATATCACGCAACCCTATTTTTCATTAACTTCTGGTCTGAGGGGGAAGGTACTGAAAAAAGGAAGAGCTGTACTTGAATAATGTTACTGTCACACAAAAAAAGGGGAAAGGGAGGGAGGGAGGGAAAAGACCTGGCCTCCATTCCCGGGTCTCAGATGAGGATGCCTGGTGGTAGTTTCCCTTGTAGGAGGGATAGGCAGGGTAATCAAGGGAAGGAAAGAGAGAGAGGCATGTGGCGAAAAAGGGAAGTGAGAGTTGAGGGATTACACTAGTGCTGCATGCAGGGGAAGGGACAGTAACTAACAGAGGTTTGGAAGTCAGGCAACCTGACTTCTAATACCACCTCTACCGCTACTTATAGAATCCGAGGGCCTTCCCTGAGTATCCTTGGAACTGAAAAATGCAGACATTTGATCAGATTAATTCTGAGGTCCCTTCTAGCTTGACTGTTCCACAAACATTTTGTCTCTGGCAGGGAATGGAGGAGTATACACAGCCCTGAACGTGTCACTGAGCTTCAAGAAGACAAAGACTGTGTCTGCCTGACACCTGGATGCCTGTGAACACAAAAGATCTTCTCTGAGGGTTTATTGGGAGCTTGTGACATAGGCCTAAAATGTGGAAAATCCTGTGACAACAGGATACCCTGTCACCCTAAGCAGATGTAAGCTTAATTTTCTTCACAGCAAGATAATGAGCAATAGAATAGAACCTAACAAAGCAATTTTGGATGAGGGCTTAACACAATCAACTGCCATGGTGTTCCAGCCATTTATTTACAGGATTTAAACGTCTTTCCTCCAAAGCCGGGACTCCTGCCAGATAACCTGTGTAATGGACCTAGTGCAATGACCTACACCAAATGGCTAACAATTTTGTCCAGCCCATGGGCTTTGCGAGTGGGGCTCATCTCTTGGCTCTGGCTAAGTATGCAGCTACATTCCCGATGATGTGGCAACATTTTAGGCTCTGGTTTCCAGGAGAGAGCTGAGACACAGCTATTCTCAGGCCTTGGGAACCACCGCTTTGAGAAACAAGTTAGGAAAATGCAGAGGACCTTACGTCCCGGGGGAAACTCACAGAAGTTTTGGGGCATCTTTATAATATTTGTCAATGAAAGGGAAAGGAACATTCCTTTGAAAGGCAAACACAGAACTTGCTCTGTTCCCAACTTATGCCTCCAAGGCTGTGTGAGGAGATTCTTCTGAAGTCTACACATCGCTGTCCATTAGAGCATCTCTATTAGACAGACATTTTAATTTCTTCATTGGGATGAAACTTTTTACACAGTAGATACTGCGACTTTGTAATGTTTGTATGAACTGAAGCTGGAATTAAAACAACAAATCTGAAGCCATGGTCTTTTTCATCACTTTTATATAAATTACTCAGAGTTCCAGATTGCAATTCATCTATATATTTTTACAGGTGAAGCATGAATTTAAAAAAAAATTTAAAAAGTGGTTTCACTCATTTAAAAAACTGTTGAATTGGTTAGTTGGTTACTGGTTAAAAGAAAAATTATTTAGGGCCTTTTATATGCCAGGCAGTATGCTAGGTAAATCATCCCTCCCTTCTATGAACACTTATTCTGGAAGAAAAAAAATGTATTTAAACACAGAATTCAATTACCAAGTGATGAATACTCTAATAAAGACAGACACAATACACTACAAAGTCATGGAGTCTGGAGGGCCTCTGTCTCCTGGAGAAAGAATGGAGAGACAGGAGGCAGGAGAGAAGGATGATTTCACAGAGGATATCTCATTTGAATTTTCTGTTAATTAATGGGTAAACTATCGAAAGCTATTCTGCGCAGCCCATTAAAAGGTACTCTGTTGGCTCAAGCTTGACAGTGTGTGAGGAAGAAGAAAGAGATCTTATGACTAGGGTTGCCTTATAAAATACAGGATACCATTTACATTTTGTATAAGCAATCGATACTTTTCAGTATTTTTTGTTGTAGTATTTGGGACATAGTTATGCTTAGAATTCTGGATGTTTCATATTTTTATTTGCTAATTCTTGGGATCCTAGTTATGACTGGAATGTGGAAGAAAACAATACCAGCTGAATATGATTTGAAGAGTTTTGTGTGCCATGACATGGAGTTTTGAACTTATTCTACAGGGATAAACACTTTTGAAAAGAGTTTATACAAAGTTGACTTTAGAAGGATTAGAGTCAAAGGGGGACTTGAAACCATTAAGAAGTCAAGCCCCAGTAATGGCATGAACAGAGCTCATTCTGCTTTCCAAATATCTAATCTGCAGTAGATACTTAGTGGCTGGAATCACCTCTGACATGGCTGACCTGTGACAGCTATTTCATCTGCACATTGCCAATATCTCTGTGCTTAGGAGATTCTCTAAAGCGCGGCATAATTTTTCTTGGATTTCCCCTTTCCTGTTTCATTAACCCTATTCTTTCACTCTTACATTTGAGGATGAACTTCTCTGCTTCCAATTTCTTGTCTTACATTCTGTTCTTGAGTGTATTTAAACTAACACTTTATCCTTTTCCATTTCTTCCAAAAAGTAAGGATAAATGGTCCTTGATTTATTTGCAAGCTACTTCTTTCCCTGAAAAAGTTTGGGTGATCCTTAGCATCAGGGTTTAGTATGACTAAAAGAAAAATATGTATTAGTTATTGTACAAGATAACTTGAATGATCTTTTAAATTTTACAGTTCATATGTGAAAGAAACTTGGCAGGGTCTTCCTAAATTGGACAATAAATTGTAATAATTTATGTGACATCACCAATAATAAGTTGAAAATGTAAAATAAACTTTTCTAAACTATCAATGATAGAAGTCAAATTTTAATCAACAATGCTGGGGGAAAGAGTAAATTATTTTCTGATGCTCTCACATGAAGAGGTGCTGAAAGAGGATGCATCCAGAAAGATAGAAAAAATTATTTCAGACACTGTATATTCTAGTATTGCAGAGATGGTTCATTATTAAGAAAACATTCTGCTTATTTTTTTCAATTTTTGTGATGTATGTGGTTATCTGTCATCTTTTTAAAAACGTATAATTTGTTATGATTTCCTTTCTTTCTATAATCATGTTCATACCTAATTTTATATTTGTCCTGTTATATTCTTTGACTTAAAGAAAACTGCCAAATTAGAATGTGCTTCAAGTTTCAGAAAACCAGATCTACCTCTGCTTATTCTTTTACCTTTATTGAGTATAGAAAACCATTTCATTCAGTATCCTAAAATAACTAATTTGGTATAGGCATTGCAAATCTCTTCTTTTACTTTGAAGACCCCATCGTTTCTAACAGATGTAAAAACAAAAAGAAAACAAAAATAAAAAATGATTTTATCTGACTTATAAGTAGTACATTAAAACTAGTTGAGTTTTTGATCTAAAATTTAAAAATAATTAGCCGAGTTTCTGATAGAACAACATTTTACAATTTCTTTGCTTTTTTCTTTTTTTTTTCTTTTATTATTGTACTTTAAGTTTTAGGGTACATGTGCACATTGTGCAGGTTAGTTACATATGTATACATGTGCCATGCTGGCGCGCTGCACCCACTAACTTGTCATCTAGCATTGGGTATATCTCCCAATGCTATCCCTCCCCCCTTCCCCCACCCCACAACAGTCCCCAGAGTGTGATGTTCCCCTTCCTGTGTCCATGTGTTCTCATTGTTCAATTCCCACCTATGAGTGAGAACATGCGGTGTTTGGTTTTTTGTTCTTGCGACAGTTTACTGAGAACGATGATTTCCAATTTCACCCATGTGCCTACAAAGGACATGAACTCATCCTTTTTTATGGCTGCATAGTATTGCATGGTGTATATGTGCCACATTTTCTTAATCCAGTCTATCATTGTTGGACATTTGGGTTGGTTCCAAGTCTTTGCTATTGTGAATAGCGCCGCAATAAACATACGTGTGCATGTGTCTTTATAGCAGCATGATTTATAGTCCTTTGGGTATATACCCAGTAATGGGATGGCTGGGTCAAATGGTATTTCTAGTTCTAGATCCCTGAGGAATCGCCACACCGACTTCCACAATGGTTGAACTAGTTTACAGTCCCACCAACAGTGTAAAAGTGTTCCTATTTCTCCACATCCTCTCCAGCACCTGTTGTTTCCTGACTTTTTAATGATTGCCATTCTAACTGGTGTGAGATGGTATCTCATTGTGGTTTTGATTTGCATTTCTCTGATGGCCAGTGATGGTGAGCATTTTTTCATGTGTTTTTTGGCTGCATAAATGTCTTCTTTTGAGAAGTGTCTGTTCATGTCCTTCGCCCACTTTTTGATGGGGTTGTTTGTTTTTTTCTTGTAAATTTGTTGGAGTTCATTGTAGATTCTGGATATTAGCCCTTTATCAGATGAGTAGGTTGCGAAAATTTTCTCCCATTTTGTAGGTTGCCTGTTCACTCTGATGGTAGTTTCTTTTGCTGTGCAGAAGCTCCTTAGTTTAATTAGATCCCATTTGTCAATTTTGGCTTTTGTTGCCATTGGTTTTGGTGTTTTAGACATGAAGTCCTTGCCCATGCCTATGTCCTGAATGGTAATGCCTCAAGAGAATAAAATGCCTAGGAATCCAACTTACAAGGGATGTGAAGGACCTCTTCAAGGAGAACTACAAACCACTGCTCAAGGAAATAAAAGAGGATACAAACAAATGGAAGAACATTCCATGCTCATGGGTAGGAAGAATCAATATCGTGAAAATGGTCATACTGCCCAAGGTAATTTACAGATTCAATGCCATCCCCATCAAGCTACCAATGCCTTTCTTCACAGAATTGGAAAAAACTACTTTAAAGTTCATATGGAACCAAAAAAGAGCCCGCATCGCCAAGTCAATCCTGAGCCAAAAGAACAAAGCTGGAGGCATCACACTACCTGACTTCAAACTATACTACAAGGCTACAGTAACCAAAACAGCATGGTACTGGTACCAAAACAGAGATATAGATCAATGGAACAGAACAGAGCCCTCAGAAGTAACGCCGCATATCTACAACTATCTGATCTTTGACAAACCTGAGAAAAACAAGCAATGGGGAAAGGATTCCCTATTTAATAAACGGTGCTGGGAAAATTGGCTAGCCATACGTAGAAAGCTGAAACTGGATCCCTTCCTTACACCTTATACAAAAATCAATTCAAGATGGATTAAAGACTTAAACGTTAGACCTAAAACCATAAAAACCCTAGAAGATAACCTAGGCATTACAATTTCTTTTCTTAAGGAATGATGGTTTGAGTAATCCTTTAGGGTTTTACCCTTTACATGCCATTAAATTGTCATAATTAATCATCATGCAACAGGTTGTAACATGTAAAGTGACAATTTAGAGGCTGATACAGAAGAATAGCGAATAACAGGGGTTTAGTTTTTATGCATCATTTCTTCAGGAAAACACATCATGAGGGGAAATAGCTTTGAATAAGTTCAGTGAAGGTTGCCATTTAGTTAATTAACTTAACCATTTTCATTAGCAGACTCAGTATTGACTTTAGAATACTGTCTGCTTAATTTCTTCCAAACAATGAATATGTATGAAACACCACCAAAGGTAAAGTGAAAATGAAGACAATATAGGTAAAATGTAAAAATTAAATTATTAAAATATATCAGAAAAGTATGTGGAATACATTTATAAACTTATATTCAATTGCAGTGTGCTCCTCCAAACTTTTAAGATATGACCTTGGCATAGGCACATTATTTCAGCTGCTTAGCACAGGATTTGTAATAATCTCAATTTTATAAGAAAATGCATTTCTAAATTGGTTGGAGAAGGCTAAAACAATGCATAAATCCAGTGCACTGAATATAATTTTCTGCTTCAACTGACGATCTAGTCTTTTGAAGAACAGGCTTTTTTTTTTTTAACCATTTTTGGCCATATTCATTTTCTGCAACTTCATGTTGGAATAAATAAAATCAGCAGGTGCCTATTGATTTTTGGAGGGAGAAATCTCATTCGTAAGACTGAAAAAAAGTGAAGTCCATCATAACCAACTGATGAACAAATACGTGTGAAAATTGAAGAAAATAATAACGTAGAAACAAAGGGTAAATATCGATACAACTATTTAATATGACTGATTTTCAAATCTGGATTTGTTGTCTCTAGGAGTTGGAAGGTGGGAAGGCCTGCAAAATTTTTTTTATTAATTTAAAATAGGACGATATACATTCCATACAGCGATTATTTATTTTCTTAACCATAACAGTCTTAACTAGAGCACACAGCAGAATCAATTGGGTAGGAGTTTTTGTTTTATTTTGTTTTAATATGTATATCCAAGCTCCATACCAGAGAATCTAATTCCATAAGTTTGTAATGGAGTCGCGATAGCTCAACCTAATTTTTCTATTTATAATATAGAAATAGATGCTTAGATCCCAGTGGTACAAACATCCCTGCTAGAGCCCACACAAACTGCAATGCCTATTAGTAGTAAGAAAATGAGACTGCTTCTCTTTTTAACATTTTGTTCTCATTCTCAATCTGCATTTACCTCAGATTTACTAAGTCTAAAACTCAAGTCAAGTGTAGTGCAGTAAAACAAGTAAGTTAAGAGCTGGAAGGACTCGGTGTAACAGTGTGCATTATGACTTATGTGCCTTTGGATTTTAGTTTTGGGGGGAACCACTTTAAGCCCATTTCTTCTTTTGTAGAACAGAGAGTTAATTCTCACAGTATCTATACTTCCTAGTTCCTCTTCCTTTTCTCCATGTGTAATTTACTCCACAGTCTTCTTTTATTTTGCATCACTGATACGGTTTGGCTGTGTCTCCACCCAAATCTCATGTTGAATTCCCATGTGTTATGGGAGGGACCCAGTGGGAGGTAATTTAATCATGGGGGCAGGTCTTTCCTGTGCTGTTCTAGTGATTGTGAATAAGTCTCATGAGATCTGATGGTTTTGAAAAGCGGAGTTTCCCTCCAAAAGCTCTCTCTTTGACTGCTGCCCATCCACGTAAGATGTGACTCGTTCCTCCTTGCCTGGTGCCATAGTTGTGAGGTCTCCCCAGCCAAGTGGAACCGTAAGTCCATTAAACCTCTTTCTTTTGTAAATTGCCCAGTCTCGGGTATGTCTTTATCCGCAGTGTGAAAATGGACTAATACAGTAATTTGGTACCAGTAGAGTGGGGCACTGCTGAAAAGACACCCGAAAATGTGGAAGCGACTTTGGAAGTGCGTAACATGCAGAGTCTGGTACAGTTTGGAGGGCTCAGAAGAAAGGAAAATGTGGGACAGTTTGGAACTTCCTAACCTCTTACATCCAGCCTGGCCTTTTACATTCCCAGAGCAAGAAGTCTGTTCAAGTCCTTATTATCTGGGCCACCGGAAAAAATATATATCTCAAACCAGTTTGTAGACCTCCAGTCTCTACCTGCTGTAATTCAACCCCTGCATTGCCATCAGACTGAGTCTTCTAAAATAAAACTTAATTCTTAAAAATGAGTCCCTCCCCTGTGAGTGGATTATCAGTATTTGTTGTATGTGCATATGGGGAAAGGTTACGCTACCCATGCTCCTCTAGACATTCTGGTATATTCTCCCATGTAGACATACAAGGCAGAGCCAAGGCCTTCCTTTATGAACCATTTACTGGGGGAAAATAATGTATCGGATCACTTTACTCCCTGATATGGACTAATGCTAGAAGCAGTTGAATCTACTGTCTTTAATGGGACAGAGTTGTGCTCAAGGATCATTAACCACAACCACCGCCCTTACTCAGAGATAAAGATTTAAGATCTCTTAGCATGGTGGCTAAAGGTTTTCAAACTCTTGCCCAAACATACCTTTTCAATGTCAAACACAATCACCTTGCTCTATTCAGGAGGAATCCTACCATAATATTTTGTTTACAGTCTCTCCACCTATAATAATCTTTCCTCTTCTCTTGAGTACTGCAAATTCTACTTCAGAATAGAACAATGTCTACATGAGGGCCTTCTTTTGTGGTCCAAGGCCATTTTGCTTCTGCTATAGTTTATTTGAGAAAATAATTGTCTGTCCTTGGGCAACTCCTGTACTACCGTCCTTTGTTGCAATCTCAACTTTCCACATAATTACTTTCCAAGCTATACTACGAGGCAAAGGGAGGATTATGAAGGGTTTAGGGTTACTCTCTCTTCCGCTTCACTGTAATTTCTATTCTTTATTTAGAAACATTCTGTCTATTCCTTTATTATTTTGTAGTCTATAATAATCATACAACATCTTATTAATATGACACTATATTTTGGATATGCCCTCTATTATATTACTAATATTTACATAAATGTAAACATTTTTATTTCCATGATCCTAGTGACTTTTACCGTTTCTAATGTATTTATTTTTAAATTAACACATAACATTGTATGTATTTATTGTGTACAACATGTTTTGAAATATGCATACACTGTGGAATGGCTAAATTGAGATAATTAACATATGCATTACCCCACATTCTTATCATTTTTTTATGGTGAGAATGTTTAAAATGTAATCTCTTGGCAATTTTCAAGAATACAATGCATTGTTATTAACTATAGTAATCTCCATTCCTTTTAGGTATCTGCTTAGGCTGGTATCATACACATAATAAATGTTCAATTATTTATGGAATGAACAAACCCAATGTTTTATTTCTTTAATGAATTAGTTCATTCTGAAAACTAATACTTCTGTCAATCAACAACAATCAATCAACCAACTTCAAAGTAACTTCTCTTCGTTAGAGATGACTAGCAGCCTTAGTATCAAATTGGTGATTATTAAGACGGACAACATGATAAAATATTCACCCCATAACTCCCGCTCTCCAAAGTGAATTCTTTAAATCTCTTTTGATATGCAAAGTTCAGTGAGAAGTGAACACCTTCTGTCACCTAGCAACGTGCTGATCTTAAACAAGGCCAGTTAACCTCGCTGAACCTGGATTTCTCTTTCTGAACAAAGAAAGACAAGATCCACCTCCTATAACTTCTGTGACTCAAATGAGCTAATGTATAGGAAATACTGTGCAACATATAGTGGTTTATAAACCATAAAATTCTGAAAAAATTAGCTGATTGAACCAGTGAGTAGAGCGTAGGCAAAGCGATATAAGAGCAGTACTAATTTGCTGATTAGGTGATGAAAATTAGTAAACACTCAGATTTTGCTACTAATAAATGTATTGCTGCAAAATGTAACTGACGGTTAAACTACAATCATTCAATAATAATTTGTTGAACATCTCCTAGGTATAAAGCATTATAAGACCAAAAGAAATCCAAGAATTACATCCCGTATAATCCTAGTTGTGGATTTATATTTTTCTTTTTGATACTGGGTGTGTAAAATAGACTCAAAAAATGATTTTTTCCCCTTTAAGATTTTTGTTTGCTCATTGAATCGTGGTTGGCTACATCAGGCAGAGATTTTAAGGGAAAACCTATTTTCAACAAGACAGAGTAAGTCAATTCTAAGCAACTCTGCGGCTAATACATGTTGTAGGGTTCATATAATTTCTTCTTCACAGAGACAATTGTCCCTATTATGACACCTCTCAACATTGCCATTGTTTATCTAGAACAATGACATCCAATAAAATTATAATGAGAGCGATACATGTAATTTAAAATTTTCTACACATTACAAAAGTAAAAAACAGGTCAAATTAATTTTAATGTTATATTTTCTTTAACTTAAATAGCCAAATTGTTGTCACTTCAACCTGTACTCAATATAAAAAGTACCAATGAGATATTTTATTTTTTTCATACTTAGGTTTTGTAATTTGGTGAGTGTTTTATACTTACAGCACATTTCAGTGGGGACTAGCCATATTTCAAATGCTCATATGGTAGGCTGTTGTTACCACATTGGAGAGCACTGATCTCAAAGGAAAGTTGGACATTTCGTCCAAGTTTTTGTTCAAATAAAAAACTGATTAAACTTTGAGCAAATATGAATTATTCTTATCAGTCTCTTATTGTTTCTTCCTCTCAAAAATATTCGCAATATTATAAAACCAGCAATGTTAAACATACTGAACTCACCATTTGAAAAAGATGGAAGATAAGAATCATTTTCACAATAAATGCTGTACCATACTATCCCCACACCAAAGCAGCCATTTTGTTATTTTAAGAAATACATATGAAAATTCTTCTGTGAATACTGAAAGCAAATGTGGGTATAAATCTCTGCTTATGCAATAAAATGTATACTTAAAATTACATTACAGATGAAGAATCATACATAGCTCTACCTTTGCTGTATTTTGACATTTCTGTTTGCAATAAAAGCTTTTTAATAGAGGCACAGCTCTTCATGAATATAGTAAGGATTTTAGTTACTAGGAAATAAGAAAGAACATTACTTCAATATTGAGTTCTTAACATAAATGAGAGCATAAAAATTACGTCAAAGATATCTTTAGATTTTACTAGGAAATATTTGCCACAATACTTTTGAAAAAATAATAGGAATTTTATAGACATTCATTATATAAAAAATAAAACACCATATATGAAAATATGAGAGTTTAAATCAGCATGAGAAGCTTTGCATTAAAACTAAATACATATGAATCATCTGTATTTGGGAGCCTCAGTGGTTGCAGCCTTATACTATCTCTTAGAGAAAAATATTTCATAATCCATTCCAATCATGTATGTATTAAAGTTTATGACAACATAGCTGTCCCCCAACCCCATGTACTTTTTGAAATATGAAGGAATAAATTCAATTTCTTAATATATTACTACACTTAACAGATTATGACAAATACTTCTCTAATTATACAAAAAAATTAGGTTTGGAGAATCCCAGAGTATTAGCTGCATTTTCAAATGCCAGCAGGTGAAGGGAAATAATCCGTGGTGGGAAGACTCTAAAATGGCACTCAGTGATCTCTGTCTCCTAGTATTTGAGTCCTTTAATAATTTCCTCCCCTTGAGAGTGGTCAAGACTTTTGACTTGCTTCTGACAAGCAGAATATGTCAAAGACAAAAGGATATCACTTCTCCAATTAGGCTACATAAGATTGGGACTTTTGTCTTGCTAGCAATTTCACTCTTTCTCTGTCTCTTTCCCCCCTCCCCCACTTTCTCTCACTGATTTTGATGAGGCAAATTGCCATGTTAGAGACCGAAGGAACTAAACGTGGCCATCAGCCAACAAGAAAAGGAAGACTACAGTCCAATAACCCACATGGAACTGAAACTTACCAACAACAGGTGAGTTTGGAAGCAGGTCCTTCCAAGGCAAGCTTTCAAATGAGACCCTAGCCCTGGCCAACACCTAGTGTGCAGCCTTTGTGAGAGACCCCGAAGCAAAGAATATGGATAATCTATGCCTAGACTTCTGACCCATATGTATCCTGATACTCTAAAGATACAGTTTTAAGCCCCTATCTTTGTAGTAATTGTTATGCAGCAATAGACAACTAATACATAATATTATAATCTTTTTAAGAAACAAATATAGTAACATAAAAATTAAATAATGGTGAAGTTGTAGGGTTTTCAGTATAGGAGTATTGCAAATATAAGAACGGACCATATTTTAACGAGTTACTGAAAAATAGTGGCGAATTTTAAAGTTTCAATGTCAGAAAGAAGAAATCAAATATATACTCAGATGAAATGATAAAACCATTAAGGTTTCATGCACCCTCTCACATTTCTAACATTAATTTTCAAATTTTAAGTAGAACAGTGATAAAGATGAATAATATTGTCAATCTTCTAGTTTTATTTTAGCACCTTGCATTTAAAACAGACAATTTATCTTTGAGTTGTTGGTACTTCAAATAGTTTTTTTAAAGTTTCCACAATTTCACACAGAGACGAATGCTAAGAATCTGTTAAGCTTGCTTTTAGGGAAAAGGATGCCTCAAAGTCACAAAACTTTTTAAACTTGGTTCTTTGGGGGTGAAAAAGCAGGCATATTTTTCACCAATTTTCTAAATTTTACATGTTAAATTGGAAGTAAGATTTATGTTAAACTGTTTATTAAAACATATTAAAGATAAACCATGTGAGAGAATGGAATCAAAATGGAGAATTTCCTACCTTGCTCACTTCAACCAATTAAGAACATAATTGGTAGCAAAAGATGAAGAGGGAGATTTCAGGTAAAAGAGAACAGAAATTAAAAAAAAAGGAAGGGGGGAGAAAGGCAACAGAGACGAGATGGGGAAAAGAGCAAAGGGGATTAACACATCTTGAGAGGGTGAGATGAAAGTGTGAGGAAAAAGTAAAAAATTATAGCATGAAAATAGAGATGTAGTGTACTAACATGTAATATAGAGTTGATGAAGACATGTTGGAATTAACTTCTGAAAATTGTTGATGAATGCACAGTTTAGAAATGACGAATAATAGTTCTATTCCATTTCCATTTAAAGGATAAAGGCTTCAAAATGCATGAAAAATTATAAAGTGAATTTTTAAATGGTTCATGAAATCTCAGCTTTCTGAAACTAAATTAGCTTCTTTTGTTTTTCAGATTCGAAACTCTATGATATGGTTTGGCTGTGTCTGTACCAAAAGCTCATCTTAAGCTGTTGTTCCCATAACCCCCACACGTCCTGGGAGGGATCAGGTGGAGATAATTGAATCACGGCGGGCGGTTACCCTCATGCTGTTCTTGTGACAGTGAGTTCTCACGAGGTCTGATGGTTTTATAAGGGGCTTTTCCCTCTTTTGCTCATTCTCCTCCTTCCTGCTGCCATGTGAAGAAGAAGGTGTTTGCTTCCCCATCTGCCATGATTGTAAGTTTCCTGAGGCCTCCCCAGCCATGCTGAACTGTGAGTCAATTAAATCACTTTCCTTTATAAATTACCCAGTCTCAGGTATGTCTTTATTAGCAGTGTGAGAACAGACTGATATATTTCATTCCATACAACACCAACCAGGTCTCATACCAGGTCTTGTAGATGATACCAAATAAACTCTCTGAAACATATTTTTCCTAATTCTTTTTGTCCCATTGAATTGTGAAATTGTACACTTTCATCTACAGCAAATATTGGAAAGTTTCTGCATCTGGAAGATTTTGAAAGTGAAAAGAATTATCTTATATTGCCATGAATGACACAGCCCTTGATAAATGAGTAGGAATATGTGAGATATTTACTTTAAAATTGTCTTTAAAGGCAATATCCATTCTATTATTGACATCATAACATTGAGTGAACATATTATCAGCCAGATTTAGTAAAACTGTACAGTGAATTTTCCAGAGATATCCTTGTATAACATAAGTCATCTAGTCTCCACAGAAATGATTGAAATTCCTTGACTAGACTAAGCAGCTCCATTGGTTACAGTAAATCCAAACAATTTCCCCCTCCAACCTCACCTTCTACTTTATGCTCACATCTACTTTTGTTTATGATCTCAATTTCAGGTCCATGTCTTAAATGTAGACCTACTAAAATAGGACATTTACTCCAAATTTCAATTCCTTCCCTGGTTGCAGCCATGTTTTGAGACACCAGAATGTAAGACACACAGAAACAGAAAATACTGTGGAAGGAAGAATCAACATCTTTTCAACTTATTGTGATATAAATTTGAAAAGCTATGACATGGAATTCTGATTCAATTGATATCCATGATCTCCTTGTAAGTACCTGAGTACTGAAGCCAACTGTCTTGATTTGGGTCTCCCAGTAGCAAACCCAGAAATAAAAATTTGAGCTCAAGTAGTTTTGGGATGTGATTCCAGGACACATCAACAGGGTGAGAAGAAGTGAAATAGGGAAGATAGCCAATAAAGGGTATATTATCATGCAAGTCATCAATGTGAACAACTGAATCTTAATACTCCCTGTTATCCCTAAAAGAAGATGTAGGAAACTAAGGCTACTGTAACCAAAACAGCATGGTACTGGTACCAAAACAGAGATATAGACCAATGGAACAGAACGGAAGCCTCAGAAATAATACCACACATCTACAACTATCTGATCTTTGACAAACCTGACAAAAAACAAGAAATGGGGAAAGGATTCCCTATTTAATAAATGGTGCTGGGAAAACTGGCTAGCCATATGTAGAAAGCTGAAACTGGATCCCTTCCTTACACCTTATACAAAAATTAATTAATTCAAGATGGATTAAAGACTTACATGTTAGACCTAAAACCATAAAACCCTAGAAGAAAACCTAGGCAATACCATTCAGGACAAAGGCATGGGCAAGGACTTCATGATGAAAACACCAAAAGCAATGGCAACAGAAGCCAAAATTGACAAATGGGATCTAATTAAACGAAAGAGCTTCTGCACAGCAAAAGAAAGTACCATCAGAGTGAACAAGCAACCTACATAATGGGAGAAAATTTTTGCAATCTACCCATCTGACAAAGGGCTAATATCGAGAATCTACAAAGAACTTAAACAAATTTACAAGAAAAAAACCAACCTCATCGAAAAGTCGGCCAAGGATAGGAACAGACACTTCTCAAAAGAAGACATTTATGCAGCTAACAGACACATGAAAAAATGCTCATCATCACTGGTCATCAGAGAAATGCAAATCAAAACCACAATGAGATACCATCTCACTCCAGTTAGAATGGTGATCATTAAAAAGTCAGGAAACAACAGATGCTGGAGAGGATGTGGAGAAACAGGAACACTTTCACACCGTTGGTGGGACTGTAAACTAGTTCAACCATTGTGGAAGACAGTGTGGCGATTCCTCA
The DNA here is from genome assembly GCF_000001405.40 of Homo sapiens. Classification (NCBI taxonomy): domain Eukaryota; kingdom Metazoa; phylum Chordata; class Mammalia; order Primates; family Hominidae; genus Homo; species Homo sapiens. The sequence goes on from NC_000023.11 coordinate 31,908,167, forward strand.
AGGATCTAGAACTAGAAATACCATTTGACCCGGCCATCCCATTACTGGGTATATACCCAAAGGATTATAAATCATGCTGCTATAAAGACACATGCACACGTATGTTTATTGCGGCACTATTCACAATAGCAAAGACTTGGAACCAACCCAAATGTCCATCAGTGATAGACTGGATTAAGAAAATGTGGCACATACACACCATGGAATACTACGCAACCATAAAAAAGGATGAGTTGTTTATGTCCTTTGAAGGGACATGGATGAAGCTGGAAACCAACATTCTGAGCAAACTATCACAAGGACAGAAAACCAAACACCGCATGTCCTCACTCATAGGTGGGAATTGAACAATGAAAACACTTGGACACAGCGCAGGCAACATCACACACTGGGGCCTGTCGTGGGGTGGGGGGCTGGGGAGGGATAGCATTAGGAGAAATAGCTAATGTAAATGACGAGTTAATGGGTGCAGCACACCAGCATGGCCCACGCATACCTATGTAACAAACCTGCACGTTGTGCACATGTACCCTAGAACTTCAAGTATATATATATACTTATATATATACTTATATGAAAGATGTAGGGAATTAAGCTTGGAGTTATTAGATCTGAAGGGCAAGGGGGACAGGGTATTGATCTATCAACTGCTGCTCTACAGGGGCATAACTGCTACATTTCTGCTCTCTCCCAAGAATGAGCAGAGATAGCCCCAAGCAAAGAGATGCAAGTACAGGAAGTTGGAAATTAAGAAGCACGTATAAAAATGGTAAGTGCTAAAGGGATATCGGTGGGGCACCGACAGTATCTGCTACAACACCTCATACATTTTTTCCTTAAATGATCTCCACAACCTGCCTACATTTGGAAAGTATTGTTGTAATGTCAAAATTACCATTCAGTTTCATTAATTGACTAAAAAATCAAGTCAAAGCAATGTGACAGATATTGGTTGGTTATCTTTTCCTAATTCATCTATCTATTCTGTCTACCTGTCTGTTTATCAGTCAATCATCTTTCACCCTTACGTTCCTTTGAGGAACTTTGCACCTACTTCTCTACCTTTGTTGTGGTGCAGCTGTAGAGTTTGGTTGAGATTTAATGACTTTTAGCTGTAGAAGTGAGGTGTGATTTAGTACAGGAATGAGCATGTGACCTAATTCAGGCCAGTCAGTTTCAGAGCAGTCTTTCCTGGATGCTTTGGGAAAGAAGGTCCCTAAAGAGATGATTTTCATCAAAAGTAAGTTTGCAGATGTGGGTTCTGAAACGGCTTCAGGCCATTTTTGTCACCAAGAGGGAAGTCAGGTGAAGCTGCTAGGTCAACACAGAAAAATAGAACCCAGAGAAATGTGAAAAAAAAAAAAAAAAAACAAGAAACAAAAAACCGGAACCTTGATCATATTTATTGTTTAAATCAGTTTGAGACCAGTTTTCTGTCACTTACAGCATTAAGAGAACCAATAGACGCATTAAGTCAGTTACTTACAGGCATATTAGTTAGAACTAATCCTCCATGACACTTCACAGAAGGTGAAGATTCATGCATTTTTAAAATAATTCATTCTATCATTTTACTTGAATATCATAAAAATCTCTCGGTTAGTGTTAACAAATAATAGTTTTCTTTCGTTTTTCTAACACCTAAAACCATATTTCATAATCCCATAATGTGAAATAGTGTGAATAATATGTAACAGTTCAAACATTATGTTCCAGAAGAGAGAGATTTTTATTTTTTCTTTCTATTTTTTGAACTCCAGAGAGAGATTTTTAAATTTGCAGTTTGAGATTAGAGCTTTCCAACAGCTGAAGTGTTTACTATTTTGAGAGAAGACTTGCGAAAGCAAAGGTTAACCTAGTAGTACCTGCTGTGCCTTCGTTGGCAAATGAAGGAAAATCACACAGATGGTGGCATTTGCCTGGGAGTTGGGTGCCAGGGGTGTCCTCTCAAAGGCACACAAAAAGATAGAATGAAATGTCTCTCTTTTCTTAAATATGTGGATGTGGATTTGTTGGAAAAAATTACTTTACCCACACTTGAAAAGTCATCACCACTGTCACCACCACCACAATCAATCAATTTAATAGTGAACATGTATTAATCCTTTAGTATGTACCACATTCTCCCTTGCCAGGCAAGCAAGGAATTCAGCTTTGTTCTAGACTGCTGTTTGGCACAGTCTTAGGTTATTCTCCTTCTAACAGTGCAAAGCACTTAGAATACAGTCGATACACAGTAAGTTATTAATAAATATTAACTATCATTACCTAACACACTGAGGAATCTTTAACTCTCCCAAGGAGTGGGGAGGACTTCAAAACAGGAATCAGTTAAATTTCTCCTTGGACCGTCTAGTGCAGGCTTGGTGTAGATATAAAAAGAAATAAAATATTGGTACAAACTAAATGCCTGACACATCTGAGGTAGAAACTAACGAACGTTGTAAGTGAAATACTGCTGTGGGCTGAGGATAACAGGAGGCCAAGATGGATCTTGTTTGGAGATGACAAGGCAGGCTCTATGGGATTAGAAAGGAGAAGTCAGATTTAGAGATTGGTGGTATTAAGAGAGAAGGAAAAAAGGTAGACTTTCTAAGTGGACCAGGCAGGGAATCAGAGGCGAGGAAGAAAACAGAACAAATGGAAAGAACATTGGGTAGTCTCATTTTGATGGCAGCCTGAGTGAAAATGACCAGTGGGAGAAAATATCAGAAGATTTCTATAGCTGAATGACACAGGGGTTGGAAACCCAGGGCTAAAGGAGAAATTTATCAAGGAACTGTTTCCCTTACTAAATCCACAGCATCGCCCACATAGGTACAGACTTGTTTGTCTAGGATTTTGTGACTACATGGCAGTTTGCCTTATCAAAGTGAGTGAAAGGATGGGGAAAAGGGAAAGCAAGACAGGAAGAGAAAAAGAAATAGGGAGAGTGAGGCTCTTGTCACAATCAACTTGTAATTGCTGAACAGTGTGTTGGTGCTTTCATGTCAGAGGTAACATTTACAGAAATGACACATTTTAAGGCCCTGAGGGGAAGGCAGATTAGGATAGAAGCTTATAATGTATTGCTGCTTTATAGTTTTATCACTGTTTGGAAAGTATTTCATTTTATTTATAGCTCTGTAGGAAAATTACTAAAAAAATTATGATAACTAATACTTACTGATGTCTTACCATGTGCTGAGCTCAGGTTTCAGCTTCTTAAATGTGTCATTAGGTGACTACAAAAGTAAGTGTTGTTTTCACATTCATGGAACTTGCCATTTGATATTGAAATACATTCTTAAATAAATGTGATTATGTTATACATCATTTTAATGAGCATTTCTCACTTTTTTTTTTTTTGCTAATGACTTATTACTTGCTGTTTATTTTATGTTTATTTTAGACTATGGAAATGATGTTAGACAAAAAGCAAATTCGAGCGTTTTTCTTATTCGAGTTCAAAATGGATTGTAAAGAAGCAGAGGCAACTCGCAATGTCAAAAACACATTTGGCCAAGTTACTGCTAACAAACGCACAGTGCAGTGGTGGTTCAAGAAGTTTTTCAAAGGAGATAAGAGTCTTGAAGATGAGGGGCGTAGTGGCTGGCCATCAGAAGTTGACAATGACCGATTGAGACCAATCATCGAAGCTGATCCTCTTACAACTACACGAGAAGTTGCCGAGGAACTCAATGTCAACCATTTCACAGTTGTTCAGCATTTGAAGCAAATTGGAAAGGCGAAAAAACTCGATAAGTGGGTGCCTCATAAGCAGAGCGAAAATAAAAGTATCGTCATTTTGAAGTGCCATCTTCTCTTATTCTACGCCAACAACAACAAACCATTTCTTGATCGGATTGTAACGTGCAACAAAAAGTGGATTTTAAACGACAACTGGCGATGCCCAGTTCAGTGGCTGGACTGAGAAGAAGCTCCAAAGCACTTTCCAAAGCCAAACTTGTACCAAAAGTCATGGTCACTGTTCACTGGTCTCCTGCTGGCCTGACCCACTACCGCTTTCTGAATCCCGGCGAAACCACTACATTTGAGAAGTATGCTCAGTAAATTGATGAGATACATCAAAAACTGCCATGCCTGCAGCCAGCAGTGGTCAACAGAAAGGGCCCAATTCTTCTCTGTGACAACGCCCGACCGCACGTCGCACAACCAACGCTTCACAAGTTGAATGAATCGGGCTAGGAAGTTTTGCCTCATCTGCCATATTTACCTGACCTCTCAACCAACTGACTACCACTTCTTCAAGCATCTCGACAACTTTTTACAGGGAAAATGCTTCCACAACTAGCAGGATGAAGAAAATGCTTTCCAAGAGTTCATTGAATCCCAAAGCATGAATTTTTATGCTACAGGAATAAACACACTTATTTCTTCTTGGCAAAAATGTGTTGACTGTAACGGTTCCTACTTTGATTAATAAAGATGTGCTTGAGCCTAGTTATAATGATTTAAAATTCACGGTCCCAAACTGCAATTTCTTTTGCACCAACCTAATATATCTCAGTCCATTTTTGTAGGGCCATTTTTGTTCCTGTTTCCAGGTGAGAAAACTGAGACCACAGAGAGATGACACAGCTAGTAAGGAATTTGTGGAAGGCGATTATTTGGCAGCCCCACAATTAATCACGCCTCTTGGATTCATGCCTTTGTGTAGTCCCTTCTCATTTTGATTCTGAACTTGGCCATATGCCTGGCTTTGGCCAATGGGATAGTAGCAAGTGTGATACAAACAGAAGCTTGATAAGTCTTTGAAGATTGGTGCTTGTTCTTTTGGAAGGCTTCTTCACAGAACTCAACCACCAAGCTGTGGGGAAGCCAAAGGAGACACATGGAGAAGACAATGGAAACAAACTGAGGCTCATGGCCAATAGCTTTAGCTGAGTTCTCAGCTGGTAGGCAGCACCAACTGCCAGTCATGTGAGTGAGGCCATTTTGGACTTTCCAGCTTTCCCAGTGTCTTGGTTGATATCAGGTGAAGCAGATGAATATCATAGTCAACTCTCAGAATTATGAGAAATCGTAAAACTATCTTATTTTAAGCCAGTAACTTTTAGAGTGGTTTGTTGCATAGCATATATAACTGGAACAGAGTGAAATCAAAATTTGAACCAGGCAGAGTAGTAACATGTCGAACTAACTATACAGGATTAAAAAAAACAGCTTCTCAAAGTGAAGCAGAACTTTATCTTTATTTGTTTTTTGAAATAAATATTCTACATTGGCTATACCAGACTACGTGATATACTAGTATGCTATTTTACCTTACTGTGTCTCTCTTCCTGTTTCCTGCTCTTATGTGAATATACAGACAATCCTTTCTGGTGACATTATCTTTGCTCTCAGGAACAAAGAATGACCTTATTACATTTACCTATATCATCACTACCCCTTTCACATTTTAATTAGCACCAAATTGTAGAAAAACAATTATGTAAATTATTAGCAGAGATAGTGGCCTCTCTGTCTCTTTCAAGATTAATATGACTGAGTTGTGGTGAAGAATAAGTCAATGACAAGGTCAGCATCCATTCCAGAGGAAGATTTTGAAAAAAAACAAAAACAAAAACAAAACAAAACAAAACAAAACAAAACAAAAACAAAACAAAAACACTTAGGCATTTGGGGAAAGGCTGCTCTTATCACTGAGACATTTATTTGGGTAAGAATTTTTCGATAGGTGTATCTAGAACTAGAGAACTTCAGTGAGCTTTGCCTTCAAACCAAATCACAGTATCTTCTCTAATAATTATCTAAAAACAACCATTGCCTCCACTTCTGGACTGCGTCAGATCCACCCGTTTTATGCTCTCTTGCTTTCCTTGTTTGCATCACCACAATTTGAACTAAGCAATTATTACTTTGATGGTGGGATTACATAAAAAGCAACGATTTTTCTCATCCTTGACTTCAAAAAGCTTTATTGAATCATTTAGCTTAGCTTACATTTGAAAACTCAGAATGGAGTGGTGGGTATGGGGGTGTGGAGAGGGAGAGAAGTACTGGATTTATAGTCTAGGTCTTGCATAGGTGGTCGTCCAGCACTTACTGCTGTCTTTGTGCCTGGGCTGGAGAGAATGTGGAGAAAAGGAAAACCTTGCACACTGTTGGTAGGAATATAAATTAGTACAACCACTATAGAGAACAGTTTGGAGGTTCCTCAAAAAAGTAAAAATAGAGCTTCCCTATGATCCAGCAATCCCACTGCTGGGTATATACCCAAAGAAAGGAAATCAGTATATTGACGAAATATCTGCATTCCCATGTTTATTGCAGCTCTATTCACAATAGCCAAGGTTTGGAAAAAATTTAAGTGTCCATCAACAAATGAATGGATAAAGAAAACGTGGTACATATACACAAATGGAGTACTATTCTGCCATAGAAAAGATTGAGATCCTGTCATTTGCAACAACATGGATGGAAATGGAGGTCATTATCTTAAGCAAAATAAGCCAAGCACAGAAAAACATCTCATGTTCTCACTTATTTGCAGAATCTAAAAATCAAAACAATGGAACTCATGGACATAGAGAGTAGAAAGGTAGTTGCCAGAGGCTGGGAAGGATAGTGGAGGAGTCGGGGAGGGGGCAGCGGGATGGTTAATGGGTACAAAAAATACTTAGGAAAAATGAATAATACCCAGTATTCGATAGCACAACAGGGTGACTATCGTCAAAATAATGTAACTGCACATTTAAAAATAAATAAGAGTATAATTGGATTGTTTGTAACACAAAAGATTAATGCTGGAGGGGGTGGATCCCCCGTTCTCCATGATGTGATTATTATGCATTGCATGCTTGTGTCAAAACATCTCAAGTACCCCATAAATACATACACCTACTATGTACCCACAAAAATTTAAAAAAATTTTAAAAAGAGAGAATTGGTTGTGGTAGGAGCAGATAGCATAACTTTCACTTTATAGGTCACTGGACCATGAGGAACCATATCTTGATCTGATGGAGAAGACAGTGCATCATCCACAGACAATGGACTTTTAGCTGGATGCAGTAAGTGAATGAGACTTTGACTGGTCTCTCTTGGGAAGGCACTGTGTGTTCTCTTGATGATAAGAAAGAGAGTGCATGGATATTTGTGGGACCAGCATGGAGATTTTGAAATGCAGTATTATATTGAGAATAGTATAGCTGCCTTGCTAGCCTGTGTTCCTTTTTAGAGCAGAGACTACGTACCTAGGCTGGACTTTATGTGGGAAAGATACACATATCTATATTGTTTGAAACATGGAAACTTGGGGTATTTTTATTATAGTAGCTCAGTCTACACCCTGAGAAATCTGAAAAGACAATGAGAACGGCTGCATTTGTAATTATATAATCCATTTTAATGTTTGTCCCCCTCCAAATGTAAGATCCATAAAGACAAGTGTCTGTCTGTTCATAACTCTATCCTCATTCCTTAACATTATACCATATTGGAAACACTTAATAAATACTGAATGTATACATAAACCAAGGTACTGTTTCTATACTCCTAGGATTTTGCATAAAGTATCTTTGAGGATCTTTGTGACCCTCTAGACTATTGGCTTTTGAGAATATTGATACTGTGTCAATATTACGTGAGAATCAGGATTAGTTGATTAGAAATCTGAATACATAGGAATGCATCTTAACTGAATACCTTACTTGTGAGGGGGTGAGAAACTTAATAGATTGCAAGGTGTGGTAGATTGCACTGGTGACCTCTCTGTATGCACATCTTTTTGCAATGTGACTTTTAAAGTTGCTACCATCAGGAGTTGTAACCTATTTCCCTAATCCCTGAATATGGGCCTGCCTTGTGATTTGCTTTGGTTAAAAAAATGTGTTAGAAATGAGTGAGCCAGCTCCAAGCTTAAGCTTCAAGAAGTCTTGTTTCCTTCTCTATTAGAATCCTGTTTCTTGCATGAGAATAAGCCCAGGAGCGCTTGCCGAAGGATGAGAGACCATATGGAGCAGAGGTGAATCATCCTAGCTGCGCTTATGCTAGATAAGCCAGCCCCTAGCCCACCCATTAGCTGACTGAAAATGTATGAGTGAGCCAGAACAACACAACAGCTCACGGGACCCCACAGACTGTGTGCAATTATAAATGGTGATAATTTTAAGTCAATAAGTTTTAGGGTGATTTGTTACATAACACTATTGCAAATTTTACACTATTGGAGTTATTACTTAACTGATATATAGGGGAAAGCCAGAAATGGGAGTGAGGCTTGGTACAGTTAAGAGTTCTTAAATAATACCAGAGTCCTCAATCCTAAAATTACTGATTTTGATTTTGAATGAGTATCTAAAGTCAGGCTCAATTCTTTGCAAAGATGTCTGAAGAGACATTCATGGCAAATCAATGGGGGTAACCACTGAAAAAGTGATTTTAGAAGATCATTATTAGAAGACCTAATAATAGCTAGTATTTTTTGGCCACTTACTCTGTATCAGCTGTTGCCCAAAGCAGTGAAAGAGGGAAAGAAATACCCTGAAATCTCCCCTTCTCCTGCTCTCCAATCTCCTGCCAACGCCTCCCACTGGTTAAATCTATACAGAAGATAGTTGAGAAGAAAGCCTGAGGAATAAGGTGAGTGGAGGTGAGCTTCTTGCAATATACAATATATTGCACAGAAAGAGGAAGGAAATTGAGTGAATCTGTGGGAAAGTTATACTTGGGTTATGAACCCCACAACGATCTATGTTTCAAAGGTATAAATCATTTGAATGTGTTCATATTTTCTGTCAAAGTTGATATGTATCTTCTGTGGTCGGATGAATGTGCTTCATAAATATCAAGAGACAAAATCTTTTTGCAAAGGCCTTTCCAGTATCTCAGAACACACTGTATGCATTCCATTGAATGGGATTGGTGGTCAACTCCTACACAGACTCTTGATAGCCACTCTCTACCTCCCTACCATTTAAGAAGTAGAGCAAGGGGACCAGGGAACCAGCATCTTGAAATTAGGGGGGGAAATGCAGAACCTCAGGTCCTATGCAAGAGCCATTGAATCAGTAACCTGATTTTAACAAGATCTCAAGGTGATTCCTGTTTCAGTAAGTCATCAATTAATGTTGTTGATAGATTCTGGGAAACTGTGACTTAGGCAAAATGACATATAATGAAACCAATCTTACCATAGGCTAATTGATAAACAAGAATTAAGTTCCTACTGCATACCTGTGTTCACAAAACATGATCCAACATCTAAATAAAGACCCCAAGCACTTCTAATATTAAACTCAGAAATAAATGTGAGATATACATCCACTTTAGAAAGATTAATAAAAACCAGGAGGAAAATTATTTACCCAGTTTTTGGTGAATCAGTGAGTGACAGTGTTTGCAGTGGCGGTGGTTCATTCAAGGAATAAATGTTTGCAAAGCATAAACTGCCAGGATTGCCTTCTCTCACCACAAAGTTCAAAAACAAACAATAATCAATATGGCAGCTCACTGAGCACTTCTGTAGAGCATCAATTATTGTCACGCATCTTTATGATTATTGAATACTATATGAATTTTTATTTCACAGTAATTTATATTAATTCAGTCATTCATTTTCCAAGCCACGTATTCCAGTTCAGGGACTTGGGAGGCCAGAGCCCATCCTGGCAACTCAGAGCACCAGACAGGAGCCAACACTGGCAGGGATGCCATTCTATCGCAGGGCACAGTCGTAGACACATAAACACTCACATGGGGACAATGTAGACACACCAATTCCCCTAACGTGCACAGTTTGGGACATGTGAGGAAACCAGAGTACTAGAAGAAAACCCACAGAGACAAAAGAAAACCCCACATAGACAGTGCCCCCCTAGCTGAGATACAGTTTTTTCCCTTGCCAATATTATAACACAGTGATGCTCAATGAAACAACATTATTCAAGGACCTGCCGTACATTAAAGTTTGAGAAGTTCTGCTCTACGTGATGGCACGTGGATCTTTACCCCTTACCACTGCTATTAGAATTTTATGGTAACCTACTTTGTAATAGTAACCACAATTTAACTCCTCGTAATAAAGTATGATAGTATATATTGTGTTTTTAGTTCCTCACTAGACGCTGGGAGATGGGCAAACATGCTTCATAATGCATCACTGTTGGACAAATGAGGAACTAGAGGCACTAAGAGATTTAAATAAGTGGCCCACAGTTATGAGTTAGTGAGTGTTGAACCTGGGTCTAGACTGAGTTATGAACTGCAAGTTTAGTGATCTTTCCAGGACTGAGATGAGGCATGGAGAATAAGAAGGTGGAACGGTGGCACTCATTACACAAACCATTAGAATATTTGAGGCCACGTTGGGAATTAACCACACGCGAACTGAGAAGCTGGAAAGGGGTATCTTTAAGAAAACTAATCCTTCACCCGAAGTAGAAATGATTATTTAATCATACTGCATTCTAGTTTCAGCATAAAGACTTGAACATGTTAATGTCAACATCTTTTTTTTTAATCTTTTTTTTTTTGTTTGTTTGAGACAGAGTCTCACTCGGTTGCCCAGGCTGGAATGCAGTGGCGTGATCTCCTTTCACTGCAACCTCCGCCTCCTGGGTTCAAATGATTCTCCTGCCTCAGCCTCCCAAGTAGCTGTGATTCAAGTCATGTGCCACCACGCCCAGCTAATTTTTGTATTTTTAGTAGAGACAGGGTTTGACAATGTTGGCCAGGCTGGTCTTGAACTCTGACCTCAAGTGGCCTGCCCTCCTTGGCCTCCCAAAGTGCTGGGATTACAGGCGTGAGCCACCGTGCCCAGCCTCAACATCTTTCTTAATTATTTTAGTAATTAAAATAGTTTTTGTCTGCTCCCAAACTATATGAAATCTTACCCATAGAGTGTCTTTTCTATTAATTTTCCTGTTTTGTGTGTTGGCCTTTATTTGTTCTCAATGAATAAGGGCCTATATAGCACCTGAATATTAATTTTTTTCTCTTCCTTAACCAGCAGCTCAGTGATTCTAACATCACTGATAAAATACACATCACTGATGAAAATAAAACAATAAAGCAACCTCTAGGAGATAACTGCAATGGTCTAAAATTTGTCACAAAAGTCATAGCACCAACAGAAGCAATCTTCATGATAGTCATTTACATTGCAATTGAGTTCAGAATGTTCATTCTTTTATAAAAGTTTCAATAAGTCCAAGAAGTACTGTCCTATTCAAAACTGTTGATGTCACCCACATCACAGTCAGAATGTGTCACTTTCACAAAAAAATATTTTTAGACTGCATTTGAGGTATAAGCATCAGTCATCAGTCACAGGTTGCCTGCAGAATGTAACCATCAGAACAAATAGAGTTTTCTTGAAATACCCTTTTGATGACTTTGGTTTCCGGCCCATTTGCTGGTCCATCTCTTTTCCCACCACACTTGGCCAACCATGCCAAAGATGGACTATACTTGTCCCGGTGATAACTGAAAATGTTCACAAATTATAAGTGCAACATTCAGCTCAAATGCTTTCATTTCCACAACAAAATTGATGGATTTTCTCTAGCAACAAACAATGAAATGCTCTCGTCAATGTCTTGTAATTGGTTCTAATATCAGCAAGCCAATCAAAAGGGAGAAAAACCAAATTTCTCCATCAGGCCCTTATCAGCCCTTTTGTTACCCATACAGTGGTCTTGCCCCGAACCATAAGGTGGATAAATGAGGGGAATGCTGATTTTGGCATCCAGCTTACTTTCAGATAATCTAGCTCATCCTTCTCAGCTGACACGAGACAGAAATAACATCAAAGGGTGATAAACTCTTTCTTGCAAACCTGGGGTTCCATGGTTCACTGGCCCCAGGCCTAATCCAACAATCCATTTTCTACACAATAAAAGGTAAGAAACCCATTACAGATCTGTTATAAGCCTTGGCAGGTGGTATACGGCAAAAATGGAATACACAACCAACCCAGCATTTGGTATCCCTTTTCTATGGTTTGAAGCACTAGGGGTCAGCTGACATGAATATAGTAGTCAGCATTTAGTATTAAGTTATTTTAGCTACATAAATAAACTCACATCTTGATGTATGAGTATAAAGATTTGACAGAAAAGTTCATTTTTGGTATGATTCTGATCTTTAATAAAAATCACCCTGTTATTTTACTTTTGTATGGCATATTGGCTTTGCAGGTGATATAATAAATGAAACTGGGTTAGAATTTACAATATGTGGTCTTAAATATGGCCTTTAATCTTTGTTCCTTATTTAACCTCAGTTTAAGGAGTTGGCATATGAAAACTTCCATTTAATATCATTTCACGATTATTAAATTATTAGAAAGGAAGGAAACTCCCTCTAGTCTCAGGGTTGGTGCTATGTAAGTAAAAGCATTGCAGAAACAAAAGGAAAGAAAAAACATTTTATATTAGCAAAATCCCCTTTTATTATGTCATTTCTTCTCCTTTCTAGAAGTCATTGCTTCAGGCAAACACCTTTGTGCTAATAAAGGAGTTACTTAAAAATGCTACACTGAAGATGCAGAGTTATGAAATTTTTCTCCTCCTTTCTCTTTTCATCATCATTTATACTCTTCATCATTTTAAATCCATCATGAACGGGGAGGAGAGATTGCTAAGAATAGTCGAATTTGTTTTTAGTTGAAAATTAGCTTAACTTTTAAATAAAATCTAGGGCACAGCATACTTAAGTGACACATTTACATGCTTGATATACATTTTCAGTATGTAGATAGTGGCAACAATGAAGTTTCACTATGGAAATTAGTTGTTACACAAGTATCAGTGCTTCACAATTTATGCTGGATTTTTGTTATATTTTTTAAAACATTATTATATTGGAATGAACAAATTATCTTGTATTTGGTGAGGTTTCCTAATAGAAAATTATCTAGCTTCAGTGTAACCTTCTACAAATGCTTTTCCTTTACTTTGCCAAAATGAGGGAAACTGATGTCAAAAATAAAGGTAGGGGGAAGGGATGGGGAAGCAGTGTGAAAGTTTACTTGCTTTCTGCTTGGATTTCTGGGTTACAATCAGGCCAATAGATTGATAAAAACGATGTTCAGAATTAAAAGTCCTCTGAATTATGTTCATACTTTAAAAGTGAGAATGCTGGTGTTTGAAAACAATGCTGGCTTTGTTGGGCTTCTTAGGCAATAGGAGGAGAAAAATCTATCATTTTCCAACACATTTTAGCTGAAATGCTAGTTGGTCATAGAAAATGAAAGTAATATCAGCGGAATAGGAGAGCAGTGGCTGAAAATCCTCTGTGCCTTCCACGAGAGCCATTTGGTTGTCTTGCTGCCTCTAACTCTCCTCTCCTTCACCTGTTGCATTCATAATAGTAGCACATAGTTCAGCTTTCTCCCCAAGAGCCATATTTACAACTTTGATTAAGAAGGTGAGACTTTTGGAGAATTTGGAGGTGAGAATCAGAGATGATTTTGTGCTTGCTCTTTGCATTTTTCTATTTTAGTATTACTCCTACTGTTTTTAATCTAACATTTTTTGAGCAATTACAATATGCCAGATACTGTGTTACACATTTCCCATTTACTACCTCATTGAATTTTCACCACAACCTGGGGAAGTGTCTTCTTTTAGTATTTGAATTTTATGGATGTTATAACTTAGGTATGGACAGAGTAGGTATAAGATCACATAGCTGGTAGCAAGTGGAATCCATAATTCATAATCTCATCATTAATGCCTGCAGTAAATTACCTCCTCATCACTCCTGTTTACTTTTTCCTTGTTTGTAAAGTGTCTGATCCATATTCTTGGCATTGCCTATATGGTATTATAGTACATACTGGTTTCTATCCAGGTTCCTGGCTCATAACACCCATAGCCCTTGTTACAGTTTTTTGTTATAATGTTGGTTGCGTTGGGTCTCAGGGGCAGGCCTCTGACCTTCTCCTGCTCTCCTTTCACTTTAATGTTCCCTCGCCTTTCAGATTATAGGTCTTAAAAACCTCCTGTTAGAGGGTCCCACCATATACCCTTGGGGAAGGAATGCTGATGTCATGAAGCTTCCATAAAAAACAAAGAGGACAGAGTCCAGTGAGCTTCCGGGTAGCTGAACAGGTGGGGATTCCTAGAGGGTGGTGCACTCAGGGAGGGCATGGAAGCTCCATGCCCCTTTCCGTCCCTCCACCCCAACCATACCTCACCCTATGCATCTCTTCATCTGTGTCCTTTGCAATATCCTTTATCATAAACAGGTGAAAGCGAGTGTTTTCCTGAGTTCTGTGAGCTGCTCCAGCAAGTTAGTTGAACCCAAAGAGAGGGTCATGGGAACCCCAACTTGAAGCCCATGGGTCAGAAGTTCCAGAGGCCTGGACTTGAGACTGGTGTGTGTGTGTGTGTGTGTGTGTGTGTGTGCGCGCGCGTGCGCTAGGGGGGTGCAGAGGAGGCAGACCTCGGTACTGAGCCCTCAATCTATGGGATCTGACACTATCTCTGGGTGGATAGTGTCAGGACTGAATTAGAGACACCCAGCTGGTGCCTGCTGTTTGGTGTATGGGGAAAAAAATTCCACAAATTTGGTCATAAAAGTCTTCTTCTGTGTTGACGATTGTTACGATTTGAGAGTAGAGAAAAAACACGGTTAGAAAGAATTTTCCATACACAGCGTAACATTTCAATAATTTGGAAAGTTAAATGTCACGTATTCTTATATACTATTGTCATTAAAGAGTGATTAATTCGGTAATAATGGCAATCAGATTTCTTGGATAGGCCGAAATTCTCAGCTGAACTAAAGTATTAGGAAGGTAGATGATGATGACAAGGACGATGATGCTACTAAGAACAAAAGCAATCATGATAATAATAGTTATTGAGCACTGGACCAAGCCTAGCTCTAAAAGCCTGATGTTTGTTCTCATAACTAGAGTGACCCTCTCTATATATTTTATCTTCTAAAGTGGAATACTTATGACAATGAAAGAGGGAGCTATTAAAAATTATGATAGGATAACAGGCAAAAACCAGAACAGTCAGAGCAAATTGAGATGTACTCATGACACACAACCTAGTAATAAACCTCATGTCAGTGTGAAATTATAGGAGGCAAAGTCAAGGATGCTTATGTTATAAACTTTAAATTACTACTCCCTTCCCCCAACCCTCAGCTTCAAACTGTTTAGCAACTATAAATTAGAGATATGAATATTTATAATGCCAAGCCCTATAAAATTATGCATGTCCTTTAAATAAGGGAAGGGTGGGAAGTGATTATGATATGCTTAGAACAGAATGTGGCACATAGTAGTCCTTTAATAGATAGCTCTTGAATAAATAATTTAATTACAGCTTTGCTGTAATTATTAACTACATAAAGAAAACATCCAAATAATGGATTTCCAGGAACTTACATAAAGAAAACATTCAAGATAATGGGTTTCTGGGAACTATCAGACTATATGCCCAATAAATAGGTGAACACCCTTTTTTTTTTTTTTTTTTTTTTGAGATAGAGTCTTGCTCTGTCGCCAGGCTGGAGTATAGCGGCATGATCTTGGCTCACTGCAACCTCCTACTCCCTGGTTCAAGTGATTCTCCTGCCTCAGCCTCCCAAATAGCTGGGATTACAGACACATGCCACCACGCTCAGCTAATTTTTGTATTTTTAATAGAGACGGAGTTTTGCCATGTTGGCTGGGATGGTCTCGATCTCCTGACCTTGTGATCTGCCCGCCTGGGCCTCCCAAAGTGCTGGGATTACAGGCGTGAGCCACCACACCCGGCCCGTTTTCTTATATAATAGCGTTTTAGCACACAGATTTATAAAATTAAAAACTGTGTGAACTGTGTTACAAATACACTTCAAGGGAGAAAATCATGAGCACATAAAAGCTCCAGTGGAACTATCTGGTCCCTGCTAAGACTTCCAGCTAGAGAAATGATTTCCTATAATGATTATTATACTTCCTACTATATATTTTACAGCATTTTTTTTTCCGGGGTTCCATAAATACCAGTCAATATGGTAACAATGCCAGTGAAGATTCTATTATTTGGTTGAAAAAACATCACGTTAAGGGCAGGACTGAATGGTAACTATTAGAACAATCTATTAATCGTCATCTTGTGATAGGAAATTGATTGGACAAAGTGTCCATTTTTGAGCAAGGAGTCGGAAAGCCAAGCTCTAGCTTTATTTAATTTTCTCCTTTTTGCTATTCACATTTATACTGACGACTAATAATGACTGTCATTACATAGCAAATACGTCTGGAAAAAGACTAAACATTCATTTACCTTATACAAATGAAAATAAATCTGAAATGTTTACTCCTCAGATACATATTTAGAAGCAACATGATTAGAGATTAATACAAAATGAACCAGATTTCTGGAAATTTAGATACAGCCAACTGTATATTGTGGAAGATAGTTTGTGCTAGGAGTTGCACTGTATTTTTACTTTCATAATTTTTATTTGGTGATTTTTTGAAAATAATACCTGTATTATTATCAATATTACAAAAATTATTCCCATATTAAAGGTTTGTTATATATGTTGTATTTGTAAACCTACCTTTTTCCTCGGTAAAGTGAATAAGATGCACTTAACTAAAATTCACTTTCCAGCCAAATTTCTTAATTGTTTTCCAAAATGCTTTTTTCTTTATGTGCACCATTTTATACTGTCTGGGCAGTAACAAATTCAAATAGTAATTTACCATTTACATATAAACAGTATATCTTATTTGTAAATGGTATTTTATGTGTAGATAGTAAATTACTGTTTACATGTAAAATGCGATGAAAAATTTAAACTTATTTAACAAAATGACAACATATTTATTAAAACTAATAGGAATGCATAACGTACACCACCTGTAAAATTACTTGACATTAAAAATAGTAGGATTTTAACTAATTCTGAAACAACATAAACATGTTTTGCTATATTACACAACTGTAAATGTTCCACAGCAGAGAAGGTTCTAGAAAGTAATTTTAAAACACAGCATCTAGTTCTCAAAAAGGGCAAAAACCAAAGCAAAAACTCATATAGTTTTTTTAAAAGAAAATAAATCCCCATTTTAATATTAGGATATTATCCACATAAAAATCACTTGAGCTTCACCAAAAGGTTAAAACCCCTACTGTTTATTTTGGAATCACTTTTATATTTAAATAGAAAGCTACATGGTCTCAAATAAGTCACATAACCTTTCTAGGACTCGGTGTTCAAAAATAAAGAATGATAAAGCATATTTTGGTTTTAAATAAATGGGTAGTTAAAAAAATACCCACATATAACATATACAAAGAGCAATGAAGAATGAGGAAAGGGGACACAAAATAAAAAGACATGAAAGAGATGAAACTGGGATTAACGGGGTCAGGGAAGGAGAGCAGAAGAGAATGTGTTACATAAACAACTGGGGCAGAAAAAGAGTGGCAAATATGCAAATAGAAAAGTAGATTCATGGCCAGGTGCGGTGGCTCACGCCTGTAATATCAGCAATTTGGGAGGCCGAGGTGGGCAGATCACCTGAGGTCGGGAGTTTAAGACCAGCCTGATCAACGTGGTGAAACCCCGTCTCTACTTAAAATACAAAAATTAGCCAGGCGTGGTGGTGCATGCCTGTAATCCCAGCTACTCGGGAAGCTGAGGCAGGAGAATCGCTTGAACCCAGGAGACAGAGGTTGCAGTGAGTGGAGATCGTGCCATTGCACTCCAGCCTGGGCGACAGAGCAAAACTCTGTCTCAAAAAAAAAAAAAAAACAAAAAGAAGATTCCTAATAAATATATAAAAATAAATTCCTATAATATACGTGTCAATTCATAGATGAAAATTAGCCTAAAAGTGAGAAACACAGAGGAAGAGAGTGATGATGATGGCGAGAGAGCCTCCTACACCCACATGCATGTTCAGAGAAAATACAAAGAAATATGAAGAGGGATAAATATTAAAAACACCTGAGTCAGAAGTGTGGGTGAAGATCATAGAATGAGATGATCAGAGAGAGGAACACAGAGGCTAGCTTTAATAACATCCCCACTTTGTGGCTCTTACGGGTATCATTGTTAAAGGCTGTAAAAGGTCAAGTTATGTATTAGACAAGAATGAGGATATCATTTCATGAGCCTTCATTGCATGAAGCTACCCATAAATTTACGCTAATGGCTATATTCAGTTTAAAGCAACCCTGTCCACCACTCCCTTAAAGAAATAGCTATATTATCTTCACCTGCTGTTTTCTCTCTTCAGTAATGAAATATAAATGTACAGGCCGGGCGCGGTGGCTCACACCTGTAATCCCCGCACTTTCGGAGGCTGAGGTGAGCAGATCATGAGGTCAGGAGTTCGAGACCAGCCTGGCCGACATGGCGAACCCTCCATCTCTACTAAAAATACAAAAATTAGTTGGGTGTGGTGGTGCGCGCCTGTAGTCCCAGCTACTCGAGAGGCTGAGGCAGAAGAATCACTTGAACCCGGGAGGTGGAGGTTGCAGTGAGCTGAGATCGTGCCACTGCACTGCAGCCTGGATGACAAAGCGAGACTCTGTCTCAAAAAATAAATAAAAAAAAAAATAAAATAAAGGTACAAGAGTAAGGGGTCAGTTGGCTCAATACGCAGAATGCAGCATATTAGAGTTAGCTGTGGAGAAAGTCACCTGCCAACTGATTATGATATTAGGATATGTTTGGAGATACTATGTACTAAGGAATTGACATATTCATGTCACAGTAACTATGACCCACTAGTTCCAATTATATCACCCACTCTAACCTTTGGATGAAGGGTAGGGCTGGAGGACACAGGGAGGGGGTCCGCTTTATTTCTACCCTCCTGTAATAAGTAAGAGCTTGAGATTTAATGAAGATCAAGACTGTCTGCCAGTGTTATAAGCCATTTTCTTTTACTTTTAAAAAAACTTGTGTTATTTACCTAAATCTGGTACTGATCATTTGCTTTCTATCCCTAAATCTAAACTAACAGGGATACAGAGGCATATGGATGGAGAAAAGATGATTAAATAATTTTAATATGACTAATGAATAAAATTCCAAATCCTGTGGCATTTAATGGCAAAGACATTGCATTAAAATTATAATTTTGGCATAGGAAACAGATATTATGGATGCTGTAGTAATATAAGTCTATACATGATGGTGTTCGTAACCTCAGTTTTAATTTTCTATCATAAAAATTTGACTTTTTATTCTGTTGCAGGACACATAAAACCTTGACTCTTTCACAACCCACAAAGCTGCTATTGTATATTTTAGATAGTTCTCTCACATTTCCTACAATTATAATTTTTGTTCTTCTTTTTGTCATAAGATGTACTGAGATATTGTAGAACATTTTGGGTATCCTTCCTCCTTGTTCTCTTTTTATGAGGGATGATTTCATTTGTATTGTTATGTAGCTATAAAATTTAATTGCTGGGACACCACCTTCCCTCCATACATAAAAGTCTGTATCTTTACACAGATGTTTTGCAATCATTAAAGGTAGAAACCAAGAAGGGATTTTTTTTTTTCAAATAACTACCTGCTTGAAATAGAGACACTTAAGCGCACATTATGGTTTTAATGTCATAAAATTGGTACTTATTTTAGTTCCTAAATATTTTATCAGTCGTGTAAATGATCTGTTATTAGAATGTCAGCATCACCAATTTAAAAAATACAATAAATAACCTGACACAATTCAAAATGTTCACAAATTAGATGACTCAGTATCGTAAAGATGTTGACTGAGCTCCAGATTCACAAAATTTCAATCAATATCCTGGAAGGCTTTATGTAAAAATAGACAATATAGTTCTAAAATTTATTCAAAGAACCAAAAGTAGCCAAGGCAATCTTGAATAGGAAGAACAAAGTGGAAGGTTTACACAACCAGATCCAAAATGTTTAAATAAAATGATTGCGTATATACATACAATGGAATATTATTCAGTCATAAAAAGGAATGAAGTTCTGACACATGCTACAACATAGATGAACCTTGAAAATATTATGCTGAGGGAAGTAAGGCAGACACAAAGTGGCAAATATATAATTCCAATTATATAAAAGATCTAGAATAGCCAAATTCATAGAAACAGAAAGTAGTCCAGAGGCTACTAGCGGATGGGAAGAGAGAGAAAGGGGAACTATTGCTTAATGGTTACAGACTGTCTGGTTGGAGTAATAAAAAATTTTGGAGGCTGGGCGCGGTGGCTCACGCTGTAATCCCAGGACTTTGGGAGTCCAAGGTGGGCGGATCACCTGAGGTCAGGAGTTTGAGACCAGCCTGGCCAACATGGCAAAACCCCATCTCTACTAAAAATACAAAAACTTAGCTGGGCATGCTGGCAGGTGCCTGTAATCCCAGCTACTAGGGAGGCTGAGGCAGGAGAACCACTTGAACCTGGGAGGCGGAAGTTGCAGTGAGCCGAGATCGCGCCACTGCACTCCAGCCTGAGCGACACAGCGAGACTCTGTCTCCAAAAAAGAAAAAAAAAAATTGGGGGTGGGGCATAAACTGTGGTGATGGTTGTAATAAATGCCACTGAGCTGGACACACGAAATGACTAAAATGACAATTTTTTATGTTATATATTTTATCACACCTTAAAAAAGTAACACCGAAATACGATTGAATTGTTCACTTTAAATGAGTTTAATGGTATGTGAATTATAGCTCGGTAGGATTGTTTTAAAAAAAAGATTGTAATTAAGCCAGTGAAGTACTGTTGTTAAAGTACAGATTTAATCAAATGGAAGAGGATACAGAATCCAGAAGCAGATTCATACATACAAGTTCTCTTGATTTATGACAAAGATGCCATGAAAATACAGTGGGGAAATGATTGTCTTTGAATGAATAGTGCTGGATCAATTGATGTTGCTTTTTACTATAAATTCATATGTACCACTTGCTTTATATAAAATAAATATGTATTAATTTAATAAATAGTATTACTGTTAGATTTATATAGTATGCAAGGTGGAAAGATGAAAACTCACAAGTTAATAAATCAGTAGGTAAGTAAATAAATAAACTTGTGGCGAACGTTAGTGTACATTAATTATTAAGTCCATACCACAGGTGTGAATAATTAATTTTGATTTATGACACTTGTTTAACTAGAACCAGACCACGTCCTTTCAGCTTAAATACTGTCAGTACATGCCTGGCCACTGAATTAAATACTTCGCCATTTCTTCAGTCTGATTCTTCAGAATAATTTATGCAAAAAATTGTGGTATAAATTTTGGCATTTGGTCATTAATGTAAAGCCATTCACCATCATCATTTTTTCTAGCCACAACAAAACATATAGCCAAAGCAAACGGTCAGGTTAAAAAAACAAAACAAAACAACAATCCACATACCAGCCTCCTCCCCGACCAATGAAGCACCCAGGAAACAAAATACATACAAATACTTGCAACATTTAACACATGTGACGGAAGAGATGGTTAATGTCTAACCTTTATCCACTGGAGATTTGTCTGCTTGAGCTTATTTTCAAGTTTATCTTGCTCTTCTGGGCTTATGGGAGCACTTACAAGCACGGGTCCTCCAGTTTCATTTAATTGTTTGAGAATTCCCTGGCGCAGGGGCAACTCTTCCACCAGTAACTGAAACAGACAAATGCAACAACGTTTAAAATGAATTACAGCACAATTCCAACTACCTTGTCTTTGCTTCTATTGATTAGTCTATCAAAATGAAGCGACTTGACCGAGGGCCCAGTGGTACCTCAAATACCAACAGTTTTCTATCTGAGCACAGAGCTGATTGACTGAAACACTCACCCCCTCAGTAGATAAATCTCTGTAGAAAATAAACGATTATATTATCCCTCATAAATTTTTTAAGAGAAAAATGTGAGATGGTAAAGCAACACTCCAAATAAAGTTAGTGTCTGAAAACCTATCTCTCTATCAGAAATAGAACAATGTGAACAAATTCATCAGCCTCTTGGGTATCATAGCATGCCATAGCATACCGTAGCTTGCTGCTGAGAAATTGCATTATCATCTTAAGAGGTAACTGACATTGAGAGTATTGACTCTCAATATACACAGTGCCAGGCACTGTGCTAACCTTTTCACATTTATTATCTTAGTTTATCTTCATATTATAATAATTATATCAGGTAGATCCAATTATCTTCATTTTATATGGAAGGAAACTGAGACAAAGGGGTTAAATACCAGCTCCCAGGACACAAATCTAGCAAGCAACAAAGGTGTGGTTCAAATTTGGGTAGTTTCATTCTGGAGTCCTCATTTTTTACTTCATATCCCTAAATTTCTCGAACTCATTCACCACCACATAGTGTATGCCCTTTCCCAAGACCTCCAAAATCACCATGGTGTTAACACTTCATTTTTGTCAACTAAAGTTACTGTGTCTGCTACAGTACCCATTAGCCATACAACGCTATTAACATTCAAGTTAATCAAAATTCACTAAAATAAAATCTCAAGTTCCTCAGTCACACGACCAACTCTCCAGGTATTCAAAAGGCACAAATAGCTAGTCGTTACAAAAATGGATGATGCAGAATATTTTCATCATCACGGGAGTTCTATTTGAAAGCACTGATCTAGATTCTTTCAGGAGAAAATAGACTCATGCATATTAATTAATAAGAAAATGCCACTAAATATGTTTCGAATGAATTATCAATTATATTACTATATATGACACTCAATACATTTGGGAAAGATAAATTTCCAAGAAAAGACTGAGTTCATTGTTCTAGGGTATAACCATCTTCAAATGATTCCCACTCTTTTCTATTTTTGAATCCCAAATACCTAGTAAAACATCGGATGTATAGTCAGTGCTCCATATTTGTTTATTGAATTACGCCATATTTTATTTTTATACTTTATTTCTTGTTCAGGTGTAAACCTCTTGTTTCACAGAAATAAACGTTTGACATTGGACTCTAATTTACATGTGTAAAGCACCTGAATCATTGATAAAGGACCAATTTCATTTCCCTTTGATTATGTGACCGTGTAAAATGAGGATAATAGCAACCATTGTCAAAATCTGATATGAAGATTAAATAAAATAGTGGCTGTAAATGTATCTAATACTTGGCACATAACAGGGAATGATTAAATATTAATTTCTCTTCCCCTTTCACCTTCTGCTTGACAACTAAAATGAAATAGATCCAAAAGAGCTGCTTTCCTAAAACTAAAACCATGAAAGTTAATCCAATTGCACAATCAGAGCATGTCAGTCAGCCAAGGGAAGTAATCAGTAATAAGCAGACATCACAGTAGGACGGTATGAAAAGCCACTGGAATAAGCTGGATGTCTATTCAACCAAATGGAATGTGAACCAACACCACGTCCCACACCCCCAGACAAATCAGCTAAAACAAAACATTGCTTCGGGGGAATATAATGCCTTTAAGTAGAGGCTGAAGTGGTGAGACTGATCTGGCAATCCAGATCTTCCCTAAGAAAATGGATTCTTCTTTTTAAAGACTCTTCTCAAATCTCCAGGTAGGTAACCAGGACAGATTAAAAAAGTGATTCCCATTTAGATTTAGATTTTATGATTCCACAATCTGGTCTTCAGTTTTTAAAATTATATGAAGTTGTGAAGTTCTCAAGTAAAATCTAAAATTAATTTCAAATCAAAGATAAAAACTGTGAATTATATACATTTAGACATATTGAATCTATACATCTATATGTGTAGATGTATAGATGCAATATGTGTGTGTGTATATATAAATACACACACACACATATATACATATGTTCTTATGTGCACTGGTTCAGAACTGCAGGGTTAAGAAGAAATAAAGTTGTGAGAAAAACACTTTAGCAAGGAACTATGAATAACCTAATGGGCAGAAAACCAATGATTGAATTAAAAAATAGATTCATATACTTCTTTATGCAAGCAGGCCCTGGGGGATTTGAGAAAATAAAATTACCTTGACTTGCTCAAGCTTTTCTTTTAGTTGCTGCTCTTTTCCAGGTTCAAGTGGGATACTAGCAATGTTATCTGCTTCCTCCAACCATAAAACAAATTCATTTAAATCTCTTTGAAATTCTGACAAGATATTCTTTTGTTCTTCTAGCCTGGAGAAAGAAGAATAAAATTGTTATTTTTTTTTCCAACATAGTTCTCAAACTATTTGTTAATGCAAACTGGGACACAAACATGGCAATTTAAAAATAAGCAATTTAAAAGATGTTAACCATACATAATTTAAGAAAATTCATTCACTTTGAACAAAGTAATTTCAATATTTCAAGAATCTCTAAATGATAAGAGATTAAAATCGAACAAGAAAAATTCTGATTCAAAAATTCCTGGCCAGGCGCAGTGGCTCATGCCTGTAACCCTAGCGCTTAGGGAGGCCGATGTGGGCGGATCACTTGAGGTCAGGAGTTTGCGACCAGCCTGGCAAATATGGTGAAACCCCGTCTACACTAAAAATACAAAAATTTGCCAGGTTTGGTGGCAGGCGCCTGTAATCCCAGCTACTAGGGAGGCTGAGGCAGGAGAATCACTTGAACGTGGAAGGCAGAGGCTGCAGTAAGCCGAGATCGTGCCACTGCACTCCACCCCGGGCAACAGAGAAAGACTCCATCTCAAATACATACATACATACGTACGTACATACATACATACATACATACATTAAAATGAATAAAATAAAAATTCTAACAACATTATGTCATTATATCTGAGCAAGGTTTCTCAACTTTAGCATTACTAACATTTAGGTTTGGAAAATTCTTTGCTGTGAGCAGCTATCCTCTGCATTGTAGGGTATTTAGCAGTATCCCTGGCCTGTTGAACACACTGGATACCAGTAGTAACACCTCGCCCCTGAGCTGTGACAACCAAATATGTTTCAAGGCACTGCCAAATATGCTGGGGGGTTGGGGGTGGGGACAAAATTGTCCCTGGTTGAGAACCAACTAAAGTAAGTATATAACCTAAAGTTACAAGTTTTAAAATGTTTAATTAAAGTATACTTATGGAAAATGAGAGGACAAAAATATAAACAAGGTTTTTGTTTTGTTTAAGTAGCAGCCATTTTATCTGCTTCTTATTCTGTGGGTCAAGGATTTGGATAGGGCTCAGTTGAGCAGTTCTGCTTTATGTGGCTTCAGCTTGGTTTAAAATAAAACACTAAATTATTACATGCTAAACTGTTTTCCGAATTATGACTCACAACCTTATTTGAGGAAAGAGAAAAACTGATTTAAAATACTTAACATATGTTGTACTCGTGGAAGTTTTAATTATGAAAATGCATATAACTCTATGCTAATTAGCCATAAATTTATTCTTACATATTCGATTGTAAGACAGCTGAACAAAATTGTTTGTGCTTAAAATAATTGAAAATTTTTTGTTTTGTTGTCTTTTGGGAACTATGTGTAGCTTCCATGGAAGCTTTTAACTGAAGTGTAATATACGTACAGGACACTGCACAATTTAACTGTATAGCCCAATAGTGTTTTAAAAATTGAACACACTGTACAACCAGAGAAGGAAATAGAATATTATCAGAATCTCAGAAATCTCCTCTTATCCCTTTGCAGTCACTGCCTCCAAGTATAACCAGTACCCTGTCAACTTTGATTATTTTGCCGGTACTGAATATTATGAAAATGGAATTGTATGGCTTTATACTCCTTTGTGTCTCGCCTTTTTCATTCAAAATTATGTTTACGATAATCCATGTTGCATATAATTTTAGTCTGTTCATTAACCTGGCTGTATAGCATTTAATTGTGTAAATATAGTACTTTAGATGGACATTTGTGATAATTCAGTTTTTTGAATGATTAGCTATTTTTTTTTTTTTGCTTCAAATTAACAAATGTGTATTGGGAGCTTACTACCTTCTAAGAGCTCAATTGGGCATTAGGATTAAAGATATATACGTTATATACCTTGTCTTGAGGATTTCATAGTCAATGAGAAGAAACAAGCATGTAAGCCAAGGATTATGATTAAGTATTATAGGAGGAGAAGTTATTTCTGGGGCAGTGCTTGGGAGACATCCCAGAGAAGATAATGATCTGAGTCTTGAAGCATGAAGATAGATCAGCATGTTGCAGGAATAAGACACAGCCTGTTCAAAGACAGGGCCTTGAGAGAACTACAGTTGCGATCATTCTGTAAATCAGAATCTGGTTATTGGACTTATGCTTGCATATATTCATTCAGTTTTCCTATATGATAAGAGCCTGTTCAAAGTCTGTTCTGGGACACGTAAAGTTACATTCTCCCCTCTGTCTATTCTCTTTTAAATTCATTTATACATTTATTCGCTTATTTTTACAAATGTTTATGATTTATTGTTTTTAATTTTTGTAGGGACATAGTAAGTGTATGTACTTGTAGGGTACGTGAGATATTTTGATACACGCATGCAATGAGAAATAAGCACATCCACTGTTCATTCCTGGGACACTGGGAGCAGGGTCTGTTTTTAACCTATCCCGAATATAACATCTGATCTAGAAGTACTTCTGCCTTATCTGACTGGGAAGATGAATGCTATTTACTTCAGCTGAGAGTATATTTTGTTGTCTCATATATTTTGGGGAAACTACTAGTTTAATAAATCAAGAGATCTGGAGCTCGGGGAGAGAGGAAAGCTGGAAATAAGGACTTTAGTCATTAGCAATCAGTTGGCAGAGAAAACACGGTAAACTAACTTTTGAACTAATAATTAACATTTCATGTTTGCTATTTTCTGAGTCCATTCTTTCTTCGTTTTATGAATTTTAATCATTGACAATTCTCTCTTATTTAAATTGAAAAATAGGAAAAGTCAATTTCAAAGCCTTTTGTTGATTTCTTATGTATGGTTAACCTTACGGTTCCTCCTCTTCTTCTACTCTATGTGCTTGGCCATGGAAAGCCAAAGGAATGCCTACGGTGCTCTTCTGGCCTCTCCAAAAGCTACACAGACCTGGGAAGGAGGTCTGCAGATTCCAAACATTCATTGAAGTGAGAGGATGCTTTTTCCTTCTTGGAGTCTACATACTTACTCTCAGTGATTCTCTCGAAGTCTCTACTTCTGACTCAGAGAGATGAAAGAGAAGGAACTGTCCCTTACCACAAACTGCACTCCCCACAAAGCTTACTACCCCTTCCTACCTGAGTCTTTTTAATCTTGCCTGGGACACGGAGTACAGAGGAGATTGGAAATTGCTTGGAATAGAGATAATAATCCCTGTTGCTTTAGAGTAAACCCTATGGGGAAGTGGCTGGTCTCGATTGCTGGCAGTTTGTTTTAGAATGTGGAACAGCACCATTTCCCCTCAGATTCTGACCTTAGAATCAATTGTGGAAGAAGAAAACGTCTAGTATAGTACAGGCATCCTTTATTTGTTTAAATGTTCCAAGCAGATTTAATTCCTTGGGTCTAGATTTTGAGGGTCTATCTCATCTTTTTCTCTCTCTCTGTTTCTACTCTGCAAATCATTGCCTCCATTACTATTTGACTCCAGATGATTTTGCACAGTGTTCTGAATACTTTTAGTTAAGTAAAATCTTGCTAAAATCTGATTACATTTGAAAAACCTAGACACATTGGCAAGGCTTTTAAACATTTTCAACTTTCATCTAGAAGCAGACACGTTTAAGGAAAAGAAAACCCCAAACCCCCCAAACAAACAAAAATTTAAGGAGCAGGAAAAAGTAATATCAAACCAAAAAAATAATAATAACCCTCAAGTTTAGAAAATTCTAAATCAAACACTCCCCTCTTTTCAAATATGTCTCAAATTATTTACTAGCATATTTTTTTCTATCAAGAATATCCAGTACAGAGGAGAGATGTTGTGCTTATTCATCATAGTTGAGATTTATATGTATTACTGGGTTCAAACCCTATATTGTATGCTTATTTTCTTCATTTATTATTCTACTATGTGTCTCTGTAGGTCATTAATTACGCTTTAAAAACTTGATTTTTTAAGATCCTAGTAATAAGATATATAGGGGTACCCTATATTTCACCATTATTGTGTTATTAGGAATTTTGTTTGCTTTCATTTTTTATTATAATGAATAACCCTACAATAAACACATTTATTTATACATTTTGAATCATGTATCTGCTGGAATGAGAATGAAAAGTTAACAATGGGAATCCTAAGGATTTAGATACACATTGTTGAATTTCTGTCAAGGTTGGTACTCAGAACACTCGTAAACTCCCACCAACAGTTACAAAATACTTGTCTCACTACACTTTTGCCACTATTGAGCATTATAATTGATATACCAATAAAACAAATAAAAAGCTTGCCATAGATATTTTAAGTATTCTACTAATAGGAAAGTTGAAAATGTTGTATGTGTGTACATGTTTGTCATTTATTTAGTTTCCACTGTCAATTATCGGCAATGTCTGTTGCCCATTTTTCCTGTGTTTTCCTATTTTTAAGAGCTCTTTTCACATTATCTGAAACATAGATTAATTGAGACTACGTTTCCAGCTTCCTTTTTGCCTTTTAGTAGTTTTTTCTAAATAAAATTTAACAGTTTATTTCTTTGATATTATGTTCATTGATAGTATCCTTAAAATTGTGGCCATTTTACCATTGTTCAGATATTCTCATTTATTCTTGATCCTTTACTCTTTCATTTGTTAAAAAAGAACAACCAAATATTTAATCCATCTTAAATTTATATAGTGTTGTTTCTAACCTTGAAGAGTTTTTCAGAAACTGATATTTTTTCCCCCAGCACCATCTCTTCTGAATTGATTTATGGTGCTTTCTTCATGATATTTTAAGTTTCTGCTTGTTGATCTACTGTAGATTTTTGTGACAGTAATGCACTATGTCAATTATTGCAGCTTTAAAATATGTTTAATTTCTGGTAGGTTAACCCGCTCTCCCACTTTAGTTATTCTAACTTATGTAATGTATCATTCAGTCAAATTATAAAACAATTCTCGCTGAAAATTTTTAAATGGGATTGCATTATATCAATAAGTTAATTTGTGAAGAATTACTGCCTTTCCAATATAATTCTGCTAAACTTTCTGTATTTACAGTGTTCTTGGACACAGAGTATCTGGGACTCAATGGGACACTATAAATAATTAAGTACATTTTATAATTAACCTTCAGCATCAATTTGAAAGACAGCATCTTGCATATGATTTTATGGATATTAACCATATACTAATTTAGAAAACTCTTAAGAACTCTCAGAATAAATCATCACTTAAACAGTAAAAGCTTTGGCTAAGCTTTTTGCTGTCTTTCTTTTTACACGATATTTGTGGAAAACTTTTTTTCCAGTGATTTAATTTTTTAAAAAAACAGCATCTTTTAAATATGAAAACATTTGGTAGTCATTTCTTATCTAGATTTTTTTTATACTTTGAAATATAAAAAAGATGGTGACAAAATCCCGTTGGGACCTTGTTATAATCTGCTTTTCCAAGCGCATGTGTTTTCTGAAATTTCAAAAGCCTCGATTTGAAGTTTTAAAAGCTGCAATTTGAATTTATGTATTCAGATGATTGCAGAAAAGCAAAGAAACACAGTTAGCATTTCCAGGCTTGTCTCTTGACAGAACAGTTTAAACGTGCTTCATATTGGCATTCATCACATGAAGTGTTATTTCTTTGTTTACCTACTTGCTTAATGCTTATGGGAGGATTTATTCAGACAAGTGGTAGTAATAATAATGAGTGAGATATTTAACATTACCCATCTGCAAATAAGTGCTAAATATTTTACTTTTAGAAGCATTTCAATACATTTAGACATTTAGCTTTTTTTAGAAAGAATGGCTTCTGTTTGAAATATTGGCTCTGTTACCATTTACATTACAAATGTTCCCAATGAAATTAAAGGAAGCACGTATTACGATGGTGAGAGATTTGCATAATCAGAAAGGAAGCGCTACTCATGTGTTGCTAAATTCAATGAATTTAACATTAACTCTTAATGAACATTTTCTGTCGGGCTACTCTTACGCTAAGAGGAATAGACTGCCAAATCACATGGCATGATTTTGGTGAGGGGATCTAACAAGTGTTTCAGGTAAAGTGCTAGATAGTTTCACAGTGGAATCTTTTAATATTCCATACATCCTTTGGATTGCCTTTTATATGCTTTCAATGAAGAAACTGAAGTTCTAGAGATTGATACATCACATACCCAAAGGTGACTATCCCATTTTCCAAATGAGAAGTCCCTCTCTCCAAGTTTTTTGATCACCTTTAACATAGAAACTTTAGAAAATGGAGATACAATGATCACCTGTTTACATATAATGTTTAATTCATTAATTTGATTGTGTGTACTACTTTAAAATTATATAGTACAAAATATTATGTCATTAGATCACACTTCTTCATTCATATTTCATGCAACAATTTTGTTCAAATTCTTCACAGGCACCTTCAACATTGAAATTTGCATCCTCATGGATGCACTTGTTGTTGCCTAACTCAGTTTTCCAGAGGGCATCATCTTTACTTACATCCATGTGGCCTGAGGTATAGTACTGCTGAATCTAGAGGTAATGTTTCACTAGGAATTTTACTGCAAGCCACAAGCACACATTTACATAACAGAATACAGTTTTATGTTATGTAAAGACAGCTTTATCTTTTTTCTGTGCCATATGTCCATGAGCTACACCATGTAACCACTTAATGAGTTACTTTTAACAGTATTCTTTCCATAGCTTGTTTACAATGGCATCCAACTCTTGCAATTGTGATGTCATACAACCAAAGTCAATCCCTAAACTGTGTTAAATTTATTTTCTCCCAGTGTGTGTGTGTCTGTGTGTGTGTGTTTTTGCCCTCCTCTATCAGGTTTACTTCTACAAGCCTCCAAAATAAGCATAAATTGAGAATAAGTCAAGGCAATACATCTTTCCCGGACAGTACTTTGTTGTTTTGATTGAAGTAAAATAAATGACCATCTTGTAATTTGAGAAACTTCAGAAGGATTCAAGTATAAGTTGACCCTTCCCGAGGGAAAACCAAAACAAAACATTGATTTCTACACACACCTAGTAACCTCCTCAGGCCATACCCTCCGTAGGTCATTATCAGAATCAGAACCCAAGCATCAACTTTATTTTTAAGCCAACATGTCTACCATACCTGGTTGGTGCTTGAGTTGTACAAGTAGACATTTGTTCATTTTCCCTAAAGTTTGTGTCTTGTCGGAATGAAGTGCTCCTGAGGGGGATAATATATCAAGATTTCTCAGTCATTTATGCCTCACTATTAAGGAAATGATTAGCAACTTTTGAGTAGATGTGGAAAACGATGAGGGAAAAACCTGAAGGTTAGCAATGCGAATATCTGTATGGAAAGTAAGTCCAAATCTAAATGCTGCCAGTTATCAGCTGAGTACGTGAACACGGGCGAGTTCCTTAATCTCTTTAGCCCTCAGTTTCCTCGTCTTAAAATTAGAACAATAAACATTTTAGAGTGTTGTGAGGATTAAAGTTTTTTTTGCAGAAACCCAAGATTTAGCCTAGTGCTTCACTAACAGCACTCAAAAAAAATGGTAGAGAACATAAAAGGAGGTACAAAAAAGGGAAAATATGGATACAGAGCTTTCTGTTTTAATCCTAGAATTGTGTCTAAGCCCACGTGCTTACATAGATAAAAGTATTTATAAAACATTATGAGTACACAGGAGGAGTACTCAAAATTGAACTTTTGATGAGCCACCTGACAACTTTATTTCTCCCTACTGACAAACTACCTTGACAAATTTTGCTGGGGAAAAAACAATAGAGAATTAATGTCAATCTATGAGTAAATGTGCCACCAGATGAGACTACTTCTAGGTGAAGCATATATGTAATCACAATGCAACAGCCATTTATTGAGGGTCTACTAGTGTCCATTGATATGGCCGTGAATATCGGCAGCAATCCCTGCCTCATGGACCTTACATCCGATTGGGAGGAAGGGGAGGCAGACAGTAAACAAGATAAAGAAATAAAATCTATAGATTGTGATACAGTAAGTGTTACAGAGGAAAAAAATGAAGCATGGAAAAGGGATGGAAATATTGAGGGGAAGATGGGGAGCAGTTGTGATTTTATAAAGGGTGATCATAGAAGGTTCCATGGAGAAGGAGACATTTGAGCAAAGTCCTCGTGGTAGGGACTGGCTAGCTGCTCATTAGACAAGTCTACTCATTTCTCTTAATTGTGCAGCTAGCTGTCATTTCCCAGTCTCCCTTGCCATTAGTTTGGCTACATGACTGAGTTCGAGCCAATGGAGTGTGAGCAAAAGTGATGCTCATGAATATGAAGCCTGGCTCATAACCCCACCTCCAATAACCACCACCACATATGTAATATTCCTTGTTCTTTTTCATTCTTATGTACAAGAGCACAGTGATTTTGAAATCCGTATGTTAAAGACATCAGAGCCACAAAAGCGAAGTGCCCTGGGCCCCCCTGATCCACCATTTGGAGGAAATCTACTTGTTGACCAGAAAATTTTTGTAAAGTTTGCATGAACGGAAAGTTTCTATTATGTTAAGCCACTGAGGTGTGGGCTTTTTTTTTTTTATAGCAGCTTTAATAAAGATAGGTAATATAGAAATAAAGAAGCGAGGGAGGAGGCCATGCAAATATTGCGGGAAAGAACGCCCTAAGCAGAGAAAACAAGTACAAAGGCCTTGAGGCAGGAGTGTAGTAAGAACGTCCTAAAAACAGCGAAGAAGTGAACAAGAAGTTCAGAAATGGAGTGAGGAAAGGAGATTACTAGATGTGGCCCAAAAGCCTTCTATTCAGAGATTCTATCTGGAATCTGAAGGCTTTTATAATCCCTATCCCACATCGAATTCAGTTTCTGGGTAAAAATAAATTATAGAGCAATATGTTTGGGAAATCTCAGACTGAACTGTGTTCTCCAATGCTACTTTAATAGATCCAATCAACTAACTGAGCCCTAGGACTTCCCCCCAGATTTTTGTGTGTGCTGTCTACACAGTTGCTGAAACAGGCTTCGGGAAAATCTGAGGATGCTTTGGATCTTCATCTGTCAGAGGCAGAGTTACATCACCTATCAGTAAAGCCTGTCACAAAGCCATTACCATCCGATAGAAAATGCAATTAAGAGGGTATGACTTCAAACCGTTTTTTCTGATTTGAATCCCAGTTCAGTTTTTCCCTTCGCAGACATTCAAACACCATCATCTTCCTGCCTAAACGTGCTCCTCTGTCAAGTTCAATGGATGACTCCACCAGCTCCCGGTTTTTTAAGCTGAAAGTGTAGAAGTCATCCTTGATTCTTCTCTCTCCCTCACTCCCAGAGCGTATCAATAAGCATGTCCTCATAAGTCCACTTGAGAAATCTCTCTTGAATCTGCCCACTTCTCTCCATCCTCCTGTCGCTGTCTCCTTCGCTCCTTCTCATTCTGATTTCAACTTTTATTTTTGATCCAGGTAGTATACGTACAGGTTTGTTACCTGAGTATGTTGTGTGATGCCAAGGTTTAGGGTAAAAATGATCCCACCACACACAGGTAGTGAGCATAGTACCCGATAGGTAGTTTTTCAACCCTTGCCCCTCTCCTTCCTCCCCCTTCTAGTAGTCCCCAATGTCTATTGTTTTCACCTTTATAATGAGTACCCAATGTTTAGCTTCTAACTATCTTCGGTTTTCTGTTCCTGCATTAATTCACTTAGGATAATGACCTCCAGCTGCATCCATGTTCCTACAAAAGGCGTGACTGTATGCTTTTTATGACTGTGTAGTATTCCATGGTGCATGTATACCACGTTTATTTCATTCAATCCACCACTGGTGGGCACCTAGGTTGATTCCATGTCTTTGTTACTGTATAGTGCTGCGACGAACATGTGAGTACATGTGTCTCTTTGGTAGAAAGATTCGTGTTCTTTTAAATATATACCAAGTAATGAGATTGCTGGGTTGAATGGCAGCTCTCTTTTAAGTTCTTTGAGAAATTTTCAAACTGCTCTCCACAGTGCCTAAACTCATTTACATTCCCATAAACAGTGTATAAGCATTCCCTTTTCTCTGAAGCCTCACCATCATCTGTTGTTTTTTGACTTTTTAATAATAGCCATTCTGTTCTGATTTCTAACAGCCTCTCTGAGACTGCTTTCTAATTAGCTCGTGCCTCCTACCTTGTCTCCTTCTTATCCACTCTTTACACTTCAGAATAAGAGATCTTTCTAAAATATGTTGCTGATCATGTCCTCATATACTCAACAACATCCTAGTGCCAATGGGATAAAATATAACTTCTCTAACATGGTCAAAAAGCCCTTTGTGATCTGGTCTCTACTTCTATTTCTTCATCTTTCTTTGCACTGTATAGTTCATGGAACAACTTACTCTTCCTTAAAATCCAGCACTATATCCATATCAGGATTCATCATACAATGTTCCCTCTGCCTGGGATGTCCTTCCATACATCTTCATCTAGGTAGCTCCAGGTTGACCTTTCCAATCTCAGGTTAGACATCACTTCCTCTACAAAGCTTTCCTTGATTAATTAGACATCCCCAACCCAGGTATAGGTCACAGGTCCTGTTATGTAGTCCCACAGCCCCTCATAATGTTTCCATCACAGGAAATACTGTAATTTCCCATGTTCATCAAACTATTGCAGATTTTCTATCTATTGTGATCGCACCCTATCCTCAGTACTTAGCATATAGTATTTGCTTAGTTCCTATATTAATAATCTCCTAATGACATCATCTTAATTGTATATCTCCAAGTAATAACATTATTTCATAGTAGTCTGGGGAGATTTTCCATGAAGAACAAAGTGTGTGTGTATGGGAGGCAGGTTCTGTATAAAATTAACGAAATTCAACCAGGGAAAGCTATACAGCAAGTGTTTGTAAACTATGGCTCATGAACCAAGTTGTGCTCACCACCTGTTTTTGTAAATAAAGTTTTACTGGAACAGAGCTACACTCATTCATTTACATATTGTCTATGGTTACTTTCATGCTACAATAGCAGAGTTGAGTAGTTGCAGCAAAGATTGAATGGCCCACAAAGCCAAAGGCATTTAGTATCTGGCACTTTACTCAAGTTTACCACCATCTGCTATGTGATAAATCTCCTTCTTAGACATCTACTAGGGAATTAAAGATACGAGAGTTCTGATATAAGAAAATCTGTATAATCTCTATAAACCAGTGGTATGCGAAGTCATGAAAATATCTATGATAATTAGAACTACTCCTCACCCCTTGAAACAATCATGAGCACTTTACACAATTATTATTTCACAGGACAAATAGAAAAACTAGACATTGCATCTGATTATAAACATTAATTCTGTTTAAATTCACGAACATTTCCAACTATGAGAAACTATATCTACTTACCTTAGAATCAAACATGGAAAATAGTCAAAAGACCTATGCCTCTGCCTCACTTTTCTTGTCTTGGCTTTTACATTATGCCAGTTTCTTTATATTTCTCTTTCTTCCTAACCCACAACCAACTTTATCATTTATTTTATAATTTCACCTCTTTTTTGTTACTCAGTTTTATAATTTCACCTCCTATTTTGTTACTCAATTTTTTTCCCCTCTGGGCTTTATGGTGATTTTTATTACTGTGTCTGTATTTTGAATTCCTCGTGGTAGTAATTCTTTCCACCCCCAGAAAAAATGTCATCTGTTTTCTCAAACTATGTATGTTTCCAGTGGAATATGAATACATTATATAGAGACGGAAACCCGAAGTTCCCCAGAGAGTGAGAGAGAGAGAGAGAGAGAGAGAGAGAGAGAGAGAGAGAGAGAGAGAGAAAAGGGAACATTTTGATCATCACTTTCATACTCGAGCAGAAAGGCAAAGGGTATTTCCGTTTCACTTATTTAAACTCTGCACATAATTGCAGCTAAGTTCCTCAGAAACAGAGGTTACTATTCTTTAAAAGAATATAGCCACAGGAGGTACAAAAATAGTTATATTCCCTGAAACAGTATTTCCTTAAATGTGGTCTGGGGACCCCTGGGAGTCCCTGAGACCCATGCAGTGGTTCTGTGAGGTCCAAATTATTTTCGTAATAATACTAAGATGTTATTTGACTTTTTCCTCTCTCATTCTATTATGAGTTTTTCAGAGGCTACATGATGCGAGATATGACAGCACATTCAATGCAGAAACAGATATAAGAACCAGCTGCCTTCTCTTAAGCTAACTTTTAAAGAGATTTGCAAAAATGTAAAACAAGATCACTCTTCTCACTATATTGTTTCTGTTGTAGAAGAGATAGTTTAAAAACTAAACATTTATTTTTTATTTCAACATGCAATTTTAAAATGAATTAATAAGTAAATATTTTGAACAATTACCACTTTTTTTTTTTTTTTTGAGACGGAGTCTCACTCTGTCGCCCGGCTGGAGTGCAGTGGTGCGATCTCGGCTCACTGCAACCTCTGCCTCCCGGGTTCGAGCAATTCTTCTGCTTCAGCCTCCCGAGTAGCTGGGACTACAGGCGCCCGCCACCACTCCTGTTTGTTTGTTTTGTTTTGTTCTGCTTTTTTTTTTTTTTTTTTGTATTTTTAACAGAGACAGGGTTTCACCATGTTCACCAGGATGGTCTCGATCTCTTGACCTCGTGATCCGCCCGCCTCGGCCTCCCAGAGTGCTGGGATTACAGGCGTGAGGCACCGCGCCTGGCCAAGATAATTTTTTTTGTAGAAAAATAATATGTCCTTGTCAACTGGCATAAGTAATGACAGCTTATCATGCATGCCGAGTTTGTCATTATAAAGACCTCAGACAAGTAAATAATACAATGTAAAATGAAAATTGAAATAATCCATTAGGTATGAAGAAATCCACCACAAACATTCCAGTTGGAGTTCAGAAATTTGCCAATGAATTTATTAGAGACAGAGGGAGGTGAATAATGTAGGCCAATGACTATGAGGGTCAACTTTTAGAGTTAATGAACTGCCTAAATATTTACTGGGAATCTCTGTGATATGCTAGGCTAAGTAGGGCACCTTCAAATGATATACACACTGCTCACTTACAGATTATATTTCACTGAGGCAAGCTCGCCTGTCATTAACTTACTGTATTTTATCAACAAATATTTGAGCATCTACCACATACCAGGTACTGATTTTGCTACTTGATGAGGTAGTTAACAAAATGTTGACAGGCTAGTCAGTGATACAGATACATGAATGGGTCTCCTTTTTTTTATTGTTTTTATTTTTTGAGATGGAGTCTCGCTCTGTCACCCAGGCTGGGGTGCAGTGGCGCGATCTTGGCTCACAGCAACCTCCACCTCCTGGGTTCAAACGATTCTCCTGCCTCAGCCTCCGAGTAGCTGGGATTAAAATGCGATAAGCATTGAAGTGTAGCTATGCATTCACCAAACATTTATTACACATCTACCAAGGGCCAGGCACTATACTATTTTTGCTGGATATTCAGGAGTGAACAAAACAGAGCCAGTCCATACACGTAGCTTATGGTGTCATGGGTGACATCAACATTAAACCACTAATCATACAAAAGAGTTTAATGCAAACCATACATATATATAGAAAAAAATTAAGATTGTTAGGAGAGTACTCCTTTTTTACAAACTTTCACTTTCAGAACTTTCATAGGTATGTTGCTCCTAAAGGCAAATATGCATCAAATTTTACTTTCCATGAATAAATGGGGTCACTGGTCAGCTATAGTTATTATAGTTTTTGGTATCATGTCTAACTTTAGACTAAGATGTGTCTCCTCTGTGTGTATTTTTGAAATGTTTTCTAAACATTATTAATCTCATTATGTGCCATGAGTACAAAAGCAAAGCAAATTTGTTGAGAGTCCTGGGAAAACATAGAAAAGAAGCAATAATAACAATAATAATCAAGGTCCTCAACATTTATAATTTTCTCAAAGGGCTTAACTGAATATCTATCGGTCTTTTGAATGGAGACATATGTTCTAAGAACAAAAGCACTTACAGTCATTTGGAATATAACCTGTTTCTAAGAAGAGCAGTGGATCTTACTTAGATTGAAAAGGCTGTGGTGGTTGTAACAGTGAGTCCCTCTGAGTAAGTAACATTGAAATTGAGCCCTGAAAACTATGTCAATATCAGCCGGAATACAGATGGTACAAGACAAAGGAATTAGCTTTTATCAAGGTAGAAGAAATACTTAGCGAGTCAGAGGAATTGAAACTAGGAATTCAGTGTGGCTAAAGTTTAGAGAGAAAAATGGAGAGTTGCAGGAGCTAAGTCCAGAGAAATGGACAGGTAATATCTTCTACATTACCTCTGGGCATTAAAATTTGATTCTGCATGAACTTTATTAGTGTATTATTTATTTTACATCCATGTCAATTACTAAATTCATTAAAAATTTGGTACAAGGTACAGATGAACTTAGGGAGTCTACCTAACAGATTACTCAAGATTGGTTTTGATCCTTGAAGTAGACCACTTCACTTAGCTAAGCATCCGTTTTAAAATACTAGAATCCAAAGGGTATCTTCAAGGATTTCTTTTTTAAACAGACCTAGCCATGTACAATAGAGTCAAGGCAGTGTAAACTAAAATATGTGTTTTCTGGTTCTCAGATCAATAGGACATACAGCAGACTGACATAGCACTTAGGAGAAAATTTCTCTGTATGTTTACGAAAACTGAAGGGAGTTTTTTTTTTTTTCTCCACTGGGAGCTGACCATCATTACCTTCCAGCTGAATCTATGAGAGAATTCTGTTCCCATTCTCCTGAATTAATAGTTGCTAAGAAAATGCCACATAATTTATTTGCTATATGACTTAAAAGGCAAAGCATAATGAAAATGAGAGTAAAATAAAAGGCCATTAACGAGAAAATATTGCATATATAAATTTGTGTCATATATATAGTAAATTTGCATCATACCAATATCAGGGAGAAAAGTAAGATTACCTTGTCAAGCATCAAGCACAAGTAGCTAAACCTTAAATACAGTGGATAATGAGGAACACTGAGATACCAATATTTTTTAAAGCTTCTATTTATTTATTTTGAGACAGGGTCTCCTGGGGTGTGGTAGCATGATTATAGCTCACTGTAACCTCCAACTCCTGGGCTCAAGAAATTCTCCCAACTCAGCCTCCCGAGCATCTAGGACTACAGGCTTGCATCACCACAGTCGGCTACATTTTTAATTTTATGTAGAGATGGAATGTTGCT
Organism: Homo sapiens; assembly: GCF_000001405.40. Taxonomy (NCBI): domain Eukaryota; kingdom Metazoa; phylum Chordata; class Mammalia; order Primates; family Hominidae; genus Homo; species Homo sapiens. The sequence continues at coordinate 31,947,326 of NC_000023.11, forward strand.
ATGTGCCCAAGCTGGTCTTGAACTCCTGGCCTCAAGCAATCCTCTTGCCTTGGCCTCCCAAAGCACTGAGATGACAGGCATGAGCCATGTGCCCAGTCAACTTTTAATTTTCATTTAACAGCTTTATTAAGTATTTAAGGTGTACACGATGGGTCCATAATTAACAAACAGATCTTCCCCGACTGACTACGATGGTTTGACTTACAATTTTGAAGTTCACCATGGTGCAAAAGCGATACACATTTAGTATAATCCTGGACTGAGGATGGGGTTATATCTGGATATACTCACTGTAAGTTGAAAATATCATTAATTGAAAATGTACTTTTGACTCATAACATTTTCAATTTATGATGGGTTTATCAGGACACAATCCCATCCTAAGGTGAGGAGCATCTGTATACAATGTGATGAATTGGGATATAAGCATACAACCATGAAACCATCCCCATAATCAAGGTAACCAAGTATATGCATCAACTCCAAAAGTTTGCTCATGCCCCCTTCATTTTTTCTTTCTTCTTCTTCACTTTCTCCTTCTCCTTCTTCTTCTTCTTCTTATGGTAGGAACACTTAAGACATATCCTCTTAATAATAATTTAAGTGCACAGTACAGGCACTATGTTGTACAGCAGATCTTTAGAACTTATTTACATTATATAACTGAAACTTTATACTCATTGAACAGCAACTCCCAGTTCCCCCTTCGCCCAGCCCCTGGTTACTATCATTCTACTCTCTGGTTCTACGAGTTTGACTGTCTCAGACACCTCATATAAATGGAATCATTCAGTATTTGCCCTTTGGTGACTGGCTTATTTCACTTAGCATAATGCCTTCCAGGTTCATACATATTGTCAAATATGGCAGGACGTCCTTCCCTTTTAAGGCCAAATAATATTCCCTGTATGAATACACCACATTTTCTTTATCCATGCATTCTTCCATGCACAGCTATGCTGTATTGATATCTTGGCTACTGTGAATAATGCTTCAGAGAAGATGAGAGTGCAGATATCTTTTTGAGATTCTGGTTTTAATTCTTTGGGATATATACCCAGGAGTGAGGTTGCTGGATCATATGGTAGTTCTATTTTTAACTTTTTCAAGAACCTTTCTACTGTGTTCTATAGCAGCTGCATCATTTTTCCATTACCACCTATGGTGTACTAGCGTTCCGATTTCCTCACATCCTCAACAACATTTCTTATCTCTTGTTTTTGGTTTGTTTTTATAGTAGCCATCCTAACAGGGGTGAGATGATAGTGTTCATCTCACAGAGGTTTTGATTTGCATTTCCCTGATGACTAGTGATGCTGAGCACCTTTTCACATACCTGTTGGCCATTTCTATGTCTTCTTTGGAGAAATATATATTTAAATATTTTAAAAATCAAGTTATTTGCCTTTTTCCTGTTGAGTTGTATTAACAATCAGCTCTGTTTCTGTACACTAACAATAAGCTACCCAATAATAAGCTTTTCTTCTATTGGATTATCTTGTCACCTTTGTCATATATTGATTGACCATAAATATAAGAGTTTATTGCTGGACTATCGAGTCTCTTCCATTGTCAACATTAGGAGTGCAGTTAGTAGATTTAAGAAAAAAATATGAATAGGTTTGTTTCCTAAACCTACAGGTGATCTATAAGCCTGTCCTTATGACAGTACCACACTGTCTTCATCATTGCAGATTTACATCAAGATTTGAAATCAGGTAATGTCCTGATTTCAAAGTCCTCTAACTTTTTTCTTCTTTTTCACAATTGTTTTGGCTATTTGGTACATTTGAATTGCTATATATAAATTGTGGGATCAATTTTTCAATTTGTGCCAAGATTGTGCAATTTTTCAATTTGTGCCAACATCTGCTAAGATGTCGATGGAGATTGCATTAAATCTATAGAACAAGTTGGGGAGAATCACTACCTTATCAGTATTGAGTCTTCCAATTCATGAACATGGAATATGGTCCCATTTATTTAGATTTTTAATTTCTCTCAGCAATGTATTACAGTTTTCAGAGTACAGGTTTAGTACTTATATTTTCAAATTTATGACCATTTAATCTATTTTATGCTACAAAGAATGAAATTATTTTCTTAGTATCATTTTCAATTTTTTATTGCTAGTACACAGGAATGTAATTTATTCTTGTATATTGATTATCTTGCAAGCTTCATGAACTTATCAGATCTAGCAGTTATTTTGTGGATATCAGATTTTTCTACATACAGGATTGTATTGTCTGTGAATAAAGAGAGTTTCATTTCTTCTTCTATACTGTGGATGCCTCGGATTCCTATCTTTCTCCTGGACCTGGGTTTTTTTGTTGGAAAATTTTAAATTACTAATTCAGTTTCTGTGTTTGTGTTAGGTCTATTCATATGTCTATTTTTTTCTTGAATCAGTTTTGTTAATTTATGTCTTTCTAAGAATTTTTTCATTTAATATGTTTTGCAGAAATTGTTGACAATGTTGTTCATGTTATTACATTCTAGTCTTTCTAATTTCTGTAGGGTTGGTAGTAATTACCCCTTTTTCCTTTATGATTTTGGTAATTCTTTTTTTTTTGGTCAGTCTAGCTAAAGCTTCTCCATGTAAAAAATATTTTCAAAGATTAATGTATGGTTTCATTGATTTTTCTTTCTTCTTCTTCTATTTTATTGACTTCTGCTCTAACCCCCGTTATTTCCTTCCTTATGCTTCCTTCGAGCTTACTGTGTTCTTCTTTTTCTAGTTTCTTATGGCGAAAGCTTGAGTTAATGATTTAAGAATTTTATTCTTTTCTAAAATAGGTATTTAAAACTAGAAGTTTCCCTGTAAGCACTGCTTTAGTTACATCCTATAAATCTTGACATGTTGTGCTTTTATTTTTATTCAGTTCAAAATATTTTATAATTTCCTATGTGATTTAGTTTTTAACCAATGGATTTAGAAGTTGTTGAATTTCAAAATATTTTGATATCTTCCAAATTTCCTTCTGTTGAATTCCAATTTAATTCTGACATATTAAGAGAACATAATTTTTATGAATTCAAGCCTGTTGAGTGTATTGAGATTTGTTTTTTGACCTAGCATAGAATCTATCCCAGAGAAAATTTCATGTGCACTTTAAAATAATATGTATTCTGCTTTCATTTGGTGGCGTCTCCTATAAATGTTAGTTAGGTCAAGCTGGTTGATAGTGTTGGTGAATTCTTCTATATTGTTGCTATTTTTCTGTCTAATTGGCCTGCCAGCTATTGAGAGTAGGGTTTGAAGTCTCCAATAATAATTGTTGAATTGTCTAGTTCTCCTTTGAATTCTGTCAATTTCTGCATCATAGAATTTGGGACTTTCCTATTAATTATATACGTTTATAATTGTTATATTTTCTGCTTAATTGACCCCTTATATAATTAAAAATGTCTTTTTCTCTTGTTACATATTTTGTCATAAAGTCTATTTTGTCTGACATTAGTATTGTCACTTCATTTTTTATATGTAAACAATTTGCATAGTACCTCTTTTTTCTTTGAAATTATATGGTTTTGGCTCTAATACATTTCTCTTTTAAACAAACTATGGTTGGATATTTTAAATAATCCTGTCTGAAATCTCTGCCTATAATTGGAATGCTTAGTTCACTCCCATTTACTATAACTATTGATATGTAGGTTGAGTATCCCATATCCAAAATGCTTGGGATTGGAAGTGTTTTGGATTTTGGATTTCTTTAGATTTTGTAATATTTGCATATACCTAATATCTTGGAGATAGGACCTAAGTTTAAACACACATACTATATATATACATATATATATATATATATGTGTATATATATATATATGTATATATATATATATGTATATATATATATCTTAATAGATATCTTATACATATAACCTGGAGGTAATTTTATAAAGTATCTTAAATAATTTTTTGCATGAAACAAAGTTTTGGCTGTGTTTTGACTGTGACTCATTACAGGTCAGGTGTGAAATTTTCCACTTGTGGTATTATATCAACCTTCAGAAAGTTTCACATTTTAGAGCATTTCAAATTTCAGATTTTTTTAATGGGAATTCTCAACTTTTAGTTGCAATTACATGTGCCATATTGTATTTTTTCACATCTTATTCATGTCTTTTTTGTTCCTGTTTCTCCTTTACTGCACTGTCTTGTTAGTTATTTTTAGTGTGTAATTTTAAATTTTGTTTTTAACTATTTATTTTCTTAGTGCTTGCTCTAAAGATTACATATGCATCTTAATTGATCATAATTTACTTAAGTTCAAACTAATTTAACACAGTAAAATTTAGATATTTTTCTCTGCTAAGCTCCATTTTTGCTCCTCCTGCTTATAAACACAATAACACAATGTTATAATTTTTATGCAATCTTAGGTCTTTTAAAGAAGTTAAAAGAAGAAAAACATATATCTATATTTGTACAGTCTTTTATATGTATCTACATATTTATCAGTTCTGTGATTCTTTATCTCTTCATTTGGGTTCGAGTTACTGAATATCACTTCTTTTCAGCCTGAATGACTTTATTTAGTTTTTTCTTGTAAGTCAGGTCAGCTAGCAAGAAATATTCTCATTCTCAACTTGGTAATATATTTATTTTACCTATATTTTTGAAGGATAGTTTTGTTTTATGCGGAATTCTTGGTTGGCAATTTTGTGTTCTCTGAGAACTCTGAATATGTCATTTCAATACCTCTGGCCTCTATTGTTTATGATGAGAAATTAACTATCAATCATGTGATCCCTGTACATGAGGAGTCATTTTTTTCTGGTTGTTTTAAAGACTTTCCCATTTGTCTTTCAATAATTTCAAATGAAACTATTTCAATAGTTTGACTCTTATGTTTTAGGGTATTGATCTCTTCGTGTTTATTCTATTTGGGGTTTGTTGAGCTTAACCGTATTTGTGAAGTGTTTGGCCATTATTTCTTCAAATAATTTTTCTGCCTCTTTAACAACATTCTCTTTTTTTCTGGAACTCTTGTAACATCTACATTGATATGCTCAATGTTTTGACACAAAGCTATGACTCATGTTCGTTTTTTATACTGTTTTACCTCTGACATTCAGATTGGATAATTTTTATTTATCTATTTTCAAATTTACTGATTTTTTTTTTTTTCTGTCTTACTATCTGCTCTTGAGCCCCATTAGTGATTTTTTTAAATTTTGGTTATTCTACTTTCCAATTCTAGAATTTTCATTTGGTTCTTTTATATAGTGTGTATCTTTTAGTTGAGATTCTCTATTTGTAGTTATTGTTACCATACTTTCATTTAATTATTTAAACATGCTTTTCTTCAGTTGTTTGAAGGTATTTATAGTAGGAGCCTTTAAGTCTCTATCTGCCAATACCTGGGCCAATTCAGAGACAACTTTTGTTGACTGCTTTTCCCCATGAGAATGGGTCACAGTTGAACGTATCGTAAATTTTTCTTGAAAATTTGACATTTTAAATAACATATTAAAGGAGCCCCAAATTCTGATGTTCCTTCTTATGCCCAGCGTTTTTTAAATTGAAGTTTTAATAACTTGCCTAGATGAAATCTGTGGAATCTGTTTCCCCACAGTGTGTGGCTGTTGATATTCTTTCTCTGTCAAACAACAGAAACAAACTGTATGCCTAGTTTCCTAGAGGTAAGCATAGCTTAATTTGCATTAGTCAATAGTTGGCCAGCAGTTGATCTTAAATACCTCAAGCCAGTAAGACTTCCAAGTTTTGCTAAAGGTTCTTTATATGTGTTAAAGGGTATATTCAACATGCAGGCACATTTTAAGTTTTCATGAAGGAGACACAAGGAGTCCTTACTGAGGCCTATTACGGCTGCCTCATTTTGCAGATATGCTGGTTAAATTAAATTTCTGGCCAGTCTGCCAGTCAGTTACTTGTTCCAATCAAGACTGCAACTTTAGGCCAGCTGAGTTGCTATTCTGCCTTTTTGTTTGCCGCCTAGGTCTCCACCGTTACTGACAATGCTTCTGGACATGGAGTTTTAAACTTCTGCTTCAAATAAAATCAGTCCCTGTGGTGATGAAGCTGCTTATTTCCATGGCTTGTTCTACCTTGATAGAACTATTATGCTTGACCAAGCTGGGAGTGGGGACTGGGGGCAATACAGGCAAATACACCACAAATTCATATTGTTCATATACAAAGTTTAGTACTTTTTATAAATAATCACTTTTTAATTTAGCATATGCCGTTGGTTGATATCCAGGGTCATAAGATGTTTTCTCCAGTGTGTCCCATTTTACTGATTCTTGGGGAGATTTATCGAGCTACTCACTTTATCATCCCCAGAAGTCATGTACCCAGACACTAACTTCTAAGCACCTACTCATGTGCTGGGCATAGAGCTAGCCAATTTATTTACATTACCTCTTACTCTTACAACATCTCTATAAATATGTACTATTATCTTTATTTTTGGATTAGTAAAAGGAAGCTCAGATAATTTAAGTAGCTGGTGCAAGAGAAAAAAGAACAAATTAAAAATATAAACGCAAAGATACCATGTTACATACTTCCAAAGGTAATAAACACAGGTGGGAAGATAGGTGATTATTACCCAGCATTTAGTTGCCAGGTTTATGTAATGGCCAACCTGAAGTCCAAGTACTCTGATTTACTACTGCCTAGTATAAAGGCTAATTAGCAAGAAAACACCAAATAAGTCAGTAGGAGAAACAAGCTGTTTTTGTCATGGATAGACTCTAATCATTAAAAAAACAATCATTATATTGGCTCATAAAGTTAGAATTTGATTCGCACATGTAATTCTAATAAAATCCAGGGTCCCACGTGACCCATATTCGTTAAAGAGTTACACCAACAGAGAATCAGCCCAGCAAAAATAGATCATCAAAAAATAATTATAATCTCAATTTACATTTTAAAATTAATATAGGGAACTCATCTACAATTTACAGAACATTCCAGAACTTTCATTTCTTCTCCTCCTCACTTTTTTTTATACCCATCCAGTTCTTCACAATCTTTCAACCTCTGAAACACTCCAGAAACCGTATCCACATTCACAGATTCTCTTGTTATCTTTATGGGGTAGATAAACCTTGCTTTTGTAGATACTTTCCTTTTACACAATCGTCATTTTTCCTTAAGTATTCTCCAAATTCCACACCATTTAAAATTTATAGGATGAATGGATAAAGAAAATGTGATATATATATATGCACCATGGGATATTATTCAGCCATACAAAGGGTGAAATCCTGTCATTTGCAGCAACGTGGATAGAACTGGAGGTAATTATTTTAAGTAAGGTAAACCAGGCACAGAAAGACAAATATTATGTGTTGTCACTCACATGTGGGAGCTAAAAACATGGATCTCATGAAAGTAGACACTACCTTGGTGGTTACCAGAGATCAGAAATAGGAGTAGGGAGAGGGGACAAAGGGGAAAAATAACATAAATTTACTTATTACCACTGAACTGTATACTTAAAAATGGTAAAGGTATATTTACTTTTATTTATATAGAGGTATATTTTACCTCAATAAAATTAAATTTAAAAAATTCAGGCCAATCACATTGGCTCATGCCTGTAATCCCCGCACTTTGGGAGGCTGAGGTGGGTGGATCACTTGACCTCAGGAGTTTGAGACCAGGTGGGCAACACAGTGAAATCCTGCCTCTACCAAAAAAAAAAAAAAAAAAAAGAAATAGCTGGGTGTAGTAGCCCGTGTCTGTGGTCCCAGCTACTCAGGAGGCTGAGGTTGGAGGATCGCTTGAACCTGGGAGATCAAGGCTGCAGTGAACTGTGATCATGCCACTGCATTCCAGCCTGAGTGACAGAGCCAGAACCCCATCTCAAAAAAGAAAGTTCATAAAAGCATATCAAATATAGTACTTTTCCTTAGACATAAGAGGAAGCACATATCTGAGAAGACACAGGCTTGAAGCTGTTAAACTGGCAAATAATCATAAATGTAGTGGGGAATATTCACTTTCTTATTTGTTCTACCCTGTCGTCACTATTAGCTGCTTTGTTCACATAGCTAGATATGGTCATATGTAACAATAAGGGAAAAGGCACAGATCTGGGTCTAAATCACTGACTTTTAGTTCTCGATCCTTCTATAACTTTGGTTAGCCTTGGACATATATCTTGTTTTTTCTTGTGCTTAATGTGGTAATTTGTAAAATGGACATAAGAATGCTGCCATGCTTTGCTTATGATCTCGAAGAGTCAGGTGAGATGATGGACGTATAAAATCTCTATAACTGAGATATTGCGACAATTAAGTGGGAAACATTTGTAAAACTCTTATCAAAGTCCTGTTCATAGAGTAAATGCACAAAACTTAGTGTCATTAATACTAGCTCTTGTAACTTCCAAATTTATAGTTTGGGTACATGAATAGATAGTGATATCACCCACAGTAGATTTTGGGAGAGGAATATAACATGTTGAGTTTTGGATATACTGACTTTGAGATGGCTTTGAGACATAGAAGAGGAAATGGTCCATTTGAAGCTACATATGTAGGTCTAATCTGAAACTATATATTGGGCCAAATATTAGACTTAGGCCATAAAATGAAATCGGTGACTTTGGTAGAGACTGCTTAGCTGCTTAGCCCATGATCCATTCCACTACATTTTGAATGCCCATTGCAGTTTGGCATTGTCATGAGAATAAATTCTGGCCAATGACATACAAGCTAAAGTGTTGTGTAGATCTTCCATGAAGTCCCTTTAAAAGGGTAGAGGTATCCCTTTTTTGTCCACTTCCTACACCTTGCAGCCTTTGAAAAGCAGTTGTGATAGATAGAGAGCTGATAGTCATCTTGATCCATGAGTGTAAGGACCTCACCAAAGGATGGCAGATCTGTGAGACAGAAGGGATCTGGATCTTCAACATCATAGAGCAATGATACCAACCTCGGACTACCTACTGGCAGATTCCTTCTACAAGAAGATGAATATATTTCTACTTTGTTTCAGTTACTATAATTCTTTTTTAATCTCCCTAGATATTATTCTAATTGATACAGTGAAAGCTACATTTGTTGCTATGGATAACAATCAGGGAAACCGTATAGAATGAGAAGAAGGGAGGGTTCAGAACATGTCCTAGAGAAACATCAGGATGTAAGGGGCAGGTAAAGCAAGGAGTGTCATCAATATAGTAAGGAATTACATAGAGAGGTAAGAATAAATTCAGATAAGATTAGTGACTTGGAAGATAAGATAGGACCAAGTGCTAATACGGAAAGTGTTCAGTTAATGGCACATGGCCTACGGATAATAGGACTAAGATATGTCCAGTGGATTTAACTACAAGAAATCATTGTTGTTATTGGCAATAATGGTTTCTGAGCAGTGGTTTGGATCAAAAGCAAACAGCAAAAGAGAGGAGAGGGAAATGTGATAATAGAGAATGTGTGTTTAAGTAACAGTGACTAACTATGAAGAAGATTCAAATGGGAATAATAACAAGAAAGGGGAAGTAAGAGACATTTGTTAACTTTGGTTGCCCAGAATCTGAATGCCCTGATTATGTCGAACAAAATCCCCAAATACAAATGGAATCTGATGGGGGAAGTTCAGTTTTTGAATCTGGAATGAGTGACAGAATTATAAGGCACTATCTAGAATTCTTTCCAGTAGCAATGACATTCTTCACCCAGTGTCTGCAGTGGTAGAGTGGTGCATGGCAACGTTTACATCTAGTGTATGGGGGCCAGACGTCGTGGCACATGCCTGTAATCCCAGCACTGTGGGAGGCTAAGATGAGTGGATCGCTTGAGTCCAAGAGTTCGAGATCCAATCTAGGGTATGATTTGGACTATAGTTCTTGGAGCTGAGCCTCTTTTTTGAGTTCTGCCCATTTTGAGCTGGTTTTCTATCCCTTTGTTTAGGAATGGGAACAGGTCTGTATCTTTCTCCTAAAGTCCGTTTCCGCTTCTATCAACAAAAACTGGGTTCTGTTATTCACAGCTATGAACTCTGACAAGTACAGTGGAATGAATGCATTTGGAAAGGAATGTCTGAATATATTTATATTGTAATCTAGGAGCTAAAAACATTCACCTGATCAGGGATAGTGAGGCAGCAGAAAAAGGGTAAAGATATGCTTGTGTTTGTGTGCATTCAAGAGACAGAATAATTAACCGGGGCAAGATTCCTCTGAAATGAGAGATAAGGCTTTCTGCTGAATATAAGGATTGTTATACATTCACCATCATAATGGTAAATGATAAATTGTTAGATTGGCAGCTTACACAAATATAGTACTTTCATTTTACAAACGATTTTTAAAAACATTTATCATAGTAGAGAGAGATAAAATAAAATATTTTAATTCAAATTAACCTTTGTAGAAAAAATCACATTATAATAAATTTAGACTTATATTAATGGTCAAACTATGACAACATATAATTAGTAAAACAAAAGAGAATTTTAAAGGGAACATGATAATAGACTTATTATACATATCTAAGACATCCATTAACTATATTAAACCAAGGTAAGGAATCAATAAAATGATCAACACATTTTTCTCTTAGGACTTTGGGTTTTCTTTTGTAAACAAAGGTAGGACACTCACCTGAGGATAGTGTATTCCTTTTTTGGAGTGTTATGATTTGTGATTCTAACATAAAAAGAACTTTGTAAATAAGTGTTTCTAATTATAAAATGTGTCTCAAAGGACAGGCTTTGAGGGTAGACAATTCAAGTTTCTTCAGCAACAAGGAAAATAAATGCAGAATGCCATTTGGCCTGTTTTTTTTTTTTTTTTTTTTTTTTAAAAATGGTACAGTCTTGGTGCAGCTGCTGTTGGGTCCAATCAACAGATAGACTTTAAATGCAATAACCTTAAAGGGAGAGAGAATTTACAGCAACCCAAGTAAGGAGTCTGACTGGGGCATGTATTTCTTTGTGTTTCCTTTTCATGTTATGGGCTCTGTAGCTACCCTTGTATTGACCATTTGCAGTATATTCAAATAAATGCTGTATTCATACTTTAAATATACATATGGGCATCTACTCTTTCCCTAGGGTGCCCCAAATAAAAAGGGCTCATTTCTTATCTGCAATCTGTAGGATGAAATCTTTGAACTTATTTTCCTGTATGTTGTGGTAGGTTTTCCCTGATTTATCCCCAATATTTTGTTTGTCAACCCTTCTGATTTGTGATAGTTTACAGTGGTACTCTGTGGCCCCATAAAGATCACCCATATCACTTTGGTTCATTTGTCACCACTAGTGCTCATCTGCCACGTTGGCTTCCTGACACCTGAACTCCTTTTCCACAGCAGTGCTTAATGGTTAATGTGTACTCTGGGAATTCTGGTTTGTTTACTGGTTAGCAAATTAATGACTTGAGAAAGGTACCTTATTGAGAAGCAGTTAGTTCAATGGAGATTGCCACCATCTCTACATTGACAGCAAAATGGCTCAGTGTCTTCAGCCCTTGTCTTCCTCCTGATGTTCAGACTTACCTATTCAAATGCGTGTTTTCTGATCACCTTATTTTCAATGTTCCAAGAGCTCCTTAAGACTATTATATCCCAAGTTGAGCTCTGTATGTCTGATTTGCTTTCCTCTTTCCATTCAGTTACTCTCCTTTGTATTTCCTATCCTGACTAACAGCCTTCCATGCAGCCAGTTCCCCCAAGCAAAAAACCTGGAAAAGGGATCATCCTAGAATTGTCCCTTCATTCCCCTCATCATCCCATCTACTTAACGACTAAATTGTTCCACTTTCATCAAGTATTTCTTGAATCTGTCAGGTTTTTAAAGTTCTATTCTGCTTACTCATTGTCTCTAACTTGAGTCACCCTGCCACTAGTTTCACTCTCTTTTTTTCACTCTGAGCTCAACTGTCAAAGGGACATATGAGGATGCAAATCTAAAGCATATAAAAACGTCCCAACATCCTTATATTCTACCCTGGAAAAAATTCTTTGAGATTTCAAATCTTCCATGACCTGGTCCATCTTGACAATTTCATTTGTCATGGCGTCATTTTTCAGCCTTCCTACATATAAAAGGAAGTCCCCTTATCAAACTTGATTAGGGTAAGTGGATAGGCGGTTTTTGGAAAAATATTGTAAAATTGGAGGGATTATATAAATGTGTTTACACATCTTCAAACATTTTATTTTTCTTAGAATATACAAGTGGTCACTCATTTACTTCTCATTTGGTATGGGGTCCGAGACTTTTCCTGGAGTAAAAGCCCACAGGTTGAAGTTAAGCATATTACTTTTTGCATAAAACACTTCTACATTTCATAATCTGTGACTTTTAGTTTGGTTTCTTTGAATTACAGTCAGATTTGGAGATGCTGAAAATAATCTCAATGCAAAATACCTCCATTTTTTGGGGATTCTATCCCTCATACCCAATCTTAAACAGTTGTCTTACCTACATCTAATTCAACAGCACCGTGGTTTTTTTTTTTTTTTTTTTTTTCCTCACTCTGTCACCCAGGCTGGAGTGCAATGGCATGATCTTGTCTCACTGCAACCTCCGCCTCCCGGGTTCGAGCAACTCTCCCACCTCAGACTCCCATGTAGCTGGGACTACAGGCCCACGTCTGGCTAAGTTTTGTATTTTCTTAGTAGCGATGTGGTTTCGCCATGTTGGCCAGGCTGGTCTCGAAATCCTGACCTCAGGTGATCCACCCATCTCGGCCTCCCAAAGTGCTGGGATTATAGGTGTGAGCCACCGCATCTGGCCTTTTTTTTTTTTCTAATCACCTTTATCAAGTCTTCCAAAGCATTCAATTTAGTATTCATAGAAACCACAATTCTCTTATCTTTTCATTTCTATTTCATTAGTTTTCATGATATTTAATTAAATAGGACAATTTTAATAATAAGAATAACTTGCATAGCCAGGTCAGGAACCACAGACTGTTGCCTCTTGGAGAACATACTCTCAAATGGTGGGAGCCAAGGTACATGGTACCAGAAAGGATACTTGAACACCTTTCAAAAACATCAATAGGTTACTAATATCCATCAATAGGTTTGGAGTGGGAATTGGGCAGTTTATATGTAGAAAATGAAGAGTTTAGGGTAAGTCAATGGTGCTTGCTTAACAGAGCCTTTTTATACTGAACTGTGTATAGTCCTTCAATGTAGGCCATTTTTTCTTGCTTCAGTGATTTTGCTCCTGTCACTTTTTCTCTCTGGCATGTCCATTTACTCTTCATTTGCCTCTTCTCATCCTTTAAGACCCATCCCAGAGATCACGTTCCCTAACAAACTCTCCCTAACTCCTACTTTCCCAGGCACATAAAGTTCATGGAAGGCCACAAATAAAGTACATTCACTTGTATATCTCCACACAGTGGTATCATCATTACCAGCCAATGCAACAACATATTTGGTGCCAGCTAGTCTGTTTCACTAGAACTAGCCAAGTTGAAAAAATAAAATATGACATAAAACAATTAACTATGAAGCTGATTTTTCATAGTCTTTTGATGAAGAATTATGAATGCCCTTGAAAGCTTTTCAAGAGTCATCAGAGAACAGATGGGAAGAGACCAGCTTTTCCATTGACACCTGTGAATAATAATATCTGTATGATTCTCTCTGATCAATCTAAAAATAGCTCTTTGGTGATATGGATTGCATCTAAAACATCTTGTGGCTATATGTAGGATGAGGCTAAAACATTCAGTTTCAGGGCTAATTCCTGCTTAATTCACTTAAAAGGTATTAGTTGAGATACAGTGAGAGTAGGATAAACAAATGTACAAAATGTTTGAATCAAAGAGCTGCTTTTTGCCATAACTAGCTAAATAAATTGAAGTTACTTGTCTCTTAAATGTACTAAATTCTGAAGAATACCTAAAATATTATTAACCAAACTCCTTCCATTTTTTTAAGACTAGAAGGGATCAAGGTCAATTTCTAGAATTGCAAACGTATCCATGGAAATGTGATAACATGATAAAAACAGAAAAATTGGTCTGGCTCTTTAGATCTATTTTTAATCTATATAATAATGTCAAGTGTAAAGATTTAAATCTTCAGTTTAATCTGAATGTGAATAAAATTCTTACGATTTAAATTAAGAAAGTACTTACTGGCCATCTACAATATATCAGGCTTTCTGGTAAGTACTGTGGGTTATAGAGATAACAATAAGAGAGTCCTCTGCCCTCATGAAGCTTTTAATCTTGCTGGGGGAAAAGCATATGTAAATAGGTATGATACATGATATATACATACAATATTACATGAGTGTTATAAAAAGGGGCAAGAAAACCTTAAGAGAATAAACTGCTTATGTTTGAGAAGAGCAGGTCACAATTCATTGAGGTAATAGCAGTTAAGATGAGTCTTAAGGGATGTGTAAGATTTTGGGAAAAAAAATAAGGGGAAAGAGAATTCAACCAAAGGAAGCGGTTTTTTTTTTTTTTTGTCTTGTTTTTTGTTCTTTGTTTTTTTTTTTTTGCAAAAGCTGAAGAACAGAAAACTTCAGGTCATTCAAAGCTTCAGACATAAACAGAAATAGTGGAAATTATGAAAAACAGGGTTGGAAAGATAGGTCAGAACAGATTCTATGTTCAATTCTTTTGCTACTACGTGTGGCCATCAAAGGTAAGGAGAAGGTTGGTAGGAAGAAATTGCAAGTGTATACCAGAGAATCCTGATGGACAAAACTGGGATAAATAATGCAAAATCTGATCTAGAGTAAGGACTCCGGAGGCAGACTGCGGGACTGCATCCTGGTTCAAATACTTGCTGGCTGTGCAATCTTGGGCAAAGAGTTTTATCAGTCTGTGCCTTCGTTGCCCTCCTGTAAAATTAAAAGGAGAATAGCAACTATTTCATAGAGTTGTTATAAGTATTGAGCTACGTAAAACACTTGGAACAGTGCATGGCAATATTAAGTGTTATCACCATCACTTCCATCACCACCCTAACCGTCATCATCATACAAAGGTCTGCATGAGGTACTATAAAATCAAATATCTATGGAAAAGCAATTAATATAAATGAGCAAAGTGGGACAGGTGCTGCAAACTGAGGACAAAGCTTGCTTACCCCAGGCAATGCTTCTCAAACTTTAATGTGCCCATGAATCACTTGGAAACTTGGAAATCTTATTAAAAATGCTGACTGTTATTTATTAGATTCTGCATTTCTTAGCAACTCCCAGGTGATGTCTGTGCTCTGGACCAGAGACCACACTTTGAGTAGCAAGAAAATGAAACATCTGTTACTCAGTTGTAGGTGATGGTGCCAAGAGAAAATATAGTAATGAGTGCCTAGTAGCCAGATCTAAATTTTCAAAAGAAGACAGAAATCCATATTTTTTTAAAAAATGAGGTCTCTCAATTTTTAAAAGTTGTCAATTATTTAAAAACAGTGGCTATGCAAAAATACTGCATGCATTCAGGATTCAGCCTGTGGGTACTCAGTTTCCAAACTCTGGGCTGGATGGAGAGTCAAGGTCTAAACTGGCAATGAGAAAAAAAGGAAGTTTGAGTACAGAGCAAGCGGACGGGACAGATCCTGGGGGCAAAATGTGAATGTGTGAGCAGGCTTGTAGCACTGGTTCACACGGATATACTGGGTACATTTAACATATTGCACACACTGTAAAGAGCCATTTGAGTCATTAAAATATTCGCTTTTAATTTGTAGGAAATAAGATGCTGAAAAGCTATTTGGTTGAAAGCTATTTGGTTGGGGGTGGGGTCTGAATTTGTAAGAAGCCAAAGTTAAAGAAAACTTAAGAGACAACAGTTGTCTTACAAGGAAGCGCATAGAGCAATATGAATTGCTAATGGAGACTTTCAAGAAGAGGACCAACCAGGCCTACTTTAATGAATTAGATAAGGCTCATTTCTAATCAACAGCGTGTATTTGCATGCAAACAATGAGCTAAGGTCTTTAAACAATAATTTCTTCCTTTAAGTACATTTACGAATGCCTCCCATTATCTTATTTACACCATTAATTTGCATGGCAAACCAGCATAGATTATATACTAGTACATTTTGGTTTAAGAATTCAGAAGTAGAGAGGTTTAAAGGAGTAGTAACTTAATGACCGTACATGAAGTCTCACACAAGAAGGGCTTTTTAACATGTCTAGACTTACTTTTAACTTCCATGTATTCTGAAAGAGATTTGTCAAGAATCATTTCCAAGGTAATCTGAAAATATTATCTCCTTTGGGACTGCTTGCCAGAAAGGTGCACACATTCCATTGAGAAGGGGCTACTACCCAGATGTACGTTTCTACGTACTATTCACCTCTAAAAGTAACCAGAGTTCCTTGAAAAAAATGGGTAATTCTAAATCTGGGATAGGCAAAGTCCAAGGTGAGCCTGGGACAATTGAGCAGGAAGCTCTGGGCAAGAATAATAACTGTAATTCATAATAATATATTGAATAAATAAAAATTTATGAGTCCATTTTGACATAAATATAGAGGAAAAACCTTTTTTTTTTTTTTTTTTCAAACAGAAGAAAGCCAGCTGGTAAATGTTAAGATCATGTCAGATTAGGAAAACCTCCATTTTGCAAGCCCCAGTGTAATAACTGAGTTAGGGAAGGATCATCAATGGATACTAAAGCCATTAGATGATTTATTAATTGCGAAGAAAAAATGTGACATTATAATGCAAGATCTGTCAGTCACCACCTGAAGCAAGTAATAAAACTTTGCAGCATTTAGTGAGACTACTTCATATGATGCACCTCCTGATGTGACGTAATACAAAATACACAGCATCTCATATGAAGTATTCTCGCCAAACATGTTTGACATGCATCTCTTGAAGTCTTATTTAGACCTAACTTCCAGTTTACTAGAAATTCAGAGACTACAGAACAAGTTAAATCATCCCATCAGGGGAAAAAAAATAAAACAAATCCTGAAAGATGAGACATTTTTTGAGGCTAGCGTCCTGGACATTTTCAAATTTCAATATCGGTGAAAAAAATGTGGAAGGGCTATTTTAGACTAAGAAGGATGAAAAATAATAATAACCAAATGTAATGCATGAGCCATGATAAGATATTGGTACTAACTCCCCTGCAAAATATAAAAGACATTTTTGAACTATTAAGGAAATATGAATATGGAATGGATATTAACAATAATGCAGTATTATATTTAATTTGGAGGAGAGCATAATAAACAGGCATGGTTATATATGGCATGTCTGTATTTCAAAGCGACACATGCTGAATTATTTAGGGGTAAAATATAATGGTATTTATAACTTATTTGCAAAAATGTTAAAAAGTGTGTGTGTGTGTGTGTGTGTGTGTGTGTGATGCCCTATATATGAGAGATACAGAAAGAGGGTAGAGAAAGCGAGAGAAAAAAAGCATATATGGCAAAATGTTAACAATTGTTGACTCTAAGAATTTAGGGGGAGGAAAACAGTGTAAATGGGCATATGTTTTGCAATTGTTTCAATTTTTCTATATGTTTGAAATTTTTCACAAAAAGACTTGGGGAAGGAAAAAATTCAAAATTATTTTCATTAAGGTAACACTTAAATTAAAACCACTATTCCTTAATGCATATTAGTAGAATAATTGCCTTATCTGTGATATGGGATAAGCAATATCAGACTTGTCTAAAAGAAGAAAGAATTATAATGTTTTGAAATCTTAATTATTATTGCTAAGGATTATGATTCAGAGGTTCCTCAATTTAGGAATTCCACTTCCCACTGCCTTGCTTCCGTCTCCCATTCAAACTTTTATCAACTGACATTATTCTAAGTAAAATCCTCTTCATTATGTTGTCAGCAATCCATTGCTTGAAGGCCTGGCTCCCCAGAACCCCTCGACTGGTATGTCTTCTCCTAGAATACTCCAGAAGAAAAGGAGTGTATGAAGATAGTGACTGCACATTAAAATGACTGAAACCATAGTAAATTAGGATGAGATTCTGGGCAGATAAACAGACAGCTGGCTAGGATCATTTTTTTATGCCTTGGACTTCTTTGGCAATCTGTTGAAGCCTGACATTCCTCAGAATAATGTTTTAAAGCCCAACAATAAGACCCTGTAGCACATATAATAAGTACTGCAGTTTTGAAGTAGTGATAAGCATAAATGATATTTTGATATATTTATTATAACTGTAATGAGATGTGTACATATCTGTGACTTCATAGGTACTGATTGTACTACTGTGATTTTTTTGCCTACTTTCAAAATGAAAAGGAATGCTTAATTTCAGTTAGAGGTTAGTAAAGACAAATAGGTAATTTTCTTCTCCAGTGAAGAGCATGGCGCCCCTTGCTATTCATGGACGCTTGCTTAAAGACTTGTACACAGGCTTGCTTTGTATCAACCTATGACTTCCCCTTACAGCCGATGATAGGTTTTTATTTGCACCTCCTTCGTGTACAAAGACAGTTTTGGTGGCTACGCCATCATTAAACTCATTATTATCATGCTTAAGCCTATAGATGTATCCAGTTCTTCTGTTACATAATTGAAGCTGTAGTGAATTGTCTATCTTAAACTGCATCGCTAACTGACTACATTTCACACTTCATTTGCTTCCAACATAGACTAACCTTCTTGGATGTCCACTATTATTTGAACTTTTGAGATTTTTTTTCCTATTTCTAATATCTTAAAATTTCAGAAGACTTAAAGTTTTGCAACTACAGGGCTCCATATAGACATCTAGCTTGAATTTATACACTTTCTTTCATTGATGTCCCTGGACTAAAAAATGTTAAATATTTCTAACCGCTGTACTTAAAGTCCATTACAAACGAAGACTACTGTTGTTAAGTTGAATAGGCATCTTATATATTTTTCACCGGTGCAATAAATAACTTCTATTCCCTTCTAACATCTGCTTGCGTTGCACTGAGAGTACACTATTGATTAGCAATAGGTTCGTGATTACAGCCCTTCTATAATTAATTGTTAGGTTAACATATTATTCATAAAATATTATTTTATTAATTTTTACTTGATTTGCTACTGGATGCTTAGAAATAGCTATGAGTATATTGGTAGAACCAGTACTTATATTTTATTACATTTTTACATTTCATAAAATTTAAGTGATATAAAAATCCTGAGGAAGTATGCCACAAAAGTGGTCTCAGTGGAAATTTAAATATGTTAACATTTATTTTTAAAATGTAGCGTGAAATAGACAACTTTAAAAGCTCAGCTTAAAAAAAAAACTCAAGGAAGCTGAACTTGACTTTTTAAAGCACTGAAGTGCAATATTTAATGTAGGTCAACATGTTTAAATGGGAAAATTTTTTTCCTAATTACAGCCAAATCCCTAGCTGTAATTAACTTAAAATTTGTATACTATTTCACAACAGAGTCAGCATATACCACTTTCTTATAAAATTAGAAAGATCTAAAATTTTAGAGCTTATTTGGTGAAACAGGCATATTGCTACATCTTTGTTTATAAATTATAATGTGCCTTTAGAGCCCAATAACAGATAACAAGATTTTGAAAATTCAGGTGAATTAGAGTTATCAGAGGGAATGTTAATACACTCTATTCAAATACTATATGAGTAAGACATTTAAAATAGGAAACAATACTTTATATATTATAGAAAAATAATCTTCCAGTCGATTTAATCCACTTTATGAATTCTCTCCGTATATATATATTTATAGTATGGTATTCAATTTTTTTAATTTTCTCATTTCTTACCATCTTAATTTGGATTAGATTGAGCCTAGTTCAGAAATGACATTATACAGGTTTATACCTGTTCATAGTATAAGCACATCAGTTATCTAAATAATAAAATACTTGTATGATTAAGAGAAGAATTTCAATCTGGGAAAAAAGTATATGACTTACCTAAGGAAGTAGTTTAACTACAAAGTTTAGTTCTTTATTTTATCTATCTATAATCAAGAAGATTTTCAAAACCAAGACTTAATTATTCAAAATATCTTTTGATGAGGCTATAATTCTTTAACTTTGGCAAGGGGTGTGTGTGTGTGTGTGTGTGTGTGTGTGTGTGTGTGTGTGTGTGTGTGTGTGTGTGTTTAGGTCAACTAATGTGTTTATTTTGTACAAAATATGAATTGTATCTACTTTCTGAATAATGTAACATGAATAAAGAGGGAAAGAGGAGGTGGGCAAAGACAACTGACATAATTCCAAAATCTTCTTTTTAATACATCTTAACGAAAGATATTCATCAATGAGTTGTTCTAGCTTCCTGAATATTAAAATCCACCTATTATGTGGATGATGGGTGGGATGCAAGAGCTTGGCAAAAGAACGAAGTTTTCATTGTTCATAACAATAGTCTCATTTGGTAAATAAAGGCCAAGTCTTCCTTTACGAAACAAGACACATTAACATCAACAACTGGAAGCATAATACAAAATCCCATTTATAAACTCTCTAGGCTTTCCAACTGCAGCAGCACGCATTTGGCTTTCTGTGCCTTCAATACATTCCAAGGGAAATTTAAATGATGATTGAATTTGACAGTAACCTTTTTGAGGTTTTGTTTTCCCCATTAAACTTGTACCTCTTTGGCTCAAGTTCCCCTTCAAGAATGTATTCACAAATGTGGTGAAACTAGAGGTAAGTGACACTATCACTTTTTTTAGCTTCATAGTCATATTCATAGCTATTTTTAAAACTAAGCAAAGATCTGTCTTTCCTACAAAACAATCATTTATAATTGCTTTCTAAAATCTTCTTGAAAAACAACTGAGATTCAGCTTGTTGAAGTTAAAATATATTGAAGATATTCACCTTTAAGCAATCATGGGTGATTTTTAAAGCAAACTTCAAGTTTAAAATAGCAGAAAACCACTAACTAGCCACAAGTATATATTTTAGTATATGAAAAAAAGAAATAAAAAATTTCTTTACTGCTGTTGATTAATGGTTGATAGGTTCTTTAATGTTAGTGCCTTTCACCCTGCTTATAATCTCTCATGAAATATTCTTCTAAAGAAAGCTTAAAAAGTCTGCTAAAATGTTTTCATTCCTATTAGATCTGTCGCCCTACCTCTTTTTTCTGTCTGACAGCTGTTTGCAGACCTCCTGCCACCGCAGATTCAGGCTTCCCAATTTTTCCTGTAGAATACTGGCATCTGTTTTTGAGGATTGCTGAATTATTTCTTCCCCAGTTGCATTCAATGTTCTGACAACAGTTTGCCGCTGCCCAATGCCATCCTGGAGTTCCTGTAAGATACCAAAAAGGCAAAACAAAAATGAAGCCCCATGTCTTTTTATTTGAGAAAAGATTAAACAGTGTGCTACCACATGCAGTTGTACTGGCAAAGAAAGAAATACAAAAGCTCCATGTGAAAATTTCCCTATGAAACTGACATGCCCATATCCAAAGGATACAAGACAGAAAGACACCTTTTATGTGTCAGGGAAAAAAGCACCCTCTCGGTTAGCTCCAGTTTTTATTTTTGTAAGCTTGTCAGCTAGAGGATGTTATAATGTCCTACAAATCAATTAGTTGGAAACCTTTTCAAGAGCAAATTCGATTTCTTGTCCCCACAAGGATGTTCCATGTTTAATAGTCTATGAAATGTTGTAAAATTTAAACATGAACAAAGTATTTGGGTTTCTTAGTGATCGTGGATACGAGAGGTGAAAAAGAACAAACATAGGTTAGTCACAGTATTAAAAAAAAACTCTAGAGATATTTAAATAAAATTAATTGCTATATTAGAAGAAAATTCATTTCAAATTCTGTCTGCGTCAATGTATTTTGCATTAGAAGCCACAAAAAACTGAGAATTAATTGCTTTCAGGAGCATCCCATCAAGATATCCCTAAGCTACAGTAATAAATTTTAAAATAATCTATAGTCACCAGAGCATTTTTATGATTGTCAAGCTTAAATATTGTTTACTTTTTTCCTGAATGAAATTTTAAGAGTAAAGTATCAGAAAAATAGCTCAATTGAAAAGGAGAATATTACAACCAAGTACACACAAAAACAAAAATGCTTTTTACCATTAAATAAAAATGGCAATTACGTTCTATTTAACTTTTTAAAAAAGATAATCTAGAATTTGTAAGGCCATTAAAATAACATATTAACTAAATACGAACCTTAGAAAATGAAATAATATCTGAGAACTTGAGGTACCTACCGTATTTAAATCTGAATGACTCAAATCCTTATGTCACTGACAGAATAATGTGCGTATGTAGAAAACTCTCCTAATAGATGTGATTCATATTCTCTAATATTTTTGTATTCTCCTACTCCTTGACACAATAGCAAGCTGACAGTAGACCCCAGTACATGCTTCCTAAATGAAGGAAGGAATGCATGTTTTCTGAGACTGAGGTAAAGCTCCCTTAGACTCTCGTTTCACATACATTTCTTGGCTTTTTTCTTTTTCTACATTCAAGCAAAATTATTTTCGAATACTGGAAATTTTGGTAGCATACAGTTAGCAATTAAAATACTCTGTAAATCAGCAAACCGGTGACACGGTGCCTCACAATGAATATAAAACTATGCACAGTTACTGAACTATTCACAAGCTGTCCTGGCCATACTCTCTTGAATGCCCATGAGATGTGCTCTAGTAAACATGTGATATTTCCTTGTAACTAGTTGGCTTTGCTCCATTGCTTACATCTCACTCTTTACCACCTGTTCAGATCAGCGTTGCATGTGACAGTCATTGCTTAGTAATAGAGACACCAGTCATAACAAACTGTGTCTATATATTAGGTTGGTGCAAAAGTAATCACGGTTTATGCCATTACTTTTATATCATAAATTCTTTGAGGTCAGATATTGTGTCTTATTCATGATAGTTTCCTATTGTTTAGTACAATGTCTGATGCATGGAAGGTTTCAGTAAGCATTTGCTGAGTGAACGCATGAATCTATGAATAAGGGAAGTGGGGAAGAAGCGGAGGGAGGAAGAGAGGAAGGAATGGAGGAAGAAAAGAAGGGAGGAAAGGAGAGAGGTAGAAAGAAAGGAAGGGAGGAAGTTCAGGCTCATCATCACCATGGAGTCATTAGTATTAATACCCATTACTGATCCTCCTAGAGATTCAAATAAATAAGCACAATTTTCTAGGTCTTAGGCAGTACATAATCTAGTTGAAAAAATAAGACACAGTTGCAAGTGATAATTTGTTATACTACATACAGTAGGATAAAAAAAAAGCAAGGTGATCAACAAATGGTAGGCCAGAAGAGGGATGATCTCAGTGAAAAGGATGAGCGGAGGAGACTTCTGGGTCAATTTGGAATTTAAAGAATCGTAGAACTTAGGCATATGGAGGGTTAGAGGCAGTGAGAGTACGGCAGAAGTTAAAGCCTGTGGTGTGCAATCTCCATGATGTGACCAAGAGCATAAAACTGGGCTCTATGCCACTGTATGAGAGCAGGCGTTAGGGGAGGAGTACAGCCCTCGGTGTATATTGGGGCCTGGGCAGAGAACTTGAGGCAACGTAAATTATTAAGGCAACATGAACTATTACATGAGAATCACCATTGTTTTGGAATAAACTGCATCGTGCAAGCATCAGTGACTACTGAAATGGGAAAAAAATTTTGCCTAAAACATAGATGTCAGGGAGGTATTTAGAGAGTAAAGACCATGGCTCTTATTTGTTCCTTCAAGAGTGTCCAATACTTACAACTATTACTTCATACTTTTAAAAAATGCATGGGCACACATCAGATGTATACCATAGCGGTGCTTCCTAGACTTTAATGCGCATACAAATCTCCTGGAGATCTTACTAAACTGCAAGTTCTGCTGCATTAGGTCCGTGGAGGCACCAAAATTCTGCATTTCCTACAAACTTCAAAAAAATGCCAATACTGCTGGTCCAGGAATACCTCTTTGAGTTGTAAGGTAATGGAGTAAATGCCTTTTGAGTCTTTGTTAAGCAATCAAGGAATTCTTATTGCTGCTTATAATGCTATAAACTAATGCTGCAGCATTTTTATCTCAGCCTCTTTGCTTTGTAGTTTTGATCTTGGCACTTTTGCTTCATGGCTGATGGCTACGGTGACTTTTACAACCTAATTGTGGAATCAGCAATGGTTTTATTATTTCGGTTTCCCAAATAAGAGATAGAATTGAACAGCTAAGAGTGAAGCAATAATTTAAAATTGTTAGATCTAAATCTCATTTGTATAGAATCGCAAATCAGGGCTTTCAGGTTTTTTTAATTTTGTGAAAGAAGAGCTCATTACACAGTCTACTGCATTTGTATGAGAAGGTTTTGCAACCAGGAGAAATATTTACAGTGCATGGCCTGCTCAAGGAGAGTTTTCAGTGATAAAGCATAAGAAAGAAAAATAAGGGATCAAAACAGAAAGTAGTAGCTTGTATGTGGTGTTTTCTGAGCTGGAAAAGATAACACTGGGTTTACAAAATTAAATGTAAAATCTCAATCAACTTTATTCACACAGTGAACAACATTAATTAATTTTAATTCTATAGCTTCTAAATATTTTAAGTACTGAATTATTCATTACCAATAAAATTTCCAAGCTTTGATATCATATTAATGTACTGCTGTCATAGGCATTCTTATCTATTTCTCTGGCAATTAACATCTAGTCTTGGTTCTGGACAAAAAGAAAATCATAATTAAATCTGTTGGATTATTCATCATAGTTAGAAAGCTTATTGTGTTTTGATTCCAATATTAAGCATTCATTCTTAATAAGAAGTGCATATCTAACTCCCGTGGGGAGCTTTTCAAAATATAAAAGCCCAGAATTCCATTCTAAGTCTACTGAATCAGAATTTCTGGGGACAAAGGTATATGAAAGAGATACACTAAAAAAGAAAGGGGAGGTTACAAACATGTGCAGAGAGTTGGGAAGCAGGAAGGACATGTAGAATTACTATATTATTTTCAACTTCTCTTCTGCTTTTTAAGTCAAAAGCTGTTCCTAAATTATAGAAAATAACACTGTTACATATCTAAGTCCTTCAAGTCTGGTCAAATTGGGGGAAGGAAAGAGGAAACATAGGCAAAGAAAGAACTGCTACATTTTTATTTTTATACAGGGAAGGATATAAGAAAAAGAAACCACTACCTTTTCTATGAAAACATTACGTACATTTTTTTAAAAGTCTATTTGTAAAACTTTCCAAAACTGCATGAAAACACAATAGATGAAAAATAGAATGTGACAAATGAAGAAAAGGAATAAGCTAAGAAGCAGTTATAAGAAATTGTACAATGACAGATTGGATGAATTATGTAGGAAATAAAAAATTGGCAAAAAATCACAAACTAGGGAGCAAGATAAAAAAACAGAAGAGATAAAATGCAACTGGAAGAAAAGATAAATACAGGGAAATAGAGGGAAGAAAAAGGAAACTTCATTGAACAAGGAGATGTTTCAAGAATCCAATACTGAGATTTACTTGTAATTTTGTTCATGAATTATTTTGAGACAGGTAAATCATTAACCGAGTTTACTGATTGGTCAAGAGAAAAGATGTAATAAAATGAAATTTGGGAGAGTTGTGAAACAGACTTTTATGGTGCAATTTCCTACAAATATGGTGCTTTATCTTGTTTTTTTATCCTAAGGTCATTCTCATTGTGTCTCTTCGTCAGTGCCAAGAATTCAGGAGTTTGATATACAGTTTCTGATACTTTTTTCAATGATAAATAAAGCAAGTTAACCAGTCATGCTAATTATTAGAAAATATAGCCAATACTGTTTTCAGAGATTTTAATGTGCTTCAGCAAGTTTCTTTCAACTTCTATCGGATGATGGATTTTTGTAAAGAAGCAAAATAAATGCACAAATACTCAAGGCATATGCTAAGCACAGCACCAGGACCCATTCAACTTAGCCTGTCCATAGACTGAGGGATTCCGTCTTGGTGGAAGGTCTGATAACCTTGTGGGAGCACCTGAGGATAGTCAGAACAATTGAAAGATGGCTAAAATTGGGGAAATCTAGCAGTTAGGAAAATGGAGAGAAGGGCAAAATAGTATAGAAAAAAAAAAGAGTGGAAAAATAGTATAGAAAAGCAACTAGGAAGGATAAGAAAACAGTGAAAAATGGCTGAAATAAATGGCCTTTTTTTGAGTAAAGAAAGAATGAAAGTTATAGGAGGTAAGAATCAAGGTCAAGGAGAGCTCAGAATGAGAAGGACAAGAATCCAGTCCATATATGAAGTATAAGATAATATCCAAACATGTTAGTACAACAGGGAGCATGGAAAGGACCATCCTCCTCTTCTCCCCACTGCCTTCTCGGCTCCGTCTCCTGCCGCTTCTCCTCCTCACTTTCAAGCTTAGCTCCAATGCCCAGTAAAACTGAGTAACTTTCTACTTCCTTGACGATACTGTTAAGTTGTATAGGACAAATTCGTTACTCATCTTTAATAGTTAGCATAAAAGTACCCTCTTTCTAGAGGACTTTTAAGAGGCCTAGGGGAACTAAGTGCCCCTCCTTTGTATAGGTATTTATAAAATGTTTCCATTTGTGTCATTCTCATATGTTTTGGACTTTACAGCTGAATATTAAGCATGACCGAATGAGGGCTTTCTTCTCTTGAACAGAAAATACATCTCTAAATTTGAACGGCACTACAGATTCAACTTTTAACTAAGGACCTCCAGATCTTTTATTAGTAATTTGCAAGGAACTCAGTCAAATAAAAAGGTCCTGTCTTGTGCTATTCACAATAGCAAAGACATGGAATCCATCTAGTTGTGAAACAATGGTAGATTGGATAAAGAAAATGTGGTACATATACACCATGAAATACTACATAGTCATAAAAAGAATGAAATCATGTCCTTTGCGGAAGCACGGATGCAGTTGGAGGCCATAATCATAAGCAAATTAACGCAGGAACAGGAAAAACAAACACTATATGTTCTCACTTATAAGTGGGAGCTAAACATAGAGCATATATGGACGTAAATATGCGAACAACAGATACCGCGGACTAGTAGATGTGGGAAGGAGGGAGGGTGCGCATTGGTTGAAAAACTACTCATCAGGTAGGTACTATGCTCACTGTTTGGGTGATGAGATCTGTACCCCAAACCTCAGCATCATGCGCTATTCCCCTGTGACAAGCCTGTACATGTACCCTCTGTATATAAAATAAAATTTGATTATTTTAAAAAGGAGCAGTCTTTACAATGAACGATCAGAAATAAAATGCACCTTTTTAGCCTCTTCTTTCTCCTGTTATCTTTTTTTTTTTCAATTTCAGTAAACATTTATTGTACCTTACTAATACAAATGCTGAAACCATACAAATGTGTGTGTTCATTTGTTACAGGAACTAGAGTCAGGAGCAGGCCTTGTTAGATTTCATTTAATACTCTCTTTTTCCTGTGAGGTATAATAGTAGATATGCTCTTGGTACAATTTCCCATCTGCTCCTGATAATGGTTGCTATAAAAGAATAATGAGAATTCCTTCTAAAACTAGAAATAGACTGTTTATTTTCCAAAGCAAACATCCTGCCAATGAACTGAAGGAAAATTATGTACAGTAGCAATTTATTTTAATGGGACATTTACCTAATATCAAATTGTAATGAAATTTCCTTTTGATGTATTTATCTTATTCATATCAATTATATATATATATATAGATTTGTTATTATCACTGCTATTAATGTGTATACCAAAATTAATTCATCATAAAGAGCTTTAAGTACTACATGTTTTGTAAGGGTATCTTGGGTTGTTTTTCTTTCTCTTCCAAGAAATGCTGCCCTGGGCCAAAAAGAAAAAATCACGTGCTCCTCAATTTCAAGCAGAGATTCAATACAGTGTTACCTAAAGTGAGGAAAATATAAATATGTTAAGTTTTTGCCCTCTGAAACTGAGGGCTACATTTTAAATCTGGTCCCAGACATGTTTTGGCGTTAGAACTTTGTTTGATTAATGATTTGAATGCCTTTAGGTGGGGCATGAAAGCATTCAATCATTCTGTAAAGGCATTTGAATTGGTGGCTCTTGTTTTAAAGAAAACTGTTGTTACAAAGTACAGAACAGAACTTTGCAAAGCGAATAGGTTTTAGTTTGCTAAAATAAATGTTAGCTCTCTCTACGTTCAAGGATTTATTTAATCCTTCTCGCCTTCTAACTCATTCATGAGAACTTCAGGACAAATAGAAAACATTTAAGGGCTGTGTTTTTCTCTCCATTTACTTAGATTTGCAAAGAAAACAAATTGGCCTTTCCCTGATAAAAAGGCATCTTGTCCACAGCTGTACTTGTTTTCTTATTAAGTGATCCTGGTTATAGAACATGTGACTTCAGGCATAAAATTCTTTCTACATGATTACTAGCATGCCTCTGAACACATTAAATGTTTCATCGTGGAACATATTGCACGTAACTCAAAAAACACTGTCTCAGGACGTGATATTCGAAAGGAAGCATAGGTCATTTTAAAATTTCTAATTTCTCTTCTCTCTAGAGGTATTATCAATTTGGAGCCACATAAATACTTCTTCAAAAGCCATTTGGCGGGTAGAGGGTGATACAATATGTATGTGTGCATATAGAAAAAGCCAACAAAATTGTTTTTCAAAAATAAGACAATGTGCAAGTCAACTTGATTATACACTGTAAATATTTGATGGAAGTATCTAATGTCATTGGTTCTAAAACCCTGTAGTTCTCTACTGGTATTTGCCATGCCTATATTTTCACTCTGTAAGTCAATTATTGATTGGATACCTCCTATTAGCCAGACACTGTGGAAGGTGCTAGTCATCATTCTCTGCTGGAGGATGAATGGATTGGAGGAGCCCGGGAATAGAAGTAAGGAGACCAAGCAGGAGATATCATGGTAGTTAAAGTGAGGAAAGATGGTCGCTTGGATTGAGGAGGAGTCAGTGGCAGAAATGGAGAGAAGTGCATGGAACCAAGTGGCATTTGGAAAGTAAATACACAGGACTTAATGCATTGGAGACAGAAATGAAGGAGAGAGTATCAATCAGACAGTTGAAGATACTGGTCTGGAACTCAGAGGAAATATTAGGACTGAAAATATAACTGAGAGCATTATTGGCAGAGCTATGTCTAAAATTTATGATGTGAGTTTTGCTCCAAATGTGTTTGAGTCCCTTATTTTTATTGAAACGATTCTGGGCAAACTCAAAGCTAGCAATCATAATCCAAACATATTTTGGGAATCCCTGAGTATCTGCATGATGACTAATTTTGTCATTATTGACATTTGCTACATCTAATATGTATTATTTTCATTTGCTGGCAGAGAGATTAATATCATAATTAGCATAATGTAGAAAATTGAGAGGCCGTATGATTCCCCACAAATTTGAAGAAAATAGAATATCGTTTTGATGAAGCTGCTTGTGTTTTCCTACCCTAACTCCCACCCACCTATTAGTTAAAAAAAATGGTCAAAGGTGATTTCAAAATATGTTTTGAGAAAGTGTTGTGCTTTAAGAGAACAGAATTAAGCTTGTTCCTTAATACACTTCTATTCTGTGTTCACAAGAATTCCATGGGCCTTTGCTGTGGCATAGTCTTTAAATGCTGTCTAATGTAGGTAAATTGTTCAATGCAGTAAGTGTTCTCTTTAGTGTGACTGACTCCAACAAATATTTAATTTAGGGTAACTACTAGGTGTCTCAAGTTTTACAATGATAAATAAGCTTGTATTTTCTTGTCAACACTCTCAACTTAATGGGGACACCCTAGAAAATGCTGTGTTACAATATAACTATGGCGATTGCTTTGAGAACAAGATAGATCAATGAATTTGGCGAAATGGTAAGGAAAAGAAACAGACAAGTTGAGGTAATTACTATTATAAAGGCCTTAAAGACAGTCTTTTCCCCATTTCCTATATCACCAAGTACAGCGCTGAGCACTGCTCAGCTTAATAATTGCTTAAGAAATATTTGTTGATAAATTGAGCAGAAAACTAAGCAAGATATTATAATCTTCTTGATTGCTTTCTCATTCTGGAAAGGGTCAAAAGTAACTTTTTGAAATACATACAACAGCCTAGAGTGAAAAAGAGACATTTAAAAATAATTGTGTTTTTATCAAAGTTTCATCTCCTACCACAAATAACAAGTTATTAAGGAAAGCTGTCGTTTCTCAGGCTCTTGAGAATGGGAAGGCCTAGAAATACGATAAAGAGGGATCAAAGCAGATCTCTGTGTCTAACATCAATTAATTGATTTTGAGCATTTAGCTTAGATTACAGAACCCCCAAGACATCAACTAACAATCCACATCTAAGCACATGTTGGGCATCACTAAGCCTTATATGTCCCTCTTGCCAAGTTATACAGGCATTAAACACAAATTACTCTTTTATTTTTCCCCAAGCCTTAAGTTCTGAGGTTAGGTTTCTTGTTTTCCAACTCATTATCTGTTGTATGGTAATACTACTCTCCTTCATGGAATTAGATGAGAAGAGGTGATGATAAAAACAATTGTGCCTCTCTTGTTGACTGGGCACGCCCTCTGCAAATCAAAAAAAAAAAAAAAAAAGAATGCACAAGCATGGATTCACTCCCCATTATCAGTACATTGTACAATATCAATGATCTGTATTTTATTGAACAATATATAAGCCAGAGGAACCTAAGGATAAAGCAGACAAATGACATAAGCAAGTCATCTGTTAGATTTTTCTCAATTATTCATGTGAATATCTAAAAGGTTAGGGATATTTGTAAAAGAGTGGTGAAAACTATAGGTTTTACTTTCTTATCAATTTAGCTTGTATGAAGGAAAAGATTAAATTATCAAATGTAAATCTTTTCTAATTTTTTTCTCTCTAGGAACGCTTCCTTCTTAGGCTACCACGTAGCATTTCAGGACCTTTTCATTTGACTGAAACCTCAAAGGAAATATTTTCAAGCCAACATCCACTTCACTCCTAAAACTGGTTTCTTATATTCATTACATTATTTATTTGAATGACATCTGTATTTTCCAGTATGGATACCAGCAGTTCAACTTTGTTTTGTCCCTTTTTTTTTCATTCCTCCAATCCAAATTCTATTTTACTGATCCTAATTGTTATACTTCTTGCCCGGTTGATTCCATCGTTATTGCTTTTCCTCCAGCCTGGTTATTCATTACACTTCACCTATGTTATTAATACACCCTCCTAACTGTTTCATCTCAGACTCTTTCACTGCATAACATTCTACACAATCTTTCCAGATTAATCCTCCAGATGCATAGTTCTTCTGGTGGATTCCCTGCTCAAAAATTTATACTGAATACTCAGTGCCTGCCTGTTGAAGCCCAAATAGCGTACATAACATTCAGAACCTCATAGCATCCCTGAGAGATACCTTTTTAGGCTTCTTACAATGACTTTCCAATTCTTCATCCATGCTTCAGTGCAATTAGACAACTCACAGTGACGTCCTGGTCATTCTCCAGACCTTTGACTATTCTCCATCCTCCATCATGTGTGTCTTTACCTCTACTTATGTAATCCTTTCATTCCAGTTGACTAGACCATGAGATCCATGAGAGCAGGAACTGTAATCTTTTCTCACTCTAGTGCCTAGTAACGTGTTGCTACCTGGCAGTGCTCAAAACATGTTTGTTAAATGGATAAAGGTGTGCCCCAAATACTAACTCTATTGTGAATACATTTTCAAGCAAAAGTTATCTATCCTATAAATTGGGAATACATTTTCAAGCAAAAGTTATCTATCCTATAAAATCATACTGTACTTGAACTGTATCTACATAATGGTTTTTCACAGTCTATAAAAATTAAATTTTGTTATTATTAGAGACAAGGACTCATTCTGTCATGCAAGTTTGAGTGCAGTGGTACAATCATAGCTCACTGTAGTCTCCAACCCCTGAGCTCTGGTGATCCTCCACCTCAGCCTCTTGAGTAGCTGAGACCACCGGTGCATACCACCACACCCAGATAATTTTTAAAATTTTTTTGTGGAGACAGGGTCTCACTTTTTTGCTGAGGCTGGTCTTGAACTCCTGGCCTCAAACAATCCTCCCACCTTAGCCTTCCAAAGTGCTAGGATCATAGGCATGAGCCACCATGCCCAGCCTAAATTTCATTATTTTGATTGAAAATTTATGATTGTCTTTATTTCAGGGACATTGTCTTCTTTACCTTTGAGGTCTCCACTATGCTCATCAGTTAATTTGTTCTTTTTACTAAATGGCTAAATGAGTGACTGAGTTTCTTTTACTGGTATGTGGTGAAACTGCAGAATTTTTATGCACGTTGAAAGAATCTCTAAGAGCATAGCACATTTGGTAAAAAGCATGATTAAATTCTATTTCTGTACTTTTAAATACCTACTAGGGGTCTAGCAAAAAAAAAAAATAGTGCTGATGCTGAAGCTGGTCAAAGACAATTCAAATGTTCTGCACTTCATATTAGTGGTGGGGTTGCCAAGGAACAGAGCTTTTACAAAGCTAATGCCCTGCTGCTCAGGCAGCAACACTGCATTCTAGTAGACTCTTCAGATAAAGTAAAAAGAAAAGAAACAAAACAGGAAAATGTCTGTCATTCCCAGTCTTCAAGTTATATGAATGACCTCAAAATGATACTATTTTCACCCAATAATCATAAAGGTAATAATCTTCAACACACATAATCTATATGAATGTCCAATAAATCCATGAAAAGATGCTTAATAGTGCTAGTAATCAGAGGAATATAAGTTAAAACCACAACAATATACCTACATATTCTGTAAGATAGCAAAAATTAAAATGACTGACAAGACCAAATATTGACAAAGATGTAGAGTAACTGGAACTCTCCATCATCACTGGTGGCATTGCAAAATGGCACAACCACTTTAGAAAACTGTTTAGGTGCTGTTTGACAATATCTCATAAATTTAAACATTTCACCCAGCCATTCCACTTCTACAGAGTTACTCAAACTAAATGAAAACATATGCTCACAAATGGCTTGTACACAAATGTCCACAGCATCTTATTCATAACAGCCAAAAACTGAAAACCACCTGAATGTCCATCAAAAGGAGAATAGATAAATAAATTGTGGTATATCTATACAATAGAATATTAATCATCAATAAAGGAATGAACAGCTGATACACTTACATGGATGAATCTCAAAAGTAGTATGCTGATCAAAATAGTACATTTTGTATGATTTCATTTATACAAATTTTTAAAAAGACAAAACTAATCTATGGTGATATAAATCAGAAGAATAGGTGCCTATTGGGGCTGGGAATTGACTGGAAGGTAGCATGAAAAAGCTTTCTGAGGTAATGGAAATTTTTATTTTATTGAGGTGTCACTTTATCAGTGGGACCACTTCACAAAAGTTAACAGATTGAGCATTTAATATCTTTACTAACTTATACACCTGCCACAGTATAAGTTACTGTCACACCCAGTAAGAAAGCGTGGAAAATATATTAGATGGCAGAATCTGAATATTATACAAAGTATCTTGACAGATTGAAGTTCTCAACTAAATATGACAGGTTGAAATGTTATGTAAGAACAAACTCTTCCTCCTCTCCCAAATAAGTCTGTTTCATCTTATATAAAATTTTACCTCAATTAAGAAATAAAAACAATATCATTTTTAACTGCTCTCCTTACTTACACAATACCTTAGCCATGCTAACAATCAGGGCATCCAGCAAATCTAAGTACTTTCTCTCTCTTACTTCACACAGTACATATGGACCCTTCTTATGCAAGAAAACAACTAACTGAAATAGGCTGATTGCCAAACCTCAGTCATTTGCAGACAGAATTTAAAAGAGTTCAGAAGACTAATCAGGTTATACAGGAACAGACTTCGTGAACCATCAGGGATATTATACAATTCACCCTTTTATCCCCACACACAATGATCAATTTAGACAATCTATAAGACGAGTCAAGTGGCATCTGTCTTTCAGGAACACACGTGTGTATGTGGGGGTGTATGTTTATTAGATTAAGAAGGAAAAAGCGTAGAGATTCAACGATCTTGAATTTCAAGAGAAAATGGCTCAAGAAAGCCTGTAAAAGCTCTTTAGAATAAAATTTTGACAATATAATGGCAAATCATCCCAGTGAGTATAAAACAAAGATGTGTGCCACTGTATGGACAACCTCAAAGGTGCTCAGATTCTAATAGAGTATGAACATGGGAAGAAACGAGGGACAGAGAACTGAGGGCAAATATTAGAAGAACAATATAGAACTGTATAAACAGTGAGGAAAAGCTGAGCTTGGAATGAATTGAGGCTCGTGATAATGGTAAAGACAACATTCAGGGCCTTTTTACTTCCATTTGGAGGAAGAAGAACCAGAAAGACGAAGGTTCACTGATTGGGGCAGAAGGGAGAAGGTTAGGGATAGAGACGACACAGAAAGCAGCAGTGTGCAGCTCCTTTTGCTTGTCTGCTCTGTCAAGGAGAATGTTCATCAGACTGGAAAAGGCATAACCGTATAAGGGAAATGAAGCCCAAAATAGGTGAGGGAATTTTAAAAGAGCACCTTGCTGCTCTAAATGAGCTAAAATCTCTGGCCCTGGACCAATTATATTCTAGGGAAATGAGAGAACTTGCGCAATACAGTCCTACCCCACTGTCAGTGGTCTTTGAGGAACTATGTTAACACTGCAGATGGGCAAATGTCATCTCGATTTTTAAAGACAGGAAGAGGTCACTGCGACTGTGTTCCATCAATTCCTGCTAAAGAGCATTTCTGAATGATGGAACAAGGAGCAAACAAACACTTGTTAACAAAGACAACGTGGAGGCAGCTAATTTGGGTTTGTATGACAACTCGTTCTTACACCAGACATGTGTGCCTGTGTTTGCAGTTGAATCTCTTTTGCAGTATGAAAATTGAATTTCACATTTCTAAACAACTTAAAAACCACTTCTTTTTTTTTCCAGCTAATGAAAGTTAAATTTTCTTAAAATGAAATAACCATATAAATAATGAATTGTGTTCTGTTGTACAAGGAGCAGCATGACATCCAGTTGCCCACCACCTGAAAAAGTTTGAGGTCCTCTGGCAAATAATGGACAGAGACAATGATCTTATACGTGCACCATTTTGTGTTATTTGACATGGTGACAATGGGTCTCCTTTCTACAAGAACAGAACAAGAGGAAATAAGATTGCAGAGTAGTTGGGGAACCTACACAGGAGGGAGTCTTCCGAAAAGAGATTTAGACTGTATCAATATCCAGAAAAATGTCGAAGGTGATTTTTGGAAAATGGCATCATTGTTTACATTTATTCTTTTGGTTTTCTTCTATCACTTTTAGTGGATTTTTATAATGAAGAGACATACGTTTATGATCAGAAAAAAATAACCCTCTACCCATTTGGGAAATAAATTGATATAATCTTACCAAAACAAGGTATTTTTTTCTGGATTTTTTTATTCAAGAGTGAGAGAATAGATAAAATAGTCTTTCCCAGTACTGTATATTAATTATTTAAATATGATATTTTAAAATAAAGTTATCATACTTTATCTACTATGGTATCAGCACCTGTAGACATAATTTACTACCATATTTGCATTAGTACATATTACTAAAGTTTTTCAGAGATATGGCCATATATAGTGGGTAAAAGATACCAAAAATCATAAATAACATTTTATTCTTTCTCAAGTAACATTATTCAGCTCCTCTAATATAATTTCAGAGCTTTTGTTAATGGTATTTTTCTACATACTAGTTTTGAATAAATTCATGTCTACCATGAACTATCTAGGGAGAAATGTTGTTAAAAATGCTGTTACAAGTTCCATAAACTTAGTTTACTTGATATCTTATAAACATGCTGCCTTTTGCAAAATACAGATTACTACTGAAATCAGGAAAGCTTAGAATTATTAAGACAGACGTATTGTAGGGAAATAAGGGAAAATTGCTCTAATTTTGTTCTGACATTCAGAATATAAAGATAATAGGTATTATCATGATGTCAACATGCTCCATCAAAACTCCCATTCAATACCATTCTTTTTCCATATATACTTACTTTTTTTTTCCTCATCCTTGGCCTTAATACAAAACTCAATATTTCATTTATAGTTTGAAATTTTGTTACATACTACCCTAATCCTATGTGGATTGAAGAAGGGTATAAATCAATAAAACTTAAAACTGAATTTTCTCCTTTAAGCAGTTTAGATATTTTAATTAGTAAACACAAACAAATAAGGTTAGCTATGTATTGCACATTTAAAGAAATATCACACTGTCAATGTGAAAAGAAATTTGTAAGGAAAAAAAAGAACAAAGATCAGTCTGGGACATCTGCAATACATTCCAGATTCAGGAACAACAAGTTAAGTATCTACCTACTCATCTTTTCTGGCATGATCTTCTGTTAAAACAAGGAAAGGCAGTTACCATACAGAAATGTTGATTTTGTCAGACAGATAAAGACATCACTAATACTATGCCAAAGAATAATTGCAATTATCTTATTGTGATAATTTATTGCTTTCATATACTTCATAAAGTGCTATCAGATGATTGTTCCATTTGAGATCCACGTGAAGTATGAGGTCAGAAAAATGTGTTATTATTCCTAGGGTAAAGACGAGGAATTGGGGGTCTAAATATTTGTCCAAGTTGTCCTGCAGATAAAGGTCCCAGGACCAGGCCCCAGATTGTTATCACATTTCAGTGAGATTCCCATTATTCGGTACTGGCTCTTTTCTGACTCAAATACTTAGATATTAAAGAGATATATGCGAGACATGAAAAGTAGAAAGTACAAAAAAATCGGCAAGTTGTACACTTTTAAATTATTGTGAAAATAATTAACCAAATACTTCATAATTATAGATGTTTTTGGTAGAAAAAAGATGATTCGATACTCACTTTCCTATTAAACATCTATTTTGTCTTTCACTTTGATAATGCTGTTATCTTCAGTTAAATATAATCATTATGTGAATAAACAATGTGGATCAAAAAAGAATGAGAAATATCAACCCAGAATATGTTTGAAGCTGATTTAAAGAGGACAACAGCATCCCTAGATTAGATTACATGTTTTTGTAAAGCTGCTATATTAGAATGTCATGCTGACATGATTCTTGATAATGTATTTAATGGGTAAAGTATGCATAGTGAACATTTGTGTAGAGTTCATCACATCTAATTTTCTGTTTTCTTTTGATACACGAAGGTGAATGATGCAATTGTGGTATTTCTGCTGTTGAACTTAATGAAAATTCTGTCCACTATCAATCAAATAGATCTTTTCTCTTGTTTGTTGTCCAAACAAATATGTTCAAAAGTAATTCATTTTTATTGAAAAGTCTTGTACTCACATGATGAAAAAAACACAAACAAGGCTTTAATTTATTTCACATGCACTTGCTTGCAAGCTATACACTGGAGAAGAGGGGAAGTTTAGTTTTATATTTATGTAATTCAAGTTATGTAGATAGACCAGGTGTTATATAAATGGACAGATTTTTAAACTAGTATGTTTCAATAAATAATATGAGCCAATCTTCAGAAATGAATATAAACATGTGGCATCCTTCTCTATAAAAACACAAGGTTGAATGGGGCTCATCTGAAGTGTTGCTGCAACAGTGTGATGTCTGTCCTGGCCGAGAGTATGTGGGATGATTTATCTCAATATGTTTTTGCAGTAACAGGTCATACTGAAACAATGATGGGACAACAAATCACAATGTATGCCATACAAAGAAATGATATGGGAAGAATAATTTCATTCCCAAGTATTTAAAATTGATACTCTATTTTGAAGATCACCATAGAATTAGAAACAATGTAAAAGAATAGACCTGGTAATAATAACTATAATTTCTTTCAAAAAGAGAATTCATAAACATAGAAACCAAGGACTCAGAGAAGAACCACTTATAAACATTAGAATATTACCTTCTGCCATTCCTAATTTAGCATATAAAGGTAACTTTTTAAAATCTCTGCTTTTCATAACTGAGAGCCAGAAACAAAACGTCTGCATGATGATTAGGTGTTCTTTGTATATAGCAACAGTATCCCCTTGCCAATTTTAACAATATTAAGAAACATATGCCCCACTCTCCAGAATAAATAGCTGTGTAGAAGAAAATGCTTTGAAACATTCATTGTCTTCTTAAAATATGAAAATCAACATTTAGGAAAATATTTATGTCGCTTCTACATAATAGCCTTTGGGTAAGTACAGATTAACTTGACAGAGGTCTTTCACGCTTAAACATCGACATTTAAATTTTGATTGACAACCAACAGTAACGAGTAACGCTTTCATTTTAGATATTTAAATATACAGAAGTACCATTTGCCTGCAAGACTGAGCAAATGAATTAATTTGTTCAGTAAATATTTATTGAGCGCATTGCATCCTGCATCAGACAGTTCCTGACCTTAGGCATTTCATTGCAGGTATAGACAAACAATAAACAAACAAAGATGTACATACACGGAATAAACACATATTGTGGTAATAGGGACAAAAGAAAATCACGGGATGCTTTCACAGAGAATAATGGAGAATAATGATAACGGAGACTAATAATGCTCAATAGTTGAGGATTTGCAAGATTATGGTGTAACTTTAGATAAAGTGACCTGGAAAGGCTTTGGAGATGAAGTTACTGAAACGGGAGATGCACAAAGAAGAACAGAATTAACTACTTATCCAGATGGAGAAAACAGCATGTATGACGCTCCCGAGTCAGGAAGGAACTTTATATGCCTGGATATAAAGAAGCTGAAAGAAAACGAGAATGGTTGGAGCCCCTTGAATGAAGGGGAGTGTGGAATGAAATCAACTTCAACATACAGATTCATGTACAAGGATGTTCACTGCAGTGACCAAAATGTGGAAGCAGTCCCAATGCCCAATAATGGGAGAATAATTAATTATTTACAATCACATCTGGGAGTTTACTATATTGTATTGCATTTTAAAATGACATATAAAATTTAAAATAATTCTAATTATTAAACATCAATAAAATATTAAATAAAAGATGATAAAATTTTTTTTGTACAATACTACTTGCTAATGGGACAGAACTCAAGAAAACATCAAAAGGTGTAAAACCCATTAAGAAGGCAACCTATGGGAGAAAGACTATAGGTGCTTTTTTGTTTGTTTGTTTTGTTTTTTTTCTGAGACAGAGTCTCGCTCTGTCACCAGGCTGGAATACAGTGGTGTGATCCCGGCTCACTGCAACCTCTGCCTCCCGGGTTCAAGCGATTCTCCTGCCTCAGCCTCCCGAGTAGCTGGGACTACAGGCACACACCACCATGCTCAGCTAATTTTTGTATTTTTAGTAGAGACGGGATTCACCATGTTGGCCAGGATGGTGTCGATCTCTTGACCTCGTGATCCACCCACCTTGGCCTCCCGAAGTGCTGGGATTACAGGCGTGAGCCACTGTGCCCAGCTGTCTTAATTTAATACTTTTGTGTATTTTCAAACTTTTCTACACTGAGCTTTAAAAAGTATAAGCAAAAATGAAAAACAAAGTGAAACCGCCATATTGCCTTTGTCCTGAAATATTAAAAAACGAACTAAAATGGGCACAGAACAAAAACTATAATATTCCTATATGCATGTTCACATTGAGAAAAATAGTGAGACAAAATGTCTGAATCCTGGTAACTATGATAGAAATGGAGTGTGCCTATATGCACGTGTGTGAAGGGAAAGGTATTCTCTCTCGATTATCTATATTTATCTATTTATCATTTATCTGTCATCTATTAGTTATCTATCAGTTATCTATCTATCATCTATCTGTTTACCATCTAGCTGTAGGTCATAAATAGAAGACATTTTAATTAATATTTGCTATTGACCTATTCTCAAAAATCACTACTGAATTGTTTACAAAACTCAGCATGCTTTGCCAAATAATTAAGACCTTTATTTGTATTCATGAGTCTTAATTGCCAAACAATTAAGACCTTTACTTGATCAAATCAAGAAAATTAGCATATCACCTCAAACATTTACCATTTATTTGGGGTAGAAACCTTCAAAACCCTCTCTTCTAGCCGTTTTGAGATACGCAATACCTTACTGTTGACAATAGTCTCCATACTATGCAACAGGACACCAGAACTAATTCTTCCTTTCTAATCGTGACTTTGTACCCATTGACAATCCTCTCCCCATTCTCGCTTTTCCCCTACTTCC
This sequence comes from Homo sapiens, assembly GCF_000001405.40. Taxonomy (NCBI): domain Eukaryota; kingdom Metazoa; phylum Chordata; class Mammalia; order Primates; family Hominidae; genus Homo; species Homo sapiens. The sequence continues at coordinate 31,987,463 of NC_000023.11, forward strand.
CCCATTCTTTGGTGACCACCGTCCATTTACTGCTTCTATGAGATCGATGTTTTTAGATTGTGCATATGAATGAGAACAAGCTGCATTTGTCTTTCTGTGTTTGGCTTAGTTAATACAACATATGAAAAAATGTTCAACATCACTATCAGGAAAATGCAAATCAAAACCACAATGAGATATCATCTCATTCCAGTTAGAATGGCTATTATCAAAATACAAAAGATAAAAAGTGTTGGCAAGAATATGGAGAAAAGGGAACCCTTATGCACTGTTGGTGGGAATGTAAATGAGTACATCCATTATGGAGGACGGTATGGAGGTTCCTCGAAAACTTAAAAATAGAACTACCATACGATACAGCAATTCCACTACTGGGGACAGAGACAAAGCAAATAAAATCAGTATGTCATAGAGATATCTGCATTCCCATGTTTATTGCAGCATTATTCACAATAGCCAAGATATAGAATCAACTTAAGTGTTTAATAATGGATGAATAAAGAAAATATTGCATATATATGCAATGGGATATTATTGAGTCATATAAAAGAATAAAATCCTGTCATTTATGACAACATGGATGAACCTGAGGATACTATGTTAAGTGTCTGAAGTTTTGACTCCTGAAATGTTATAATGTCCTCGGTTTAGGATATTAGCTTGAGTAGAATGGCAACAAGGTTTGCACAAATATTTAAAAAGTGACTCACAAGAAAAAGTGCTATTTAAGCCGGGCATGGTGGCTCATGCCTGTAATCCCAGCACTTTGGGAGGCCAAGGTGGGTGGATCATGAGGTCAGGAGATCGAGAACAACCTGGCTAACACGGTGAAACTCCGTCTCTACTAAAAAAATACAAAAAATTACCCGGACGTGGTGGCGGCCGCCTGTAGTCCCAGCTACTTGGGAGGCTGAGGCAGGAGAATGGCGTGAACCCGGGCAGTGGAGCTTGCAGTGAGCCGAGATCATGCCACTGCACTCCAGCCTGGGCAACAGAGTGAGACTCCATCTCAAAAAAAAAAAAAAAAAAAAAAAAAAAGGAAAAGAAAAAGTGCTATTTAAAAATAGCAACACTAAGAATAATACAATATTAAATTTTCATAGTATTTTAAAGCCTCCATAGCATATTAATTTATTCAAATAACTTTCAGGACACCAGAACTAATTCTTCCTTTTTAATTGTGACTTTCATACATTAACTCCATGAAAAATTGAGGTCACCTTTTATACCAATTTTATAACTTTGAAGAGTAACCAGTGATATTTAGAGAAATTATATTAGGGCACTCTCACACTCACGTTCTTGTGCTCTCATTTCTCTCTCTGTCTCTCTCTCTCTCTCTCTCGAAACCAGAGAGGGAGAGACTTATTGTAATAAATTGGCTCATTACGAATCTGGAGAAGTCCCAAGATTTACAGTCAGCAAGCTGGAGACCCAGGAAAGCCAATGATGTAGTTCCTGTCTGAGTCCAAAGGCATGAGAACCAAGAAAGCCAATGACGTTAAGTTCCAGCCCCAGAACTGGAGGCTTAAGACTCAAGAAGACCCAAGGTTTCAATTCAAGCTCAAAGGCAGGAAAAGATGGGTGTTCCAGCTTTAGCTATCAGGCAGGAGTTCCTTTTAATCAGGCTTTTTGATTAGGTCTTCAATCGATTGGACTTAGGTCCTCAATTGATTGGATCAGACCCACCCACACAAGGGAGAACAATCGGCTTTGCTCCCTCTACTGATTCAAATGTGAATCTCTCCAGAAACAGCCTCATAAACACACCCAGAATAATGTTTGACCAAATGTCTCGGTACCCTGCGGCCCAGCCAAGTTGACACATGAAATTAACCATCACAGAAATTAAGTAATTTGTTGAAGTTAAATTGATAGACTTGAGATTTTTAATAACAATCGGTTCCAAATTCTAGCCTGATGTGTTTTTTCCTTTTATTATATTAAATTTATTGCAAAATGTTCTTAAAGCAAATTTGGAAAAGGCTAGATTTCTTCAGGTCAGAAATTCTGCCGTATTCAATGCATGAAGAAAGCTCAAATGAATCTATTTGACAGACCTGGAGCAGTTATTTTGTCTGATGCTAAGGTTTTGATTTACAAGCGCAAGAAAAAATTGTCTTTGTGCTTTCTGATTGTGGCAGCCAAGTTGAGTGGGGAAAAACAGGAGAAAAACATGCTAATACGGGGAAAAAAACATAAAGAGAGGATTTTTGCAACTCAGAAATGAACTTATATACAATGAAGAGCCTATTTTATTCCTAAAATAATAATCTAAAATTTTATTTTAAAAATGAGAAAGCTTGAGAGGTATTTATTAGATTATATACTGATTTCCTTTTTTTAATCTCTATTTTTAATGTAGACTCAGGGGTACATGTGTTGGTTTGTTACAAGGGTATACTGCGTGATGCTGAGGTTTGGGCTTCTGTTGATTCCATCACCCAGATAGTGAACATAGTACCCAACAGGAAGTTTTGCAGCACTTGCTCCCCTCCCTCCCCTCCTCCTTTCGGAGTGCCTAATTCGTGTTGGAAATTTGCTTTAATCTTAGGGGAACATTCATAGAAAAAACTGTACAAAGGGTTTCTTTACGCATTCTCAATGATGAAAATCATGTTGACATTGTTCTGTCATTAGAAGACATGTACAAAAATAGTTTTTGATAAACTAGCGCTTAATGTCTTCATAACGTAAGTGGAAGCGATGAAAATATACTGCAAGAAACTATTTTTCAAAGTCTTCGACATTTTTACTTTTTTTCAACTAAACACTTCAGTCCTTTTGGGTGAGCTCTTTATATTATTTAAAAGGTTCTTTTCCTAGATAGTTTATGTAAATGCCTTTTCCTGGAGTAACCTTTAAGGCATTATTTGGAAATAACATAGTTTCTCCTAAAGTATGTCTGTTTTTATCCACAACAGTAGAGTAGTAGGAAAGTGTGTGCTAAGAAAGTACAATATTCTCTTTGTCACTGTACATTATTGTAGTTACCATATGAGCTAAGAGACTATGCTAGTGTTAAGGTTGCCTTTATAGTATGATTATACCTGTTATTTTCCTTGCTCTAAGTTTGTTGGCATTTCACAAGAAATAATACGTACAACCACAAAGTTAACTTGAGCTGTGATTATGAGAAAATGGTACAATAAGTTAAGCAACACATTTAAAACAAATAGTTCAATTACTCAATTTCATGCGGTACAGTTTTAACATTGCTAGTACATCCTCAGATTAAATATACGAAAACATTAATAACTCACGTAAGCAAGGTGTAAGGCAGTTACACATCCTACCACGTGTAAAGTATGCTACTAAATCTGAATTAAAATAAATATAAGATTAAACTATTACTTTCTAGTAGGTTAACACTCCGTGAGGAAACAAGATGTAAGCATATAAAAAGTCAAATAAAGTTTTAATTAATGTTCAAGACAATAGAAGACATGTCATATTTCAATACCTGATGAATTTCCAAATTGATTATACAGACAAAATATTGTAGTTCAGAGAGAGATCTTCAAAGATGACAAACAAAAGGTCTACAAAAGAATAATTTATGAGTTTTCCTGAAAACCAATACAGGTTTTGAGAGTTGATAAGACATGGTTGATGAGATGTATAAGAAATAAAAAGTGCAAGAACACAGGGGGATTTATGACGCATAATATTGAGATTATATTAAAACAGGCATTGAATATCAGGAAGGGTGATTTTATACCAGATCTTGTAAATAGAGGGGATCTACTACAGGTTTTAAGGAGACAAACGATATGATAAATGTTATTTTTATGGCTGATCACAGTATTATAAATGGATTGGAATGGATAATGTGATTACAAATGGAAAGGAAAGCAGGCAGAAAGACCAGACCAGTGGCAATTACAACGTAAGGTACTATGACTTTTATCTAAGAACTTGGAAAAAAAAGAGGTACTGAGAAGGAAAAGTGTAGCCTGCAAAGGAGGAGCAAAAGTGGGTTTGAACCTTAATAGGTTGGAAGGAACAGGAAGTCAATTGTGGGGATGACTTTGGAGGGGAGAGCAGGGATGAATTTGCAAAGTCATATGGAAACTGCGGTCATACGGAGATATCCACATGTCATGTCCAGGTAGTAGGGCTAGAAATACAGGTTGGAACAGAGATAAAAAACAGGATAGCCAAAGCCAGAAGATGAGATGTAAACAAAGGTGAGGTCAGAGTGAGAAAGAGAAAACAATAAGCCTCAACTGATGATTTTGACACATGAGAGGAATAAAAAACTAGGAATATTACAGAAGCTAAAGGGTTACAGACTTTAAAAAAAAAAAAAAAGGAAGGGGAATATCGCAGTGGTATTGAACAAGATAAAATGGCAGAGAAGCCAATGGATTTGGCAAATACATTATTGTTGATTTTGAAAGTTTATTCTACAGCTATTTAAGGAATGCCCATTATGTTCCAAGCACTGTTCCATGTTCTAAAGATACGGCAGTGAGCTCTCATGGAATTTATGAAGGCAACATAAAATAAACAACTAAGAAAACCGATGCATGATACAAGGTGATAAAGAATATGAAGAGACTTAAAACGCAGTGTAAGGAAGTGGAGAGTGAGAACAGCAGGGGATTACTATATTACTGTGGTCACTGTAATGGGAGCTAATAGACACTCCTGAGGGAAGTTAGAGGGTAAGACGTGTGGATAGCTGAAGAAAGAAGGTTGAATTTCAGCAGGAGGAATCAAAACCAAATCTATAGAGAGAGGATAGTGAAGGATTTATGTTGGAATGACTTACGGTTTTGTGTAGCTAGTTTTTCTTAAAGAATAAACTGGCTTATCCTCTTGATAAGGAATTAGTGGTGAAAGAAGCTTTGAAGACATTTAATGTTAGGAAGCAAGAAATCAGAGTTGTGAAGAGATATGTTAAAATTAGGGCATTGCCTCCATGAGCAGGCCATTAAAACTATCTGGAAATGTTGAAAGGACTATGAAAGCACTAGATGATGATGCTACGTTTCTGAAGTTATCCCTCATCATTGGCTCCAAATATGCATTGCACTTAAAATTTTATTTTATAATATTTTAAAGTATATACACAAACAATTTAAAATAGCTGCAAAAATATGATCACGTATGGTCCCTCGTTTTTCTTGGCTCACTCCTCTCCTCCTCCACCCACAACAAACCTTCCTCCACTAAAATAACCTAATTATTTATTTCTGTAATTTTGCACTTGATATTTTTTTCAATTTATATAGTCATATATACTTTTGTAGAGCAGAGGGTGAGAAGAGATGGATATAAATGAAAATGAAACTAGAAATAAATTAAAATTCTTTACCAAGGTAAAAATAAATCTTATTGGTCTTATGATAATGCATTGTCCTCTGTGATCACCAAAAATCTACAATACAAAGCCAGCCAATCTCTTGGGAGAGTGTAGAAAGTTTAGGGAAATGTAATTATATTTTATTTGCAGAAGGAATCAATATGGCGGTACTTTTCAAGTTCAATTCAATCACAAATGTAAAGAACAGATTTGCATTTACATCTAAGCAGAAGCGTGGTGGATTAAAAAGATTTCAATAACATTTAGTCATCTCTTTGTCAAAATAGGGCATTCATTGAACATAATGACACTCAAGGCCATCCTTCCAATAAATTACCCTATAAAACTTCCATTCAAAATTTAATATGGTACAGGTTGGGGAATATAGGTAATTAAATGTGTCGTAGAGGTAGAAAGAAGACCCTGGGTAAAGGAAAAGATGGTAATTAAGATTTGAAAGAATAATACTGAAATAAATAGGTTATTCTAGGAAAATCTTATCAGTATGCTAATCACTTTAGGTCCCTTATCATAGGAAAGAATCTTAAACAGGTGCTTGGGACAATGGTGGTCAACCCCTTAGCGGTTTCAAATGCTAGGAGTCTCATGACACACAGGCTCTAAACCTTGATTACCTTTCTACAAGAACATTGTTGCTTGTTGATCTCCAATCTTTTTAATACGCTAATGTCAGATGGAAACAAATTCGACTCCTGGATGGCAAGCAAGCTGCACTGGGATTGGGTAAGGCTAGAAGCCATCATCTGCAACACAGAGATAAGCGAGGCTGAATTCTCTGTGGCCTTTTGAGACTGTATTATGTGAAATGAAGAATTTACAAGCAGAAACAGTAGCTAAAAATCTCATTATTAATGACTTTTGAGCAGCCACGGTTTCTGGTTTTTCATGTGAATCTGTAAGAGACTTAACAAAGACAAAAATGTGGGCACAAAAAATGTAGCAAATAAACAGAATCTGGGACTAAAATAGAAAAATGTAACTGTGTCTCAAAAGTGTTTACATACTGGCTGAAAGAGTGAACTGTACAGGGTTTGTTTAAACAAAAGTTATGTAAATCTTTGCTCAGCTGGTTGCTCAGGAAAGTAAATGGAAGCAAACAGAGGAAAACAGACCACGGGCTGGAAGAGTTTGTCAAGAATGATAACGGGCATTGAAGCATCAGGATTTAAAATGATAGCCCAGCCTCTGTAAATAATGCAAGCTCTTCAGGATGCACTAGAGACCCAACTCGACAGCATGATAATTTTAGCTAAAAACCTGCTATTCCCTCCACAAGACTCCATAAACTAAAGAAGAAAGCTGAGGGATTGTATACACCCAAAACGCCAACTGTTAGAAGCGTGGGAAACCTGGCACCTTTAAATCTCTGATTTTATCCCTTAGTTGCCCATGACATTGCCTGGGAGATTTTGCAGCACTTAAACTGGGATAAGTTAGACAATTAAAGCATCTCAGTTTTTGTCTAACCATGCTAAAAATAAGAGTGACAGGTCTGAAGCAAACATTTTGTGCCTTTGTATGCAAACAAAATTCAGTTGACAAAACACAAAGTACAATGACTACGAATGAGCTAAAGATACAAAATTAAGTTAGGCAAAATTCCCATGAACGCTGTCCCTTCCCCGCTAAATATTTTACTTCCGCCACTGAAACCCTCTAACACCAATGAAATAAACATAAGTTGGTAGGACAGGTGAGAAAAATCTTCTTAAGGAGCTCAAACTAATAACCCTACGTATCATCTGGAAAACAGTCTGGCAAGAGGCCTTCTTTTCGCATTAACCTTCTGTGGGCTCCGCACCTGACAAAGCATGGGGCTGCTCCCCGAGAAATGGGACTCCCAGTGACACAGACTAACTGGAGAAAAATTGGCCTGAAGTTATACATCAGTCATTTGCAGAACAAGACTTGAGGATCATCAGCCTTTGGAAATGGTTTTATTCCAAGTTATACAGGAGTAGGCACCTGCTTTATATCTGCCCTTAGCACTCCGGATTAATCGCACATATATAGGGAAATGAATTTCTCCCTGTTGATCTCTTCATTGCAATCTTGTGCCCACAAAATCTCAATGGAACTGCGCTAACAGGTTTAAAAGACCAAGTCAGGAAATTCACTTGTCACTTGGTTCTCAAAGTGAACGCGAAAGAAACTGAAGAATTCAAAGGGGTCATGGATATTTCTTCAAAGCTCCAAATAGTTGTTTGGTAGAGATGACGAATTTTGAGCCATCTGGGCAATACGAGAAGGCTCCCCTGATTATCCTTCCTTACGTGCTTATCAACTCACTTGCGGCCCTAGGGAGAGGATGGCATTTCCGAAGTTCCAAATTCTCTCTGTGTGTATCTGTGTGCTTGAGCGCATAAGTTATTACATTTGTATTTACTTACTTAAATATTTATTCATTTACTGAAAAAGGGCAAGAGGTAGTAAAGTAAGTCCACAGAGTGAAAAATGAGTAGGCAAATTTGAAAGTCACCAGTGATTACTCTATTGGTTGAAAAGATGCATTATCATAATGAATGCATTAGAGATAACAAACATATGTACAAGTGTCAATAGGTTTGTAGGATTATGGCTGATTTTATTCGTCTTCCGTGCAACTTCCTATATTTTTCAAATTCTATAATGAGCACTTATTACCTTTATAATAAGAAAAAAGAAAATGCAAACCAAAATTGAAAAGTTTTACATTTTGTGGATAATTTATGGCACATCTTTGGAAATTTTATGTTAGAGGCTTTCACTGGCTAATCAGAAATTGCTTTATCTATTTTTCTTTGTTGAATGGAAAGGGAGGAGGGAGGGAGAGGGGAATAAGCAAGGGAGAAATAATAGGGCAAATAACTGGTTCCACTCAAGAGCAAATTAACTTTCCCTCATGGGTAGTCAGTACATGTTAATTGATGATAATTAAGAAAAATGAGTTTTCTTTTTTGTGAGCACCACCACACAATTCCATATTTTCATATTAGCTAAAGGTTAAAGTCAAACTGATCCAGTACAACTTTGCAGTTGGATGTTAACTACTTTTCATAGAAGGGGCCACATTCATGGTGAATCTCAAGACCTCGTTTATTTGTTAAATGCATCTTTGCAACTATTTTCTATTTCTCCCTATACCATTAATGACACCCACAATAGTACACAGGACATTTGATCACTATTTCTTGCATGTCTGCATTTCCTTTGCTGAGAAATAGAGAAATACATAAAGAACAAAAAAGGGCTCTAAGTCCCATTCAAAAATCTACAAACGTGACTGCTGAACGCCTTAACAAAAGCACCCATGAATCGGCCATGGCTTTATAGCTGCGAAGGGACAACACATAGGCATGGAGAGAAATTGGAAAAAAAGAAAATAACGTGAATTAGAATTCTGCCAATAGTATTAGTGCTAATGTAATCAACATGACATAAGTATGAATCTTTGAAATACCAAAACTTCGAGTAGGTAAAGTGGTTCTCAACAATATCTTTCTTCTCAGGGTAATCATAGTGAATATGAGGATACATCGACAGGGAAAAGAACAGTAGGTAATTTGAGGGAATTTTGCAGCACTAATTTAGTCTCCAAACACTGATTATTCAGTGGTCATTATTCCAAACTGCGAGGGACAGTAATGAATCCAAACACTATTCGAAAGGCAAACTATTACAGAGAATGTTACACCCTTCCTAAGTTGTGAGTGGCACAGATTTATGTAATGGCAACTGGGAACAAAAACAGCCAAGGTCAGTGGAAACCTAATTGTAGTACTTTATCTAGTTGAATAAAAATCCACATTTTTTTAGCACTGAATTTTCAGTAATTGAAAACAAAAAAAGTGGGGCTTCAATTTTATATCAGCTATGATAAAAGACAGTAACTCAAAGGCTTGATACCTTAAACTTCAGGGTTGTTTCCTGTTCATTGTAATATCCTCAGCCTTACGTAGCGTTGCAGGCATATAACCGGTCCAAAACAATAAAAACCATGTTGAATTAATTAGTGAGTGAGTGAACAATGAATGTAGAAGTAGATAATAAGCCAGGATAATAAGTGATGAACTGTGTCAGAACCAAGATCAACAACAAGAAACCACCAACCTAACTACACCAATGCAATGATGTCATCTATGGGAAGGGAAGAGGAAAGGGCAGTATGCTTTCATGAATATTAATCATTTATAACGTGTAAACTGTATATCTTCCATTCCACAATGTGGGTTCAGCTCTTTTCAATTAAGCTTTTTCTTTTTGCCCATATAATGATCCAATCAGAAGAACCTTAGTCAAGTGCTGCTGCAAAGAGGTGCCTGAACTGGGTGAACCCTAAAGAAAATTCTGCTGCCTGCATTGGCAAGAATCCACAAGCCACTCTGTATACTGCATCTTATGTGAATCTTCTATCATTTGTATATTCAATCTTGAATAAATCAATTTGCCCTCTTGGGTCTTATGATCTTCGTCTATAAAATCAGGATAGGTGATTGCTAGGTTCTGCATAATATGAGGTTTACCTTAAGGCAACCTAGGTGGCACACTAGAATCACTAGGGAAGCTTTAAAAAAATTCCTATTCTCAGGTCTCGCACCAGAAAAATCAAATCAGAATTTCTGCAGGTGGGAACTAGGCATCTCTATTTTTTTTTGTTTTTTGTTTTTTTAGAGCTTCCAGAGTAATTCCAACTTGTAGCTAAGATTGAAAACTAACTCTTTAAACACTAATTGTTGTCACCTGAGTAAATTAAGGATACTTTCAGAGCCATAAAATAATTTACTTTTTGTACTTTTTTAGGCCTAAAGTTATATATTTCTAGAATAAAGATTTGTGCACGTATTTTTAAAGGGCATGTGGCTTGTATTTTTTTTTCTTTGCAACTTAATGTGATGATTAATATTCCAAATTTGCTACCAGTTTTCATTATTACTCAGTATTTTCAGGCATGGATGGCTCCATAGTTCAGGATTTCTGCCTATTTAAAAGCAGTCGCCTTAAGCACATTTTCGTCTGTCAGTAGATGTATATTCTTCCTGCTTTTAATAATGAAAATTTCATTTTAAGTGATAATCCCTAAAAAGGATTTCCTGGCAGAATGGTTTATATCATAAGAGCGTATGGGAGTTAAGAATAATTATGCAGCGAGTATCTTTCTCCAAAGAGCTTAAAGCACTTTATGGAATTCATCTAATTAATGTTCACACTATATCCATGAGAAGGCAGTGGACAGTGAAGCATGGCTGGGTCTGAAGTGAGCTCCCATTCCATGCCTTGAGAGGGTAAGATTAAACCCAGCAAACGCAGAGTTAGTGTAGTCTACCACTGTTTGTCAGCCCATGACAAAAACTACATTTTATCACATTAAAATAAAGAGGAAGAAACGTATAAATCAGCTGAGTTTCTTTACCCTTTGGATTTCAAGTATCCTAACAGTTAAAAACACAAAAACTATCAGTTCCTTTAACAATTCCAGATGCTCTGGCATTTTAGAAATACGGTCAAAGTTTGATTAAAATGTGGAGCTTCCCTAGTAGAACAAACAATATTTACACTGCTTTTCATTCACACAATAAATGGTAAGCATTGTCAGTATGTGTGGGCATATTTACATCAACTCAAATGTTACCCAGATCTGACTGTGTACTTTTAGCCCAGACGGCCTGACAGATGAAGTTAATTTTAATATTATCTCAAGAAAAGCATTAATTATATGCATGCCTGTTAATACGTTCTGGTGGAGAAAAAGATAGAAGGATGGGAGTACATAATAGTTAGAAAGGCTGATTTGTAAACAAAAATAAAAACAACACTTCAGTACCTCTTCCCTATTTTAAATCACAGTCCACAGTTCAGCTTTTCCACTGGGATCACGTCGTAACCTGACCTGATTTCCCTAACCTGGTCAGATTTTCTTCAGAATAAAATTAATAAAAGAATTCACAGAAGGCTTACAATTTCATTAAAATAGATAAAATAGTTCCAACTTCATAAAAATTGTATTGGCACATTCAAAGACATAAAAGAATACTTATAAATTCTACAATGCATAATCTGTGAAATCTTTTTATTTGAAAAACAAAGTATTTAGCAAATAGCACTGTCTCTCCACATAGTCACACCATGCTGACAGAAGATAAACATAAGGTCAGTAGGTCTTCCTCAAAGACATCCATCCATACACTGGAGACATGATCAATTCATCTCATCACTTTCATAGTAGGGGAATAACTAGCGGATACTTTTTGCCTAAAAGCAGATTTGACTCTGATGATTATCAGTACAAATTTAAAACGTCAAGTCAATTTGGAGAAGTGCAAGCAAAGGCACCAACAAATCAATAGTAAGATTCTTTGATGTTCATCTTTTAAGATTCTCCTTTGTACTAACTCTTGACTCATACTTTCCCATTTAAAGTAACTGTTTATTAATTGAACATTGAATTACTTGAAATTTATAATACCAGCTAATAACTGGATAAGCTCTTAAGGGTGTTTCCTTACCTGTACCCAACGTACAGTTGAAAATTGTGGATTATTTCACGGGAAATTTATCCTGACTGAAATTGATAGCAATGCCATACGAAACTTTCATGAAATTTAAATACATAGCATTGCATAAAATTAAAGCAAAATAATACCATTTGAATTTAGTTTTAGCCTTTTGAGTTTGGCTAATCTTAATCACTGGATGACCACTGGCTTCAACATAGAAGAACCATATAAAAGGAAAAGTGTACAAATTATTTTAAAGTAAATGACTGATAATTTCTTACATATCTTATAAGGACTATTACCTTACTGTTGTTGACTCTACCTTTCTAGACATGCCTAGGGACTAATTGGATTACTTTGAAACAATCTCTTTTACTGCAAAAGGAAAGAATTTACAAAGGCAAAGCTCTATAGCCAATGAGTTAAGAAGTTACTTACTGAATTCCAGAGGGTGTTCCATATTATACTGTGGTAGTGAACGTGGCAGTGGTTGAAGTGGGTTCTTAGTGGATGAAAAGTGGTTCTGAAGTCGTTTAGGGATCATATGGGCTAAAATTACCATGATAGCTTCATTAGCAACACCACCTGAAGTAGAAACTGTCTCTGTATAATTTCACTCAGAACCAAGTTACTTTTCAACTGGTCTCTCCCCAGGATGTGTTCCTATTAGCTGCAAATTCTTACAACAACCTTATGGCTAATGAGGATTCAGAATCCAGAAATGGAGAATTTGTTCCTCTGAAGAAAGTTAGAATTTTAAATAAATACTGCAACTTCTGGAGACTTCTCAATTTAATGTGACTCCATAGTGATCATAGTGACCACATGGGTGAAACCTCTTCAAATTGATAAATAAAATGGAATTTCCAATTGTGTATCTTGGACAATCCATGCACAATTAGAAACAGATGTAACAATGGCTTTAGATGCATGACGGATAAACTATAAGGGCCACAGTTGCATAGTACTCTGACTCTATAAGTGTACATTTTAAACACCTTCAATGCCTTCTAAAACATAAGAACAAAAATTGTTCTGGTAACTTTGATGACTTCTACTTAATCGTTGTCTTTCTCAGAACAAATAGGTTGAACATAAATGCAATGCTGTTTGATAATTTTGTTAAAATGTTCAAATAAAAAACAGTGATTTATTAGGTCCCATCGAAAATTGCCTATTTATGTATACAATAAGCATGAGAAATCCAAAGGAAAGCTTCATGAAATTACCTTAAATGCTAGTTTTTAACCTCCTTTGAATGAGCCAATGTGTGTTCCCTTGAGAAGGAAACTTTCTCAGGTCTGTGACTATTTAAAGGATTTATTTTTCTATTGTAAGTTTTCTTTTCACATAACACCAGTGACCCTGGTGATAGTAAAGCTTTAGCACTTGGTTAAACTCCTGCGTTATAATGTATCATATTATCATATTGTATAGAAGCTGTACTTTCCAGTGGGATAGTCATTAGCCACATGTGGCTATATAAATTTAAATTAATTGAAATTAAATAAAGTTAAAACTTCAGTTCTTCATTCCCACTAAGCACATTTCAAGTTCTCAATGGCCACATTATACTGCATTTCTAACATTGAAGAATGTTCTATAAGATAGGGGTGATAGAGAGACGGCTTCTTTGTCTATCTCTGCCACTAGTTTATCCCTGGTGAGGAGGGCAGGGGTTGAGCATAATGGGTTGCATACAACGGGCACATATAAGTGCTCAAAAATACAGTGAACCAATGAATAAATCTTGTTATTATTACCACTGACACTGCCATACATTAAATACCTTTCAGATTAAAAGTGCTTTTACCTATCAGTGGTTTCCAGGGGCTGGGGTGGGGCAGGAGACTGACTGCAACGGGAGTACAAGGAAACTTTTTGAAGTGATAAAAATATTTCCTATTCTGATCACGGACGTGGTTGTAGGACTGCATATGTTTGTCAAAACTCATCAAACTGTACACTTTAAAAAGGCGATTTTTTTGTGCATGTAAATTATACCTCAATAAAACAAAAAGGAATTGGAAAGAGAGAAAGTAGGCACTTTTATTTGCATTTTAAAATTTCATCCTTGACTTTTAGAGTGACTAAACCAGATGATTACTACCGAGAAACAACAATAAAAATATTTAGAAATGTAGGATGCATCAAGTGTGCTTTGGATGTCAAGCAACTTAGGGGCACAGATTTCTAAAATTGTCTTGGGTTAACATACTGCTCAGGGAAGACGCTAGCGGGTCTCACTGGGAAGACCTCTCCCCTCCAATCTCACCCCCACCCCACTGATTCTCTAATCACTTTTGATTTTACCATCTGTTCCTCCTGGCACAACAAAGGTTCAGCAAGAAAAGTGACAGCTTCAACAACCTTGTCTTCAATGATATTTTTGAAATTATTGGAGGTAAAAATCAAATCGGTCGATTTAATCCACTATTTATTGAGTGCCTATTCATGAAGTATAAATTCATGGCTATACCAGTCTGACATGATTTCACTAATATTATATGAATCTAAAACAGTGGCCGGAAAAACGTGTGACCAATTCTGATTTCCACATTGCACAAAAGTTGACAGTGATGCACTGACTGTTCTGAGAAACTTTGAGGGTTAACTAGGAATTAGGATCATGATTTCTTGATCACATTCCCTGGAAAGTAAACCTTGTGATAGAATATGCCAAGCAATTTGGTATGTGCAAAGAAATGTAAGATTTCTGTAAGCCGTTCCTTTCTGGGTGCAGCAGGAACTTGATTGGGGATTTCCATTAGAAAAATCTCCTGCTCATCATGATGGTCAAAGCCTGACCCAGCTTGTTAATCTTCAGAGCAGAATGCAACGCACAACTGTTTGCACTATCCTTTTACTTTCACAAATTCCAGTCGCTGTTGCCTCTATGGTGTCTTTTAATTCAATGTCATTACTTCGTGTTTGTTCTCTATGGTGATGTTTATTACAAAGAGCACAAAGGGAACAATTTATGCACTAAAGGTATGTCTCTGCTTATCAGAATAAATTACCCGTATAAGTGTCTGCAAAAATAATCCCATCTACTTTTCTTGGTGAATATTGAGTAAACCGTTAACAGGGCAGTGAAGCATTTGATTATCTTCTCAAGAGAATGAAGACCTTCATGGTCATCCTCCTTCTAGGACTGAGAGAAATGCTAATTTCTCCTCACCAAGGTTATGAAGGTAGCATATCATCTTTACACCTAGCATTAGCTAAGTTTCTCAATCTCAAAATTGAAGAAGTGTTTCAGTTTGTTAAGCCCATGATGAAAGCTTGTCTTTTTCTCTCACATTCTAGTCTATAAGTAGCACAGCTATGTCTGGGGTCTTAGTTTTTTTTTAGAATAAGGATGATAGCTCTGTCTGTCTTCGATGAGGGCCTGAGCTCTAGGCCTCTGGATAGAAACAGAAGAGGTAATCTGTCCTACATGTGAATTAATGTGAGGAAGGAATGAGAAAGCAGATATAAAGTACCTAGTCACTATGATCATAATATACAATTTATAAGTGAGAGCTCCGATATCAGTAATATTGTTACTAGTATAACTCGCTGTCTTTCAACTGGTTTATTCATTTAGCTTTCTCCATATATATGGTAAGCCCCAAAGCATTTTTTTGTTCTCCTCTTTCTCAAGCCTTTCTGGTCCTATGGAAAGTGTTGGAGTTTATTGCTACAGAAATTATTTCTTTAGTTTATTGTGATCCATAGTTTGGAAGTTAAGTCTATTTTTATAGCTGTTTTTCTCCTTCAGAGCATATTTTCAATTTAACTTAGCAAACAGGCACTGTTTTTAATTCCAAAACAAAGTAATGCATAAACAAAAACTCTAACCCCAAGAGGTTCTTGATTTAGCTCTGCTACTGTGTATCCTCAACCAGATAGTTAAATTTAAGAAATGGAACTTAATGTCTTTGTCTGCTAGGTGAAGCAGTTGAACTGCATGACACCTAATGTCTCTGCCATCTCTAATGCTACTGTTTACTATTCAGTGATTTTAGTTAGCCAAATAACAAAGTTTTTAAGCAATTTTAGCACCCTAGGCAAATACACCCACAGAGTGAGGATTTTGGCAAACTATTTTAATGTTACAATGGACAGTGCTGGAAAATACGGGCTCCTCAAAACAAAATCTTACCTTGCCTATTTTAGACCCAGCTTTTTGAGAGCAAACAATCAAGTTTTGTTTTTGTTAGTTTCTTCTCAAGACTTATCCCAGGGCTTTTCTTATAATAAGTGGGTGGTAAATAATTGCTGAATAAATTATGGGGACTCTTAGAGCTATAAAAGATAGAATTTGGGATTACCTGTGTTGCTTATTAGAAAAGTTTTTAAATTAACTAAATCATTTTGTGAGGATATATATGAACTCAGTTGGCCTCACATTTGCCTTGAAGTTTTATGTTCCTGCACTTAAATCAACAGTGCTTTTTCTCATTATTTTCATTTCTTCAGACTTTTTTCCCCTAACATAGTTGATAAAATTCCTTCTGCCCACACTGAATCTTTAAAAACACAGAGTAGTTGGAAAAAACTTGTGTTTTGCTATATGTGTATAATTAGTATTCTGTATAAAGAAATGACCGTAGTTCTCTTGAATCCAGATGCTGCGTGGGGGTTAAATTTTACAGATTCAGCCATTTGCTAAGAAAAATAAGGTCAAAATTTTAGGGTAAGAAAATAATGAGAATGATTTAAACTTGTATAGTACATTTCAGTTTATAAATTTCTTTCTAAAAGTTTCTTTCTAATATAGTATTTTATTTAATTTTGACAACAAAACTGTGATGTGGATAGGTGTGCCACTTTATAGAAAAAAGCTAAACAAACTAAGATTCAGGAAGCTAAGTAACTTATTTAAGGTCACACACCTAGTTTTTGGCAGAGACATATGTTCTGGCTTCAAGTTCAAAATCCTTTCCACTATACTACAATTACCCCTACTTTACATCTAAAAACACTTCCTAGAAATGCGTAAGATAAAGGTAGTTTTTGTTTTATTCCTAAAATAGATTAATCATGTATATCAGAGATATTACAAGTTGAGAATTAGCAGGATGAAATTTTGACAGAACCAACAAGATGCAAACTGAGATAGTTTTATAATAACAGTATGTCTTTTAATAAATTACAGAGTGAATAGTTTACCAAATGTTGGGTTAAAGCAAACTTTCAGCCACAAGATTGAATCTGCTGTTTTATCCACAGATATGTGGTTTTTATTGATCTTATACTTCCATTTTATTTTAAAATGTACATTTTATGTTACCATCCTGGGATCAAAGTAACTTGAAATAATAGGACCTTAGGTAAATAAATCCTTCTGTTGGGATAAGGATGAACATGTCCATCAGAGTTGTCTCTTTTTCCTTTGCTTTTTAACTTGTGTTAGGCAAGTGACAGAATATGTTTTTGTTGTTCTCTGATCCCAGTTTTATTCTTTGTCACTTTTTTTTTCTGCCAAACAGATGCAGTATGTTTCAACAGAAAGAGTGCTCCAAATCTTTAATCATTATGAAAAACACAGTACCTTGACCTTGTATTTTAAAGTTAAATGGAGTGGCATTATAAAAATTAAATTGGTTCTTGCTCATTTCCATAATATCCTCTAAAAAGCCTTGCCTAACCTAGAGTGGATGTCCTATTTCTTTATCTTTCTTGATGATCTCTCATGCCTGCAAGTCAGCTCGTTTTTCTTTGCTGAAGACTGCACCCCACTGCTGCATGCACTCTAAAAGTTCCATTAAAATCTAGGGCATCATCACTCATTCTTATCTGCAGCAGGCTGCTGAGCAGTGCCATACCAGCAACTGCATGCAAACTAGCCTCAAAGGACAATATTAGCTATATACATTGTCATTCTGTAAAGAGAAGATTCCACCTGGATCTTACCTTATCTCCCAGAGCATATCTAGCCTTTCCAACATGGCTCCCAGTGTCAGCGCTATGAATGGGTCTCTTGCAACAGCAAGGATTACTTAAAAAGCAATTTACCAGCAAGAAATTAGCTTTTTATAGGACACCCTTTATTAAACTTGGTGTGAGATGAGCTAGCATCCTGAATTTCCCCCTTGAGCCCACTGAGACCACGCGGGCCAAAAGCTGTTTCATTTTAAATACTGTACTATAAAAAATTATACGTATTCCTCTCTGATCTTGATGAATTCTTTCTTGGGATGGATGTGTTATTAGGATAATAAGGCTTGAGAGTTGAACAATGGGCTAGGATTTGGCACTGTTCCTGTTGTCCTGAAATGTGAAGAAATGTTGATGTAACTTACTCAATGAGATGTTCCCTAACCACTGGGAATAGTTCACTGCCTGGGGACACCAGAGGAGAACTACAGAGATGGGGGAGATTGGTGAAAGAGCTGGGGTATAAAGATACAAAAAATAAAGAATATTACCACCTTTTCCTTCTTTATTATATCAAATATCATTTTTCTAAACCAATAACAGAGTACTTCTGTGGGAACGAATAAAAAAGATAATGATAATATCAAATATCATTATTGTCAAACTTGATGACTTATTTCTCCATTTTATATAACTTGTAGTACCATCATTAAGTAGTATTAAATAAGATACCCATATACATGGTACTATAAATAATTTCCTGACAAGTATTTTACTTCTTGTCTAATGAAGTGAAGTGAAGCACTTTAATGAAGTGGTGGGTGTACCAGTCTCAGAAACATTCCGAAGACTGATTTCCTAAGTCTTCCAATAAACTTTAGCTTTAGACGGTGGGTGGGGTGCAGGTGGTTAGATTGTCAGTAAAAGCACCTAAGCCCTGGGTAAATTCTCCAGACATAATAAGACTGACTCTGAAAGATCTTTGTTGAAAGGTGCTGGATACCACTCTGCCATATCTATGTAATAGTATCCATTCTTCCAACAGCTATATATCTAGAATCAACTCTGCAATATTTCACATGAAAGACTCTTTTTCTTAGAGATTTAGTTTCCATTGTTATTTCCTGTAGCTGTCTGGATGGTGTCAACCAAGGTGAACTTTGGTCTAAATGATTTTTCCTCAGTTATTAAGTAGTGTGAAGACAAAAAATAATAAAATAAATGTTGGGAAATTGAGAGGTATGCTGCTTCAGTTATGGAATCTATTTCACATAAAATAGTTATTCCAAGTCTAAAAATAATAATAAATCCAAAACCAAAATATCGGATGTGTAGTTTTAATCAAGCAAATAAATGTTTTATAGGGCCTTTTGATTAAGAGCTCACAGTGAGACTTTTTAGTAATTTATAACCGTGAATACTTTCCACACTAATTTATCAGAAGCCTTTATTACTACATTTTCCAGAATTTTCAAGGGGGATGTGGTGGGATGAATAGTTTCCCCTGAATAGTCACATGTCCCTGAAACCTTGAATGTCACCAGATTTGGAAATAGGGTCTTTGAAGATGTAATTAGTTAAGAATTTCAAAATGACATCACCATGAATTTAGGGTGGGCTCTAAATCCAAAGACTGGTGTCCTTTTGCGGCACTATTCACAATAGCAAAGACTTGGAACCAACCCAAATGTCCAACAATGATAGACTGGATTAAGAAAATGTGGCACATATACACCATGGAATACTATGCAGCCATAAAAAAATGATGAGTTCATGTTCTTTGTAGAGACATGGATGAAATTGGAAATCATCATTCTCAGTAAACTATCGCAAGAACAAAAAACCAAACACTGCATACTCTCACTCACAGGTGGGAATTGAACAATGAGAACACATGGACACAGGAATGGGAACATCACACTCTGGGGACTGTTGTGGGGTGGGGGGAGGGGGGGAGGGATAGCATTAGGAGATATACCTAATGCTAAATGATGAGCTAATGGGTGCAGCACACCAGCATGGCACATGCATACATATGTAACTAACCTGCACATTGTGCACATGTACCCTAAAACTTAAAGTATAATAATAATAATAATAATAATAATAATAATAATAAAGAAAAGAGTGGACACAGAAAGACACACAAAGAAGAGGGTTATGTGAGGTCAGGAGCAGATGTTGAACTTGTGCTGCTTGAAATCAAGGAACACCTGGGGCTACCAGAAGCTGGAAGAGGCAAGGAAGAATTCTTCCCCAGAGCCTTCAGAGGGATAATTGACCTTGATTTTGGACACCTAGCTTCCAGATTTGTGAGAGAATAAATGTCTATTAAGCCACCCAGCTTGTGGTAATTTGTTACATCTGTGTTAGGAAACAATTGCAGGGAGTATGGTTGTTATTATCCTATATTGCCAAGTGCATACGAAATTTGGTTTAGCATCTATTGGTCTCCCAGAGACACGTCAATCTTAAAGGATGCTAAAAGCTGGTAGGCTTTAGGTCCAAAGATTGACTAGAAGTAAAGATTTCAGGCCAAATACACAGCAGCACAGGTTTGGGGGGACGTGGTGGGGAGAAATCTTGTAAAGTCAACAATCCATTTTCTAGTTACTGTCTAGTCACGCATTATAAATGACACAAACAGCTCACCCTTGAAGTCTTAACATTATGAACCTCATAAATTTTAAAAATCAGAATAAAGTCTCTGAATATTCAGCTAACAGTAAAGTCTTTAATCTAAATGGATGATGAAAATGGAGAGAATTTATGTTAGCTAGAAAATTAAGACTACTGAATAATTTTTCTTTCAGCTAGTGTTCCATATAATGGTGATATTTTGGCATATATGTAAGATAACACTTACTAAAAAAGAAATTATCTGATGCATGTGAAAATTTAGAGACAGGTCATTACTACCGATCAAGATGATTTGCTACTGCCCATTTGAGAGTATAAGGGGACAGTGGGCTCCGGTGTGACTATGAACATATGCCCTCAGTAAGCAGGGCAGCTTGCATCCCTGAGAAGTAAATGAGTATAGATGTGCTCTCCTCAAAAGCTTTCCCTTCCCACCAGGAGTGTTTGTAAATGTTGAGGCTAGGTGGAAAGAGTTGGAATAGGATACATTTTTGCAAATGATATAAAGAGGGTGATATGAATACAGAATTGTGGAGCTTTGAAGAGAAAGGGAATAATGATTAGCATTTACTGAGTACCGATTTTGTGCCAAATCTTGTTGAGCATTTTTAATACACTCATTTATTTAATTCCAACAAGAGTTCTGCAGTATGAGTAGTACCTATTTTACAGGTGAGGTAATTGAGGATCATAGGATTAAAAAAAATTACCTGAATTTACACAGTATGTGTGGATGTAAACAACGTGCTTTGCCATTCTCTTGTATTCTTGGACCTAAAAGACCTAACGGTGTGGTTGTATAAGCAAAATGGATAGACTTGAAAGTTTTAGTATGAATAAGAGACTGTGGTAGAAAAACATTTTTTAAAACTGTAGATTTAATTAAGTCTCAAAAATGCTGCATGAAAAATAAGTGCTATAGGAGGTAAGAGGTGGGAGAATCATTTAACTGTTCACAGAGGAGTGTGGCTGTGAGCTGAAGATGGAGGATTAAAAGAGAAGCAGGATATCATAGTCTATGTGGAGTCTACATAGAGGAAGAGGCAGGAGAACTTCTGGCTTGAAACATGAGCATGATGGAACCTGAGGGTCCTCCTAAGTAGGTATAAGAGGGAAAGTTGAAAAGTTTGCATGAACCCAGAATATGAAAGTCAGAATATGCAGATTAACTTGAGCCTGTGAGGACTAGAAAGCCACTGATACGTTTTGAGCTGGTAACTAATGTAATGAACCTGATATATTTCTCAGGAAGATTAATAACATAGCGGTATAGTGAGAGATTGGTAATGGGGAGATGGGAAGGAAGCTAATCCTATATTCAAACATGATTATTTTTAGAAACAAATAGAAACAGAGGAAATAGAAAATAACAAGAGGAAGGAAGAGATATCCACAAGATTGCACATGACTAGAAAGGCACAGGAAGAGGTCAAAAGTGTCTGAAGGATAACTGAAAATAAAGGGAGTCAGTCAATCTTTTAGCTGCTATTGCTGGGGGTCTCTGTAAATAAGTTGCTTTCCAAGTTCATGGCCTTTGAAGCACCCTTCATTACAATCAGTGCGTTTTTCTGTAACACACAACGTTATCATAATTTTGTTTTATGAGGCATAGGGCAAAGAGGCAATATGCATTTTTAAGTTCTTGAAATCTATGCATGTCTTTAAGTTAGTAGACATAAATAATTTTTAAAATCCTTCACGATTGAATTGAAGTAATTATGTTGACTACATATTCAATGAAAATTACTTCATTATTCTCTAAAGAAAATGGACAGAGATTACTATTTTTATTTGGAGAAAGAAACACTTAAGTCTATGGGCCTGAAAGGGTTAATACAATTAATGCATTTTTAAAAGTCTATATTACTCTCAGATGATAACTAATTCACTTGAAGAACTTAGTTTGATACATTTAGAGGCTCCTTGGAGTTCTTCAAAAGAGGTTGCTACAGAGTTCCAGGGTATTATAATCATTATTAATTGCAGTATTTTAAAGTTCACACCAGATGAGCTTCCAAGAAAAATGACCCAAATTTATTTGAAAGGTCACATATATTTATTTTACTTATCCAACCACATGGTGATAAAAATAGGGAAACCATGATAAAATCCAGCTCAACTAGGTAGGTAGTATGGTATAGCAGAAACGAGTCCCTGGATTTAAAATCTGAGAGCTGATTTCCTCTTTGATTCCTTCATGT
Organism: Homo sapiens; assembly: GCF_000001405.40. Taxonomy (NCBI): domain Eukaryota; kingdom Metazoa; phylum Chordata; class Mammalia; order Primates; family Hominidae; genus Homo; species Homo sapiens. The sequence goes on from NC_000023.11 coordinate 32,009,974, forward strand.
ACCAATTGTGTGATTTTAACTATACTGCTTAATCCTCATATGTCTTAATTTCTCAGCTGTAAAATGGGCATAATAATGTTTGTCTTACCTCAGTGAGGACAAATTTTTTTTTTCAGTGCTGTAATTCCAGCAGCTAGAACTGCGTTTGGCACAGAGCAGAGGCTCAGAAATGTTTGTTAAATTAACACGTGAATGAATGGATAATGAATGTTGTGCGCATTCAGTAACATGAAGCACATGAATGTACATATATTTAAATTTTGCATCCATATCTATTAAATACCATCTGGATATTTTATCTATTATATCTGGGTAATGAAAATAACTATACAATGCTGTGCTACTGCCCGTTTCTTTCCAATTCTGCATTCAATGACGTCACACTGGTAGCTTGAAATTGGCTATGCTGGAGCATTTGTGCAACAAAATTTGCCAAATGCTGCAAATCAGACACTCTCTCTCCCCGCCAAGAGCCTCTTGTTAAACATTTACCAGCAAACCACTGTTCCAGGTCCTCATTATCTGGCCTCTGCTTATACTTTGTTGTCTTCTATCTTCTCTACAACTTTTGCTGAAGTCATTCTGAAATACTAGCAGTCACCAAAATAATCCAGGCTCTGGGCGTCACTGCACAATCTCCACCTTGCCTTGAAAATTTCCCTCCTAGAAATACGTATCATGTCTTAGCTAACACTTACTCGGATATCCTTGAAAGCAGTCTCTGACTACCCCAAGTTAGACTTGGGTACCTCTTCCATGTGTTTGGCTATCACTCAGTGGTTATCACCATGACGGTATTATCCTAACGTATGATAATAATTGCTTGTTTACTTGTGTGCCTCCCCTGAGAGCTCTTTGAAGTACAGGGACTGTCTTATTCCTAATTAGAGTTTCTGTATCTTGCTTCTACAGGAGCTACCCAATAAATGATAGTTCCATGAACAACTAAAAAACCCCAATCTGGTTTTGTACATGTTGGCAATTCAGGAAGGCTAAGTGTGTTATTAGTCCAAGAAATGTAGTGAATAGACACAACCACTCTTACATAGGCACTCTGTGCTTGACATGATTTCCTGAATGTTAGTGGGGGAATCCGTTACACTAATCCACACAAGTAGTCGTAATGCTGCTGGCAATTTCCCAGACATTAACAATGAAGATCGTTGGCTTAATGCAAATCATTGACGCCTGTGACAGATCAAGTCAATATTAATTCCTGTCTGATACTTTTCTTGTGACATTTGAAGTCATCTCTGTTTTGTCTAAAAATCTTATTCGTAGGACAGCCACCTACAGGGCCACCCAGAATGGCTCATTAAGCCAACACATTTCTTTTGCATCTTTGTGCATGAAGGGATCTAGAGAAAAACTATATTATTCCTGTTTTTTCCCTCCTGCCTCACACAGGTCAGTTGTTGCACCAGTCATTGTCTATTTCCCTTAAGATCATGTCCCCCTGGGAACTACATTTCCCAGACTCATATGCCAATGGACTTCTCTGGATGGAATACGTCAATGTGTGGCAATAGCAGGGAACTAAATGGCAGGGAAAATACGGAATTCAGGGTATTTCTCCTTCTCTCTGCTCTGGAAGGTATTTTGTGGCTTATGGCTGAATCCCCTCTTGTGTTCCAACTTTCTGCTTGACGCATCCTCCTCCTGTGGTTGCAGGTCCTGCCGAACAGGACAGGCCCCACCTGATCCTAGCTGCCTCCAGACGACTTCAAATTCTGAAATCTCATGTCACCTTGTGCTTAAAGCCCCAGCCATAAGTGAGAACAGCTTCCTGCGACTGCCAATCCCTGGGTTGTTTTGATCTTTTCTCGTTTGGCTTCTCAGGACTCTCATCACCTACGGAATTAATTTCCTCTATTAAACTCCCTCCCTTGGTACTATTTGGAGGAGTTCTCTTTATTATTATTGTTTTTTAACCATTTTTTCTTCATAGTACTACTATCTTATTTGGTGATGAAAATCAAAATCAAAATATTCTGAATTATCTTTGGCTTCCTATTTTATCTGACTCCTCAAGTCTAAACAGTTGTCAAGCCCCCCCAGTCCTTTCAACTTTCATTATCTTCTTTCATTTCTATTCTCATTCCTGGGACAACAATGTGATGGCCATTGCCTTTTCCCTGAAATATTGCAATAGCCTACTAATTGGGGCCTTTGCCTTCAGTCTCTTTCCCTTCTCTGTTTACTAGGAATATGGATCATAGACTTTACTTAAGCCAGCTTGGATGGATAGAAAGATAGAAGGGATTATTGTAAGGTTTGAGGTGAGACGATAAGGGAGTCTCTGGGGAATTCAATAACAGCATCTGTCATAACTCTGAGCATGACAAAGAATGAACATATAGGTGGTCCTGGATTCAAGGCAACAGTAGAAATCTCATCAGTAAGAGTTCAAGCAATTTCACTGCACTTCTCTTCCATTATTGTGCCTCAGTCACCCCCTAGGTGTCTCCCTCATTTGTTTCTGCATTTACCCGGCTGCTACTGTTTCTTCAATTTCTTCTCCCTCATAATTCTGAATTGTACATAGCTTTCAAGGCTACAACTCTGTCATGTTATTAAAGCTATACAGCTTCTGTATCTATTCTGAAATTCTTGGGTTTTCCAAGAATAGAAATCTGATTGTTCAGCTAACTTCTTAATGCCAAGCTCTGGTTTCAATCAACCATGTAGTGGAGGCAGTTACGAAGGGCCCGAATGCACCCTTTTACTGGGATAGGACACAGGGCAGTTCATTTAGGAACAGAGTGATAATCTATTATCCAAACAAGGATATTTTTGAGAGCAAAAGGAGGCCCAATAAATGATTACATAGGATAAACAAGTAGAAAGTGGGATTGTTCTGAGTAAACTGCAACTTACAGTCAACGTATAGAGTACTCCAGGCAGGCAAGTATTGTAAATTGAGTCTATTTCCACTTGTTAGTTTCTCTACTGCTCTTCATATATATACTGAATATCTCTTTCTCAGTGTAGAATGTCATTCATTCTTCCCTAACATCAGCCTGATCCCACTGCTACGTCAAGTGTGTGTTGAAATATTTTTTTCTCCATGAAGCCTTCCTTGATTTAGCTAACAGGAAATTAATCTTTTCTTTTCTTTCCTTTTTTTTTTTTTGAGATGGAATCTTGCTGTTGCCCAGGCTGGAGTGCAATGGCCAGATCTTGGCTCACTGCAACCTCCACCTCCCAGGTTCAAACAATTCTCCTGCCTCAGCCTGCTAAGTAGCTGGGATTACAGGTGCATACCACCAAACCCGGCTAATTTTTGTATATTTAGTAGAGATAGAGTTTCACCATGTTGGCCAGGATGGTCTCGAACTCCTGACCTCGTGATCTGCCCACCTTGGCCTCCCAAAGTGCTGGGATTACAGGCGTGAGCCACCGTGCCCAGCCAATTCATCTTTCTTTTTATAATAAATGCAAATCGTACTTCAACTGTGCATTCTAGGGCTTGTATTTATTTTCTATTATACATTATAATTTTTATGCATGTACTTTGTCTAATAGGTGTAAGTTCTTAGGGAGAATGAGCCATATTTAATACATTTTTGTATACCCCACATGGCCTAGCCAATACTTTGCTTATAGTTGGTAGGCAATGAATATTTATTAAACGAATGATTGCTGAGTTTTCTGAAAACATCATTCTTGCCATTGTTGTTTTGAGCTCACTCAATTATTCTGGATCCTGATGTCTATGAAATGCAAAAAGATAAGATATTGATCACGTCTAAATTAGAAGAGTGGTGAGATAAACAGAAATAAGAGGATTGGAAGTTAACTTATTTACATAATCTGAAGAATGTTTAACTGGAAATAAAACGGACAGAAGACATTTTGCTTCTGAAGAGATAAACAAGGAATCCTAGATAATTGAAAGAAAAGGAATACATTTATTTCTCAATGAGTATTTGTTCAATCCATACATGATTTATTTAGACAAATATCTAATTTGAACATCCCCTTGGTTTCTATAATTTATAACATCATTTACAAGTTCAATTTAATGTATATGGAAATCATAGTGCATATCAGTTTTGCTATTTTTAAAAGTGCTTCCTAATGAAAAGTTCTGATATTTCAGAAAACATTTACATTCTTACATAAGAAGCAGTTAAATAGTAAACTTCCATTAGTAGTTAATTAAGAAGCATTATATCACTCTTCTATATTTGTTAGTGTATGTAACATGAATCAAAGCCACCTGAAGTAATTCATGGGGTCATAACGTGCACTTTTAGTGTATGATGCATGTTATTTAATTTCAATTAAAATGAAGTTTCAGTTGTTCTTCACACAGGCCTTTTTCCCTTAATAATACAGATTCATTTCCATAATACTTTAGGTGATATGTATGATTGTATGATACATAATAGGTTTTTAGCATTTTTAATACAACTCTACATATCCAGGAATCCAAGCATTGGAAATTGACCCCTTGGGCCTCGACCAAATCAAGTACGTGAGACAAATATGAGCCTTCGGTACAACTAGAGTAGATTTATTTTATTCCAACCATTATGCTCCCTTTAGCTGTCACATATTATGACCTGGGAAAAGTTGCTAACTTCTCTATAGTACAGTTTTCTCACCTGATAAGCAAGGAGGATCCCTACCTTCTACCTCCCAGAGCTGATGTGATTATTAAAAGCCAGTTAGAATCTTCACATAGTAAGTGTTCAATAAACACTTGCCATTACTATTACTAGTAACACACGAAGAACCCTGAAAGAACATAAGTGAAGGTCAGAAGACAAGGTGGAGACTATTATGAAAATGTTTAGAAAAGTTCTAGTTGGGTCAGAGATTAAAGATTAAAACGTTTAGACCCACTTAATTAAAAGACAAATTTTAACATATTAGTAATAAGCCTCATATTAGTACTACTAAGCATACTCAAAATAGGTAAGACTACTGAAGGTAAAATCAAAGCAGTACCAGAATATCTGAGGCACATTCTCCTTTTGCGAAGATGGTAGTTCTTAACACCCTTGTGATTTGCCTAAGATCTTAACATACTCTCAAACACATTAATCCTTTAATCCTAGAACAGTGTTTCTCAACCTTAGCTACACTCTGGGATCATTCAAGAAATATTTTAAAATACTGATGTCTGGGTCCTGCCTCCATAGATTCTGATTCAATTGGTCTAGATGTGATCTGGGCCCGGAATAGCTCAACTGTCTCCCCAGGTGATTCAGATACGCAATCAAAGCTGAGAACCAACAGTTCGATCGACGCTTTTCAAATTTTGACATGAATAAGAATCACTTGGAGACCTTGTTAACCCACAGTTTTCTTGGCCCTACTCCCAAAAACTCTGATTTAGTAGGCTTGGGGTGGGGCCAAGACTTTCTAGTTCTAACAAGCTTTCAGGTGATGCCGAGCATGATGGCCTGTGAGTAGCGTTCTGAAACTTGAACATTTGGAGTGTCAGAACCCCCTGGAGAGCTGGTCACAACAAAGACTGCCGGGCTACACCCCCTAGAGTTTTCAAGTGAGATCTGGAATGGGGCCCATGCAGGTCTAAGTTCCCAAGTGATGCTAACGCTGCTGATCCCGGGACCTCCCTTTGAGAACTACTACTCTAGATAAAAAGTACTTACTCTCCATCTGCATTTTTAAAAACATCACTTTAATAATCTACTGGCTTTCAAGACATTTTCACCACTAAACACCTTATCATAGCAGCTTCCACGGATTGCTGTGCCTTTGGATTAGAGAAACAAGTACATAAGGCAAAGGACATATATATTCTCCCTGTCTACTTGGATGCACAGCTGCCCAGCACCCAGAAACCATCTGATACCATTCACCAAGCTGATGGATTGTGTGTTGTTCATTCTGCTCCTTATCTAATAGTTCTTTTATTTAACTAATGACTGTAATTCTCATTAGATGCTGATAGAACACTAAGTTTTTTTTGTGGAACTTGGCAAAACTACTCATGGCAGGACATCAGTTGGTGAGCATTACCTAGGCAGCAACACCCAACCCTCCCGCTGGCCTGAGCAGCAGGTGCTGGTGCTGTTAGTAATGTCGACATAAGGAGGCAATGGTTTCTCTGGCCATGGAAGATATGTTGTGATTTAATTCAAGAATTCCTTCAGTTTAGAGGTCTATTAAATGACCTTCTGTTATGCAATCTGCAGTCATGAAATCTTAAAGAAGAGAAAACACCTTTGTTTTAGCCTAATGGAGAACAATCCCAAGGATCTGGGAATACTATTATACTCTATTTCACCTTAATGTCCTCGCACTTGTTGTTCTGAAAGCCCCTCCCTTTCCCTCCTGCTTCCGGGTCACCCTTACTCATCTATCACATCTATTTTAGCACCCAGACTAAGATAGTACCACCCGAGTGAAGTCTTTCTCAAATGTCCTATCTCTGGTCATGCTGCCTAGTTCTTGGAGTGCATTTCCGTCATGGTACTCATTACACTGCATGAGAACTGGGATTATCCTACTCACCTCCCCACAAAGCACAAGCACATAGGACAGAGGCGGTATCTAGCACATCTTTTTCTCTCCAGCACTTCCTAGCAGTGCCTGGCACAGAGAAGGTACATACGTAACATCTTCCACAAGAAGTTCTTTGAAGCACCAATCCCACCATCTGCTATACTTGCTAGTGTTTCCAAGATACTTCTGGATCCCTCGGTATTTCTTCCAAATGTAGTGTTTATGCCTTTGATCATCAGTGATCATTTCACAAGTGTGTGTGCTAGCCCTGACCATAAGCACCATGAGAATCTATTGTGTTCACAGTTTTATCATCAGCATTTTTAGAATATATGGCACTTGCAAGTTCTCAGTAAATATCTGCCTGATGAAACAAATAAGTTTCTGTAAAATGGGCTGTTAAACACAGATGAAAAGTTTTTAAAAACATCAGGGCTTCAGTTAAGTAAATATTTGGGATAAGAAGCTGTAAATACTAACGTCGAGTGCAACAAATATGTCAACACAAGAAGTCATTGAGTAGAAGTATTGTCATAAAATGTGTTGGGAGCTTTTTATGCTCCCATAAAATGCTTGGGGAGCAATCCTTTTGCATTTAGAGACCATTTAGTATTTCTTTTGGAAACGGCTTTGTTTGAATTCCCATTCCATTTACGGGCTTCTTCCAAAGAATTTCTTCTCAGATATGTCTGGAATCTCCTTTTTACCTTTTGATTGGTTATTGTTTGGGCAAACACTCATTGTCAACTAGCAACTGATAAGTAAAGGGAAAAATACAATTACCAGTTTTTCAATAATTTTGAAGCATCAATAGAAACGGATTAAATATCACATTGCCTTCAAAAAGGGGCCAAGGTAAGGGAGATAAAAGAGGCAAATGGGAGTTTGGAAGCTCTGCTCAAAGTATTATGAATGTTTTACAATGTATTTCAGGTCAACAAACATTGGCATCGTCGTTGCATTTTTCAGAAAAGAATGTAAGCTGGGAAAAAAGTTTAGAGGCAAATTAAGACTTGAGAGACAGTTCTAAGTGGAAATAAGGGGGATGGGAAAAGAACCCTGTATTGAAACATCATTGATTTCCTTCTCACCCATAAACCTACACTCTGCTAAAATGTGTTAACTGCAGCAAAATGATTAACTCGGTGAGTCTAGCATGTGGGAAGTAAATGACATATGTAACGAGGAACTGGCCTGGAGGTAGCGCCAGAAGTATATCCAAGATGGCAAGATGAAGCAAGAGTACAACAACTTCCTGGTGTAGTGCCTTTCAGAAAATCTCCCTCTGTTTTGTTGCACATGACTTCTTTATCTTACTCAACTCATTGTGTAATAAGGTAGAAGTAGAAAGAACATCCTTCAAAATTATTGGAAAGTGACAGAATGTTTGAGTGGATGGCTTTGCAAACTGTTGAAAATGTTTCATCCTCAATACCAAATGACATTTCTGCTAGCATAATGCCATGCTTTTTTCCCCCTTCTAATACTATACAATATTAGATTTTGCATGGAAATCACTCCATGCATCCATTTGACAATTTATCGAGTACCTGTTTCAAGTGCTATGTACTGAGAATGCGCCCACGAACATGACAGATAATATATCTGCACATAATTTACAGTCCAGTAAGAATTACAGCTTAGCTTCTTCCTGTCTTACTCCAGATAAAGACCCTTTTCCCTCATTCCACCCTCTCAAGGTGCATAACTTAATAAGTCAGCATGCTTAATACTGTTCGATCTAATTGTCTTGAGAATGTCATTTTCTTCCCATCCCACCTTTTTCAAAAGTATTTAATGACTCCTTTTTGCACAGAGGTTCACATTCAAGCTCCTCAGGCTAACAACTCATCCCACTGTAAATTTGTATTAATCATATTCTAATTGTCCTCTTTTGTCCCTCAACATGGGCCTGCCACTCTGGTCACTCCTTGGCTGCTCAATATACCACCCGTGTTCTTTGCGGGGGAGCTCAAGTCATTTGTTTTTTCCTTTCATCTGAAGACACATTTGGGTGAGACTTGGGGATTTGTATGTTTAAGCACCCAGAGTGACTCTGACATACCACTACTCTATCTATAAACTCTGCTTACAACCTAAGGCCAATTCAGATCCTACTCTTTCTAGAAAACATTCATTAACTGTTACTTCTCATCATGATTTCTTCATTCTTTATAGTACAATAACACTTACTGTCTCATTTATTTCGGCATATATAGTTCCAGAGCTATGTAATTACGCCTGTTTCATAGACACAGGTCTTATCCCTCCAATGAGAAGACATGTTCTATAGGAGAAGCAGCTATTATCTTGGACCTGTATTGAACTTCTCAACCGCACCTAGCATGGCTCTAAGTATACTTGCAGCATACATTGTGTACTTATTTTATTTTAACATCATGACTCTTCTAGCAACTTTTGTGAGTTGCATTTAACTTTTTCAGTCTCTGTAGGGCTTACTTCACAATAGGTCTCAGTGAATGAATTAACCCTTAGAGTGTCCGTTTCATCTAAAGGAGGATTGCCTGTTTTTGCAAGTTCCAGCATCTAATGTTTCACCTTGAAAAATATTAACCCTGATGTAGGTCAAATATATGTAAAGCTGTATTAACTTTGTTTTTCAAAGACATCATCATTTTTTTCTTTTTTCTCTGTGAGGGCTTTTTTTTTTCTTTTATAAAGTAAAAATAATTTCAAAAATCATATTGTTCTCTTGTGATGAGAAAGCACATACAAAATTTTATTTAAGCAACTTGAACACGCATCAAATTGTTCCCTTTGACAAAAAGAGAAAACTACTTGTCTGGGCTCACTAGATTACCATGTACTATGTCACGACGAATATATTTCTAAAGCCAAACATGAAAATTTAATTATCTTGAGCTACATAATTGTTCTTCTTTGGCTTCTTGCCGAATTTTATAATTTTTTCAATAGATCGAACTGAATTTACAAGATAATCTTTGAATTTAAAACAAAGTACATTACTTTTTAAGCCAGTAAGTTAAAATTCCAATTCTAAAATATTACAGTGCACTCCCAAAGCATTGTGGTTTAAAATATTCAAAATTATATAATGATAATCTCAGTGCTTTTCAGTTTTAAGGTATTCATGTTTTAGTCAAATGTGATTATACTTTTATTCGTATCTTTCTTACACATGTTTCAAAGCTCGTAAAATAATTATCTTATTTGTTCTAAAACTTCCTTACGTATGCTGTACTTTGTCCCATCTCAATGAAATTACATGCAGCAAATTTGTTCCTAAGTCTTGTGTTCAACACTGAGACTGTAATTCCTGACGCTGTCATTCTACTTTTTGAAAATTTTACATTCAAATAGAATATCTCAACTCTTTCTATTTGTCTGTCTTCAGATAACTTATTTTAGTTTGTTAAATCTCAGAATTTTCACCCTATTCATGGGGCTAAGTTGAATTAATTCTTAAATTGTGAGGATTTGGAGAAATTATAGATATTAAAGCCCTAGCACAAATTCTGAAACATAGCGGCTTTTTTGCAAATGTTCATTTTGCCTATGGATCCACCTGCAAGGTGGGCAAGGAAAGGGTTTGTAGTTCTATTGCATAAGGCTTTGAAATTCACTAGTAGATCACGATCAGTGGATTGAATCTGCTGCCTTACTATCTACGTTAAAGCCAGTTATCAGTCTTGCTGGCACATCAACAAAGCCTGTCTTTCTTTCAATTAAAAGTTGCAATTACAACTTGCTTTCTTTTAAACCTCTCGTAGTGATTCAACCTACTTGTCCCCAAAGCGTATTTGATTGAAAATCATGCTGGGCCGGCCCAACAAATTTCACACTTATGAGAAATTCACCAACCCTTCTCATATCATCAGCTTATTCCCCCATCCAAAAGACATTCCCAGTAAAGTAACATTAACTGTTTAGTTAATTAAAGACCATCTTCAGAATATAGAAACTGTTATGGACTGAAGTAGGTCTCCTCAACCCCATTCATATGTTGAAGTTTTAACCCCTGCAAGTGGAGGTAGGGCCTTTAAAGGGGTAATTAAGGTTAAATGAGTTCATATGGGTAGGACCTTAATCCAATAAGTCTAATGTCCTCATAAAAGGAAGAACAGCTACAAGGGATGCACATACACAGAGGAAAGGTCATGAAGGAGAAGGCGGCTATCTGCAAGCCAATGGGGGAGGACTCACCAGAAACCAACCCTGTCATCACCTTAATCTTAGACGTTCAACTTCCGGAACTGCAAGAAATACATTTCTGTTGCTTAAGCCACCCAGTGGGTGTTTACCTTGCTTAAGTCATGGATATTTTGAAATTTTTATATACAAACAAAAGTAATGCCAATTAATAATTATATCTATTTAACAACTAGCTATATATTTTATATATCCAAAGTTAATCAACCGAATTGACCCAGTAAGTGTAATCTTTGCTTATGTAAACAATACAAACCCTTAGCTCATTTAGATTGGCTCCAATAAAATATTTTTTAAATTCAGTTAAAGTCTTAAACATGGATCACTTACATAGCAAATATGTGTGCACTACAAATTGCAGCTAATCAATCATTTCTATTTATGTGTGCATACCCTATGACCTGACAATACTACTAGCGAATACTGTTGAGAAATTTTTAAACATGCACTATAAAACATATACAAGAACACATGTGTGTTGTGGTTTGTGATGAACAAAAACATAAAAACAACCCAAATGTCCATACGCATGTAAAATATATACATTGTGTTATATACATACAATGAGTTGCACATTGATGAACGTAAATATGTAAAACATAGTATTGAGAGAAAAGAATTCACAGAGAAGATTAGAGATGGGGTGGTTCCCTTAATATAAAGTTCAAATCCAGGCAAACTAAAACTAGCTACTCTTTAAAGATACAAATACAGGTGTTGAACATACGTTTTTTAAAAAATGAGCATTGTTTACTAGAAATTCAAGATAATGGTTACTTTTGGCTCTGGGGGGAAGGAAGGTGATTAGCAAGGGGTAACATAGGGAGCTTCTCCCAAAATACTGATGGTGTTCTTCTTATTTGAAACTCAGAATGTTGGAACACAGATGTTCATATTATTCTTTAAACCTGTGCTGTCCAACACGGTAGCCATTAGCCACCTGTGGCTATTGAACAATTCAAATGTGACTAATGCAAATTGCAATGTGCCATAAATGTAAAATATACACTAGATTTCAGAGACTTACTAAAGAAAAAGGTTAAATACATAATTAGTAATTTTTATATTGATTACATATTTAAATAATTGTGATTTGGATATACTAGGCTAAATAAAGTATCCTATTACATTAATTTCTCTGTTTCTTTTTCTAATATGGCTAGTAGAAAATTGAAAACTACGTATTTGACTCACATTATATTTCCATTGGACAACACCACTTTAAACACTCCCTGTAAACGTTTATATTGTGATATATTTCATAATAAAAAATAAATATGTGTTAATTGTATAATAAAATCCAGGTTTTCACCCTTAAGGATAAAAGGAGTAGTTTTCCTTTCTAAATACAATATAAACCAGTTCAATGGAACTTATAAAACTATGGACACCTTCTAAGTAAGTCATTTTTTTTAAAGTAGTAGGTATACATTACCTCAATCATTCAAAAGCAATGAGATGTGGTTAATTTCAACACATATACAGAATCACTTTTTTAAAATCTGCTCTAAAAATCCAGAAAAGGGGCCTGGATTTTCCCAAAGGCAAATCTGAGTGGTGAGTTGATATATTGAATTATCACTGAGAAAGAAACCAAAATTCAATGAAATCTTAATATAGCCTACGTGGACAAGTATACAAAATTTGAGCATAGCAACGATACAATTTAAGGATTTTGCTCTAAACTAATTCAATAATTAGGGAAGCTACAGAATGCCTATATTAAAAATTATCTCTCCTTTGTGGAACTCAATCTGACCATACAATTTGCAAAGCAGATAAATTACATAATTTAGCATTGAATACTTCATCTGAATAGTAAGGTATGAATATCTAATGGCCTCTCTGTTTTCTAAAATCTGCTAGAGTCAGAATGTCATGTACAAGTTCTAAAGAATTTTTAAGAGAAAAAGGGAATTAAAGGTTATTGAGACTTTGAAATCTATTTTTATCAGTTGACACTGGAAGAGAAACGTGGGTATACACACATACATATATCTTCTGTCTTTATAGTTTATATAGATTCAATGGAAAATAAATTCAGAATCTGAAAATGAATTTTGATCAGGCCACAGGATGTGTGATACACAGAATGGGGAATGCAAACAGGGAAACAATGTCATATATTGCAAAAAAGGATTTGTTTGGGCTTGGAATCAAAGAGAACTCGGTATAATCCTCTTTTTTTTTTTTTTTTTTTCTTCTGAGACGGAGTTTTGCTCTTGTCGCCCAGGCTGGAGTGCAATGGCACGATCTCGGCTCACTGCAAACTCCGCCTCCCGGGTTCAAGTGATTCTCCTACCTCAGCCTCCCGAGTAGCTGAGATTACAGGTGCGTGCCACCACGCCCAGCTAATTTTACTATTTTTAGTAAAGACGGGGTCTCACCATGTTGGCCAGGATGGTCTCAATCTCTTGACCTCATGATCCGCCCGCCTCGGCCTCCTGAAGCGCTGAGATTACAGGCATGAGCTACTGCGCCCGGCCAGAACTTGGTATAATTCTTCCATTCACTTTCTTTGCAACTTCGGAAAAATTTCTAACTTATGAACATCAGTTTTCTCAATTACTGTATAATAACTATGCTATCACTTTGAAGGATTCCTAGGAGCATTAAATGTAGGGTGCCTGTCCTACTGCAGGTATCTAAGACCTGGGGGGTATTATCATCTTAGTTTATCATCAAATAATGCTAGAGAAGGAAACCAGCATTAGTTCTGCTGTTCTACCCTCTTCACTAACAGAATTTGATAATCTACATTTGAGTGAGACCTCTAAATAATAGAAGACATGCAGCTAGTCACAATATCGACGTGTATGTCTCACTCTGTCAATAAAACTGCACTTACAAAAACAGAAAAGCAAAAAATATTTTATTTATAATGTTAAAGGAAGAGAATGGTGCTCCTAAAAAGAAAAGGGACATAAATATGTTAAATTGACATAAATATGTCAAGAGGAAAATAGCATTTCTCTTTGAATATACCAAAAAGTACATATAACATCACAGCACTATTCACAATGGCAAAGACATGCAATCAACCTAGGTGCCCATTAATGGTGGACAGGATAAAGAATGTGGCGCGTATACACCATGGAATACTACACAGCCATAAAAACTAACAAAATCATGGCCTGTGCAACAACATGGATGCAATTGGAGGCCACTATCCTAAGCACGTTAACGCAGGAACAGACAACGAGTACTGCATGTTCTCGCTTAAAAGTGGGAGCTAAACATTGAGTGCACATGGACATAAAGACAGGAACAATAGACACTGGGGACTACAGAGGAAGGAGGGAGGAAGGGAACAGGCAAGGGTTGAAGAACTAGTGGTTACCATGCTCGCTACCTGGGTGGTGGGATCATTCATATAGCAAACCTCATCATCATGCACTATATCCAGGGAACATGTACCCGCTGAATCTAAAATAAAAGTTGAAATTATAAAAAGAAAAAAAGAAAACCTCATACTAACATTCTTTGGAAACAGTTAAATGAAATTATTAAAAGTATGATGATCATGCATGTGTACTTCGCTTAAAATATTTATGTATGGGCCGGGTGTAGTGGCTCATGCATGTAATCCCAGCACTGTGGGAGGCCAAGGCGGGCGGACTGCCAGAGCTGAGGAACTCGAGACCAGCCTGGTCAACATGGTGAAGCCCTGTCTCTACTGAAAACACAAAAATTAGCCAGGCATGGTGGTGGGCACCTATTATCCCAGGTACTTCGGAGGCTGAGGCAGGGGAATCACTCGAACCTGGTGGGGGCAGAGGTTACAGTCAGCTGAGATTGCGCCACCTCACTCCAGCCTGGGCGAAAGAGCGAAACTCCCTCTCAAAAAAAAAAAAAAAAAAAAAAGTATGAAACAAACAAAGAATATATTATTTTACTATTTTAGAAGAGAAAAGCTCTAGGATAGGCAGCATAACATATGGTCAGAAGCAGGGACACTAGAGCCACTGTCTTGGCAGTATGACCTTGGGCAAGTAACTTAACCTAGTTATATCATTTGCTAGCTAAATAAGTATAATAATAAAACCTGTCCTGTGGGATTGTTGTGATGATTGCCTGAATTAATGTAGAGAAAGTAATTTGACTAACGTCTGGCTCAGAAGAAGCATTACTACAACACTTAGGCATCATCATGATTATTATCATCATCGCCATCATCATTATTACTATTGCTGAAATGAATATGAACAGAAATTAAGTCTCTGAAAAGCAGGAAGCCCCACTTTATGAGGGATCATGTGTCCAAGAAGAACAGTTGCTTTCAAATATCTTTTTGGTTGCAAAGTTTTTTTCTTCTTCAATAAATGCAACAGGGGATCCCAATACTACAATTAAATCAGAGTGCATTTAGTTGAACCTGGTTGGTAGCCTCAAGTCCTCATGTGTGTGTTTCTTTCCACTATACTTGGTGTTCTCTGAAGCAAGTCAATATCAAGTAGAACAGAGGCATTTAATGTTAAAATAAAACTAGAATAAGGCAACAAAGAACATGTATAAGGATGCATGAAGATTGTCTCTGGGTTGAGAGTACTATTAAAACAGAAATCTTGCATTTGACTTCGTATCACTTAAAAGCACTTAGAACTATTTTAATTTAAAAATCCTACTATTAAAAATAGGTTTAGTATTTAAAGAGGTAAATTCTAATTTTCTATAACTGCAGTATCTGATGACAACCACTAGCCGCATGCGGCTTTTGAAATTTAAACGTTATTTAATATTAAATAAAAATTTAGTTCCTTAGTGTCCCTGGCCATATTACCATTGCTCAGTAGTCATGTGTATCTAGTGGCTGTTGTATTGGACAGCACAGAGACAGAACATTTTTATCATCACACAAAGTTATATTGGACATTGCTGATTTAGGACATTTTGTTACATGGAAAATTATGCTGACAATATTAGGTGTGCAGAATATTACCATAAGCAATAGCAAAATACTACATGGGTTTGGGAACACTTTTCCTTTCTTTATGCACTGCAGTTAATGAAACAACTTAAATGTAATTCTCTGGAGGAATTTATTTTCTTAAGTACTTCTCTTAAAGTGTCTGCAATATGATTTTTACCTGAGAAGTGTGGCACAGTAGGAATAAAAACACGGTCAGAGTTAGCACCTTCATGACCTTGAGAAGTCAAGAAGTCTCCCTAAGACCCAGGGGCTCCAGGTAACAGGGATAATGACAGTTGTCCACCAAACCAGTTTACATGAAGAACAAGTGAGAAAGTGAATAGAAAAACCCTTCGTAAACTCTGAAATCCTAAACAAATGTTACTTATTATGATCATTTCTACATGTATTTTTTTCATCTGGATGAATGTGAATGAAGTGTATAATTTCTGTAGAAGTAGTCGAGCTAGTCTAAAGCAAAATGTCACAGTTAAAGCATTTGAGATAAGGCACATTTGTGGTCCAAAGACTCCAGGGCTACTGATTAGAGAAAAATGCATGTCTGGTTAAATACATTTATATGATAATTACTAGATAATCTGGACTTTATAATTCAGATATAAAATATTTTGTTAAATTTGATAAAATGTTGCCTCATCTCCATTTCATCAACTGAGACATTTATTTTGACTTTAGCTTTAGAGATAATAAGCTAAGAGCTGCCACTTAGAAGCATATTAAAACTTCACGAAGTTTTACAACATGCTAATTTAATGCTTTATTAGCTTATTTCATTTAAGATTACAAAGAACTAAAATGATCTTGGTGAAGTGTTGATCCAATCTCATTCCACAATGGGACTTAATTTCTGCCTAGAAGGCAAACTTAGACATTTAAATTTGGAAATTAAAAGAAAGAAACTGTTATATATCAGTGTTACTAAACCCTGAAGACAAAAACATATATAGAGAATTGAAAATTAATGTAGTTCAGCTGCCTGAGATTTAATATGCTGCCAAAACAAAATATTATTCATAAAACACTTTTCAATTGTAGAGACTAAATTATTTTCCTCCTAAATATGTTTCTTTCTCCCCTTTCAACGATTAAAAAATGTATCTATTCCTCTTTGTAGCACATAGCTGTATGTATACGTAAGAGGTTAATGCCAGTAGCTATAACAAAGAGATCCCACAATTTTAGTGGCTTAAGAAAAGAAAGAATACTACAAAATGGGCATTCCCATCTGCAAACAGCTTTTCTCTACCCAGTAATTCAGGGACTCTGAGTCCTTCCATTTTAGGCTTTTTCATCTCCTAGGTCTTTGGGACTCTTTTCCATAAGGTTAGCAAATGGGAAGTAAGAAGATGGAAAAGGTATGCCTGCAACATAACTCCCACTCACATTCAATTGGTCACAACTAGTCACATGGCTCTAACTAGATGCCAGTGGGGCTGGGAAATGTAGTTGCTGGCTTGCAGCTGGATCCTAGCAAGAACTCTATACTATGAAAGAGGGACCACGAATTTTGATGTACACTTGTCTCTGCCACAACATATGCTTGAAAGAAAAGAAAGGTTGAGTATTATGACACACACACACACGCACGTGCACACACACACACACACACAGAGAGAGAGAGAGAGAGAGAGAAGCGGGGGAAGGCTGGGGAGAGAGAGAGAGAGAGACTTTCATATTTTTCATACCTTTCATCCTGTTCTCTAGCATCTAAGTAAATAGAAATGCTGTACCTCCCCTTCTGTTAACTCATTTTTCTCCCTTAAACATGTAGAAGACAAAGTAAGTCCTGGCAGAGAAAAAAAGCTTGGTGTAAAGAAGAAAGGAATTCTTGAAGTTGGGGACACTAGAGATTATCAGTTGTTTTTATTTTTCCCTGCATCAAACCTGGATTCTTTCCTAATACCCCTTGGTTTGTAGTTCTCATTATCAGCATGAAATGAAAGAGGATGTAATTCAGGGTTATAGCCCCACCATAGGAACCCTGAACTACAGTCTTAAGAAAGTTTAAGACTGAACCCTTTAGCCTGTTACCTTACACAAAGCACTGTGGAGTCCCTTGAACTTGAGAGATCCCTCAGATTACCGTGGCAGCCTCTTATTTCACAAAAGTTATGTCATTTGAAATACAGAATCAATACATCCATCTTCTCTTGAGGAATAATGCGAGTGCTGTCAAATGCCTACTAAAGGACTGATGTAGCTATCCTGACTGCAAAATGTCCTTCTTGACACAACAAAGAGCACATCAGACCATTCAGTATTTATACAACTTGTTCTTTCATCTACCACAGATTTACTGAGCACCTGCTATGCGTTAAGCCCTAGGCCGGAAGTTATGGATACAAAGACAAACATGAGTGGGTCTTTAAGCAAGGGAGTTATAAGGTCATATTTGCATTAATAAAAGTCACTATGAAGAGTAGAGAATAAATTGAAGGAGCAAGAAGAGAGGCAGGAGAGGGAGGGAGAGCCAGTGGTGAAGAGACTGCTGAATCAATGCAGGTAGAAGGTGCAGGCTACCCAGGTAAAGAAATGACTGTTCAAATGAAAACAAGTGGATAAATTCAAGAGAGTTTATTGTAGATTTGGTAGGACCTGATAAATGAACGTGCCTTACTCGAGTATGGTGGTGCCATTGTCTGAAACAAAGAAGCAAAAGAAGAACCCCGCTCGATGGTAGGGGAAAGCTTGTGAGCTGAGTTTTTGATCTTATAGAAATTAAAAGGTTGGTCAAGTGTATGAATGGAAGCAGTTGCATATACAAGTCTGGAAGAAAGAAGATGCCAGGATGGAGGGAAAATGTAGTTGGAATCACGGAATGGATGAGGATGACCAAAGGAAAGTCTGTAATATGAAAAGTCCAGGAAAAATCCAACTTTTTGAGGAATATTAAAGGGAGAGATGCCAGAAAATGGGCTCAAAAAGGAGGGATTACTAAGACTTAGGCAGTACATGTTCATTCAACAAGGAGATTCTGGTACTACAGAAGCTAAATTCCCTTAAGAAGGAAGGCATTTTCACCCACAGCATTTTGCTACAGAATGCTCGAGTATAATCAGCACTAAAAAACATTTGTCAGGTTTGGCAACAAGAAAGTTGCTGCCGTCCTTCTTGAAGTGAACTGAAGGAAAGGAGGAAATTGAAATTTATTGAACACAAAGGAAGTGTCTGAGGAAGTGTCTTATTAATGAGATCCCAATGCGGCATCATAAGCAAGTGATGGAAGTCTCTGCATATACCATTTTTTTTTTGTGCAGTGTTATAATGCTATATTATCAAACAAAACACTTTCTTTTTCTTCATCCTCACATACACATTTTCATTTTAGAAAGTCAACGTGCTTTTACTTAGTACTAGTAAATATGTCTTGCCAAAAAGCTAAAATTGTGTAAATCATCAAAAGTCTATAATAATATTAATGCTCTGTTTTGAACATACTGAAGCCCAGGAATTGCCTTATTTCCCCCAACAACCCTGCAGCTTTTCTGAAGAGAAACCTGAGGTTCACGGATAGTAAATTATATGCCAGAGATCAAGCAGGTGGGAAGATGATAGAGATGAATTTTATCCCAGCTCTGCTGGTTCTTTCCTCCTCATTTAACGTTCCACCACCTTATTCCTTTAAGCTCCAAGTACCAATCTAGAGATTTTTATAATTAATTCCTAATGTCTGATGAAACCTGACCGACCTCATGCAAAAATATTAAAGAATACTTATTGAATAAATCAATCCAAGATACAATTGAAAATGTAATTTAATTAGGTAGAGGTCAAACTTCACAAAACAGAATATAACATAAATAATCAACACCATAGGCAATAAGATAGACATCTTATTGCCTCAATTTCTGCAGGGGATAAATTGGGAAATAAGGAACACCTAAGAATCAGAAATGAGGTAGAAATATTGAAATAAAAACTTGATCTAGAAGATCACAGTAAGTTCTTAAAACGCGGTCCTCCTAGGACCCAGCACAACACGTAATAAATGCTGCCTGGTTTGAATTGAACTTAAGGTAGCATTAACAAGAACTTGGGAAGTGCTGACACAAAATGGATTCTCTTATTCTAGACAATTCTTGTACTGAATGAACTTAATTTCTTTCAGTTCTGGCATAGTTTGGATGAATCTTCCTCATAACCATCTGGTTGTCTTCCTTCAATTCTGTGCTGCTAAACAAACTTCTGTTTTTAATTTGTTTTGCTAAGTAAACTTAGTCATGAGGAAAATGTTAGTCTATGTGGATGGTCGTGTAATATTCTCCGGTAACCTTTCCCCCATTACAAATAATCACATTGACATTGTGCTCATTATCCACTAGTTTGAACCTATGGGGTTCAATGAAGAAATGCATTTCTATGTCTACATGCTTAGCAACCAGATCCTGGTCTCAGAGATAAAATGCCAGGAAGAAATCACTCGACGATAAATCCACGTCTCAGAATTTGCTCTAAGCCTGAGAGGAGATGACGGAGTTATGAAGTGCTAGATGTTGAAACTCTTATGTGCAGACTTCTTGAGAATGGAGTTAAAAAATAAAAACAGAGAAAATCAAAGTCAAAGATATAAAATGTTGAGAAATCAAACACCTGACATTAGCTATGAGAAATGTTTATGGCAAACACTGATCCTCGCTTTCTCCCAACAAGCTGTTATCTAATTGTTATTTGTTGTGTGATCTATATCCACCATTTCAATCAAAGCATGAGCAAGACTTATTTCAATAGCCATAGCATTGCTCCCAGACAAACTTATTCATTCCTCCTCCATTCATTATATTTAGCTCTGTTACAGCATCAACTGTGGAATCCTGAAATAATTCTCTTACATGTCTGCCTCCTTCACCAGATTGTGGAGTCTGTGAAGGAAATTATGTACTCTACAAATATTTATTGAACACCTAATATGGACCAGAGACTGTTTTAGATGATAAGGAGATAGCAGTGATCAAACAGTCAAAAATTTCTGTCCATGTGAATCTTACACTTCAAGTAATGGGGGATGATGTAAATTTGGCATTGAAGAGGTTTGGCTTGTAACTTGGAATCATTATTTTCTAGCTCTATGACCTTGGTAAAGTCACTTGACCAAAACTTGAGCTGTCTTATTTATAAATTGAGGATCATAATACCTTATAGCATGGCTATAAGATTTTAATGAAATGATATCATATGGCCTAATAAAAAAGTAGCTAAGCTTTACTGTATACCTGTTTTATAGTAGCACTGTTGTGCTTTAAATCTTACAACAAGTCTTCAAGATAGGTATGATTATAGGAAGGTTAAATTACTTAGATAGTCACAAGTTAGCTAGTGGAAGAGCTAGAATTTAAACAGGCAGTTTAATTGCAACATCTGCCCTGTTATTCACTGGGCTCTACTCTGTATACTGCTTTCTTTAGTATCACAAAGTGCCTGCCGTATAGAGGGCAGTTGTGACAGTGAGGATGCTATTAGTTGCTCATAACATAAAGCTGCACTCAAATTAATCAAAAACAGTAAACAAAGGGATTCTACTGGTTCACGTCATTGAAAACTGCAGAAGGGGGCTGCAAGTGAAGTTCAATCAGGGGGTCCTGCTCCATATCTCTCAGTACTCTTAGGTCTCCCTCTTGTGTCTGTCAGCCTTATTTCAGGTTATCTTCTGTCATGGTATTACAAAGGCTGCAGCTCTAACTATCACATATGTATATTACTTAGTTCAACGCAAGAGAAAAAGAATTTCCCAGAAACCTTTGCAGTAGGTCTCCTTGATTTTTATTAGTCCACAGTAGGTCATGAGGTCATCTTTGAACCTGTTACTGTAGATTGCACTGGTTCATCTGGGCCTGAGGTATATGCTTTATTCCTAGAGCAATACCATTTGCGCTCCAGAGGAGAGTTCTTACCACCGCAAAAATCCACATATTCACCAAGGGAATCTCTCTCACACAGTCAATATAGTTTAGTTGAATTAATTAATGTCTCAAAAATAAATTAAGCAGTTCTCACATATTTGTAGACAGTATTTTCTAACTACTAAATGAAATAACGAAAGTAAAAAGAAGGCAAAAGAAGAAATACTCTTTAAGCAATCTCATGTAGTAATATTCATTCACGTAATCATTCCTGGCATATTTCTGTTTGAAATTCAGTCATCTACATGGAAACAGCGGAAGGGGAGCTCAGGACAATATGCCATTAATATTTCATACACAATCTGTTTAACACTAAACAATTCATTTTTATAGGAGTTTTACTCATCTCCCACAAATTCAAATGTTTGTCTTGCTAATTTTTCATATTTAAAATTTGCTTTTCAGCTAGCATTCATTCACTAAAAGGTCTTTGTACACCTAATACTTCGAGTTCAAGCTCATGCAGAACTATTTTATTATTTTCTAGTAGGAAGAACAGATAAACATTTCGTTGCAAATGTGGTAGAGTTCTGTTTTTAACGCCAATATTATCTGTGTTCAATGCATTATCTCTTATGAGCTACATATTTTTGGGGGGGATTATATTTTTTAGATGTACCTATTTAGTGTTCCAATTAGGTTAATGCTGACCGAAAGATTTTATACAACTAAAATAAAATTAAATTGATTGAAGATATATTTTATTGTTTATTTGAAACAATACTTCATAAGTGATATGATTTTAGATTTATACTGTCTCCATTTCACATTTTCATTTTTAGAGTACTTTATTGTTATTTAGTCACTGAATCTTTTCCACATCCCTCGTAAGTTCAATCTGGAATGTATATGCTAGTGATTTGTTAAACATGTAAAATTAAAGTATTGATTTTTAAATATAATGTGTATATATTTATTTATAGTGATATATAACAGTTGTATGTATATGGGGGCTACATGTGATATTTTGATACTTTTTAGATTGCTCAATGATCAAATCAGGGTAATTGAGATGCTGATTTTTTATTTTGTAAGAAGTAACAGAAATGGGAAAAGAAGCACATGGAAAGCGCTTAGATGTAAACTACTTGAGTGTCACTGCCTCTGGGTTAGCCCAATTTAGGCCATCTACACATAAAAGCTCGATGTGGTTATTTCAGAAAAAAAATTTAGACCTTAACAAGTAGGGTCCTTGCCCTTGGGCCCCATGCTTTCAAAGGCAAAGCTCTGATTAGGAGTCTGTAGGACCAAGCCAACATGCTCACTAGAAGCCCCGCTCCCATGATCTGGCATTCAGAATCCCTCAACTCCCTGGGCAAATGTTTCAAAGTCAGTTACTGGGTATGGCTAAGGGGTAAATCTTTGCATGAGGTGAGTGGGAAAAACTTGAACATGTGGGTGGGAAATGGGGCGACCAGATCTATGTGCACAGAGTTCCTCACAGTGCAGGATGGAGTAAAGGAGGTAGGGAAAAAAGGCAACAGATTCACAATAGCTAAGATGCAGAAACAACCTAAATGCCCATTGGCAGATGAATAGATAAATGTGGTATATATACACAATGGAATACTATTCAGCCTTTATAAAAGGAAATTCTGCAATATGAAACAATATGGATGGACCTTAAGATTACGCTAAGTGAAACAAGACAGACACAGACAAATACTGCATGATTCCACTTACTTGAAATAAGGTATCTAAAACAGTCAAACTCATAAAATCAAAGACTGGACTGGTGGTTGCCAGGGGCTGGGGATAGGGCGAAATAGGAAGTTACTAATCAACAGACATTACATTTCAGTTAAGTAGGATGAATTAGCTCTAGAGATCTGCTGTCCAACATTCTACCTAGAGTCAATAATAATGTATTGTGCATGTAGTATTTATTAAGATGATAGATCTCATGTTAAATGTCATTAACACAGTAAAATTTTTTTTAAGCTTAAGAAAAGCCAATGTATCCTAAATAACAGGCTTAGGGTTAGCTCTAACCAAGCTGCCTCATTCCAGTACAAAACTCTAAGGAATTTATTTTATTGTATCAAGTGGTTTGCTATTTGAGTTTTTTCCAAATTCCTTGCCAGGGAATAAACTGCTTGCACTATTTAAAAAAACAAGACAGACAGACAGACAGAAAGAAAGAAAGAAAGAAAGAAAGAAAGAAAGAAAGAAAGAAAGAAAGAAGAAAGAAAGAAAGAAAGGAAGGAAAGAAAGAAAGAGAAAGAAAGAAAGAAGAAAAAGAAAATGAGAGAGAGAGAATTCTAAATCGAATCTAGATGTCCATATCATTATGATTGTATAATTGTCAAGGAAAGCAGATAGGATATATTTAATAGTCTGTTGACTTTATACCTTATAAATATTAAATATGTGGCATGCAGGCAACCATTTGCACACTTACTATAGGCCCTGCAAAAGTTATGGGGCAGTTCTAACCTCATATGACTATGCAGAAGACTATGTGATACAGATTATCAAAAGATGACAATTTTTTAAATTCCCAGACCAGGATGGTATGAGGAGTGAGAAGCTTTTTTAGACACCAATGCATAGCTCTTACAGCTGGGATGCTCTCCGAAGGCATTATTATTCCTTTTTCTTAAGGGAATGAAGCCAGACATAACACAAGTTATAAGTTACGAGTTAGAAGCCATGACTTGAACACATTCAAAAGCATTTCCCTGGCATACATTTCTAATGTGTGAATCTTTTGGGATCCATTTGTTTCTTTATTTCTGGCAATATAATTAAGTTTCTAACTCTAAGCTCAACAATTAAATTGATAGTTCATTAGCATTTTAGAAGAAACACTTCAAACAACAAATTTAGCTTTAGAAAAGAACAGGTAAAATTTGTTACATTGATCACATTTTCTAAATTAATTATTTTAAATGTAATTGAATAACCTATGTCCTATAAACATAAACTTGACTATAGAGTCATAATTTTTAAACACTGAGTCTCTTCATAAATTACCACACTATATTTTTCACTGAGAAATTAAAACTATGATATTTTAGCTAAAATGTATCATTTTGAAACCCAAAATATAGATTTCACTTTTCATGTTCTTGAGATTATTTTTCCTGTAGAAAACGTATATGCTGAAAGTGGTCATTAAAATAATTATGGCTCTAAAACTGCAAAACATTGCTAACATACTAAGATCTAATACAGTTTCATGGTGTCAAAAATAGAGTATTTCAAAGAAGATTTAAAATGGAAATGTAATGCATTGAAATCAACTCAAACATAAATTTCACACATATTTTGCTTTTTTAACAAAAGCCAGCGTTACTGCCCAAAATGTAAATGTTCTGGTAAAGGAAGATATGTACGCTATTTTCACCAATTAATTTTCATAAAAAGAAGCCTAGTAAATAGAACATAAAATAAATATTTAACATCCTTAAATACTAAAAAATTAATTATCTTCCTAAGGAACTGTGACAAAAAGAAAAATGTGATTTCTTGCTTTGTAGGTCAAAATACTTTATTTGCTACTTAAATTTTCAATTCCATTCAACAACTATTTACTGACTTGTTCTTATATGCCAGACCCTGTGTTAGAACTGTGTACACAAATTAATGTGATATTGTCCATGTTCATATCCATAGTCCAACCCATCTTAGGGAGTTTAAGAAGCACTTCATCTTAAGACTAAAGCTATTATTTTAGGTGTGTTTATAATATCTAAATCAAAATTCTGAAATACAATTATTTTGCAAAAGACGACAAAAGCATCATTTTACTCAACTGATCCTGAAGTTTTAAGGCATATTTGATTTAAAAAATTTAAAAAAGAAAGAATTGGGGTTGGGAAAGGGGAGTATAAACTGATGATATAAAAATCACTCAATTTAGACTCTAGTAAGGACACAAGAATTACCAAAACAGTTACTTCTCATTTAATCATTTTGGTTTGTTTAAACTCTTTAGTTATTTGGGAAAGAAATGTATTGAGTACCTGCTGTGTGTTAGATATGGTGCTAGGTCCTATATGTGGATGTGTGATATGACTGATCCAGTTCTTATCCTACCGTAACTTACATTCTAGTAGGCAATTGCATGAGAGTTCCTTAAGAGCTATAATAGCAGAAATACAGGCTTCTAAAAAACAGAAAGAAATACACCTTCTCCTCTACTAGAGTGTTAGAAAAACACATATAGTAATATTAAATATATACAGATACCTAATCAGACTTATTGGTTTGGACAGTGGGATAATAAGGCTAGTAATGATTTCCTGGTAGAAAAAAAATATGTAAGTCTTCAAGAGTATGGATAAGCTCAGATAAAGTAGGAATGGGAGAGATAGGCAGGGGTGGTGATGTTTAGAGCCACTGTGAATGAATTCATGTCCCAACGAAAAAAACAACAGGGAACGTTAGGATCGCTGATTCCGGGAATTGTACAGACCTTTTTCCTTGCGTAAGCTAAGTAGTTTTTAGAGTTACAAGGAAAAGAGATGTAAGAGACTGGAGGAAGAAACATTTAAGAATCTGAAAGGACTTAAGTCCATCTGGGAAGGAAAAGGGAAAGGGAGGAATGGCAAAGGTTAGGGCGAAGTGTGTTAGGGGGAGTAGACAAGTGAGAGAGTCCTTTGTGGTTAAAGAACTAGCTAATAAACTAGGTCTGAAAGTTGTTACTCTATCCCTGGAAGAACAAATAAGAATTACTGAAGGCTTTTAGGCAGAAAATGAACACATTCAGATTTTTGTTTTTTAAAAAATTACTCTAGCTTTTGTGTAGAAATAGATTGGAGAGGAGCAAGACTGAAATTCCAGAGTCTAGGGTGTAGAAATAGATTGGAGAGGAGCAAGACTGAAATTCCAGAGTCTAGGCAAGAGATAGTGTTTTGAAATCTAAGCAGGAGATCAGGGTCATCTGACTTTTGGTTTTGGGTGTAAAGATGGGGAAAATAAGACATTCTAGAGAGAAAATGTAAGAACGTATTTAACAACAAAACTTAGTGATTAATTGGAGGTATAGATGGTGTCCAGGCTTCTGCTTTATTCAACTAAGTGGATGGTGGTCATATTAAATAAATCAGGGAGCCAGGGAGGAGAAGCAGAATTTATAGATGAGGTGATGAGCTCAGGTGAGTATTTTAAGCTTGAAGCACCTGAGGGACATCTAAATAGAGATCTATTAGACATTTGTGTATTCTTGTAGCTTCCTCAGAAAAATGATTTGGGCTGGAATTATAGCTTAAGGGTCATCAACATAAGAATGGTAATTGCGTTCAAAGACAAGATTACCCACATAATGTCAAGTAAGAGGAAAAGAGGTCCTAGATCAAAACTATGAAGGATGTCGTCAATACTTAATGGAAGGGCAGATGAGGAATTCACAAAGGAGTTAAGAGTGTAGAGTCATATAAGCAAGGAACAGAGTGTTTTAAGCAGAACAGAGTTGACAGTGGTCCATAATAAGGTGAACTAGGATAAAGACTGTAGAGGACCCACCAAATTTAGCAACATGAGGACCATCAGTGTCCTTGATGAGAGTACCTCCCATGAGCCTTTGCTGCTAGAAGTCAATGTGCAGTGTGTTAAAGCAGGGCTGGCAACATGATGTGGAGACAACAAATATAGATAGGTTGTTTATGATAGAGGGTTATCTGTAAAGGAAAGTCAAGAGGGAAATAACCAGTGTAGCACATAGACTTCAAGGGTTGTTTTAATGATTAAACAAAAATACTAGAGAATGTTCAAATGCTCATAGAATATGGGATCAATCTCTTTCTCAAAATACTGATAGGATGATGTGAAAAATCATGTCTTCATGAGCAAGCAATGTGGAGGCAGTATATTCCCACAGAACATATTCATGGAAGTGTTAACACAAAATATTTTACCAAGTAATGACCATCTCTAAAATCACATTTGTAAAAACTAGCGTGCTTTATTAAATCTTCATGGGCAAGATTAACTGATAGACACAGAGCATTTATTTGTTCAAATGTTGAGAATTACAAATTGAGGAATAATTATTTCTAATGATAGATTCTTAAAACTCTTATTATTAAAGATATAATACACTAAAACAATAATTTTCAGTTATAGCCTCCTTCCATTGATTCAAACGAAAGACACACAAAGTGTAACCGTGCATAAATACTGTCAAGCTTTGAGGAATATCGATTTCTGGAAATCCTCCGTTTTATTGGTACCGAGATTTTCCACAGAAACTCACTAAGCACCACTTTTTGTAACTATCCCATGATACTCATTATACGTGCCATGCACACGGTCAATTTCTAGTAAATTAGAAAGTAACTAGCATAATCCTATTATTTATTTAATTTCAATGATGTTATCATTGAATCTCCAGTATTCTAGAAATTCTTTGTTTCCAGTGTATATTCATATATGGAATAAACCACTATTTATTTTAAATTATAGCAATTTTAGAAATAACCTCATTATTCCAATTTTTCATGTTCTGCAGACATCTCACAACTGAACTTCCCAGGCTACAACTTTAATGTGGCAAACACATAACCAAACCAAAGTAGAACTGACCGGACTGTGGCAGAGCACATGGTCATTTGTTCAATCACTTGGTCATTCAACAAACGTCTTCTAATCAGCTAGAATATGTGCCAAGGTCTGGCCTTAACATAAGAGATACAAAGAGGAATAAACTGTAAATAGTCATTGCTCTCTAGGGCAAATCTAGGGAGGAATTCAGACAAAAATAAATCCTCATATAATAATAGTAGAAAACTCAAAAGGGACATTAAGACGGATCTATCGACTGCCTTAAGCCATGATGTTGGACTAGGGAGATTATACACTAGGTTCGTCTGGGAAAGGTCTGGTGTACAGCTTTGTCCCGTGACCTTTCCTACACTTTTTATTCTCAAAATAAATACATTAGCAATGATCTTGTAAGGTGAAACAAAAGTCCATCAGGAAAACAGGAGTTGGCGGGTGGGAAATGGTACCTTATGAAGAGAACAAAGGAAACAATAGCATGGGATATCAGAGAAACTCTAGCAACACAGTATAGCTGGGGTGAAGAGTATCTCTGGGCGAGGTCATCAGGGACAAAGTCAATTAGAGGGATAGACAGAGTTCCAAGTGTCAGGGACCTTGTTGGTCAGACTAAGCAATCTGAACTATTTGGAAAGCAAACAAGGTAACCCTGGAGGATTCCTGAATTTCAATCTAGAATCACACACTATACTTTTTTTTTTTTCAATTTTGCATGACGACTTCAGGGAAACATGCCAATGAAAAAATCAAGTTAAATCATTACATTAATAAATTTACTTAGTCTAGGATTTGGAATATTTATTGCAAGTCAAACTAACCTGTTAGTCATTGCATATAAACAGGTTGGCTAAAATCAAATTTTAAAATGTAGATATCAATAGGTAGTCTCTGCTCTCAAAGGGCTTACAATTTCCCTGTAATCGTGTCACTTGGATCAGCTTACACAGATTATAATCAGAAGCAGAGACAGCAGAGATAACTCCTGAATAGAGAAACTAGGTTAAGAATAATGGGCATAGATATGTCTGTGTGTGTATGTGTGTGTTTTAGATAAGTTACTGATCTTCTCTGAGCCTAAGTTTTCTCAGATGAAAATGAGAACCATGAAGCCTTCCTTACAGGGTGAATAATGGCAATCCAATGTAAAGGAGGGGGGGATATTTATTCCAGGAAAAACGAACAAGAGAAGTAGAAACAACACATACAGTGCTTGCAAAGTGTATAATAGGCCTTCAAGAAATGAGAATTATTATGCTATGTCACAGTCTGATCTCATTAGATACTCTCAATGGCCTCATGAGAAGGATGAGAAAGGAATACATTTCTCCCATTTTACAGGCGAGGGCACAAAGAGAACAAAAAATCAATTATTTGCTTCAAATTATACAGCTATTTATTGGAAACACTTGGGCTCAAAAATATCCCGTTTCCAAGTCTTTACCCTTTCTAAAATGCACACTGTCCGTGAAACATGCCAAATTGATTTTATCATCACTAAGATGAACTTATCCATAGATCCTTGTGCCCCCAAATCTCACTGTCTCAGTTCTTGGGTGCCTCAAGTCCAAGTTCCCAGGGCATCTGTCTATGAGTAGGATATTCACAGTGAGTAAAAAGGTAATGCCATAAAAATCTAGGTGTGGGTTAGTAGAATCCAAATAAACGATATAGAACATCACAACTCATATTCAAATATGTTAACTAAAGTAATGATTTCCTATTACTTAGAGTGAGGGTCTCAAAATGTTCCTGAAATAGATCTCAAAATGTATTCCCTCTGTCTAGTTGAAACTTTGTAATCTTTGAACAGTAACTCTCTATTCCCTCACTCCACCTCCCAAGCCTCTGTTAACCATGATTCTACTCTACATCTCTATGAATTCAACTTTTCTTACATTGCACATTTAAGTGACATCATGTGGTATTTGTCTTTCTGTGCCTGGGGGAAAAATGTTCATGTACCTCAGAAGTAAACACATTTTAAGCATGTACCCTATATAAATATATATTCACAGACATATGTAATTTTAAATTACATTGACACTAGTTTTGTAGACACAACTTACACATCACATACACTATAAAATATACAATCAAAATATTAATTTCTAGAGAACAAGATAAATAAAAAGTATTTTTTCTCACTACCCCAACTGTTTAGCACGCATATTATTGGGCATGTACATTCCACTTTGGTAACAACTGACCTAGATAATCAAATTCAAGGTCGTTGGAGTGACAAAATCCTTCATAACTTCACTGGTGTGTGTGTGTAAGCGTGTGTGTGTATATGTGTGTGTGCTTACAATCCCCACTAGATTTTAAACTCAAAAGAGAACCAACAATGCCTTCATATTTTTTCTTCTCTCTCTTCAATCTGTGTTCCCTGAGATCCTTTTCTATTTGGTTCACTGGCCCTTTAACCCCAAAGCAGTTTCCACTCTGTGGAAGAAGGAAATAGTTTCATTATATTTTGGCTCTGGGTTGTTTCTTCATTTAAAACCGTAGCTAAAGTCCAGACCAGAGAATGATTTGAAAACCATACCTTAAGAATGAGTTTTTCCTAGTACAGTAGACATAAGAACTCTCTGGATGGGGGGGAGTCAAAAAGAAAGTTGGGGAGGAAGCAAGAAAATTAGATGCTTGTAGGTTTCCGAAGAGGGGGCCTGATGTGGCAGTATTTCATCAGCAAGAAGGGCAAAGGCAGATTCACTAAATTTCTTGAGGCCTCAGAGTGCAGCCAGCAAGTGGCTACATTTTTCCTGTCCCTGAAAAGAGTGTGGGAGTTGACTGAGGAAAAGAGTTGGTCATAGCAAGAGATGCTTAACTGAAAAGCTGCATGGGCCATGCAGTGTTAAACTCAAGAAATTGAGGCCTTGAGAAGGGGACCCATGGGCAGATGCTCAAGAGTAAAGACATTCAGAACCAAGGTGCAGACAAAACCGTGCATCCATAAGATAACAATGTATACAGACACATCCCCTGAAGGCCATACGTGCTTCATGAACACTTGGGAACTGGGATGCCTACACAGAAAGAAGATGGGGAGGAACAATCCTAAATGGAAACCAATGAAGAAAACCTGAAATCAATATGGTTATGTTTTCTGTCTTCAAGTAGAAAGGGGTCATGTCCATCCATTCAAAAGAATGGCTAAGATGAGATTAATCTTGCATTTCCCGGATGCATTTTCCCCAAGTTGGAGTGTAAGCCAGCTCTTTGGAGCTTTAGAACTAAGCATCATCTCTTCTTCCTTGCTGACATATGTTCTATTGAACATCTTTTCTCAAAATAGACCTGTTTCGCCCACATTGAAAATCTGTCAAGGCAGGTCTCTCCCCCCTTCCTGGTGATCTCCACAAGTGTTGGAAGGGATGTCCTGGCAGTCGTGGACCTGCCCACTTACTGCCAGGTGGTGCCGATTCAACTGGGCGCAGAGCCCATATGGCATCTGTGGCTTGAGACATAAGTATCATCAGCCACAGTATTCCCCAAATTCTTAAAAACCTTCTGCTTTCTGAGTTAACATTGGGCTTATTGTCATCTAGTACTGTTGCTTTTATTCTAGCTGTATACTCATATGTTTGAGTGTTTTGTTTACTGATACTTCCTCAGTTTTTGTTTCTTTCCTGTACATCACTGTAACAGCAGCACATTCTCCACACATTGAAAGACTCATTGTCTGTCCTTGAGCATCATCTCTACTGTCAAATGATAGCCCTCGTACATGCATCCACTACATTCATCATTGTCTCACTATTTATGTTTTGTAACTCTCATTATTATTATAGGTCTTCAGTTTCTAACACTTTCAAATTAGCACTGTCGTTGAATTAGGCATAATTAGATTTAAAATTTTGCTAAAGTACTCCACAACTAAGGAAGAACAGGGCTCCAAGTGGTTAACATTAACTTTGGTGGGGGTATGATAGGAGAGTGTTGACGAACCTGTACTTGGAGCTAGTTTTATTTCTATTTAGGCTATTACTCTCTCTTTCTCCATGCTTCCCTCCCTCTCTCCCTTCCTCCCTCTCTCTCTCTCTCTCTGTTCATATATATATATATATATATATATATATATATATATATATGTACACATATATACACACACACATATGTATACATATATACATACATATACACACATATGTATACATATATACATACATATATACATACATATACACACATATGTATACATATATACATACATATACACACACACACACATACACATACACACACATATATGTGCAATAAAGAACTGCCTGAGACTGGGTAATTTATAAAGGAAAGGGATTTAATTGACTCATAGTTCAGCATGGCTGGGGAGACCTCAGGAAACTTACAATCATAGTAGAAGGTGAAGGGCATAGTAGAAAGGGCATAGTAGAAAGCAAGGCACCTCCTTTACAAGGTGGCAAGAAGGAGAATGAGTGAGGAGGGAAGGGGGAAGAGCCCTTTATAAAACCATCTGATCTCATGATTCACTATCAGGAGAACAGCATGGGCAAAACCACCCTCAAGATCCAATTGCCTCCACCTGGTCTCTCCCTTGACACACGGGGATTATAATTCAAAATGAGATTTGAGTGGGGACAGAAAGCCTAACCATATCAATGTGTGTGTATAATTTATTTCTGGTAGATGAACATGTTCATCAAAATCAACTATATAATCACAATATTAACTGAAATATCTGACTTTTAAGAACTTTAAATATTTTAGAGGTTGCCTACGGCTGTACAAGTAAATAAATTGATAGAGCACATTCTTTTAAATATAAAATGAGAGGAAATAGTCTTAATTAGATTACTACATTTTCCCCATGGATGTGTCATAGTACATTCTAGAGGAAAAAAGTAATTGATTATATGAAGATTAGAATAGGTATATTTAACAAGCAGGTAGTGTTTGTGGAAATGTTCTAAGATGTTAGAAAAATAAGAATAAGATCTACTGTTTCATAGCACAATAGGGTTGCTATAGTCAGTAATAACTTAATGGTACATTTTAAAATAACTAACAGAGTATAATTAGAATGTTTGTAATACAAAGCACAAATGCTTGAAGGGATAGATAACCCATTCTCCATGATGTGACTATTTCATATTGAATGCTTGTGTTAAAACCTCTCTTGTACCCCATCAATATATACACCTTCCTCATGTACCCCGTTGACATATACACCTACCATGTACTCACAAAGATAAAAAACCCATTGAAAGAAAAAACTTAAAAGAAAAATGGAAATGCTCTAAGAGATGACGACAGGTAATATACGTCTTAGTGCATTTATGTATGTGTTTATTTTTGCAAGAGATAGACATAACTGTCAGCCCCTGGACACAGCTCAGTGGATAGTGACTTTTGCTAACACTTAATGGATTCCATATGTTCAATAAAAAATCATTATGAGAAAGTTCACTGAACCTTTTATACAAACTAACCATGCAAAGCTCAATTCAAAAAGGCACCTAGGAAGTGAATGCAATACTTGCATATTTCCTTTGACATGAATAAATACAAAGGCATTTTATTTTAATTGAGTTAAAGCATAATAGTTTCTCTTGCATAAATAATTAAAATAGAAAGAAAAATAGCATATAAGGAGACTTACTGATATCAGGCACTGTCCTAAGTATATTATATACACTGAAATATCTATCAAAACAAGCCTATGAGAGACGATTATTAGATCAATTTGAGAGAAAAATTAACTGAGGCTTACGTAGGTTAACTCCCATAGGTTATACTAATAGTGATGCAATAAACCAGGAGTTTCACCTAGGCAGTATGCCCAAAGCCCATGTATTTTAATCATTATAATCAGACTCCTACATTACATACCACTGATTTTAATTTGGAAAGATAATTTTTTTCTAGAAATGTTTCTCAATAGTATTTTGTTCTAATACAAATGTGAACACCTTTAAAATCCTAAAAGTGTTAAACAAGTTGGGGGGTAATAATCTGACATTCTCCCAGGTAAGGGGATTTCGAATAAGGTCTTCCTATGGCATGGCAACATTAAAGTCCTCACTAAGCAACATGTTATTTAACTTCATGACACTGGGAAGAGAGTATTTGCCAGCTTTAGAAAGCAAATGTTAAGAATCTAAACATTATCAAGGGGACTATTTTGCTTAATTTTGAGCTTTCAACACTAAAGAAGTATATAAAGGAACATGGGTATACTTCAATGATTATGTAAGGGTCCAGGCTAATCAAATCATCACTGAGGTGGCTATTACACACACCAAACATATAATCAGAAAATTGTGGCTCATGAGAAGTTTAACTTAAGCCCTTCCTATTCAATAGGGGATGTCTTAGGACCAGGATGTTTGATGATATCCCTGAAATCACAATGCCTATTAATGTTAACAGCCTATTAAAAAAAAAACCTACACATATCCTTTTATCGTTATTATTTATTTATTTATTTATTTAATTTTTTTTTTGAGATGAAGTCTCGCTCTGTCGCCCAGGTTGGAGTGCAGTGGCACGATCTCGGCTCACTGCAAGCTCTGCATCCCAGGTTCACGCCATTCTCCTGCCTCAGCCTCCCAAGTAGCTGAGACTACAGGTGCCTGCCACCATGCCCAGCTAATTTTTTTGTATTTTTAGTAGAGACGGGGTTTCACTGTGTTAGCCAGGATGGTCTCGATCTCCTGACATCATGATCCGCCCGCCTTGGCCTCCCAAAGTGCTGGGATTACAGGCGTGAGCCTCCGCACCCAGCCTATATCATTGTTATTACTATCGTTATTACTACTATTATTCCAATGTTAATATGGTGCCCACTGTTTTAAAGTAGAAATGCTATTATTTAATCTTCTTGTGTTCGTATTCAATAAAGAAAAATATAAGTATTATGACAAGGCAGTGATTTGGACAGGATGTTTCGAATGCAGGCATGTTGACATATAACTGGACATGAGCCCTGATATAGTTTGGATATTTGCCGCCACTCAAATCTCAAGTGGAAATATAATTCCCAATGTTGGTGGTGGGGCCTGGCGGGAGGTTTTTGGGTCATGGGGACAGATCCCTCATGGTTTTGTATTGTCCTCAGTGTAGTGAGTGAGTTTTCATGAGATCTGGTTTTTTTTTAAAGTGTGTGGGCATCACCTTCTGCCATGAGCAAAAACTCCCTGAGGCCTCCCCAGGAGCCAAGCAAATGCCTGTGCCACACTTCCTGTACAGCCTGCAGAACCATCAGCCAATTAAACTTTTTTTCTTGTTGAAATATAATGCCAAGTGTTGGACTTGGGGCCTGGTGTGAGATGTTTGAGTCACGGAGGTGGATCCCTCACAGCTTGATGCTGTCCTCATGATAGCAGCTGAGTTCTTGAGCGATCTGTTTTGTTTTTTTTTTTTTTAAATGTGTGGCAACCTCCCCCTGGCTTCTGCTCTGGCCATGTGACATGCTTACTCCTGTTTCATCTTCCACTATGAGTAAAAGCTCCCGGAGGCCTCCCCAGAAGCTGAGTAGATGCTGGTGTCCTGCTTCCTGTACAACCTGCAGAATCATGAATCGATTAAAGCTCTTTTTAAAAATACATTACCCAGTCTCGGCTATTTCTTCATAGCAATACATGCTAACACAGACCCACCCTCCCCGTCTGTCCTTGATACTCTTGTTTTTCTGCCGATTTTATTCCTATTGTATCTACTCTTTGTTTGATGTTAAGAAAATGATCTTTGCTTCAAAAATTCAAATTATAATCCTGCAAGCTCTTTGATATAAGTGTTCAATTTAAATTAAAAAGGCAAAACCAAAATAAGACTAAGCATAAGAAAATAATACACTTTCCCTTAGTTACCAGAGTGATATATTTGAACATTTTAAATGCTTTCAAAAAATCAAATTTCTAAACTGTTACCTCTACTTAATCCCACAGAGGTGATAAAATTATTGGCAATTGATGATCATGTGGATAAATTGACTGACAATTTCATTCATTTATTCATTAATAGCTCCTCATTGATGTATGTATCCCAAATGTCTCCTTTCCTTCTCTCAAAGGGGCAAGCAAAGGAAATGGAAACTGTAACAGTAAAAGCCATATACTCTAAGGTGGACATTAGAAAGTCTCTTGGTCTACAGGTCGTTTTTAATCCTAAAGACAGAATAATCTACCTATATAGAAATCATTAAACAAATAGAAATTTTGCCTTATAAATAGTAGGAAAATACATACCTACATTTATGGCCTGAAAACCAGCATCAGCTATGTTATAGTTGTCCACATAGAACTAATATAATGTACTGGGTAGAAAGTGACCATTTTTCTCCATTTTGACCCTTGTCATCACTGGAAGAACATGGATTCCATTAAGGTTCCCACATTCATTACCCTTCTCCTCACACAGAAATGCAAACATTGAAAAGTTTCTTCGTGGAGAGTTCTATTTTGTTTTGTTCTTTTTGCATTAAAAGTTCAATACTATTTATTCAAGTTTATCAAGCTGAATGAACAAATGGCCTATTATAATTGCATTTCATATTTTGGGCCCTTAAATTTCGAAATCTACGTTTCCAAAGAGAAAGTTAAAAACAGGGGAAAATGCTGCTAAATTATTTGATGAGCTTCATATTTGTGATGCTCTCATTTTAGTTACATTAAGGCAAAAAGCCAAAATAAAATCCCAAGGCTTGGAGTTTGAAACAAGTGGTGAAAGGGAAGGGAGCATTGATAAGAGAGGCAGGAAAGATAGATTTAATGGCATTTTTTTTGTTTTAAATAATGCTTAAGAAGAAAAATTATGTTTATTACACTCAGTTTATTTCCCTGTGGAAGAACAACCTTTTCCTCTCCTCAGTCTGGAACTCATACTCTTTGCCACATGACCTGTGGGAAATTGACTTGAACAGATGTTTTGGTTTCACATTAAATCTACAAATTATTTTGCGTAATTCCCTAGTGCCCATCTACTATAATTTTTATGATGTCTCTACTCTTTGTTTTTTACATACTATGACAAAAGAGTCATAAGACATAGTGCCTAGTCAGTAATTGGCTCACTGAAATGCTTAGAGTTTATATATTTGTAAGACCACACAAAATTTCAAGCAGGAACCTTTCAGTTATCACAATCTTTATTAATACTCTCTTGAAATTGACACTTTTTAGGCTTCATATGCCAAAAAACATGAGAGTAATAATTGACCTTATGCTTTAGGACATGTTTCTTCTTAAATACTTCTTATTTTAATATTAGTAACAATTCTACTACTAATAATATCTATGGTTCATTGAATGCTAGTCTACATAGGTGCATAGATACCTGGATATAGATGATAAATAGATGACAGAGAAAGAGAAAGATAGAAACAGAGAAATATTTTTACTTTGAATGAAATACATTATCTCTCCCATCCTAATAACCACCTTCCAAGATAAGTTCACATCTTATTATTAGAGATGAGAAGATTTAGTTTTAACAATAGTGTTTGACTGAACTTGAAATACACAGGTGTGTAAATATTAAAACATTAAAACATTCCTAAAATCTTTGCAGATAATTAGAAAGAGTCTAGCAAACATTATCTGTAATAAAAACATATATATTTAATTTGGAATGTGCTTTAATTTTGTGGTATTTTGTGACCACTCTGTTCCTTGTCCCTTGCCTGTGATTAGTGAATATAGAGTGTTCATTTATTGACACTTTTATCCACTATCTCTGGAGGACAAATGTGAAGTAGTTGCCAAGACTCTACTTTAGGCAGTTTCACATATCATTAAAACAAAAATTTACAGATTATGTATTTCCATGAAATATGACAATAACAAATTGGAAGGCTGAGGGCTAATTTTACACATAATTTTGCAAATCTGTTTGTTAAGAATGAGTATGCAATTCATACATTGACATTCTGGTAGTTCATCAGTTTATAAAACTAGTGAAATGGAAGAATGCATTGAAATTTAATTGTTGGTATCTTCACACTTTTGCTGACTATATTAAAACAGATACATTGAACTGAGTGGTCCCGCCTCCTAATAATTTATAACATCTTCAGTTTCTGCCACTAATATTTATCATTATCTTATGAACAGGTCTGTGCATTGAAATAATAATAAAAACGATAAGGAAATAAATAGACATAACTATTATTTATTCAGTGTATTATTAAGTGTATGATATAATGCCAGGCATCCTAGATATATCATCTCATTTACTCCTCACAATGAACCTATTAAGTAGATGTCCTTGTGCCTATTTTAAAAATGAGGAAGATAAAACGTACAGAAATTTAACATTTTGCCCAAGATTGCAAAGCAAACTAAATGCATGAACAAGGATTTGAACTGTGTTTTTTTTTTTCATCTGGAGGCCTCCGTTCCCAAGCATGCTTTTAAATTTTTTTTTTCTCTTGACACATATCATAAGGTTTCTTCTCATTTTTCACATCATATCAACCAGTCTCTTTGCTGTTCCTGGAACAGCATATTCACATCTCTGGGCCTCGGCTCTTACTAGTTCCTTATCCTGACTCATTTCTTTAGATAGTAGCATGTTTCATTCCTTGACTTGATTTAGGTCTCTGCTCAGATGTCACACTCTCAGCCTCCTCTCTTCACCACTCTTGCTAAAATACTGCTTCCCTTTTTCCTTTACCCTGATGATTTTTTTCATCGTACTTTTAATCTGATATTTTATCATATTTATTGGGTTCTTTGCCTCCCCTGCTAAAATGTAAATTCCACAACAAAGGGACGTTGTTTTCTTTATGGATGGATACCTGGTACCTGCAACAAAACCTGGCACAGGCTGATTGACTAGTATTGGTTGAATAAGAGCAAAAATGAATGACTACTGAGATTTACCCTAAAATTTTCAAATATTTTGATGTATAAAAATAGTCTATGAATGTAACCAAACTGTGTGGACAGAGGCTGATGGGGTCTCAAGTGGTGTGTGTA
This sequence comes from Homo sapiens, assembly GCF_000001405.40. Classification (NCBI taxonomy): domain Eukaryota; kingdom Metazoa; phylum Chordata; class Mammalia; order Primates; family Hominidae; genus Homo; species Homo sapiens. The sequence continues at coordinate 32,048,913 of NC_000023.11, forward strand.
TGTGAAGGGTAAGACATTTTAGAAGAAGTACCTATGCTGGATTTTGAAACTCTGAAAGGACAAACGAATGGAGGGAAGAAACAGTAGACTGCGGGATACTTGAGAACGAGAAGAAACAAACAAACAAACAAAATGAATGAAAGCCACTGTCAGTTCTTGGAACACAGAGTTGGGAAAATGTATTATCTATATCTGGAGAAATACTCAAGTCAGGGGAAGGAGAACAGATGACTGGCAATGAAGGGACCTCAAAGCAAGGTCTAATTGAGATTTGAGACAACAGCATGCATCCACTTGGAGTTCTTACAAAGAGGAATACTATGTTCAACTGACTCGTACATTTGTAATACGTCCGTTAAAAAAACCCTATTGCTATTGGAAATGAGTATGGAAAGCTTTCAGAATGGAAGTTTTATTCCATTGTTGGTAAGGGGTGCAATAAATTATTCATGCATAACCGCAACTACAAGGAAATGGGCATAAAGAGGTGAGGTAAGTAGGAATAAGTGCTAGTGCATATATAATTACTAAATGGAAATGGTTTGACAAGTCTGATACAAAAAGGCTCTCTGGACCCCAATTTCAAATAAAAGACCTGAAGTGATACATTTATTCCTTATCCCTTCAGAGTCTCCATTTTCTATAAGCGAGCCCCCTCCACAAACGCACCATTAAACCTGTACAATCTATGACAACAATGGGAATTTATCCAAGATGTAGACGTAGAAGTGATGGGTCAAAGTGATCCACAGTTCACATCAGATACCATTAAGTGTTTTTATAGCTCTTTACCTCCTCTAGTATAAGGACTCAAAAATACAGCTTGAATGATCCAGAAAATTGAAGGTATCAGGCTTTAGTGATACCTAACAATTAGTTGGATGAGGTTCTGCACTTGAAGGGCACTTGGTTTTTCAGGAAGGAAGATTTTTTTTCAGTAATTTTTGTATTCTTACTGGGGTGTTCCTTACACTGTATTCCATCCCTAAGAAAATGCTACTTTTTCATTATCAGTTGTATTGTATCTTGACATCTAATTGGCAATACACCACATTTCTCTATAAATTATCTCGTTTAAACAGTTACTTTCCTAGTTAAGTATATTTAACAACTTAGATTCTGACAGTTTTTTAATAAACGTATTTTGGTATTTTTAATTAAAATCAGTAGAGTATAAACAAATAGAAACACACTAAAGACAATTATGCATTTTAATAAAACAAATGTGCAGGTCCGGAAATGTTCATAGACTCTTGATTTTATTTACCTTTAGTATTATACCAAATGTGACCAGTCATTTTTCAAATTTGAGCATGGATTATGTTTTTTTTCTGCCTATATCAAATAGTATAGGGGTCCAAAACAGGTTTTTAGGGAGTTATTAAGTCTATAGAAAATTATGCTTTTAGGAAGTGTTGTGCTTATGCCAAGTGGGAGAAGCATAATAATAAAATACAAAGTTTACAAATTATACTGCCTAGGTTATACAATTACTACATAATTGAAAATAAAATTTAACTGCTGTGTACATCATTTATCTATATCAAAGTTACCTATGCTTAATTTGAAATCACTGTAATAATGCTGATAAATGAAAGAATTGAATTGATTTCTACATTAAAATGTACAATTAAACCTGCTAAATATGCAACTGTACTTTTTATATGTGCCTTTATTGTAGTAAGGATAGAAATTGTTGATTGTAAATGTAAACCTTATGTTCTATAAGGAATGATTTCTTAAAAAGGGAGTCTATTACAATCAGTAATATCATAAAATTTTAAAGATAATAGATGTTTTTCATCCAGTTCAAAATGCTTCACCATGTGGGCTTTTTGATCCTATCTTTAAAAACTTTTGTGTCCATGAGAAGTATAAGTTAGGTAAGTTTTCTAAGTTAACTGAAATAAAAACACATTGAATTTCTTAAAATCCTAGCAAAATAGTGTAAAATAACGTACCTATAGTCTTCTCTGGCACATCTTTATATGAATAACGTGAATCATGTATAAATATCCTTGAAATATGTATTTCATTTACATTGCCTCAGGCTAACTTCCTCTTTTTTTTTTTTTCCCCCTAATAGAGACAGGCTCTCACTGTGTTGCCCAGGCTGGTTTTGAACTCCTGGGCTCAATCGATAATCCCACCTTGGCCTCCAAAAATGCTGGGATTACAGGTGTGAGTCACATCACCCGACTTTCAGGCTGCCCTCTTGATCACACCCACAATTACTGATTTTTTTTCAAATGGAAATGTATTTTCTAACATAAAGTATAGGTTAGACAAATGCACACCAAATGTTAAATTCCCTTCTGTGTCTAGTCATCTCTGTAATTATGAAGAGACAAAGTTTAATAATATGAAAGCTGATGAAGAAAAAATAACCCCATAATTTATAAATGTGCATTCCCCAGAGTGAAAATGGCTCTTGGTAACTTCATTTTTAATTTCAATTATGTATTTTATATAAGGAAAAATCACAAAATAGGCTGCTTACTGTAGTGTTGAAATATAGTGTAATGATAGAATGTAATTTTAAAGAAATGTTTAAATAAATAATTTAGAAAACTAAAAATGGCCTACTTTTTATGATGTTAAGTATATGGAATGCTGAATTAAGAGAGTAAATTTTTCTTGGCAAATAGTAGACACACTAGATATAGGTGAAGTGAATGAATATGTAGAAAATCAGTTCCTTAAGAACGGCTCAATGATGATATTTAGAATCTAGTGATAATTGAAACTTAGTTTAAAAGTGAACTAAGATAACTAAAATATTTTCATGTGCTTATTCACATAATCAAGGCATAGGAGTTAAGGGTCTCCTGTCATCGACAGCCCTAGAGAAGTTACGAAAGACAAATATGAGACTTTTAATGATATCAGATATTTTGGGGCACTGCACTGTCATCCTTTTAAGCAAACTAGATTCTCTCTCCACCACAAGCAAACCCTAAGTGGGAGATGCAAGTACACCTTGTTCTTTAAACTCTGGATCTTTGTATTCACAGGACAACATTCAATAAGGCCACCTGTCCATTGTAATGGAGATCATGAAATAACCTAAGTTTACTTTTTGAAGTAATTTGGGAAATGTAGAAAAATATGTTCCCAGGAATTTTCGTATTGGGTAGAAATATATGCTTTTCTGCAAGTGCAGTATAAAAGTATGAAAAATAGGATGGAGTAACAGGAAAATAAGTTTTCTTAGTTGGGCAGACCATCTAGGCATAGAACCTGAGTAAGTAAATTCCCCCAATAATTAATCTTAAGGTTCACTTTTCACATAGAAGTTAAGTCACATAAAGATACACTCTTGCTCCTCTAGCTATTAAACCAAGGTCCATAATTTTTTTTTTTACTTAGTTTCCACTCCCAGGGATATGAAATTTAGATTCTTGACCCCAAATGAATCTTAACACATGGATGAAACACTTCAAAAAGTATAGTTTCTTTCCTGTTTCACCAGTCACCTGACCAAATCACCTTATCACCCCTTAATTCAAAATTGATTGTGCTCTCTATTCTAGACTTCGAGTGACCCATATTTTTTGCCATTTGTATTTTTCTTTAATTTCCTAGCCCACTTTACCGGTCTTCTCATTGTATGTTCAGAATAAAAGAAAAGGACCACGAGAAGAATATCCTTTATGGTACTATATGAAAACGTGGCATGAATATGACTTGACTAATCATACAAAAATCAGTAACATCACACTACTGTCCACAGATATTGGGTTAGTCAGATTTCATTAGTTTAGTCAGGTAATCGAGAAACCTGCTTGAAATTAAGTGGGAAGGTGGGCACAACGATAATCAAATTTTATAACATAGCATACTGAAGGAAATCTAAAGCTGACATTAATTGGAAATGAATGAGAGTAGTAGATCCAAATATCTGCAGTACCTTGAGCAGCAGGAGATGAACTGTAATTGTCATAGGCCCTTTAATTACGCACTGAGGAACAACTCCACCAAAACATCACTGCTCCAGAATAAAAACAAACTATAAAAGGAGAGTTGCAATGCCTCTTTCTTGATGAAAGACTTTGGGAAGACTTGGGCAATAAAGAATACTCATAAATTGTGAGTTTAGTTTCCTGAAGAGTCTTTCCCCTTCTCTCTTGTCTATTCCCACACCACTGCTAGATTTATCTTCCTAAAATAGTTTTAGAAACTTGCACAATTGAAAATACAAAATTGACAATCAGACTAAAAGAAGGTGTAATAGTTAGGTCACGCATTCATGGATCTTAGAATGGGACATAGTGGTCAATGAATCTAAGAAGCTCTCAAATGTAGAATTCTCATCTAAGCATCCCTAACAGATGACAAGTCAATTTTGGCTTAGACAGTTTCAGCTCATTGCTTTGTGATGCTCAAAATACTATGGAGAATAGCTACAAGGAAGTTATCTCGTAAAGTATGCTGAAACATTCTTTCCTATACTTCTTTTTATCATTTGGTCCTGTAGTAGTTTACTAGATCAACACAGAATGAATTTCCCCCTCAAGAAGTATATGAATAAGGGAATGATACACATCAGAAAAGGTACATTTCTTCACTTTGTTAGCTCTTGTTCACTACTTTTAGCACAGCTGGCAAAGCTCTTAATGTCATGCCTCTGTCTACTTTCCTATTACAGAGGCATTGTTGTTTTTTCTCGCCCACTCTCAAGCCACACATACCACTCTCCAGTCCTAAATATGCCCTTGACTTTTGTCACTATGCCTTTGTTCCCTCTGTCAGAGATCTTCCATGTTCTAAATGTCTTCAAAGACTTCTCACCCGTTAAGGTTGGTTCTAATGACATCTCCCTGTGCAATCTCCTAATTGCATCTTTGTTGGCACACACACATACGCACAAATAATATATGCTTTGTTCATAAATCACATTTTATTCTGCTTAAAATAGTTCTTTAAATCTTGTCCATGTTCCTCTCCCTAGTTCTGTAAACCTTTTGAAAGTAGGATCTATACCTTAAGGTCACCTAATTTTTTTTCTCTTTTTTAAAAAAAGACTATATACCTAAATCAAAGGGGGGAATTAAATGCACATAGGAAAATATTGATTTTGTCCATTAGACTTCTAAATCTATACACAAGAAGCTTTCATTATTCACATATATCCTTAATCATATTGTATATGTGGGGTATGTGTGTGTGTGTGTGTGAGAGAGAGAGAGAGAGAGAGAGAGAGAGAGAGAGAGAGAGAGAGAGAAGAGGACTGAGGAACCAAAAAGAAAATAAGTCAGGAGCATAAGGAGGTATTTTCTTCTTTTTTTTTTTTATTATACTTTAAGTTTTAGGGTACATGTGCACAACGTGCAGGTTTGTTACATATGTATACATGTGCCATGTTGGTGTCCTGCACCCATTAACTGGTCATTTAGCATTAAGTATATCTCCTAATGCTATCCCTCCACCCTCCCCCCACCCCACAACAGGCCCCGGTGTGTGATGTTCCCCTTCCTGTGTCCATGTGTTCTCATTGTTCAATTCCCACCTATGAGTGAGAACATGCGGTGTTTGGTTTTTTGTCCTTGCAATAGTTTGCTGAGAACGATGGTTTCCAGATTCATCCATGTCCCTACAAAGTATTTTCCTTTTCTACAAAAAAATTCTAATTGACCTGTGCACATTATTTTCACTTTGGAGAAGTGACTTCTCCTCAAGTAAGCCATAACAAGTGTTTGCCAAAGCTAGAATTAGCTAACCACTTGCTCATTTGCTTACATATCCCCGAGGCACCATACAGGACATTGCTGATACTATGGAAATGACCTACAGAAGTTTGGACATTTGGTGAGGACCATTTTTCACTTTTTTTCATTCCTTTCTCTATGTGAAGGAAATTTAATAGTATTATGTATTCTTTAATACCTTAACTCTTTCTCTAATGTGTGAGAGAGGGGAGGGAAGGGAAGGGAAGGGAAGGAGAGGGGAGGGAAGGGAAGGGGAGGGGAGGGGAGGGGAGGGGAGGAGAGAGAGATCAAAGGACAAAGAAAATAACCAGAGATACAAGGATGCAAAGAGAATTTCCTTTTTCTACTTCCAAAATCTAGTTATTCTGTGCAAAAACGTTAAGAACGAACTTTGGAAGAAAACTATGCATGGTGAAAATGCTGCTGTTTAAAAACTACAACAAAACAGCCCATCATAGAGTAGAAGAAACACCGGCCTGGGAGGACAAGTGCCTGTGTTCTATCACAGAGCTAATGTTAACAAGCTGCTCATTGACGAAAATCTCGTCCCTTATATCAGACTCAATCTCCTCATTCATAAGATGAGAAATTTGCACTAGATTATCACTGAAATTTGCTCCACCTCTAAAATGACTAGGGTTCCATATTCTGGTAAATTAAACAGAGTAATGTTTTAAATTAAAGATATTATCACAGGTGTGTAATCTTGCCTGTTGAGCATAAATTAAGAATATTTTCAAAACGATGTGACATTCAATTTATAGTAACAGATTCAAAAAGCATATTTAAAAATAAATTATAGCTAGATAGGAGAAATAAGTTCTAGTGCTCTATACGACTGAATGGTGACTATAGTTAGCAATAATATAGAAGTTTCAAATGGCTAGAAGGAGAACGTTGAATGTTCCCAACACAAATAAATGACCAATGTTTGAGATAATGGATATGCTAATTACCCTGATCTGATCACTATACATTACATATATAAAAACATCACTAGGTTCTCCATGAATATGTACAATTATTATTTGTCAATTAAAAAAATTCTTCAAAAGTAAACAATGTAAAATAGTAGACGTGATGTGAGGTATAAGGAGAACTTCCCAATCAATTTTGGAACATAAAACTTCATTTCTGAGGCAAAGGAAGAACTTGACATTTTATATAACTTCTTTGCCAGAATCCAGTGGCTCTACTATTTTTCTGAAGAATGCATAAAATCACAGTATCATGATACTTTGGAATTTAGGAGGCTGCTATACTGAGTTTAGTCCTGTCTGTTTGTATCTAACAAAGAAATCTTTCTTTTTCTCCAACCCTCAGTTTCTCCATCTTGGAAATAAGAAAGTTAGATGTAATGATAACATGAATGTCCTTACCTCTTAATCTTTCAGTTTTATGTGATCATATGAGTATCTTCTCTCTGATCAAGCAGTCTGCTTAGTGATTTGATAAATTAAATGATAAACTTTCATTTGCTTTGAAGTGTTTTTTATTTTGTTTTTGTCACTATAAAAATAATTAATTTTTGAGTATTTACAGCATTGTCCTTCCAACTGCTAAAGAAAGTCATGTCCTTGCCATTTTCTTCCTCAAAGACTTAGAAAAAGAAGGACAAACTAAGCCCAAAGTTAGCAGAGGGAAGGAAATATTAAGATTAGATCAGAAAAAAGCCAAAATTGAAATAGAAAACAATAGAAAAATCAACAAAGCTAAGAGTTTTTTTAAAAACAAATCAATAAAATTGACAAATCTTTAGGTAGATTAAGTAAAAAAAAAAAAAAAAAAAGGAAAATTCAAATAAGTAAAATCAGAAATGAAAGAGGAGACATTACAACTGGTATCCAAAAAGAATGCAAATGATTATAAGACACTGCTGTAAACAACTGTATGTTAACCTAGAAAAAAATGAACAAATTCCTTGAAACATGCAATCTACCAATATTGAATCTTGAAGAAATAGAAAATCTGAGTAGGCCGAAACTAGTAAGGAGATTGAATCAGTAGTCCAAAACCTTCCAACAAAGAAAAGCCCAGGACCAAATGTCATCACTGGTGAAATCTAATGAACAGTTAAAGAAGAATTAACACCAATCCTTCTCAAATTCTTCAGAAAAATTAAAGAGAAGAGAACACTTCCAAGCTCATTCTACAAGGGGCATCAGTATCCTGATATCAAAGTCAATAAAAGACACTAGGAGAAAAGTACAGAACAATACCGCTGATAAATATAGAAGCAAAATAACTCATTAAAATACTAGCAAACTGAACTCAACAGTATATTGAAAGGATTATACACGAGAGCCATATAGGATTTATTCTTGGAATGCAAAAATGGTTCAATTTATGAAAACTAATCAGTGTGATACACAACATTAACAGAACAAAGGCTAAAAATCTATGGTCATCTCAATAGCTGCAGAAAAAGCGCTTAACAAGTTTCAACACTTTCATGATAAAAACACACAACAAACTAGGAATAGAACGAAATTACCGCAACATAATAAAAACCGTATATGAAAAACCCACAGTGAATATCACATTTAATGGCAAAAGACTGAAAATCTTTTCCCTTAAGATCAGAAACAAGACAAGAATGCACACTTTTGCCACTTCTTTTCAAAATCGTACCAGAAGTACTAGCCAGAACAATTAGATAAGAAAGAGAAATAAAATACATCAAATTTGGAAAGGAAGATGTAAAATTATATCTGTTTGCAAATTAGATGATCTGATACGTAGAAAATCTTAAGAGTGACGCCACACAGAGACATGGTTAGAACCAATAAACAAATTCAGCAAAGTTGCAGGATACAAAGTCATCATTCAACAGTTGCGTTTCTATACGCTAGCAACATAAAAACAGGAAATTTAGAAAACAATCTCATTTACAATAGCAATAAAAAGAATAAATAACTTAGTAAATACCCAACCAAGAAGGTAAAAGATGTGTGTGCTGAAAGCTATGAAATATTGTTGAAAGAAATTGAAGATGACAAAAATAAATGGAAATACATCTGATGTGTCATTTAAAAGTCTATATATCCAAACCATCTACAGATACAGTGTAATTCCTATCATAATCCCAATCGCATTTTTTACAGAAATAAGGTAAATTTCCTAAAATTCATATGAAACCACAAACGACTCCAAATAGCCAAAACAGTCTTGAGGAAGAAGAATAAACTGGAGGCATCACACTTGCTAGTTTCAAAATGAATTACCAAAGCTACCTCAGTCAAGAGCGCACGATAGTGTCATAAAGGCAGACATATAGACCAATGGAACAGAATAGAGATCCCAGAAATAAACCTAGCATCACCTTCAATAGGGGTGCCAAGAATACACAACTGGGAAAGGATATCCTCTTCAACCAATGGTGCTGGGAAAACTGGATATACACATTGCAAAGAATGGAATTGGACCTTTAACTTAAACTATACATAAAAATCAACTCAAAATGAAATGGAGTAAAGACTTAAAAATAAGATCTGAAACTATGAAACTCATAGAAGAAAACATAAGGGAAAAATTTCCTGACATTGGTCTTCACAATAATTTTTTTTGGATATGACGCTAAAAGGACAGCCAACAAAAACAAAACTAGATAAGCAGAAATATATCAAACTAAAAAGCTTCTACAAAGCAAGGGAAACAATCAACAGAATTAAAAGCAACCTATAGAATGAGAGAAAAGGTTTGCAAACCATATATCTGATAAGGTGTCAATATCTAAAATACATGAGGAACGTAATAACAACAACAACAAAAATTCGAACAACCCAATTTTTAAAGTGAACAAAGGAATTGAATAGATATTTCTCCAAAGAAGACATTAAAATGACCAACAGTTATATGAAAAGATGTTCAACATCACTAACTACCAGGGAAATGCAAATCAAATCCACAATGATATACTACCTCACGGATTAGGATAACCATTATTAAAAAAAAAAAAAAAAAAAGCCCAAGATCATTACATGTGTTGGTGAAGGTGTAGGAAAATTGGAGATGTAGACTGCTGGTGGAAATATAAAATTGTGCAGCTTTTGTGGAAAACAATATGGAGTTTCCTCAAAAAAATAAAAAATATAACTACCATAAGATCTAGCAATCCCGCATCTGGATATTTATCTAAACGAATTCAATTTAGGATCTTGAAGAGATATCTGCATTCCCATGTTTATTGTAGCATTTTTACAGTAGCCAAGAGGTGTGAACAAACTAAATGTCTATTGACAGGGGAATGTATAAAGCTATGTTATATACATACAATGGAATATCATTCTGCCACAAAAAGGAAATCTTACCATATGCTACAATGTGGATGAATCTTGTAGCCATTTTGCTAAATAAAATAAGCAAGTCGTAAAAGGACAAATACTGCACGCATCCACTTACATGAGGTATCTAAAGTAGTCAAAATTATAGAAACAGAAAGTACAATGGTGGTTGCTAAGGGCTGGAGGAGGGAAGAAATGGTGAGATGCTGTGCAATGGGTATAGACTATCAGGCATGTAGGGTTAAAAAAATTATAAAGATCTGCTATGCAACATTTTGCTTATATTTAACAATACTGTATTGTGCACTTAAAATTTATTAAGAGGGTGGATTTCATTAAAAAAATAAAAACAAGTGCTTCATTAAGAAAAAAACATCTTTTTCAACACATACAATTCTTTGTTAATGAACTTAATCATTGAATGCCAACTGGTTGGGAAATGGTATACCTGACAACATAGAAAGCCATCAGACAGCTAACATGGTATTTGCAACTTCTCGTGAGGGTGGGAGCACCATAAACACATATATGAAGAGATAATAAAAGTCCAAGGCAACAATATAAGATGTAGCATAAGTGACCTCGTAATGAACTGAAATAGATATTAAGTTGATATTAAATGTTGTGTATCAACGGCAGTGTGAGATCATTGTGAACTAGAATAGTGTAGCATATCTTTTGGACTAAGGTAGATTATTCCAGGCTTTAAATTCCGAAATATTTAGAGAGTAAGAAGGACATAGAGAGACCATTCAGACAACAGTTGCAACGGAAGTAGACTTGAAGGCCAGAAAGAGCTCAGCATGCACAGGGATAAAACAGGAAGAGCCCAGTGCTAAGGATTCACTCAGGGGAAGGGTGGGTGATAATACTGGATGCTTAAGTTGGTATAAGATAGTAAGATACCTGAAATATGAATCTGATGTTTTAGTTTTTTAAAGAATTTTACAAAACAGATTTTTAAATAGCTGTAGAGATTCAAAAGAGAAACGAAGCAGTTGTACCCAAAAGTAGGATAATAAAGATCTCTTGATTGTGTTAAATTATAAATGCATACTCCATCCATAGGGTGATGCCAAAGAAGGAGGAAACAAGTAGTTTGTTATTTGTCTTCAATTTATGCTATGCTTCTTCTCTGTTTGAAGAAGTTGACCTGTCTGCTCGAAAGCCATATCCAGCAGACCCACCGATTACTTGCACAGTGACAGAATTTAAGGGTCAATTATATTCATGAACTAATTTATTTCCACTGAGTTTACTGATGACCCTAGAAAATTTAAGCGGTGACACAGGACTGTAAATTCTTTGTTGCATTATAAAGCTCCTTCAAGAAATTAAAATGCTTAAGTGAAAATAATGATCTATCCAACTTTGAGTGGTTTCCCTACACTTTTTAGTGATCACTTTCTGGTAAGAGACCTAGAAAAAAACTGCTGAATGAATCCTCAATTTGTCAATTTTTTGGAAAACCAATACCTTCTACAGCTATTGAAAATTCAGAGGGCAGTTTGCAAGAAACTTAATCTATATCATCCTTCCTGCAACCTTACCACAGCCATGATTTTATCTTCATTTAAAGCACGAGATTGAAAGATGCATTGTGAGAGAAGTTCCGGTTTGCTACTTCCTTCATTGTTATTTTTAATCTTTGAGATATACAATAAAGCATCATTAACCTGAAAGAAAGAACACCCCTCCAGAACACACAGTAATCAATGGCAAAGTTAATTGGAATTGAGTTCTTTTAACAATTCCACCTTAGCAATTCTACAATGTTCCTAGTGATAGACAGTTTTAATCAAAGCTTGGAGTATTTGAAAAAGAGACAAATAATGTAAGGAAGGAGATAATTTGTGACTAAAACCTAGTCTTTCCACTAAGGATTTCCTTTTCTTTAAAGTTTCAGGTTTGGAGCTGAAACACTTTTTGAGTAGAGAAGACACAGGATGGGACAGTGGTTGAAAAGAAGTTGGTCTGGGTGCAAATCCCAACTGCAGCATGTTAGCTGAGCCATCCTGGACAACTCACTTAGCCTCTCTGTGCTCCAGCTTCTTTGCCTGGAAAATGGGAACGATAATAAAACGCACTTTGGCCTGGCACATAGTAAGCCTTCAATAAAACTATCACTATCATTTTTATGAAGCAAGATAAAGCATTCTTCTTGAACCACTTCTCTACATTTTTTTTCTGAAAGGTTAGAGCTCAATGAGAACCATAACCCCAGGCCAGGGCAGAGTAAAGAAAGATATACAATTCTTCAGATCTAAGCAGTTGTTTATGGATACCTCAAAATGATTGTAATATTACCAACATACCTAAAAGAAAAGACAGGTGGGTCAGGCTAGTACATGTTTACTTCCTACACTGAAAGCATTTTGATTGATGCTATTCTGACTCTTCCAAATTTTAATGGCTCCTGTTAACCAATTTCACCTGCACACTGGGCTCGTATTCCTCATCTCAGCTGGTAAGAAATTAAAGTGTCTCAGTACGATGACAAGAAACTACTGAGCAGGCCATTCATCGTTCTGAAAACAGTATGAAACAGCTATCATCATACCTCTATAAATTAAAATGTTATTTTCTTTCTACAGTTGTGCTCTGACTACAAGCATATCGGCCATTCCTGGTGGGGTCCAGTTCATTATTTCAGTAGACGTAAATAATTTTTAGCACAGGTATTTGAAATTAGAAGGCGATTCAGCATTGGAATTGAGAATTGTCCACACCACTGCTTATAACCTTGGAATTAAGAAATGTGGAGGTGCCATTGTTCCCTGGGGTCATTTCCATCATTCTGTAATAGGTCTTTTGTTTTTGTTGGGACTGTTGTATTTGCCACCTTTGGTCAAATGAATCTGAAACAATTCTATAGCTAGAGCAACACCACGAAAGATTGTTTTGTCACTAAAATGATGAGCTAGAAAGGAAACGCATAGGAAAAACATGCTCAGCCTTCCTATAGCTAAGAAACCAATGTACGGAGGCCAGAAGAGTAGTTCAAGTTCTTCAGAAGCACATGAACTCTTTATTCTAATAAATTACAGAGTCCACATGTGGGAGATGCTTCACTATTTAGTGAAATCATTTCACGGAATAATATAGATCAATGTTTCTCATGCTGATTTCTCCAGGTCTTAGAAATCTGAGGTGTCAGTTTTAAAATCTCCTGGAAAATATGTGTACACATATTCAGGGTCATTCAGCTCAACTGAAACTGATAGCTGATTACAGTGTTCCTGCTTTGTTGATATTTATAAGGTCTGGCTTCGTATCAAGCAGTTATGTAAAGTGTAAAGAATTGGTGAGAATGAACATTATGCACCCTCCATGAAAGAAGACCAAATGACAACCAATTGTATGAAGAAATGTTAAACACAATTAGAATGGAAGAAAACAAGTAGATGAGGAGTTAGTGAATGCTACCTAAGAATACAGATATTAACCTAGAAATATGTTCTTGAATAATTACGTGACAAGAGCTAGACACAGAATAAATATATCATATAATTTCATTTCTATTTTAAAAGGAAAGTTTATATAAAATTCTATATATGTTATATATATTAAAACACGTTCATATGAATACAGATAAATGTCTTGATGTGAATGGATGATTCACATGAACACTTAAGAAAGTTAAATGGGGCAAGGCAGAAATGTATCAGCTCTTTATACAATACTATTTTTAATTTGTTTTAATGAGCATGTGTTACTTTTGTATATCGGGAATACGTTTCTTAAAAAGTATAAGTAAAAAGGATTTTAGAATAAATGGAAGTTTTAAAACAAGCAGCTTGCCATATGAAGAATTCATACTAGTCTTTTTGGATGAATGTTTTAAATAGGTTAACACGCTCAGTAAAATTTAATCTGCACAAATGGCTTTGTCTTACACAGAGAGGATCTATGTGGAAAACAGAACCAAAAGCCAGTCCAAACAAGTAAAACAGAAACTGAATGTAGAGTTGGAACTGATATTCAATTTTGGATTAGAAACTGATTATTGAAAGGAAAAAAAAACACAGTAATTTCAGATCTGCTGTTTCAGTAAACCTGACACTAATCTGAGTTTTTTAAAAAAATTAATTCTGACAAAGCTTGAGATAATGTTTTAATAGTGAGTCACTACAAAGTAACTATTAAGTATTCAACATTCAATTAAGTCAATTCAGCTTTTGATGTTTCAGCCAGGTAAATGCTCAACATGTGTGGATATAACACATGTTATACTTTTCCATTTGTGCAGAATTTTCTACTCAAATAATGTTTTAAGTATGTCTAACACACACACACACACACACACACACATGATTATATATCCATATCCTTCAACAAAATCTGAATATGCCTTCACTATAAATCTTTTGATTAGGTTAGAAAAGACAATCTATCCTTTGGAGTGATCAATTGCCTATGAGTTTTGTCCCCCTCAACTGCTGCTTAGTCCATAAACGGAACCTCAGAAGTTCTGCTGGAAGCTACAGTTGAAGTCTTTCTATAATGTTCTCGTTGCTAAGACTTTAGAGCTAGCCATAGAAACAAACTGCAAATGTTATTTATGCTTTATGTAGTAAAATGATAACCTGAATATAAGACTGGGTCTCGATTATTTGTTTCATTTATTTCCACACTCCAAAAAGTCTAGATCCACAAAATGCAAACCTAGGATTCCACGCACAAAAGGGTGCAAACACGAACTTTTATGATTCTCATATCTTTCAAATATACTTATGAATAGTTTATTACTATGGGACAGGTATGGATAAGTGTCGATTTCTTTACTTTTTATTATTTTTTGTAGGTACATAGTATGTATATATATTTGTGGGTTACTTATTGAGAATCCATTCAACGAGTATACAAAGATCGCGGATATTAAAACTGAAAAGAAAGACAACCTGGAAGTTAAAATGTTTGACATTAAGATTTACTAAACAGAAAGTTTGCAAAATTTCACAAACTATATAAGTTCATCTGATATGATGGATGCTTCCAATTGTAGAATACAGAAATTATATTCTTGAGTTTACATTTTAAACTTGTGAGATGTTTGGACTGAATATATAAATAGAAATGACTTAAAAATTTTCATGAATATTTTCAGTGGATACTATTACAAAGCTCAAAGTGGAGGTTAAAAGTTTTGACTCATTCGATTTATTCTCAACGAATGAATTATCTAATATTTCAATGTATATGAGATAAACATGTTTATATTAGAATGTCACCAATTGACTCTTTAATATATAAAGCCTTAATTATGTTTAATCTATAAAACCACTAATGTTAGAGACTATTCATCACATATTCACTATAAGATAAACACTATGGAGAAATTATGCATAAATGTGTTACATTAAAATACTATTAAAAAGACAATTTCTATGTGTGTGTGCATGTGTGAAGAATCATTCGTTTCTCTATCCACTTGACTACTTGTCATTTCTCTGTTATATCTAAGTGTAAAATGCAGACATACCAGAATTTTTGCATGCTGGGTTTCTGGGCTTTCTAGGTGATAAAAGTGCCTAATTATTCCAAACTGTTAGATCATTAATCCTAGCCACAAAAACATCTACATTAATTTAAACCTTGGCAAACGTTAAACAAGTAAATTACGAAAGTATGAGCCATCATGTCCTACTTCTCTTCCATTGTTTCTCAGCATCTTAAAGGATTTTATTTACAAAAACTTAGTAATCCCTTAAATACATTTCTTCAGTATATCTGAATTTCCTGTTTGTTGTGTGTATTGTATGTGTCTGTCTGTATGCATGCATGCCCATGTGTGTGGGTATATGGTGAGCTAAAGAGGCAAACAGTATATACATTAGCTAACTACAAGTTTTCTACCCAAATTTTCCCACAGGCCACACTCAACCCATTCTTAAAATGTTGCTTAGGCATTCATCTTCTCCTTCAGGATAATGGGGGAAAATGCTTATGCTTTTTATTTGCTTCTTGTAGATAATGAAAATTTTATTATTCACCCTAGCATGCTATCGATGCTTCAGCTGATCCTTTAAACATCTGGCCTACTGTTTAAAATGCATGGAGTGAACTGATGTCAGCCCGTGCTGATAATCAGAGGACCTTCAATTAAGTACCTACGAAGCAACCAATGATAAAAGAGAAAAGACAGTGCAAGTTTGCCAAAGAATTCTTTCATAGTCTGATTCTCAAAAGCAATTAGAATCACTTCTTTTGGCCTTGGAATTAATGAATTTTCATTAAAATTTAAATTTCAAATGATTCCAAGGATATCAAACTTGAGAAGTTGAGCTGATTGTCTACGTAATAAATCACACCACAGGAACATGTCAAAAAGACTAATGCAAGTTCTTTGCCGTCCAAAGTTTTGTTTCTCCTTGTCAGTGCTATGTGAACATATATAATTGCTTTCTTTTCCTGGAAGCAGCTTACCCAAAGACCTACCATTATTACACTCCGTATTTCTCTCTGTTTAGAATTTTTGAAATGATAACTCCAAGATTAATTGAAACTAGTTCAAGTCTACAAAACAAGTTTGCTCTCATAATTGAATGTGATATGATTTTTATAAATTGCTGCAGTTACATTCTTCACACTGTAATTTGCTTAAATGAGGAAATAAAGTTGAACATTCTAATATCAACATATCCTGTATTTGAAAGTGACATTTAACTTAATAACACAGACATTGTCTTTACTTGACAGAAAACAAAATACATTGGATGTTTGTGTATGTGTAAAGTAAGTGTTGTATTTTGGACTGTACAGAAGTATAACCATGAAAAGTGCTAAACATCTTTGGCCATAGAAAGCAACACGGGTGTTTTGAAATGGTAATAAAATTGAGCAATAAAGCAGAAAAATAATATTCATATAAAAGTGGTCTTGTCTGTGGACGTTAAATATTTTAATCTTGAATTAAAACAGCACAACACGTAAGTAATAGGCACATTTTGTTCACTCTTTAACTCATTCTGACAAAAGTATGTGCATGTTTTCAATAACAAATTTCACAGTACCTCTTTCTTTCCTCGACAGTGAATCTTCTTTGTCAGGAAAAAAAATCTCAACAGTCTAAAGAAGAATTTTCTTAAACATGACATATCCATATCAAGCAGCCATGAAGGAATGTTTCTAGTTCTTACTGTAATATTTTTCTTGCCATGTCCCTCTTCACAGGTGTACTTTGAATCAGATTGATTAACTTATCAGTGGTTTAATTGTTCAATATTTGTTCCATGTATTAATATTTTATAAAGGATTTTGAACCTGGGGCAAAACCTCTGCACTAAATTTCCCCCATCCATCGATCTTTTCCAACTCAGCATTTCAACAGAACTTAAATCACAGGGGTGCTGGCTTATAAATAAATGTATAACAATAAATAAAAATAGATGATTGTGGCTTTAAGATATGTTCAGAGACTGGAAGAAAGAGCAGAAGTCCCCAACTGACCATCGAACTGTTCTAATGTCCATTTTATTTGCCCCACATAGTGTTTAAATATTTCAGTATATAGTCAGCTTGGAACCTCTTGCATAGATAGCCCTTACTACTTCATGCTTTTCTGTTACCTGACTACCCATGTGTACATTTTGTTTTGCAACACCTGCATTAGATGCTGACATGTTGATTATATTGTATTATACTGACACTGCATGCCTAGCCTCATCTCGTCCCTACTTTCACAGCTGAGATCTAGAGCCCTGTTGCAAAAACATTTTAACCTCTGTAGAGAGCAGGGCGTTTTTGTCTTCCGTTTTTACTTGTAGGTATCATTAAGTCCCCTATATATTTGGGTGCTGAAGAGATAATAATAATGAACACACTTACGAAATAAATAAATCAGCTCATCATATGGTGACTGGAATTACTTCTGTGCGCACAAACTAATGCTAACATTTTTCGGATGCACAAAACATGTCAGTACATAGTTACCAACGATGGATGGATAGAAATATTGTTTTAGAAAGTCTGAGTTTTAATATAAAAATGGATGAGAGAAGGAAGTTCCTAAATTCATACAAATCACCTATAGTGGAAATGGGGATATGTAGAAATAAAATAAATTAAGCTTAATATTTAGTAATACAGTTAAAAGCAATTCAATATATAACCCATGGATTGGGATGATTTTTCAGTCTACTGCTTACAATTTCAGTATTAACATGCTCTTCTCACTTAAAACATTAGAAAAATAGGTTAAAAATTTTCAGACACATGGACAAAGAATGTTTTTATCTTTCTGACAGATTATC
The DNA here is from genome assembly GCF_000001405.40 of Homo sapiens. Taxonomy (NCBI): domain Eukaryota; kingdom Metazoa; phylum Chordata; class Mammalia; order Primates; family Hominidae; genus Homo; species Homo sapiens. The sequence continues at coordinate 32,067,156 of NC_000023.11, forward strand.
AGAATATGTAATTATTAGTTCAATAAATAAAGAAGTGACTGGTAACAAAAATGCAAAAGAATTCACACTGTGATCAAAGCAGAATAGGATCTCCGACATGACTTGATACAAAGAATACACTTCCAATTCACCCAATTTTTATTTTTATGTATAATACATTAGATACTTTTAGTGACCACGAATATTTATATGACATCTTTTTTTTTCAACTTTTAAGATCCAGAGGGTACATGTTCAGGTTTGTTACCTGGATATATGGCGTGATGCTGAGGTTTGGGATACAAATGATCCCATTAACCAGGTAGTAAGCATAGTACACAATAGGCAGCTTTTCAACCCTTGTCTCCCCCTTTCCTTTCCCCTTCTATTAGTCCCTAGTTTCTACTGTTGCCATCTTCAATTCTATAAGTACCTAACATTTAGCTCCAACTCATAACTGAGTACATATAGTATTTGGTTTTCTGTTCTTATGTTAATTTGCTTAGGATAATGGCCTCTAGCTGCATCTATGTTGCTGCAAAGGATATGATTTTCTTCTTTTCGTGGCTGTATAGTATTTTATGGTGTATGTGTACAACATTTACTTTATCCAATCCAACGTTGACGGACACCTATGTTGATCCCATTACTTTGCTATTGTGCATAGTGCTGTGACAAACATGTGAGTGCATGTGTCTTTTTGGTAGAACCATTTGTTTTCTTTTGGATATCTACTCAGTAATGGGATTGATGGGTCAAATGATAGTTCTATTTTAAGTTCTTTGAGAAATGTCCAAACTGCTTTCTACAGTGGCTGAACTAATTAACATTCCCAACAACAGTGTATAAGCATCCCCTTGTCTCTGCGGCCTTGCCAGCATTGGGTGTCTTTTGACTTTTTAACAAAGCCAGTCTGACGGGTGTGAGATGGTATCTCCTTGCGGTTTTGATTTGCATTTCTCTGATGATGAGTGATGTGACGCATTTTTCATGTTTATTGGCTGCGTGTATATCTTCTTTTGAGAAATGTCTGTTCATGTCTTTTGCCCATTTTTTAAATGATGTTTTATGATTTTTGTTTGTTCAATTGTTTAGGTTCCTCATAGATTCTGGATATTACACCACCGTCAGATGCATAACTTGCAAAAGTTTTCTCCCATTTGGTGTTTGTCTGTTTACTCTGTTGATCATTTATTTTGCCATGCAGAAGCTCTTTATTTTAGTAAGTCCTTGCTTGTCATTTTTTTTTTTTTTTTTTTTTTGCAATTGCTTTTAAGGACTTAGTCAAAAATTCTTTCCCAAGCCAATGTCCAGAATGGTATTTCCCAGATTTTATTCTAGGATTCTTATAGCTTGAAGTCTTACATTTAAATCTTTAATCCATTTCCCAATGCTTATTTTTTTGTTGACTTTGTCGACGAACAGTTGGCTGTAGCTGTGCAGTTTTATTTATGTGTTCTCTATTCTGTTCTATTGGTCTATGTGTACATGACATCTTGGTAGGATTTCAAACCTGTTCAATGCCCTAAAAAAATATAACTTTTAAGTGATTTGAAAAAAACTGCCTGCTAAATCTAAACTTGGAAACTGCCTACTTAATTCTATAATGAGAAGGGTAATCTCAGCATAAATTTCAAAAGTTAGGCTAAACTCCATATCTACTTGACAAGTAACCATGAGCTTAAATATAATCTGAGATCACCCACCATAATATGGAAGTGAGGTAGGTGAGATTGGATGGTTTGGGAGTAGAGATACAATGTTATAAATTCCGAATTGGAACATATTGACCTGACAACTGGGTAGAATATTTGCAATCAATATTGTTCAGAGACATTTTAGTCATTTGGCCCTTCTGTAACAGAGTCATAGCCCAATCCTTATCATGAAATACCTGGGACAAAGTATCTGAAATGTTAAAAGTTTGGGGGACGTAATTATGGTTTGTGGTGGAATCGTAGGCATGTATGTAAAATCATGGCTGTCCTTATATTTGAAATTCTATTTACTTCCTTTTGGTATGATGGCATTGAAAAGAAGAAATGATAAGTGTTTCAGATGGTGGATATCCCAATTACCCTGATTTGATCATTACACATTATACGCTTGTATCAAAATATCACTAGAATCTTAGAAATATGTACAATCTCTATGTATCAACACAAAAATAAAATAAAAGCTAAATCTAAATATGTTTCTTTAGAAAAAAGGAAGAATGTCAGATTTTTAAAAGGTAATAATAATTATTTTATAGGTAAAAATATTTTTCTCATATACATAATTATGGTAGAATTGAGTGTTGAATACAATAAAATATTCTAATAGCAATAGATTTGTGGGCACTGTAACTTTCTCGAAGCAGCAGAGAAAGTTCTGTAAGTCTCCAACCAAGTTTTATCTATGTTATGTAAGGGTTTTGAATGCTTTTCTATAACATAGTTTGATCTTTTTTCATTTGAAGCAGTAAAAGAAATTTCAATGAAGCATTTTAAGTATGGTGATAGATTAATGACTGCATACAATTTCACTCATTTAATTTTATTTCACCAAATTAGGCTTCAAATCCTCCAGACCATCTGTGAATATCTGGTTGACTTGTCAGAGTGCATTTTGCCTGAGTTCAGGGGCGCTGTGAATTTCTCACTCCAATTTAAATTTAGGACCTCTGAACACTGTTCTTCTATATTTGACATCTGATGGGAAGACTTGGATAAGCAAAAACACATTCATTACCTGCATTCCAGAAATTAAACCATCAGCAACGTGTTGCTACATTTTCACCCTAAATTGACAAGGAGGACATTATACCACGATGGAAAAAACACATGAGCAAATAGGCTAATTAGGTGCTATTGGTTTAGATTATCTGTCAGCAGCAGGACTGTAGGTAGCCACAGGGAGTACAGGCAGGGGAGGAAAGCAGGCTTGATCTAGATTCAAGCATGAAACCAGCACTCTAGAACATGATGGGTGTAATCTGGAGCAGATAAACAGAACCTGTTTCATGATAGCATTTTTGATGATTCAGGCCAATCGGATGGCTAGGAAGCAGGCGCTCTCCCCACCCCGCTCAAACTGCTGAGGAAGGTGAACCATGCAGTTCATCAGAGGGCTACAAAGAGGTATCAACACTTCAGTTTTCCATATGGGCATCTGGGGCTCACAAAACCAAACAGATTTTTGGTATCAAAAATAGTATTGCAGCCTCTGTGGAAACCACCCATGGGGTTTCTCATCTATGTAACACTGACATAGTAGAAACTCAGGCTGCCTAGAGCACATTCAGAGAACAAGTGAATGAGTGCAGTCTACAAAGTAAGTCTCTGTCACTTACATCATGCTTCCTGAGAATATCACTTGCAATTGTGAATTATGCTGCTATAAACATGTGTGTGCAAGTATCAACCCAAATGCCCATCAATCGACAAGTAGATAAAGAAACTGCGGTATATATACATATGTATGTACGTGTGTCTATATATATATATATGAATACTACTCAGCCATAAAAAGGAATGAATTAACAGCATTTGCAATGACCTGGATGCGATTGGAGACTATCATTGTAAGTGAAGTAACTCAGGAATGGAAAACCAAACAGCATATGTTCTCACTGATACGTGGGAGCTAAGCTATGAGGATGCAAAGGCATAAGAATGATACAATGGGCTTTGGAGACTTGGGGGGTAGAAAAGGGGTGCCGAGGGACAAAAGATAACATATATGGTGCAGTGTATACTACTCGTGTGATGGGTGCACCAGGATCTCACAAATTACCACTAAAGAACTTACTCATTGCAATAGTTTGCTGAGAATGATGGTTTCCAGCTTCATCCATGTCCCTACAAAGGACGTGAACTCATCCTTTTTTATGGCTGCACAGTATTCCATGGTGTATATGTGCCACATTTTCTTAATCCAGTCTATCATTGTCGGACATTTGGGTTGGTTCCAAGTCTTTGCTATTGTGAATAGTGCCGCAATAAACATACATGTGCATGTGTCTTTACAGCAGCATGATTTATAATCCTTTGGGTATATACCCAGTAATGGGATGGCTGGGTCAAATGGTAATTCTAGTTCTAGATGCCTGAGGAATCGCCACACTGACTTCCACAATGGTTGAACTAGTTTACAGTCCCACCAACAGTGTAAAAGTGTTCCTGTTTCTCCACATCCTCACCAGCACCTGTTGTTTCCTGATTTTTAATGATCGCCATTCTAACTGGCGTGAGATGGTACCTCGTGGTTTTCTCAGCAAACTATCGCAAGGACAAAAAACCAAACACCGCATGTTCTCGCTCATAGGTGGGAATTGAACAATGAGAACACATGGACACAGGAAGGGGAACATCACACACCGGGGCCTGTTGTGGGGTGGGGGGAGGGGGGAGGGATAGCATTAGGAGATATACCTAATGCTAAATGACGAGTTAATGGGTGCAGCACACCAACATGGCACATGTATACATACGTAACAAACCTGCACGTTGTGCACATGTACCCTAAAACTTAAAGTAGAATAAAAAAAAAATCTCAGAAATATCAAAAAAAAGAACTTACTCATGTAACCAAATACCACCTGTACCCCAATAATTTACAGAAAAATAAAATAATAAAAACTAAAATAAAAAAGAATATCATTTGCTAGGAGTAAAAAATAAAACTTCATCTTGAAGATCATAACAACCCTAGATGAGAAAGCAAATATATTACCTGATCTTTTTATTTTCCATCCTCATTTTCTCTTCAATGATATGTATGAAGAGAAATATTAATGTTAGAAAGGTAATGCAACGTGTTAGTAATTGCTCTGGAATTGATTTCTCTATTCTGTTGGCATTTATCAGAATTATTTAAATTTCAAAGCACAGTCTAAGAATTCCATGAGATAAATCTTATTGTAAATGAATTATATTACCATGGGCTTGCTCATTATTTGTGAAAGTGACTTTATCTGCCTGGCTTATTATTAAATATAGTTTATGAACAAGGTGGCACATTTCCTTCTGTTTGATTTTTGTAAAGAACTCTGTATCTTGAGCGGTTGGGTGCTGATATACGTGCCACGATATGTAATATTAAAAACCCTTTGCTCTCCAATGACATTCTTATCATTTGAAGTCATTTCTTAATGTTTCTACATTATTTTTAAAACACTGCTCTTTTGAGATTTTAAAATTGTTATTTATATTGCAATATTTTATATAAATTAATTTACTCCTTAGGAGGAAACTATATAGTGAACAAAGATTTTTTATTTAACCTTTTCAAAAATAATATCTTCTATTTGGGAAAAAAAAAAATGCTTTACAAAAGAGGTTCCAAAACCCAGAGGGGCCCACAGTCATTGTGTTCTTTCTTGACTAACGAATTCCTTGAGTGCAGTTTCAAGTACAGATTGTAGTATCTATCAATGTCTTACCCAATTTTCCCTGTCAGTGTTTCAAATATATTTTAATTCCTGTAAAATAATCTGGGATGTGGTAACAAATTATCATATATACATTAAGAAAATTTGGTTCAGGACAGGTCCACTGATAAAGTTTCCTGGTGTGCCCGATATTCTAGTAATTCCTTAATAGAAACCTAAGAGAAATTAGCTCTTTTTTGATCATCTTAGGTAGCCTGGGGAAAAAAAATCACTCCAGGTACAGCATCCTTTCCTATTTTCTCATTTCCTTTAACATCTAGTTTTATTTTCTTAATGCTTTGTCATTTTGTTAGTATTTTCTTAATTTTTTTTTAGTGTTTAATACTCGGCAAAGGACAGACATAGCCTGCGATGCAGGCAGGGCTGCTTCTCTTAATGTTCTTTTGACAGTAAAGATTCAAAATTAGCCCATTATCAACCAACAAATAAAGGAGAGGGTTGGAAATAAGTGTAATGGTTCCGGCCAAAAATAAACACAAGGCCAGTCTGCTAAATTCGTATGTTGCAAAAACGTACTTACTACTTCACTTAGCCTTTAAGAAAGACATGGGATGAATTGGGATTTTTAAAGTAAGAAGGGGAAAAAAAGCAACACTCTTAGCTCCTTTATCCAGTACTCCTGACTCTGCAAGGTAGATTGTTTCCTCCTCTAATTGGCAAAATGCTGCAGGTTTTCAGTCCCTCGGTGAAAGTGACTTAGGACGGGGCATTAATTCTTTCAGTTCACTAGGGCGTCATTTGGCAAATTACTATATGTGAGCAATAAATCAAAGAGTTCGAAGATGCCTTGAGAAATTCTCCAGGATTATTCTCTTGCCTTCTGGTAAATTAGAAACATACTACATTCAATAACAAGAGTATACATATTTTATATTATAAACATTATGGCTAAAAAATCATGGAAGAACTATTATTATTTTACAACCCCCTCTTTTTAAATGTTTTCCTAAACATACATGGTATGTATGTATATTTCAAACTGTCAAAAATCCCTGGATTGCAAGTAAAATTCAACTATCCCACTTGCAAAATGAATGGGTTAATTGTTCTTACTTTAGACTCATAAGTTTTCAAAGAATAATTTAAACTGTTAAATATTTAAAACAAATATACTTTATTTGGTGACTTAATAGATAAGAGAATAGAATTAGTTGTGAACATTTATACTAATCAAAATAATGAACTACTGTCATTTTGAATTGACACCTATATAAATTCTGATTTAAACATATTTTTACATCTCAGAAGAAAGAGCATAGCGTTAAGTATAAGAACCCATTTCAACCATAGATTGGCATAGCAATTATCTGATCTTATAAGGTTAAAAATATGAGAACATTTTCATAATGATATTAAAGTATTAATTAGTAAAATAGTTGCTCGATTATATTCCATAAAAATAGATAGACAAAGAAAATTTTAAGATAAATTCCTATGTAGTAGGTAAATACTTTTCCCTCAAATAAGGGAATACATTAAGGAGATGAAAAATTCTCAAACTTTTTCATTTTATAAATAAGAAAAAAATAATCAACCATATAAAAACCACATGACATCAAAAGCTATAGTTCTAAATGCTAGCCATAGAAATGCATGATTATATTATGATACTATTTATCTGTTCATAAACATGACCTGCCTCCCCAGTGCAATTTTAGGACCAATGAAAAGGAGATCCTACATCCTTTTAAATTTCCCCGAACCCTAGTGCATGGGAACAATATACAGTATTTTCTCAGAATAAAAATCAGGATGATGAAGAAACGGCGTTTACTATGCAAGGGCTGAATACAAAGGGAGATTAGTGGACTGTTTGGAAAAAGAGAATGATTATTACTGTTTACTTTAAGACATAAAGTCAGAAACTATAGCCTGTGTGACAACTCGCATTTGCTGCCTGTGTGCGTATGGCACACAAGCTAAGAATGGGATTTACATATTAAATGGTTGGGGAGAAATCAAAAGAATAATACAACTTTGCAACACATAAAAATTATACGATATCCAAATTTCTCTGTGCGTAAAGTTTGCTAGGAACAAAACCATGCTCATTCAGGTATGTATTGTCTGCTTTCATACTACAACAGCGTAGTTGAGTAATTGCGACAAAGACGACAAGCCTAAAATATTTACTAACTAGCCCTTCAAAGAAAAAAGGCTTCTGACTCCTGCTTTAGGAGAAAGCACGTACAAGGAGGTAAAAATAAACTTTTTTTTTTTTAATTGCAATCAGATTCCAGATGGACCCTAAGAGCTCAGTTACGGAAGTGGAAGGGGAAAAACAGCAGCAGCAGCAGCAACAACAACAACGACAACAACAACAACGACAACAACAAACCGAAGAGGAAAAGAGAGCTGAGTGGAAAAAGTCTTTGAAAATTTAGTCCTAAAACTTATATTTACATTCTCATGCTCTCCTGAAGTCACAGAAAGAGGTTCGGAACTTCTGCTTTAAGAGGACATTTGAATCGACTGGAGAGGAACAAAGCATTGAAGAGAGAGGAAGTGAACTCCTCAGATAAAGCTCTAATATGAGAAACATAGTTCCAGAGAGAAGTTAATGTTACTTCATTTTTCTGTCTCATTTCCTTCAAGCTCAAAGCATGAGTAAGTGATAATGGTAAGTAAATATGTATTCTCTCTGCCATCCTAAAAACAGAAGGAGGGGGACCACTTGTAAAATTAAACACTGGCTGTAAAAATAATTTATCCATATGTAGGATTTTTTTCAGTTGGAGAAAGCACCCAAGCCTACAGAGTGCGTGCCTAGGTTCTGCAATAACAATGCAATAGAAACAGTCACAATTAACATACAGGCACACAAACACAGAAACACATTTTCGTGCTTTCACTATAGTTACTTATGGGAAAAAATCAAATAAAATGAGGGCATTGGAAGGCAAACAAAACATGCAGATACTTATTTTTTGACAAAACTTTAATGTGAAGTTATTACAACTGTCTGAAAATTTAACTCTCCAACAAGGTCTTTCTTGTGAAACCGTTGTTTATCTTGCAAGTTCCTACAGATTCTCAATTCTGTACCCATAATTTTCCTATCCCTTGAGGCCTGGTAAAGTTTTCATGGAAAAAAATGAATGTTTTTGAGATTCTACATTTAATCTCTTAATTATTCTAAGGCAATAACATCTTTCCAGTGTTACAGATTTCATGCCAAAAAAAAAAAAGTTTATTTAGGGATGCGCGCAGCAGCTGACGCCTGTAATCTCAGCACTTTGGGAGGCCGAGTAGGGCAGACTGCTTGAGACCAGGAGTTCGAGACCAGCCTGGGCAACATGGTGAAACCCCGTCTCCACTAAAGATACAAAAATTAGCCAGGCGTGGTGGCAGACACTTATAATCCCAGCTACTGGAAGACAGAGGCAGGAGAATCATTTGAGCCCACGATGGGGAGGTTGCAGTGAGCTGTGACCATGCCATTGCACTGCACTCCAGCCTGGGTGACAGAACGAGACTCTGTCTCAAAAAAAAAAAAAAAAAAAAAAAAAAAAAAAAAAAGAGAGAGAGAGAGAGAGAGAAGTTATTTAGAACTAACAGTATGCAAGGCACTGTGCTGGCTGCTAATGGGAGACACAAAGGAATGCAAAGTCATGACCCTCCAGAGGATTATAACCTCAGCGGAAAGACAGACAGGTGTACAAGCAGCTATGATACAAGGCAAATGGAGGTAATGCTTTAAAAGAGCTAGACAGGGGAAGGAGATGTTACCTCTAGTGGGAAATTTTAGATGACTTCATGACAATGTTGTGCTCTGGCCATAAAGGAAACATAAGACTTCTTTTTTTCTTTCTTTCTTTTTTTTTTTTTTGAGACAGAGTCTCGCTCTGTCACCCAGGCTGGAGTGGAGTGTCGTGATCTCAGCTCACTGCAAGCTCCACCTCCCGGGTTCACACCATTTTCCTGCCTCAGCCTCCCGAGTAGCTGGGACTACAGGCGCCTGCCAGCACGCCCGGCTAATTTTTTATATTTTTAGTAGAGATGGGGTTTCACCGTGTTAGCCAGGATGGTCTCGATCTCTTGACCATGTGATCCGCCCGCCTCAGGCTCCCAAAGTGCTGGGATTACAGGCGTGAGCCACCCTGCCCGGCCCATAAGATTTCTTTAATAAGAGATGCAGCAAAGAACATTCTAGGAAGACATTATTACATTATAGAGGCATGAGAGGGTATAGTCTTGTCTGCCTCACTCTCAGATTCATAAACCATGGGAGGGGCCTAGGAATCTGCATTATTAACAAGCTCCCTAGGAGATTCTGATGGAGGGGTTCTGCAAACTGCACTCTAAGACTGATATAGAATATCTACCAAGAAATAGAGTAGGGAAGAGCAGGAACAAGGTATAGTGTGAAAGCTATAGGCTTGATGATAATAAAATGAGAAAGCAAGTCTAAGCTTGTGGCAAAGAGTCAATGTAATTTTCAGTGTAAGGCAATGAGTGCCTTGCTATGACAATGTTATATATTTACAATTAGGTGAAATAGATCCATTTGCATAAAATTCAAAAACTGGCAAAATTAATCTATGGTATTAGAAATCACGATAATGCTTATCCATGGGGGTAGCACGGAGAGACTGAAAAGGGGCAGAAGGGGGCCTCTGAGGTATCATCAAGGTTCTGTTTTTAATCTAAGTGCTGGTTAAAGGGATGTGTTCAGTTTGTGCAAATTCATCTAGCTGCACCTTTATATTAGGCATGCTTTTCTACTGAAGTATATTATACTTCAGTAAGAAGTTATAAAAATTAGGCTGAGTAGGTGTATTTCAACTAAAAGAAAACATCCTATAATTGTTATCTTATTAATCTCAGAAAATTTCATAATAACTTAATACCTCTTTCAATTCTCTGAAAGTTATATAAATGTGATAAAATAGAATATAAGAGGAATGTTCTAAAACATTTTTCAGATCATTCTAATGGGGAAAATAACTTCTTAAAGCTTCCTTGCTAACACTTAAATCCCATCAGATTGAAATTTCTTATTCTAAAGTTACCATCCTTGAGTCTATTATTTATCCTCACTGTCTCAGCTTGCTGTGCCCCTTCACAGTAAAACTTCTTGAAAAAGTTGTCTATAATCTTTGTATCTATTTTCCCACCTTATATTATTTACTCAGCCTACTCCTCTGGACCTTCCATATCCATCATTCTGTTCAAATTGCTCTTGTCCAGATCACCAAAAAATTATATGTTGCCAAATCCAATAGTCACTTATCTTTTCATTATACTGAGCCCCTCATAACATGCTGGTTATTAATTACTCCCTCCCTTCAACACTCTTTTTGTATCTTTCATATTGCCACACTCTCTTGATTCCCCTCCTAATTCTTGGTATTCTATATTGGATGTCCCTCTTCTGTTCCACTTCTAAACATCTGAGTGTCTCAGGGCTTGATCTTGAGACTATTTATGTTCTCCTGGAGGTCTCTAGCGCCATGGCTCTAGACAGATCCTTAATGTGCATCTGCCAGCCCTAAGCTCTTCTCTAAAATCCACATTTATATTCAGTTTCCTAGGGTCTCTAATAAGCATCCCCAAACTAGCATGTCCAAATAAAGATTCTTGATACTTTTTGAACAAATCTGCTCTTACTTTATAATATTCTACATCTCAATAAATGGTAATACCCTCATCATAATTATTCAAGTTAAACATTAAAGAGTTAACACTGATTTATTTTTTTCTCCTACCAATTAAGCCTTGTTGACTACAAATCTGAAATCAGTCGCTTCAATCTCTCCAGTACAATCGTCCTTGTCCAAGCCACTATCATCTCTCACACGGACTACTCAATTAATGACTGGTCTTTTTATTCCACTTTCACCCCCTACATTCCGTTTTCGATAAGCCAGTCAAAGTGAAGCTAATACTCTCCAATCACTTGCCACCATAATTACAATAAAATCTAAACAATTTATAAAAACGAACAAGTCTTTATATGAGCTGGCCATTGCCTACTTCTCCAACTCACTCATCCTCAATGTCTTAGCCATATTGGCTTATTGTTGTTGTTGCCCCATGAATATGTTAACTTGTCTTTACACCAAACACTATGCATTAGTGGTACTCCTGCCTAGAATACTGTTCCTTTTGATTGTTATTATAGGAGATCAATATATACCACTCCAAAATATGGCACTTTGACATAAAGATTACTTTTAGTTAGAGGCAAGTAAGAATCAATATAAGCAAAAAGAAGCCTTCCCAGTGCTTCCCTTGTCTAAATAAAAGCAGAAACTTCTGAGAAATGATAACTGCTATAAGCCCTCTCTCCTGGGAAATTGTTATGGCCATGAAGAATACGAAAAGTTGATCTCAAGATAGACTTGGCATAAACAAACTATACTCCATGTTTCTCCCATATATTTACCTTCCTACAGTTTGGCAACCCTAAATACCTAAACCCCTTTTTTCTTTGTTTTGTCATTTCTCTACAAGTTTACTGTTCTTTGTTCAGATGCTATATAAACCCAACATTCTAACCACCCCTTTGAGTTACTCATCACTGAGTTTCTACCAGGTGTATGTGCACTGAATATTTTAATAAACTTCTAGGCTTTTCCTCTTGTTAATCTGTCTTTTGTCACTCTAACTTTGTAGGACTCCAGCTGGGCAGCCTAGAAGGGTAGAAGGAACATATTTTTCTTCCCCTACATCACAGAGCTGGCCCCTTCTTGTCATTCAGATCTCTGTTTAAATAACATGGCTCAGAAAAAAATGTCCTTGCTTGGGCCTGGTGGGTCACGCCTGTAAATCCCAGCACTTTGGGAGGCTGAGGCGGGTGGATCGCTTGAGGTCAGAAGTTTGAGACCAGCCTGGGCAACATGGTCAAACCCCATCTCTACTAAAAATACAAAAATCAGCTGGGCCTGGTGGTGCATGCCTCTAGTCCCAGTTATTTGGGAGGCGGAGGCACACGAAAAGCTTGAACATGGGAGGCAGAGGTTGCAGTGAGCTGAGATTGCACCACTGCGCTCCAGCCTGGGCAACAGAGCAAGACTCCGAAAGGCAGAAAGAAAAAGAAAGAAAAGAAAGAAAAAGAAAAAGAAAAAAAAGAAAGAGGGAGGGAGGGGAAAAAAAAAGAAAAAAATGTCCTAGATATTCTGAACCAAAGTGGTCATCCTGTCACAATCTGTAATTTTACCCCATTTTAAAGTCTCTTTATGTATATTTTCTAGTTATTTTGTTTTCTGTCTCCTGTGAGAGAATGTAATATCCATGTCGATACAAATCATATCTTGATTGTTAATTGCTGAAATCCCAGTGCGCCCAAAATTGCACGTCCTGTAATAGGTGTTTGATAAACTTTTGTTGAATTCTGAATGTTAAACCCTTTGACAAGTGACCTGACATGATGAATAAAAACTTATAGGGTTTAAGGATTAAAAAATTTCCATAAAGAATTGTTTACTTAATTCACAATGGCTAGGACTTGCCAATGGGTATAGAGGCCACCAGAAACTGGTGAACTATTTTTTAAAATCTCATAATATAAGAGGAATCATATTATTAACTGGCCACTATTCTGAGTTTTGAAAAACATTTTACAACTTTAAAAAATGATTCAAATAAAGCAAGGAGACGAGTAATGCAAGTAATGCCAAGTATGACTTGTGTTTATCTAATAATGGACTTTGTTACTTATAGCCACATGGAATTTTAGGGCTGCAAACAACAAGGAGAGGCACCTCCTTCTGTAATCACAGTGTTGCTATAATTACAGACAAAGGTTTGTCAGCATTTCCATTAAAAGAACTTAACTAAGCTGTTAAATGTCCATTAGCCTAATATATGGCTTATAATATCTTAGCTAACTGCATATTAAAAACAGCTAATTAAAAATGGATGGATTTTTAAATAAAGTTATGTAAATACCCAGAAGAAATCAGCTCTTTAAGTGTGCACATTTCTATAACAATATAAGTGCAAGCTTTTTTTCCCCAGTATTTGAATTGTCTATTTATATGCATTATTTTTAAAACTTAACCTAAAATGTTCTGGAAAGGGATTACATAACAATAAGCACAATGTTGTCATAAGAAGGAAGAATGAACGGCTTGACTACTGTGATGGACGCTGATGAACTACTCAGATTTCCCTTCAATAAAGAACTTGTCCCAGCAGGTGGAAGGGCTGGTGGCAGACAGCCTTCAGCTCTCAGTTTTAGGGGTGGTCCCAGCCATGAAGAGCCCCCTTGCACAAGGTCATGACTTATTTCTGAGAAGGCTATCATCCAATGACTGATTAATGCAGGAGTAGTAAGGCTCACTGTTCTCAGGACTACTCTGAAGGGTCATTCGAAGCTCTGAAGCTTCCCATATGTTTGGTCAATTGGGAAACAGCTCTATGGAGGTGCCCAATGATATTATAAGTATCCACATAGGCCACATACACAAAGTTCAACTGCAGATTGACCCACGTCTTGACAAATGCTCTGTGATCCTTCCAACATGGGAAGATAGGCAGTCTTGAGAGGAAGTCTACCAAGGCAATATTCCACCCACCTCTGTATCTTTAGGGAAGTCCCTTACCTTGTGGGAGGTGGCGATAGAACATTTCTCATCTGCCTTTCTGGTTATGGTGAGACATATGATGTTCCATCTCAGCTCCCCTTAAAGTACAGCTGCAGAGTATAAAACTGCTTAATTGCATGACGAAATTGGCTTCTCAACAACAGAGTGCACACTGCTTGTGTTGCATGTCATCTGGTCTCTTTAATTTTGGTATCATACTGTGGGACAAGTGACACAGGAAACTGACACCATGCTGATCATACTTTTGATGCCTATAAAACTGTTTGGGTTGACTGTCTCATTAACTGCTGAATCTCTCAGCCTGCTTAACACTAAGGCTGTTATTGGGCCTGCATTACAGCTCAACTTCTCTTTCTGTCCAATCCTGCTTCTAAGCCCTCTCTTGAATATGTATTGGTCCAGTGGGCATTCCCTGATAAGTATTCTGCATATTAAACTTTATTTTAGAGTCTGGCCGGGCGTAGTGGCTCACGCCTGTAATCCCAGCACTTTGGGAGGCAGAAGTGGGTGGATCACCTGAGGTCGGGTGTTTGAGACCAGCCTGACCAACATGATGAAACCCCGTCTCTACTAAAAATACAAAATTAGCCAGGCGTGGTAGTACTTGCCTGTAATCCCAGATACTTGGGAGTTTGAGGCAGAAGAATCACTTGAACCCATAAGGCGGAAATTACAGTGAGACGAGATTGTGCCATTACACTCCAACATGGACAACGAGAGCAAAATTCTGTCTAAAATAATAATAATAATAATAATAACAACAAATAAAGTAAAAATAAAAATGTTTTAGAGTCTGTTTCCCAGAGAACCCAACCTGTAACACCTACTTAGTATGTCAAAGCAACCAAGGAAGTCAAGGGCTGTATTATTTCTCTTTTTATTTGGCTGTCAGGAGTTGTGTTTATTACTCTATCTGAGGAGCCCAGAGTGATTTTACGTACACGATCTCTTTTTGCAGTTTCATATTACATGTTCTTAGTTGCTTTAACTAGATGACTGCTGAGCAGGCATCTAGGCCATCTCCACTGAAGTCGTGCAACCTCTTCCAATACAACTCCAGCAGGCAGCCAGGTTTGGAAGTACTCTATTCCATTACATCTAAAAAGTATGCCTTTTGTTTTCGAGACAGGATCTCACTCTGTCACCCAGGCTGGAGTGCAGTGGCAGGAGGGAGCACAGCTCACCATAGACTTGACCTCATGGGCTCAAACGATTCTCCCATCTCAGCCTCCTGAGTAGCTGGGGCTACAGGGGCACACTACCTCGCCCGGCTATCTATCTATCTATCTATCTATCTATCTATCTATCTATCTATCTATTTTGTAGAGATGAGGCCTATTTTACTCAGGCTGGTCTTGAACTGCTAGCCTCAAGCGATCCTTACACCACAGCCCCCCAGTGTTGGGATTACTAGTGTGAGGCACTGCACCTGGCCATTATTTCCTTTTGTTATTTCCACTCATTTGTTTTATTGCTCCCTTTCTGAGCAAAGATGATGCTTTAACATCCTTTGTAAAAAACAGCCTTTGAGGTTAACATACATCTACTTCTCAGTTTTCCTACAACTAGATTTTTCTACCCCATGGAGAAATAGTCTCAATTACAACTAGTCCTAAGATCAGCTCTTTGGGGCTATTTGATTATTCAAAAGTCCTATGTAAATTGAAGACCTAAAGGATAAAAAGATCCCTCCCAACCATACCTCCCCTACATGTGTGATGAAAGCTTCAGCTGAGCTAGATGGCCCCTTTAATGGTGTTTTTAATTTATACCTGCTCTTGATGGAAGAGAAAATAAAGGAGTTCTCCAAAGGGATTTAGGCGTGGGAGTCAATATTAGATCCAAAGCAAGGGTCATTCTGTTCCTATGTTTCTAAGGGCTTTCTCATTTACTCAATCTAATAATTTTTAAGCACCTCTTATTGTCCTAGCTAACACCCTGGATGAAATGGTCAGAAAGCACTACATGTATTTGACCTCAGACAAGTAATAGAAAGCCTATTCTGACTTTTTAAATAACATTTCAAGAAGTCCTGCATAACTCCTTTCTATTATTTTATGAACATAGTCCATGGAGGCTTCCAACTAGCAACCCGTGAACTTAACCTAAGGCTTCTATTTAATGAGTCTGATAGCCACCTGAATAAAAAATCTTTTTTTTTTTTCTTTTTTTGAGATGGAGTCTGGCTCTGTCGCCCAGGCTGGAGTGGAGTGGCAGGATCTCGGCTACCGGGTTCAAGTGATTCTCCTGCCTCAGCCTCCCGAGTAGCTGGGACTACCGGCACATGCCACTACGCCCGGCTGATTTTTTGTATTTGTAGTAGAGGTGGGTTTTCACCGTGTTAGCCAGGATGGTCTCTATCTCCTGACCTCATGATCCGCCTGCCTCGGCCTCCCAAAGTGCTGGGATTACAGGCGTGAGCCACCATGCCTGGCCCTGAATCAAAAATCTTTTGCGTAGATAAGGAAAAAAAAATCAACAGTGTTGTATAAGGGGCTCATAGCCACTTCATGGATTGAGGTAGCTTACAAAGCAAAATAACAGGGAAGTGCCACAAAACAATTCAATACACTACTGGATTCTTTGAACCAAAACCTTGAAAACAGCACAAATCTGTTCCAGTACTTGGGAGATCAACCATTGAAAATTAACATTTCATTTACAACTTCTGCCTGCTCTTCTGTTCTAGCCTCCTCTTCTGTTCTAGCCTGCTCTTCTGTGGCTGTTCATCGCAGCCACATTTGTAGGTTTAAATGTTCAGATTGCCTAGAAAGCTTTGCATATGCAAATATATGCATAATCATCTGGTTATGCTTTCTATCAGACTCATAAACCTGCTTTATTCTCTCCAGCATTTTTCTTCTAATATTTCATAAATAGGGCTGTAACCTCAACCTTAAATTCCAAATATTCTGAATTTTCTTTTTGTCTATAATTGTATTTTGTCAAGATTTTTTTTTACTAATATTTAAAATGAACTTTAAATGTTTCTGAATTTTAATATTGAAACCTCAAATCCTCACACACTCACCTTAGGTAAGTAAAAAAGCTTTAGAGCTTGAGTTAGTAAGAAGGACTTAGTCAAGGAAAGAGACAATACAGTGAGTGAGTGAGTGTGTGTTTGTGTATGTGCCTGTGTGTGTGTTGAGGGGTCATTTGTGTATTGCACATGACATCGAGAAGTGAGGGATGTGAAAACCAAGATGTTTCCTTCCTGAGGCCGTGTGACCTGATTCAGAGCTGCATCTCATTCACCTCTTAGGTCCCTGGTTGGAGTGCCTTTTTCAAATGTCTCTGCCCAAAGTGAGGGACATCTTTTATTAAACCATCAAGTCAAAACGAGTGATCTTTCTAATACATACAAAGACTCAGGATATGCCATATACAGACATGCAAATGACCAAGGCCTATTTTCAAGCATTATTACTAAAATAATTATTTGGGATAAAACTTAATAAACACAAGTAGTATCTGCTTTATAGATAGATGATGGTGCCAAATTGAATATGAATATCAGTTGTTTGCAATAGGGAACATATTTTCCACATAAGCATTGGATACTTAGTAGCTCAGTTGCCAATTACACTGCCGACTCTAACTTAAGCTATCTAATGAGGACAACAGACCTGCTATTGGGATTACGGAATTCAGGAAACAGTAAATTCACTCTGAGAGCAATTGAGATCCTCTGAAATGGGGTCTCGGAAGGCGGGGAATTAATAACAGGGCCTTTGAGTATGGCCTCACAAGTTGTAAATTGCTTCCAGAGGCACTGAGCTGAGAGGCGCAGAGAAGCTGAAATCTTCAAGCCACGAAACCTGGCCCCGGGCTCTATCTGCCCAGTAAAAGGACCACTGTTTTCCTTCTCTCAAGGGATCCACATGGGTTAGCACGTGTCTTAAGTGTTTGGGTTATCATGCTGACTGTACACTCTTGAAAGGCAAGCCAAATTATTCCTTCCTAGACAAAAGCAAGAAATATATGAAGAAAAAAGAAAACAACTTGAGAGGTGAGATACTTGCCACAAGTTTGGATGGACAACCCTTGTAAATTGAGCATTCATTGCAGCATCCATGCTTATTTTAAGTGTAAGTTATATACACACACACAAACACATATGTATATGCATATGTATGTATGCATACATATACACATATTTATTTTTATTTAAATAATTTTTTATTTGTATGAATGTAAGGGGTACAAGTGCAATTTTATTATGTGAGTATGTTGGATAGTGGTGAACTTTGGATTTTTAGTGTATCCATCACCCAAATTATGTACATTGTAGCCATTAATTTATCACTGATTCCCTTGCACACCCCCACACTTCAGTCTCCAATGCTTATCACTACACACTCTATGTCCATGTGTACATGTTTATACATTATTTGTCTTTCACTTATAAGTGAGAACATGGGGTATCTTTCTGCTTCTGAGTTGTTTCATATATATATATACACACACACATATATGTATATATGTGTATATATATACGTATATATATACACATATATACGTATATATATGTGTGTATATATACGTATATATACACACGCGTATATATATACGTATATATACACACGCGTATATATATACACATACACTGATATTGATGGCTTTTCTCTAGAAAAAGTATAAATCTCTATATTTATCAAACTGTGCATTTACGATATCTGGCAATATCTTATCTACTAAATCAAAATGTATACAATGTGCCCCAATATTTAGCAATCTCAGTTCTGGGTATACACCCATGTGAAATGTGTAAATTCTTATACCAAAAGACATGTAATAGAATATATGTCTGCAACAGCACTATTTGTAATAGCTAAGTTATCAATAAAACTGTTATATTTACCCTATGGAATATTATGCAGCCCATAAAATGATTGTTTAATAACTACACACAAGAGAATAGCTGATACACAAATACAATGCACTAAGAAGCCAGACATTAAAGAGCATATATTGTATAATTCAGCAAAAATATAGTAGGGCAAAACCAATCTATGCTGTCACAGATCAGATCGGTGATTACTCTTGGGAGACTAATGATTGCAAAGAGGAACCAGGGGTACTGTTTTGTTTTCTTTCTTGAAGTGGATGCTGATTACATGACTGGCTTTAGATTTTGAGGCATATACTTGTGATACGTGCACTTTTTATTGTATATGCACTTTTATAAAATTATTTAAAATAGAGTACAGATCTCTAAAATGTTAGCATACCATAGTTTTCATCTTTTTGCTACTGCTATGAACCACATCCAGAGTAAGGTGTTTCACGCATATTATCTTTAATTCACACAATATGGATTGTATGGCCTGTCTGGTCAGGATGATTACCCTCATTGCACAAGTGATCCAGCCTTTGACGCAAAAAACTGAATACATTAATTGGCATTCATCCTTTGTTGTTGGGTGGGGGGGAAGAAGCACAATCATCATCACTGTGGATGTGTTCATGATATGAATTGTCACTCCAAGTTTCCTTGATGCTTTAGGAGTATAAAGATGATGTAGCTGCTTGAGGCCACTCATCCTAGAAGCAGTCTGGAGAGGCATGTGACAGTAGATGCTAATTGACATTCTTATTTGTCTGTGTCAACAATCTAATTAAGGTTTTTTCCTGCCTAGTAGATTGGTCTCATTTTAATTCACAGTACCAAAAAAGAAACACTTCCAGGTAAATAGAACAAAAAAAGTCTTCCGAAGAAAAAGAAAAAGTACAAAAACCAACTTAAATGGCCTGGAGCTCCAAAAGTACTTTGTTGACAAAGAATTCTGTGAACACGTCATATATATTATTGACTAAAAAACCTGCAAAGTTCAGCACAATGCTCTGATCCCTAGATATTTTATTTTATAGTCTACACACTGTTAAGGTTTTTGATGTTAAGAATTGAAACGAGAGTAGTATCCTTATAAAGCATTCTTGCCTATCTTAACCACCACTCCCTTTCTAATGACTAGGAAAGAGTATAATGTAAAATAAAAAATTGATTCAAAATTTTCGAGCATGAAAAAATTATCATGAGGGAATTCTTCTCCTTAACTTATCCACTGATGTAGAAACGTACATGTAATTGAGAAAAATAATAAAATGGATGTTGACGGTATTTCCCAGAAGAATTAACAAATTTGAAATTAAGTGAGTAAAGCTGTTATTCAGTCATTATTTCAGGGTCTTTTCTCAAGCCTCTGAAGTACATGTGGGAAAATGCTACATAAACGTAGCAGAAATGTTAATTTCTGCAGCTTATTAAGTTAGTTATTAGCCTATAATTCAAGATCTTTGAGTATCATTAAAGGACCCGCACAGGTACATCATTTTAATGACTTATGTGAGAAAATAGATATATAAAAATAGGAACATGATCTGGACGTTAAGAAATAATTTTGAGGTTCTCCTTACTGATACATCGTGTTGTGCGTTGGAATTTTTGCCCTGATATTGACCCGCTAGTCCGAGTCAATCAGACCTGGAATTCTCCTGATGACTGGTTCTAGACTAAGAGCAGTCTCATGTCCTAAATTGGCTCAAATGGATTGAAGAGACATATTCCAACGAGGTGGAAGAGGTTTTCTCTCTCTTCAGCTTGTAGCTTAAAAGCCAATCTATGACTACAGGAGGAATAAAACTTAGGAATTCACGAGCATAAAGAGTAAGGCCAGTAATCAAGGCATCCCTATACTTGGCAAACCTGGCCACTCTGAGGCTTCTCTTTGGAGGATTCCACCTCTGCTACATCTAGACAATGACTCAGTGTTATTTCTGGATATAAGGCACTGCTGGGAACACACAGATGAATCTGACATGAATTCTATAATGAGTTTCTCAGGAGAATAATGAATTTTGGTAATGGGAAATGAAAGTGGGGAAATGTACTGTATGTTATGGACTTGACCTTCGTCTATAATATGGGTGTCTGCCACTCGTTCAACAATCCATTAGCAAATCATTTAACTTAAAAATATTTTATCCATATGTTAAATTGGGCTACTAAAACATATAATGAAAGGGCATATAGAGCTATGGGCTTCTTTAAGGAAATACAATAACAGCTAATATTCCTAGGAGCTTTATGCATATCAGGCACTGTGCTAAACACTGAATAAGCAATTTCTTAACCTTCACATGAACCCCATGAGATAGACATGGTTTTCCCCCATTTTACAGTTGACGAAATAGAAGAGATTTCAGCCACTTGTTCGAGGTCATTTGTTCAAGGTCAGACAGGTTCCACGGTGGAACCTGGAAAGTAATCTCAGATAGTTTCTCAAATTGAAGCTCTCAACCAGGAACTCTTTTTACCTCCAGCATATATTCAGACATGGCATAAGCAGAGGACAGAGGCTGTTCTATGAAGCGATGACTAAAAAAAAAAAAAAAAGTACAAATATTTATTTTTGCCATCATAAGCTAAATAAGTGGGCTTTCCTAAGTAGTTTCGTAATAGGAGAAAAGCTGATGAATAATGAGATAGAAGGGTTGGTGTTGAGGCAGAGGGGCTTTGGAGACTAAAGCAAATATTTAAATGAAAATAGCTCTGAAGTGTGTGTGTGTGTGTGTGTGTGTGTGTGTGTGAAAACAGAAGTTCCATAATTAATAATCTACTATGTGCCAAATACTGCCATGCACAATCACTACAAAAGTGAATGGCCTTGATCCTTTCCTTTTACTACAGAGAATGACACATATAAATAAACCATGTCAATCTGCTACGACAAGCGCTAAGATTGAAGTTCATTGAGTGTTCAGTCCGAGCCCTAAAAGAAACTACTGATTGCCACATGTATGTAAAGGCAAGCAAGACAAGGTTTCCTGGATGAGATGAGGCCTAGGCTGAAACATGAACTGAAAAATGTGTTTTTCTGGAGATCCATTCAATACGCTATATTTAGGTATCCCTTTGCTTAAAGACAAAGTATTTGTTATTGGAATTGATGTGTAGTAAAATCCGCTCCTTTTGAAGTAAAGTTCTGTGAGTTCTGACAAGGGCTTAGTCGTGTAGCCATCATCGCAGGCAAGACACAGAACAGCTTCATCACCCCCCAAAATGCTCTTGTGCTGTCCTTACCCCCATCTCACCTCCTCAGAAGCAATCTCTTTTAACCCTTCTACTCTGTGGTGTATTGTACTGAAAATAAGATACGTTTATTTTATAACTTTTAAATTAGGTTCAGGGGTACACGTGCAGGTTTGCTATACAGGTGAACTGCATTTTGCGGGGGTTTGGTGTAAAGATTATTTTCTCACGCAGGTACTAAACATAGTACCCAATAATTATTTTTCCTGATCTTCTCCCTCCACTTGTGTTCCACCCTCCAGTAGGCCCCAGTGTGTGTTATTCCCCTCTTTGTGTCCATATGTTCTCATCATTTAGCTTCCATTTATAAGTGAGAACACGCAGTATTTGGTTTTCTGTTTCCATATAAGTTTGCTAAGGATAATGGCCACTGGCTCCATCCATGTCGCTGCAAAGGACATGATCTCATTCTTTTTCATGGCCACATAGTATTCCATGGTGTATATGTACCACATTTTCTTTATTCAGTCTGTTCATTGATAGGCATTTAAGTTGAATCCATGTCTTTGCTATTGTGAGTAGTGTTGCAATGAACATACACAACGTGCATATGTCTTTATGGTAGAATGATTTCTATTCCTCTGGGTATATGCCCAATAATGGGATTGCTGGGTCAAATGGTAATTCTTTTGTAAGTTATTTGAGAAATCACCACACTGCTTTCAACGACCGAACTAATTTACGTTCCCACCAGCAGTGTGTTAAGTGTTCCTATTAAGAGATTATTAAATCCCTATCCTTCTAGGAAGTTATTTGAAGTAGTCAAGAACTACACAGAGATCACTGAGACAAAGATTTGAAGAACAATTGGAATCTTACAGCTAGCTACTATCAGAAATAACAACCCGTAGTAAATATTATGTAGTTAATAATTTTCTACTTACATTATGTTTAATGAGTCCTCATCAAGAAACCATGAGTAACATAAAGTTAATAAACAGAGATGACATGATAGAATCTCCAAGAAGTTGAATCAGAGATTACCTTCAAAGTTTACCAGAACAAATCAACAGAAATTGCAT
This sequence comes from Homo sapiens, assembly GCF_000001405.40. Taxonomy (NCBI): domain Eukaryota; kingdom Metazoa; phylum Chordata; class Mammalia; order Primates; family Hominidae; genus Homo; species Homo sapiens. The sequence continues at coordinate 32,090,235 of NC_000023.11, forward strand.
AGAATTAGAAAGCTCTAGAAGTCCATTAGGAGGGGAGTTAGAATACCTTCAGAGAAAAACAAACAGGAAAAGTGAAATTTAACTATCTAAGGAAAATGTGTGAAAGACATATTTAAATCCCTGTCACTAACAAAGCTGAAGGAAGAGTGTCTTCAGATTACAGGTGTTTCTTCTACCTACATGAAAACCTGGGAAATGGGCAAGTGAAGAGCACAGATTTATCTCTGAAGAAAGAACCCTCCCACCTTACAGCTACTAGAGTGGTCAACCCACTTTTAAGGTGGGGATTATTCGTCAGCGTTATCCACAGCCTCAGGGAAATACTCCTCAAAGACATCTCATTCCTTGCTCCATTGCTTCTGATCATGAAGTCCGTTTCATGATCATCGCTCTCTAATTCTAAAACTTCTAACCATGAGATAAGTTTCTAAGTTACCCTCACACACTCAGGTATCCAGTTTCTGAAAAGGTAGTACAAGTAATGTGAATGAAAGAGTATTCCGGTTTGGATATGATTCTGAATTTTGGGTTTTTTTTTTCTGCTGGGACAATCCAATCTAGGTGAGCCAACCCAATGCTGAGGGACAGACCCTGGTTAAAGGAGATGCTTCAACACAGGCCATCCTATGAGGTGCTGTCTGAGAGGCCAGTCAACCTCTCTGAAAGCTCTGCTCATGTGTTTAATTTTCAGCAACGGATATTGCAAGAGAAAAGCATGCTCTGTCATTTTCCTATGATTAGACAACTAATAAATAAGCCAGCTCTGGCTTAAATGTAGCACTTTTAACTCAGGCCATGCCCATTTTTTTATGCCACACATCTTCTCAGGCACAGCGGGAACACACTTGCGGCGTAGCAGCAGCAGATGATTTTTTTCAAAGAAGAGAAGAGAAGACACCTTTGGCAAAACAGTGCTGATAAACTAATAGTCAGGAGCTTTGACAGAATGTTAAAGAAAAGCTGATTTTCTTCGATTTTTTTCAGGACAACATCTCTGTTATCCTTGAATTGAATTCTTATTCCACACATCAAAATCCATATCTAAGAAACACCAGAGAATTCTTCCAGATACATAGAAACTTATATATTTTTTTCAGTGATAAGCAGTTTGATTATAAAAGATATAAAACATGACTGATAAAAAAGCATGGCTTAGATGTTGAGTAAATATTGTAGCTAAATCCTGAAAGCTCAACATCAATAAATAATGGAAGCTTTAGAAACCAATGCTCTGGATAACATCCCTATTTTAGAATACTCAAAGGGCTGCTACAGCTATTTTTTTTTTTGGCAGTTCCATTCTCCACAGGTGATCTATAGCTTGAACTAAACCTAAAGCCATCAGATTTTCCAGGTTTAAAACATTTTAAAATGGTCCCATCTAATCCACAGGTTTTTAAAGTTACAGTTAATAATCATGTTACTGAAAACATACACTAGAAGAAATGTTATCAAGACATTAATTAAAAGTCATGTTGTTAAAATATATACAAGACATACACTAGAATTTTTAAAAATATTATTCACATACTAATAAAATGAAAGTAAGGAAATAATACAATAATTACAAGAACTTCAAGAATTTCTCATAGCTAGTAGTGAACATACTGATCAGTATAAGGGCTTGGGGGTTTATTAATATTTCTGAGGCATAACTGTCTTAAAAAGAGCCAAAAGTGAGATCTGATAATTTATCAGATTGTCTAAGAAAATGTTAATATTCATCATCTATAAAATGACTAACTTTTCTTTGGTGTACATGGTTTTCAAGAAAACATGATTCATTATTTCAACATTTAAAATTTGCCTAGAGAGCAGCAGCATCCCTGACAGACTGGCTCATGCTATGATTCGGTGTCAGGATGAAAAGGCTGGCTTAGAGACATGTTCTGGGTTCAATTTCCAGTGGTTTAAAAGATTTCTTGGAGTTAGGTTGTGCATGATAATGTGCCTCAATCTAGAAGAGGCATGGGCAACTCCCAGCATGCAAGCAGAGCTCCTGGTTAACATCTGAAAGTATTCACCCACACCGTAATCCGCTGGTTTATTCCACCTTTATGAAACTCCTATTACATTTGTCCACCCTGTGCTTAAAGCAGCAACAGCTTAAAAGAGGGACACTTCAGACAAGGCCCCTTCTGGGTCTCTTTCTCTTTCAGTACCGCAGAGAAAAAGATACAATGGAAGCAACAGCAGTAGATGGAATTTTTATTTGAAACACCACCACTAAATAGCTTTCAGATGAGGAATACAATTCTTTGGTATTTCTATTTTAAATAGTGCAGGGGCTGGGCTATGAGATTTTCATATGCTATCTCATTTATTTCATTTATCTATACATGTTTAATTTAGAGTGATGATGTAACATTGGATGTGGAGACTCCAAAGCTGAATAATGTAATATATCAATACAATACCTGCAGAAACAGCTATGCAGTGGAGTATTTTGGTTTTATACTTCCTCAAAAATGTTCATCACGTTATTTTCACTTTTTTTTTTTTTTTTTTTTTTTTTTTTTTTTTATAGAAACACAGGACTGGCTTTGGAGTTATTTAGGGGAAGAGTGCCTTTGGTCTTTAGAGAAATCTTCCTGGACAATTCTTGTAACAAATAAAACATCAAGGTGTAATTATATAAAATCACTATTAAAACGCAACTTATTTGTACTATATTTTAGCTGTTTTAACACTAAGTGACCTTACACTCATTCATTGTTTCTATTGCTCCCTGTTATTGTTCCTTTCTAAAAGAATGTTCTCCCTTATATACTGTACTATCACCACTACTTAATTAGTTTTTGTATTCAATAGTCTTGCTCATTGGCGCTAACATTAAAGTATGAAATAAGTTAAATATAATGGAAAAAATAATTTCTTACTTTAATAGTCACTTTAGTCTTCACAATAGAATTCTTTAAATCTATAACTCAATACTTAACAGCTGAGAAGAATATGAGTGTGTTTAATATAAATTAAAGCAGCAATTTCTGTTTCATACCACATTTTCTTTTCAATTCATCCACTGATGGACGTTTAGGTTGATTCCATATCATGGCTAGTATGAAAAGTGCTGCAGTAAACATGGGAACAAAGCTATCTCTTCAAAGATACTGATTTCCTTTTCTTTGGATAAATGCCCAGTAGTGGGATTGCTGGATCATCTGGTAGCAATTCATGTTTTATTAAGAAAGTGTTTACAACACAGAAGCTCAAAAGCCTTCAGCTATCTCTATACAATGCCATTTTAAACACCTTTGGAAGATTATTAAAATATGTTAATTATTTTGTCGAAAAACTAAAAATTTAAAAAGCAAGACAGGTCAACAAAGGCCAGATTAGAAATTACCATAAATTATTAAAGTCATAAAACATACTGAAATCTTTGGGATGTAATTTAACACATGAGATTTACGACTACTCAAGAAGCATACTATGTAGTATGTCACTTTTGTGCTTTGAGCAAGGAACATACTTTGATTCCTCTATTTCAGTGGGATGAAAACAGCTTGTGCCTCTAGAATTAAGACAATGGCCCACAGAATTAATAATATGATAATGAATTAAATTCTCTATATTTCACAGAAAATAACAAATTTTTTATGACTGTCAATAAAACCCTCAGATAGTTCAACTCTGTATAACTAACAAGAAAAATTAGTTTAAAATGTCATTTTAACCCTCCTTTAAAAAAAAAAGCTTATCTAAATTTACTGGAGATATCAATGAGGTTACGGAGAATTATTTTAAGAAATGTAAAAAGGAACCACAATGGTTCTTTGCTCATTAACAAAATGCTACATAACTACAAGAGATGGTTTATAATTACAAGAGGTTAATCATGCTTTGCAAGTTGTAAAATTTACTCTCTTAGGAAATAATTTCAAGAGTCCTACTGATTGTTAACAGGTTAAAAAACCTTCAACGTTTGTTAACACATTAAAAAGTCTTCACATATTTGGCCTTTACCAAAGTAGGCAGTAGTGACCATGGTCACCTATACTTTAATAGTTTTTAGAACAACTTATACATAGTTCTTGAAATGGCAATAAGAATTAGTGGCAATAATAAATAAAACATTTATGAACACACAATATTGTTAAAACTCCAGTGTTCACTTAGATATGTAATCTATGTAACAATATTGCATAATTGAAGAGTTTGCCAAGATAATTACTGATGTATATATATTTTTCTTCATTTACAAATATTCATGGCAAATATGTAATATCAATAATGCCAAAATGTTTAGTTATTTTTGTGAGATATCTCAATACACAAAACAGATAATAGAAATATAAATTAATGTTTGTTAGAGTCTATTTATTTTAGATACACATCTCTTCCTTCAACAGCATTAAGAAATACACAATCTCCAGTGTAGGACCTCCTTATAGAAAAACATTCTATCACTTTGCATAGGGTTATTCAGATGTGCAGGAAAGAACCAAGAAATAATTATTGGTTATCTATTATACTAAAATTCATAGGCCTGAAGGGTACATCAAAATAGGAAGATAGCCAAGAAATGGTGTTCATTTTCAAGTATCTTTACTCAAGCTAAGTCTGTAAGTCATGTATTCACAAAACGATGCTTAGTGGCTTGTGGCAGTACACTGTAAATACCAAATGAGCTGTATAGGACTTTCAGGAAATGATGGTTTTTGAGAGAGTAGGTGTGGCAGGTCTTCAAGGGGGCAATGGGACTTGAGCAAGTGTCTTGTGATGATGGGTGTAATTTGTACCTTGCATGAGGGTAAATGGCGAACAGGAGAGCATGGGGCTAGAAAAACATGAGACAAATCAGAGGACAGTTAATGCTGGCATTTAGAAGATGTGCTGGAGGTGAATTACCAAAAGAGTCTGAAAGGGCTTGGAGATTATTCCTCCTTCCAGAGGTGAAGAAACAGGCCCAGAGTCGTTGCATAACTTGATCAAATAATAGGGCCCTGTCTTTTTGAATCATCGTCCACTGCCTCGAGCTACTTCCATTTCCTCTATTCTTTCACTAGTTAAAATGTACCTTTTCACTTTGTGAAAATGACGTGAGTGAGAGTAATAGAAAATATCTCGTTATCCATAGTTTCAAGCCTAGATTTGTGGAAGTCAGAATGACAGTTTCTTTTAATATAACAAGTTTTCATTGATAAAATTATTTTCAGAAAATTCTCTAAGTACTCTTGAGTTGGTTAAAGTCCTTATTTCCCTCCCCAAAGAAAATCTTAAATTCCTCGAGACCAGGTCTGTGTATGAATCATCTGAAATCCTCCCCAAAGGGATGGATAATGCCTTTGTCTAAATGTAGGTGCTTAGTAAATTATGGATAAAAGTTGAACAGCACTGGCAACAATAATTCACATCAAAGTACATTCTAGTTCTTTATATCACATAGAAATAAAGAATTTTCTTATAAATTTTGTAAATGTGAAAGAAAATAGAACCAATTTAGAAAATAAATGTCAATCTTGCATTTTAATTGTTGCTCCTTTCACATTAATTTTACAAAAACTTGTTTCTGATTTGATTTTCTATGGATTAAAAGCATTCTGTGCAGTTGGAAGCTCATTATTAATCATGACAACTGTAGTGGCTGCTAGTATGAATTAAGCACATATACCATGTGCCTAGCTAAATGGCAAGCCATTCAGATCTCTTTCTACTACAGTTGATTATAAGTTTTTTTTTTTATTATACTTTAAGTTTTAGGGTTCATGTGCACAACATGCAGGTTAGTTACACACGTATACATGTGCCATGTTGGTGTGCTGCACCCATTAACTCGTCATTTACCATTAGGTAAGTTTTTAAGAGTCAGGCATGATATCTTAGCCATCTTTCTATCCAAAATGCATAGCATGATCCCTGACATGTGTCATGTGCAATCCAAATTTAAAAATAATAAATCCCCTACCAAATACATTTCCATTAAATATTTCACATGAGTTATCTGGTTTAATCATCCCCCAAACCTCACTTTACAAATGGAGAAACAAAAGTTTCACAAATGTAACACGCCCAATGCCCCACAGATAGAAAGTGGTGGAGCCAAGGTTTGAACCCAGGCTCTTTGACTCCAGAGCCCCTGCAAGAAAATACAACTCTATGCTGCCTTGACATAGCTCTTCAAATAAACAGCCATTCAATTATGCTCAGTGATTTCCTAATAGTTTCCAGAATTCTAGCCATGAGAAAAATAATGGTTACTAATTTGAATAACGTAAGAATTATATTACCAACAAAAAACGGGAGGCCATGCTTAGGAGACACTGTGATAACAGTAGAAAGCTCAAATAAATAATTTTTTTAAAGTTCCAAGGGATCCATTAAAAAAATACAAAAAAAAAAAGTCCATTTCTAATATTTTATTCACAGTGACGGGCCTGAGCATAACATAAACTGAAGGCTCTTACCATGTTAGAAAATAAACTTAAAGTAGAGATTTCACTGGAGAGCTGAGGACCCAGGTAGGTGAGGTTCTGAGTGCATCTAACAGAGGGGTTATTAGCCACATCATTCAATCACTTAAAATAAGACTATATACGCATAGCATTAGCGAGTCAACCATCATTAAGACAAGCGGATTTTTCGGAGACTTTAGCATGAGTCCAGATGACCAAACTCCTCTGCTCTGCAGATGCCATATGTAATGCAGATTTGCATATTTCTAATGTATTCAGGTATTACTGTTTAAAATCTACTAGAATAACGACAGCTTTAATAAAATAGAGTTTGAATGGCTTCAATAGCAAAGAAAATTCTTAAAGATTCAAGGGTTCAAGAGTAGTCTACTTAGAAATAATCATTTAACCCCCATTAATGAACATTTTTTTTGGATCAGTATCTACAGTTCTTTTTTTAAAGTTTTTTAAATTTTAAGTTCTGGGAAACATGTGCAGAACGTGCAGATTTGTTACATAGGTACACATGTGCCATAGTGGTTTGCTGCACCTATGAACCCGTCATTTAGGTTTTAAGCCCCGCATGCATTAGGTATTTGTCCTAATGCTCTCCCTCCCCTTGCCCCCCACCTCGCGACAGGCCTCGGTGTGTGATGTTCCCCTCCCGGTGTCCATGTGTTCTCATTGCTCAACTCCCAATTATGAGTGAGAAAATGCGGTGTCTGTTTTTCCATTCCTGTGTTAGTTTGCTGAGGATGATGGCTTCCAGCTTTATCCATGTCCCTTCAAAGGACATGAACTCGTTCTTTTTTATGGATTCATAGTATTCCATGGTGTGTATGTGCCACCTTTTCTTTATCCAGTCCATCACTGATGGGCATTTGGGTTGATAAACATATATAAAGATCACTTTCTTATCCTAAGGAAAAGTATACTTGTATAATGGGACCAGATATATAAAGTGACTTAGTTAAAATACAAATCAACCCTAAGTATAAAATTAAAGGGAATTCTAAATACAACATGTATATGGAAATACCTATAATAACTAAATTCCTAATGTTGACAAAGCACTTGACAGTTTACAAATTCTTTTACTATATCATAGCATTTAATAATGTTAATGAAGTCTGTCACGTAGGCATTTTGCATGTTTTACAGTTCAGAAAATGTTTTCTTCCAGTAAATCTCAGCTAAAAACTGCTGAAGCTAGGGCTTGAACATCTGTCTTATTCCCATTTTTAACACGGACTGTTACATTTTCATCTACTTTTTTTGACTAATAAAGTCAATATGAAAGTCAGTCTAGATTCAGGCTTTGCACATCTTCTTTACAATGCTAGCGAGTTTGGGGCAACCAGATAAACACCAAAAGCACTCAAAGAACATGACCATAAATTAAAAATAAATCCATAATAAATTCAGATGCTATGCTCTTCAAGGAAAAAAATCAAAAAGGGGTATTGAAAATGTGCCTGTATTTGCGTGATATATGCATATATATGTACGTAGGTACACATATTTGTAATTTATGTGTATATATGTATATAGTTTATGGATGTATATACATGTAAATGCACATATATGTAAAAATCATATAAATATATAGAAATAAATAAAGATCTATAGTACCATTTTAGAGAAACAATAAAGCATAATTTCTGGCAAAAAATTAAAGTTGGGTATAATTCAAATATCAGTCCATTATACAGAAAAAGTAAAAGTTTGTCCTACCTTGGATTTTACTGATTATAAAATGAAAGCACAAATGATTAAAATTTCTAGTTTTACACCAGGTACTATACTGATGGCATGCCCACCCTGTCTTGCTAATAGTCCAGTTTTCATAAACTACCTTGTTTGAAAATGAGAATTTTCATGTGAAGTCAGGGCTCCACATTGGAAAACACTGATGTTTCTAACTCATTCTAGATATTTCATTCTCTCTTTCTACCCATGTAATTTTAGCATTGCTTGCTCCTAGCACAATGTTTGGCACATACTTGTTTCTTAATACAAGTTCTTTAACTCAAACAATATAATCATCTCAGTAAATTCAGTGCCATACCCATACTTTACCTTCTCTTATTCTCCCGGGGCTAAATATGATCACTTCAATCAGAATGCTCATAAAACAAAATCACCTGATTAATGCAACTTATGTTTTCATGAAGTTTAAATCAAAATCATTTGGTTTGTTTCATCTCTTCATTTTAAAACCCTTTTAAAATAGATTAGTCTACTTTATTGCCTTGGTAAATATAGAATGTTGAATATTAATTTTAATCATTGCTAATGATTGGGGTCATTAAAAAGTTCCAGAATCGTCATCTTTACAAATAGTCTCTGAGTATACTGCTGTGCATGTTGAGGGCTTAGGCCTTTAAATTTGTGAGGCAAATCTATGGCCTACAGTGTGCCCTATGAACATTGCTTTTAGGAATAAATTGATGTTAAGAATGTACTAGTTTACAATCCCACCAACAGTGTAAAAGTGTTCCTATTTCTCCCCATCCTCTCCAGCACCTGTTGTTTCCTGACTTTTTAATGATTGCCATTCTAACTGGTGTGAGATGGTATCTCATTGTGGTTTTGATTTGCATGTCTCTGATGGCCAGTGATGGTGAGCATTTTTTCATGTGTTTTTTGGCTGCATAAATGTCTTCTTTTGAGAAGTGTCTGTTCATTGTGGAAGGCAGTGTGGCGATTCCTCAGGGGCCTAGAACTAGAAATACCATTTGACCCAGCCATCCCATTACTGGGTATATACCCAAAGGACTATAAATCATGCTGCTATAAAGACACGTGCACACATATGTTTATTGCGGCTCTATTCACAATAGCAAAGACTTGGAACCAACCCAAATGTCCAACAATGATAGACTGGATTAAGAAAATGTGGCACATATACACCATGGAATACTATGCAGCCAGAAAAAATGATGAGTTCATGTCCTTTGTAGGGACATGGATGAAACTGGAATACATCATTCTCAGTAAACTATCGCAAGGACAAAAAACCAAACAGCGCATGTTCTCACTCTTAGGTGGGAATGGAACAATGAGAACACATGGACACAGGAAGGGGAACATCACACCCTGGGAACTGTTGTGGGGTGGGGGGAGGGGGGAGGGACAGCATTAGGAGATATACCTAATGTTAAATGAAGAGTTAATGGGTGCAGCACTCCAACATGGCACAGGTATACATATGTAACTAACTTGCACACTGTGCACATGTACCCTAAAACTTAAAGTATAATTAAAAAAAAAAAGGATGTATCCTACCATGATGTGTCTTTTTCCTAGGACTGGCATAAAATAAACTAATCTGGCTCACAGACAATTTCAGTTTATCCTCATTTTTATCACCATGTGACCTCGGGCATAACTAAACATGATCTAATTTTATGTTACTTCTGGATTCAATGCATTTGCCTCTCTCTGAGATCTATTTGTAATCAAATTTGTTAATTCCATCCTGAAAGGGAGAAGTAAAAAGGAAAAAAAGTTAACATCTTTCTAACATTTCAACTTTGAACTACCCCATCCCCAGAAGAAACTGCTATTAAAGATAAGTTTTGAAAACTACACAAGGGCCTTACATTATCTTGAACATATATATTATTTACAAGATCACCTAACTTTCTTCCTCATTTAACTGAAAAGCTTTCAGATAGCCTACTTTTTTCTCACATAAGTAGATGAAAAAAAGAAAGAAAATCACTGTGTATTATTTTCCCAGATATATATATATATATGTATATATATATATATTAGCTACTACGGAAAATGTAAATGCATTTATCTCACAAGGAAGTTTAAAGCCTTGGAGCCATGTTTTCTGTATTAACACGTGTTTTCATCGCTTCTTCCTCCACAATTGTTTTTTAGATTTACGCTTTTTCAAAGCATAAATAACCCCAGTTTGTCTTCAGCTGCAATGAGAAAACATAGCATGGTATATATCTCTTGCTATCTGTCAATTTGCCTATTAAAATATTGTTCACCTTTTCTTTGGAGGGTTTTTCTTCGCCTCCTCTTTCCTGACTAAAGTTTCTTGCATCCCGTGCATCCGTCAAAGGCTTAGCTTTCTGTTTTGTTTGTTCAAAGCCCGCCTTTTGGGAGCTTGGTCCCATCTTTGCTTCCCTCCTGCTATCATCTCCTTCTAAGCATTCTGTTTTTAGCTTCACATCTCCCTTCGCCATGCTTCTTTTGCTTAGAACAATAACGCAGCAGCAAGTACATCGATTGCTTTAGGAGGATTTTATCTTGTACTCAGTTCCATGTTCCTATTCATTCATTTGTCTTTATTTCTTTAAGTTTCTCGAGGCAAATATTTAGTGTTACAGATCTATGCCTACGAGTTGATGTCTGGTTGCCAGAATTTTATCAGATACATACACAGCTCATCACAGACAATGTGATTAACACTTCTGCATGAATTATGTAAAATGTTCGTATCAGAGTCTTTTCATAGTAAAGATATTAGTGATATTATGTATAAGTGTTTATATACATTATATTTTGTTATATTTTGTTGCAGAACATGTTCTGAGTTTTCTTCTTTTCACCTAGATTTGGAGTTTTAATATGGAGAAGCAGTGGTGGTTTAAAAGACCACAGAATGATGTCAGACAGGCCAGAGTTCAAATACAGGTTTTACTACTCTATGGCTCTATGAGCGTGAGTAAGTTACCCTAGCCTCTCTCCAGCTCAATTTAGGATTACTACGAAGAAGCTCGGAAACCTCACACAGGGAAAAGTCATGTAGTGGGCATAGCACGATTAGAACTATAACACACCCTCAATTAACGTTGATACCTGCTCTTATTCTCATCCTCACCATTGCTATTGTAACTATTTTCTCCCCTTGCAATTGGTTCCCAGAATTTCACATAAACTATGAATCCAGTTTGAACTTAATATTTATTGAATTATTTTCTTCTAAACATTTCTAATTTTCCCATTTCTTGAAAAGAACTTTTACCAGATGTTATTCATATTGAATTGTAAATTTAAAACTATTATAATAAGCTGAAATATATCCCTTGGTTAGAGGACTTAACACTTTACCAATATAACAATTATAATCAGTAAGAACATTGCTTCTATATAACATTTTATTACAATTTTGCTATAGTTTAAATGTGTCCCCCAAATTTCATGTGTTGGAAACTTAATCCCCAACGTGGCAGCACCGGGAGATTGTGCCTTTAAGAGGTGATTGCATCATGAGGGCTCTGCCCTTATGAATGGATTCATCCATTCATAAATTAATAGGTTAATGGGTTATCATGGGAGTAGGATTCATGATTTTATAAGAACAGGAAGAGAGACATGAACACATTAGAATACTCAGCCTTCTTGCCATGTAATGTCCTGCACTGCCTCAGGGCTCTGCTGTGTCCCCATGAGCAAAAAGGCTCTAACAAGTCTACAGCCACACCAGCCTAAACGCGCCCACTCTTATCTGATCTTGGAAGCTAAGTGAGGTTCGACCTGGTTAGTACTTGGATGGGAGAAGGCTCTGACCAGATGTGGCCCCTCAACCTTGGACTTCTCAGCCTCCGTAACTGTAAGAAGTAAACTCCTTTTCTTTGTAAATTACCCATTTTCAGGTATTCTGTTACAAGCAACAGCAAATGGACTTAGACGAATTCTTTCACAGTATAAGATTTTATTGACACATAGTGTGTTGAATAAATAACAGAATGATTTCATCTTTTGTAATCAAAATTAAGTTTGTATTAGTTTCCTGTATTGTTCCTAACTCATTCAAAGATCAGGTGGATGAAGGACAGACTGGAAAATTTTAATGACTTTACTTAAATAAGTCATTTACTTATTTAAAAAGTCACATATTTAAATGAATAATTTGGTTGTATAACACAGTTACTTTAGAATAAAAATATTATATCTATAATATTTTAAAGTAATAAATAGGACCATAGGCTATTTATGAAATATGACATGAATTTAGAATTTCGAGACAAATCTATATTTATTTAAATGGGCAATATGGTTTGAGAACAGTTGATATGAAACACGATGATGAACCCATCTTCTGATGAATAAGAAAAACACTCAATTGGCAATGGAGCTGATCATGCATTCATTGAAATTAAATTGGCTTTAAGTTGTACTAGTCTTCTTATGCAACGAGTAGCTCCTTATTTTGATGAAAATTCCCCAATTTATAACTAAGACTGGATCTTGTTATTTTGATCAGAGATGCAAATGTCTTTGGAAAAAAAGTTGGGGGTTCTTAATCACATGACTTATCACTGAGAATTTATAAAAACATTTTATCCCCTTGTAGAAATCGATCTCAAACTTAGGGAACATATAATTTAGAGAAACTATTTTTAACCCAACGGAGCTGCATTTAGGTTACTCCCTGTGATTACTTTTGAACTTGGTAGCACTCTTCTTGGTTAGCACTGTTATTTGGAGACAATATCATACGAGGTTTATCTTGTAGGACATGTTCAGTAATTTCCTGGATAGTGTTCAAATTATTAATAGCTAATCATTATTCCAGTGAATATAATACAGTGTACTTTAAAAGTCATCATTATATATATGCTAACGATAAATGAAAAATAATCATACGCAGATATGAGAACTATAATGTTGGAATAAAGTGCTTCATTGCTGCCCCACACGCGTTAGCACTTGAATAAATGTGGATATAAAGTAGAAAGAAATATTAAATATCAAGTGTTATTCCAACCATTAAAGGATTTTTACTAAGAGAAGAATCTTTCTTCACATGATGACTCTATAACTTAGCTGAAAACAAAAGCGCATAAATGGCCTCTCCTGAAGCTATGTCTTACACTCCTTCTGATGACATTTCAATTATAAGCCGAAGCTCCACGAAACAATCGATTCCTAAAGGTCTAACAATTGATCACTCCGTACACTGAAGTGCCTGTAATGACTACTGTTTATAAATGTTTTGCTTTAAAAAATAAGGCACACTATTAATAAACAGTTTGCTTTAATAGAACAAATGCAAGTTTTCAAAATATTTATCAGACCACGACTCTTCCTGACTCAGATTGGCTTCAGATGTATGTATAAGGAAGGCCTATTATATTCGTAAACACTGCTAAGTTGAGAGACCTGTTTCTAGATCCCAGTAAATAGTTAAGAGAAATTCACATCATTGATCTGGTTGCATCAGTTTCACACAGTGCACAATCTTATATAACCTTTTTTCCCCCCAGTGGCTATTCATTTAGGATATCCTTTAGAACAAAAGAATAGGATTGAGTGTCATTTAGCAGAAAGAAGGGAGCTAAGCTGACAGGCATAGTGTTCTGTTGCAGTATTTTGTGTTTTCATCATTGGACAGCAATGACTACAGAACCGGCCACGGCAGCAAACCCCTCAGAGTTCAGGGCTTGGGAGTGGGGGAGTGGGATGGACAACAACTGAGGAGGCAGAGACAGAGAACTGCTTAGCAAAAAGGAAGAAGAAATCAATAATGATTATCTTCTCTCCTTGGGCTACTGCAACTCTGTTAATTTAGGCATGATTTTTGTACTACATATTCTTTGAATTGGAAAATATATTTTTGATGTATTTCGGGAGGTAATACATAATCCTTCTGATAAGCAATATTTGTTGAGCATTTTATCTGCTCTAATTATGTCAGGTGCTTTGCTACTTCACAGTAACCACATGATAAAGAACTATGAATAGCCCTAGCTTAGAAATAAAAGTAAAAACTAGAGAGGTAAAGCAACCCACCCAACATCATATACATAGTGAAGAAGCTGCCAGGACTGGAGGCCAGATTTGCCTGTGTCCTCTAATGCTAAATGTGCACAGGGCTTAGAGCTGTTCTGAATTCTGTAATACCCAATGTCTCCCTTTTTAGAACCAACATTTAGTAACACCCTCATTTACCACCCTGAAATGAAATGAATAGATCTCATAAACTTGTCTGCACAGTGATCTAACCATCATATAAAAAAGAAAGAAAATAATTCATAACACAACAATATATGTTTTATTTTATTTTAAAATACTTTGAAACGTGTGAATGTTTTCATGGCCACACCAGAAGACCTATTGAAGATGCCAGACACTTGCGCCTATGTTAAGAATCCCCTTTAATGTAGAATTTTTCAAATGTCCCCTGAATATAGGTGAGTTGTATGGAACACTCAAGTACCATGAGTCGCAAGGCTATTAAGTCCTAGTTTTCTGCTATGGAAAAGAGCTCCTAGGAAACTTCTAGAAATTGTTCTATAATTGCTGCATTCTTGAAAAATTCAGCAACTATCAAAACTGCATTTCCTCTCCTGTCTCCCTGCTCCAGTAAAAAACATCCACACAAAACACGCTTTGTGTTTATATGTTAAATGGATTTACATTCTAGGGGAAATTAACTATAAACAAGGTTTTCCTCTATTTGAATGTGCAGGGGTATGAGGAAACACTGTTTACGCATCATGAAGAGTCTAGTCGCTTACCAACACACGTTAGTGCCAGCAGTGTCCACCTTTCATCATAACAACCAAAAATGCCTCCCTTGTTCAATTCAGAGAGACCATATTCCAGCAGAAACAGAAATGCCTCAGGTAAGAATTGTAACATTAAGAGAACATATGCAAAGATCTCAGTGCAGTACTTTTGCACTCAACAAGCACTAAATAAATGGTAGCTATTAGTGAATAATGACAATTCTATATTTATACAGAATTGCTCTTACAAAGCTTATATTAACAGCTTAAACAGAAATTGTAACATTTATAGCTTAAAATGAATAAAGCTATGTGTGATACATTAAATGATTTAAATTTTAAAAACTGTAAGAATTAATGTGGAAAACTGGTTTTAATTTGAGTTATTTCACATACACAAATGTTTGCTCTTATACACATTTTATTGCCCATATGATAGAGGTAGACTTTCTTCTAAAACAATCATATTAATGATTTAAACAAAAACGTGAGTTTAATATGCATTATTATTCATGCTTCATAATAATCACCTGATCTCTTCAAATTTAACTGTCACACAAAGCTCAGTTCCTTTTCATGGCTATAAATTACATTTCAGAACTTTGTGTCTTTATACTGCTAATAAGTCATATTTGATAATCCAGCATATAATAAAAGGATCGTGTACAACATTAATTACAAGGTCAGTTAGATGTCAATGTAGAAACTCATTGAATAGTATTTTTGTGGAAGTAGCTAGACTCTATTATGTTTAAACTTCACCATAATGAATAATTTGTATCAGACTTAATTCACGAGAGAAAAGTGAAAGTTCTGCGGCAAAGTGGCTTTTTCTCCCGAAATAATGTTAATAATTGAAGGCTTTCAAAATTTTTTCCTGCAAATTTCAGATGTGATTAAGTGTTGACTTTATAAAGGCTGGAAACGTCAAACACTTTAAAGTAAAATTGTGTTTTCATCTTAATTTAATGATGAAAAACATACTTATGCTGTCTAATAGATCTAACCAAGAATTTCTGATTCATTTGATTGGTCTACCTGGAAAATAATAAAATTAATAAAGGAGAGTATAAAATGCATATTCTGTAGTACATAAATGATGTGTCTTTTAAAATGTCAACTGAAATAATATTTTTTAAAATGAAGCCATTTAAAAATGATTTTTAGTGTAAATAAGATGCCAGAAGATGGACAGGTATAAAATTAACCTCTACCCATAACCATAATTTCATAGTAGTTAATGAGCTCAACTCAAGAAAAGGATAGAAGTCTAGTCAGGAAAAGGGTAATGCAAAGTGAAACATTAAAGTTAAATTATTTCCCTCATTTTTGGTAACAGGTTATTAAAATAGACTTGAATGGGTTTTTCAATATGAAACACTAGGATGAGCTTTCTGTGCTTCAGTTTCTTCATCTGAAGGAGAGGCTGTCTGAGTAGGGGACCATAAGAATCCACTTCAGCTTCTGTAGTCTATGATATATCTGCATTTTTATCAGGCATTTATTATTATTCCCATGTAGCAGGGAATGTTCTGCTCCCTCCCTTGAGCCAGGAAGTACAATTTGTATCAGGATCTCGAATTATGTTTTGCTCCATCTAATCCCAGTCATTTCTCTACATATCTGTATTTTTCACCATACTTAATAAAATTATAGGGATTTCTTCTTGTTCTACCACTTCACTTCATGGTCTCCACTTGAGTAATGCAATCAACTGGCAGGTACAATTACCATGAGGCAGAGGGAAATGTTTCTTAGGACCCAGGCAAAACTGATTTATTTTCCTTTGTGCCAAATCTTACATGTACTTTTACACCAAGTTAACCTGCTTAGGCAAAGGGAGGAGCCATCTTTTTCAAGCTCTGCAATGATCCTTGAGAAAGCAGAAAAGTCAATGGGATCTAATATTTTTATGGTGTGAGTTCCATCTGGGGACATTTGTATGGGGTTGAAGAGGAATGCATTTGATGAGGCAGTGACTGTTTGATCTTAGGTACCACGTTCCTCAGTATGTGGGAGTGTAAAGCTTCATGAACAAATTATTTTTAGTTGAGCTAAATGGCTATGAGTTGATCATTAATGATTAGGAAAAAGAGCCAGGATGGAGGATTACGCTCTTGGCCTTGAAGATCTCTAAGGCAGTAGAAAGAGTAATAAGGAGTATATTAGGGTTCCTTAGAGAAACAAAAGGAATAAGAGAATATGTATACACACACATATATAATTATATGTGTGTGTGTGTGTGTGTGTGTGTGTGTGTGTGTCTCTGTGTGTGTTTGTATGTGGTAAGAAATTGGCTCATGCAATTATGGAGGCAACTATGGAGACTGACAACTCCCAAGGTATACAGGGTGAACAAGCAAGCTGGAGACCCGAGAGAGCTGATAGTGTAGTTCCAATCGAAGTAGAGCAGACTTGAGATACAAGAACAGCTAATATTGTGGTTAAAGTCTGAAGGCAGGAAAAAGCCCATGTCCCAGTTTGAAGGCAGTCGGGCAGAACGATTCCCTTTTGCTCAGGGGAGGGTCAGTGTTTTTCTTCTATTCAGGCCTTTAATTAATTACATGAAGTCTGCTCACATTAGGAAGGGCAATCTACTTTACTCAGTCTACCAATTTAAATGTTAATCTCATCTGATAACACTTGCACAGAATCACCCAGAATAATGTTTGACCAAATATCTGGGCACCTTGTAGCCCAGTCAAGTTGATGCACAAAATTAACCATTACGGGCAGTGTTGACAGATCAAAGTAGTGGTAACAGTAGGTGCAAAGTGAACAACAGTATCATTAGAATGTCCAGGGACTTTTTCAATTCCAGAAACATATTGACTGGGTTTGATGCCCCATAACTTTACAAGTAACAACTATTCCACATGATACTCAATGCTCATATGACTGCCTTGGAGGAATAATTGACATTCTCTACCCCCTGTCCCAAACTTTAAAAAACATTTTGTGTACTGAAATGATTTAGGATGAACTGTGACCGGAAACAAGAAAATAGTAACTCACGGGGTGGTCCAAGCAAGATGACAGCCAACTTTTTGTTCTTTGTTTTGTTTTAGATTCTTAACGCTTTAGTGAAGTTGGATCCACATTTTGATCATTGCAAATATTAGAAACAACTTACATGTTCAACAAGGTAAGATTGGTTAAAAAAAATCAGCACAAATACAACAAAATACTATCAGGTCATTTAAAAATGTGAAAGAATGAAATTTAAGAGCAAAGAAGAATCTCATGCTACAGAGATTTCTCTTACAAAGAAAGTCATCTAAATTCTCATGGATAGAATGCAATAGATTAATTAGGAAACAGTATTTATAGAAACAGGATTGTTACTCGTTAAATTGCCATAAAATTAGAACAAGAACAAACACTAGCTTAAAAGAGAAAAGTGCCTTTTCCTGAGGACATGTGATACAATGATGGCATTTACAGAAAAATGAGTTAATGATACTGAGGGACTGGCAAAAAGAAAGGAGGCCATTTTCATGGAACCAAGGAAAACTATATTCAAAGGTGGTATCTTTTCTCTGCTATTGGTTTTATAATCATATACCTATAGCTACACTTAAAAATTAAAATACTTACAGAAAATATAACTTTGATATTGATAGTCTGAAACTCTCTACCCCAACCTCTTCTCTTAATGGATAATTATGTTTAAGATGGTTTTTTAAATAACGTGAGGTTTTTTATTAGTTAAGAACACAAGGAGCATGTTAGAATACACTGCATGTTGTGAAGTTCAGAAAGCCTGTTATAAAAGAGCAGTATCTTATTGCCTTTTCATAAACATACGAATGTTTAAAATTCATATTTATATAACAGGAAAAAAGACTATTAGGAAATGTTTGAACATGAAAATGTATCAAAATGTTAAAAGTGGTTTGCTGGGGAAAGTGATATTAAAGAAGATATTTATAATTTTTTCTCTATGCTCATCTATCAGCCTATACATTTTTCATAATAAACCAATATTATTTGCATATTCTGAAAAAAGTGTTATTTACTTGTTAGCTAAAATTTCATGTTATTTGATTCAGACTGTGTTTCTTCTGCTCAGTTTTTGGAATGCTCTCTCTCTACACTCAATCTATCTGAGAAGAATCAACAGCTACAATACAATTTTTTTTTTGCATTTAGAGACTCTATGCGCCCAGAATAATTCTGTGATATGTATTTCTCTTTATCTAAAAGTCTATATAGACAAGGGGCTCTGATACATGGTTTCTTCTTTAAGCCACCATCGAACATGCTGCAGGAAAGTTAATCGTGGGGATATCCAACAGAGACCTGTATCAATAACATAAGAAAATGGGAAATTCACCCGATACTTTTATTTCCTAGGGTGAAAAAGAAATTAGAGCCAGGTAATATCTGGTATAAAAATAGGTAATATCATACAAAATTCATTAAAGAAAATCTGAGTGCGGAAATTACCAAATCACAGAATATTAGAGCTGGAAAAGACATTGTACAGATACAGAAATTTGAAAAAAAAAAAATACAGAGATGAAGTGATCATTCTGCTGTCCTCACAGAAATGCCTGCTACTTCTATTGAATTTTCCTCTCATCTTCCTTTAAGCATTTCTGGAGTGCGTGGTGTGTGTAATCATAAAGTTTTGTGTTAAATGCCAAAAAGGAGGAAATCATAAAAGAGCGGTGTAATTTTTCTATTATATTTTGATAGTCCTGCCCTCTGCATAATTATTTTGTTTCTAATGTCTCCAACATAATCTCTTAAACATTTCTTAAAATATTTTTTTTATCCTAAATGCGAGCCGACTAAGGCAACTTCTTGACAAACACACGTCAAATAACACCAACATCAAAATCTAACCATTCACATCCATGAGGTAAAGAAAACCAAATTAACCAGTCATTATTTTTCAATGGCTATGACTTTTATAATAGTACAGCTTAGTTTCTATGCATCCTCCTATATTCTGAGATTCAGCGTTATACATTTTCAATTTGATTTTGCCAGTCAAATTTCATTTGTTCTTGTTTGATTGGCTGTCGTTTACCTATTAGGTGCTGCCTTCAATTCATTTTTACATTCTCTGGGGAGACAACCTACACACGAAGGTTTTGCCACTTTAAATGTTTAATTCTGCAACACGTTGCAGAGTAAAATCTTCCTCGATTTATCCTATAGAAGTTTCCTGTGACAATGCAAGTGAAAAACCAAAACTCAAAGTGTGGCAAGTTGGAGCTAAGGCTGATCCTGGAATCAACTAGTTTCCACAGTAAAAAAAGAATGAGAATGAGACATAGATTCCCCACTTAAATCCAATAGAGGTAGTTTTCACTCTGTTATCATGCAACAGTGTGTGATAGTCAATGTTGAAGTCATATAAACAAGTTATTTGGTTTTAGCATTTAAAATAAAGGAGTTCTATCAATTTGTGGTAAACACAACTACCCATATTGTTCTCTTCCTTTAGACTCTAACTGGAGAAGAGAGTATATTTTCTGCCTCTTTTCCCAGGTAATAGCATTTATAGGATGAGGAGCTGGCTAATGGCTTCAGTTCCACATGGCTAGCTACACTAGGGGGAAAAAAAAAGCATAATGCTGCAAGCAAAATTCCGATGTAGTCACAAGAAGGACATTCTATTTCCTTTTGAAAAAATGTGTTTCAGGTTCTTGGGTAAATCTGGTGGTAGAAAGTTTACCACCTATAATTCTGTAATGTGATCCTCCTTTATAAAATTGTTATTACTTGTGGCAAGAAAAGAGGAGGCAGATGGTACTGTGTCAGATGCTGAAAAAGAAAGTGAGCATCTCCTAGAATATTACAGTGGAAGTATCCAACATTGAAGGCAGATCTCTGGAATACAAATTCAGAAGTAAATAAAATAGACATTCTACAAACAGTGACCAAATAAATGTCTGGACTGTGAAACAGTTTATCCATTGTTTACATAAGAAATAATGCGGATTATATTGCATAGCTAGTATGTACCCCAAACCAACAAATATATTTTAAAGGTCCATCAAACAGCCCAATAAGGTTCCATTTTCACATACGCATGCAGCATTTTATAACAGTCCTAGGATATGTGTATATACAGAGGGATGGAAAAAATACAGTTTTAAAAGACAGAAATTTACCCTACATTTTATTGCCATCTGGGCAGAAACACACGTTCCATTCTTTTCGTTTCTCCGTGGCTTCTCCCAAAGAGAAATAGGCCTGTTTCTTTAAACAATTTTTTTATAAGCGCTATCCCTTCTTGAAGTTGAGTATAGCATAACAAATTTACTAAAATTTTTTTCTTAAGGATAACAGTAGAATAAAGAACAATGAGCCACTTTGTTACAGAGATAAGCCATGTCATTCTTTTGGTTTATAATGTATTTGCCCAAAAGTATTATGTGGCTAGCTGATAGCTGCATAGACTAACTACAGCTTTTTACTATTTGTGATACACCAGGTTCCCTTTAATCAAACTTCAGTTATCTGTATCTATATTCTCCTTAGGATAAGCCTAGATTGTCTAAATTTAGAGCTTGCTACCACCCCAGACATTCTTTCTTTTTGGTTATCATATCAAGTCCCAACTGTGCAGCCTGGAATTCAATGTCAACCACTTTCCATACCTCACACAATCCCTGTGATTCCATCAGCTCTGACCGAATCATAATAAACAACAGTTTATTATGATGCTTCAAGTCCCATCTCTGCAGCAAGTGCTTCTCCAGGTGATTTAATTACCAATAATCTTTTTAAAATCTGAAACCCCAGTCCCGTTTTTGCCCATTGAGCAGAGGCTAGGATTTATTATACAGAGGATATTGTTTTATTATCTATGGCAATAAATTATTCTCTTGTTACTCTATAGTTATATATTACATTCTGCAAACAAATTTCAGATACCTCAAGGGCATGAATAATATATTTGATTAGCTGATTTATTGGCATAGAATGCATTTATCGAGCTTTAATTATGGGCCAAAAAGTGTACTACGCCCTGAAGTCAGAAAGATGACAAAGAAATGTTCTTGGCTTTCAAGGAGATCCCGTCCCTCGAATTCATTCTAATAATTTTTAGAAGAGAGTTAAAGAAGAATGCTCTAGACCAGTGGTTCTCAAACTTTAGTGTGCATCAAATTACCTAGAGGGCTGATAAAAATACAGGCTGCTCATCTCCACTCTCCAATGTTTCTGATCAAGCAGGTCTGAGATGAGGCCTGAGGATCTATATTTCTAATGAATTCCCAGATGGTGCTGATGTTGCTGGTCCAGCGAAAGAGTGATTTAGAGAATGGAAAGGCAATTAAATAGGCAATGCAAAGACACAACGAGGTAGAGGGCCAACTGTATTCAAGTAGCAGCGGGAAGGTCATATGGTGGGTTTAGAGGGTGCATAGGGTGACCACAACATGGCACTTGGAGACGAATAGATTATAATAGGTTTTGGACATCATGGTAATGGTAAGGAATGTAGATATTAGAAGAATCATCATCATCAGAAATTTGTAAATAACGGAGGGATGTGATCACACCTGGGCTTTAGCTTTTAGAAAGAAAACAATAGGGCAGAGGATATGTCTACACAGAGGATTGTATCATACTGATATTTAGACCACAAAGATGAGATTTGATTTTCTTTCAACACTGAGGGCTAGGTATCATGCTTCATATTTATGGTCTGTCTCAGCTTTCCTCACCTGGCCAATTTTAACAACCTCCTAGGGAAATCACAGCCTCCAGTCCACCTCCTCTCTCCCTCCCATAATGGCAAGTAGATATCTGGAATCCCGCTATTAAATAGCATCAACATCTGAATTCATGTGTTTCACCGATTTCTCAGGCTATTATAGCAGGAGAAACTCATGTTGTAATTTTACTTATCAGGAATTTGAAAGCCAAATTAGTTAAGTAAATTAAAGTAACGCAGCTAGTTAACAGCAGAGTCAAAACTAGAGCTCAACTATCTCAATATTGTGTTTATTAGTATAATAAACGCATATAAATAAATGTAACTATTTAATTAATTGACAACAATATGAATAGTTACGTTTGCACCTGCACAGGCAATAATAACTAATGCACAGCTGTGACACCATCACCTATGAGACGTATCTGTTTTCAGAAATATTAAAAACAAGGTGCATCCAGTAGGGTGACTATAGTTAATGACAATCTATTTTGTATTTCAAAATAGCTATAATAAAATACGTGAAATGTTCCCAACACAAAGCAATGGTAAATGTTTGAGGTGACGGATACAGAAATATCCTTATTTGATAATTACACATGGTATGCATGCATCAAAATATCACATGTATCCCACAAATATGTACAATTATTATGTATCAATTTAAAAATGCACATCTTAGTTGCAATAAAATACAGCAAACACAGGTGACTTTTCAGGGCCTCGATTTCGTTCATGGGAAGAATGAAAGATGACATGACTCTGATGACTTTTTCCATGCCCTATTTCCAGGCAACAGAGTGTCCTTCTAAACCAGAAGAGTTCAGCTCTAACACAGAAGACTATTATAAAAGTTAGACTCCTTTGAGAGCATTGGCTGTTCTTTATTTTTGTGTATATCCTTTCCTTTCTCGATTTCACAAGCAACTCCTGACGATTCTAGGAATTTATTGTCCAATTTTAATTTCCTGATCATAGTTATAGCTTTGAAGTTCATTATCAAACTTTGACCTCATGCCCTCATTCCTACCTCTCAGACACAAATTATATTATTACAGGGATATATATTAATATTTCAACATTTCTGCCTTTCCTAAATCCAAATAAAACAATAGAATACTGAATTAAATTACTACGATAATTTATCATTGTTTCTAATATTTTCTTGTTTTTTTTCTGAGAATGTGGTTATTGAATAGACTACTTTTTTGATTATGCAAGGCTCAATGTCAACATTTTGTTGCTAAATTATAACATTAAGTAATCCAGATCACACAATATTTTTCTTTAGCTAAGAAACATGTTTAACTTCCAGCTACAACATTTTCTCACAGAATAAGAATTACATTGTTTGTATTTATCTTTAGCTTCAGCACTTATTGCAGTTATAAAATATGTTAATATCATGGGCATAACAACTGAAAGCGTACTTAATTGTTCAACCTTGGGGACCACATAATCTACATCAGATTTCTATGGGTTTTTCATGTCTCTGGTTATGATTGCACCTTTCCAATTTGTCTCTGTGCCTCAACTCTCTCTCTCCCCTTATCCATCCTGTGTAGCCCTTCTAAAAAGAATCTTTGAATATATACTTTTACTCATTTTATGATCGCCTGTTCCTCCAGCTAGCTTCTCTTTGACCTCATTGACTCAATTCACCTTATGCCTTTCCCCTAATATCTTGTGTCTAATCATGTGAGACTTCTTAATATTTCCAGGGCAGACCGTCCTCTTTTGTCCTTTCAAGGTTATTCAAGCTGTTGTCCACACTTCTGATGTTCTCCCTCTATAATGACAAGCTTCTACTCAGCCTCCCAGATGAGCTAATCTACCACCTTCTCCGTGAAGCTGGGTCTTACGCTCTGTTGGAGAAGAGACTACTCTGATTCCTTCACAGATTTTACTGTACCTATCTTGGGATACTATAATGATTTTGATGCTGTTCTACCTGACTAAACCCAGCTGTTACTATTTAGCAATGGATACAACATAGTAGATACTCAACAAATGTCTTTTAATTAGTGCATGAGCAGCAGTATCTGCACAGTGAAAGCCACTGTCTGTATATCCTCACCTCCTACTACATTTTAACCTACCACAAATAGTTTTTTGATGCATGCTTCCAGTGAAAATGTCTTTTATCAAGGTCAAGTATGAGCTCCATATTGCAAAACCCAATGGTCTATTCTTTTGTGTTTGTCTAATTGTATTTTCAACATTTGACACTGTTTTTGATTCTATCATGAAGGACTTTCTTCATCCCACTTGCCTGGTTTTCTCTATAAATCACAGAAGTTGCTTTTGTCTCCTTTGAGTATTTTTTTTCTTCCTCCTGTTTTGAAAGGTGCAGTCAATTCTCGGGCTCTTTTCCCAAACTCTCCTCCTAGAAGACTTCATCCAGTCCCATGTCTTTAAAAACCATCTAAGGGCCTATGACTGCCACATTATTTATTTATTTATTTTGAGACAGGGTCTCACTCTGTTGCCCAGGCTGGAGTGCAGCGGTGTGATCACGGCTCACTGCAGCCTTGACTTCCCAGGCTCAAGTGATCCTTCAGCCTCGGCCTCCTGAGTATCTGGGACTACAGGCATGTGCCACCACACCCGATTAATTTTTGCGCGCGTGTGTGTGTGTAGAGGCGAGGTCTCGCTGTGTTACCCAGGCTGGTCTTGGACTCCTGGGCTCAAGTAATTCTCCTATCCTGGCCTCCCAAAGTGCTGGGATTATAGGAGTGAGCCACTGTGTCCGGCCAACTCTTACGTTATTATTCCAGTCACAGTATCTGTCTTCAGCTTCAGACTGATCTACCCAACTTTCTTTCCAGCATTTCCACTTGGATATCTAATGAGACTCTGATAATAAGAGAGACTCTTGATTTCATCACACCTTGTACCCTAACTTTTTCCTCCTCCACTTTTCCCCAGCAAAGAACTTAGAAATAATTCTCAATTATTCTCATACTTTACATCTAATTCATCACAGCAAATCCTGTCAGCTTTGTCTTTAAAATGTATCCTAAATACCAGCTCTCTAACTGACCCCACCACTCCACCCTAGTCTGAACCACCTCTGATGTGGACTAGTAACGTGGCTTCCTGTGCTATCTCCCTGTATTCACTATTGCTTCCATTTCAGTCTAACCTCTACTCAGCAATGATGAATGAACTCTTTGAAGAAAGCAGATCAGGTATCTCCACTCTATTTTTCTAAATTCTTCAATGATGTCCTGTCAAAATTATGAAAGAGTTAAATTCTTTTATCACGGCCTGCAAGATCCCGTGTGATCTTGCCCTTGCCTATACTTGCACCTCCTTCCTTCCCCACCTTCTCTTACACTGGAATCCTTGCTATTTGTTGGCTAGGTCAAGTCTCTTTTGAACTCAGTGCCCTTGCCCTTGTTTCCTCTGCCTGGAATGTTTTTGCCCAAATTGGAGAATATCTGCTCTCATATCTGCTCAAATACTGCCCCCTAGAGAAGCCATGCCAATCCACCCAATCTAAACAAGTCCACCTTCAATATCATTTTCTATTCCCTTAACCAGCTTTATTTCCAATATGGATCACTATCTGAAATCATATGTGTATGCATATAATAAATAATATCATTTATTCTCTAGCTCACTACTAGAGTGTAAGTTCTACGAGACTAGGGACATACTTATGTATTCTTGTATCCCAAGTACCTGGCATATATCATGTACTTCACAAATATCTGTGGAATAAATGAACACATTGAAGAGATCTACATTATGCCATCGTGATGTAAAAATTGTTTTGAGCTAAAGCCATTTGAGGATCAACAGATACGGGAAGGGGCTTTTTCTGTACTCCCCCTATCTGCCTAAAAGCAAAGATTTCTGAAATAATTCAACTGTTTTAAATCCTCCTTTAAGGAAAGTTTCTTGCACCAGGGGTAAAGAGTGACTCCTGTCACCAGAGATGAGAAGTTGTCGCTGGGAAAAGAAAATTACATAAACAGACTTTACTAAAACAAACATTACCTTTCATTAGTTTCTTTCATATTTCCCACCAACTTTGTGGCTTGAAATTCTAACACTCTTCTTTTCAAAACCCTTGTTAAAATAGTACATAAGCCCCAAATTCTAACTTCATTGAGCTATGTTTTCTGTGAGCTCCCACATACTTCTCTGAATAAACTTTGTCTTTTCTATTGCCAATCTATCTGTCGTCAGTTTAATTTGCAGCCCCCCAAGTAATGAACCTAAGAGGGGAGTGAAAAAGTTTTTCTTCCCTGACAACACAAATGGACACATCAATAAATGGATAGCTTGAGTAAATTTCCTCATGTTTCTAAGCCTCACTCCATTACATTTTTATTGATCACAGCACCAGTGCCAGACGACAAATGGGAATTCTTAAGAGAAAGGGCATTAGAAGTGTTAAAAGGCAACCACAGAGAGCTGTCACATGGAGAAATGGTCCATGCCATCTTCATTTGATCTCACTCCTAGTTGGGAGTCATCAGAATGGGGAACGGAGATATCTTTCAGCAAGGAGGTCCCAGTGATATGATTAATAAAAATATGTCAAAAGACACATGAGAATAGAAGTTCATTTGATACAAGCAAAGGTTATTGTTTATTCTACTAATACGGTTCCACAGAATCCAGGTCCCAGCAGTGCCCCCTCTTAGAAGGACAAGCCTCCCTAGTTTTCAAGTCTTCACAAATGTGGCTAGCTGACAAAATACCATCTGATCAAGTCATAATCTTCTCAGATCCTTCATAAATCTTCTTACTGCCATGCTCATGTTTTTAACCCCTTCCAACCTCTTCGAGCTGACATTAAGTAGCTTCTTTTAAAAACCAGCAGAAGGTTCATGAATGCATATGGGAGAAGAGTGAATTTTAGGTCAAATTCCCAGGCTATGATTTAACCTTGTCGCAATTTGTACTCTCCCAAATCAGAGAGGAAGCCTGCCTACAGGGCACTTAGAATCTAAGAAAGTGCCTTCGGTGGAGAAAATATTTAACCAATAGGTTTGTTTGGGGGATGGTTTGGATAGGGATCTTCTATATGGACCTAGAAGGATTATCATCAGAGACAAAGAGTATGTGAACTTTCTGTTAATGCCCAGAGATGTGACAACCAGAGAGGCTGGGCAGAACAGAATCTCAGAGGGCATGTGGAGCAACTGAGAAGACTATAAAGGCATTGTGTTTTCTTACCTCAAGTTCACGTAAGGCTTATAACTGTAAAATCATCTATTTTTGGATTATCCATGAAATTCTCAATCCTAGGCTAGCAGTTTTCTGCAACTTACAAGCCCATGCCTCTCCTACATTCAAAGGTTTCCAATAACATTACACCCAGGGACAAGAAGTATATTATTTTATTGGCCTGTGAGGTGGGGGAAGGGGACAAAATTTATATAATAAAGTATCCTATTTTACACAGTAAAGTTTATTGCTTTACTTTATTAAACACTGATCACTGATGATCTGTTCTATAGCTTTCCCAAAACCCTGTGTTTCTGGATTTTCAATTATGCAGAGAAAAAAGTGAAATCTCCTGAGCTGGCAGCTCTTCCCCTCCATCATAGTTCAAAAGGTGACAGGGAATAGCAGCCTACAGAGTGAACAGAACATAACTCTCTGAGCCATGGTTAAGCTCCAGCAATTTTGGTGGTCGCAGTAAACACTGGGCTAAACCCAAGGAACTTCTCCCCCTCTATGTGGCTTTGGTTATATATTGATAACCAAAGCTGATATTGCTTTGGTTATCAAAGCAATATCAGCATGACCTGGGAACTTATTAGAAAAGTAAATTCTCAGGTCTCACCCCACAGCTACCTTATCAGAACTCCTACGAGTGGGGCACAGCAATCAGTATTTTAATGAGTCACCTGGAAATTTTGATGCAGGATCAAATGTGAAAACCATCGCCCTATAGCAGCAATCCCCAACCTTTTCGGCACCAGAGACTGGTTTAGAGGAAGACAATTTTTCCATGGATCAGGGGCGGGTGGGGTTGTGGGGAGAGGTGCGTGGGAGGCGATGGTTTGGGGATAAAACTGTTGCACCTCAGATCTTCAGGCATTAGATTCTCATAAGGAGCACACAACCTAGATCCCTCGTGTGGACAGTTCACAATAGGGTTCGTGATCCTATGAGAATCTAATACCGCTGCTGAGCTGATAGAAGGTGGAGCTCAAGTGGTAATGCTGGCGGCCCTGCAGCTCACCTCCTGATGTGGGGCCCCGGTTCCTAACAGGTCACTGACCTGTACTGGTCTGTGGCCCCAGGGCTGGGGACCCTTGCTCTATAGTGTTAAAAGCCAAAGGAAAGCGGGCAGATCACTTGAGGTCAGGCGTTTGAGATCAGTCTGGGCAACATGGTGAAACCCTGTCTCTACTAAAAATGCAAAACTTAGCAGGGCCTGGTGGCGCCAGAGCACCTGTAATCCCAGCTACTTGGGAGGCTGTGGCATGAGAATCACCTGAACCTGGGACGCGGAGGTTTCAGTGAGCTTAGATCATCCCAGGGCACTTCACCTGGATGACAGAGTGAGACAGTTAAAAAAAAAAAAAAAAAAGCCAAAAGGATTAGAGCACAGAGGATTGGCAGTCTTGAGAACTAACGTAACCCTATTTGCAAGGTGACAGTATGTATATTGAACTGTATCAGGTCCGCAATGCAGCCTTTCGTATAACTAGGCTCCTAGTGCGGTTGTATGCTAATCCTAGTCCTAAAACCAAGATTAGGCAAAAACAGACTTGAGATTCATTTGAGTCAAGGTCCCATTACTCAGTAACTCCTGAGATGAACACAATGCCCATATATAACTAGGATCTCCGGTGTACCCTCATCTTCTGATACTGCCTCCTTCTCATTTGCCTTGTCCACTGTGATGTGGCCCTTTCTGTCTTCCATGTAGATGCATAAAGCCCTATACCAAGCACTGCAAACATATAGCTGAGAAGGTCCTCAGCCTCCAGAAACTTACTTTTGTCTTAACCACATCTGATTGATGTTTATCTATGGGTCTTTATGCGAACTGTTTCTTCTTTCTGAATTACCCTTCCCTGCTTTCATTCTTCATTTTGGGACTGATTCCACAGCCCTGGGTGGCCATCACACCCTGTGGTCACCCTTTTCAGTGCACAGTCTTGCAATTACTTGATTATACAGCTGACTTGCCACCTCAACTAGGAGCTGGTTGAAGGGAGGGGCTGTGTCTTTCATCTCTTTATCACCAGCATATTGCACAGTTCCTACCTATAGTTGATAGTTGATAACTTTTGATGAATGAATGAACGAGAATCAGACATTAAATTTTCAGAAGGAAAAAACAGTTTATCCTTAAACAAATGTGTCTGGATTCAGAAGAATCATTTTCCCTTCGACTTTATGCTCACAAATGTGTTGGGATTCAGAAGAATTCCAACCTTTTCATTTGCCTTGTCCATGTTATATGGTTTCTTATAGCCTAGCTAAAGCAGTGGTTTTCACAGCATGATCAAGGCCAGCAGCATCAGCATCACCTGGTAACTTGCTAGAAATGCAAATTCTGGACCTGCACCAAAGTTACTGGACCAGCAACTTTGAAGGCTAGCCTAGCAATCTGTGGTATAGCAAACCCTCCAGCTGATTCTGACGTGAGTACTACTGGCCTAGAGTTGCTTCTAAGACTTTGGTATAACTACCAGTCAGAATCTAGGTCTTCACACACAGACACTGATTCAGTAGGTTTGGGATGAAGGGCAGGCAGTCTACAGCCTTTATCAAGCTGCCCAGATGATGCTGAAAGGTGTTTTATGGATTCAGAAGAGTCTCAACACATTCGTGAGCATAAAGTTGAAGGGAAAAAATGTTTAATGAATTTGCCTGGGGTTTTGTTACTTCTTCCACTCCTAACTTCATTTATAATCAAGGCCCTAAGCAGCTGGTTTCCACTTAACCTTACCAAACTCATACAAATTCAGTTGGGATTATTTACAACTTCCAGGGTTACTTGCAATTGTATACTGAGTCTCCAAGGTGGTTAATGAGCCACTTTGGATGATAACAACCACCTTGGCTGATAACTAAATTGATAGGTAAGCAATGTATTATAATAGCAACCAAACCCTTGCTTCTCTGATTTACTGACCTGTCACAGATATGGACCAAACCAAATTTCTGAAATTCTGGCTGCTCAAATCCCAATTGCAACCTGATTGAGGCATTATTAGTATTGGAGTTTGAAGTAAATAATACAAATGCATCGACTGAAATAGGTAGAGAACAAGCCCGGAAGTGCAAACGTTCGTTAGAAGTTACTGATTTGTGCAGAACTCTGTGTGGCTTGGGCAGTCACTTCTCTTTGTCAAGTAAACATACAAAACGTTTGCTCCTTCCAATTGCAATGGTATCCATGGTAGATACGTGCAATGCATTTGAAAATAATAACTTGAGATCGAAAGACAAAAAATGAATACGCTAAGGAAGTGTGGCAGTCACAAAGAGGAATGTATCTAGTTCTTAATCAGGGCAGACCTCAATATTCACATTTTTAGCACAAAAGCCAAAAGGGAGGGTTGAAATTTACAAGTCCCTTCATCTTGGTTAGGCTCTGTGGGGAGTTCTCCCTGCAGCTGGTGGGCTGCTTCCTGCTTCTGATGTCTCCACCTGCAGGTGGTGGCACTGGCCCCTGACCTCCTGAAATAAGCCTGTTGATCTTCTCCCACATTATTCCTGCTGCCTGTGGACTGCTGACAGGAAGTTAGGGGACGACAAAAAGTCCCTCAGTAAAAGACTCGATTAAGTGGCTAAATAACGTTTCCTCCGAAAGCTTTCTTTTCAAATAAGGTTTTCAAAATATGTGTGCATATATATATATATATATATATATATATATATATATATATATATGTATTCGGTTTTATTCAGAATGCAGAAGTGTATCTGCGGAGAGCAGAAGGGCATTGGAAGGAGTCAAAAAAAATGTGTGTGTGTGTGTGTGTATACACACACTCACTATATGCCAAAAGGAAAAGCAAACAGGAGAAAAAGATGTGTTGAAATCTTGACAGAGCACAGACAACAGTGGCATATTTGAGTTAGAAAATAAACAAGGGTGTGCATTTTAGAATTCTCAGATTTATTTGATTTTTGTCCAACCACTACAAAGTAAGGAGTAAACGTGAATATGAGGGGGTAAGAGAAAATAAGTTGATTTAATGGTGAACTAGGGACAAAGTCCTAGTGTTTTGCATTTGCTCTGTGACCCAGGTCTTCAGCACCTTTCCTTGGCAAGTCAGGATGATTTTTAACTAGCTCCTAACTAGCTTTCTTGTGTTAGTTCTGTTTCCTTCGAATCTATAGGCCAAGCTGCAGAAGGGGGCTTTCTAAAATTCAGGCCTGTGAAGTCATTGGCCAGTATAAAAGCCTTATATGGTTTTTCCTATAGCGTAGCTAAAGCAGTGGTTTTCAAAGCACGATCAAGGCCAGCAGCATCAGTATCACCTGGTAACTTGCTGGAAATGCAAAATCTGGACCTGCACCAAAGTTACTGGACCAGCAACTCTGAAGGCTAACCTAGCAATCTGTGGTATAGCAAACCCTCCAGCTGATTCTGATGTGAGTATTACTGGCCTAGAGTTGCTTCTAAGACTTTGGTATAATTACCAGTCACAATCTAGGTCTTCACACACAGACACTGATTCAATAGGTTTGGGATGAAGGGTAGGAGTCTACAGCTTTTATCAAGCTGCCCAGATGATTCTGTAAGGTGTTATCTGGATTGCATTTAGAGAAATGCTGGCCACAGTCTAAATAGTATCTGAACCACTAAATACATCTCTCTGTGCCCCCTGCCCACCCCATCTGTGAAATTTTTTGAGATCATCTTGAGCTCCCCGTCACAGCACAGTGCCTGCAACAGAACTGACACATTCCTCTCTAAATGTTTCTGAATAAATAAACTGCACTTTGGCAGACAAATTGCAATCCCTAATGTGAACCTTTTTTCTCTTATCTAGACAAATGAGGCAAAACTACTCTGACAGACTTCAGTGGTAGTTTTTAAATTGTTGTTATTTAAGGAATACACTACTCATAAGGACTTTTCTTCTCACATTGAACATTACAAGATAAATTAAAATAATTTTATCTAAGTAAATGTCCTGACACTAAGTTTAGCCAGACTTCACCCCTTAATCGGTTTTCTAAAACACAAAAAGAAAACAAATGACACCTACATGGAAATTTTACTTTTGAAAAGCAGTGAAAGAAAGCAGTGAAGACGCTTTGACCTTGAGTAAGATTACAGCCTCTGGTCCCCAAATGAGACATGTGTAGTCTTACCTTGTCTCAGGTAAATGTGTGTTCATCTTGTATACATACATACCACATGAATACAGGAAGGGGAATACTAAAACCTAGTAAGGTGAATGGTTTTGTGAGCATGCATATATATATATATATATATATATATATATATATATATATAAATGATCAAAATTGATGCTAATGAAAAAAATCTGTCTTGTTACAGGATGGACCTTTCTTCCCGTGGTTCTTTAACTTGAGTGTGCGTTAGAATTGCCTACAGGGCTTGATCACAGATCTGCGGGCTCCACTCTCCAAGAATTTCTGTTTCAGTAGGTCTGTTGTGAGGCTCAAGAATGGGCATTTCTAACCATCCCCGTGATGCTGATCTGGGACCCACACTTTGAAAACAACTGCTCTACTCCATAGGGGGAAATGAATGTGTCAGGAAAAAGGTGCTCTGTTTCTGAAGAAAGAGAAACATGAAAGGTTAGACAAAGAATATAAAGGTAACTGAAATCCTCGAAGTAAAATAAATTCCACCTCTTAACTATACCTATAATCCTTTGTTTCACAGGCCAGCCTAAATTTACCACTTTATCTTATAGAGTTGTCTGTGTGAATCCGCTTTCTTATGATATAGTGAGCTCCTTTAAACATTGTGGCATGCTTTATTCATCTTTATGTCTGTCATAGATTAGAAGTAGTAAGTGTTCAATAAACATTTGTTGCGTTAAAAGTATTAGAAAGGAAATAGACTGTACACTTTATTCTCGATTGGTAGAAATTTTATGGTGTAATCCTAAGGTAAGGTACACTATTGATTTCAATGTTTGAATTTTTTATTTTATTTTCTATCTAAAACAATTCACATGTGTAATGAATTAAACATCTGTCTTTTGTGAGGTGATACTTAAAAAATACTTAGAGACACTTAAATAAGGAGCATAATGCTGTAGAAATACCATATATGGAATCTATTCAATTTAACAAAACTTTATATTGAGCTTCTACCACATGCCTGATAGTATACTCAATGCTGGAAATATCTAATATAATGATGTTAAGAGCTTCAATTTATTGATTAGTTAGCATACAACAGGCAATCTGCAAGGTGTTTACAGCAAATTATGCTTATTTACTCATCGCAATACCTCTACGAAGTTGGCTTTATTAGCATCTCCAGATTAAGGAAGAGGAAATCAAAGCTTTAAAACATTAATTTATTCTAAATCACACAGCTAAGAAATGACGGAACCATGATTCGGACCAACGTTGTCCGAAGCTAGAGTCTGCTTTCAACAGCTCTGCTGTATTGACTCATTCCGAAGACAGGGTTAGCCCTTAGGAAAGCCACATGCAAAAGAGACCCAATTACTTTCTACTGTTTAAACCTGAGCGAAACTAGGGTTACGTTTACCTAGGTCCAAAGTCCTAATAGACCCCAAAGGGGAGCTCTTTTTTGGATACATGTCAGGAACATGTTAAGGTACAACTTTTCATTCATCAATTCAATAAATTTCTCTTGAATATTTGTTGTGTACAATTACTGTGGTTCTATGAATTCAGTGGTGAGTAAGTAAAGAATGCCCAATATCTAGTGGGTGACACAGATAATAATCAAATCCTCACACAAATAACATGTAATTACAAACTGAATTAAGGATGAGGAGAGGAAAATAAAGAGCACTAGGACAGCATGCAGCAAGAGGACTTAATTCAATTTGTGGAGGGGGTGACCAGGGAAACCTTCCTGAGCAAGTGACAACCGATCAAGACCGGTAAGACGGGCAGGAAAACGTGAGTGTGTGGAGTGGGTGGAGACAGTGAGCAGATTCCCTGACAAACGGAATAGTACGTGCAAAGGAAAAAGAGATTACAGCACTGTAGTTAGAGAAATCTAAAAAAAAAAAAAAACAAAGTTAGTGTAGTTGGAGTACAGAGAATGAGCAGATGAGAGGGATAGTAAAAAATACTGCCAACATAGCAAAGGACAGACTATGCAAAGCTTTGCACACCATTTTAAGGCTAAAATTAATGTGAACCTTTTGAAGGAGAAATCTAGCCAAGGCTAGATTTATATTTATTAAATATCACACTATCTGTAGGCAGAACAGTCTGGTGGGTAGGGGGGTTACTGTGTTAATTCCAATGAGAGACGATGGTAGCTTGCACTAGGATACTAATGGGCATAAAGAAAAACTGTAGAGATATTGAGAAGGTTAAATCAGTAGGACCAGGTGACAGATTTAATAATGGTAGTTGACGGACAGTGAGGAAGAGTGAGGAAAAAAAATCCAGACTTTTGGCTTGCTTAACTGGATAGTGTCATTCACTGGGATGGAGGAACCTGGATGTGTATCGGGTTTGAAGGACAAGGTCGAACATTCAGTTTGGTCCTTGTTGAGTCTGAGTTGCCTCTGATACATTTAAGTGGAGATGTCAATTAGGCAGGGGGGTATGTATATAAGACTAGCATTCAAATGAGAGTTTCAGGGCTGGAGATGTAAATATTAGAAGCTTTGCAGAAACATTAGTTAGGTTAAATCAGGAACATAGATAAGATTACCTAGGGACAGAAGACAAAGTGAAGAAATGAAAGGAGATATCATTCCTTCTTTGGAACCTTGTGTAGTGAATCAGAATCAAACCCTGTTTAATTTTAAATTACAAAGCCAATCTAACCACTCACTGTGTAGATGAAGAGAACTGAAGTCCTGCGAGTTTTAT
Source organism: Homo sapiens (assembly GCF_000001405.40). Lineage (NCBI taxonomy): Eukaryota > Metazoa > Chordata > Mammalia > Primates > Hominidae > Homo > Homo sapiens. The sequence goes on from NC_000023.11 coordinate 32,125,793, forward strand.
CCATTTGCTAGATTGTAAAAGTCAAGCTGGGGCAAGAACTCAGGTCTTCTGAGCTGCAGTTTAATTCTCCACCTTTATCGATATTTCTTAAAATGTGGTCCTGGAACCAGCAGCATCAGCATCACTTATACACTTAAAAATGCAAATATTTAGGCCCCATCCCAGATCTACTGAATCAGAAGCTCTATGGCTAGGGCTCAGATGCATATTCAGGTCAGAGGGCTCCTGCTCTATTTTGTGTAATCCCCTTCCTGAGTGTTAGCAAAGTGATGGGTTCACACTTACGGGTAGAGAGGTAGCAGGAGGAAAGTGAAGCTGTTCTTGACTCTGTGCCAGAAGAGATTACAGAAACTGACCCTCTCGAACTCAACAGAAGCTGTAGACCACATTGGTACATGTGTTTTATAAACTACAATCATGCATGCCGTTTCTGTGCTTTGCAAAAGAGACAGATAGTGGTGCCAGGGGAAAGGACATTAGCAGTCCAAGTTGATTAGGTAAAATGGTCTGACACAGTGAGGCAAAAGTTGATTTGGTAAAAACTTGACATAGACGGCACTTTCAACCATCGGTATCCACTTAATAGATGTAAACAGCTATTTTCACGACACAAACACCCACACTTACATCTTTAGAACAGTCTCAGCAATTCTGTATGCTTGCCAGATAAATCTCTGCTGCAAATTATCCTCCAGCCATGAGATTTAAAACCAAGAGTTTCTAGTGTTTTGTTCCTTTGAAATATGTAACCTTAACCAGATGTTTATACCCTGGGTCACAAAAATCTAATTGAATAGTTCACTTGATGTGTTCGCACAATTAAGAAACTCTTCTTCCTTAATAGGGGAAGAGGGGCAAATTCATATGTTTAATTTTCAAAAACACAGAGCGTTCTCTGCTCTACAACAGTCTATCAGCTAGAAATGTCTATTAACTGTCTCTTCTCTACTTCATGAGCACAAAGATAAGTTGTGGTTTTAGGGACCCTTTGGGGGATATTAAGAGATCTTGAGGTAAATGCTAAACCAAACAGTTTAGTTTGTATTCAGGACAGTAGACACGTTTTATATACTATCATCCTACTTTAACATTAATTATATTAAAAAATTCTTCTTTTAACTGGGCTATCTAATTAATAAGGCCAGCAACATTCCTTGACCAATATGCTTGTATAAGCTTAGTTTATTTTTGTGTATAGGATTTATATATTCAATTGTACTGATGAAAAAAGTATCAGGAGCTTCTGATCTTCCTTTGTGACAGTGAGAAATACAGAACTCTCAGCACTTAACAACTCTGTCCAAACCCTTGCACTAAGACTTGACTAAACTCTAGTATGGTTTCTAGCCCCAGAAGGCCATGTCCCTAGGATGACCCTAGCCTTCCCTTAAGTGCCTGCTTGAGAAAGCTCAGTGCTGCCAGGAAAATTTAATGTTTGTTCTAGCCAACACACATCTGTTGATAGGACTCTTACCTCCGTTTCTTAGAACATTTACTCAAAAGGGCTTACAATTGTGAACATGTAGCTCTTGGAAATCAGAAGTGTCTCTCACTCAAGGACCTGAAAGCCATTCTTTTCAAATGACATCATCAAGAAGGATAAGTCCTCTGTCTCCTGTTCTCTGTGGGAAGATAGAATCCTAACTTCAATAACTTCCAGCTAACACAGCTGGCCTAATCACATTTACACTGTCCAGCCCTTTGTACTTTTTTACTTCTCTAACTCGAATGAACCCCCACTCCTTCTCCCTCCTTCTTGCCTTAAAACAACCAAGTCGCCTCTGCACAAATTAGAATGGATCTCAGCTCTCCCCTAATTTCACGAGGTATTGAATAAAATCTGTTTTTACCTCTTTAATATCCAGCTGTGTTTATCTCTGACAATATATATGCTCTCAAAAGCATTCCGATAAATAAATTTTCCTCAATGATCAAGCATAATAAAATACATCAGCTTTGTTAAATCACCTAAATACTCAAACAACTCTACCATTAGTATGTGAGGTAGCTTTGAAAGTATTTCTAATTTTTCTTTCTCTTTAATATGCCACAGGAAGGGACGAGGCATTTATTTGAACCTTCAATTATATGCTATCATAGTAAGAAGATGATTGGACCATAAATGCAAAGACATGTATTTGCAATTGCATTGCTCAAGAATGCCAGTTATGTCCATTATCCATCCCTTCAATGAAACAAAGACCATCCATTTTCTTTTAGAGGTAATCACTACTGTCCAATGCAAGACACAGAAAATAGGCAATTTGGAAGTATAGTAACTAGTTAGCAATATTCTTTTAACTTTCTATATAGGTATACTTTTTACATGCATTAATTTCACTGTAAAACAAGTAAAATTATATGATTAAAAAGAAAACCAGCTTCTAAGATTTTGAGAATGCATTGCATACAATGGTCAATGTTAATCTAGTCAACAAAGAACTGTTCAATAAAACATGTTTGTTTACAAAATCAGTGGAAGACTTCCTCAGAAATATTTTATGTAACAAATGCCTAGGGTGGGCTGAAGAGAAAAATCCAGTAAAATGGCATTTCAAAATTTATATTTTCCTTTACATGCCTCTAATTTAAAATAAATATCTGATATTTTTCATAGATTTAGTTTGTAGTACAAAATCATGAATTAAATCCTAATGATTTGAACTATAATTTAAAAAATTATATTCCAAATAGCAAGCCAATCGATTGACATTTACAATCTTCTGATAAATGCAAAGTACCAATTCCCTAAACATAGCGTTTTATGGTGACTTTTTCAAAATAACTACATCATTCAAAACTATTGAGTTGCCTGTAAAACCTAAATTGCTTGAACATTAGTTCTGGAGAAATTTTCATGATGCCTTTAAACTCTCAGTGTCAAATTCAACATTTAGGCTTTAAAGCCTATGGGTGGTATTTATCACCATTCAACACTCGCATTTATCACATAAGGAAAATATGTTTAAGAAAGCAAAACTGAAATAGGAACTCAGGGTTTAAAACACTTCTACTTATAACCTGTGTCGTTCCTCTTTGTGTAAAGTCTATGACCTGCTGTTTGGAAAGACACCAGATATGGAGAAGATTTTGAAATGCCCAAATCTTTATAACAAAGCATCGAACAGAGGATCTGAAAGAAAGAGCACAACAGAAACTCAATGAAATATCTAGCTTATCAGTCTGACAATTAATCATATCTAAGGCCCCACCTCTAATCTCAGTACCTTAGCCAAAAATTAAATACCAAGGACAGTTACAGTTTGCTCTAGATACCTAGAGGAAAGAGAACCTCCTTTTCCTCATCTTTTCCATACTAAAAATGTATACTGTATCTTTCAGATTAATATATCAGCTAAAATTTTGTTACTTCAATAAACCATTTTTGCAGCATAACTCTTGACTGCAAATAAAAGTATATATACTGACAATCCTCAAATTTTGTTTTTCAGCTTTGCTTCATCAGATTACTAGAATGAGGCAGTGTCATGCATTGATTCAATAAAATTTCCAAAGTCACCTAATAAAAGTACATTTTATGATGAGAAAACAACACCAAAAAATAGTTACCAATGCTTGATACCTCTTGAGATGTGGACCTCTTAGAGGCCAATTTGACAGTCAGAAGAGTATGAGTAATGTTTTTCAAAAGTTTCATGAGTACAAAATTAAAATCCTACAATGTAATACCAGCTTCTCTTCCTACTTAAAGGAGATCATAACGATTGAATCAGGATTACATTCAAATAAGCCAATGACAAATGTGAAATGAAAGAGTTATTCTCACCAATAATCATTGCATCCTAAAAGCCAAAGAAAAACTGCTATAAGGGACTTCTCAATCAGTCCCTATAGATAGGAATTGGTAGTTCCTACAGAAAAAATATATATACATCTATATATATATAGATATGGAGAGAGAGAGAGAGAGGGAGGGAGAGAGAGAGAGAGAGAGAGAGAGAGAAAATTGGTAATTCTACAGAAAACATTATGTCCAAGATTTTTTCCTTGGCTTCTGATTTCGAGGCCAACGAGTTTGGGTCATTTTAAAGGGCAGACATCAGCAAGTGCCTGCAGTGACAAATAGTTATTAGCTGCAACACAATACTTTTTATTTCCAAAGGTTGGCCAGATTGACCAAAGGAGAATCTTTTCTTCTATCCTTCCTTTCTCATTTTTCAAAGACTTTTTTTTTTTTTTTTTGGTCCCAGAAACCTTTAAGTCTTTTTAAGCTGGCTTTTTTCCCCCTTACGCTTTAGCTTTGCTCTTTTCTTTGAGGTCTCAGTGACATATAGGTCAGGGACGTCTTTACCAATGTAATATTAGTGGAGAGTTATAACAAGGGGGTGAGGACACTGAAGGCTTACACAGGTGCCTGAATAATTTGCCTTATCACTCCACACTGGTGCAAGTGGTGCAGAAATAAGAGCAGATTATGGCTTTTGCTACATATACTTTTGGATTTACAGATCAAGTGTAGGTTTTCAGAAAGTTTGAGTGTTACACACAATTATTACCACCATACCCACTACTATCAATGCCAGAATTATCAATGGATAAAATTTGTTTTTATTATTTTCTATTGACACTGAGTTTTATATATATATATATGTGAAATCTTGTTTCTGTATAAATTCCCATAATGCACACTCCATCCAAGAACAAACATAATTTAACTATAGATCATATCACATAACTCCTCTGGTTAAAAACCCCAATGGCTTAACATTTAATTTATAAACAAAAAAAGCCCAACTCTTTACAACGTCCCGGAAGACTGCACATCATCTGATGCATGCCAGATCTCTCCCTTCATCTCCTGGCACTTACCTCTCCATCACCAAAATCCACTCACACTTTTCCTCAAGTAGGCTAAGTTGACTATGCAATTGCACGCTTTTTGTTTCCTTTGTCTGGAACATATTCTTTAGGTATCTGCCTCTGTCACTATTCAGGTTCCTTTTCAAATGTCATTTCCTCAAACAAAAGTCCTTCTCTGGCTTCTCTGTCTGGTGTTATGTCTCAACTCACATTCCAGTTACACTCTACCACACTGCTCACTTTTCTGTATAAGACATATTGATATTTAAAAATTGTTATTACTTTTTAATGCCAGGTGCGCTGGCTCATGCCCGTAATCCCAGCACTTTGGGAGGCCGTGGAGGGCAGATCACCTGAGGTCAGGAGCTCGAGAACAGCCTGGCCAATATGGTGAAACCCCATCTCTACTAAAAATACAAAAATTAGCCAGGCATGGTGGCGCATGCCTGTAATCCCAGCTACTCGGTAGGCTGAGGCAGGAGAATCATTTGAACCCGGGAGGCAGAGGTTGCAGTGAGCAGAGACTGTGCCACTGCACTCCAGCCTGGGTGACAGAGTGAGACTCTGTCTCAACAAAATAAAATAAAATAAAATGAAACAAAAATTGTTATTTTTTAACATCTATTTCATTAGCATATAAGATCCTTGAGAGTAAGAACTTTTTGCTTCTGATTCATTCCTGTAATTCAGCACCTAGAAAAACATTTGGCATATAGAAGATAATCAATGGATAGGTGATTGAACAAACAGCTCTTTGAAACAGGTACGAGTTTTCTTGTTATCTTAAGGATAAAAAATTCCTGAAGTTTAGAAGGGGTAAGTGACAGGTTCTAGATCACATAGCATCCAGCAGAGCCAACCATTGAAAGTAAGACTACATGCCTGTCTAGCCAAATAAAATGAATTTGGACACATTGTGATGGAGCTAGGGATTGTCAAGATCATGTATAGACATCCTAACATTCTTGTCGCATTGGAAAACGCAGATATTATCATGTATTATGAGAATAATTTCTTAGTCAGGGATGGTCATTAGTGATGAAGAAAAAACCCTTTAAAACTAAGATAACTTCAAGAAAATGGGTCATTTAATCCTCTGTTCTACTGCTGCTGTTTTACACGACATTCTCCTCTAGGTATTACGTATTCAGTGGAAAATATTTAGTGCTTGTAATAAAGTAAGCCAATGGCCATATTGTGAAGTATAGTGCTCTACACTGGATGTCAGAAGACCTCAGTGCCAGACCCTGCTTCTTCACACAGTAGTTGGAGGGTAAAGTCATCTGAGACTGTCAGTTCCGTAATTTTAAAATGGAAAAAGCATATCTGTCATATCAACCTCAAGGGACTGAGAGATCAATGGAGATGATGGCTATAAAAGCACATTTTAAATGCCAGAGGGATATAAAAATGGAAGGTCCCATCATTGTTATTTAGGGATGAAGGCTTTTTAATCTATATGTGTTCAGTAACATATATTGCATGAGAAAATAGGTGAATGATGAATATTATAAAATAATACAAAAATACAATATTAATAGATATAATGCTTACCTATAAGGTCAATTTGTTTTGACCTAAATTTAGATTAGGCAACATGTTGCATAAATGGGTGGGTCAGTAACGGAAATGTCACTCTAAAAAATGTGCAAGGAAGCAACTGTCCATCATGGTCAAATTACTTCAGATGCCTTGAATTCATGAATAAAACACTCCATCAAATTTTATGCATCTCAAGCACTTCTCACACATTTAAATCCACAACATCCTAGTGAGGTAGGGAAGGAGGAATATTTCATTTTTCTTATTTGGTGAAATGAGGATAATGAGGCACAAGGAGGTTAATGATAGATTTGAAGTGAATGCAATCAGTCAGCAGCAAAACCATGGTTGGAATTTAGGTTCCCTGAATTCCACTTAGGGTTCTTTTCGAGATACTACGTTAACTACATTTCATTGTTGGAGGAATTTAATTCAGTCATGTAGATACAGATGCTCACAACATCTTTTTTCATCCTACTAAGGAATCTTGCTGCTAATTCAACCACTGAGACAAATAATACGTGGACCTGCGCTGGAGATTTGGCTTCGGTGTTCATTCAAGTCATTTCCTGAGCTAACTTCTGTTCCTTTTCCTATGAATACTATATTTTTTCACATTATACCACTGAATTATTCAGATTCATTGAATACCCTTAGAGTTATTAACATGTTATATCTAAAAAAATTACTGCTTTCTCCTTTTGGTTATATAGCTAGAAAGTCAGGATATAGTAAAAGGAGACCCAAAATGTAGGTTTTGAAAATAGAACGTCAGTTTTTGAGGACACCACACACTTTTGTTTTTCTTCCCATCTCATTGATCACTCCTTTTCTTTTCTTTTTTTTTTTTTTTTTTTTTTTTTTTTTTTTAGATGAAGTCTCGCTCCATCGCCCAGGTTGGAGCGCAGTGGCACAATCTTTTGGCTCACTGCAACCTCTGTCTCCTAGGTACAAGCAATTCTTCTGCCTCAGCCTCCAGAGCAGCTGGGACTACAGGTGTGTGCCACCACACCCAGCTAATTTTGTATTTTTAGTAGAGATGGGGTTTCACCATGTTGGCCAGGCTGGTCTCCAACTCCTGACCTCGTGATCTGCCCGCCTCGGCCTCCCAAAGTACTAGGATTACAGGTGTGAGCCACCATGCCTGGCTGATCATTCCTTTTCATTATCCTGTGCTGTTTTCTCCTTTGTCAATCCACCTCTTAATGTTAGAGTCCTTAGTCACGTTGTCATTTCTATCTATATTCTTCCTTAGTGATACAATCTGATATCACAGCTTTAAATGTTATCTTATACAAACACCTCCGAAATTTAAACGTCCAACCTGGACCTTTTTTGCTGAACTCTAAAGGTATTTATTCAATTGCCTATTCAATATATCTGGTGATATGTCTAACAGATATCCAAATTTAATGCCTCCCTAATCGCCCCATTCTATCTATAGTCTTTATTATTTCAGTTTAGGGCAACTTTATCCCTTCCAGTTAATCAGAGCAAAAACGTTGGAGCCATTCATGACTCCATTTTTCTCCCATGCCCCTTATCCAATTCATCCAGAAATCCTTGTTGGCCCCACTTCCAAACACGTTCAGAATATGACTATTTCTTATCACCCTGGTCTCAGTCAGCATCATCTTCTCACACTTAGAAAGAGAAAAACGTCCTTACAATGGCTTCAAAGGTCCACCCTCACCTCACTAACATTCTCTCCTAAACCTCTCTCACTTACTTCACTCTAGCCACACTGCAGATAACCAGCCCCAAACAGCAGATAAACCGATGGCTTAGGAATTCTGCATTGACTGTTTACTGAACCCAAAATGAGTTTACTGCTGATATCTACATGATTCAACCCCATGCCTCATTCTTTGAGATCTTTGCTCAAATGTCACCTTCTCAATGAAGAATACCATGATACCCTATTTAAAATTGGAATGTACTCCAGCATGAGCCATCTCTTATTTTACCCTTCTTCTTTTTTTTCACAGCACTTATCACTTTTGAACATACTATACAATATACTTATCGTATCTGTCTTTCACTATTTGAGACCCCCAAGAATCCAGAGGGCATACATCTTTTCTGCTTTGTTCACTGACACATTCAAAACATCTACAGTAGTGGCTGACATATGGTGGTGGCTCAATAAGTATTTTTCAAATTAACCTGATGCTAAGTCCAGAACTTTCAACTGCCCAGTCACAGAGCTAGCTTCAGGGCATTTAAAGAACTGAACAAACAGATAATGGAAGTGGGTTCATGTAGATAGAGAAGAAATTAAAAGAATTCTCATTCTCATGTAGAATGAGAAGACAATGGGGAATAGGGATACACATGTCCTTTTTTTTTCTACTGCAGGCAAGGCACAGAAGCGGGGATGTAAACAAAGGAGACATCCGTGAAGATGCTAATATAGGTTTTCACAATTCTAAAAAAAAGATAAAATAAACTATGTGTTTAACGGTGACATGGTTTTAAAGAGTTGCTGAATGATCAGTCTCCCTTTCCTTTTCTTTCTTCCAGCGCTATATTATTTCAAAGGGTCACTGGTTACTTCATGGGAACCAGACGTTGTTATTGCCACTTGTATAAGTCAGATGAATAAAGAGAAATTCTTGATAAATGAGGTATACTTTGAAGGCAAAATGTTCAGAAAATAGGGTATATGTGAGATGAAAAAGTATCCTCAGAGATGAAAGGATTTGCCAAAAACTGATATAAATTCCATGGGTGCAAACAGAGTTCTAAGCCTACTGCAATAAGATTTGACTTTATTGGATTATCTATGAAATATATTATTGTAGTAGGGGTCTATTTTTATGGCCACATCTGGTCTAGACTTCACAAAAGAATTACAATGGGAATATACTCTACCAAGATGCCAAAAAACACATATCTCTTCATTCCTGAAAGATATTGCCTAGACTGTCTAAATCTGAAAATTAACAAGGATTCTGTAATTACTTCATTTTCATCTACATTTCCCCAAACTAAAAGGTATCCTAGATTATTTGAGCTATAGATGTGTTTTTATGTACAGCTTTTTAAATTAATAGTCCACTAGCTCTATCGGTTACAGCAGTAATAAAAAAACTTTTATGGAAAGTTCTCTGAGACTAAAAGTGATTTACATGCAAATATATGGAAATGATTCCCTTCTTAAAACAGTAACAAAAGGTGTGTTTGAAAATTCATGCTTTGGAAGAATAAATGATTTTCACATAATCATTCTAGTAAGTTGTTTATTTTTATTGACATGCATCTTTTATTAGCTATTTAATGGTGGTTCACAGGGGTGAGTGCACTGGATCACGCCTGTAATCTCGGCATTTTGGGAGGCCAAGGTGGGCAGATTGCTTGAGCTCAGGAGTTTGAGACCAGATGGTGAAACACCATCTCTAAAAAAAAATACAAAAAATTAGCTGGGCATGGTGGCGTGCGCCAGTAGCCTCAGCTACCCGGGAGGCTGAGGTGGGAGGATCACCTGAGCCTGGATGGTTGAGGCAGTGAGCCATGAATGCACCACTGCACTCAAGCCTGGGCAGCAGAGCAAGACTTTGTCTCAAAAAAATGTGATCCACAAAAAACAAATTTAAGTTGTTGAATATTTTAGGCTAGCTCAAATACTTAACTTTAATTTTCTATTAAAATATATACCTTATTTAATGCTAATGGTATCTAATTTGCAGCTATCGTTACTATACACATAAACTGCACAAATCAAAATAAATAGAAAACAAATATTAATAAAATTTAGTCATTAACCCTTCTGGATGACATGTTATAATTAGGATATTAATTGGAATTGGCATTATAAAACCATTTAGAATTCGTTGTATTAAAAAAATCTGATTCCATAAATCATGGGGAATTTTTTATTTTAATGACCCATGTATTAGACTTACAGAAAATTGTGGACCTTAAGTAATGTTTTATTAAAATGTTCTGCTATTTAATTTGTCATATTTAAAAATAGCTAAAATCATAGTTTTAATTTTAGTAATATTTTTCATTGTGTTCTAAGTAAGCCAACCCTTAAACATCAAATGCTTTCTTTTGGGATATGTCTTTTCAACTTCTGGTTCCCTCAGGTTTGATCCATTGACATTCTAGGCACTGTTGGTGTGTCCCACCTAGTATATACCAGCCAGGCCTTCTTTATCATGCCCCCTGGGCAAAGAAAAACTGATTCCATTTATACTAGAATAATATCATTGTTGTCACTACTTATTACCTAGGCAATTGGTCACACTCTACTCCCTTCTTATGGTACTTTCATTAAGGCATATGTTCCTTTATGAAAAACATTCCATTCCTGGCAGCCGAAGTCAATCTACAAATAGCCAGGTAGCAAATCAATGCAGATTACAAGAGAAAGTGAACAAGCAACAGAGATTAAACAAAACAAAACAAAACAAAACAAAACAAAACAAAACAAAACAAATGTTAGAGATTGTGACTTGAACGTGGCACAGCCTAGTTCCTTGTTCTGCCTTGTCCTTCAAAAAACAGGGTCATTATTTTGTGAGATTCAAACTGGTTTTGAAAATTAATCATCTCATGGTATACAAATTCTAATCCACCGATGGATGAAGTAGAACTTTCCATGTTTCTTCCACTGCCACTTAGAAAATAATATTGGGAATTGAACAATGAGAACACATGGACACAGGAAGGGGAATATCACACTCTGGGGACTGCTGTGGGGTGGGGGGAAGGGGGAGGGATAGCATTGGGAGATTTACCTTAAGCTAGATGACGAGTTAGTGGGTGCAGCGCACCAGCATGGCACATGTATACATATGTAACTAACCTGCACATTGTGCACATGTGCCCTAAAACTTAAAGTATAATAATAAATTTAAAAAAAAGAAAATAATATTTTATTATGTACAGCGTGCATTATCAGCACAGATAACATAAAACTTTTTTTAAAAATGTGGGTTTATTCTAGATTTTTAAATCTATGAGGCTTATTTAGAATGCTGAATTAAACTATACAAGTTAATCTTGAAGAACCAGATATTGGAATTGCTGCTCTCATTAATTCCTCCCACCTGATTTGTGTATGCCATCGCCAGCAAACCACATAGTTGGTGCCTCCTTTACAAAAAAAAGTTGTGCTAGGAGACAAGCATAAATTACAAGGTCAGAGGAATACCTTCAAGAATCTTAAACCCATTTGAACAGTATAGAAACCTAGGGATGGAAAAAACTCTAATAGAAGAAAACTACAAGAACCAAAGGGGTAAGCCAGTACAACCTCTGCAAAGGTAATCTTACTCCATCCACTAAACATAGCATTATATGTTTAGTCACTCACACACAAAGAT